>NC_000018.10:2510000-3760000 GCF_000001405.40 Homo sapiens
ATTGAAATTAAAGTTATTCCTAAACATTGTTTAGAAATTTATAATTGGGAATGAGCCAATAGATTATTATATAATATGCATATATTTGATTAATATAGACAAATTTCCTAACAAGTATGTTTTGCCAGTGCACCCAATCTCTAGTTTCTAATAAGCAACTGTTGAGGAAGTGAAATGTACCAAATTTTTACACTCACCATTTGGGAAATATGCCCTGGAGATATTTAATAACACACTCTGCTTTTTTGCAATCATTATGTTAGTATATACAAACTTACCTTCAGGATCCGTTTTAATTACAAATGTGTCATGCATAAAACATGTGGAATCATTTCAATATGTTCATTATCCTCTGCTTCATTCTTCAATTTACAAGGCAACTTTAATTGTAGTATATTCATCAACTCTTCTTTAGTCTTAAGATTTCCACAGATATTAGTTCAGCTTAAATTTATAGAAAATAGTCCTCTGGCAGGTTGCTCCTGATTGGGTTCCACATGAGAGGACAGTATTAATCAATGTAGTGGAAAACACGTAAGCACCAAAACCATATTAAATCTAGGCTCCATCCCGTAGGGCCCTGATTATGGAAATAGATTCACATATTTTAGTGTTAATGTTTGCAACCACAATTCTTTCTCAAATGAAACCCGAAGCAGTCATGCAGATTAGCACTGGTCTAACATTTTAAAACTTGGCTTTTAATCGAACTTCAGAGGAAATGATTGCAGCCTCACTGCGTACTTATTCTCCCTACTTCGCCAGGGTAACATGAAGCTTAATTAGTCCTCTGTTGAGGCTATTTGCTCCTCTGAAGTTTAAGTTTCTATGAAGGTTGAATCATTAAATAATTGCAGTGGAAACATTTTTTTAAATTCTTTCCCCAAATCAAAAGTAATTTGAGAAAGCCCAAGGTACCTGACATTGTAGGGATTGAAATGTAATTAGTTGGTAGATATACTAGAATTGATTTGAGACAGTGGACCAGAAGTTGATGCTCAGAGGAGGAATCAAAATAAAAAGCCACAGTGAATGAAAGCAAAGAGGCAAACATATAAAGAAAGCTAGAGAATTTCAGGAGAAAAAAAAAAACAGTAAGAAGTCATTAGAAGTGGATGGCATTGTTAAACATCGAGGGCAACTTAGGTGATTTTTTAATAAGGGATAGGTGCCCTGAGGAGAAAGGGCCTAATTGAACCAGCATTCAAGTGGCTGAAAGGAAAGCGATTTTGACCAGCCACCAAAAAGTTGATTTAGACCCAGACAAAAAAAAGAGGAGGGGAGCTTTCTTTCCCAGTAAGTATAAGGATAGAGAAATATCTCTATCCTTATGCTAGAAGAGATATCTCTATCCTTATGCTAGAAGAAATATCTCTATCCTTATGCTAGAAGAAATATCTCTATCCTTATGCTAGAAGAACTATCTCTATCCTTATACTAGAACAATTGTTTTGTACCTTTTTGGCACCAGGACACATGTGGTAAATAATGTTTCCATTAGACACACCCTTAGAAGCACAAAAAAACTAGGATATTAGACAGGTGCAATTGTTCACCACATTTCATTTCTTTCTCTTCCACTCTAGAATTGTCACATGTGACTGTGCCATCTGTGTGGGATAGGCACTCTAATGGATCGGAAAAGTCAATCATTAATTACTCGTAATGATTGAGACACCTCCAGTTGCTACCATTCCCGAGCAGAGGTAAGATAAACTAGAAAGGGCAACTGGAAATGCCTAGGGAAGGCCAGAGTGTCTGACTACTTGTCAATAAGCTCATGAGAGCCCCCAGGTTAAAATAATTAGCCATTCCCCAAAGGCTCTGTGGATCTGAGCCCTGTCACTCACTAACAATCCTCTAGACCAACGGCCAAGATTTCTCTATGAGCTCGCACAACCTTCTACTATATCAGAAGAAACTGGGATAAACAAAATTCAATCCAAATTTTTAAAACTATAACCTACATATTTTAAGTTTTGGAAATCTAGTCAAATAATGTCAGCTCACCCCTCAATATATAACTTTCTAAACAATGTTCTAAAAAAGGTAGATTGTGAAAACAAAACAAGGGAACTTGCTTCTGATTTGAGTCTTGTCAAAATATGAAACTAAAAACCCACCACAGGGAATTGAAGCCTATAGAGAAAGTCCAAAAAGTCTTTATCATTTCACATCTTCTAGGAAGCTTATTTTGTACATATCTCTTATCTGAGATACAGTACTTATTGTCATTACCATTCAGACTGACATTCAATCACATACTTCCTGTAAGTTTATTTAATTTTTCTGTTATGTCTTCTCTCTCCAATTAGACTATAAATTCCAGATGATCAGGATTGTATTCCTCTCAGCCTGAAGGCCATGTTGGGCACAAAGAAGGCGTGCTGGGTGTTTGATTGTTTGTGACCAGGTCCCACTGTGTTGCCCAGGCTGGAGTGCAGTGGCGTGATCATAGCTCACTGCAGCCTCAAGCTCCTAGGCTTCAGTGATCCTCCTGCCCAGCCTCCTGAGTAGCTGGGACTATAGGCACACACCACCACACACCTGGCTAATTTTTTAATTTTTTTGTAGAAAGGGGTTCTTCATATGTTGCCAAGGCTAATTTTTACCTTCTGGCCTCAAGCAATCTTCCCACCTGGGCCTCCCAGAGTGCTGGGATTATAGGCATGAGCCATTGCACCCTGCCAGCCTGCTGTTAAATGCTTGTATGATGAATTAAGTACATTTAATTAATTTCTACATTTCTCTATTGTTTTCTTTCTAGCCATCATTTTCTGTGGATTTATTTAAATGCCATTGCAATTAGAGTAAAACAAAACAAATATGTGTATGTGTATATATAATACCTAAAGGCAACTGGTAGCTGTCATAAACTGGGAATTAAGAAAAAATGTATCTGCCTTTGGCAGGGTACAGTGGCTCATGTCTGTAATCCCAGCACTTTGGGAGGCCAAGGCAGTACATCACTTGAGGCAAGAGTGCAAGACCAGCCTGGCCAACATGGTGAAACCCCATCTCTACTAAAAATAAAAAAATTAGCTGGGCGTGGTGGTACCTGTAATCCCAGCTACTGGGGAGGCTGAGGCACGAGAATCACTTGAGCCTCTGTGGCAGAATATTGCAGTGAGCCTACATGGTGCCACTGCACTAGAGCCTGGGTGACAGTGAGACTCCGTTTCAAAAAACAAACAAACAAACAAACAAATATATATATATATTTATCTGTCTTTAATCAGATACATCATCAAAAACTGAATATACTTTTAACCTTGGACAGAAACTGCTTTTAATATGGAAATGTTGGTGAACTCTTAGGGAAAATAGACTAAAATGTACATCTGAATCTAAGGAACATTTTTGTCCACAGATTAAACACATAATTACATCAGTTGAGTTTATTTTAGTATCGTTCTAATGGTTTTCTTTTGCATCAGTTTTATTACTGAAAGTTATATTCTCTTTACTTCTAGTGTCACTTTTTTTAAATAAAGCTCTTATCAAGATAAATCTCAGAAAATACAAATCTAAGCAAGACAATTTAGAGTAACTTAGTTTATAGAGACTTGCATTTATAGCCACATTATTACGTTAAGAAATAAAGGTCTGGCGTGCTCAATCACATGTTCCTGGCCAGTTTTGCAGAAATTAATGTCAACCTAGAAAACAACATGAAAGCCAGCAACTTAGTTTCTAATGTTATGCTCACTACAGGGAACATTACATTGAGCAAAAGAGGCCAACAGATGCCATGTGTGAGTAACCTGAACTCCTCAAAGGAAAGAGGAAAAATATTATGTTAGATCAGTGGTTCTCAACCCTTGTTGAAAGTAGAAACCTGAGAAGCTTCAAAAAAAAAAACAACAAAAAACCATTGCTTGTCTCCCATCCCCAGACATTCTGTTTACTTTGTCTGGGAGAGTCACAGGCATTGCCGGGACAATGGTGCACACTTATAATTCCAGCTACTCAGGAGGCTGAAACAGGAGGATCCCTTGAGCCCAAGAGTTGAAGATCAGCCTGGGCAACATATTGGGACATCTCTCTCAAAAAAAAAAAAAAAAAAAAAAATTATTAGATGCATGTAATGTACAGCCAGAGTTGAGAACGGTTAGGCTAAATGATATAAAATTACAAATAAGCTTTCTAAAAAGACACTTAGGCTTTCCCTTTTTATACTTCCAGTGCTAATTCAGGCAAAGTCTGAGCTACTCTTTAGTACAGCCCTCTTTATGTAGACTTAAAAGTTAACACATACATATACACAAGCCTCTAGGTTTCCCATGAAAACCATCTGTCAAAATAATACTAGCTAGAAGCAACATGTCAAAAACTACAATTATAAAGAATCTTAATTCTTTGATTCTATTGGATTTCCGTGGACTTTTTTGATCTCAAGTGATAAAAGCTAAATCATTCTAGTTGGAGTGAAAAAGTGGAGGAATGGATTTAATCAGCGAATAACTAGAAAGAACCAGAATAGATCTCACATCAAGCACAATAGATCCAGGACCCAAATAATGTCACCAAGACTTGGTTTCTTACTCTCATACTCCCTTGCACTAGTCCTTATCTCTGCTTCCCTCTAGACATAGATGTCATTCTTTCTGTCATGAGTACCCTACTCCGTGAGTTCCTACTCCAAGTGGTAGGAACCCCAGGTTCACATCTTTACAGCACCCTAACCTGAAAGGCAAAATACGGCCTTTCCTGCTCCTTCAGGAGAAAAGTCCCAGATAATGCCTCTGCTGGCTCCAAATTGGATCACAAGTCCATACTAAAAATCTCAAAAATATTACCTGCCTATAATATATCACTCAAAAATTACGTTGAGTTTTAAAACGTTAATAGGAGGGCTGGGCGCGGTGGCTCACACCTGTAATCCCAACACTTTAGGAGGCCAAGGCGGGTGGATCACTTGAGGTCAGGAGTTCAAGACCAGCCTAGCCAATATGGCAAAACTCTCTCTCTATCAAAAATACAAAAATTAGCCAGGCGTGGCGGCACATGCCTGTAATCCCAGCAACTCTGGAGGCTGAGGCATGAGAATTGCTTGAACCCAGGAGGCAGAGGTTGCAGTGAGCCGAGATCACACCACTGCACTCCAGACTGGGCAACAGGGCAAGACTCTGTCTCAAAAAATAAAAATAAAAATAAAAACAAAAAATAAAATAAAATGTTAATAGGCATGAACATAGAAAAGAAGCAAAGAGAGTAAAACACCAATTTGGAGAATTCTATATTTGTCTAGAACAAAATTCACCTAACAGGAAATACAGTAGTTGAATCACAGAAATAGTCAAAGGTCATATCAAGGTCAGACTTTTATTTAAAAGGATGAATTTTATTTTTATTCTGAGACCTAAGGGAGCCACAAAAGGATTTCAGGGAAAGAATGAGATGATCAGATTTGTTTTAGGAAGATTACTTTGGCATGTGGGAATAGATTGAAGAGAATGCATTTTAAAAATAGAAATAAGTCAGAAGGATATTACAGTTAACCACATGAAAAGAAATCTAAACTTGTACTAAGGCAATGGTTAAGACAAATAAAGACAAGAAATGGATTCGAGATTTTTAAGGATGTGGTATCTACAGTAACTAGATTGGGTATTAGATGCCCAGAAAGGAAGAGGAGTCAGAATGACTCACTGATTCCTGGCTTGGGAAACTTGGAGGATAGTCATGCTGTTAACTAAGAATTCAGGAATAGAGGCAGGTTTGGAATGGATAGATGGTAAATTCAGTTTAACATTAAATTAAAGTTGTCTATAGGATTAAAATGGAGGCCAACTCATAACTGTAAAGCCAACTATAAGATCAACTTTAATTATAAAGTCAAATGTTAGACGATTAAGGCATAAATATGTTAAAGTCACACTCAGGACAAAGATAGAACCAGAATGGGGAGCTAGATGACATTCCTAATGAACGTGGAAGAGATAATAAATAACCCCAACTACAATGGTATAAAGGACATTCTAGCCAGATGGCATGAGCCTCCAGAAAGATCTAACATGAGGAGGAAACAAAGGTTTTGAAATAGCAGTAAGGATAAAAGGAACGCTGACCTCACCCCTGCCCAGATGTGGTCATGGAGATTGGAGAGCAGCAGCAGTCACTTGGCCGGAATGCAAAGCAGGTGGGAGACCACTGGGTATCAGCAAGGGCAAATAGGTGCACTATGAAGTCTTCTGTTTTGACTCTCCAGCATCCAAACCCCCTTTCTACTGTGGGGGAAATCCCAGAGGAGGTGGGGGCAGGGCACACTTTTGGGAAGCCTTACAAAGAAGGCACTAGCATGTGACTTAGGTTCTGCCATCTCCATGTCCCGCTCTGGACCTTGAGACAGTCATGTAAGGGCACAGTGAACTTGAGAAATTTTTCACAGCACAAGCAGCAGTTCAAATGACGGTCCCATGACTCATCAGGACATGAGGTATATTGTAACATTAAACATGCCATACCCAATATTGTTCAGGCTTCAGTAGGGCAGGAAAGGACTTCCAATACTCACTTCTGCCCTAAAAGCACCACTTCCTGTCATGTGATGTAGTCTATTGTCTGTTCTCATGTGACAATTTGGGGGAAGTTGGGGGAAGACAATTTGAAAACAGAGGTTAGTAGAATTTTTAATAGTACAGTGTCATGGTAATTTTTAACCCTAAAATTTTTACATACATTTTATTATTAAACTACAGAACACAGATAGCCAAGGGCTCAGTGGTGGCAGTGACAGAGGTGGTGACCCAGCAGCAGGCCCCACAACAAACTGACCCTGTGCCAGGCCCAGGCCATGATTCCAGCTGCAGCTGCGCAGCCTCACTCATCTCCTGCCCATCTTCTGACCCCGATGCTCAAGCCTTCTCATTATTGGGTTTCTTTGCAATCAATTCCTTTTATGTTTAAGTTAACCAAAGTTGGTTTCTGTTGTTTTCAACTGAGAACTCTAATAGCTACAGGTGAAAAGCACTTCCAGAGGAGGAACGGAGGGTGCTGTATGCTGGAGTCCCTGGCTGTTTTAAGAACCCCAACATTGTAGTATTTGGAGTCTCACAGAGTTTCTGAACATAAAAAGAAAGAAAAAAATGATCTGATAAAATGAAAATGTAAGTATGTGTATGTCAGAATATACCATAACTAAAACTGAAAGGCAAACTCTATTTTTTATTATTAATATTTTTTAAAGAGTATGTAAGAAAATGTCAGGGTGTCACAGGGCATTTCAAAATTAGGAATATCTTCTTTCTTTTTTTTTTTTTTTTTTTTTGAGATGGACTCTCGCTCTACCACCCAGGCTGGAGTGCAGTGGCACGATCTCGGCTCATGGCAGCCTCCACCTCCCGGGTTCGAGCAATTCTCCTGCCTCAACCTCCCGAGTAGCTGGGACTACAGGTGCAGGCTACCACACCCTGTTAACTTTTGTATTTTAGTAGAGGCGGGGTTTCACCATGTTGGCAGGCTGGTCTCCAACTCCTGACCTCAGGTGATGCGCCCACCTCGGCCTCCCAAAGTGTTGGGATTACAGGCATGAGCCATCGTGCCCGGTCCTGGAATATCTTCTTTCTCTGGCCACAATTTTGTGTCAGTTGTTTTGCTGCCAGTGAAACAGAAATTATATATAAGTGATCAAATTTGTCCAAAGACTTGACTCTTTTTATTTCCTACCAAATGCAGGGCCTAGTAGTTTTGCCTGCACATTTCCTACACTTCCACCTGAAAGGTGAGATTCTACCACCATCTACATGTCCCTGGATTTGAGAGGCAGCGACACTCCCTCAGCAGTGAGTTTCTTGGGTGAGTGATAGAGGGACAGTGCTTGACCTTGACAATTAAGCATCTGTATGTGTGACCAGACGGTCTTATGCAGGCAGGACAGAGGTGGAAGTAGGAGTAGGGAGAGGAGAGTGTCCCCATCCCTTTAGCTGTTTCACTCAGCCAAGAAGTTATGATTCCAACTGTGTACCTAATTGTAATTTTGTCCTACCTTACGTGGGCTACTGAAGGAAACATATATAAAGCAAATAATCATGATTATGAAATGTAAGAGCTTTTAGCAGGACATGAGTAGAACTTCCACATTTTCTCATGTTCCCATCTGTGGGAAGCGGCACAAAGGACCACATCTGCATCACATAAGCACTGCAGGTCACAATCATCTCTAGGCATCTGATCTGCTTTCCATGAGAAGGAAAAATTGTTTCCTGAGTGTCCGGTCCCACGGAGCAGATTTTCTCAAGGTCTTCTCCCCCATCTATATATAATCATTTTGCCTCTGCATCTGGCACCTCGCATCTTGGACTCAGCTTCACTCCCAGCAGCAGTAAACTTACATATGACTAATTATGAGAATTAATACATCGAACTCTCATGAGCTTGGTTTTGAACCTGTGGAATCCTTAGCCAGGATGAGCATCCCTGTTAATCTGGAGAATGCCTGCATGTAGGAAGTCCAAAGCACACAGCAGAAGGCCTGGCAAAAAAGACAATGAAGGGGATGGCTTGAGAAGGGGTTGTAGGCCTAAAGCCTTGCTGAAATAGCCTCGCCAGAAAGGACAGAGGCCTACAGAGACTGACAGTTCAGGGGTGTGGAAGATGACAGGGCTAAGAGACAAAGTGAGATTAAATAGTCACAGCTCCGGCTGGAACGCATTCCAGGTGACTGTGCTGACACAGAGGAAAGTGTCGAGAGTTTCCCGAAACAGGTTGGCCTTTGTTAGTGCAGTCCAGGAAGAACTCTCCAAACTGCAGAGGACTGTCTGGGCTCTGAAGAGAACACTGGCTTAAAGTTTTATGCTTCAGCAAAATACAGCTGTTAGTGGACTGGGTTGCCAGGGAAGGGTGAGGCCTCTATCAGAATGGAAGTAACCAACTTCCAGTGACCTTTTAAGGAGGCAGAGCAGATAGCATGGCCATGCTATCTGTCCTCACACTCAAACTCACACGACTCCCGTTGCCCTTTTATCTTTTACATTTAAGTTTTCTATCATTTTGTTACTATTCTATACTCTGTAATCCAGCAATTATAAATTGTAAACCCAGGAGGCCAAAGACCATGTCTGTCTTGCTCCAGACTACATCCCCTTGGACTACGTGCTAAGTAGATATATTTAAAATATTTGCTGAACTACTGAATAAACTAGATTGTTGACCCAAGTGCCAAATACTTTATCATCATATCTTCCCCTCTATCAAGATGTACTGAAAAGCTCAAGAGAAAACTTCTAAAATATTCTTATGTCATATTTTGGTCCTTTTTCTTGGGTATGTGCAAAACAATTATGTCATAGATTAAAAATTTAAAGTGGGCCAGGCGCGGTGGCTCACACCTGTAATCCCAGCACTTTGGGAGGCTGAGGCAGGCGGATCACGAGGTCAGGAATTCAAGACCAGCCTGACCAATATGGTGAAACCCCATCTCTATTAAAAATACAAAAATTAGCCGGGCGTGGTGGCACGCACCTCTAGTCCCAGCTACTCAGGAGGCTGAGTCAGGAGAATCGCTTGAACCCAGGAGGCGGAGGTTGCAGTGAGTCGAGATCGCGCCACTGCACTCCAGCCTGGGTGACAAAGCAAGACTCCGTCTCAAAAAAAAAAAAAATTAAAGTGAACTCTAACAATTGAAATTACAAGTAGAATACTGAGAATATTGTAAAAACAAAGTCTATCGATACGCAAAATCCCCTGGGTCTCAGTGAGGTGGAGACAAGCTTCAGATATGCATTGTAGCCCTGTGGGCACTACGTTTTCTATCATGTGAATGCACTCTTCACTATATTTGGGCAGGCATGGGATGGTATATGACTATCAGAACAATAGCAGTTGTATAATTTTTAACAAAATTGTCTTGATAGAGTTTGAGATCAGCCTGGGTAACATGGTGAGACCCAGTCTCTACAAAAATACAAAAATTAGCCATGTGTGGTGTGTGGTGGCATGCACCTGTAGCCCCAGCTACTTAGGAGACTGAGAGGTGGGAGGGTTGCTTAAGCCTGGGAGGTTGAGGCTGCAGTGAGCCATAATCACCCCCAATGCACTCCCACTTGAGCAACAGAGCAAGACCCTGTCTCAAAAAAAAAAAAAAGATTGTCTTGATATTTATAGGAGAAAGTTTTCTAAAACATTTATTTCCACAGGTATTCCATCATTAAACTATGGAACACTGAAAAAAAAAATGACATGAAAAGCTTGAATGATATAAGAAATTCAGTAAAATCCTAATTGAAATATATTTTGCATAATAGCAATTCTTACCAATATATGTCTTTTATAAAATGCTTATGAATACTTTAGAGAATCAGGGCACAGATTTGTAGTCCTTAAACACTCCAGAAAATAATTATTTCTATGTGCAAAAGAATTGACAATGTTCTCTTAGTATTATGAGTTGTACCGCTTTAGCAACTCTAAATTATTTGAAAACCATACATTTACAACTGAGCTAATATTATAGAATAGTTTGTGGGGTTATTAAAATCATATTTTTTGAGATGGAGTCGCACTCTGTCGCCAGGCTGGAGTGCAGTGGCACGATCTTGGCTCACTCCAACCTCTTCCTCCTGGGTTCAAGCGATTCTCCTGCCTCAGCCTCCCGAGTAGCTGGGACTACAGGCATGCGCCACCACATCTGGCTAATTTTTGTATTTTTAGTAGAGACGGGGTTTCACCATGTTGGCCAAGATGGTCTCGATCTCCTGACCTCATGATCCACCCGCCTTGGCCTCCAAAAGTGCTGGGATTACAGGCGTGAGCCACCGCGCCCGGCCAACTGTCTTCCAATCTTTCTATTCCACTGACATGGCTGTTTCTTAGGAAAGCTATAAATATTATTGCAATATTACATCTTCTTAAATATTTCTACAGGTCTGAAACCTCTATTAATCCCCACCTTCTAGAAAACTCTTACTTCCATTTGGGAAAAAGGAGAAGAGGGTTTGAGACCTGACTATCACTGTGGGTAAAACAGTAGACAAGTCACTTAACCTCTCCGGGCCTCATTTGTAAAAGAGGGATGTATAATAATGTAAATAATGTCTGCCCCACAGAGTTGTGAGGACAAATAAGACACTGCATGTAGCAGTCCTTTGTAAACTGCACTTTACAGACACACTAATGCATTATATCTGGGAACTAAAATTTCCACTCACTCCACCAAAAACCTCCCTTCCCTACATTAACCTTCAACTTTAATACAAACATTTCCAATCCAGTATTAACCACATCTTTCTCAAGTTCCTACCATGCATGAAGCATGGTGCTGGGAGCTAAAGATCCAAAAGGGAAGAGTCAGGGAGGAGGCTGAAAACTGCATGAGCTCAGCTGTCCCATTGTGTGTAACAGAATAGAACAACCTTGAGACATGTTGTGTACAAGCATAATCAAAATACTTGACTTTTTTTAACTTGAGAGTTTTTTTCTCTTTATGTTCTTTTACTTAATAACTTTCAGAAATTTCAAGAGAGCAAAAATATATTTTCTGAAATTAAAAGCTTTTAGAGTATCAAGCTTACAATAGAACATTGTGTCCTCAGAGACAATAAACCATCTGTCCTATCAATATGTTTAAAATCCTAGTGATATAATGCCAAATATAGTATATTTCCGAGTCTTAACAAATGGAAAGGTTGACAGAATCTCAAGGCCCTTATTCCTCCACGGACTGCCCAACTCCATCATAGATCCAAGAGTGGGTTTCAGAACCTCGTCTATTATAAGCTTGGACAGATCAAGTGTAAATGCAGAGACCACTTTGTCTAGAGTTAGGCTTGGGCTGGACTGTCCATGTGTCCTCTGGGCCCTGCCATATTGCCTGCTGGGCTTTCCAAGGCACCCTCCCAAGTGAAAGAAGAGGTAGCCCTGGGCCCTTCTTTCCAGCCATTGGAGAGAAGAGACAAGAGGGGAATAGAAAGAAAGGGAAGGAAAAGAAAGGAGAAAGGAAGAGATCCAAAAGTAAATGGCCACCCCCAAAAAGTAACATGTGAAGAAAAGCACTTTCAGCCTCTTCATACTTCCCTCTGAAACTTTCCCCTTTATGCCAAGCTCCACCCCATGGTCTAGATATATGGACCTGAGGACTTCATTCTAGATCAACCTTCTTTTCTCTAGGAGGGAGGGAGGGGCAAGTATGAGTTCAGCTGGGCTTTTCCTCCCGTGCCTTCCACCATGAGAAAGTCATGTCCTATTCAAGGCTGTTCCTCTGGCCTGAGACACTGAATGAGAAGATGTGCATAGTGTCTGAATCTGACCTGTGATCTGAAGCAGAACCATGCCAGCCAACCCGCAACTACAAACATACAGAGTGAGAAATAAATCATGTTAATGTAAACCACTGAGATTTTGAAGTGGTTTACTGTTACGCAGTGTAACCCAGCAAACACTACCTAATTAATCTCCCCAAATAAGTCATGCAACTGTGTTTGCCCCATTACTCCTCAGCTGACACAATCGAGTCAATAACTTAATTGTAGCCTCTTCTGGCTTTCCATCTCCCAAAATCTTTTTAATGTCCCATAAAACCCTTGTGATTTGGACACCATTACCCAACCCTCCCTTACTCAGCTTTAGCTCTCTGGCTTCCTTGCTCTGTCTCAAACCTACCAGATTTACTCCCCACCCAGAACCTTTGCATCTGTTGTTCCCAATGCCTGGCACGCTCTCTTTCTAGATATCTAGTGTCTTGCTGTCTCACCTCCTTCCAGTCTTGCTCAGGAGACCTTGCTAACCACACTACTTAAAAGTGACCCCACCCCAGCTCTCTGCACATCCTTTCACTGCTTATTTTTCTCTAAGAAACTTACTACTTTCCATAATATATGTATTGATTATTAATATTATATACTGACTTGCTCTCCTTATTAAAAAGTATGCACCATTTCTGTCTGTTTTGTTCCTGACTAACCCAGTATCGTGGAGGACTCATAGAAAGTGTTCAACATCTTTAAAGTGCTGGGGGAAAAAAATCAAGAATTCTATAGCCAGTAAAACTACTTTTCAAAAATAAAGATAATTAAGTGTTTAAAATAAAAATGATAGTATGTCACAGAGCTTATAATATATGTAGAAATAAAATCTAAAAGAATAGCAAAAAGGATGGAAGAGGGCAATGGAAGCATACTGTTGTAGAGCTCTTATATATAGTCTAATGTTATTTGAAGGTAGTCTATGACAAGCTAGAGTTAGGAGTTGTAAACCCTAGATAAACCATTTAAAAAGAAAAACAGTAGAGATAACTTTTGAAGTCAATACTGAAGATAAAATGGAATCATAAAAAAACAATAAATCCAAAAGAAGTTGGGTAAAAAGGGAAGAAGGAAGAACAGATAGCTCAAATAGAAAAAAAAATGGCAGATGTAAACCCAATCATATAACTACATTCAATATAAATAATCTAAATATTCCAATTAAAAGAGATTTTCAGGCTTGGCACAGTGGCTCACACCTGTAATCCCAGCACTTTGGGAGGCCAAGGTGGGCAGATCACCTGAGCTCAGGAATTTAAGGCCAGCGTGGGCAACATGGTGAAACACCCATCTCTACTAAAAATACAAAAATTAGCCAGGCACGGTGATGTACACCTGTAGTCCCAGCTACTCGGGAGGCTGAGGCAGGAGGATCATTGAGCCCACTAGTTCAAGACCTGCCTGGGCAACATAGTGAGCCTGGAAGGCAGAGGTTGCAGTGAACTGAGATTGTGCCACTGCATTCCAGCCTGGGCGACACAGCAAGACATTGTCTCCAAAAAAAAAAAAAAAAAAAAGGCAGAGAGAAATTTTCTAATGTTTTTAAAAAACAAAAAGCAACAGTGTTCTTTCTATAACAAAACCACTTTAATAAAAGGGCATAGATAAATTAAAAATAAAATGAGAAAGAAGATATTCCATAAAGACACTAATTATAAGAAAGCTGGAGTGGCTATGTTAATATCAGCCAGTAGATTTAAAGGCAAGAAATATCAGCAGGGATAAAGATGGATATTTAACAATGATAAATGAACATAATCTCAAATGTGTATGCATTAAAAAATAAAGCTTTCAAAATTCACGAAGCAAGTTGGGCATGGTGGTGCCTACCCTGTCCCAGCTACTCAGGAGGCTGAGGCAGGAGGATCATTGAGCCCAGTAGTTCAAGACTTTCCTGGGCAACATGGTGAGACCCCATCTTACAAAAAAAATTCATGAAACAAATGCTGACAGAAATAAAATAAATACACAAATCAAAAAGCATAGCTGGAAATTTCAGTAACTGATAAATACACATAAAATAAGTAAGTATATGCCAGGCACAGTGGCTCATGCCTGTAATCCTAGCACTTTGGGAGGCCGAGGCCGGCAGATTGCCTGAGCTCAGGAGTTTGAGACCAGCCTGGGCAAAACAGTGAAACCCTATCTCTACTAAAATAAAACAACAACAACAAAAATTACCTGGGCATGGTGGTGTGCACCTGTAATCCCAGCTACTCGGGAGGCTGAGGCACGGGAATTGCTTGAACCCGGAAGGCAGAGCTTGCAGTGAGCCAAGATCACACCACTGCACTCCAGCCTGGGAGAGAGAGCGAGATGCTGTCTCCCAAAAAATAAACAAATAAGTATATAAAAGACCTGAACAACACTATAAACCAATTTTACCTATTAAACTTTTACAGAACATTCCAACTAACAATAGCAGAATACTATTTTTATAAATACACATGAAATATTCACCAAAATAAACCATATGCTGGGTGATAAAATAAGTCTCAATGAAATTTAAAAAAGATTTAAATTTATGCTTGGAATTTAACCAAAATCTCAACTGTGGCCTTGAGCAAGTCATTTAATTTATTACCACCTCTGTAAAGCAAGCTAACAACATTGCTTCACAAATGTTATAAAGATTAAACTAATTCCTGAATAAAAGTTCTTAATCAGTGTCTGACACATGACAGCTGATAGTGCTGATTTTGTCGTTGTCATTATCCTTAACTTGTGTTAGACTAAAGACCTCCCAAACGCAGTCAAGAACTGCTTATCAGTTAAATTCAAAAGAAAAACCCTCACTGGAAGCCATTATCTTCAGCAAACTAATGCAGGAACAGAAAAACAAACACCACATGTTCTCACTTATAAGTGGGAGCTGAACAATGAGAACACATGGACACAGGGAGGGGAACAACACACACTGGGACCTGTTGTGGGAGGGAAGGCAGGGGGAGAGAATTAGGGAAAAGAGCTAATGCATGCTGAGCTTAATACCTAGGTGATGGGTTGATAGGTGCAGCAAACCACCAGAGCACATGTTTACCTACGTGACAAACTTGCACATCCTGCACATGTACCCTAGAACTTAAAAAAATAAAATAAATATTAAAAACTAAAAAAGAAAGAATAGCCTTCCAATATATATGCGTATATCAATAATGGTGGTGATCTTAGCCAAGGGAAGACTAAAACACAGGAATCTTCCTGCATCTATCATCATTATTTTGGCCTCAAGACAATCAATTTCAATTCTGATATCAATGTAAAATTATTAATTTACATGTCATTGCAGATAATGCAAAAGCAAAGCTAATCCACTCAGGTGAATCAGAATCTCATTTTCAGCACTGAAGGTCCCTATGCTCACATGTCTGCTCCAATTTTTCAACTAAAAAGTTTTTCTTCAATTTAGAATATACTGTCTTTAAAGTTTCTATCAATCTAAGGCACTCAAAAAAGGAAAAGTTCATTGAGATGGTATGGCAAATGAGAAAGAATGAAGTGACGACAAAATGCAAGAGCTGAAGGACTCATAGAAAATGAGAAAATGAGGCCAGGCACAGTGGCTGACGCCTGTAATCCCAGCACTTTGGGTGGCCAACGTGGATGGATCACCTGAGGTCAGAAGTTCGAGACCAGCCTGACCAACATGGAGAAACCCTGTCTCTACTAAAAATACAAAATTAGCCAGGCATGGTGGCGCATGCCTGTAATCCCAGCTACTCGGAAGGCTGAGGCAGGAGAATCGCCTGAACCTGGGAGGTGGAGGTTGCGGTGAGCCAAGATTGTGCCATCGCACTCCAGCCTGGGCAACAAGAGTGAAACTCTGTCTCAAAAACAAAAAAGAAAAAGAAAATGAGAAAATGAATAAAGGTTGAAAATTACAAATATAATTTAGATAAGATAATCCTTTGTAATTATAGCTACACTTTGGGAATTTTATGTAACACAATAAGAGCTTTATTATTCCACAGATATCCTGCCTATTCACAGTCATCATTTTATTGATCCTCAGATAATAATGCTTCTTACTGCAGTTTCAAAGGAACTGGATGATTTTATCCACTTGTCACCTTCATCAAGACAGAAAATACTTCCTGTTCTCAGTTGGTCTCAAGAAATATGTGAAAGTTCTCAAGATTATAAATTAGTGATTTCTGCAGGTTGGCACTTCATAGATGGCTATGCAGTAAGAGCCATAACAGCATGTACCATCTGCTGTGATCTGAATGTGTCCCTCCAAAATGTGTATCTTGAAACCTAATCCACATTGTGTTAGCATTAAAAGGTACGGCCTTCCAGAAGTGATTGAGTCACGAGGGCTCCTCCCTCATGAATGGGATTACTGCCCTTATAAAGGAGGTTGAAGGGAACTCCCTTGTCCCTTCCACCATGCAAGGATGAGATGAGAAGCTGCTGTCCATGAGTGACAAGCCCTCTCCAGATATCAAATCTGGATCTTGGATTTCCCAGCCTCCAGACTGTAAGAAAATAATTTCTGTTGTTTTTAAATTAATTATTCTAAGATATTTTTGTGATAGCAACACAAATGGACTAAAACACCATCTCAGTCTAGACATCAGAAAACAAATAAGTATATGCTGATTCATTTTCATATTTATAAACAGAAAGTACAAAACTTTATGCTAAAAGCATATCCTGTCATTACTTACAGCAGCATCACATAGTACGGAATAAGAATGACTGTAGATAGTGGCCATTAAAGGGTTTAAAATCTTCTCTCCCTAGCTTTGAATCCTAGATCTGCCACTTACTAGCTGTGTGACCTTGAACAAGTACTATTATTTTTAATTTTTTAAAACTTTTCTTCCTCTCCTCACAGAACTTTCACTTTAATTGGTAAGTGTTAAATATCTTTGGATCTCCCTTTCACCATCTGTAAAATAGCTACTTTTCAAGGTTGCTGTGAGATTTATAAATAATAATGTAGGGGGTATATCTCTTATTTTTAAACTAGCTTTCTTTATAAACATAAAATATTTATAAAACTAAAGGTTGGAAAACACTTGTATAGTACTTAAGAGGACAAAATGATATTCATGTTTCTGTGTTGAAACAGGTTACTTTTATGTTAGGTTAAGACAATCCCAGTTGGGTTATGTTTCCAAGCAATTTCACCCCTAAAATGTATAAACAAAGTGTTTCACTTTTCACCTGAAATGTCACTTCTACCATTAAATGCCCCTTCCTTTCAAAAGAACTTTCATGATGTAGTTGAAAGTGATGGGTCGGGTGTGGTGGCTCACGCCTATAATCCCAGCACTTTGGGAGGCCGAGGCAGGCGTATCACCTGAGGTCAGGAGTTCGAGATCACCCTGGCTAACACGGCGAAACCCGCTCTCTACTAAAAACACAAAAATTAGCTGGGTGTGGTGGTGGACACTGGTAATCCCAGCTACTTGGGAGGCTGAGGCAGGAGAGAATTGCTTGAACCCGGGAGGCAGAGGTTGCAGCAAGCCAAGATCACACCACTGCACTCCAGCCTGGGCGATAGAGGGACATGCTGTCTCAAAAAAAAAAAAAAAAGTGATGTAACCTAGGCATTGAAAGCCTGGAGTTGAAACTTCATTACTTGTTAGCTCTATAAACTACAGTCAATGACTTCATTTCTCCAAATTCCAATTTTCTCAACTATAAAGTCTATACAATAACCTCCAATCCAGTCTATCTCAAGGAATTATAAGGAAAAATGCATAATTTATAGAATAGTTCTTTTAACCAGTAAGGGCATCAATATTTCCACAACCGAAAAATACTCAGCGAATACATTGATAAAATACGCAGGTTATTTCATGAAACCTTTACATTGCCATCTTTAAGACAATAATAATAATGGTACTTTGCCTTTTCTTAGTGAAGTAAATTTAGCAATGCAATTTTTTAGTAACGGCAAGAGTATTTGACTTGAAATTAAGAGATTTAGATTAATTTCCATTAGCCATTTAATATGCAATAGTGCTTTGTTCACTTTAATGTACAAATAATGTACAATAAAAAGTTATCCACTTATTTATGTGTTCAACTAGTATTTTTTAAACACCTACTATGTGCCAACACTGGTCTAGGCCTAAGGGTAGAGCAAAAAACAAAATACTGTTGTTTTTTTAAAAAGATTCAGGGGATACATGTGTAGATTTGTTACATGCATGTATTGTGTAATGGTGAGGTTTGAGCTTCTAATGGACCCGTTATCCAAACAGTGAATGCTGTACCCAATATGTAATTTTTCAATCCTTGACACCCCCATCCCTCCCCCCAGGACTGTTCATTTGAAGGAGACAGTGCAGCCTCTGATTTTGATACTCAAAACTATCATATGAGGTGAGCAGGTGAGGCTCAGAGATGTCAGTAGGCTTTACTAGGATCAATAATAAATTGTGGCAACTTCAATCCAGTTCTGATTCTTAACACAGTTATTCCACTATACTATTTTCTCTCTGAATAGGTATGCCTGATTCTTTAAAGAATAGCACTCTACTCAATTAGATTATACTATCCCTGGATGATCAAAACCCAGTTAGAGAAAAAGGCACTTATTCCCATAAGTTCTTCCAAGAACTACATTGCTTTATCTGCAATGAAATGGCAAGACTTATTCAAGAAGCTGTTTCCAGTTATTGGCCCATTTTCCAGCCCATTCTTTATAATAAGCCTCCTTAAAAGAGTGATTTATATTCATTCTCTTCATCTTCCTTCCCTCTATTGTCTCTTTAATTCACTCTAGTTAGGCTTTTATCCCACTCTTCCAGTAAAATCACTCGTGTCAAGGTGACCAATAACGTCTCTCTTGCCAAATCTGATGGGCATTCATCTTACGCCAAACATATGCAGCATTGACACAGTTGATTACCTCCTCTTTGTTTAAGCATTTTCTTCAATTGGCTTCAGAAATTTCCATCTGTTTCTTGCCCTCCCATATACCCTTCCTTTTCCATCGTCCCATCTTTTCGCATCTTCTCTTTCTAACTTCCTTACCTGGGGTGGAAGAATTAGTGGCAGGCAGAGGTGGAGGGGTGAAGAGAAAGTATGTGAAGCATCTTGGCAGCCTGCCTACTGGTGTCCAAGGATGTGGGACATGAAGCAATGAGTGAGGGGCGCTACGTCAAGCATGTTTTCAGCATACCTAACAGCACCCAAGAATGCAGGGCCCTGCAGGAGGCAGGAAGGATGATCTCACAGCAGCTACCCGCACAAAGGCACACTGGCAATTTTCCGCAGATTGAGCTACAGATTCCATTTATCTCCGATCAAAACCCAGGAGGCTTTTTTATAGACACTGACAATCTGATCCTAAAATTTATGAGGAAGTTCAAAGTACCTACAATAGCCAAAATGACTTTGAAAAAGAAAAAGAAAGTTTATGGACTTATCCTATCTGATTTCAAGGCTTACTATATAACAGGAGTAATCAAGACTCTGGTGTTGAAAGACATATAAATTAATGGATTAGAATAGAGAACTCAGAAATAAATCCACACAATCATAAGCAAAAAAAAAAAAGAAAAAAAAGAATGACTAGGCGCAGTGGCTCATGCCTCTAATCTCAGCACTTTGGGAGGCCGAGGTGGGCAGATCACCTGAGGTCAGGAGTTTGAGACCAGCCTGGCCAACATGGAGAAACCCCAACTCTACTAAAGATACAAAAATTAGCCGGGCGTGGTGGCGCATGCCTGTAATTCCAGCTACTTGGGAGGCTGAGGCAGAAGAATCGCTTGAACCTGGGAGGTGGATGTTGCAGTGAGCTGAGATCGCACCTTTGCACTCCCGCCTGGGCTACAAGAGCGAAACTCCATCTCAAAACAAACAAAAACAAGAGAACCTAGACTTAAACCTCACACCTCATACAAAAATAATTCAAAATTATTATGGATTTAAATATAAAACATGAAATGTTTATAAAATAGGAGAAAATATTGATGACCTAAGGATAGGCAAAGAGTTCTTAGACTTAACACCAAAAATATAATCAATAAAAGGAGAAATTCATGAATTGGACTTCATTGAAATTAAAATCTTTATTCTGTGAAAGACCCTATGGGTTGCACATGGTGGCTCACGCCTGTAATCCCAGCACTGTGAGAGGCCAAGGCAGGCGAATCACGACGTCAGGAGATGGAGACCATGCTGGCTAACACAGTGAAATCCTGTCTCTACTAAAAAATACAAAAAATTAGCCAGGTGTGCTGGCGGGCACCTGAAGTCCCAGCTACTCAGGAGGCTAAGGCAGGAGAACGGCGTGAACCCTGTAGGGGCGCTTGCAGTGAGCCGAGATGCGCCACTGCATTCCAGCCCGGGTGACAGAGCGAGACTCCGTCTCAAAAAAAAAAAAGAAAGAAAGAAAGACTCCATGAAGAGGATGTAAAATTGGTGAAATCGGAATAACTTCTGTGGGTGATACCAATGTGTATTTCCCAACTTTGATATTGTACAATGGTTATACAAGATGTTACCATGAAGAGAAACTAGATAAAGCAAGACCTCTCTGTATGTACAGTATTTCTCCAACTTCCTGTGAATCTATCGTTATTTCAAAATAAAACTTTAAAGCAAACAAAAGACATTGTTGTGAACATTAAAAGGCAAGTCTGAGGCTAAGAGAAAATATTTGCAAAACCGATTAACTAGAGAATTTCATCAAGTACATATAAAGAGTACTTACAATTCAAAAATATAAAAACCGAATAAAACACAGGCAAAGATTTGAACAGATTCTTCCCCAAAAATACACAGATGTTAAATAAGTACATGAAAGGGTGCTCAAAATCATTCTCACTAGGGAAATGCAAATTAAAACCACAATGAGATATTACTCCCTCTAGTAGCTAAAATGTAAAAGACTGACCATTGTAAGTGTCGACAAGACTGTGAAGGAACAAGAGAGTTCTCATTCACTGCTTGCAGGGAATATAAAATAGTACAACCACTATGAAAAACTCTCTGGCCTTTTTTTTTTTTTTGGAGATGGAGTCTCACTCTGTCACCCAGGCTGGAGTGCAGTGACATGATCTTGGCTCACTGCAACCTCTAACTCTAGCCATTTCTTTAAATGTTAAACGTGCATCCTTCGAGCTGGAGCTGCAAGGTAAAAATTAAAAAAAAAAAAAAATTTAAGGCTGGCCACAGTGACTCATGTCTGTAACTCCAACATTTTGGGAGGCCGAGGCAGGCAGATAACTTGAGGTCAGGAGTTCAAGACCAACCTGGCCAACATGAAATGCCATCTCTACTAAAAATACAAAAATTAGCCAGGCATGGTGGCAGGTGCCTATAATCCCAGCCACGTGGGAGGCTGAGGCAGGAGAATCACTTGAACCCAGGAGGCAGAGGTTGCAGTGAGCTGAGATTGTGCCGCTGTACTGCACTCCAGCCTGGGCAACAGAGCGAGACTCCATCTCAAAAGAAAAAAAAAAACTGTTTAAACTTAGACCTACCATATAACTTGACATTCCACTCTGAGGTATGTACCCAAGAGAAATGAAAGTATAGAGTCACACAAAAACATACACATGACTATTCTTAGACACTTTATTTATAATAGCCCCAGACTAGAACACAAATGTC
Source organism: Homo sapiens (assembly GCF_000001405.40). Taxonomy (NCBI): domain Eukaryota; kingdom Metazoa; phylum Chordata; class Mammalia; order Primates; family Hominidae; genus Homo; species Homo sapiens. The sequence goes on from NC_000018.10 coordinate 2,531,819, forward strand.
CATCAACAAAATTAAAGTAGAAAAATTCTCAGAATGGCCCACATCTTAATCCCCTCCCCTTTGATTTGGGTAGAACCTGTGACTATGAAGAAATATCACTCTCATGATTATGTTACCATATATGGCAAAAACGAGATTATCTGATGGGCCCAATCTAGTCACAAAAGCTCTTTAAAAATGGAGCATTTTCTCTGGCTGATAGCAGAAGGCAAGTCAGAGAGATTGGAAGCACAAGAAGAATTTGATACACTCTTAATGACTCTGAAGATGGAGGGGGCACAGCCTCCAGTTGCTGAGAGAAAGCGCTGCTGACAGAAAATAAAGAAGCAGGGACCTCAGTCCTACAACCACATGGAACTGGATTCTGTCAACAACCTGAATGAGCTTGGAAGCAGACTCTTCCCCAGAGCCTTCAGAAAATGGCCCAGCCTGACCAGACTTTGCTTTGGGCCTGGGAGACTCTATGCAAAGAATCTAGTAGTCTGCCTGTCTTACCTAGTGTTTTTGTTTTTGTTTTTGTTTTTTGATACAAGGTCTTCCTCTGTTGCCCAGGCTGGAGTGCAGTGGCATGATCTCAGCTCACTGCAACCTCTTCTTCCCAGGCTCAAGTGATCCTCCCACCTCAGCCTCCCAAGTAGCTGTGACCACAAATGCACACCACCACACCTAGCTAATTTTTTGTATTTTTTGTAAAGAAGGGGTTTCACCCTGTTGCTTAGGCTGGTCTCAAACACCTGAGCTCAAGCAGTTCGCCCACCTCAGCCTCCCAAAGTGCTGGGACTACAGGTGTGAGCCACCATGCCTGGCCCTAGTGTTGTTTTAAAATGACTATGTTTGTGGTAATTTGTTACACAACAATAGAAAACTGTTACATATTTTGGTATCTGGAAATGCAGGGATGTAATAACAAATATGTAAAATATGGTTCTGAATTGGACAGAGGGGCAGAGGCTGGAAGGATTTTAAGGAGCATAATAAATGTCTCTAAAAGACTTAGTAGAAATCTGAATGTTAAAAATGCTGCTGGCGAGGGCTCATGAAGAAGTGAGGAACATGTCATTGGGAACTACAGAAACAGAAATCCTTATCATGCAAAGGCAGAATACTTAGCAAACTTACGACCTGCAGTTGTGTGGAAAACAGAATTCAAAAACAATGAATTTGAATATTTAGCTGAGGAGATCTCCAAGCAAAGTGTTGAGTGTGCTGCCTGGTTTCTTCCTGCTGCTTTTAGTAAAATACAGGAGGAGACAAATTGAGAAAAGAAATGATAAGGTTTCAAGACCTGCTGATTTGGGAAATTCTTGGCCTATCCAGGTGGCAAGAGATGCCAAAAGTAAAAGATTGTTCTGAAAACATGTTATAAAGAAGAGGCTGGGCTCTTCGCTGACACCTTGGAAAACCAAAGGGTCAGAGTGTTCAGCCACATAGAGTATCCTTCCAAGAGATTAAAAGTGTTCCTAATAAATCTGCTCAATCAATACAGAGGACCTATAGGAAATTTAAGGGCACTGGCCCTCAGCCATCTCAGCAGAAAAACAGAGGGATTATCTTGAAAAGATCTGTGGATTTGGCTCTAGGGAGGGAAGAAGGGAGGGGAGAGGAGGGAGGAGAGGGAAATGAAGAGAGAGGTATAGATATAGATATCGATGATATAGATAGAAATTTGTTCTAAGTGTTCTAAAAGAAGCATGCAAAAGGCTCACTTTGACAATAATTACCTGTGCTATAAAATAGGAGGTTTCACAGAGGTTACAGAGGTGGAAAAATAATTTAGAAACTCTTTGGTACTTTTGCATATTTTCTATAAGCCTAAAACTAGTCCAAAATAACAGTTTTTTTTTAAAGTGGGTCATGAAATTAGAGGTGTTGCCAGGAAGACTATAATTTTTTTTAAAATGAGCATATACAGAATACCTGCTAGGTTACTAGGTCCTATGCTAGGCACATTCAGTTATTTCATTTCATCCTCAAAATAATTCTATAAGGCCCAAAGATTAGCCTTCTTGTTCCTTAGAAAAGGAAGTTCAAGATAATATAGTTTAACTAATTGCTGAAAGTCACTCAGAAGCTAAATATATCCAGACTCAACATGTAGATCTAGCTGATCTCAAAGTCTAGCTAGTTTTTTCCTGGCAGAGAAAGTACCATGAGCAAAAGCATAGGCCTCAATCAGGTAACAGCATATAGTCCAGTCTGATTAACATTTAGGGAACATGTGGACAGTGTTGGGAGAAGCAATTTAAAAGCAGGTGGGGAACCATGTTTTTCCTTAATGATATTGACTAAAAACAGTTTTAATACTGCAACCACTCTATTTGCCTTACCCATCATCCAAAGGTATCCCATTGTCACAGCTACCCAACAACCAGGCCAACATCTCATCTGAGAAAATAAATTAAATCGTTTTCCTCATGCTCTCCACTACTAGATATCAATGTGTTTGTATATGGCTCCAGGGACTTGGATGGATACTGAAAAATCTAAGAGGTCCCACTCAAGTTCGCAGAAGCCCCAGGAGGTCTAGGTTAACCCCCCTAAGAATATTTAGGGGGAAAAGGCTGGTTGTGAAGTTATCATGGTAGTTCTGACTTATTTTCAAGCTGGTGCAGACTGGTCAATAGAGCTGTGAATTTAAACAAAACCCCGTCTGGAGTTATGAGTTGGCCCATATATCCAAACACTGGTATCAGATCACCATAAATTATCTACACTTGTGCTTACCTTACTTACTCCCTTTTCTAACTATCCATACAGCTTCAAATCCAGGTGAATATTTTGCAGAAGAGCTTCCTTAAAATGTGAGCTTAAAATGGCTCATCTGATTGAGTTGTTGAAATACAATGGCATGGTAAAAATGCTTATGGCTTATGTCAAAGGGTTTAGCAGCCCATCAGATTCTAAGTGATTCTGAGTTGACTGAGGCTATCAGTTCAACTAATGTCACTAAAATCTCTAACAAAAAATACTGTGTTAATAACACAAGAATGATGATGTGGTATATTGAGAAAGGTATGTTTGGGTGATTATATATGAACCATTCTACATTTGCCCCAGCCTATACAATGAACCTCTCTGATTAGTAGCTGATGGACCTACTATTAAGATCTCAAGTTCATTAGCAAACATGATATAACAAAAAGTGCCTTAATTTAGGAACCAGAATAGAATTCAAGTCTTGGTTATTAACCTTATGAGTAGCCTCTGTGACCCTATTCCCTCATTATACCTATACCTTTGTAAGATTGTTTTGAAGATAAAGTGAAACAATTAAAGTAAAAGAACTCTAATAACCACAGAACAGTGCCAATAGTGCTGTGGTGCTTACCAAGACATGGTAGGCCAGTGGTGCATGACATGAATCAAATGAGGTAAATCGGACAGCATCTTCAGGGAAGGGAAGGTCCTTTGAAGTGATTATAATCCTCTCAATCACATCAGGAGAAAAGCCAGCATCTGCCTGAAGCTGAATACATAAAAGTGCTCAAAAGATATGTGTAAGTTTGAGATGGTAAGATTTGGGGCCCATGATTCTCTTGTGAGAATGAGTTTGCATCATAGAATTTAGAGGACTAGAACAGGACAAGGTAAAGAGAGCCTGCAGCAAGGACAGAGCAAAGGCAGATCTAAAGCTAGGCCCAGATCTAGATCCAGACTTATATCCCCAGTGTCACAGACTAGGCTGAAGGCCACTGGCCCATGGTGATGTTGGCCTCCCTCAAAGGTTGGCATTCAAGAGAAGAAACCTATCCCATTGGTGCCTTTCAGACCATCTGAAGAAACAGGACTTCTTTACTTGGTCTGTGCCTTATCAACTGGAAAATCCCCTGGGTGGCAAATAAAGATCAACTTCCTAACACCTGCAGCAAAGTGTAACACATCTATTTTGAACCAAATTTACATGGCATGGGCCTGAAGTCTCTGAACATAGAAGAAACATAGAAGAAACATCATCGCTAAAAGGTGACCTATTTAGCACCTGTGGAATTCAACAAAGAGCAATGTAGAGTAGCTACACAGCTTAGTCAACATGGCAGGAGGCAATCAAAACACAAAGCCCAAAGCCACATGTGGCCCTTGTTTTAATTTGTTTCTTAGGCAGGACCGCAATAGGAAAGGAGATTTCATAGCTTCCTCATGTATGAAATCAGGTGCAGGTTCTGAACAAGAAAAAGATTAAGAAAAAAAGGATGCTTAGACAGAAAAACTGTATGGGCAGTTTAATAATGCTCAGGCAAAGGGATGGAACTAACATTTAACTTCCAGTGCGTTCCCTGATTGAGAGTCCAGACTGTGGTAAGAACTTTTTGACCTGAAATTTAAAAACAAAACAAAAAAAAAAAAAAAACTTGTCACATTTTTGGAGTGCTTAAAATATTCCAAGCACTATTACAAGTGCCTTGCATGTATTAAGTCATTTAATCCTCATAACAACTCTATGAGGTAGTATTATTATCACCTATATGCATGAATGAACACCAAGGCCTAAAGATTTAATTAACTTGCTCAAAGCCAAAAGCCAGTTGGGTTCAAATCTACACAAGCTGGCTTTAGACTGCACTGACTGTGCCACACTGTACCGCCTTAGGTACAAAAAAGATCTTGTGTCTACAGTGGCCAAGAGAAAAAAAAAAAACTGGGTCAAACTTTGACTAGAGGGTACAAATAAAGGCTGAGGAAGAAAGGAGGACAAATGATAAAAAGATCAGGTTTTTTAAAGAGAATCTGTTTCTAAGAGTAGTTGTGATTTTGTGTGTTTTGTATTCTGTGATTTTACTCTGCCGGATCTCATGTAGAAGGGTGAAAGAGTCAGAGAAAGGCCAAGAATTCCAAGGATATGACGTTATGAGGCACAATTCCCCCAGTTTCTTGAGTGGTGTTAGCAGTTAAGCACACAGAAGCAAAAGAGCTCGAGGGGGAATGCTAGAGTGTAATCCTATCACTTGAGAAATCCTTAGTCATTTGCTCAGTTTTCCACGTTTTTACATAGAATACAGCATGGGCTATGGAGTCAGGAAACTGTGCATCCTAGTTCTGACACTTGCTGTGTGTTTACAGACAAAATAGTCCCCTGGGCTTCAGCTTTCTCAACTATTAAATGAAGGTTGTATCTATCTCTCAGGGTTATACGAGGATTAAATGCAGTAAGTAGAAAGCATACCGGAGTAACATACACTACTCAACAAATGTTAGCCGCACCCCTTTGCCTAAGCATTATTACCAAGAGTCCTAAAAGACCTTAAGCCTGTAAAAAGAATGTGATAGAAAAAAACCCCACAAAATTCTTACAAGTTATAAAAATAATATAGGAAGGTCTGAATGAAAACGCTCTAAAATATGTAAGTCCAACAGGTCAGTTGGCTAAACCAACTGTAGTAATGAAGTCAAAGTTTGATGTTCATCTTCCTTCATTTTTGTTCTACAAGGTATGTTATTAAAATTTGCAGACTCCTTTGTTTAAAAGGAGCCCAATAATTAAACTGGTGTTAAAACAAGGTCCAGAGGTTTCACAACTTCGGAGTAAAGCTAAAACTAGTACTCTTGCAACGTGAATAATAGACTCATTGAATTAAGATTCTCTCTTTTTTCTTTCAGTACCCGTGTTTATGATGCAAAAATAAAAGTCCAAAAACTTGGTGAGGATAAAATGTTCCCACAAAGTATATAAAATCTATAAATACCAAAAGAAGCTGGAAAGAATTCAAATGAGATCATGAGAAGTTTGCTTCAAGTTTAATACCTTTTTCCTTTTAAATAACAAGTTAGAATAGCTCCATAAATACAAAATTAAGCCTCTGATACTATACTCACACACTCAAAGGATGAACAAACTTCAAAAATAACATATTTTTCTTTGACAAAATCAGTAAATTGGCAAGCTTGTCAAAGAATCATTTCAGTCTAACATTTTACTTAGTGGATAAATATTTGTCAACAATCTGTAAATAGTATAAATGCTTTTCTCAAAATGCTACGTGAAAGAAGCCAGGCACAATAGATTACACATTGCATGATTCCATTTATATGAAATTCTCAAACAGCAGAACTAATGATAGAAAGCAAACCAGTGTTTGCCAGGGGCCAAGGATAGGAGCAGGGGATTGACTGCAAAAGGAAAAATGAGAAGTTTTCAGGGTAAAGAAAGTGTTCTGTATCATGATCACTGTGGCAGACAGACAACTGTATATATGTTTTCAAAATTCACTGAATTTGACACTGAAAATTGGAGAATTTTGTGAAAATTATACCTCAATTTTTAAAAAGTCAATACATAATAAATCAATATGCATTTCAAAGAATCATTTCAGTCAAAATATTTTACTTGGTAGACAAATATTTATTTGTAGAAAATCTATAAATAATATTTTTTTCACAATCACACTGTTTACTTGCTGCCATGTTTATTATAAGGAATAGCTTTTCATTTTCTTCTAGAAAAACAAGCAAAACCAGAAAGTGCTTGGAAAGTGACCTTGAATGCAATTTAAAACCCTACAAAAATGCTGTATAAACTCAGTATACTAATGCAGTATTTGGCAGATCTTTGAATATTTTCTCCAGAACATAACAGTATACCAGAGGTTGCAAATTCAGGTCATACAAGGGCCAAGTGGATGACATAAGTGAGCAGCATGGTGGCAGTGGTACTGTGGCAAAGTGGAGAGCACAAGGCTCTTCCCAAGTGAGCCACCACCGCTTGGTCCTGCAGACTGATGCCAGGAAAGAACAAAGGCCTCTGTGTAGCCAGAGCCTCTGATGTTTAAAAAGAAGCAGAAATCTGGACTTTAATGTGAAATAGCCCCATTTTTTAGAATAATGGTTCTAAGTGTTTTTTACAACACTGTATGGGTCACACAAAACACATCCATAGATAGGATTAAGACCTCTGGTCCACGGTGTATGTTTTCTGAACTTTTTCAATAGCATGGTCTTGCCGTCTTTATAACTGCTTACCACTTAATTTGTATAGTCTAGAATAACATAGAATGTTAGTGCAACTCAAGTAAAATTCATCTTAAAATTACATGAAGGCTAGTCACTTCTGGTCCCTTACTGAAAAAAACAAGTCCTGTTTATATTCTAAGAATATGGGTTGGTAACAAAATAAAAAAATGACTTAGAATTAAGGGAAAAGTGGTGAGGAAACAATGAAGAAACCACTACTTTAATCAAGATCATAGTCAGCTTCCAGACTCCACAGCAATAAAATAATCCACATGCTGAAATTTGAGAACTTCATTGCCCCAACTAGTCCAACCTGGCTGTAAATTTCGAGCAAACAACTCCAAATATTCCCCATCTGGCTTGATGTAGTCTTTTAAAACCTCTGTTTAAAAAAGAGAAAAAACACAAAAATTATTATTGAGGAAGGAATCCACTTCCTTTTAGCAGTTAAGAGTAGAAACAGAGAAATATTTCATTTTGTTCTTAAAAGACAGCAAATTAATTTCAAGGATTTCATCACAGGCTTTACTATTTATAGTTAGAAAGCCATTTAAAATAAGTACCCTTGAGACTGGGAACAATATCATCTGAACTTCCATAGTCCTGGTTTACTGGTTTCATTTGTAGATGAGAAATGAGGACTTTAACACCTACTAGGTGACTTTTCAGTTTTCCAATACTGCTGATATATCTCCTGAGTATTAACTTTATTTATTTAATTTTTTTTTTTTTTTTGAGACAAGAGTCTCGCACTGTCACCCAGGCTGGAGTGCAATGGTGCAATCTCGGCTCACTGCAACCTCCACCTCCCGAGTTCAAGCAATTCTCCTATCTCAGCCTCCCAAGTAGCTGGGATTACAGGCACACGTCGCCACTCCCAGCTAATTTTTTGTATTTTAGTAGAGATGGGGTTTCACCGTGTTCCCCAGGCTGGTCTCGAACTCCTGACCTCAGGCAATCCACTCGCCTCGGCCTCCCAAAGTGCTAGGATTACAGGCAGGAGCCACCGCACCCAGCCAATTTATTTTTAATAAATATAACCCATACATGAAAAAGAGCTCTAAAAAAAATTGAAAAACAACCCATTTAAAAAAAAAAAAGACAAAAGTCTGTCTGCAATATAAACTTTAATAAAATAATAATAAATGAAGAGCTGGATAGAGATAGAAATACTGAGAACAAATAACTAACATTTAAATAACTAGCCCCCTTAGCAGTAAATTGGTAGCACTAAAAACATTTCTTCATTTTCAAATTATAGATCCTTCTTTACCTAAAATTTCATCATGGTACTTCCACAGTTAAGTATTCCTTGTATTATTCAATGTATTAATAACTACTGAACATTGTATTTTGTTGGGGAAAGAGCTGTAGGCTAAAGAGCTGTTGTCTACACTAAAAGAAAAGAAGAACACAGAAACTTTTTGAAAAGCACATGTTCACTCAATTGGATGACAAATACTTAAATCAATTTAATCTTGATCATGCTGCTGGTTAGCTATGCTAACCACCTAATAGGAATTTGGTATAAAATTCAGATAAGAAAAATCACTAGAAAAGGTAAAATATGGTTCATAATTGCTATGTAAGATTGCGCTTGGAAGAAATCTATCAAATTTAGGAATGATAAGGGTTCTTTAGGAATACTAGAGACAGGTAAGGTTTAAAAGAGAATATATCAAATATTTTAGGTTTCATCATGTTCTTCAGTTGCTCTCACAGCAAAATACTTGTTCATCTGTCAGAAAGTACTGGTCCTGTTTAGCAAAAATCAAAGAAGAATTAAAAGGTTTCACTGTCTATAATTCAAGTGAACTCAAATTTGGGCTTTGATGGGTTCTAGGAGATACTGGCACGAAGGCTTCTAACCCTTTCCTAAGTGCATAAATTAAATGCTACTAACCTTGAAAGAGAAAGATTTCCCTAGAGTCTTGGAGGAAATAACCCCACATGGAAGAACTTTTCCATTTTCTTCCCATGAATTTAACGCCTCACCAGCCTCAGTTCACTTTAATGTGGTCTCAGGTTACGCTGAAGAAAGGTTTTGTTTGTTTTTGTTTCATTTGTTCAGATTTTTGGTACGAAGATGTTAGCAACCCTATTTTAGAAATTTAAACTGGAGTCAGCCAGTCAAAAATGTTTCCTCTTCTGAGCACCCACTATAATCAGTGTTATAAAACTTAAACAAAGGAAGCAGAATATCCATGTTTTATGAGAGTTTACAATCTAATGGAAAATAATGGCCAGGTACTTGGATGGAGTGGAAAAATACATACAACCTAAACCCATTTACTGCCATCCTATTTTCTCAATGTAGTAAGTTTTTGCATGGTTCTTTTCCTTTCTAGTTAAGAAAAACAGAATATTAAGTTGTGTTTTTATAATGTTAACTACAATTATTTTATTTCAAAATAAGGGAGAAGAAATAAAGGCAAATTAATAAAAATGGATTATTCTGGTTTTTAAATATTAATTTAAAAATAAATGTGAATGTATAAATTTAAACATGAGTATGACACATAAACTTCAACAATTACATAACATCTGGAGTTAGTAAAACACACTTTAACTAATGGAGCGGATGCAATCTGTGCACAGCTAGTCATTTCGTTTTTGCTCTGAAAGCATGGGGCAGGAGTAAGAGAGAAGTGGCCCAAACATCAGTGCATATAATCCCATCAACTAAACTTCACTCTTCAGATGGAAACTGTTAGTATGTAAAGCAGTAAAAAGAAGTGGAAATTCCTCTAAGGTAAAATGTGAAAGCTAAAATTTTGATTTAAATACTTTATTTCATGATTTTCCTACCTTAAATCTTCAAACAATATCACTTTATAATGTTAGGTTGTAAACCATAGCTATTGATAGCTTATCTTTCAATCGGAGAAAATTTCAAAACTTATGCAAATGTATCATTTTGAAATGCCATATGCTACCAATGTGGTCTCCTACATTTTGCAACAGAAATAACCAATTAAACTTAAAAAAAAAAAATCAGGGTGTTTCTAAATACAAAAGAGAAAACATTTCATTTTATTAATTTGCATAAAACAGTTTAAGAATATTTAAATGTAAAAGCTGTAAGCATTATATACAGAATATATATCATCCCAAACCCCTAGAGTTATGATTTCAGGGTAAAATATACTGCAGAAATCTGAGAGATGCTTTCTGAAATATATAGAAACATGAACTATACTAAAAATATATACAGTAACATGAACTCAAAAATAAAATATTACAATATTTCCTATCACTACTTAACCAAAACATAAGATTTTATATATATATGGAGTTATTCAGATGTTTCCTCCAGAATCTAACTTTTGTCTTTAAATGTTTTCAATGCTAAAAATGTGTTTGTGCTGCTCTCTACTGGGAATGAGGAAGAACTGCATTTCAAAGATATAAGCTGTAATGCTTTAGGGCAAGACTCATTTTTTTTTTCTTTTATTATTATACTTTAAGTTTTAGGGTACATGTGCACATTGTGCAGGTTAGTTACATATGTATACATGTGCCATGCTGGTGCGCTGCACCCACTAACTCGTCGTCTAGCATTAGGTATATCTCCCAATGCTATCCCTCCCCCCTCCCCCCACCCCACAACAGTCCCCAGAGTGTGATGTTCCCCTTCCTGTTTATTCACTATTTTAAAACCTGTCTCCTGAGGCTCATCTTTAAATATAACTTTATTTTATTTTAAAGGAATTGACAAATAGTTTACTATCATTTCAGAATGAAAAGTTTATGGTCTTAGCTTTTGAATTTTTAAAAGAAAAAAATAAGGTTTGAGACAAACACTAGCTTTGTTACCAAGTGATAAATAAAATTCAAATGAGAGGAATACATATACATATATAATCAGGTATTACTAGTGCCAAGTATAATTTTTTTTTCATGAGGAACAATGCAATCTCACTTTCACTTGAGTTATATATTAAAGCATTAAAGGTCTATGACAGTCCGAAGCATAAGGCAATCGATTATTCACTGAGAATCCTTCTTAGTCAAAGAATGGATTATCAGGTAGACATCTGTATATGTCTCAAATGAAGTAATACTATAAACACCCTTCTAGAGGCTGGGTGCGGTGGCTCATGCCTGTAATCCCAGCACTTTGGGAGGCCGAGGCGGGCGGATCACTTGAGGTCAGGAGTTTGAGACCAGCCTGGCCAACATGGCGAAACCCCGTCTCTACTAAAAATATAAAAATTAGGCATGGTGGCACACATCTGTAGGCCCAGCCACTCAGGAGGCTGAGGCAGGAGAATCACTTGAACCCAGGAGGTAGAGGATGCAGTGACCCAAGATCAGGCCACTGTATGTGACAGAGTGAGACTCCATCTCAAAAAAAAAAAAAAAAAAATTAAAAAAGGACCCTTCTCCATAAACTATTTAAGATAACAGAAATCCTAAGTGCTAGCAATAAAAATTCTCTAGGAATTTGTATTCACTTTCTCCATTTCCCAGGTCATAAACTGCCTCATATTCTGCAAGGTAACATAAGCTCCTGTAGTTTTCCTGAGTGGTAACTTGTAGCAGTTTTTTGTTGGTAGAAATTACCAAACCAATAAAATATGTATTCCTGAAGAAATCCTTTGAAAAGTAAACTTTGAATATCAAATTCAGTATCTCTCAAGGACTTATATTTCTATGTTTTTAAACTCTGACTTGAAAAATTTAGCATTCATTGAGCTTCTATCACATGCTACGGAACTTTAAATATAACTAATTCTCACAACTCTAGAGGACTAAATATCATTATTCCCTCTTTAAATGAGGACTTTGATACAGAAAAATATTTGAGTGACTTGCCCAACTCCCAGAGCCAGGATTCAAAATCACATTAGTCCATTTCTAAAGCCAAATTCCCCACTATTCCCTGCTGCATAGTTTCATTGAATGATAAACATTATACTAAAGCATTAAGACTAGTGAGAATTTGCAGGCTGCAGCAATTACCTGTCAATGTTCCAGAAAAGCAACACTACCTTTAAAAAAACGTAAAACTGAGAGCCACTAACCAAATATCAAGGGACTTCTGTTTCTCTGACTACTATTCTGAGTTCCTGGTTTTAGAACAAGCAAGGGATACAGCCCCGGTAGTAAAATAAAGGGTCTAGCTGAACTGCATCCTCAGATGCCCATCAGCATTCTTTGTGTCAGCCCAGTGATGGGAAGCAACTGATAGCAAGGGGAATCTGAAAAATGGTATAACTGGAAAAGCTGAGTAACATAAAACTAATCTATTCTCTATTTCATAGAGATAGGCAAATTCTGCTATGAATTCTGCTATAAAGTTTTAGAATATTCATTAACAACCTACGTCTGACTTAATTTCCGAATCTGTAGGCCGTTTAAATACTAAATGTACACTTTTTTTCAAATTTGACAAAAGTGATAACAATTCTATTTTATAAAAACATACCAGCAAGCGGTGGCTTATGTGAGTGAAGAGTACAGGGCACGCTGACAATTAATTTGTGGTCTGGAATGGGGAGCACGTTTACATCTGCATTCCTAATTAAACAGAACAAGAAAGTAAACTATATTTTAAAAAACAATTTTCTATACATAAGCCACAGCTGCATTGATTTTTGTTCTCTTTCTGTATCTGATTTTAACACAAATTTTACAATCAATGAAAGAAATTAACAATTTAAGTATTGAGACATTCCTATAATTTCATTTTCTATAATAATGACAATTACACACTAGATAAAACAAAATATAGTTTCCTGTGCCATACCATCCATTCTTTTCTACACTGGACCATTTTCAGAGTTTCAAAAACATAAACATTTTAAAAAGTCAATGATTACTAATCATTTTTAAAAGCGTAAAAATTAATACATGTATACAATTTTGAAAAATCACCTTTCCTACCTCAATGGTAGAGCAGTTTTTTCTTGAACCCTCCCCAGTATAAGACCTTCGTAGGGCTTTTTGTGTGGAGAATCTAATGGGAACACAAATTCTCCTGAATTGGTTATCTGATAGGAAGGAGCCAACAAAAGAGGGTTATTTTTTCCCATCACTATAGAGCTTCCACACACACACAAAAGAAATTAAACCTCCAGGCTAGTGATATTCAGTAAAAATACTATGTGAGCCACATTTATCATTTTAAATTTTCTAATAGAAACACCAAAAGAAGTAAAAAAAAAAATGCAATGAAATCAATTTTAATTATATATTTAATTCAGTCTAACATACTTGAAATACTGTCATTTCAATATGTAATCAATTCAAAAAAGTTACTGAGATATGTTACATTCTTTCTTTTGTACTATGCCTGAAATCCAAAGTGTATTTTATACTTAACAGTACATTTCAGTTTGGACTAGCCACATTTCAAGTGCTGAAGTGTCACATGTGTTAGTGGCTACCATATTAGACACTGCTTCTATAAGAGATTTTTATTAAATATCATATAAATATTTCAAATATAACTTCATTATCATCTTGCACATAAAACAATCTCTACTCTTAACTAAAATTGATTCCTGGAAACCATGTCATCAGTAATTTATTAGTTCATGCAAATAAACTAATAAATGAATTACTAATGAACTAATAAATGAATTGCAATATGACTAAGTAGATCATAATAACACGTTTCCCTTTAGTTACACGAGATAGTATCATTAAACATTGTCAAAGCCAAAATTAATAAGGATAGAAAGTGGGTGGTTGATAGACAATACCTAGTCCAGAGACTGGCCCTTGGCATTATAAATTCAGAAATTCAATTTCACATTTCACCCTGGGATGATCATACTCTCAAAGACTCATTTAAGCTAATCAAACTAAAAATAATTTAAAATATCAATTCATTAATTTACCATGGGAATATACATTTTCACTGTCAGAATACTGATATCTGTGAAACTCTTTATCCGATATCAATGTACCTAAACAACCAACTCAGTAATCAGAAAGTCTTTTATCTCCTCTAGGGCCAATCAGACACAGCATATCCTACAAAAAGTGCTGTATAAATACTGGCACGTTGGGTAGTTTTTATACTCAATGCACATTACCCCTCCTATCATAACAATATGTATAATTGCCTAATAAATGCTTCATATAACATAATAGATGATATTTATGTTTTAAATTCTGGTCTTATCATACCATCTCTTAGAACTGATAACTACTACGGATTAATAATCTTAGTTTCTATGTATTAACATTTTACTGGGTTTGATTTCAAAAGGTGACCTCCTCCTGACTTTGGTCCCAGTTTCTGACTATAAAAGAACTATCATAATAGGCAAGACGGAACAGGGTAGTATACTCCTATCACGGTCCTATACCAAATCAACCAACACTAAGACCAAAGTACAGCATGAAAACAAAGATACAACTGTAAGTCTTTGTCAAGTCCCATAACATAGGTATAAATAAACAATATACACTTGTCCCCCCTTATCCACAGTTTCACTTTCCAGGTTTTCAGGTACTCATGGTCAACCACAGTCCAGAGATAGGTAAGTACAGTACAGTAAAATATTTTGAGAGAGAGACCACATTCACATAACATTTACAGTATATTGCTATAATATTCTATTTTATTATTAGTTATTGTTTATCTCTCTATTTATAAATTAAGCTTTCTCATAGGTATGTATGTATACAAAAAAAATTATATATGGGGTTCAGTACCATCCATGGTTTCAGGCATCCATTAGGGGTCCTGGAATGTATCCCCCCAAGGATAAGGAGAACTACTGTACACAGCTTTTAGAAGATATTCCAGTAGATGAAAAAGTATACACAAAGCCATAAAAAGTACAACTCCACTGTGTCAAAAATGAGTATGCTTGCAATATAAACATTAAACACTAAAATAATAGCTTGGATTATCTTTTCAAAATTTAGAAAGGCGTTTATAGAAATCATCTAAATAGTCAATGTATCTTTAAAAGGAAACCTGATGAACTCTAAATTGATGCCTTATTTTTCTGTATTTTTTGGTAATCTTGTAGCATGCAGAGATATTAAAGATCATTCAACCAATTCTAGAGTCCAAATCATTTCTTTCAAAAATATGCACAGCAGCACAAAAGGCACTGAGGACCTAAGTTAAGATTTAGAGCATAAAAGGTTCTTGGTTCTGGCATCTTCCCATCCCCTCTACAATGGGTTACTTTGCTATTCCTTGCCCTCATCCCCCACAAAATAAGAAAAAGAAATCACAAAGGGTGGTTGAAACTGTGAGTATATAAAGGGAAGAAGATGAAGAGTAAGACTATTTCTATGTTTGGTGATACACAATTCCCCAAAGTTTTTGTTTGTTGTTTTTTAAACTACAGACAAAATCAGAGCTTTTAAAAATTTTATCCTGATATCTTCCAGACTGACTTCCCAAAGCCAGCAGTTTGAGGCCCCATTACAAAAAGACATACAAAAAAAATATAGCCTTGAGAATAAAAATATAAAAGTGGTAAGCAGCAAAGCAAAAGTCTGAATTAGCCCATGTTGAAGGAGTACAGCAGTGACATGTTGAGCATTACAAAGTAGATGCTACCTTTATGTGACTTCTATCAAGCTGTATTAACAAATAAGCTAACTTCTGAACTTACTTTTACCCAGTGCCACTCAGCAACTACCTCCACAGACCAAGAGGGATAAAGTTCTTCCTTTATAAAACGTAGGTGCTTCTGTCTATTGGTCACCCAAGTAACAAGAAGACAGTTTGGAGCAGCCAATTTAGGGATAGGTATTTGCTGTATTTGCAGGGGTGACAAATAACTGTACCTAAAAATAAACGGAAAAAAGGATGAGCAAAATTCACTGCAAAAGAAGAAAACTAAGCAGGGATAAGACATGCATAACACAGACTCCACAAATGCAAAGCTCTTACTGCTATTTATTTGTGTAGCAAAATATAAAGCCACAGTGACACCCAGTGGACATATTATTACACACAAGACAAAAATCACCTTTTTTTTAACTAGTTTAAAATCGTCAGGCTGTATTTTTTTTTAGTCACTTCTAAATGCATTACATTTCAGTAATTTTACTATTAACAATATTTTTTTCTCCAATTCAAAATTAAGCAAATATTGTTGTTTAGATCCCATACTCTACGTTACACAGGAGCCCTGTCACAGTGAGTCTTGAAACGAGTCTCTCAATAACCTAAGTCAAACCATACAAGCCTTACCTGGCACCAAATCAGTGTTGCAAAATTGGTAATGCTAAAGCCAATCTATTCCAATGAAGCTTCTCCTAGCCCTAGAATCCTCAAACCCTGCACAAAATGCTGACTCCTTCACAGGGAGTCATCTCACCTATCCTCATCTCCACCCCACTGCATTTGCAACCCCTAATCTATCATCTTGCTTTTTGCCTTCTCAGTCAATTCCACTGGGTTCTCTAAAGCCCTCATATTTTCATTTTGTAAAACAAAATCTATAATCTTGTACCTCCTGGCCATAGAGTATAATGGCTAGTTTGTCCTGCAAAAATACTACTTGCTCTACAATACTCAATCAAATGAATATGGCCCCTTCTCCAACATTCAGTGGAAGGGGAGAAGTCATTATTCTCCTGGCTCCCCCATTGCTGCTTCTAGGCTATAACTCATCCACCTTTGCAAAAAAAAACCCTGTTCTCTTTGAGAGGTATGCTATCCAGCTATGTTAACCTCTACTGTTCCTCACTGAATCCATTTCATCCTCAACATATTCAATAAGGACTTAAGCTCTGAGATCCCACTACCTCACCAACACAAAACTGGCCACTATTCTGAACAATTTCAAAGCACAATCCATATAATGTATATACTTCAACTATTCTTCACCTAAACAAATACAACTGCCTTCATCCCACTTCCATAATCCACTCCAATGCCATAACCTGGACCCTGTCATCACTCACACTTGCTCCTTCTCTGAAACCATAAACATCAATCTCTGGCAATAACATGCTATGCCTCACCTACTCTTTGAGCTTATCTAGCAGCTTATTCCTGATTACACTTGCTCTTCTTCCCCGTGGACCGCCAATCGTTTCATTGTCTTCTCACTAGCACTCTCAGTTCCCATCCTCCCTTTACCCTTCAACCTCACAGTTCCTGCAAACCTCCCATCTTAAATCAGTATCACAATTTTATTCCACTTGTTTGTATAGGGAAAATCAGATGAAGAAAATGCGGAAGAACTGGGTATTAAAAGTTTATAAAATCCATTATCAGGATCTTAAAGTACTCATCAATTCTTTTACTCATCCTTGGTCAAGTACCACAAACCCTCACCACTCTTCAGATCCCTTGACCAAACTCTCTCTTAGCAGGTAAAGTTAACTCATACATCAGTAAAACTAAAGGCCGCCAACCTCCCTCAACTACCCAACCCTAACCCCTCTCCTTTATATACCTTTACTTATCTATTTCCATACATTTCCTCTTAAAGGAAATGGCATGATTTCACCTATTAAAGCTTATCCCTCCGGTTGTATTCTCTTAGTCCCATATGCTAGTATCTTGTAATACCAATTATCCCCTCCTTCTCTATTTTCAACTTCTCTAGTAGTTCTTTACCATCAACCTACAAATATGATTATCCTATCTCATTTGAAAAGAAGATGAGAAAAGGAGGAGAGAGGGAGGAGAGAGTAAGAAGAGGAGAGGAAAAGGTGTGGAGGGGAGGAGAGGAGAAAGAAGAGGACAGAGAATACAGAAGAGAAATTCCCTCAATTCCATCACCTTCTATCTACAACTAAGCTAAGGACTTGTATGCAAATCCTACTTTATCTCCTTTATTTTATTCCTTAGTTGACTCCAATGAGACTTTTACCACTATGCCTACTCTGAAAAAAGTAAATGACTTCCTAATGGCCAAATGCAACAAACATTGGAATCCAGCTCTAGCATGTGACAACTGTATGTCAGGGACAATCAATAAGTATTTCTTAAAACAAATAGGGCTGGGTGTGGTGGCTTATGTCTGTAATCCCAACACTTTGGGAGGCCGAGGCAAGTGTATCACCTGAGGACAGAAGTTTGAGACTAGCCTGGCCAACATAGTGAAACCCCATCTCTACTAAAAAAAAAAAAAAAAAAAAAAAAATTAGCCGGGTGTGGTGGCAGACACCTGTAATCCCAGCTACTCAGGAGGCTAAGGCAGAAGAATCACCTGAACCCAGGAGGTGAAGGTTTCAATGAGCCGAAATCATACCATTGCACTCCAGCCTGGGCGACAACAGCGAAACTCTGTCTCAAAAAAAATAAAATAAAATAAAAATAAATAAATAAATAAGCAAAAGAATTCAGATCTCAAGCACCCAAGTTTCCTGCCATCGAAACAAGTGCTCTTCCCGCAGACTAGTATTTCTCATAATCGAAGTGATGAAGGAACTAATTTTGCTACAGTATGAAGAATGTCAGGTCAAAAATTTGAAAGTACATGGTTTCAGTAACTGCAGATTCCTTGATTGCCTTAATTTAATTGGGTTGATTTGTGTGGAGAAAGAGGAAATATTCATATCTCCTCTTCTAGCTCTAATTTCATGGAAATCACTGAGCAAATTCTAAAATATGCATATTTATGTGATGCAATGGAAAGTATGCAAAAAAACAGAAAGAAAATGGTGAGAATGTGGAAAAACTAGACCCCTCATTGCCAGTGGGAATATAAAATGGTGCAGGCACTGTAGAAATTAGTTTGATAGCTCTTCAAAAATTTAAAGATAGAATTACATGGTGTAGTAATTCCACTTCTAGGTACACATCCAAGAGAACTATTAATAAAAATACATCACCCAGAGTTAGCCAAACTGCAAAGTTTGAAGGTGCAGTCCTGAAGACACCTCACTTCTAAAACCAACTGCAAGTTAAGGTAGTTTCCAAAGCCACCCATAGGATCAAAAATTTGCTAAACTAACAAAACTTACTGAAAGCTTTTATATTCATAGTTACAATTTCTCAGGGGTAAGGATACAAATTAAAATCAGTCAAAGAAAGAGAGTCAAAAGATACTGAAGAAGTATGACAACTGAACATGTATAATCCAGACTTTTATTTGCTACAAAGGACATTCCTGGGACAATCAGTGTAGCCTGAATAATGTCTGTACATAATAGTGCCAAATCAATAAGGATATTATATCAGCCGGGCGCGGTGGCTCACGCCTGTAATCCCAGCACTTTGGGAGGCCGAGGCGGGCGGATCACGAGGTCAGGAGATCGAGACCATCCTGGCTAACATGGTGAAACCCCGTCTCTACTAAAAATACAAAAAATTAGCCGGGCGTGGTAGCGGGCGCCTGTAGTCCCAGCTACTCGGGAGGCTGAGGCAGGAGAATGGCGTGAACCCGGGAGGCGGAGCTTGCAGTGAGCCGAGATCGCGCCACTGCACTCCAGCCTGGGCGACAGAACGAGACTCCGTCTCAAAAAAAAAAAAAAAAAAAAAAGAATATTATATCAATGTTGATTACCTATTTTGATAATTACATTATGTAAAACAATTATCTTTGTTTTTAGGAAATACATACTGAAATATTCAAGGCTAACTTACCCTTTCTCTTAATTAATTCATTCTCAAGTAACTCACAAAAAAATTATATAAAGATATAGATATCTGCACACACAGAAAACAGATACATGAATTCTTTGTATGATTCTTGTAACTTTAAAAGAAACAAATCTGGCCAGGCATGATGGCTCACACTTGTAATCTCAGCACTATGGAGGCTGAGGCAGGAGGATCGCTTGAGACTAGGGGTTCAACCTGGGCAACACAGCAAGACACTGTCTCTACAAAAAAAATGTTTAAATAGCCGAGTGTAGTGGCATACACCTGTAGTCCCAGCTACTCAGGAGGCTTAGGCAGCAGGCACATCTGAACCAGAAGTTTGAGGCTGCAGTGAGCTGTGATTGCACCACTGCATTCCAGCCTGGGCAACAGAGTGAGACCCTATCTCAAAATAAAAAAAAAGAAGAAGAAGAAAAAGGAAAGAAAAGAAACAAATCCTACTGGCACAGCTCATAAACAAGAAGCGTAAGAAAGGTGAGGATCACTGAGGAGAAGAAGAAATTTCATATGAAGTTTAAGTCAAGGAAATTGGAATTTTTTCATCTAGAAAACTGAAAAGTAAGAGACAATGTAACTGAAGACATTCATTAGAATTGAAAGGAAAAGGCCAGGCACGGTGGCTCACGTCTGTAATCCCAGCACTTTGGGAGGCCGAGGCAGACAGATCATGAGGTCAGGATTTCGAGACCAGCCTGGCCAATATGGTGAAACCCCGTCTCTACTAAAAATACAAAAATTAGCCGGGCATGGTGGCGTGCGCCTGTACTCCCAGCTACTCGGGAGGCTGAGGAAGAAGAATCGCTTGAATCCAGGAGGCAGAGGTTCCAGTGAGCCAAGATCGCGCCACTGCACTCCAGCCTGGTAACGGAGTGAGACTCCATCTCAAAATAAAATAAAATAAAATAAAATAAGGAATTGAAAGGAAAAAATTGTTTAATGCTATTGAAAGGAAATATCACCTTAGTAAATAACTTATCGCCCTAAGAAGTAACATAAACTAAAAAATTAAAAACAAATTTAAGAATGAATTAGACAAATTCATTCATAACACTTTATTAAGGAAAACTAGAAATATCTTGGCACATATTTCTAAACTTTAGAATTTGATATCAAAGAAGACAAATATGTTGTCCTTTGGTGTTAACAGAAACAGCCCTGAACTGCTTCTGGCATTAATAAATGCACTACTTTTGACATTCTTACACTTATATATAGTTACAGTTCAAGAGAATTAACTAGTTAAGGAAATTAAGCTGTTAAAACTATTGAAAGCATTTTAGTAGTTTCAGATAATCTATATCATAAAGTAATGTCAATAGTATATTAAACTATAATGTACAAAGGACTACAGTTTTTTTAGAAAGCAAATGCTTTCATTTCCACTTACCTATTACTTCTTTTAACTGATTTGTTCTGCCATGGTGGATCTATCACAATTACATCAAATGTTTTCCTATCTGAAAACAAAGATACAATTTCAGAAAATACCTTCTCTATGTGATCACTTTAAAAACTAAACATGTTCTTCAAAACTCAAGTGATTTCACTACGGACACGAATATAATGGAATGCACCAAAGGGATCTGTATATAGCATTTATTCAAACAGAGTAATTTATCATTAAATATTAGATGTTTCCTTTACCTCTAGAATTGTATCATAATGTTACCTATTGCAATTGTTGCAGAGACTATCTGCAGATGACTACAGCTCAGTAAGCTGAACACTAATGATCTGTGAATTCCCTATGCGTCTTGGCAGCCATATTAATATAGTTCTAAGAAATCTAGGTCTTTTTTTTACTTTTTATTTTAAAATAATTTCAGCCTTTACAACTGACTTATTGGCCATAATAAAACTTCCCCAATTATTTACTAATGTACTTTTTCTGACCCAGGATCAAAGCCAGGATCAAACATTGCATTTAGCTGCCATCCCTCCTAACTCTCCTCCAACCTGGAAAAGTTCCTCGGTCTTTCTTCGTCTTTCATGATTTTGAAACTTTTAAAGGCTACCAATTATTTTATAGGATGTCCCTCAATCTGGGTCTAGTATTTTCTCATGATTAAATTTAGATTACTTATTTTTTGCAAGAGGACCACCAAAGTAATGCCTGCCATGCCCTATCAGTGCAACATATCAGGAGATAAAGGATGTTAAAGAGTCTTTGGTTAAAGTGTTGTCTGCTGAGTTTCACCAGTTTTTCCCTTGTAATTAACAAGTATCTTGGGAGGAGATACTTTAAGACCATGAAAATATCCTGTCTCATCTTTTCATCCACTATTTTGACATCCAATTATTATGGTGTTTGTCAGATGGAAATTCTCTAGATCCATCATTCCATTCATTTATTAACTGGAATTTTACTGTAAGGAAGAGCTGTCCTTTCTCCCCCTTTTATAAACATAGGTATATTTTTGTAAATGTGTACAATCTCATAAGTAATCAAAAGAATGCAAATTAAAATAAAGAAGTGACACTTTTTAAGCTATTAGAGTAACAAAGATCAAAAAGAAGAGAAAAAATGTGCATGCATAGAATGGTTTTCTCATTAATTTGTTATCCTGTCATTTACTCTGAAGAATTTATGGCACTGCTACATGGATAACCACTCAAGTGTAAGATGGCTTGATAGCAATTAAAAGAAGCTTTTCATTAGTAAGTTGTGTTGTAGTTGCTCAGTAACTTAAAATTTTGCTATAAAATGTCCAAATAACAATAAACAGCACATTAAATTCAATCTGATCAATATACCTCAAAATGACCCTAAGCAGCAGGTATTATCATGTCCATTTTATAGATTGGAGACTGGGGCTCGGTTTTGTGAAATGAATACCCCAAAGACTCACAGTTAAATAAGCTTCAGAATCTAAAGTCAAATACAGGTCTGTGTGACTGCGGACTTCAATATTTAAATTTTTTAACTTTGTACGGAAATGTTTCAAGAAATTTTAGACAATGAGCTTGAACACTAGCCTAAATGGTATCCTTTATACAAGGCTAGGAATGATGTGGGAATTGATATTCATAACTGAAGTGTTTCTACTTTGCTATGAAAAAAAGTTAAAAAAAAAAGTGATTTGGTTAAACACAACTGCATACCGAATTCCTAAGTACAGAGAAGTAACTATATTTGTTCTCTTAGAAATTAGCTTTTGACTCTTTATTCACAATATTTATTTTTTTAAAAAAAGCAAAAGTCAGCACCTTAAAATTAAACCTAAGAGACAAATAACCCAAGGAAAAGTGTCTACCCTATCCTCATAAATGCTGACCCATCTTCAAATTTCAGACTAGCTCTTAACTTTTCAGCCCACGGAAAAATTATCTTTTTCTAATAACAAACACAATAATTACTTACAGTTTAGAAGTGGTTGCATACAAGAAATGTCAGATAAAAGAAAACTGCTTTTCGGTGGTAGCAGGTATTTCTGTCCCATTAAAGTAATCACTTTTGTAAAGCTAGAGTTGTTTTCAACAACTCGCAAAAATAAATCCTGTTCTGTAACAGATGTATCCTCTTCCACCAATTGTAATGTCTGATGTTCCATTTCATTCAGAGAAGGCAAATGCTTTGCCATTTCACATAATTCTGACAAACTGCAGGCGTCAAGTGGTAAAGTAATGGGCTTACTACCCTTGTCCTGTTTTTCAAAAAGTGGATAAAGAAAACCACTTTTGAGACCTTCCTGGATCAACTGTAAAGATCCATCCAAAATCAGCTCCCTGATCTGTAAGAGAATTTTAAGTACATTAAAAGAACGTTGACATTAAAAAAGAACATTGACTGTGCTTTGAATATCTGAGTTTATAAACTGAAATCAATATCCTTAACACTTACAGTAAAATAATTCTGTACTACAATGAAAAGAATGTGTGAGCACGCCTTTGAACTGCTGTTTCCCAACTGCAGAGTGAAACAACCCTCACAAATTCACTGACAACTAAATAACCAAATACATGTAAGAAAATATATCCTCAAACATGTATAAGGTAAATTTGATAATCTGAATGTTTCTAGAAGAAAATGGGATTTCTAATCTATAGGGATTGCATGAGGAAGTATCTGCTCTTCATTCCTTTGGGAGGAGAAATACATCCATAACATGCTAAATTATAAAAGGAGGTCTCAGGGCTGCCAACCTTTCAATAGAGGTTGAGTGGTAGCATATTACTCCTATATAAGAAAAAAATCATCATCATCTTCTATAGGGAGAATTAAGTTTAAATCACAACACTTAATCTTAGATTTCTCTGGTTATCTAATTTTAAAATAAACATACCTTTTCTTTCACAAAACATAGCTTGAATTATAAAGAAAAACATAACTCTATAAAACAAACATATAAACAAAGTTTTATAAAAATACAACTAAAATAATTATAAAAAATAAAACCCAAGTTCCCCTTCTGGACAAGATGGAGTATCATGGATCAGATTTACCCTTTCATCTGAAATTACTTTTTTTAAATGCACAAAATATGTTTGTTTGTTTTGTTGGTTGGTTGGTTGGTTGGTTGGATGGTTGGTATGTTTAAAAAAAAAAAAAGGCTTTCAGACTTCAGATGCCATGCAGTGTAGAACAGTGGTCCCTAAACAGCAAAAACAAAGGACCACTCCAGCTTACTGCCTTCAGAAAGTTCCCAGGCACAGGGAAGACACATGCAGAGTCCAATAGTCTCTCTGAGTTAAGGAGATGGAGCTTGGAGTCTAGAAAGGCCAAGGAAGGTGCCAGAGAGGAGACAGCACAGACAGAGCTCCTAAGAGCTGCAGGGGATCTGCCCAGAATTCCAGCCGAGTCACGATCAACACATGCATGGGATGAAACTACCAAAGGCAAGGAAGGAAGAACCAGATGAAATGACCCGAGGAAACAATCCTCAGGGCTCACCCAGGGCTGAGAATAGTTAGTGCTCCCCAATGCCAAAATGGAAAACCTCATAACTCACAGAACATCAGGCAGACAATTCACAAGGGCATTGCCTCGGCAATTGGGAAAAAAAAAAATAGCTTTAGACCAAAGTCTGCTCTGATCATAACTAAATGAGCTTAAAGAGAGTCTCAGAAAGATCAACCAGTTGCAAAGAAACTTTTTCTGAGAAAAAAGCTCAAGAATATTTAAACAAATATGAAAATATGAACTACCCAAAAAGCTAAAGTAGAAACATCTTACAAAAAATTTAAAATTATCAGGAATGTAAAGAAGCAGAAAAATTTATTATAAAAGGAAAAAATCACCAAATGGAAACATAGGAATGATACAGATGATAAAATTAGTAGAAAAGGTTAGGTAGGTTTACTTGCAGTCCAAATAAAAATATTGGGAATAAAAGTAAAAAATGATATTAAGGTATTTATACTATATTCATATGATCAAAGATGTAAAGGAAAAAAATGAGCATATTAAGAAGTGACATAGAGACATAAAAAAAGGACCAAATGTGTCCAAAATGAAGACAGAAAAAGTATTTGAGGAAATAATGGCTGAAAATTTCCAAATTTGCTGAAGAGGATGAGGAGGAGGTGGGGGTCAGGGGAGGAGGAAGAAGAGGAGGAGGAGGAATCCGCACTATGTAACATCCTAATCAAATTGCTAAAAGAAACAGTGATAAAGAGAAATGTTCAAAGCAGTGAGAGACTTCCACTGGCTGGAACAACAAAGAGAAACAGTAGCAAGAGCTTTTAAAACATTAGGCAAGGAAGGACAGTAGCCCTAAGCAATGGGAAAGAAATCGATAGCCCCAGCAAATTGCCTGGAGAGAGTTTCCAGGCCATAGAAAGGAAGAATCTGAGCAGAGCCTGGAAGAATCCCTGAGTTGAGGAGATGGAACTGAGAGTACAGTTAACAGTTCACAGGACAGAATATCAGAGAGGAAAGGGCTCCACAGAGAGAGAACTCAGGAAATCTGCAGGTAGGCACACTAGAGAAATTTACCTATGTACTGATCAGTACAAGTGTGTGAAGGAACTATCAGAAGCTGGGAAAATGAGTACCCCAAAAATTTAAAAAATAAAAATAAAAAAAGTATCTGATGCTCCCTAGGGCCAAGAATAGTGCCTGTTTCCACCACTCAGATGGGAACACCTCATGATTCACAGGGCAACTGGGAGACAATTCATCCTGAGTCTCTGAGCAGAGGCACTGACAGCTTTTGTTCCAGAAAAAATTTCCAAGGATATGTATACAACATGGAAGATGGAGTAGTGTCTCCCCAAGGCAGAGGATAGACTTGTATGCTGTCCAGGTTAATAAAGTCTCCCTCTGGGGCAAAAGGTCAGACAGGTTTGTTTGCAACCCACTTAAAAGATGAGAGTTCCCTAAGCTTGGGATCCTTAGCTGTGAATCAAAGAATTGCTGCATGCATAGGAAACCCACTGCATGCACAGCATCTAACTATGTTGATTGCCACTGTCCTCATGTGACATGGGGTGCAAAGGGAGCCTGTGAGCATAAAGCACATGCTGTGCCAGGAGCAGTAAAATCCTTTGTCCCTGACCTAGGAGTCTCCTATCTTCTGCTAGCATCCATGAAACTAAAGCAAGCTAATTTGTTAGCTTCCAAATAGGGTAAAATTTCAGACACTTCACAGTTCTTGACAGGGGTACTGGGTAATTAGACCGATCTTGCATCAGTATAGGGGCATAATTAGCCTTAAACACTATTCTAAACCAACCCAAAAAAATCTACCCAGCAAGTGAGAAATTAATGCAAAAATCTCTAAAGACACAGAAGTTCTGAAAAACACTATCAACTAACTTTATCTGACATTCATAGAACACTGCCTCTAACACTGCATCTGACATTCATAGAACACTGCATCTAACAATTTTTGGAAAGAATATGTATAGACAATACATATTCTTCCCAAAAGCATATAATACAGGCACAAAGATAACTCGTATGCTGGGCCATAAAACAAGGTTCTAGAAATGTAAAAGGACTGAAATCCCAAGCGTATGTTCTATACCCCATTGGATTTAAGTTAGAAATCAAGAACAAGAAGACACTGAGATAAACTCATTACCTGGAAATGAAATAGAACACTTCTAAATAATTCATATAGGTCAAAGATGAAATAATAAGGAAAATCAGAAAATAACTTTTTATTGAATCAAAATGAAAATACAAAATATCAAAATACGTGGAAGGCAACCAAAGCAGTGATTTAGAGGGAAACTTACAGCTTTAAGTGCTTAAGTTAGAAAAGAAAAAAAGATGTAAGTTAACCGACATAACATTCCACTTTAAGAAAATACCCAAGAAAATTAAAAATTAAAAAAGTTAGAAAAAGAAGAGCAAAGTAAACCAAAAGAAATAATAAAAAAAAACACAGAAGTCAATAAAATGGAAAACACAGAGACAGTAAGGAAAATTAACTAAATTAAAAGCTTGTTCTTTGAATATTTGTAAATCATATATCTGATAGGGGGTTAATATCCAGAATATACAAAGAACTTCTAAAACTCAACAAGAAAAAAAACAAACAGCCCAGAAGATGAACAAAGGATACAAACAGACATTTCTCTCAAGAAAATATACAAATGGCCAACAAGCACATAAAAAGATGCTCAACATTACTAACCATTAGGTAAATACAAATCAAAACCACAATGAGATACTACTCCACACCTACTAGGATAGCTATTATCAAAAACAAAAGTGTCGGCAAGGATGTGGAGAAACTGGAGCCCTTGGGTATTGCTGGTAGGAATGTAAAATGATAGAACCACTGTGGAAGGCAGTATGGTGGTTCCTCCAAAAATTAATCACAGAATTACGATAAAATCCAGCAATTCCACTTCTGGGTATATATCCAAAAGAACTAAAAGCAAGAACTGGAATAGATATTTGTACACCTGTCTTCAGAGAAGCATTATTCACAACAGCCAAAAGGTAGAAACTACGCAAAAGTCCATAAACAAATGGATAAACAAAATGTAATATTTACATAAAATGGAATATTTTTCAGCCTTAAAAAGGAAAGAAATTCTGATATATGCTACATGGATGAACCTTGAAGACATAGTGAAATAAGCCAGATGCAAAAGGGCAAGTATTATGTGATTTAACTTACATGAGGTATAGGCAAATTCACAGAGACAGAAAGTAGAATACTAGTTACCAGGCAGCAGGGGAAGGGGGAGTGGGGAGTTACTATTTAATGTGTAGTTTCAGTTTGGATGTGGTAATGATGGCATGACACTCTGAATGTACTTAGTGCCACTAAATTGTACATCTAAAAATGGTTAAAACAGTAAATTTTATGATACGTATATTTTACCTATTTAAAAAAACCACAAATTACTAATAAAAGCAATGAAAAAGTTATCATCACCACAGATCCTACAGACATTAAAAGAAAGCATAAGATAACATGACTTCATGCTAACAAATTTGACAACTAGGATGAAATGAACACATTTCTGTTTTTTGTTTTTTATTTTTTCGAGAGGGAGTCTCTCTGTCACCCAGGCTAGAATGGAGTGGCATGATCTCGGCTTACCGCAACCTCCACCTCCCAGGTTCCAACAATTCTCCTCCCTCAGCGTCCCAAGTAGCTGGGGTTATAGGTGCCCACAACCACACCTGGCTAATTTTTTTATATTTTTAGTAGAAATGGGATTTCACCATGTTGGCCAGACTGGTCTCCAATTCCTAACATCAAGTGATCTGCCCACCTCGGCCTCCCCATAGTGCTGTGATTACAGGCATGAACCACCATGTCCAGCCTGAAATGAACACATTTCTTAGAAAATAAAACTTGTGAAAACTGACATCAATAGAAACAAAAAACCTGAAAATCCGGTTCTCTATTAAAAAACCTGATTTTGTTACTAAAAACCTTCCCCCATGACAATTAAAACACAACACATCGGAACGTACATGATGTTGCTAAAGCTGTGCCCAGAGAAAAAGTCTCATCATTAAATTCTTCTATCAATAAATAAAGAAAAAAGAAAAGAGGAAAAAAGTAAAGTTGCCAAAAAAGTATCCACCACAAAAAGCAACACACTGAGATGGTTACAAAGTGGGGGTTCTATCAAACTTTATCAAACTTTTAAAGAACAAATTATCCCAATTATTTTTCTATTGCTCCAGAAAATTGGAAAGTAAAAAGAAGGAAAACTTCTAGCTTCCAACACGAGAGGGCTAATAAGTTCTCCAGCGTGCAAACATCCTACATATTTACATATATAATTATATATAAGGCCGAAGAAGTAAATATATCAGACCAATCTCTCTTATGACTGTCCCAAATAAAACATTAGCAAATAAAATCCAGTAGAGGCCGGGCGCAGTGGCTCACGCCTATAATTCCAGCACTTTGGGAGGCCGAGGCGGGCAGATCATGAGGTCAGGAGATTGAGATCATCCTGGCTAACACAGTGAAACCCCGTGTCTACTAAAAAAATACAAAAAATTAGCTGGGCGTAGTGGCGGGCGCCTGTAATCCCAGCTACTCGGGAGGCTGAGGCAAGAGAATGGCATGAACCCAGGAGGCAGAGTTTGCAGTGAGCGGAGATGGGCCACTGCACTCCAGCCTGGGCGACAGAGCGAGACTCTGTCTCAAAAAAGAAAATCCAGTAGAACATTTTAAAAATAGTAACATCATGATCATTTGGAATATATTCTGCAAATGCAAGGATGGTTAATTGAGGAAGAATCATAGGAAAAATCTATTCAGTCTCCTTCAATAGGATCAATAGGTTCATGGAAAAAAATTTTTAAAAAAGAAAAAAAAAATCTGTTCAATCTCCATATATGCCTAACATGTTATTTCCAACTCAGTTGAAACCCAGTATTATGCTTAATGATGAAATTATCCCCCTTGTCAAGCACAAGACAAAGTAAATATGCTCACATATATTACTTATGTTTATTATGCACACAAATATTCTTTAATATTGTATTATAATTTCCACCCTACAGAATTAGAGAAGAAATCAGAAACATGATAATTGGAAAGGTATAAGTAAAATTACTACTATTTGAAAGAGTTCTATATCTGGAAAATCCAAGAGATACAACAACAAAAAATTACTACAACTTAACAAGAAACCTGCAAGGCCTTTATAAAGAAAATTTTACACAACGACAAAACAAAACGTGAGCAAATGGAAAAATACATTCATGTTTTGGGGCGGAATCACCAACATCTTAAAGATGTCAACACTGCCCTAATTTAATTTAGAAATTTAACTTGATGCCATAAAAATGGCAACAGGTTTTCTAACTAGATGTTATCATTGATCCTAAAATTTATATGGGGAAAGAAAACAAATTTATTAAAAAGAGGAGTGATGAGAAAAGGATGGGGATGGGCAGGACTGGCACTACCGGATAGTCAAACCTCTAAATCTGATTCAGCAAATATTCTGTCCTACTACTTTTTAAGAGTTTGATTCCATTCTGCAGCACATTTCATAATTTGTATTTATGATTAATACAAGTATTTAGCAATTAGAATATACATGAATTCAAGAAATTCTATTCTCTAATTTCATGTAAACTTTAAAGTGAAAGTAAATCTTATTAATTTTTTTATAGATATAAATACCCTGGATTTTCCTGGTATTTCTGCAGTTAACCTTGCAAGTGTCATTTCCAGAAAATAAGTGTATTTCCAAAATTAACAGATAAACTGCTCACATTGAGGGATTTAACATTTGTGTATTCAGCTGTCTTCAGAACATTTAAAACCCAATGTGTTTACGAAAACCACAATAAGATACCACTTTATATCCGTCAAAATGGCTATGATTAAAAAAAAGGGGGGCAGGGGCTGCATACAGTGGCTCTTGTCTGTATTCCCAGCACTTTGGGAGGCCAAGGCAGGAGGACTGCTTGAGCCCAGGAGTTCAAGACCAGCCTGGGCAACATAGTTAAGACCTTATCTCTACAAAAAAATAAAAAATTAGCTGAGCGTGGTGGCACATGCCTGTAGTCCCATCTACTCAGGAGGCTGAGGCAAGAGGATCACTTGAGCCCAAGAGTTCAAAGCCACGGTGAGCCATGACTGCACCACTGCACTCCAGCCTGGGCAACACGGTGAGACCCTGTCTCAAAAGAAAAAATGAAAGTTAAACATAAAAGCTAATCCAACAATTCCACTTCTGGGTATATACCTAAAAAAAGCAGGGACTCAAAACAGATACTTGTACACCAATGTTCACAGAAACATTATTCATAATAGCCAAAATGTGGAAACAACCCAAATGACCATGAACAAATAAATGAATAAACAAAATGTAGTATATACAAACAATGAAATATTATTCGCCCTTAAAAAGGAAATTCTGATAAATGCTACAACATGGATGAACCTTGAAGACATTATGCTAAATGAAATTAGCCAGATACAAAAAGATGAACATTGTATGATTCCACTTATATGAAATATCTACCATAGGCAAATTCACAGAGACAGTGAGTAGAATAAAGGATACCAGCAGCTGGGGGACGGGGGGATGGGGAGTTATTAAATAATGGTAGAGTTCCAGTTTGGGATGATGAAAAAGTACTAGAGATGAACAGCAGTGGTGTGGTACAACATTGTGAATGTATTTAATGCCGCAGAATTTTACACTTAAAAATGGTTAAAAATGGAAAATTTTATGTATATTCTACTACAACAAGAAAGAAAGGGAAAAAAAACCCAGGGTTCTACCATCACATTAATTCAACAAGACCGAATTCCAGACTGAATTTTGCCATTTCAAAGGTGCTCCATGGAAAAAAAAATTAAGCTTAAAATATTTGTGTTCATTCTGTTTCTTCTCATTTCTTTAACTCTCTGATCTCATTTATCGCTATGTTCTAGAAACATATCCTTCACATTACTCATGCTCTCTTCTGCCACTCTCTTAATATATTGTTTTATCTAGACAATAGGATTTTATAATCTCTAAAATCTCTAAACTTAACCAATATAGCATAAGTTTACTTTGTTAAATATTTAAACTAATAGAAGTACATGAAGTTTCAATAAAAACTGGTTTAGGCTGGATGCAGTCGCTCACTCCTGTAAAATCCTAGCACTTTGGGAGGCTGAGGCTGGCGGATGGCCAGAGCTCAGTAGTTTGAGACCAGCCTGGCCAACATGGTGAAACACCATCTCTACTAAAAATACAAAAAATTAGCAGGGCATGGTGGCACACGCCTATAATCCCAGCTACTCAGAGGAGGCCAAGGCATGAGATTGCTTGAACCCAGGAGGCAGAGGCTACAGTGAGCTGAGATCACACCACTACCACTCCACTCCAGCCTGGGCAACAGAATGAGACTCTGCCTCAAAAAAAAAAAAAAAAAAAAGACAAAACTGGTTTAAACTGTGCATTACTATAAAATTAACAATAAATATATTAAGTGCTAAGCCTGATCAAAATGATTGCTTGATTTTGAAAAAAAATCCTTATTTATGTTGTCCATTTATTTTCTACTACTTCACATTAATCTTCCAATGTGATCAATGAACATTTTACACTTACCTTTGTATGGTATTCCATAGCATCCAATTCACCTTGATTGAAAACAACACATCTTTTACGCTTCTAAAGGGTAGATCAATTACAGGGGAAAAGTTATGTTGCCATTAATATTTTGCTTTTTCATTATAACATTATTTATGTCTTATATCTGTCTAATAATAATTAATAATTAATAGTAGTAATTGTCTACTGAGGTCAAAATCAATGCAAAGGGTATGGAGTGAGGAGGTAAGCTTTCCCAAAGTAAATTAAAAACAACAACATAAACAAAATGGATTGTAAAAGGTCACCTCAGCTTTATCTGCTATTAATAAGAACTAGTTCTGGCCGGGCACGGTGGCTCACGCCTGTAATCCCAGCACTTTGGGAGGCCAAGGCGGGAGGATCACGAGGTCAGAAGATCGAGACCATCCCGGCTAACATGGTGAAACCCCATCTCTACTAAAAATACAAAAAAAAAAAAAATTAGCCAGGCATGGTGGCAGGCGCCTGTAGTCCCAGCTACTTGGGAGGCTGAGGCAGGAGAATGGTGTGCGAGACTCTGTCTCAAAAAAAAGAACTAGTTCCACATGATAAAGTGTAGCATCAGCACCCATGAAATACAAGGAAACTATGACACCGTATGAAGTTACCAGTGCCATCTATCACTTTATATATGGTATAGTTATTCTCAATTTCCTTTATTTCTGAGAAGAGAAACTAGCCAGGTGCTATCATCAAAAGAAATTCCAATGTGCTTATGACTGATGAGGGTTAGGTATGAATCAGATTTATATTGACACTGTTCTATATCTAACAATATAGAGTAAGGACTTAGTACTTTTTATGGCTGAAACTCCAGTGCTTACCTTGTGTCAAACTCTTAGCATGCTAACAATAAATGTCTGTTGGCTAAATAAATAAATGGACTTAATATTGTATAATTTGCTTTAGCATATCAGAAGGTGTCATCAAGATTACATTTATTACATAGGTTCATCTATTTTTTTCCATGTTATAAGAAATTTACCCAACCTGAGAGATTAAACATTAAAAATTAATGCCCATACCCTGTAAACTATAAAGTCCTTTACAAAGGCTTGTTATTATCTGAATTACTTATATTACAACATACTATTTTACTAAGACCTCGGACAATGCTAAATATTTTCTTTTCTGTGTGTGACACGTAGTAAATGATCAATAAATATTTGATGAAAGGAAAAAGGGGACTGGGCATGGTGGCTCACACCTGTAATCTCAGCACTTTGGGAGGCCGAGGCAGGTGGATCACCTGAGATCAGGAGTTCAAGACCAGCTTGGCCAACAAGGTGTCTACTAAAAATACAAAAAATTGGCCGGGTATGGTGGTGGACACACATAATCCCAGCTACTCGGGAGGCTGAGACAGGAGAATTGCTTGAACCTGAGAGGCAGAGGTTTCAGTGAACCGAGATCACGCCACTGCGCTCCAGCCTGGGAAACAGAGCAAGACTCCGTCTCAAAAAAAAAAAGGGGGATCAACACATGAACACACAGAGGGGAGCAACAGATACTGGGGCCTACTGGAAGATGGAGGTCAGAGGATGGGAGGAGGGAAAGGATCAGGACAAATAACTAATGGGTACTAGGCTTAATACCTGGGTGATGAAATAATTTGTACAACAAAACCCCATGACACAAATGTATCTATATAACAAACCTATACATGTACCTGTGAACTTAAAAATTAAAATTAAAATTAAAAAAAAGAAGAATATGCACAAGAAAAAAGTCACAATATTAAAAAGTTCCATTTCAGAAAATGTATTTTCTTTATTACTTTCCTTATTCTAATTCTCAACAAACTTTCGTATTTAATATCTTTCTTCTTCACCGAATTATAAGATCCATCAGGGAGGGATTATGTTTATCTTGTTTCATCACTCTGCATACAATGGCACATAGAAAGAGCTCAAACGTTTGTTCGGTGAGTAATGAATGTTAATCCTATCACTAAAAAAGAAAATGTTGAGGCCGGGTGCAGTGGCTCAAGCCGAGGTGGGCAGATCACGAGGTCAGGAGATCAAGATCACCCTGGCTTAACACAGTGAAGCCCCGTCTCTACTAAAAATACAAAAAATTAGCCAGGCGTGGTGGCAAGCGCCTGTAGTCCCAGCTGCTCGGGAGGCTGAGGCAGGAGAATGGCGTGAACCCGGGAGGCGGAGCTTGCAGTGAGCTGAGATAGCACCACTGCACTCCAGCTTGGGTGACAGAGCAAGACTCTGTCTCAAATAAATAAATAAATAAATAAATAAATAAATAAATAAATAAATAAAATAAACAAATAAATAAAAATAAGTAAAAAAGACAATGCTGATATCAGATATCTAAAATGGACTTTGTAAAATCACCTCTAAATTCCTGAAAGAGATAAAAAGTATTAAAGCATAATTAATTTGATCCTGTATGGCATTCCCAAAACTCTACTAAAAGATTGCACCAGTGTGAATATACAAATACATATACTTTACAAACGGGTATATTTACCACAGGAGCTTTCTACTTGTATCACTAGAAACTTTTAAAACAATCACCCTTCTTACAAACTTTTATTACGTATCTCCAAGGGATAGCTCTCTAAAAACCTCCGAAATACCACTTACTGCTTAGAAATTTTGTAGAAAAACTTTTTTTTTAAAGCAAAAACAGTTGTAAACATATTCAATTAATACAAATGCCTAATCAAGAAAAGGGTTTTGGGGGAGTTTTTTGTTTGGCTTTTTGTTTGTTTTTTTGCTGTCTGGGTTTATTTTCTTTGCTTAATTTACAGAGAATTCACTTCCCAGCCAACTTTGCTTATTTTTGAAATACTATGCAATTTGGTCTTCTAAGAATAGTTGAAGCTAGAAAAAAGCTACAAATTATTTCAGATATGCTAAAGCCTTTTTGGGTTTTACTGATTCTTCTTTATACTTAACGAATCACCAGATATTTAAGACATTTAGATAATAAATCTCAATTATGTTTTCTGGAGAAAAATAAATATTTCTTAAAACTTTCTACCTTCCCAATAATAGAAATGGAGATTTCTTTTTTAACACCATTCATCAGATCTTCCTTTTCATTACTTTGCTGGCATTCTTTATGAACAGCTGGAGTTATATAAGGTTTGGTGACATCAAACAGTTCAGGTCGAAAAACAAATTTTCGTGTGAACATTTCATAATTTCCTCCATCATCATTCTCTGGCTTAGTGGAAGAGTCAGAAGCAATAAATGCAGCACAGACTCCAGAGGAGGACACAGAATCCATTTGAAGAGACTCAAAGTGAACAGAAGTAGTGAACTCCTTTTTACGGCAACAAGGTTCATGATGCTGGTGAAGTTGATAGTTTATCTTGTTGATAAAAGAAAGATGATCCAGTAACCACCCAGCTGACAACTGGTGTACCACAGACATTCCCTTCCTTTAAAAAAGCCTCTGGGAATTAGGAACTAGAATGAAAATCCAACTTTCCAGATCAGCTTCTTAAATATCTTGTATTTCAATAAACATACACTTCATACACACAGATAGATTTGATATACAAGTACAAAAACCTGACATGCACATTGAAGAGAATTTATCATTCATGATGTTAATATATACAGAAATTCTAAGGAAAATTGCAATGTTTTAATATAAACTTTCTTTTTAATTTCAGAGTTGATAATTCAACATTTTCAGCCAAAATTTGGCCAAAGGGGGTTAAAACCTGATCTTATGTCTGGAATCCCAATGTGATCCTCCTGTCTTCCTGGGCCCCCCACGACTTCTTGCTTTGGTCCTTGGGTCTAGCCACTAGGTCCACATCCTCCAAGTCAGGAAGTCATTGAATCCTTAAAAGGACAAAGTAGCCTGTAAAAGCAAAGAACACTACATTAGCTACGTGAATTCACCCTTTTTAATGAGATAAACCTATCTAGAGAGGGGCATAGAATTTCAGAAGGTGCTGTTAGCAGGTAATCCCTCGTTTTTGCAAACTACACTTGTCATAGTAAGTCAGCCCATTCTCCAGTATCATCTTCCCTACTTAATCACTACTACCAATGGAGTAATAAGGTAAAAAGAAAAAATTGTTCTAGTCAGAGAAAATGCAATTTTACCAGCACATCAGAAGCACTAAACCCTAGCAAAACCGCAAGGTTAAGAGTCTAGATCTGTAATTGGTTCTGAGCAGTACCCCTTGGATAACTAGGTTTCTCAGAACTAACCTTTTTTCAAAAGATGGATTAGAGTTCTAGATATTGCTTTCTAAATCCAGTGCAGTGGAGAACTTAAGAGGGGACAGAATAAGAAATAAATGAGTGCTTAATGGCACAATTAATAATCACAGCATTTAGATTCAAATTTCTAACTCCATGAGTGAGATTATGATGTACATTGGTTTTCATCCACAGTTCCTGGCTCACCGCCCCTGTAGCCTTACTGAGTGCAGGGATGAAGGCTGAGTTGATCACCAGTGACCAATGATGTAATCATTCATGTCTGTACAATGAATTTGGGAGATGTGACACTATCTAAAGATAGAAATAGTGTCAGAAATGAATTAGAGGGAAGAAGGGGCGAGCCTAAGAGTGACAGTGACACATGATGGCAGTCACCACAGGCTCAGGAGTAGGAGTACCTCTCAATTTCCAACTGTTGGAAGAACCTGAAGGTTAGAAAGGAGTGGCTGGGCATGGTGGCCCACGCCTGTAATCGCAGCACTTTGGGAGGCCGAGGCGGGCAGATCCCCTGAGGTCGGGAGTTCAAGACCTGCCTGGCCAACATGGTGAAACGCTGCGTCTACTAAAAGTACAAAAATTAGCTGGGCTTGGTGGCATGCGCCTGTAATCCCAGTTACTCAGAAGGCTGAGGCATGAGAATCACTTGAACCCAGGAGGGAGAGGTTGCAGTGAGCCGAGACTGCACTACTGCACTCCAGCCAGGGCAACAAGAGTGAAACTACGTCTCAAAAAAAAAAAAAAAAGGGAGTATGAGATGGCACAGATAGCTAGAGTCTAGAAGATGATAAAGACATGACACTTACCAAATGGACAGGGATGATAATTGGGCCTTCAAGAACAATTTACAAAAACTGAATATACAGCTTTAAAATAGAATGTGGACCTAAATACCCAGCAGCACTCCCCTTTGTAAGATGTGTAACAAAAATTAATGCTATTCTAAAGGAGTGGTGGACTCAAGAGCCATTTCAGTGCTAGCTAAATAGCAGAATTCAGATAGCATCAAAGTTGTCTTGGAAGAGGTTGAACAGCTAATGACATCTAAAGAAAACATGAAACTCCCTCAGCAGCCTGAAAGACACTGTTACAGTAATTAATCAAAAAGAAAAACCATAGTCCCTTTTCCCCACACCCATTCAATTTAAGCAGTCTTCATTTTCAACAGTAGTAAATTTTCTAGATACATCTTGTAGACCTCACAGTACTAGAAAGGATGCTCCTATTCAAAAGAAATGTATCTTAAGATACTGTGAATGATACTAACTTTTTTGTCCATTTGAATTATGTAAGTTGTGCTATAACAAATCATCCTGTCAAGCGACAGGATCAAGCAAGTATATTTAAATTGATTCCCATCATAACTGGTGGGGTACATCTAATTCAACTGTGGAAAGACCACACAATCACCTTGCTTCTCCTTACATGGCCTGGAGTCTCCGCCTTCTCCCCCTACCGCTCTCCCTTCCTCCCACCCCCACCCACTGCAACAGCCCTCTAGCCTGGGAGGCTTGTTAGAGTAGACGTGAAGATCACAGCCTGTGGGACCACTGCTGAGTGTGTGGGCACTCAGTTTAAGTATTCAGTGATGCTCCTTCCAAACCACTGTCCTGTCCCCACCTCTTCCACTCCCACCCTTGGCCAAAGCACAGATCATAAGCCCTCTGCTCCGCTCCCCTCTGAGATTCGCCTTCCATGAGGAATTCAGGGCTTTCCCCATATCTTCTCTTCCCCACCTTTATCAAGAGATGCTGCTCCCTCCCCGTCAAGTCTCTTTTTGCACTGTCACCACCCAACACTTTCCACGACACTTCTTTGCTTTGACCAGAAGCCATAAGGTAAGGTTGGAAGAACATTTATTCACTCTCCACCAGCCTAGGAAATTAATAGTGGGTCCTCAGCCCTGCCACCTTCTGCTGTTATCATCAGCCTTTTAACTCAGGTTTTGATATGGTGAAAAGAGTCACCAGGGTTATTCAGACACCCCGGCTGTCAGGGTCCTTGGTGGTTAAACCTGGGAAAAGGCCACATGAAGACAACTGTAAGCACACATGATCCCTCTGAATTGTTTTCTTTTCCTGCAATTGTGCTTGCTCTTAAAAATTGAAGTTTTAAACAGGGCTCACATGTGATCATCCTTCCATCTATTGGAGTCTAGCTTGAAATGTGACAACCGGAACCAAAAGAACCTTGAATTTGGTGCCTACTTTGGTTTTGGTGCTGCTGCTTCTCAAGATCCTCAGCAGGGATTAAGAAGTTGGGGTGCACAGCAGGAATATCAGGAAATTGGCAGGCTTGACTTCCTGGCAAATTGCTAGCAGGACCACTAAATGCTGAACTGTACTGTGAATGTATACCGAAATACAAGCAATTATTTCTGTACTAAAGGTGTTTTTAATTTTGTATTTGTGTAAAACCACCTTTGGAAGCAGCAACTATCTAGTCAGAAAAGCAAATGATGTTTCCATTAATCTTTTCTGGGGAAAACATTAGTGCTAAGGATTTAACAATCTGTAGGTAAAGTTTAACCTAACAGTATTCCACAAGGAGACTTTTTATTATCAGACGGTTGCCTAATTTTCATATAATTTTTATATTAATATAATCCTTGGTTCCTCCCCATCCCCTTCATAGGCCACAGCTGAGGTGAAAAGGGTCCTGGAATGGCTAGTGAGAGCTAGAAATTCAGACGGGAAAATTGAAACTCAGAGCAGAAAGGCAAGCTGCCCAAAAATAACAACGCTAGTTAATGGCACAATTGCTACCAGACCCAAGTATCCAGACTTCCTGGAGCTGTGAGATCTTTCATCACCACCACTCTCCAGGTACCGGGCAGTGCCTGTTTCTGGATTCAAACTCACAGCAGCGAGGAAATCCTATTTTAGCAAAGTGATCTACTGTTACTGTTGTTAGTGCACCCCTCTCCTGCGTCTCTGCTTCACATCCACTCCCTCGCCGCCCGCCCCCAAACACTTGGATTCTTCCTAGCCTCTCACAGGTCAGCCACCACCAGAGGACCGTGAGCCTCCGGCAAGTGATCAAATACTGAGCCCGAATTTCGGCAGCCGTACCAACGCAATCCTGGGAGCCCATTCCACCCACTCCGCAGCCCCTCTCCCACCTCACCTCTTCCCTTGTCAGAAAAGCGGACGCCGCCTTCCCAGACTCTCCTCATGAAAACAGCACCCATCTAAATAGTGATCATGAAAAATGCCCCTTCCAGTCCACAGAGAAAAAGCTTTCTCCTTTTCTAAGAGTCCATGGGCGCCGCCATGTTGCTGTACGGAAAAACGTTTCCAGGGCGAGTTGAGCGTTCAGGGCACTCCTCGGCGCTCAAGCTGCCCACAGGTCTTCCGACCTAACTTTAGGGGTCGTGCCAGTCTT
Organism: Homo sapiens; assembly: GCF_000001405.40. NCBI lineage: Eukaryota > Metazoa > Chordata > Mammalia > Primates > Hominidae > Homo > Homo sapiens. The sequence goes on from NC_000018.10 coordinate 2,571,407, forward strand.
CGTAGAGACGGCCACACTGGCCCACAGACCCCAGTTCCTGGGGTGACGCAGCTGGGCGCGACCAGCACGCAGCCTTCCAGCGACGAGGCGGTCGCATGGAAGTTACTGCGCGCGTCGTGCGTAATGACGTCAGCGCCGGCGGAGAATTTCAAATTCGAACGGCTTTGGCGGGCCGAGGAAGGACCTGGTGTTTTGATGACCGCTGTCCTGTCTAGCAGATACTTGCACGGTTTACAGAAATTCGGTCCCTGGGTCGTGTCAGGAAACTGGAAAAAAGGTGACTGAATGACATCGGATTAACTTTGTTTCTGCAGAGCTGTTCTGGAGGAAGAAAGTGATGGCGCCAATGACTTAAATTTAGAGGTCCTGAGGCGATGTTTTGGTGTTTGTTTGCTGTTGGGAGAAGCCTCGAGGCCAAAACTGTGCGAGGCGCTGGTTTCACGGGATCTATTAAATTTCTAGTGGCAACGATTTCCCAAGGAGGAAAGGGGAGGGCCTGGGGGACACTGATGAGGAGTGGAGGCTCGGGAGAGGAAACGGGGAAGAATTGAAGGGGGCGGAAAGAGATGGACAAGAGAGGACTCGTTGGGTGGGTTGCGTCTGAATACTAGTGTAGCTTCTTATGGCCGTGTAGGACTGCGTGTAGAAGTCTTCATCTTAAATCATGAGAGCTACATTCTAAGTGGAGATTAAACGTGGACACACAGGTGTGAGTGGAAAAGTTGAATAGATGAACAAGCGCATATTGAAGAGGAAATAGGCGGCCAAAATCAAGAAGAGTCTAATCAGTGTAAAAGACTAAGGAGTACCCAGAGAAGTAAAAGGATTGTCACCTTCCTGAAAGCCAGGGCAGGACCTGAGAAGGCTGGGTGCAGAGATGAGACAGGATCAAAAGTTTTGTCAATCATGTGTATCCTAGGAGACAAATTTTTTAGCAGATGTGAAGGGAGTGACCTGTTAATGTGGTTTGTAAATGGAGGCAGCCTATAGACCATTTTATGGACCGGATGATTTATCCTTGTTGAAGGGGAGATTGATGCCAAAAGGGCAGTAATTGAGGAAACAATGGGTTAAGGACAGAGCAGGAGAGATTGACATTAGGAAAACAGAATAATTCCATTCTCTGAAACCAAAGAAAAGGAAACATTTTGAGGTGAATAAGAGAATTTGAGGTAATTTTTTTGTCTTCCTATTGAAATAGGCACAGCCAACAGCAGTAATGTGGTCTGGGTAACAGACAGGGCTTTAGCTACCACGGATACCCTTGTGAAGGCAAAAACCGTAACTTACTCGTCTTTGCATCTCCTGCATTGCCTAGCACACTCCCCTATATATATAGTGGGCAGTTAATAAATGTTTATGTTGAATATTTTTAAATGGAATTAAATAGATGTTCCTTGCAAATGAGAACTTCAGTGTACATGAACAAAAAAGAGATACCCCAGGGGAAAGATGATGATCTTGAAGAAACAATGAAACCTGACTGTCTTTCTGTTTAAGGATAAATAGTTGCTTAATGTACCATCTCTGTCTGGAAAGTTTTTTTTAAATACTGAATTCGTGAATGTAGGTCATAAGCATGAAGCGCAGTTCAGTTTCCAGCGGTGGTGCTGGCCGCCTCTCCATGCAGGAGTTAAGATCCCAGGATGTAAATAAACAAGGCCTCTATACCCCTCAAACGTGAGTATTTCCCTTGTGGTTCTAATTTGCATGCTTTATCATCTTAGGCAAAGAAATCATAAGAAATAGTTAATATAAAGATGTAATATGAGTGATGTCTTGGTGAATCTTGTCTGTTCCCAGGGGTACCTAATTTTGGATCAATGAAATCTAAAAGTGGGCATGATACTCTGCTAGGTGTTGTTTGTGTCATTTGTTTCACAAATTTCCAAAGCCAAATGCTTTACCAGGCACCCCCTAAAAGGACTGTTAATTCTTGTTCAGTACTCTCTTATTTTTCTCTTTTATTCTAGAGCTACTTGTTTAAGCAGGCTCTGTGCTGTAACTTAGAGTTCACTGAGATATTTCCAATTAGCAAAGCTTCAATCAAATCAGAGCAAAATTATTTGCTCTCATAAGGTATAATATAGTAGCAGCCTACAAAACACCACTCCTCCGAACTCTTTCCTCAAGATTTGCTGGAAAAATATCTGAAAGAACCTGCTGTCATAAACTATAGTTTTTCATTATGAGTGATTATCTTCCAGATAAGAGAAGGCTATTTGTAAGCCATTGTAGAGCTGTATAATTCTTCTCTAGTACCGAGGTACAAGTTACTTGCTAACTGTTTTTAAATTACTTGGATTTACATAGTATGAGCCTATGTTACTTTTAGAAATTTGAAATATTTATATATTTTTCCTTTTGAATACTGTAAACCAAGAAAATGTTTGTGCTGTTATACATTACTTATACCAAAAAAAGTTATGCCTTTAATTGTATTAGAAGCTAAAAGGTCACCATTGTCAATGTTTTTTTGCCTGCAGTTTAGATAATGTAATAAGTGCAGCTACATTCTAATACAGAGCAGGCTCTAAAAAAAAAAAATGTAAATGTGGTTAAGATAATGGAAATCATAATGTAGATAGGGTTTTTGTTCTGCAGAGAAGCAAAAGACTTAAATCTGCATAACAAGCCTTACCTTTGACCATTTTGTCTTAACTGGACTTCCTACCTACACTTTTCTTTCTCTTGGTAAATAAGTGAAATAAGCAGGGAACAGACAAACAGCACATGTTCTCATAGGTGGAAGCTAAAAAAGTTTATCTCATAGAAGTAAAAAATAAAATGGATGCTAGAGGCTAGGAAGCATAGGGAGAAGACGGAAATAGGGAGAGATCTGTTAAAGGACACAAAATTATAGCTAAATGGGAGGAATAAGTCCTGGTGTTCATAGCACTGTATAATGACTATAGTTAACAATAATATATTGTATAGTTTTAAATAGCTAGGAGAATATTGACTGTTCCCAACAAAGAAATGATAAATGTTTGAGATGATGGATATGGTAATTACTCTGATCTGATCACTGTACATTATATGTATCACAGCATCACTGTGTACCCCATAAGTAGGTACAATTATGTGTCAATTTTTAATTTTTTCTGTTAATAATTTAAAATCAGAAAGTAATAATAATAATGATATTTAGGCCTGAAAGTATGTTCTGTGTCTTTGGGCTACAAATTTTCTATCTTGTACTTTACCTTCAGGGTTTTTTTTTAACCTTGTTTTTACTCTTTGGAAATGCAAATTTAGGGTAGAAAATGTTTAGATAGTTATTAAAAATGAGATGAGTAAAACAGACCCTGCTGAGGTTAAAACGAAGACTAAATCTACCAAAGGGTACATACACCAGAGGGACCTCTGCTGGTCCCCCAACATTACAAGCATTATAACTTATAGTACCATGTTTAGCCCATCCTATTTATAACAGCTTTCATGACTGCTAAACATTTTTATGATTTTTGAATTATTTTTATAGCTAGTGGGGAAGAGTTGTTGGTTCTAATATATTTCTAAAAGTTTCTTGAGCTAATTTTAATTTTTATTTTAAAGAGTTGTTTTCTATTTTTCTTAAAGCAAAGAGAAACCAACCTTTGGAAAGTTGAGTATAAACAAACCGACATCTGAAAGAAAAGTCTCGCTATTTGGCAAAAGGTAATTATATTTTTCATTAGCTCTAATAAAGGGATTCTTATAGCCATACGTTGTTGCCCTCAGAGAACAAATACATTAGATGACATGGTTCCTTTCGAGAGAAAAGTTATAATCTAGTTTTCCTCTGATTTTAAATGGTTAAAATTTTAGTTTACATCTGCTGTAGACAGTGTAGCTAACACATTCAGACCACTATTTCATTGTTACAAGTAAATAGTTGATTGAAAATTCTATACCTAGCTTTCAGACACGGTGGAGTCATCGCATTTTAAAATAAGGAGTGGCCAGGCATGGTGGCCATGCCTGTAATCCCAGCGCTTTGGGAGGCTTTGCTTGAGTCCAGGAGTTCAAGACCAGCCTGGGCAACGTGACAAGACCCTGACTCCACATTTTTTTAATTAGCCAGGCAGGCATGCAGACCAGGTGCAGTGGCTCACACCTGTAATCCCAGCACTTTGGGAGGCTGAGATGGGAGGCTGAGATGATCTTGAGTCCAAGAGTTCGAGACCACCCTGGGCAACATTGCAAGACCCTGTCTCTACAAAAAAAAATTTTTTTTAATGAGCCAGGCTTGTAGACCGGGTGTGGTGGCTCACACCTGTAATCCCAGCACTTTGGGAGGCCAAGGCGGGCAGATCACTTGAGTCCAGGAGTTCAAGACCTAGCTGGGCAATATGGTGAAACCCTGTCTCTACAAAAAATACAATGATTAGCCGGGGGCAGTGGCACATGCCTGTAGTCCCATCTACTTGGAAGGCTGAATCAGGAGGATCAGTTGAACCCAGGAGGTGGAGGTTGCAGTGAGCTGAGATCATACCACTGAACTCCACCTTGGGTGACAGTGAGACTCTGTCTCAAAAAGAAACTTTTTTCAATTTAAAAATTAGCCAAGCATCATGGTGCACGCCTATAATCCTAGCTACTCAAGAGGCTTAGGCAGGAGGTTTACTTGAGCCCAGAAGGTCGAGGCTCCGGTGAGCCAGGTTAGCACCACTGCACTCCAGCCTAGGCAACAGAGAAACACCCTGTCTCAAAAAAATAAATGTAAAATGAGGAAACATTATCTAGTCCAACATTTTAGTCATTTTTACAGTCTAAAAGATTAATGAGAACTCCACAGAGCTTTTGTTTTATGGGCTATATCTGTCAAAATTAACCATAGTAGAAATTAAAACTGAGAAAAATTTAAAATATGCATTCAATTTAAAATAACAACCCATTACATGGTAACATAAATAACATGTTTTCAACTTTTAAAAAACATATTTTCAAAAATAAAACAATTTCAGTAAGAAGAGTGACATTGTTTTACGTTTTTGCAAATCTCTTATGGCTTAATAGCAGACAGCTAGATTCTAATACTTGCTTCTGCATTTAATCTGTTACAATATCATACATCATGTTACCAGCCTCTGGAAAACTCCACTGTACACTTGAGAGATTGAAAATGAAAAGAGCAAATAACATCTTAGTTTTATCATAAAAATAGTTTTGACTGCTCAGTGATCCTTAGACAACACTTTGAGAACAACCATCTATCTGGAGTAGGTCAGTGGTTGTCTAGGCTGCAGGTTGGAGAAGGATTAACTGTTAAGGGGCATAAGGAGACTTTGGGGGATGATAGAAATGCTCATATTTTGATTGGCATAAGTGACACAAATGCGTTTATTGTCAAACTTCATCAAACTGTATGCTTTAAACAGGCGCATTTTATTCTAAACAAATTATGTCAATAAAATAGATACCTTTAAAAAAAAGTTCAACCCCAAAATTAAGACAATAAATTATGTTGTTGTCTCACCAAAACAAAATATAACTTTAAGACAAACCTGTTTCTTCCATTCTTTTGAAAATATTTAGAGATGAAGTACTTGTCACCTTTTAAAAAAGTCTCTGCCATGAAACCAATTTGGTTTCATTGGTTTAAACTTCCATTTTTGGTATTTATTTCAGTTGATGAAAAATCTTAAGGTATTTTTGTAATGTAATTCATCTCAGAGCTAAACTTTAGAGATGATAGTAATTACAAAATCTAATATTTGTGGAGCATTCCTATAGGCCAGACATTGTTTTAAGTGCTTTATCTATATTAAATCTTTCAATCAATCCTCAGAACTGCCCTGTGAGAAGGTACTGATACTGTCTGCGCTTTTTTTTTTTTTTTTTGAGATGGAGTCTCGCTCTGTCGCCCAGGCTGGAATGCAGTGGCGCGATCTCAGCTCACTGCAACCTCTGCCTCGCCAGTTCAAGCAATTCTCCTGCCTCAGCCTCCCGAGTAGCTGGGATTACAGGTGCCTGCCAACACGTCTGGCTAATTTTTTTGTACTTTTAGTAGAGACGAGGTTTCACCATCTTGGCCAGGCTGGTCTTGAACTCCTGACCTCGTGATCCACCGCCTCAGCCTCCCAAAGTGCTGGGATTACAGGCATGAGCCACTGTGCCTGGCCAAGTGTGTGTTTATTCTTGCCTCGTTTTACATCCTTATCTTTAACTGCTGTAACCTCATATTTTACTCTTCGTTATTTGCTCCTTTTCTCTGCTTTAAATAAGAGAATTCTGTTTAGTTATAAGAACGTAATGTTTGATGTTGATGTTAAAATGCAAAACTGCCTTGAAATAATTTAGACTTGATCACAGAAGCAAATAGTTTTAACTGGCTGTTTAAAAATATATTTCCAGAACTAGTGGACATGGATCCCGGAATAGTCAACTTGGTATATTTTCCAGTTCTGAGAAAATCAAGGACCCGAGACCACTTAATGACAAAGCATTCATTCAGCAGTGTATTCGACAACTCTGTGAGGTACTTTAGGATTTTAATCTAAACTGTGATTGTTGTCATAGGTATTTTCCAATAATTTTCCATTACAAAACGTTTGGTGGTTCATAAAAATTATTGTAGTTTCTTACAGAAAATGGTTATGCACATAATGTGTCCATGAAATCTCTACAAGCTCCCTCTGTTAAAGACTTCCTGAAGATCTTCACATTTCTTTATGGCTTCCTGTGCCCCTCATACGAACTTCCTGACACAAAGTTTGAAGAAGAGGTTCCAAGAATCTTTAAAGACCTTGGGTATGTATATTTCTTATTAGTTTAGAGACATGACTGGCACACAGAGATGAAACAAATTAAATCAATTTGTAAAAAGTTTGAGTTACAGAAATAATATGTTTTAAGATGACCACTGTGGGCAATATATGTAGGATAAATTGAAGAGAAAAAAAGCAACTGCTTACAAAAAAACAAATAAAAATTGCTAGTGGTAGAAGCAAGAAGGATTAACAAATTGTTAGTAACTGATCAAGTTTGATGATGGGTACAGACGGATAAAATCCACTTTTCTTTGTTTAAAAAAAAACTACTCGTAGATTATTACAGAGCAACAGAAGACAGAATATAAAGCCCTGAACTGCTGAAGTGACAGAGAATAGAAAAGACAGACTGGATACCACAGATTTTACAGAAGCCAAAAACAAAAAAAAACAGGATTCACGCCTGGTGAAAACAGAGTGTGATGAAATTGAAAGTGGGAAGAATGGATTTGGAGGTGTACATACATGTCATTTATTGGGGGTATATTGAATTTGAGGGAACAAAAGATGTTTTGGGAGAGTAGTCCAGCATATTGGTTGTATAGGTCAAGTTCTGCAGCTTCGGGGATAGATGTACAAAGTAATCTACAGAGAAATACACAGAGATAAGATGACTAAGGATAGAATCCTAACATATCTTACCTCTAAACAAGTCAAGACTGAGTGTGTATGTGGAATTTTTTAAATGTAACTTCTTGATTAACCATTATCTTTACTAAATTATAATAACATTAAATTAGCTTATGTTTTTCTGATTTCTCATAGGTATCCTTTTGCACTATCCAAAAGCTCCATGTACACAGTGGGGGCTCCTCATACATGGCCTCACATTGTGGCAGCCTTAGTTTGGCTAATAGACTGCATCAAGGTATTTGATTTGTTCTTTTGAAATGTATACATGGGAAAGGGTTTTTTTCCTCAAAAAAAATATTTTCTCTCCCAGTCTTTTGACAGTATTCTCAAAGTCTGCTTCAGAGTTTTCATTTTTCAAAGCACATTTGATTTTAAGTTTTTCAAACTATTATCACAAGGTAAAAGGAAGAAAGTACCAATTGATAAGGAGATTATTTATTATCATGAGGTTTTACAACTCAAAAAAATGAGTCAATAGGAAATTCATTTTTTATTTTCCCTCATGAAATTCGTTTTTACCCTTTTTAATTAAAATCCATATTCACTGCAAGAAGTTTGGAGAATACAGTGATATAACCATAATCTCCAAACTCAGACAATAACATAAAATGTTTCCTTGTGATATTTTGTTTTGTTTTGTTTTTTGTTTTTGAGAGGGAGTCTCGCTGTGTTGCCCAGGCTGGAGTGCGGTGGCATGATCTCAGCTCACTTCAACCTCCGCTTCCCAGGTTCAAGAAATTCTCCTGCCTCAGCCTCCTGAGTAGCTGGGATTACAGGCATGCACCACCATGCCTGGCTAATTTTCTATTTTTAGTAGAGACGGGGTTCCACCATGTTAGCCAGGCTGGTCTCAAACTCCTGACCTCAGGTGATCTGCCCGCCTCAGCCTCCCAAAGTGCTGGGATTACAGGCCTAAGCCACCATGACCGGCCCCTTGTGATATAGTTTAAAAGTGTGTGTTGCTGTGCAAAGTACTATATGTATGTTTTTTAAACTTTTGATACATACCGACAAATTTTTCTCTAGAAAACTTGTACCAATTAAAAGCTCAACAATGTTTGAGCATACCCATTTTTCCAAACTGTTAGCATTGTTGTTTTAAAATCTTTATCAATTTAGGAGGTGAAAAATAGCTTGTTTATATATAAATGTGTGTGTATATGTGTATATGTGTGTATGTATATATATTTAAACAATTTATGTTTTTATATGGTTATTTTTCTTTTAACTTGCTTGTACATGGTTTTTCAGGCAAGTTTTATTTCACCTTTGCTTTTTGCCATGAATTTGAATCTTTATATATTAAACTTACTGATGGTTTTAATAGTTGGCAACACAACAAGCAAAAAAAATTGACAGCTAATTTTTTCTTATTTACATTTTTTGTTTTTAAAGGTGAATTTTTTACATTTATTATAATATCTACTCTTCTGATTTTTTTTTGTGTTGATTTGCAAGGGTGCCATTTTGCAAGTCAAAAATGGTCGAGTCAGAGAAATTAGTTCCTCTCTATATGGTGCAAGCAATTTTTTTCTCTCTCTCTTTTTTTTTTTAATTTCATGTGCTGTTTTATCTGTTCAGAAATGTGAGTTTTTATCTAATTTAATGCAGTCTCTCCTTTTGTAGCTTCTGAGTTTCCTGTCCTACTTAGTGCTAGAATTCCTAAAGCTAATACTGTTCCCCTGACATTGTCTTGGCCATCAGCAAGGCTTTAACTAAATGAAGGCAGGCACTGGGTATATGGATTTTGACCCAGGAGCCATGCTGGTACATACAGTACCACCCATTGTCAAGAGAGTAGAATTCCAATGCCATAGCCCATTAATAAAAATCCAAGTTTCATTGGACTTTATATATAACATTTATGCATTCAATTTGTCTCTCCCCGGTGATGCCCATGGACATTTGATAACTACTTTTTTGGTCTCACCATCAGATTTTTTTTTTTTTTTTTTTTTTTTTTTTTGAGACGAGTCTCACTCTGTCGCCTGGGCTGGAGTGCAGTGGCACAATCTCGGCTCACTGCAACCTCCACCTCCCAGGTTCAAACAGTTCTCTGCCTCAGCCTCCCGAGTAGCTGGGATTATAGGCACCCGCCATCACATCCGGCTAATTTTTTGTATTTTTAGTAGAGATGGGGTTTCACCATCTTGGCCAGGCTGGTCTCAAACTTCTGACCTCGTGATCCGCCCACCTCAGCCTCCCAAAGTGCTGGGATTACAGGCATGAGCCACCACGCCCGGCCCTCCAAGCCCATTATTTAAGTTGGAATCCCCTCCTTTTTATATTGCTTTGCATGATGTGATGTATTAATCCGTGAGAGACTGCAGGTTTCTTTTTCTAATTTTCTTTCTTACTTAACATAAGCCTAGAAATTAAGCCACATTTAGGAAGGCCTTTTTTCCTCCCCAGTGTTTTTTAAAAACAATTTTACAAATTTTCTCGTAGTATTTTGTATGGCTTCTTTGTGCTGTGTTTAAATCTTAATTCATCTCCAATTTATTTTAGTATAAGAAAGAGAAGGCCTTCTTTTTTAAATAATTCACTCATGTATCACAGTCCCATTTATGGAAAAACTGATATTGGTCGGGCACTGTGGCTCATGCCTGTAATCCCAGCACTTTGGGAGGCTGAGGCAGGTAGATCACCCGAGATCAGAAGTTAGAGACCAGCCTGGCCAACATGACAAAACCCCATCTCTACTAAAAATACAAAAATATTAGCCGGGTGTGATGGTGCATGCCGTCCCGGCTACTTGGGAAGCTGAGGCACAAGAATCATTTGAACCCAGGAGGTGGAGGTTGCAGTGAGCCGATATCACACCACTGCACTGCAGCCTAGGCAACAGAGCAAAACTCCATCTCAAAAATAAATAATATTTTCCCCACAGTTTTGAACTGTCACTAGTATGTTCTTAATTAAACCTATTTCTCTGATCTTTTTTTTCTATCCCTGCTTCATGACCATACTAATTCCTGTCACTTTCTAATATATTTTATCTAGAAGATGAACATTCTTACTTCTTTTCACAATGTTAGCTATTGTCGTATCCTCACTCTCTAAATTATTTTTTCAGATTTTAACAAAATCTTGTGATTTTGTTATTATTGACATAACATTGAATTCATGATATATAAGGGGAAATTTCCATCCTGTCAATATTTAATCTTGTCATATGGGAAAGTGTTAAATCTCATTTGTTCATCTTTTTTGTTCCTTCATTAAGATTTTGTTTTTGTTTTTTCGTTCTATGGTGGTTTTTTGTTTGTTTGTTTGTTTGTTTGTTTGTTTGTTTGTTTTGAAACAGAGTCTTGCTTTGTTGCCCAGGCTGGAATGCAGTGGCATGATCTCAGCTCACTACAATCTCCACCTCCCAGGTTCAAGCAATTCTCATGCCTCAGCCTCCCAAGTAGCTAGGATTACAGGTGCCCACCACCACGCCCAGCTAATTTTTGTATTTTCAGTAGAGACAGCGTGTCACCATGTTGGCCAGGCTGATCTTGAACTCCTGACCTAAGGTGATCCACCTGCCTCAGCCTCCCAAAGTGCTGGGATTACAAGTGTGAGCCACCATGCCTGGCCATGTAGTTTTCTTAATATCAAACAACATATTTTTTATCAATGCCATGTGTTTTGTTACTATGATGAACAGACTCTCTTTTTTTAATTCTATTTCCATGGTGATTATTACTAAAAGAGTTTTTTGTGTTTACTACCCTTATTGAATTGCTTTATTACAACTACTGTTCTCAGTTGATTTCTATTACTAACCACTGTTTTTAAATTAAATATTTTTCATTGTATCGTTTAGTATGATATATTCAGTAGAAGATAATGTTTTGCATGTTGAAGTTTATTCACTTTTATCAAAGAATGATCTTTGAAGGTTATCCTATGCTTTTGCAGGATGTATTGAGATTATTCTTGTTATCTTGACCTATTGATCTAATATGTTGATTTCCTAATGACCTCTATTTGTTCATTGTTTATTATTCATTTGTTATGCTCCTAAATTGTTTGTTCATGCTTTGTAAATAAACTTTGATTTCCTATTTCACTATGCCTCCTTGCACAGAACTTGGCACATAATCAGTCCTTATTACAGTGTCTAAGTGATAATAATTTAGCTAAAGTTACTAAGTCTTCTCTACTAAGGACCATAAATAGGAGGGTTGCATACACTTCAGGAGCGTCTTGTTAGCCTTTTGGTTAGTGATCAAAGTGGACTTGGACCTGACTTATCCCAGATCCCTCTGTGTCCTTTTCCTCCTCTGATGTTTCACAATATTAAGAAGTGGTGTTAGAGTGGAAAACGCCACCTTTCAATGAAAACATGATTCAAATCTATACTTTTTATATCTATAATTACAGGTTGAAACTATTTCAACCAGTCTTCCTAGTTCACAATTCTTCAGTCCTTTCAGTAGTCTTTTCTATAGCTCTTGGGGATCTGTATGTCCCTGTGTAAGACTCTCCTTGAATCTTGCAAAGTAGCAAGAGTTTTCATAAGGCCCTTGGCAAGGTGACAGAAGCTGTCTTTACCCTGATGACAAGATATAAGATTCTGTTCCTTATCTTGGGTTCTGCCCTACATGTCTTTCAGACATTATTAAATCTGTGTGTTGGCCGGGCGCAGTAGCTCATGCCTGTAATCCCAACACTTTGGGAGGCCAAGGTGGGTGGATCACCTGAGGTCAGGAGTTCGACACCAGCCTGGCCAATATAGTGAAACCCCGTCTCTACTAAAAATGCAAAAATTAGGCATAGTGACAGGTACCTGTAATCCCAGCTACTCAGGAGGCTGAGGCAGGAGAATCGCTTGAACCCAGGAAGCGGAGGTTGCAGTGAGCCGAGATCTCAGCCACTGCACTCCAGCCTGGGCGACAGAGGGAGACTCCGTCTCAAAAAAAAAAAAAAAAATCTGTCTGCCACCTGAGGCCTTGTCGAAAAAAGACAAGGTAGAAGACCCAGTTGTTAGAGCTCTTCTGCATCCGCCTTAGATAAACAAAGAATCTTCTGAATGCCTTTAGAATAGGAAAGGGGTAGCAGGGCAAACAACTCTAGGCTGAGGACATTGTCTCCCTGAGAAATCCTGTATGCGAAACCCCATTCTTCTTTTATGTACTCCTAACGCATAGTCCTTTTCTTAGAAGTTAGTATTCTTATACTTAGTGTTCATTATACTATTAGATACCTATTGATATCTTGGCCAGGTGCAGTGGCTCATGATGCCTGTTATTCGCTGCATTTTGGGAGGCCAAGGCGGGTGGATCACCTGAGGTCAGGAGTTCGAGACCAGCCTGGCCAACATGGTGAAACCCCGTCTCTACTGAAAATATAAAAATTAGCCAGGCATGGTGGCTCATGCCTGTAATCCCAGGTACTCCAGAGGGGGAGACAGGAGAATCACCTGAACCCAGGAGGCAGAGGTTGCAGTGAGCTGAGATTGCACCACTGCACTCCATCCTGGGTGACAAAGTGAGACTCCGTCTCAAAAAAAAAAAAAAATACATATTTATATCTAGATATCTCTATATCAAGATAATAGATATTAATAGATAATATATTTATATCTAGTATATCTGTGTTTATATCTACATTTTTATATATTTATAGTAATTTCATTTAAATTTTCTATTTTTTCATGTTTTAAATGTTATGTTTTTAAAAGAAGATATAAAAACAGGCATTCCAAAATGGAATTTCTATGCCTTAAAAACCTTTAACTATTTTCCTTTTGGCTTGTCAATTTTAACCATCTGAATGTTTTGCTATAATTTATGTTATCACTTGCAGTTTAAACTATTGTATTTCTAAAGATTTTCTATTGTAAAATTTCATCTAAAGTTCATATTGTACATACTGAAGGAGTTACTCGATTAACATTTGAGCACCAGAATTGAGCTCAAAGAGAAAAATTATTATTGGCTCACCTTTTATGTGGCAATTCTGTTTTGGATTCTTAGTTAAAGTTGCATTAAAATGTGTATATTTGCACTTACTGGGTTAATAACAGCATAAAGGTCAACATTTTTCTCTGTAGAACAGAAGTAAATATAGAGTCCATCCTTTCTAGATCCTGAAGAGTTTAGTTACTAAACAAAAGGGTTTTGAAATTATCGAAAGGATACCTGCAAATTGTTTTATTCGAAAGAAAGTCAAAAGTGTTAATGTTCAATATAATAACCTATCAAAAGAGACTTTTAGTTACACAATAATGTAAATGCTTCTAAAATTGACACTGAAAACAGAATTTGCCAAAAAATGAAAGTTGTGTTTTTCAGATCAACTTGCTTTTCTTGCTTGTGTACTAATTAGATACATACTGCCATGAAAGAAAGCTCACCTTTATTTGATGATGGGCAGCCTTGGGGAGAAGAAACTGAAGATGGAATTATGCATAATAAGGTACCATGTATTATCATAAACTGTAATAATGAATTGCCTTGATATTATTGTGTCACTATTGGATTTAATACAGATGCCCCTCGACTTATGATAGAGTAATAAACCGACTGTAAGGTGAAAATATCATGTCAAAAATGCATTTAATACACTTAACCTGCCAAACGTCATAGCTTGGCCTAGCCTACCTTAAACATTCTCAGAACAATTAAACTAGCTTACAGTTGGGCAAAATTAATCTAACACAAAGCGTATTTTATAATAAAGTATTGAATAGCTCTTGTAATTTATTGAATACTATACTAACAGTGAAAAACAAAAAGGTTGTATGGATACTTGAAGGATGGTTTCTACTCCATTGCTTTTGCACCATCAGAAAGCTGAAAAATCTGAAGTCAAACCATCGTTAAGTCAGGGATTGTCTGTATATTCTTCTGTAGAGTTGTTTTTTTGCTTCCTGAAAACATTATAAATTTGTTTTTTTTAATATTAATGGATCTGTTTGAATCACATTATAATTTCTTAAAAATAACTAGGCACAAAAATTTGAAAATTTTAACTAAGTAAAAAATGGAAGGGGATTGGAATTAAATCATAACATGTTATATGTTATAGACGTAATGTTTCTTTTCCTCCTTTATGTCGTGGAATGAAGATATCAGTATTGGCAACATTATTTTAATGTAATTCTTTGTCAACACAAAACATAATAGGTTAAGTCTTAAGATATTGCACGTGGATAGGTTGTTTATTTTGTTTTGACCTTTTTCATTAGACATATTGCCCCTTAGCCCAGAGTCGCCACTTCCAAAAGTGGTTGAGATAAAGGAAACATTAAGATTATACATTAATACTTCCTAGCATACATAAAAAACTAGTCATCACATGGGCCACTTAGAAGAAAAACTATTCTCTGTTCTAATTCTAACCTTCATTCTTTGAAACTTTTGTCACAAAAGAAAAGTGGAAATAATTTCAGTCCCATCTTTTATGACTGCCTGGGATGTAGTTCAAAGATACATCAACTGACTAGTGTTGGCATCATTGCCTTTTTCTTTTTAACAAAAAATAAACATGCGCCTTTACTACTTCAACAATGATCCCAGTTGGAAAGGCTCCTAGAAAACCTTTGATCCCACCCTTGAGAAAATTATCCTCCCACATTGCAATATGTATATTGGGCTGCCTCTAATTACCCCTCAGTTTTCACCCAAGTACATTACAACATCTATTAAGTATTAAATGTCTTGCCAGACACAGTGGCTCACACCTGTAATTCTAGCACTTTGGGAGGCCGAGGTGGGCAGATTGCTTGAGCTCCAGAGTTCAAGACCAGCCTAAGCAACATGGCGAAACCCCATCTCTGCAAAAAGTACAAAAATTAGCTGGGTGTGGTGGTGCGTGCCTGTGGTCCCAGCTACTTGGGAGGCTGAGGCTGCAGGATCACTTGAGCCCAGGAGGTCAAGGCTACAGTGGGCCAAGATCATGTCACTGTACTGCAGCCTGAGTGACAAAGTGAGACCCTGTCTCAAAAAAAAAAGTGTTAAATGTCTTGACATCCATCCTAAAGGTTAAAAAATTATTCTTGCTCTCTGAGCTATTATAGCTATTATTTCAAATGACAATATATAGAGAAGCACATGGGAAACTATAAAGTACTCTTTGTAATTAAAGAAAGTTGTCAGAGTATCTGGCTTCACAAGTTTCCGATACTCAGCTTTGTGAGTCCACAAACTCGATATTTTTAAACCTATAAGATCAAAATTGACCAAGCTTAAGGAAACTGATTCAGTCTTAACCAAATTCACAGCAACTGATCTGAAGGAGAATGAAAATGTATTAATTTACCATCAGTGATACACCTTTCCAGTTACAGGAATACTCAGACTGCCTATTCAGGGTACTCACTTCAAGGTCACCTTAATAAGCAATGAATTAGCACAAAGGGAATTGGTTTGTCTTGAGGGATATTTACTTCATCTAAGGTATGGAAAATTCTGATCATCCATTCTTGCCTTCTCATAAAGTCTACATTCTCAGTGACCAAAACATCTCATGAATGCAAAATATAGTGTTATTTTCTCTTGGATAAATGTTAAGAATTCTAGTATTGTACTGTTTAGATTGCTACTCATCATGCAATTCATTTTTTAGCCTGAAGTTACAATGTAATTGTAGCCTTCATTAATTACATTTGGGTTTTTACAATTAGACCTTATCAATTCAATTGGACTTAGATGATCAGCAGTTTATTTAAATTTTTCATCAGGTGCTTTATTCCTAAAGATGATTAAGTTTGTGCATTTTATGTTGAATTACATTTATTAATAAGCTTCCCTGTTTGTTTGACCTTCTCAAAATTCTGAAGGTATGGCTGTTTTTAAATATTGCCTTTATCCAAATTTAAGTGTTATTTTATCCTCATTATTCATATTTAGAAGTAGCAGACTAAATAAGTCCATATAGCATAATTATATAGCCTAGGTTTTTGTCTCTTATTTATAGGTTCATCTGACTACTTAGTATTTCTGACTATTTTTTAAATTCAAATATAAATTTCCACCTAGAAAAGTGAAACAGACCAAATAGAGAATCATAACTTTGTTTCTAAAATCTGCTTAACCCCATAGTTGTTTTTGGACTACACCATAAAATGCTATGAGAGTTTTATGAGTGGTGCCGACAGCTTTGATGAGATGAATGCAGAGCTGCAGTCAAAACTGAGTAAGTGTTCTCGTTCTTAGGGTGCTTGCTTTTGGTCATTTCACTCTGCTCATGGAGTGGTAATTTATTTACCATATCCAGTGTTCATATGAGCTACTTACTTTAAATGTATCTGGATGCCTACTGATTTTTATCTTTGTGGTTTCTTTGGTGGAGAGAAGTTAAACAAAAAGAATACTAGTGTTGGAGCCAGACCTGAGCCATAACATCTTACTGTCTGTGGCGCCTTAATAAAATACTTGACCTCCTGACAAAGTGTAGCAGCAGTAGATGACAGTATAATAAAGTCATAATATACCAAACATGCTACCAGAAGCATAGACAATAATTAGCAAATGCTATTCCTCTTGGGGGATAATATCCCTACGTTGTCCTTGCTTACTATTTGAGAAATTAAAGCACCAATTAGTCAAAAGACCTAAGGTCTCTTTCAAAATTTGTGGCAAAAAGTTAACAAGACATTATACTTCCAAATATGTAAGGAAAATCTTTTTTTTTTTTTACTCATTTACAACCTAGTGACATACAGTATTTACTAGATAACTCTAAAACATTCCAGAGGTATTATTTTACATTTTCATTCTTTCTATTGAAATAGTCTTGTATATAAAATGCCAAAATGGAAGGTAAAATAGATAAATGGAGGTGAAGCTATTCCTCCAACAATGGAATCAATCACTTTGCCAGTATTATCACAAAAGCTGAAAGCATTCCCTTATAGTCCCCTGGGATTGTATCTTCCTGAAGAGTAACCAGGACAATTTCAGCTTGTTCACATGGGAAAGGGAGCAAAATAAATGGCTTTGTTTTAAGAGAGGAAAATTTAGAGTGATCTAAGCATCTAATGAGTAATTTGATATTTCTGTATATAATTAACCAAGCATAAAAACTGCATTCATTTATTCAAATAAATATTTTTTGTATACCTACTATGTGCCAGCCACCATTTAGGCACTGAGGATACAGTAATGAATAGGATAAAAACCTCTGCCCTTATGAGCTTACATTTTAGTAGACAGAAAGAGGAAAATAATGAAATGAGCAACTTTAAGTCAAATGGTGATAAGCGCTTTGGAGAAAAATCAAGCAGGACAAGGAGAGTCGAAGTACGGTGGAGTAATGGAAAGGGTTTGCTGTTTTACAAGGATGGGATGTACTTCACTAATAGTGTTTTGGGCAGAGACCAGAAGGAAGTGAGGGAGGGAGTAATGGTGAAAACTTGGGAAAGAATGTTCTAGGCGGATTTGAGGTCTTAAAAAGCTTTTGGATTTTGTCTCCAGAGGATTTATTTAATGTGGATGCTTTTAAGCTGGAATCATTAGAAGCAAAAAACAGAGCATTGAATGAACAGATTGCAAGATTGGAACAAGAAAGAGAAAAAGAACCGGTTAGTAAACATGTTTACACACTTACTTGAGAGCTCTTTTAGACTTTTGGGTGTCCTTGGATATTAGCTGTCTTTATCAAAATTTTAAAAAATAGATTAACAAATTAAGCTTCTTAAAAGTTAAATTTTCACCTAGAAACTCCCAATGAAAACATGTTTGGTATCTGTGGAGCCTTGTTTTCCCTTGCGGTCTATCAGTCTTAGACTAATGGTGCTCTGGATATGATGAAAGATTCTTACCTACTTACATAAGATCAAAAGTACTTTTGAACAAAGGCCCTGTGTTATATACCTCTAGGGAGCATTAGTCACAAGAAGCCCTGAGTTTTGGAGGTAGTGCAAAAGGAATGGTTAATAAATGGGTTTATATAGTATATTGTATCCTGAGTTTTCTAAAAGCTAAATATTAATATCCAGTTATCTAACTTTATTTTCTGCATTATTAGTGAAGCACTCAAACTGTTGTTGTAAAATACCAGATTTTAAATATTTGTGCTTTTTCAACCCTAGCAATTGTGGTTTTTTTTTTTTTCTATTTCAAACTGACAGTGTAGTCCCCTTTTAGTTCTTTTGACTTCCTCTAAAAATGAAAGGAAAACTCAAATCTACCTTTCTCTAAAATAAATTTAAATAATATTGCTTTACTTTAAAATAAAATATGGAATGGTTATTAAGAATAACTAAAGTTATATTCTTTTCTCTTAAAGAATCGTCTAGAGTCGTTGAGAAAACTGAAGGCTTCCTTACAAGGAGATGTTCAAAAGTATCAGGCATACATGAGCAATTTGGAGTCTCATTCAGCCATTCTTGACCAGAAATTAAATGGTCTCAATGAGGAAATTGCTAGAGTAGGTAAGCAGAGCTAATGCTAAAAGACTGGGATGCGAACCTGTGTGGGATTTGTCACATGTAAAAACAGCTTTGTTATCCATATCTTTTGTTGTTCTGTGGTACATGCTTAGAGCAGGCTACCAAGTTTTCAGTGTGTTTCGTATTTGTTTCCTAAGGCTGCTGTCACAAATGATCACAAGTTTGGATGGCTTAAAACAACAGAAATGTATTATCGCACAGTTCTAGAGGCTGTTCCAGCAGATCTGCATCCCTCCAAGGACTCAGGGAGGATCTATTCCTTGCCTCTTGCAGCTTTTAGTGGCTGGCAGCATTACTGGGCTATGTTCACATCACTCCGATCTCTGCCTCCATCTTCACATTGCCTTCTCCTCTGTGTTTGTACTCTACTACCTGTGTGAAATATCTCCCTCTGCCTCTATCTTATAAGGACATTTGAGATGAGATTTAGGGCCCACCTGGATAATAATACAGGGCTCTCTCTTCATCTCAAGATACTTAATCACATCTGCAAAGACCCTTTTCCCAAATAAGGTAATTTCACAGTTTCCAGAGATAGAACTTTATATATTTAGGTGGCCATTGTTCAACCTACTACTCCTTACATGTTTTCAAGCATTTGGCTTTTTGAAGCCAAGAAGGACCCAACCTAAGAAAACATGCTGCCTGAATATAGAAATATATAAAAATTCTATACAAATATATACTGTATTCCACTTTGTGGTTAATAAGCCAGATAAACCAGATTCTTTTGTTTTTTTTGAGATGAAGTCTTGCTATTTTGCCCAGGCCAGTCTCGAACTCCTGGGTTCAAATAATCCTCCCACTTCAGTCTCCCACGTAGCTGGGACTATAATAGGTGGGCTCCACCATGCTTGGCTCTAATAAGCCAGATTCTTGATGTCTGCCTGCCTCAGTCTGCTATAACTGGCTATCCTCCATCACTACCGCCTAAGCACCTCAGCAGCTGAAACTGATTGAAAATCAAAATTAAAGCTGCAAGTACTACAGTTCTCGGGGAAAAGAGCAACCAAAGAAAGCTCTTTTATGTCTTATGTCTTGTAAGCTTACTTTCATAAACACAGCAATCTTAATCATAAAATTCTGTAAAACACTATGGCACATGCAATTGCTTGATTCTTCTGCAGTGCCTGAAGGAGAGTAAAGAAAGGTATCTGCAAGTCACAGAGCCACTGGGCTGTACTTTTAAAAATAAATTTATTGACAACTATACTGTTTTCCCAGGACTTTGCCTACTTCTGTTTGTTTCTTTTGGGATTTTGCTGGCTGTGTCTGTCCCACATGGGAGTTGTATACATGGCCCTTAGGATATTTGATTTAACTCTTAGTCTATGGAGTATTGATTGTCAACTCAAGACTAGTAATTACCAGGGTTATTTGCTGAATCTGTTTTTTTTTTCCAAATAACTCTGATTTATATATATATATTGGATTTGCTCTAAACCAACTCTTTAAATATATTAACTACTTTACACTTGGCCCCTAATCAATGTCCTTTGTTTATTCTTCATGATGACAAAGAAGCTTGGACTAAATTATTATTATAATAATTTTTATAATGCAATTAATCAATACTTTTTTTTTTTTTTTTTGAGATGTAGTCTTGCTGTGTCACCCAGGCTGAAGTGCAGTGGCACCATCTCCGCTCACTGCAACCTCCGCCTCCCGGGTTCAAATAATTCTTCTGCCTCAGCCTCCTGAGTAGCTGGGATTACAGGTGCACGCCACCATGCCCGGCTACTTTTTTGTATTTTTAGTAGAGACGGGGTTTCACCATGCTGGCCAGGCTGGTCTCAAACTCCTGACCTCGTGATCCACCTACCTCGGCCTCCCAAAGTGCTGGGATTGCAGGCGTGAGCCACAGCACCCGGCCTTTAATCAATACTTTCTAATACTAATACTTTATCTTTCTTGTCAGCATATGATCAAGAGAATTGTCATACATCCTTCTTGTTCTTGTGAGAACTTTTTCTGATAGCTGCAAACTCAGTAGGTGAGAGAGAAATACTTAATCATTTGCCATTCCAGAGTGATTTAGTTTGAGACATTAATTTTATAACTGTTAATCTAAGATGTTTTTATTCTATGAGTGTTTGAACTTTCTTGATTATGTAAAGCCATTCATGGCATGAGTGGATGAGACATATTTAAATTTTATTTTGTTTTTGTTTTATTTTGTTTTTTTTTTTTTGAGAGACAGAGTGTCACTCTGTCGCCCAGGCTGGAGTAGAGTGGCTCAATCTTGGCTCACTGCAACCCTCGCCTCCGGGGTTCAAGCAAGTCTCCTCCCTCAGTTTCCCAAGTAGCTGGGACTACAGGAGTGCACCATCATGCCCAGCTAATTTTCATTTTTTTTAGTAGAGACAGGGTTTCACTATATGTTGGCCAAGCTGGTCTCAAACTCCTGACCTCAGGTGATCCACCCGCCTCAGCCTCCCAAAGTGCTGGGGTTACAGGCATGAGCCACCACACCCAGCCATAAATTTTATAGATATTATATGTTGTGGATTTTTTGTGCAGATGCCTGTGATAAATGCATAAAGTTTTACTTTATCTAACCATGAATTTGCTTTAAGTTCACTGTGTTGCAAATAGGTTGTAACAAACCAAGATACCAAAATACCAATCCTCTCCACCCTTAGGATGACTCTCTTGACCCCTTAGTCATCCTCATCCTTTTGTCCCAGCCTGCTATAAAAATGCTAATCATGTTCAATATAGGCCATGAGTCACAGAAGGTTGGAAAACACTATTGGTAAACAGAGAAAGCAAAAACCTGACCAGTTTGGTATGGTTATCACTGAAAATGTCAGTAAAATATGAATAAACTCTGGTGTGTGTGTGTGTGTGTGTGTGTGTGTGTGTGTGTGTGTGTCTTTTTTTTTTTTTTTTGAGTCAGACTCTTACTCTGTCACCCAGCCTGGAGTGCAATGGCACGATCTCAGTTCACTGCAACTTCTGTCTCCTGGGTTCAAGCGATTTTCCTGCCTCAGCCTCCCAAGTAGCTGGGACCACAGATGTGTGCCACC
Organism: Homo sapiens; assembly: GCF_000001405.40. NCBI lineage: Eukaryota > Metazoa > Chordata > Mammalia > Primates > Hominidae > Homo > Homo sapiens. Next base: position 2,593,210 of record NC_000018.10, read on the forward strand.
ACGCCTGGCTAATTTTGTATTTTTAGTAGAGACAGGGTTTCACCATGTTGGCCAGACTGGTTTCGAACTCCTGACCTCAGGTGATCCACCCGCCTCTGCCATAATAAGTCTTATCTCATTTTTTCACATAGTATAAATTATATTCTTATGCAGGACTGCGTTAAGATCCAGTAGTTCTTAAACAATGTTACCAAATAACCACATATCCCAAAGGCAGACAGTCTTCACAGTGTACTTTTACCTCATTGAAGTTGAAGCTGTTCCTTTACAATATTTTTCCACTTCAATGTGAAGTAGACTGTTAAGGTTTCATTAGGGGTTTAATTATGTGTCCTTTTAAAGAAAAAATGGTTTTGACAATTCTTCCACAATTCACAGTTCTCAGACAATAACTTTTTTTGTAAATCATATAGTCCAACTATGTTTTGAATAACCAGATGCTCTTTAGTAGACGAAATCTCTCAATGCAACTGTAATAAATAAGCATCTGTATCCTGATTCTTATTTATGGCATCTCATCATATACCAGTATATCCTGGAACCAAAGTAAGATGATTTTCCTGTGGATTTCCTACAATCCACTTATTTGTTTTAAAACAGAATATTTCCGTCATTTATAATTTCTGTTTGGATGATAATTCTGACCACCACCTTTTTATGACTGCTTGAAGCTAGCTTATTTTATTTTATTTTACTTTATTTTATTTTATTTTCCGGGAGTCTCACTCTGTCTCCCAGGCTGGCGTGCAGTGGTGCGATCTCGGCTCACAGCAGCCTCCGCCTCCCAGATTCAAGTGATTCACGTGCCTCAGCCACCCGAGTAGCTGGGATTACAGGCATGCGCCACCATGCCCAGCTAATTTAGTAGAGACAGGGTTTCGCCATGTTGGCCAGGCTGGTCTCGAACTCCTGACCTCAGGTGATCCGCCTGCCTCAGGGCTTCCCAAAGCGCTGGGATTACAGGCGTGAGCCACCGCACCTGGCCATTGAAGCCAATTTAATCAACTATTACATACTCTTCAAATTTGCTTTAAAGCAGTCACTTTACTAGAAGTAACAAGTGTACTGGCTTTCTTCTGTAAACTGTTGGTAACCACAAGAAGGCAATCTACCACAGCTCCAAGCTCTTCTATCCTCACCAAATAAGCTACAAGTTCACTTGTACTTCTCTTAAAAGTTAAAGCTACATTCAATGAGCTTTTTCAGAAAAAAATCAACAGTTTTCCTGCTGAACAAAATTTTGGCCATTGTTTCATGGTCCTGAGAAACCTTAGAAAAAAACCCACTATACTGTGATGATGGGTTTTCTGTTTGGGAAGAACCAGAATCACTGGAATTAATCAAATATGTGTGACTCAACTGTCATGGCTTAATTTTTCAGGCAGGTAGCCTGCACAAGTCAGTTCATTTTCTCATTTGCCGTGGCACAATCCCCACTTCTAGGCAACTGTTTTTTCTGTAACAAGAATTTAGAAAGGGATGATTAACTTTCTGAAATAGACTGCCTTATGTGCTTTAATCTGGGCTTTTCACACCTTGTCCAACTGTTCTGTTTATGTAAGCAGCCACCTGTCTTGGAGACTTCTTAACCTTCTTCATGTTGTATTAGTGAAATTAGAGATCCTTTTTCTAGGAAGGTCAATGGAGGGATCCTCGATATTACAAAAGTTCCATTTTTTTCACATTGTGAGTTTCAAATGTCATATTCTCTTAAATATTGGCACCTTGGGGTATCATGGAGCCTCAGCCTAGAATGTCCCTTTGTCCCCATGCAGGGCCATTCAAATGTGGATGCATGCATGAACCCAGGATTCTTAATGGCAGTCATTATTTATGAAGCCACATTTTTTTTTCATGTAGTACTTTTTGAAAACCATTGCAAGCTAATAGGGAAATAAGTTTCTTAACATAAAACTTTAATTGTCCTATCTTCCAGAATGTTATAAACAAAGTAAGATCAAAAGAATTATCTCAAAAAATGAGAATATACATACATATGTATATATATGACTTTGAAATTTATATATATATATGAGACTTGGAAATTTTTATATATACTATAAAAACATATATATAATATATATAATATATATACACACATATATATGACTTGGAAATTTAGATATCTTAGCTCTATTACATGATGGCATCTGTTTCTTTGTAGGAATTGAAGATACATTAAAAATTTGGTTTTTTTCCAACACAGAACTAGAATGTGAAACAATAAAACAGGAGAACACTCGACTACAGAATATCATTGACAACCAGAAGTACTCAGTTGCAGACATTGAGCGAATAAATCATGAAAGAAATGAATTGCAGCAGACTATTAATAAATTAACCAAGGACCTGGAAGCTGAACAACAGAAGTTGTGGAATGAGGAGTTAAAATATGCCAGAGGCAAAGAAGCGGTATGTCATACCATTTCCAGAGTGGCAACTCATCATAGCTGACCTTTCTGAAGGTCTGTCCCAATTAAGAAGAAGTCAGTGGGTAGAGTAAATTGGCTTAAGAGGTAAAACATTAGCATTGACATTTTAATGAAACACTCATCCCTTTATGTCAATTCAGTAACATCCCAATTTCTCTCAAATTTAAGATAAGTTATATTTCATAACCCAATGAAAAAGTAAACAAAAAAGTCTCTAAAACTATGAAAATAATGTTCATAGGTCCCACTCCTTTTACTCTGTAGAAGAGGAAATGAGTCCTTCATTCACCTATTCACTACTTAAGCATTAAGATTGAACATCCGCTGTGTGTCACTTATGCTAGGCATAGAGGAAATAAAGATAAAACATTGGCTTTCCCCTCAAAAACTTCCAACTGAGTTTGCATTTACTCCCATGAAATGAGACCTCTAATAAATGTTTGGTGTACAGGGTACTGAGGAAACATATAGTACACCTAGCCCAAATTTAGTGTACATGGTGTGGGGAGATGGCTGAGAGGTTTTTAGAAGAGAATTTCTTAAAGAGGGAACAACTGAACTGAATTGGGAAGTATAGGGAAGGGTTAGCATGGCACAGCCTACAAAATGGGAGAAAATTTTCGCAACCTACTCATCTGACAAAGGGCTAATATCCAGAATCTACAATGAACTCAAACAAATTTACAAGAAAAAAACAAACAAACCCATCAAAAAGTGGGCGAAGGACATGAACAGACACTTCTCAAAAGAAGACATTTATGCAGCCAAAAAACACATGAAAAAATGCTCACCATCACTGGCCATCAGAGAAATGCAAATCAAAACCACAATGAGATACCATCTCACACCAGTTAGAATGACAGTCATTAAAAAGTCAGGAAACAACAGGTGCTGGAGAGGATGTGGAGAAATAGGAACACTTTGACACTGTTGGTGGGACTGTAAACTAGTTCAACCATTGTGGAAGTCAGTGTGGCGATTCCTCAGGGATCTAGAACTAGAAATACCATTTGACCCAGCCATCCCATTACTGGGTATATACCCAAAGGATTATAAATCATGCTGCTATAAAGACCCATGCACACATATGTTTATTGCGGCACTATTCACAATAGCAAAGACTTGGAACCAACCCAAATGTCCAACAATGATAGACTGGATTAAGAAAATGTGGCACATATACACCATGGAATACTATGCAGCCGTAAAAAATGATGAGTTCATGTCCTTTGTAGGGACATGGATGAAATTGGAAATCATCATTCTCAGTAAACTATTGCAAGGACAAAAAACCAAACACCGCATATTCTCACTCATAGGTGGGAATTGAACAATGAGAACACATGGACACAGGAAGGGGAGCATCACACTCTGGGGACTGTTGTGGGGTGGGGGAGAGGGGAGGGATAGCATTAGGAGATATACCTAATGCTAAATGATGAGTTAATGGGTGCAGCACACCAGCATGGCACATGTATACATATGTAACTAATGTGCACATTGTGCACATGTACCCTAAAACTTAAAGTATAATAATAATAAAAAATAAGTAAATAAAATAAAATAAAATAAAATAGCAAGTGGGACAGAGCAAGAGATGAGACTCAAGAGATAAGCATAGACCAGAGGATGAAGACTCTTCTTGTTTAGAAGTTTGGACTTTATCCAGAAAGCCCTAAGAAGGTCCTAAAATTTTTAAACAGGTGTGGTTACATCTCAGAAAGATCTTATTTCTGATAAGGTGAAAATCTGTGGCAGCAATCTAATAAGAAATTACTATCATTCTCTAAAAGATAGTAAGGATTCGGTCCGGATGCAGTGGCACACGCCTGTAATCCCAGCACTTTGGGAGGCCAAGGCAGGTGGATCATCAGAAGTTATGACTTCGAGACCAGCCTGGCCAACATGGTGAAACCCCGTCTTTACTAAAAATACAAAAAGAAGCCAGGTGTGGTGGCACCTGCCTGTAATCGCAGCTACTTGGGAGGCTGAGGCAGGAGAATCGCTTGAACCCGGAGGCGGAAGTTGCAGTGAGCCAAGATCCCACTATTGCACTCCAGCCTGGGCAAAAATAGCAAAACTCTGTCTAAAAAAAAAAAAATAAAGTTAAAGACAGTAAGGATTCAAAGAAGTAGGTAGATTCTGACAACTTAGAGGTAGAGCGAATGAAACTTGATGAAAGAGGGAGGAAGTGGTTGCCCTGTCTGGCTTGGGTAATTGGGCAGGTGCCACTCACTCAGGGAGAGAAGAGAAGGAAGAAGTTGTGAGACAGGAATGGGGATGGATGTGTTATATCCACGTCCAAGTGAAAATAGGTAATAGGCTGTTATATATATGGGTCTGGACCTTGGCATGAGAGAAGCCAATTATTCAACTTAATTTCAATGTTATGGGTAATACATTACCAATTTAGCCAACATTTAATGTATAAGTAATAAGCCCAAAATTTAATGTATAAGTAATATTGCTTTTGAGATCTAATGCATTTTTGGAAATTGCAAATTGGTTAAGCAAGTTCCAACGTGTGCTCTTACCATTGCATTCCTTCACTCAAATTGATTTTTATGGATGGGTAATAACAATGAGAAACGAAGTATGTGTTTAATGGAGGAAGCAGATTAAAAACAAGTTGCCTAGACTCTGCAAATTCATTTATTCAATCTAATATTAAGTATCTACTATATGCCAAGCACTGTTCTAGGTGCTGAGGATAGAGCTGTTTTCATGGAACTTATATTCAGAAAGTGGAGATGAACAAATATATGTCAGGTAGTGATGATGGCTATGAAGAAAAATAAAACAAAATAAGCATTTAGAAGAATTAGGGTGCTATATTAGGGGAAAGCCTTTCTGATGACCTTATTTGAACAGAGCCCTGAAGGAAGAAGGAAGGAGAGCAGGAAATGTGAAATATATTACTAAAATATTTTTATCAATACAGTTAAAATAACATTTTCAGACATAAATGATTATATTCTACTTATTTTGGATACATGAAATGTTTTAATTTGTACATTGACAAAACTAAGATTGGTTTGTTTTACATGTTTCGTAATTTCTTTATCTGGCACTTCAAAAAGTAAATTTTAGTTAATATCTAAATATGGACTCTTATTCCAAGCTGTCAGATAAATGGAAGATAGTAGTACATTACACACCAATTGATAGTCTTAATTATTCTGTAAATTTAAGTGTTACTAAAACCTTATCTTCTTTGTATATTTTAAAACTGCTACTCTTACTGCTAAAGATTACTGAATTAGTAAACTACTAAAAATAGGTGTGATATGTTTTGTATAAAATTTTAGAAATGTCAATTGAAAAAAACATATGGAATGGGGCTGCTTTAACATGTCTTATGTGTTCTGTTCTTACAGATTGAAACACAATTAGCAGAGTATCACAAATTGGCTAGAAAATTAAAACTTATTCCTAAAGGTGCTGAGAATTCCAAAGGTTATGACTTTGAAATTAAGTTTAATCCCGAGGCTGGTGCCAACTGCCTTGTCAAATACAGGGCTCAAGTTTATGTAAGTAATCATGACTACTTTTAAGATTTTTTTAATTCTGTGATTGGTATCTCTAAGAGTTTGAACTTTGGCTTGTTCATAACCCAGTACTAAACAAAGGAATAAAACACTGAAACTGTATCTTCTTTCTTCTCGGTCATAGAAATCTTCTACTATCCAGTAAAAAAAATTGATTACATATAAAATAGATGCCAGTACTATAAAGACAAAGAGGGCCTAACCCTTACTGTCAAGTTGCTAATGATCCCCCCAGAGGAGAAAGACATAAATAAATGCTATATATGTGCTTAATTAGAAGTCTTTACAAGTTATAGTGAAAAGATCAGTTCTTCCCATGTAGCAAAAAAGACTCTGGAGATGGTAACCGTGGAATGAAATCTTGAAAGATGAGACATATATGGGAAGGGTCTGTAGAAAGAATTCCAGGCACAAGGGCACACATGAAGGCATAAAATGTATTAGAGTACTAAGAATACTGGTAATCAACAAGGAGAAATTGGTGCCTAATTTTAAAATATGGCCAAGGAAGTAATTTTGGGAAGAAAATTTTTAAATAGCTCTATTGTAACTTGTCAGTTATTTATAGATTTTAGTATTTGAGTTGCCCCTAAAAATGCCAATTTTCAAAATACTTCAGTTTTGAATAGGAGAATGTTTATTAAAGTCAAAAGCTATACATTTTTCCCTTGAGAATTATTCATTTAACAAGTATTTATTGAGTGCATAGTGTGTTCCAGACCAGCTACATATTAGAGATAAAATATCAAGAAACATACATCCCTACTTTACCAGAGAGAACAGTTTGTGAGTGGACAGACATTGATTAAATCAAGCTATAGTCATTTTCAATAGAAAAAATACATCCAGTAAACATTTAGTCTATTACTAATCTATCTATAGATAGGCAGGCAGAGTTTGCTCACCACTGTTTTGAGTAGTTTGACATGGCTGGTGCAAGAAAATAATTACATGAATCACATTCTTGTAGAAAAGATTACACAATGCAAAAAGAAGAATGAATATGCTCGAGGAGAAATTTTGATTTCATCTCTAGAAATAGTTTTACATAATAATAGAACAATAAAATAGAATCAATAAGGTACAAAGCCAAGTGTTATAAGTAGTACTTGGTGAAAAGTTCTTTAAGAGATTTGAGAGGCCGGGCAAGGTGGCTCAGGCCTGTAATCCCAGCACTTTGGGAGGCCTAAGTGGGCAGATCACGAGGTCAGGAGTTCGAGAGCAGCCTGGCCAATATGGTGAAACCCCATCTCTACTAAAAATACAAAAACTAGCCGGGTGTGGTGGTGCACACCTGTAGTCCCAGCTACTCGGGAGGCTGAGGCAGAGGAATCGCTTGAACCCGGAGGCAGAGGTTGCAGTGAGCCAGGATCACGCCACTGCACTCCAGCCTGGGCAACAGAGTGAGATTCCATCTCAAAAAAAAAAAACAGAGAGAGAGATTGAAGAGGCCATTGCATCTTTTGCAAGGAGCAGGCCAAAATTAAAACTCAGCAATAACTTCAAAAGACCTACTTAAAACATAATGGCATATGGGATTTTATTTCAGCATAATGAAATGTTTTGGAACTGGAGGTGATGGTTACTGTGTTAAATGCCACTGAATTACACGCTATAATTTTATGTTAAACTTTATGTTTATTTTATGTTGTATGTTTAATTGTATGTTAACGTCATTTTAACCTAAGTATTTCAGTTTAACCATTTTAAAGTGTGAATTTCACCTCAATTTAGAAAAATGACAAGCAATGAAGTGCTGTGTTAAAGTCAGTAGAACAGAATAAACATAAGAAATACAGGCAGAGAATCCTAAGACTAAACAGTTGAAAAGGATTAAGAGAAATTGATACTTCTGGATAACATAGCATAAAAATACAACCTACATATGAATTGTTTTCAAAAAAAATACTGCAGTAAACTAAGTGTACTTGTAAAATGTTTAAATAATAGCAATGAATTTCCAGGATAGATGAGCAAATCTTGAATTTTGCAAGTATTCAAAACCAAAAGCAGGTTATAGTCTACACTTACAGAAATTTGATTAAAAACTAGTTTTGTTTCTGTTTGACAGTATATTAGATTTAAAATGTTATAACTTCAGTTTTTCTCCAAAAGTGACTCCTCCTATCACAGTGTGTAGATGCTTCAGGAGGGATATTTTGTAATTAAATGTTATATGTCACCCACATTCCTATGTATTTTATAGGTACCTCTTAAGGAACTCCTGAATGAAACTGAAGAAGAAATTAATAAAGCCCTAAATAAAAAAATGGGTTTGGAGGATACTTTAGAACAAGTAAGTAATAAAACATAAAAAGTCATAAAAAGTGAAAATTAGATTTTAAAACCTAAAATTAAAAGTTATTTATGGTTTCTGATTGCTAAGGAATTAATTTTTTAACAAAACTATGAAAAAATGAGAATTGGGTATGCTCTCGACAGAAATATTTGAAGTAACTTATTAAGACATTTAAACATCCTAGCCTTCACACATCACATATGATGAAGCGAGATGAAACTAAGTAAATTTTCCTTTTTTTAATAGAGAAGTGTCTCTAACTTGAGATAATTTAATATTTTTATACTAAAAGAGGCTTCAAGTGGCTACCTTGAAAGTAGGCAAGTATAATTACGGCGTTAGAAGCTAATTAGCTGTGATAGATTAAGAGGTTTCTTTTTACCAAGTTTTTGGATTCTGGATCATGGAATTTCAGGAGAACTCAAATTCCTTTCAAAGTCTATTTCCAAAAGTGAATTTCAGGTAGTCTCTGCTTCTGAGATCCTTAATATCACCTATATCCCTGAAAAGGAAAATTCTATTATTGTATTTAGTAACCTTTAAAGTAAACATTGTTAGTTAAGAAAAGTTAAGCTACTTCTCAAATGCACACACAAAGGATTTCATTTATAGGACACCAAGCAGTTAAAGGAAACCCCTTGTTAATTCAGCTCTTCAGGAACTACTGTGATCTGGCTAATAGATTTCAAGATATAAAATGAAATTTTATGTTTTCTCAGAAGAGAAGCTTGTTTATTTTTTCTCAATCTGGAAACAAAACCTATGGCATTTCACAAATAATTATGCTAGTAACCCACAGAAAGACATTTTTCCAATATTAATAAATTCTATCAAGACTTACTTTGTATTAGAATTTTTACATTCTCAGAAAAATAGAAAAATTTGTAACATTAGATAAGTGAAGAGTTTGATCACATCATACTATTATTGCTGTAATTCGCAGTTTCTAAAATATCTATGGAGAAAAGATGAGGAATTTGCTCCCTGGGACTGCTCCCTGGGAATGATGATTATTTGCAGTGAAGTCTTCCTTTAGCCTGCTTCATTTTGATTTCTGTTTTTTGCTGTAATGGGTACTAAAACCTGGAGATTCTCAAAAGGTATGAATTCCAAACAACAGGAACTTCATATCTAAAACATCTTTTAGACTGTCTTGAACTTTTTAAAGGCTATAGATGGGGGAAAGTTATAAAATGGCTACTATAGACTAGGACCCATGTTAGTGTCCTAGAGATAAATACATCCTTCAGGCACTCCCATATAGAGAAAAAGGCTGACATAGGTACAGTTATGCTCATCAGATTTTTAGGTTTACAAAACCCTTTGGGCTACAGGAAAACATGGCTTAGAGGGGATGCAACTGAAAATGTTAGGAGACTTAAACCAATGTATACTAGAACTAGAGGGAAGGAAACAGGTTTAGGAAATGTTAAGGAGGTAGAACCCAAGGATTTCATGGCTGCATGTGCAAGCTTGAGGAGAAAGAAGTATCAACATGACTTCCATATTTTTGATGTGGGCAACTGAGTGAATCATAGTGCTATTAACCTAAAGGAGGAAAACTTAAAGTAGGGTGTGGTGAGATGTTGAGCTTGCTGTCTGTAGGATATCCAGGAGGAAGCAGAAGCTATAGATTCAGAGTGTAAGAAGGAGATCAGGGCTGAAAATACAGATTTGATGGTCATTAGAGCATATGTAATAGTTGAAGCCATATATGTGGATGAATGTGGAGGGGAAAGTGGCAGAGGATTGAATCCTAAAGAGTAACAACATTTAAGGGACCGGCAAAGGAAGGAGATTCTGGGAAAAACTCTTAGAAAAAGTGGACAAAATTAGTTGGAGAACAACAGAAGAGAATATGTTTATACATATATATATATATATATATATACACCTATGTAATATATATAAGCCAAAGTAGGGAAAACTTTTCAAGAAGGGAGAGATCAGTAATGTCATACAGAGACTAACAACTAAAATTGTTTTTCCTATTGGACAAGTAGTTTAAGTTAAGATGGGATGGGGTAAAATGCAACTGGAAATAATAAAGTTTATAAAGAAATTAATAAATTAGAGTAACAAAACATTTAACCTGAAAAGTATTTTAAAATAATTGCCAAAACCATTTAAGAAAAAGCAGGAAAATATAAAATGAGAAATAGTTTATAGAGATGGTGGAAATTTATTTGAATTATGAAGTAATATAGTATAAACAGAAATTTATGTTTAAAATTTTTTGATGAAATGGATTGTAACCTGAACAATAGAAATCCCAAAAAAGTCAAAATATGTAAGTAACCAGAAACCAAAGTGAAAAAGAGAATTTGCTCTTCAAAAGACTCCAATAACGGATAATTTCATAGGTCACTGTTTTCAAATACTGAAGACTGGATGATTTCTGTGACATGTAAATTATCATAGAGCATAAAGAGACCTAATTCATTTATAAGGCTAATGTAGGCCTCATACCACAACATGACAAAGATATTACAAAAAGAAGAAATTAAGCTAATCACACTTATGAATATGAATGTAAATAAAGGTTAAAGTTAAATATTTGAAACTGAAATTTATGCAGCAAATATTTTTTGAGTGCTTATGTGCCTAGTACTGTAATAGATGGTGATACTAGTACAGTGCAGCATCTGCCTTTGTGAACTTCATTTTAAGTGGGAAGATGGGCATGAAAACAATTTCTTCTATCATAGCTTTTTGTAATGTGAATACAGCGCACTGTGGATTCTCATAATACACTTAAGTACAGGCTCCTTCTGAGAGAAGTGATAGCTGGGCTGAGTTGTGAATAACAAGTAGGTGTTGGCCAATGGATACACAGAAGGATGCTCATGTTCATCCACATGCATGCACACACACATACACCTTGAGGACCAGAGACCAAGGAGTACAGCATGGACCGGGCATAGTGGCTCACGCCTGTAATCCTAGCACTTTGGGAGGCCAAGGCGGGTGGATGGCTTGAGCTCAGGAGTTCAGGACCAGCCAGGCAACATGGCAAAACCCAGCCACTACCAAAAATATAAAAATTAGCTGGATGTAGTGGCATGCACCTGTAGTCCCAGCTACTCTGGAGGCTGAGGTGGGAGATTGCTTGAGCCCTGGAGGTGGAGGCTGCAGTGAGCTGAGATTGTGCCACTGCACTCCAGCCTAGGTGACAAAGTGAGACCCTTTCTCCAAAAAGAAAAAACAAAGAGCACAGCATATTAGTAAATTACCATGAGTGTAAGTGAGATAAGGGAGAAGCCTGGAGAGACAAGAACCTAATTATGAAGGGGCTTGCCTTACTGGTTGAATTTTTTTGTATTCTTTAGGCAGTAGAGATCAATGAAGATTTATAAGTAAGGAAATAACAATAATTATTGTTATTTTAGTAATTTCACACTGTTGGCCTTTTGAAGAATAGATGAGAGGTGCATGAGACGAGACCATGCAATTAAGAGACCTATCAATATCCTATACAGTGAATAGTAAATGGTAGGGACCCAAAGCAAGGCTATTACAGTGAAGACGGAGAAAGGAGATTTAAAGATGGAAACAACAGTTTGGTTGTCCATTTGTATGTGAAGGTCAAGAAAGAAATCAAGAATGCCCAGGTGTCTTATCTTTGGCAGATGGGTATGTGGTGATGTTCTTTACCTTGATAAAGAATATAAAAGAGAAGTATATAGAAGAGAGAATTGTAGGTTGGGATATGCTGAGTTTCAGGTCTCTGGGGCATCAAAGTGGAGAATGTCCAGTAGGCAATTGGAGTCGGGCGGGCTATATGTATGTGTGTGTGTGTGTGTGTGTGTGTGTGTGTGTGTGTGTGTGTGTGTGTGTGTGTATGTACACAATGGAAATGTGTACTTTGGGACTCAGAAAAAAATGTTTAAGTAATTAATGCAGCTTTAGTAATGCTGACATGGAAAGTAGAAGCTGCTCAGAGATGAGTAAACATGCTTTTGACCAACCATGAGAATCAGTGGAAGTTCTGGTTACTTGAGTATCTGTTGTTGTTATTACAAGTGAATTTAAAACAACTCGTTTAACTTGTTAGTTACTGCAGATATAACATACCTTTAGAAAAAGTTCTTGGTGTTAGATCTGGTTTTGAGTTCTGGGCGTATGCTAGTTGTATATGTCACTACCCTGTGTTTTGTAGCAAATAATAATAGCTTCACTAAATTTGAACCCCTAAATTTTTTTTTAATTTCATATGTGTGTAGAATTATCCTTTAAAAAAAAGTCAGCTATTTATACATTTTACTCTTTTGTGTTTCCTGCAGGAAACAGTTTCCTCTTGGTATAGCTGAAGAACATTCTCTATTAATTGCTGACATCAACTGGTATCAGCACTTGCCAACAGGAAATGAACTTGAAAAACACTTTTTTCTTTCAGTTTTGGTTTCAACTGATCTTAAAGTTCAAGCTTTAACAAGATTAAATGTGGTTACCTTATTACTTTTTGAAGGAATGCATGACTATAATAGCAAACATCCAATAAAATTAATACAAACAATTCTTTTTTAACATTTTAGAAAATGAACATACAAATGAAAAGCTAAATAGCTGTAGTAGATATAGTCTAAATAAAGCTAGATTTCAAATCCAGAGGCAAAAATTATTTATATATGAATAAATTGATATAACAATATTAATAATATATAATATATATGAGAGCTTAAAAAGCACTCCCACAACAACTAGTGGAAAAACAGATATTAACATCGTTAACTTTGAGGTTTCTTTGAAATTAATTTCTCTTTGGAGAATAATAAAGTTTTTGGACAAATGATAAGTGAGAGTCCAAAAGGACTAGAAGAAATAACATTGTTCAGTTAGTTGATTGATAATATAAAAACTCTATAACTTGTTAAAATATCTTTGATGTATAGTTATGATTTCTCAACCAAAGTTTTATTTCCCCAGTTGAATGCAATGATAACAGAAAGCAAGAGAAGTGTGAGAACTCTGAAAGAAGAAGTTCAAAAGCTGGATGATCTTTACCAACAAAAAATTAAGGTAAGAACTTTGCCACAGTTTGCGTAGGTTATCAAAAGCTATGTCATGATTGCTTGATGAGTCACATATTCTGACATCAAAATCAAAATCTTTAAGCTATATATATCCTATAATTTGTATCTTGGGTTAGTTTTCTCTGCCAAAGTTTATCGTAAGGAGTCATTTTATTTTGTTCTTTAAAGGACATTTTTCTGGATTAGGGCTGTTTTACCATAGAAAAGGAACATTTACTTTTCCTTTATCTGGTATTTTATACTTGCATATGACTCAGTATCCTTGCAAAACTAAACAGAATCTCTCCTACCTTTTTGTAGAGATTTATTGTTATGTACTGCTAAAGCCTGAACCCCAATAAGGTCTTTTGAATATGTAGTTGCCCACCAAGAGTCATTGTAAACTGACTATCCTGGTCAAATTCCAAAGACTGTTTACGTGCAATCTAGAAGGTGGGTAAAATAAAAAGACTGATTCTTCAACATTCTACTGTCTGACCAGCATTTTACTTAAAGTATTCAGATGACTCTATTCATTACCACTTACACAATTCATGTGAAAATTTTAACTATGCCAATATTTTTTACTTATGTCAACAAAGTATTAGGAATTGAAAACTTTTCTCTTTGCCTGTGTTATATTTAGGACCTATTTGTTTTCTTAAACGGTGTGAAATGTTTAGAAAATATACCACATAATATGATCTAAATGTGAAATATAAGACATTGGTAATCATTTTTCTTTTTTCACACATCCTCCATGACAATGCTTGAGTTTACTCTCTGACGCACTTAAATGAAAGGTTTTATGATACTTAATCTTCACAAACCTTAGAAATGATTAATTTGGGCTACTTTGCCTGTGCATAGTTAATACATCTGTGAAATAAGGACCTAGATAAGGCTTCCTTGAAGCTCATGGGAAAAAATCTTAATTAAAATATTATAAAATTTCCTGTTGTTCAGACTGGAAAATACTGCTGAATGAATCCTATGCAAGCTTTTTGAAAAGGTCACATTTGGTAAATACTTCCAACTCACCAAAAAACTAAAAAACTTCACTACTGAATTCTAGTCAGTTGACCTTGGCGCCCTAAAAACTGAACCAATTTTATTTAGTTTCTGCATCTTTGAGAATAAAGTGACTTTTTAATTTTTTAAAGGAAAAAGTATTTTTTGTTCATAATATAAATACTCATTAGAAACAATAGAGACTCGAGAGAAATGTATAAAATGGGAACTGAAATGTACCTTATAATCCACCATAATCCCATCACTAGAAACAATGGTTAAAGTTTAGGGAGTGTCTTCCAGATATACAAACATATATTTTTTTAATGGTACCAAATTATACATAGTTTTTCATAATCTGTCTTTCTCAAGAAAAGATATCATGGATATCTTTTCATACAAATGTAGAGAGAGCAATCCTTCTATTGTGTTTTTATTTTACATATATACATAGTATATATATATATATATATATATATATATATATAACTTATTTAGCTAGCCCCTTATTAATTTTTTCCCTAAATTTTCAACTGACCAATAATGTTGCTGTGAATATCTTTGTATATCTTTATGTATTTTTCCATTCCTTCCCTTTGATAAATTTCTGAAGCATCGAATTAAAGTTTATATATATTTTAAAGCTTATATATATTTTAAATTTTAATAAATATTTTCAAATTAAAAAATAATAAAATCACCTTTTTTTTTTGAGACAGTGTCTCGCTCTGTCGCTCAGGCTGGAATGCAATGGCACAGTCTCAGCTCACTGCAACCTCCACCTCCTGGGTTCAAGCGATTCTCATGTCTCAGCCTCATGAGTAACTGGGATTACAGGTGCATGCCACCATGCCCAACTAATTTTTGTATTTTTAGTAGAGATGGGGTTTCACCTCGCTGGCCAGGCTGGTCTCAAACCCTTGACTTCAAGTGATCCACCCACCTCAACCTCCCAAAGTGCTGGGATGACGGGCATGAGCCACCATGCCCAGCCGCATTTGTTTTTATAATACAGGATTCCCAAAGGAGCACTTTAAAGTCTCTTGCATGTAAAACAGTAAGCATCTTGAGAATACAAATGATGCAACCTGATTTTATTTAAGTGCTTTTTATAATTGTTTTAAATCCACCTAGAGTATACAGAATGTGAATATCAAGAAACCCATAACCGTGACTTTATCCTGATAGGAAGCAGAGGAAGAGGATGAAAAATGTGCCAGTGAGCTTGAGTCCTTGGAGAAACACAAGCACCTGCTAGAAAGTACTGTTAACCAGGGGCTCAGTGAAGCTATGAATGAATTAGATGCTGTTCAGCGGGAGTAAGTTTATCTCACCAAGATTTATACGTTTATTTTCAGATTATTAATTTAACAGTTCCATAAAATTAGATCTATTTTTATTTGCTTTAATTTATAGTATACAGCTATTTAGGATGGAAAGAATGGTATATAGAACTTAAGTACAACTGCTTATAACTCGAGAACTTTCCCTATCAACAGATACATTCTGTTAGTATTAGAGTT
Source organism: Homo sapiens (assembly GCF_000001405.40). Classification (NCBI taxonomy): domain Eukaryota; kingdom Metazoa; phylum Chordata; class Mammalia; order Primates; family Hominidae; genus Homo; species Homo sapiens. The sequence continues at coordinate 2,609,035 of NC_000018.10, forward strand.
ACTGTCCACCAAGAAATCATTAATCGTTAGATCTAGTTAATACATGGCTTTTAATCCCTGAAAACAACATAAAAAATTTTAAATCAATTCAAATAAATTTGGCTGTTAGTGAATTTTAATAAAATTCCACTAAGCTTTAATAAATTCCACTGAGCTCATGTTTTTATTTCCTAGAAATTATGTATATTATATAGTAAAATGTAATTATACTATAAATTATAGTCAGTCTACTATAACACAGCATATGCCTTCCAAATAGTTACCATGCTGTGCAAAATCATGCCATAAAAATCACAGGACCTACGGGAAAACTGATATTGAGGCACAGCACTAAAATTTCATCAGTAGTTAGGCTCAGTGGCACACACCTGTAGTCCCAGCTACTCATGAGGCCGAGACAGGAGAATCACTTGAGAAGTTCAAGAAGTTCAAGGCCATCCTGGGCACTATAGCAAGACTCCATCTCTAAAAAAATTAAAAACTCCATCAGTAACACATATAAACAAAAGATAAGAATCAAACAAAAATGTTAGCACAATGATACACATACTTAATGGCTAAGAAATACATAATGCTACAATAAATATGGGACCCTTCATAATAAAAAGACCTCTAGTTTGATTTGAGAAATGGGCATTCAGAAGGCTGCAGACTGAATTACTGTAAAGAGGTAGAAAGTGGGTTATCTGAAGTGGGATGGAAATTGCACCATCAGTACTGGATGCATGTGGCTCATTACATATGCAGTGCACTGAGTAGCTGCTGTACATTTGATGTGTGTGCTTAGATGTGTGTATTCTTTTGCATCTGGATTCAGCTGGGTGCGGTTTTCTGCATTCACCAGGTATTTCTCAGGAAAGAAACTGGCATAAGCAAACATGAAATTTGCCAGATTGCGCTCATATTTCCAAACAAACACAACAGAACTGCCTATATATTTTGTTGTATTTCTTAGAAGTACTTTATAATCAAATTATACGTTGTCAGGATCTCGTCCTTCTCAGTTTCCCTCACAATTTTTAAAACTTACATAGGAAAAATTTTAGCCACACTATATAATAACTACAACTACAAACAGTGGCATCCTTTCTTTAAATAATTTTCTGTCTCTGTGTATATAATGCTCTTGAGCAACTTATATAAAATCAATATACTGAACAGTTAATCCATAGGCTCCGTGTACATTTATGTAAAATATACATTTTTTAAGTCTTAAGTTGCCCTCAAATAACTGAAAAATTTTCTATTTTGAGATTGCAAGTACAAGCCTTGTGAAAGTCATTTCTCTTCACTTCTTTATTTGTAGGCCAAGGGGAGAAAACTCAGTTGAGGTTTATTTGGCCTGCAATTTTATTGGTTTTAATTTGAATTTGAATTCCTATAAGTAAGACTTCTACTCCCCCATTTGCAAATTTTTGTCTTGCCCAGAAAGCATTTGAGTTTACAATCCCTTTGGAGACTCAGTTACAACCCTTCGCTCCAAAGCTTTATATGTTAAAACATGGTGCTCTTTTGTTTTGTTGCTTGCAAAGGATCTTTGAAAATGTTTATATTTCTCTTTTAATTATTGATAGTGGGACCTCTACAAATTATACATATAGTATGCAGCACATAAATCAATCACAGTTTGGTTTTTTTGAATGTGGAAATGGGAAGTGAGCTAACTAGAACGGATGTATTAATTTTTTTCCTGGACAACTTAAACAAGAGTTTTTGTTCTACAGATACCAACTAGTTGTGCAAACCACGACTGAAGAAAGACGAAAAGTGGGAAATAACTTGCAACGTCTGTTAGAGATGGTTGCTACACATGTTGGGTCTGTAGAGGTAAGTATGTGATGGTCTTTCCTACGTTCTAAGAAAGGTTTTTAAAACTTTGATACATTTCTGCTTTCTTCCATATAAATTAAATGATGAATTTTATTTCTATTTAAAGTATGATCTGGCAAAAATTTATCAGAAGAATCTTGTCTAGTGATGTGGCAACGTGATGCAGGGGAACACTTGAGCATTTTTTTTTTTTTTTTTTTTGAGACGGAGTTTCACTCTCATCACCCAGGCTGGAGTCCAATGGCATGGTCTCAACTCACTGCAACCTCCACCTCCCAGGTTCAAATGATTCTCCTGTCTCAGCCTCCCAAGTACCTGGGATTACAGGAGCCTGCCACCACGCCCAGCTAATTTTTGTATTTTTAGTAGAGACAGGGTTTCATCTTGTTGGCCAGGCTGGTCTCAAACTCCTGACCTCAGGTGATTCACCTGCCTCGGCCTCCCAAAGTGCTGGGATTACAGGCGTGAGCCACCGCACCCAGCCCACTTGTGCATTTTATAAAGTAATCTATTGTATTTGCATAAACAACATATGATGTTATGTATTACACCAACAATGTATAATGATGCTATGCCAGGCCATGTTCTACATACTGAAAACATATTAGTACATTTGAAAACTTATCGTACATTTAGGATTTCATTAAGCTTAAGATGAAAGGGCATATCTTATGATGATCGTTATTCCTTTCTGTGATTTCATATAGGCACAAAGTAAAGTATTTCAAAAGTATGAGTTTTATTTACCTCATCCCCACTCTTCACACAGCTAAAGTTCACCAATAAAACTATCCCTCCAACCTGCTGCACAGAGCCCCAGAAGCTAAGATAAATTGCTGAACTATAAAATTCTTGGTTAATTTATTAGGTGATAATATATTTCCAGTTGAGTATGGTTTAAGAAAAAAATTCACTTTATCATATTAATAGACTTCCATTTATTGAAAACATGAGCATGTGATACCCTACTACCCATCCTCTCCCCTGAAAGACATTGAACTGCTGCTTTCTTGGTGCCAATGGTCTTCACTTTTTAGTGTGAAGAACTAAGAAAAGCATCCTAGATGCTATGTCAGAAAACGTGGGTTCTACCCACTTTCTAATTCAAGCACTAAGTGTTTCTATAACCTTGCCTGATCCTTTTCAGCCAGTGTTATTCATCTGAACCATAGGACAAAAAATTATCTGAGTGATATGTTCTCATTTTCCCAATCATAGTATACAATAATTCTATTCTAGATGCATAAGAGAAAAGTTTATTCATAGCATACAATTGATGGCTTAGGTTGACAGAGCCTGTTTTTATGTGTCATTTTACATCTTTGAGTCCTTAGTTTCTTCATCTGTAAAAATGAAGCAGTTGTGCTAAACAGTTGTGAACATCCTTAGCACCTCTGACTTTCTTTTCTTTCTTTTTTTTTTTTTTTTTTTTTTTTTTTTTTTTTGAGATAGCCTCACTCTGTCACCCAGGCAGTAGTGCAATGGCGCGATCTCGGCTCACTGCAAACTCGCCTCCCAGGTTCAAGGGATTCTCCTGCCTCAGCCTCCCAAGTAGCTGGGATTACAGGCATGTGCCACCATGCCCGGCCAGTATTTGTATTTTTAGTGGAGACAGAGTTTCACCATGTTGGCCAGGCTGGTCTCAAACTCCTGACCTCAAGTGATCTGCCCACCTCAGCCTCCCAAAGTTCTGGGATTGCAGGCATGAGCCACTCGCCTGGCAGTGATTTTCTATTATCTGCAGCTCTATTGTCTGTCCTTTGTTAATTCAGTAGTAACTTATCACTAGGGATTTGTGTGAAGTAATCACAGTTATCAATGTTTTAATCAGTTAACATAAAGCTAGATTTGAAAACCTAATGGTAAGTTACTATTATTTTTTAGTTTCTGTATAGTTTGGTGTTATTAGGAAAATTAGACCAAATTCAGCAAGCACTAAGCGCTTACTTTGCACTATGCAAAATTTATGATTAATCAGTATAAATTCTTAATAGCTTTCATAAAATATGGAAGAACCATAGAAAGTCAAACGAGTGTGGTTCCAATAAACAATATTTGTTGAACAGGATCAGGCAAAATGAGGAAACTTTACAATGAGTAATCAAGTTGGACTAAAGAAAACAGAGAGGGGGGTTTAGATCTAAAGGTACTTTTAGATGGAATATTTTTCTTGTGGGACAAAGTGTTTATTTGAGCAGTTCCTGGTTGGAGCCCCATAAAGGTCTCACATGTGGCTTGATGTTCTAGACCAGGGGTCAGCAAACTACAACCTGCAGGCCCAATTGGGCCTACAGCCGGCTTTTGTAAATAAAGTTTTATTGGAGCACAGCCACCTCATTTGTTTTAGTATATCTTTGGCTGGTTTTGCACTACAGTGGCAGAATTGAGCAATTGTTAAGAAAACCATCTAGACTGCCAAGCCTAAAGTAGTTATTATTTGATTCTTTACAGAAAAACTTTGCTTTTCCTGTGAGACACAAAATCACCTTTTTTTTCTTTTTTGGTCTGTTTAGGCATACCAAGAATTATTATAAAGCTGTAATAACTAGCACATTGTAGTATTGATGCAGAAAGACCAGTCTCTGTGATTAAGAGTACAGAAATAGATGCATGAGCATAGACATGAAATATATGTGAGAGAGGCAGTATTTCAGAATAGTTGGATAAAATGAATTGTTCAATTAATGAAGTTGGATCCCTACCTTAAACTCTACACAGAAATCAGTTCCAGATGGATTCAGAAATTAATGTGAGGCTAACTTTTTTAACTTTTACGAGAATTATAAGAAACTATCTTTATACTTTAGGGGTTGTAAATGAGTTCTTAAATTAGACACAAAAAGCACAAACCACAAAAAAATTATTTACAAATTTACCTTTCTTAAAATTAAGATCTTCTCTACATCAAAAGACACGGAAAGAGAGTGGAAAGACAAGCCACAAACTGATAGAAGATGTTTTTTAAAACACAACTGGTAAAAGATTACCATCCAGATATACAATGGCCTTTGAAAAATAAATAAATGGACGAAAGATTTGAAGGGGCCCCGAAAATATGTACATCTGATATGTATCAATAAAAATAATTATTTTACTTGAATGAGAATTTCACAAAAGAACCAAGGTGGCCAATAAACATATGAAAGTATATGTCATATTCCACACTTAAGAAATTGGCAAAAATTTAGTTTGATCATTACCAAATGCCAGCAAGGATGTGGAGAAATGGGAGTTCTAATTTACTGCTAGCAACTATGTAAATTGATAAAATAATTTTAGAAAACAATTTGGTGGCTGGGCACAGTGGGTCATGCCTGTAATCCCAGCACTTTGGGAGGCCAAGGCTGGCGGATCACAAGGTCAGGAGATCGAGACCATCCTGGCCAACATGGTGAAACCCCATCTCTACTAAAAATACAAAAATTAGCTGGGTGTGGTGGCACGTGCCTGTAATCCCAGCTACTTAGGAGGCTGAGGCACGAGAATCGCTTGAACCCAGGAGGCAGAGGTTGCAGTGAGCCGAGATCGCACCACTGCACTCCAGCCTGGCTACAGAGCAAGATGCTGTCTCAAAAAAAGAAAGAAAGAAAGAAAGAAAGAAAGAAAGAAAGAAAGAAAGGAAGGAAGGAAGGAAGGAAGGAAGGAAGGAAGGAAGGAAGGAAGGAAGGAAGGAAGGAAGGAAGGAAGGAAGGAAGGAAGGGAAAGAAAGAAAGAAAGAAAGAAAGAAAGAAAGAAAGAAAGAAAGAAAGAAAGAAAGAAAGAAAGAAAGAAAGAAAGAAAGAAAGAAAGAAATAAATTTGGCAATCCGAAAAACCAACTTTCACTCTAGGTATATTTGCCCTAAAAAAAATATTTACACTATATGCTAGGGGGCTGTACTAGGTTGAATAGTGCCCCCCGCAAAAGTCATGTCTATCCTAAATCACAGAAGGTGAGCTTATTTGGAAGTAGGATCTTTGCAAATGCGGTTGGTTAAGATGAGGTCATGTTGGATTAGGGTAGCAGTTGGTTAAGATGAGGTCATGTTGGATTAGGGTAGGCCCTAAATCTAGTGACTGGCATCCTTACATGAAGATCGTGTGCGGACAGAGGCGGATGCTGGGGTGAAGCAGCCGCATGCTAAGGAACACCAAGGACTGCCAGGAGCCGCCAGCAACTGGGGAGAGACGAAGAAGGATTCTTCCCTAGAGCCTTCAGAGAGACCATGGCCCTGCTGACGTCTTGATTTCAAACTTCCGGCCTCCAGAGCTGAAAGAGTACATTTCTGTTGTTTTAAGCCACCTAGTTTGTGGCAATTTGTTACAGTATCAGTATTTGAAATCGCAAAAAAATCAACAAAAACAACAAGAAAAAATAATGTGGCATGTTAGTTTCCCATTGCTAATGTAACAAATTACCACCAACCTAATGGCTTAAAACAACACAAATTTGTCATCTTAGAGTTATTAAGGTTAGTCTAAAATGGGTCCAAAGGGCTGTAATCTTTCTGGGGCCTTTGCCAGCTTCTAGAGGCCACCTACAGTCCTTGGCTTGTAGCTCCTTCCTTTATCATTAAAGCCAGTGCATGGCATCTTCTCTCCTCTCTGCCCTCTGCTGCTGTCCTTAAATTCCTTCTCTGACTCTGACACTGGTGATTTCCTCTTCTAAGGACCCACCTGGATAGTGCAGGATAATCTCCTTTTCTCAAGATCCTTAACTTAGTCACATCTACAGTTTCTTTTGCTATGTAAGCTAATAGTCACAGGTTCCTTTCTGGAATTAGGGCATGGACATCTTTGGAAAGGCTATTACTCAGCCTACTATACCTGGGAACAAACAAAACTTCATTACCAGCAAAATAAGTAAATGTTGATATATTCATTCTAGAATACTATGCAGTACATTGAATAAACTGCAGCCATATGTAGTAACATGAATGAATTTTAAAATACTATATGAAAAAGTCATAGAACATTATATTTAATATCATTTGATAAATACGAAGGTGAAAACCAGGTACTATTAAGTCAATATATATTTAGACATGTGTGTGTAATAAAGGTATAATATAAAGAAAAGCAAAACACCATTCAGGCAAGAGGCTATATCTTGGGGAGAAAAAAGAAGATACAATTCAGAAAGGGCACAAAAAGAGAGCCTATGTGGTGAATACAAATATATTCTTTTTACTTTTTTTTTGGAGATAGCATCTTGCTCTGTGACACAGGCTGGAGTGCAGTGGTCCAATCTTGGCTCACTGCAACCTCCACTTCCCAGCCTCAGGTGATCTCCTGCCTCAGCCTCTTGCATAGTTGGAATTACAGGCACACACCACCACACCTGGCTAATTTTTGTATTTTTAGTAGAGAGGGGGTTTTGCCATGTTGGTCAGGCTGGTCTCAAACTCCTGACCTCAAGTGATCCACCCACCTCAGCCTCATAAAGTGCTGGGATTGCAGGAGTGAGCCACCATGCCCGGCCCTTTTTATTCTTAACTTAAAAATGTTATCCTCTTGTTTGTAAATTTTACAATTAAACATTTTAAAAGAAATTAATTTTTTTTACTTTAACAATTGTTAATTCTCTTCACTAGAAACATCTTGAGGAGCAGATTGCTAAAGTTGATAGAGAATATGAAGAATGCATGTCAGAAGATCTCTCGGAAAATATTAAAGAGATTAGAGATAAGTATGAGAAGAAAGCTACTCTAATTAAGTCTTCTGAAGAATGAAGATAAAATGTTGATCATGTATATATATCCATAGTGAATAAAATTGTCTCAGTAAAGTGTATTTTTCTCTCTCATTTCTTACTAATTTCAAATGGTGAGAAGGCAAGGTAGTATGATTTAAACCAGAAGTCGGCAAAATACAGGTTGAGGATCCCTTACCCAAAATGCTTGGGACCAGAATTGTTTTGGAATTGGGTTTTTGGGGGTTGGGTTTTTTGTTTTTTGTGTGTTTGTTTGTTTGTTTGTTTTTCAGATTTTGGAAATCTTGTGATATCTTGAGGACAGGACTCATGTCTAAACATGAGATTTATTTATACACCTTATACACATAGGCTGAAGGTTACTTCATACAATATTTTTAATAATTTTGTGCATGAAACAATTTTGACTGAAATCCTTCATGAGGTCAAATGTGGCATTTTCCAGTTGGTGTTATGTCAGCGCTCAAAAAGTTTCAGATTTTAGGCTGTTTGTGGTGGCTCATGCGTGTAATCCAAGCACTTTGGGAGGCCAAGGTGTGAGACCCTACAAAAAGTTTAAAAATAAGCCAGGCATGGTGGCACCCACCTGCAGTCCCAGCTACTCACGAGACTGAGGTAGGAGTCTACCTTGAGTCCAGGAGGTTGGGGCTGCAGTGAGCTGTGATCACGCCACTGCACACCAGCCTGGGTGGCAGAGCAAGACCCTATCTCCAAAAAAGAAAAAAAGAAAAGTTTCAGGTTTTGAAGCTTTTTGGATTAGAGATGTTCTCAACCTACATCATGTGAGCCAAATCCAGCCGCACCCATTTATTTTCATATTGTCTATGACTGCTTTCTTACTACAGTGGCAGAGTTGAGTATATTCCAGAGAGACCATGTGGCCTGCAAAGCCAGAAATGTTGAGAAATGTTTACTGTCTGACCCTTTACAGAAAGTTCGCCGATCCCTTGTACAAATTATACAAAGGTTGATACTAACTAAACTTTTTAATGACTCTAGGCATATAGTACAACCCACTCCTGATCCAGAGCCCTGTGGTTTTCTGGCTTCATGCCATCTTTACTCCGAAACAGAAGAATACAGAATGTGAGAAACAGAAGAAATAAAAGAGTTCAACCCCCTCATTTTAGAGATGGGAGTTTATTTCTAGAGAAGCTCTGATTTCCCTCAGATTACACTTCTTAGTAGTGCTACAAGCCACAGTGGAACTTATTTGAGCTGGTGCACAATCCTGGGTACAGCCACAGGAGCCATGACAAATGAATATTCAGGACGTTAGAATGTGAGGTTTAAATTTCTGTTCTTTCAAATGTGAGTCAGAATGAAGAACATAAAAAGAAATGTAAGTAAAATACAATAAAAACTTGGAATGGAATTACAGCAAGGCTTTATGAAGAGAAGTGCATTTAGAATGGAATGAAAAAGAGGTTACAGTTTAGGGATAACTAATAATGACAAGCGTAGTAGTTACCAATGTATTGAAAAATCTTGACTTCTGACATCTAATAGAACTTTCTTCTATATAAATGTTCTATCTGCACTATCCAGTGTGGTACCAGCCACATGTAGTTATTGTGCACTCAAGTGACACATGAAGAAAGAATCTCAAAGATCTGAATGGACATTTCTCAAAATCAGACATACAAATGGCCAATGGGTATGTGAAAAAATGCTGAACATCACTATTCAGAGAAATGCAAATCAAAACCACAATGAATACCTCACGCCAGTTAAAATGGCTTTTATCAAAAAGCGAATAGGGTTCCTGGCAAGGATGTGGACAAAAGGGAACCCTCCTCCGTTGTTGATGGGAATGTAAATTAGTGCAGCCACCATGGAAAACTGTGGAGATTCCTGAAAAAATTAAAAATAGAACTATCATATGATCCAGCAATCCCACTGCTGGGTATATATCCAAAAGAAAAGAAATCAATATATTGAAGAGATGTCTGCACTCCCATGTTTATTTCAGCACTACTTACAATAGCCAAAATATGGAATCAACCCAAGTGCCCGTCAATGGATAAGTGGATAAAGAAAATGTGATATATATACACAATGGAATATTCCACCGTTTAAAAAAATGAAATCCTATCATTTGCAGCAACACGGACGGAACTGAAGGTCACTGTTAAGTGAAATAAACCAAGCACAGAAACACAGATATCACATGTTCTCACTCAGATGTAGGAGTTAGGAATGTGGATCTCATAAAGAATGGTGGTTACCAGAGGCAGGGATGGGTAGGGGGAGGGAGGGATGAAGAGAGGTCAATAAATGGCTACAAAAAAATACAGGTAGATAGAAAAAATAGACCTAGTGTTCGATAAGTCAGTAGAGTGACTATAGTAAAACATCTATTGTATATTTCAAAATAGTAGAGAATAATTCAAATGTTTCCAGCATAAAGAAAAGATAAATGTTTAAGGTGATGGATGTTCCATTTACCCTGATTTGGTTATTATACATTATATTAATAATACCAAATATCACATGTACCCCAGAAATATGCACATCTATTATGTATCAATAAAAAATAAAATTGCCACAGTCATAAATGAAATCATATTCTTCGCAACAATATCGATAGAGCTGGAGGCCTTTATCCTAAGTTAACTGACTCAGAAATAAGAAACCACATACCATATTTTCTCATGTATAACTGGGAGTTAAACATGTACACAGGGACATAAAGATGGAAATAATAGACACTGGGGACTCCAAAAGTGGGGGAGGATGGAAAGGAGCCTAGAGTTGAACAATTACCTATTTTACCTAGAAGCCCCACCAATATGCAATATACCCGTGTAACATACAAGTAACCCTTGAATCTAAAAATTGTTAAAAAAAAAATTAAAAAGACTCAAGATCTTTGCCACTCACAACCTGGTACAGAAACAACAGCAGCATCACCATCACCTGTGAGCTTGTTAGAAATGCAGACTCTGTTTTAAGAGACAGAGTCTCGCTCTGTCGCCCAGTCTGGAGTGCAGTGGTGTGATCATAGCTCACTGCAGTTTCAAACTCCTGGTCTCAAGCCATTCCACCACCTCAGCCTCCCAAGTAGCTAGGACCACAGGCTCATGCCACCACGTCTAATTTGGTTGGTTTTGTTTGTTTGTTTTTGGTTTTTTTTGACACAGAGTCTCACTCTTATCACCCAGGCTAGAGTGCAGTGGTACCAAATTGGCTCACTGCAACCTCCACCTTCCAGGTTCAAGCAATTCTCATGCCTCAGCCTCCCGAGTAGCTGGGATTACAGGCACGTGCCACCATGCCTTGCTAATTTGTGTATTTTAGTAGAGACAGGGTTTCACCATGTTGGCCAGGTTGGTCTCGAACTCCTGACCTGAAGTGATCTGCCCGCCTCAGCCACCCAAAGTGCTGGGATTACAGGCATGAGCCACCACATCTGGCCTAATTTTTTTTTTTTTTTAGAGACAGGATCTCACTATGTTGTCCAGGCTGGTCTCAAACTCCAGGAGTCAAGCAATCCTCCCAACTTGGCCTCCCAAACTCTAGGATTGCAGGTGTGAGCTACTGTGCCTGGTCCAGAAATGCATACTCTTGATCCCACCCCAAACCTACTGAATCAGAATCTGTACTTTTTATAGTGTATTAACATAAACTACATATTTAAAGTTTTCATAAGTGTTGACATCTGTATCTGTAAAACCATCATCACAATCAAGCTAATGAACATATCCATCACCACCAAGAGTTTGCTTATAGCCCTTTGCCATCCATTCTCACCCCCCACACCACACCAATCTCCAGGAAAGCACTGATCAATCACCTTTCTGTTACTACAGACCAATTAGTAAATTGGTAACAGAAACAGTAAATTGAAAACAAAGAAATTTACAACTTTCTAGAATATTACATAAATATATAATGTAGTATGTATACTTCTGCATGGCTTCTTTCACTCAGAATAATTCTTCTGAGACTCACACATGTTCTGTGTATCAATAGTTTATTCCTTTTTATTGTCAAGTAATATTCCATTATATGAACACGCTGAGTTTGTTCATCCATTCACCTGTTGATGGTCATTGTGTTGTTTATAGTTTTTGACTATTACAAATAAAAAGCCATTATGAACATTCATGTATGAATGTTCATATGGACACATGCTTTTTCATTACTCTTAGTTAAAAACCTTGGAGTGGAATAGCTAGTCCGTATAGCATAGACGCAAATTTAACTTTTAAGAAACTCACTGGTGGCTGGGCGCGGTGGCTCATGCCTGTAATTCCAGCACTTTGGGAGGCCGAAACGTGTAGATCATCTGAGGTCAGGAGTTCAAGACCAGCCTGTCCAACATGGTGATACCCCATCTTTACAGAAATACAAAAATTAGCCGGGCATGATGGCGGGTGCCTGTTATCCCAGCCACTTGGGAGGCTGAGGAGGAAGAATCGCTTGAACCCAGGAGATGGAGGTTGCAGTGAGCCAAGATCACACCATTACACTCCAGCCTGGATGGCAGAGTGAGACTCCATCTCAAAAAAAAAAAAAAAAGAAATTCACTGGCTTGTCCAAAGGTAGTATGTTATCTCAATTGATTTTTCATATTCAGTTACAGATCAAACTCCTTGTTCTACTCTTTCCCTCTTCTCACTACTACACTTGATGAGTGGAAAGAAGGAAGGAAGGAAGGAGAGAAAGAAAAAGAAAGAAAGAGAAAAAGAAGAAAGAAAGAAAGAAAGAAAGAAAGAAAGAAAGAAAGAAAGAAAGAAAGAAAGAAAGAAAGAAAACTCACAAAATATTTGTTTTCCAAGTGGTTGTACTATATTATGTTCCTACCTGCAGTGAGGGTTCCTGTTGGTCCAAATCCTTACTGACGCTTTGTATGATAGGACTTCTTCCAAACTGCTCATTACTTTAAAACATTTGATGTTTGAGCATGCTGCTTGTCATAAAGTTCTGTCTTCTACTGGACCAAAATCTGCCTCTTTGTAACTTCCTCTAGTTCCATGTTTTTACCACTGAGTAGTTGGGTTATCGCAGTCTAATTCCATTGAGGAACATCAATTATCTTTATTTTTTATTATCCATCTTATGTTTGATTCTATGTTTCATTAAATCAATTTTTTCCCAATTGTTTTAATCTCTTTGTCATTTTTCCTCACTTTCAGTGTTGTTATTTAAGTCTTTCTTCTATGGAAGTGTTTTTTAAATTTTTATTTAATTTTAAATTTTGGAAGAATTTGACTTTTTAAAAAGGTTGCAAGAGTAATTCAAATTGTCCCCCTCATACAAATTCTCTTGCTAATATTTCACTACAAACATTTATTTATCATTCTCGCTCCTCTCCTTTCTATTTATTTATTAATATCTGTTTTAGAGATAGGGTCTTGCTCTATCGCTCTGGCTGGAATGCAATGGTGTGATCATGGTTCACTGCAGCCTCGAACTCCTGGGTTCATGTAATCCTCCTGCCTCAGCCTTTTGGGTAGCTGGAACTACAGGTGTGCACCACCACATACAGCTAATTTTTGTATTTTTTTTTTTTGCAGAGACAGAGTCTAGCTATGTTGCCTGGGCTGGTCTCAAAATCCTAGACTCGGCCGGGCGCGGTGGCTCATGCCTGTAATCCCTGCACTTTGGGAGGCCGAGGCGGGCGGATCACGAGGTCAGGAGATCGAGACCATCCTGGATAACATGGTGAAACCCCGTCTCTACTAAAAATACAAAAAATTAGCAGGGTGTGGTGGCGGGCAACTGTAGTCCCAGCTACTCGGGAGGCTGAGGCAGGAGAATGGCGTGAACCCGGAGGCGGAGCTTGCAGTGAGCAGAGATCATGCCACTGCACTCCAGCCTGGGCGACAGCGAGACTTCGTCTCAAAATAAATAAATAAATAAAAATCCTAGACTCAAGCGATCCTCTAGCCTCGACCTCTCAAAGAGATAGGATTAAAGGCATCATTACTGTGCATAGCCTTTTCTCTTATCTTGACTCACCTGTAAGTTGCAGACATGATACCTTTTTAACTTCAAATAATTCAGTATATATTTCCTTAAAACAATGTCAATCTTATATAATCATAATACAATTATCAAAATCAGGAGATTAATATTGGTACATTACTACCTAATCTACAGAAAGTACTCAAATGTTGCCCGTTGACCCCAAAATGTTCTTTATTAGGATTTTTTTTTCCTGGTGCAGGATCCAACCCAGTACACACATTGCATTTAGTTGTCAAATCTTTTCCTTTATTTTTATATTTTATTTTATTTTATTTTTGGAGACAGGATCTCACTCTCACCCAGGCTGGGGTGCAATGGTGCAATCTCGGCTCACTGCAACCTCCGCCTCCTGGGTTCAAGTGATTCTCCTGCCTCAGCCTCCCAAGTAGCTGGTATTACAGACACATGCCATGACGCCCAGCTGATTTTTGTATGTTTAGTATGGACGGGGCTTCACCATGTTGGCCAGGCTGGTCTCGAACTCCTGACCTCAGGTGATCTGCCCACCTCGGCCTCCCAGAGTGCTGGGATTACAGTCATGAGCCACCGCACCTGGCCCAAATCTATTTAATCTCCTTTACAACTGGATGAGTTTCTCATTCTGACTTTGACTTTTATGACCTTGGTATTTTTGAAGAGTCATTTATAGAATATTTCTCAATTTTCGCCTAATGGATCTCATGATTAGATAGGATATCCACAGAAGTGATGTTACATTCTTTTCAGTGCATCCTACCAGAAGGTACATGGTGTTGTTAACTTTAATCAGCTGATTGTGGTGGTGTCTGTAAGGTTAATATGTTCACCTTTGTAATTAATAAGTATCTCACAAGGAGGATACTTTGAGACCATGTAAATATAATATTTCTCATCAAGCTTTTACTTAACATCTGTGTCTCTTGAATGAATTATTACGCATTGGATGCCAAAAAATGATTTTTAAATTTCTATATTCTTTCTATAATTCTTTCTTATTAACTAGCATTCTACTTAAGGGAGAACTTTCCCTTCCCCACCATTTATTCATTTATGTCAGTATGGACCCATGGATTCTTATTTCATTTTCATTTTATTTTTTTTGAGATGGAGTTTTGCTCTTGTTGCCCAGGCTGGAGTGCAATGGCGCAATCTTGGCTCACTGCAACCTCCGCCTCCCAGGTTCAAGCAATTCTCCTGCCTCAGCCTCCCGAGTAGCTGGGATTACAGGCATATGCCACCATGCCTGGCTAAAGTTTTTTTGTATTTTTAGTAGAGATGGGGTTTCTCCATATTGGTCAGGCTGGTCTCGAACTCCTGACCTCAGGTGATCCGCCCACCTCGGCCTCCAAAAGTGCTGGGATTATAGGCGTGAGCCACTGCGCCCGGCCTGGATTCTTATTTCAATCAGTGGGTTGTAATCTGTAACTATCACTATTTATTTTTATGTTTAAATCGTCCCAGATTTGGCCAGCGGGAGCCCATCAGGCTGGTTCCTGTGTCCTTTTTTGACATTTCTCCATCATTCTTTGAGCATTTCCTTAATTTCTGACACAATAGGATGTTCCAGTCCCATCCTGTATTGTCCATGCCCCACCCCTGGAATCAGCCAATCCTCCAACAATCCCTGGTTCCTTTTAGTGGACAATAATGTTTAGAAACCAAACTCTGGGTCAAACAGAGTGGCTGATGCCTGTAATCCCAGCATTTTGGGAGGCTGAGGCAGGAGAATTACCTGAGCCCAAGACTTCGAGACCAGCCTGGGCAACATAGAGACCTCATCTGCACTTTAAAAAAAAAAAATTATCCAGGATGGTGGCATGCTCCTGTAGTTTCAGCTACTCAGGAGGCTGCAGTGTGAAGATAGCTTGATACTGGGATATTGAGGTTCAGTGAGCTACGATGGTGCCACTGCACTCTAGCCTGGGCAACAGAGCGAAACCTTGTCTCAAAAAAAATAAAAATAAACAATCTGGGCACATATGTGCCCATTGTTCCTAAGGCGCCACTGCTTTCAGGCCCTCTCCAAGGACAGAGCTAGAAAATAGAAGTATGCAGGCTGGGCATAGTGGCTCACCCCTGTAATCTCAGCACTTTGGGAGGCTAACGCAGGCAGATCACCTGAGGTCAGGAGTTTGAGACCAGCCTGGCCAACATGGTGAAACCCCGTCTCTACTAAAAATACAAAAATTAGCCAGGCATGGTGGCGGGTGCCTGTAATCCCAGCTACTGGGGAGGCTGAGGCAGAAGAATTGCTTGCACCCAGGAGGCAGAGGTTGCAATGAGCTGAGATCGAGCCACTGCATCCCAGCCTGGCCAACAGAGCGAGACTCTGTCTAAAAAGAAAAAAGAAGAGAAAATAGAAGTATGTAGGTACATACACACATCTATATTTATATCTCTATCTGTATCAACATATTAAAAACCAGGAGTTCATATGGATATCTCCAGCTTTAATCCAACACTACGTGAGTGCTTCATCATGAGGACCAGAGCATAAATCTCGATAAGCAAGAATTCACTGGCTTGGGGGCACTTTTTCAGAACACAGGATTTAACACCATGGCAAGGACCCCAGGGGATGGGGGCAAACTCACTACTGAGGTGACTCATAACAGCACATGTAAAATGATGGCTCTCAGTGAGGTGGAAATGGCTGAGTTGCCCTGGCAGAGAGGAGAGGAAGAAATGGAAAGGCTGAGGGAAGTGGGCATGCTGGAATGCCTCTATCATGTAAAGCCAGAAGACCCTCCAGAGGACCATGTTCCACAGGAAGGCCTTGAGGACACCCCATCAAGGCCATCAGCCCTGGTGAGAGGGGCTGCAGCATCACCAGGAAGCTCAGTGGTGTCTCCTCTGCAGGCTGTGGGAGGTGGGAGAGGCAGGTGCAGAGTGCAGCTCATTAACATCCACGTGCATGACGGAGCCCCGAAGTAGCAAAGGCCGGGAGGCCGCCCACAGTGATGGGCAAGGCCAGACAAGCTCTCAAGGGAGGCTTGACCTGAAGGAAATTATGCAGGTAGTTAATAGGGATAGTGCCCATAGGGGCAAAATAGAAGGGCAGAGCTGGGGCAGAGCTGTGTTAACTCTCCTGCCCTCTGTCACAATTTAGTCCAGAGACCTAGAATGCCTGGACATCACACTGATCCCACAAGGGCAGGATGTTTTTTAAATCTTTAAAAAAAATCAATAGATTATTTTTAGAGCAGTTTTAAGTTTACAGAAATACTGAACAAGGGTGTTTTTTGGAGTGGCGGGAAAAAAGCAAAAATGGTGGAACACGGACCTAAGGGCAGTCACTCCTATGAAAGAATCACAATCTCTTGCTCAGTTCCCAGATCTGAGCCATTTTCAGATCTGAAACTCACTGACTGAAGATGTAGCTGACTTTCTAGGAAAAAAAACCCTAACAACACCATGGCAAGCGCATACTGTGGCAATTCCCCCAGTTCTTTTTTGTTTTTTTTTTTTGAGACAGTCTCGCTCTGTCACCCAGGCTGTAGTGCAGTGGTGTGATCTCTTCTCACTACAACCTCTGCCTCCTGGGTTCAAGCAATTCTCTTGCCTCAGCCTCCTGCATAGCTGGGACTACAGGTGCACGCCACCATGCCTGGCTAATTTGGGAGGCACTTTAGGAGGCTGAGGTGGATCGCCTGAGTTCAGGAGTTCGAGACCAGCCTGGCCAACATGGTGAAACCCTGTCTCTACTAAAAATACAAAAAATTAGCCAGGCATAGTGACGCACACCTGTAGTCCCAGCTACTCAGGAGGCTGACGCAGGAGAATTGCTTGAACCTGGCAGGCGGAGGTGGCAGCGAGCTGAGATCGCACCACTGCACTCCAGCCTGGGCGACAGAGTGAGACTCCATCTCAAAAATAAAAGAAAAAAGAAAATATGGTATATATACACCATGGTATACTATGCAGCCATAAAAAAGAATGAAATCGGCCGGGCGCGGTGGCTCATGCCTATAATCCCAGCACTTTGGGAGGCCGAGGCGGGAAGATCACAAGGTCAGGAGACTGAGACCATGCTGGCTAACATGGTGAAACCCCATCTCTACTAAAATACAAAAAAAAAATTAGCCAAGTGTGGTGGCACATGCCTGTAGTCCCAGCTACTCAGGAGGCTGAGGCAGGAGAATCACTTGAACCTGGGAGGCAAAGGTTGCAGTGAGCCGAGATCACATCACTGCACTCCAGCCTGGGTGACAGAGCAAGACTCCATCTCTAAAAAAGAAAAGAAAGAAAATATGGTACATATACACCGTGGAATACTATGCAGCCATAAAAAAGAATGAAATTATGTCCTTTGCAGCAACATGGATGCAGTTAGAGGTCATAATCCTAGGCAAATTAAGGCAGGAACAGAAAACCAAATACCACATGTTCTCACTCATAAGGGGAGCTAAACATTGAGCACACATAGACATAAACACAGGAACAACAGACACTGTGGATTACAAGAGAGCGGAGGTAAGGAGTGGGACATGGGTTGAACAAATACCTATTGGGTACTATGCTCATTACCTGGGTGATGGGCTCCATAACCCAAACCTCAGCATTACACAATATTCCCATGTAACAAACCTGCACATGTACCCTCTGTATCTAAAATAAAAGTTGAAATTTTTAAAAGATGAGAAAAGAAAAGCAGCCTCAGCAGGTCCTTTAGGAGGTATCCAGAAGAAGGCATTGTTATCCTAGGAGATGACAGCTCCATGTAGGTTATTGCCCCTGAAGACCTTCCAGTGGGACAAGATGTGGAGGTGGAAGACAGTGATATTAATGATTAGCCTAAGCTAATGTGCATGTTTTTGTCTTAGTTTTTAACAAAAAAGCTTAATTTTTTTAAATAAAATAGTTAAAAGCTTAGAGAATAAGGATATAAAGAAAATACTTTTGTACAGCTGTACAATGCTTGTGTTTTAAGCTGTGTTATTAGAAAAGCCAAAAAGTTTTTTAAATTGAGTTTATGAAGTAAAAATGTTACAGCAAGCTAAGATTAATTTGTTATCAAAGAAAGAACATTATTTTTAATAAATCTAGTGTAGCCTAAGTATACAGTGTTCATAAAGTCTACAGTAGTGTGCAGTAGCATCCTGGCTCTTCCCTTTCACTCACCACTCACTCACTAACTCACTCGGAGCAACTTCCAGTCCTGCAAGCTCCATTCATGGTAAGTGCCCTATACAGGTGTACCATGTTTTTTATCTTTTATGCCATATTTTTACTGTACCTTTTCTATGTTTAGATAGATTTAACTACAGATACTTACCGTTGTGTTACAATTGCCTGCAGTACTCAGTACAGTCATGTGCTGTACAGGTTTGTAGCCCAGGATCCACAGGCTATACCACGTAGCCTAGGTGTGTAGGTGATACCTACATTGAAGACTTAAAGGATTCAGGGGTGAAAGCTAGGTGATACCACTAGGTTTGTGTAAGTGCACTCTATGACATTCACACTATGATGAAATCACCTAATGACACATTTCTCAGAACAGATCCCTGTCATTAGGTGACTCATGGCTGTACTTGGGTGGTTGTAGACTGCAAAGGGTATTAACAGACAGTTGTAGGACAACTTGACATAGGATCTGAGTTGTCATTGACCAACAGCACCACCCACAACCCCTCTATTAGAGTAGGGTTTGTGAGAACTAAGTAGTTCAAGGAGTCTTGGCTAAGAGGCCTGGCTCATAGTATACCCACTGGGTCTGTAGACCCACCCAAGGGCCAGTTCCTTGACCCAAACTGCAAAAATGAAAATTGGTATACTTGGGATTTGGAGTACACCCACATTGGGTCATTAGGCTGTAGCATAAGAGCTATTATAATGAGGAACGCCTTATGGAAACTGCTGAAGCTGCCTGCTAGGCTAAGATAGTAAATTAAATAACATCAGATACCAGGAAGGCAGAGATCAGCGCCATCATTAAAGACTTAAAGGATTCAGGGGTGATGAACCCTGTCATATCTCCATCTAATTTACCAATCTGGCTCTTTCAGAAAGTGAATGGGCCCTGGGAAATGGAGACTACCCCAGACTAACCCAGTAGTAGCCTCATTCCCAGTTCCTATACCAGATGTGCTATCAGTGCTAGAGCACCTTTTTTTTTTCTCCAAACATGGTGTCAAAAAAATTTTTTTTTTGAGATAGGGTCTCAATCTGTCACCCAGGCTGGAATACAGTGATGTGATCATGGCTCACTTCAGCCTCAGCCTCCCCAGGTTCAGGTGATCCTCTCACCTCAGCCACCCAAGTAGCTGGGACTACCGGTATGCACCATCACACCCAGCTAATGTTTTGTATTTTTTGTCAAGATGGAGTTTCACCATGTTGCCCAGGCTGCTCTAAAACTCCTGGGCTTAAGTGATCTGCCTGCTTTGGCCTCCCAAACTGCTAGGATTACAAGCGTGAGCCATCATGCCCAGCCTACTAGATCATATTAATAAGGCTTCAGCATGTGGTATATAACCATTGATTTGGTGAATATATTCCTTACCATGCTGGCTGATTTTAAAAGATAGAACAGTCTGCATTACTGTGAGACAGACAACAATATTCATTAATAGTCATTTACAGTGTTTGTCACAGGCTATGTTAAGTCTTCTGCCATAATACATCAAGATACCTGGATATCAAATATATCGAGACCACCTGGACAATATACCAATACATTATGTCGATGACATCATGCTGATTGACAGGACAACCAAGAACTGGGTAGTCATACACACATGCTCCAAAGGATTGGAGATAAACCCTATGGAAGATTCAGAGACCTACTGTTTCATTGTTTTTAGGGGTTCAGTGGTTGGGGCATACCAGGGCATCACTCCAAAGTAAAAGACAAATTGCTATGTTTTGCATTCCCTACCATAAAAAGGAAACACCATGCCTGGTAGGCATCTTTGATTTCTGAAGAAACATATTCTATACCCAGGAGTATATATTGGCCCATATGCTGGCCAAGAGGCCATGGCTGTTCACCTTGAGTGGAGCCAGGAACAGGAAAATGGCCTGCAGCAGGTCCAAGCCATGGTGCAATTAGCTCTGCTTCCTGTTTCATAAAATGCTGGAGACCTTAGCGTGTTGGCAGTGTCTGTGGTAGGCAAAGATATGCTAGGGAATTCCAGGGATGGATCTCTAGGGTTCTAGAGTAAACTTATGACAGAAAACTTATGCCATGGCTGGGGTAGAGCCATGTGTATGAACACATGGGAGTGGGCACAAAGTGTGAAGAATTTTGTATCACATGTTAACACCCACCAGAAAACATCTACAATGGAAGAGGCACTGACAAAAGCACTCAGCAGTTGACATGGATAGAACTGGTGTGACAGGCACGTGGGTGGAATGGCCATGCTACCAGAGATGGAAGCCATGTGTAGGCCCTGTAGCAAGAACTTCCACGCACAAAAACTGATCTAGTTACTGCTACTTGTAAATGTCCATATTCCCCAGCAGTAGGGACCAACACTGAGCCCCAGATACAGCACTGTCCTTTGAGGAAACCAACTGGCTATTTGGTGGCAGGTTGACTCATGAGGCCTCTTCCACTCTTGAAGGACCAGCACTTCATCCTCACAAGGATGGATTACTATTCTGAGTAAGGGTTTGCCTTTTCTGCCTGTAGAGCCCCAACCCTCACCATTACCTGGGGTTCATGGAATGCCTGGTCCACAAACATGGAATTCCATACACATAGCATTTGATTAGTGAAGGAAATACAGGAGTGAACCTATGACCATGGGATCCACTGGTCACATCATGTACTTGCCTTCTAGAATGTTGGAACAGACATCCAAAGGTGCAACTGAAATGCCATCTTCCAGGAAACTCTCTGAAGGAATCATTCCATAGGCTGCAACACGTGTATTAAATCAGAGACTCTTTATGGAGCTGTGTCCCCAGTAGGAAGGATATGTGGGAATGGGAACTGAGGAGTAGAACCAAAGTGGCTCCATTAGCATCACTCTGAATGACCCACTGGGGAATTTGTGCTTCCCATCCCCAAACATTGCCTTTTTTTGGCCAGGCGTGGTGGCTCACACCTGTAATCCCAGCACTTTGGGGGGCCGAGGTGGGAGAATCGTTTGAGCCCAGGAGTTCAAGACCAACCTGGGCAACATAGTGATATCCTGTCTCTACAAAAAATTTAAAAAAAATTATCACACCTGTAATCCCAGCACTTTGGGAGGCCAAGGCAGGTGGATCACAAGGTCAGGAGATCAAGACCATCCTGGCCAACATGGTGAAACCCCGTCTCTACTAACATTACAAAAATTAGCTGGGCATGGTGACGTGCACCTGTAGTCCCAGCTATTCGGGAGGCTGAGGCAGGAGAATCGCTTGAATCCGGGAGGCAGAGGTTGCAGTGAGCCGAGATCGTGCCTCTGCACTCCAGCCTGGCGACAGAGCAAGACTCCGTCTCAAAATTAATTAATTAATTAATTAAATTTAAATAAAATAAATAAGTAAAAATTAGCCAGGTATGACAGTACATGCCTGAGGTCTCATCTACTCCAGAGGATGAGGTAGGAGGATCGCTCGAGCCCAGGAGATTGAGGCTTTGAGGCTGCAGTGAGCCATGATCACACCACTGCACTCCGGCCTGGGTGACAGAGCGAGACCCTGTCTCAAAAAAAAAAAAAATTGTTTTAACTTAACACTTCTGTCTTTCTGTTCTCTATCTTACTAAATGTTTGCTTTTTTCTTTACTAACCCACTCCTTCTGCTTTGCTTCCATTTATTTTGTTGTTTTTCCCCCTAAATTTTGATTACATTCTTAATTCTTTTAAAAAAATAAGTATTTAAACCTATGAATTTTCCTCTGGTTTCTACTTTAGTAGCATATCACATTTTTTATGTGCTGTGTATTCATTTTCTACAGTTTCAGTTAGTGGTTTCTCTCTGCTGTAAGAACTGTTTAAAATAGTTTTGAATTTCCACATAGAAGGAATTCCCACCCCACACAACCCCCAAACTTTATGAATTCCTAGTTGTATTGCATTGTAATCACAGAATGCTGTCTTCACTATTCTGCTTGGACCTTGCTGAGGTTTTTCTTTATGGCCTAATAGTTTTAGTGAGTGTTCGTGGGCAATGGAAAGGAAAGCATATTCAGATTTCAGGATGTATACATTGGCATGTTATCAACCAGATCTATCTTATCAATTACTAAGTTCTTCTGTGATTTATTTATTTTTTATCTACTTGATCACTGACAGTCTGAGAAACAGAAAGGTTAAATATATCTACCCAGTTCTTCTAGCAAATGGCAAACTTCTCTAGTAAATGGCAAAATCCAAATTCAGGCAATCTGACTTCAGTTCTTAACTACTATACCATGCTGGCTTTCATCGGTATTTGTTAGATTTTTCTTCATATGTTGTCACTTGGGGTCAAACCATTCAGGAGAAAGGCAGATCTCCCAGGGAAACAACTTGAAATCAATAAAAAGGATTGTGAGGACATAGGAGTTAGCAAGATACTCAGGAAGTCAGTGATATGGTTTGGCTGTGTCCGCACTCAAGTCTCAACTTGAATTTTCTCTCCCAGAATTCCCACGTGTTGTGGAAGGGACCCAGGGGGAGGTTAATTGAATCATGGGGGCAGGTCTTTCCCGTGCTATTCTCCTGATAGTTAATAAGTCTCACAAGATCTGATGGGTTTATCAGGGGTTTCTGCTTTTGCTTCTTCCTCGTTTTCTCTTGCCACCACCATGTAAGAAGTGCCTTTCACCTCCCACCATGATCCTGAGGCCTCCCCAGCCATGTGGAACTGTAAGTCCAATTAAACCTCTTTTTCTTCCCAGTCTCGGATATGTCTTTATCAGCAGCATGAAAATGGACTAATACAGTAAATTGGTACCAATAGAGTGGGGCAGTGCTGAAAAGATACCCCAAAATGTGGAAGCAACTTTGGAACTGGGTAACAGACAGAAGTTGGAACCATTTGGAGGGCTCAGAAGAAGACAGAAAAATGTGGGAAAGTTTGGAACCTCCTAGAGACTTGTTGAATAGCTTTGATAAAAATGCCGATAGCGATATGGACAATAAGGTCCAGGCTGAGGTGGTCTCAGGTGGAGATGAGGAACTTGTTGGGAACTGGAGTGAAGGTGACTCTTGTTATGTTCTAGCAAAGAGACTGGCAGCATTTTGCCCCTGCCCTAGAGATTTGTGGAACTTTGAACTTAAGAAAGATGATTTATGATATCTGGCAGAAGAAATTTCTAAGCAGCAAAGCATTCAAGAGGTGACTTGAGTTCTGTTAAAGGCATTAAGTTTTATAAGGGAAGCAGAGCATAAAAGTTTGGAAAATTTGCAGCCTGACTATGCAATAGAAAAGAAAAACCCATTTTCTGGGGAAAAATGCAAGCCGGCTGCAGAAATTTGCGTAAGTAGTAAGGAGCCTAATGTTAATCCCTAAGACCATGGGGAAAATGTCTCCAGGCCATGTCAGAGAACTTCACGGCAGCCTCCCCCATCGTAGGCCCAGAGGCCCAAGAGGAAAAAGTGGTTTCGTGGGCTGGGTCCAGGGCCCACCTGCAGTGTGCAGTCTAGGGACTTGGTGCCCTGTTCCCAGCCACTCCAGCCATGGCTGAAAGGGGCCAACGTACAGCTTGGGCTGTGGCTTCAGAGGGTGGAAGTCCCACACCTTGGCAGCTTCTGCGTGGTGTTGAGCCTGCAGGTACACAGAAGTCAGGAATTGAGGTTTGGGAATCTCTGCCTAGATTATAGAAGATGTATGGAAACACCTGGATACCCAGGCATAGCATAGCCATAGCAAAGGCAGAAGTTTGCTACAGGGGTGGGGCCCTCATGGAGAACCTCTGCTAGGGCAATGCAGAAGGGAAATGTGGTGTCGGAGCCCCCACACAGAGTCCCTACTGAGGAACTGCCTAGTGGAGCTGTGAGAAGAGGGCCACCATCCTCCAGACCCCAGAATGGTAGATCCACCGACAGCTTGCACCATGCACCTGGAAAAGCTGCAGACACTCAACACTAGCCCATGAAAGCAGGTGGGAGGGAGGCTGTACCCTGCAAAGCCACAGGGGCAGAGCTGCCTAAGAGCATGGGAACCCACCTCTTGCATCAGTATGACCTGGATGTAAGACCTGGAGTCAAAGGAGATCATTTTGGAGCTTTAAAATTTGACCGCTTCCCGGATTTTGGACTTGCATGGGCCCTGCAACCCCTTTGTTTTGGCCAATTTCTTCTATTTGGAATGGCTGTATTTACCCAATGCCTGTATCCCTATTATATCTAGAAAGTAACTAGCTTGCTTTTCATTTTACAGGCTCATAGGCAGAAGGGACTTGCCTTGTCTCAGATGAGACTCTCAACTGTGGACTTCTGGGTTAATGCTGAAATGAGTTAAGACTTTGGGGGACTGTTGGAAAGGCATCATTGGTTTTGAAATGGGAGAACATGAGATTTGGAGGGGCCAGGGGCAAAATGATATGGTTTGTCTGTGTCCCTACCCAAATCTCAACTTGAATTTTATCTCCCAGAATCCCCATGTGTTGTGGGTGGGACCCAGGGGGAGGTAATTGAATCGTGGGGGGGGGGGTCTTTCCCATGCTATTCTTCTGATAGTTAATAAGTCCCACGGGATCTGATGGGTTTATCAGGGGTTTCTGCTTTTGCTTCTTCCTCATTTTCTCTTGCCACCGCCATGTAAGAAGTGCCTTTCTCCTCCTGCCATGATTCTGAGGCCTCCCCAGCCATGTGGAACTGTAAGTCCAACTAAACCTCTTTTTCTTCCCAGTCTCGGGTATGTCTTTATTAGCAGTGTGAAAACGGACTAATGCAGTCAGGCAATTCTCCGAGAAGCTGAGGAATGGTGCAAAATGGTAACGTGACTAGAGCAAAAGGAACTGCAAACTACATGGAATTTTGGTCAGTGAAGTTGCCAAGGGTTGGTACAGTAAGCAAGCGTGTGGTGTGGCGGGGCAGGAGATATGTGGGTAAGGTGGGAGGGTAAAATGCCTCATATCAAGCAACTGAGTGAGCGGGGGACAAGTCCCATCAACATTCTGTAAGAGGGTTATCATAGTGGAATCTTTTCTCCTCTACATACCTTGAGACCTCTGACTTGGGAGAAAGATATCATTTGTTCTGAAGCAGGAGACTCCACCCACCAGAAACTTGCAGGTTTAAGAAACAAATGGGGATGGCCCCTGAGTTGTTTGCCTATTAAGGGGAGGTGACAGCTCCTTTGTGGAGGAGGGGAGGGTAATGGGTAGCCCTCCATCGACAGCTCTTTCCACTCCTGAGAAAAGAGGAAAACATCAGTGCTGAAGAAGCCAGTCTGTTTGCTAGAAGACATGGTTCCACCCTAGGGAACTCGAAGAGGATACAAACTAGACCAGTGTCCCAGCAGAGGGATGGAATGGTGGGGAAAATTACTCCCTTTTTATCTTTCAGCCTTAGAAGTAGGAAGAGGTTCTACTCTCTACAAATTAGAGACTAAGTTAGTTGCCCAGGCACTTAAGAGAAGTATATTGTTCACAAAGATAAACAATGCAAAATTCCATCAAAATGCTGGGAGACCAATGAAATGGTTGTAAAACGGATTCCCTAGGTATCTGACAGCTTTGGAGTAGGGAAGATGAGAGTAGGTCTATTGGAGAGAGTTGGTTTTCTAGGCACCAGGAGGGTCAAGGGCCAAGTTATTTGGATCCTTGAAAATGAATTTTAGATCTACTCTCACACCCGCATCTTCATGCCTCACATCCTGGAAGAGAGATATGGAGAAGTCAAACAGTTGGTTACTCAAAATTGTCCATTTTCAGGAGAGGGAGGAAAGATGTGGAACTGAGTCAGGCTAGAAACAGAACTGGCTGTAGAGGCCTGGAAAGGGCTGGGAAAGGCTGGCACTTCCACCAAAATCCCCTGATGGAGGGTGACGAGTAGGACAGACAAAAAAGTCGCCCGGCAGTGGATGCTCTCAATCTGTGCATGGAAAGGAAGGAGTCACTGGGTAACCGGGAGCCAAGAACAGCATTATCCTGATGTCTTTCCTTAAGGCAACCTCTATCCTGGGGCAAAGAGAAGGAACTTGGGGAGTTCCATCAAGTAGGTATAGTAAGCAAGGGTGTGGTGTGGTGGGGCAGGGGATGCTATACTATAGTTTAGCATTAATTATGTTTGGTTAGAAACATTGTTCTGTTGGCCTTTCTGTGTCCTGTTGAAAACATTGTTTATCACAGCCTAACTGCTGGCAGAGTTTCTCAAGCCCTGATTAGAATGCGGCTTCTAGGGGAAGGGAGGGTTAGGAGACTTCAATTCTATGGGACAATCACTCTGAGAATTGAAAATGCCACCCAGAGATAATAAAAGCCAGTTAAAGCTCACCAACCAAAGAAAAGACCACAGGTCTTACCTACAGAAAATAGTTGCATGACTGTACTTGCTGTAGTGAGGAGGAACTGGTCATGGGATATCTCAGAAACATGGAGCAAGGAGGGGCTTTTTTTTTTTTTTTCCCGAGACGGAGTCCCTCTGTTGCCCAGTCTGGAGTGCAGTGGCGTGATCTCAGTTCACTGCAACCTCCGCCTCCCAGGTTCAAACAATTCTCCTGCCTCAGCCTCCCGAGTAGCTGGGATTACAGGTGCATGCCACCACGCCCAGCTAATTTTTGTATTTTTCGTAGTGACAGGATTTCACCATGTGGTCAGGCTGGTCTCAAACTCCTGACCTCAAGTGATCTGCCCGCCTTGGCCTCCCAAAGTGCTGAGATAACAGGCGTGAGCCACCGTGCCCAGCCAGGGAGGGGCTTTTTATAGGGTTTGGCCTTTGTTCGGTGATTCTAAGAAGGAATGGTTAGTCTTTTTTTTTCCAACTACGGTACAGCATTAATTATGTTTGGTTAGAAACATTGTTCTGTTGGCCTTTCTGTGTCCTGTCGAAAACATTGTTTATCACAGTCTGACTGCTGGCAGAGTTTCTCAAGCTCTGATTAGAATTAAGGGTCCTGTTTGGGGAAAGTAACTGCATAGAAGGCCATAGAAAAGGCTCAGTAGGACTGTAGTTCCAGAGGAGCACTCTGTGAAAATTTCAACCACAGCAGAGGAAAATGGGGACTTCGACTTGTATGGAGATAGGAGGCTGCTCGGCCGCTGTGAAAAATCTAAGGGGAGCCCTGCATCAGATATCCAGAAGCTGTTTCCTGCATTTCCAAGGATGCTGTGCCCTGTAAGAAGATTTAGAGATGTGTGAGAGACGTAGGGACGTGAGGAGAGAACAGCAAAATTATATAAAGTGTAAGATATTGTGTACTTCCCCTTCCTGTTGTGGTTGGCTTTGAGCTAGAACACCTTGAGGATTTGGCTTTGAGTTACAAGCAGTTAGTTTCTCTTAGGCTAGCAAAGCTGGAGACAATACACAAGTGTATACTTCCTTTTCTTCTGAAAAAGCAACAAGGTTGGATAGATTTAGTTTTGCACATGTGAGGCAAAAACATTCTCTAAAATGAAAAGGGTTGACATAACAGGGAATCTAAAATGTTCAGTGTTTGTGTGTGTGTGTGTGTGTGTGTGTGTGTGTGTGTGTTTACTTCTTTATTCTTTTTTGAGAAGCTTTCTTTTTTTTTTTTTTTTTTTTTTAGGTTTACATCACCGGAACAGGAGGAGGGACACACCCAACAGCTGTAGAAGCAGGAAATATCTAATACAAAACTAAAGTACAAAAACATGAAAACAGAGTCTTTGCGCATATTTTGTTCCTGCTGACTGCCTTGAAAAAGTCTACATTTCCTATACATATGATTGGGAATGGGGAGGGCTTGGTTCTCCTTGTGCAACATATTCAGCATGATTTAGGCAGTTTTATCTCTGCAAATTTATTGTTTCCTTTGGAGAAGTATTCATTTTCTAAATCACATCTCAGAAGTATCAAGAGTTATGTACCACAGGACAGCAGGGGGCAATTATAGAAGTCAGATTCACGTCAAGCCAGAGTACATTCTGTGAGGAGGAACTGACCCAGGCTTGGCAAGTGTCAGCTTGAATTAACCTTTTTTTTTTTTTTTTTTTTTGCCAGGAGTCTCCCTCTGTCGCCCAGGCTGGAGTGCAATGGCACAATCTCAGCTCACTGCAACCTCCACTTCCCCAGTTCAAGTGATTCTCCTGCCTCAGCCTCCCGAGTAGCTGGCATTACGGGTGCGTGCCACCACGCCCACCTAATTTTTGTATTTTTAGTTGAGACAGGGTTTCGCCATGTTGGCCAGACTGGTCTCAAACTCCTGACCTCAAGTGATCTGCCCGCCTCAGCCTCCCGAAGTGCTGAGATTACAGGCGTGAGCCATCGTGCCCGGACTTAAATTAACTATTAATAGGGATATTTAGAACTGAAAAATACACATTTTGAGGAATGTGACAAAAAGTGTCCTTATTTTTCATAATTGATATGGTTATGGATGGCTAATGACCTGTGTGCTATAGGATCTGTGTATCTTGTGTGGGGATGCTGCATTCTAACTCTAGAACCGGCCAATTGCCTTGTAAGGGGAGGATGAGTAATATAGTTTTAGAGAAGAGATTATTTCTCTCTAAAGAAAGTGAAACTTAGATAAGAAACAGAAATTTAGCCCGGGCGTGGTGGCTCACACCTGTAATCCCAGCACTTTGGGAGGCCGAGGCAGGTGGATCACGAGGTCAGGAGATAAAGACCATCCTGGCTAACACGGTGAAACCCCGTCTCTACTAAAAATACAAAAATTAGCCGGGCGTGGTGGCGGGCGCCTGTAGTCCCAGCTACTCCGGAGGCTGAGGCAGGAGAATGGCGTGAACCCGGGAGGCGGAGCTTGCAGTGAGCCGAGATGGAGCCACTGCACTCCAGCCTGGGCGACAGAGCGAGACTCCGTCTAAAAAAAAAAAAACAGAGAGCGAGAGACTATGTTTTTAGAACAGTTTTAGGTTCACAGCAAAATGGAAAGAAAGGTACCTCCTGCCCCCACACATGCCAGCTCCCTGGTTTTCAACATTGCCCACCAGAGAGCAGCATGTGTTACAATGAGGGAATCTATGCAGATACATCATAACCACGGAATGTCCGTAGTTTACATAAGGGTTCACTCTTCATGTTGCACATTCTTTGGGTTTGGACAAATGTATAAGTGACATGTATTCACCACTATGGTATCAGACAGAATAATTTAACTGCCCTAAAAATCCTCTGTGTTTTGCCTGCCCATCCCTCCTCTTCGCAGCCCTTGGGCAACCACTGATCATTTTCCTGTCTCCATAGTTTTGCCTTTTCCAGAAATGTCATATACTTGACATCATTCAGTATGTAGCCTTTTCAGATTGGCTTCAATATATTCTTTTCTATATCCATCACCTTTTTTGTCCCATTTGGTTCAGTGTTTCTCAAAATGTGGTGTTTGAACTATCTCTGTCAGAACCACATGAAAGTTGTTAAAAATATACATTCTCAGTCTCATATTTGACTGATTCAAAATATTAATATCTGGGTGTGGAACCTAGGAATTTGTATTTTAAACACACAGTACAGGTTATTCTTACACATACTATAGTCTGAACACCAGCAAAGTCTCTACTATGCTGCCAGGAATTAAGGTGGGGACGTATGTTCATAAAAGGTGATAGTGGCCGGGCGTGGTGGCTCAGTCCTGTAATCCCAGCACTTTGGGAAGCCGAGGCAAATGCATCGGCCTCCTGACCTGAGGTCAGGAGTTCGAGATTAGCCTGGGCAACATGGCAAAATCCTGTCTCTACAAAAAATACAAAAATTAGCCAGGCATAGTGGTGGGCACCTGTAGTTCCGGCTACTAGGGAGGCTGAGGTGAGAGAATCTCCTGAGCTCAGGGAGGTGGAGGCTGCAGTGAGCTGTGATTGCACCGCTATACTCCAGCCTGGGCGACAGAGTGAGATCCTCTCCCAACCACAAAAAAAAAAGTAATAGGATTTACCAAAAAGGAGCTGGCAGTGATAGCAATAGAAAGGGACCCCAAAGGGAAGATCGGGGCTTCAAAGTCTAGCTATTCTACAGAGCCCATGTGTAACATGTGTAAATTCCCCATCTATTGCCAATTGTATAGTTTTAATTTGATTGATATTGCAGGAGCTAGCGATTTCCTGCAGACTTTGACTCTTTCTCTCTGGAGAAGCCTAGAAATACCTTATGTATTATTTGACAACAGATGAAGCCTGAGGTTTTCATCTTGGACTACCGTTAAATCCTTACGAAAGTGACCTTCTTTGAACTAGACAATACCTCCTGTAACCATTTTAGTAGGATCTCCCTTGAGTTTCAGTTCTACCTTCTCCAAGTTCTACAAAGACTCCTCATCAGTATTTCATGTGGAACCCAAATGAAAGGTTGGGAATTGCTGATCAGTCTGCTGTGTGGCCTAATGAGGCCTGGACACCTGAGTGATGACACAGACACACAGGAGCCCCAATAATAATTTATACTTGCTCTTTGTCACACATGCGTGCCATGCACACCCTACTCTATGTCTCTGTATGGTCAGTCCCTCCTTCCCTCTCTCTTTTCCTTCCCTCCATATGCCTTATGCCATTGCTAATCTCCTATAGAAGCAAAACTCACGCTTTGTTCTGCTTCCAGTATGATTAAGCACATCACATACTATAGATAGGAACAAAATCAAACCACTTCACATTCTCAAGAAAAACTTAAAAGAATAGGGTCATCCTGACTGGTTCTGGTCTCCAAAATAATAAACTCTAAAAAATTTGCAGTGAGCCTGGATTCTCTAAATAATGCTGTCCCTGACTTTTGCTATGCTGATATGAATGATCTTTTTCTTTTTTTTTTTTTAATTTTTTGGAGACAGGGTCTCACTCTGTCACTTAGGCTGGAGTGCGGTGGCACAATCATGGCTCACTGCAGCCTCGACCTCCTGGGCTCAAGCGATCCTGTCATCTCAGTAGCTGAGACTACAGGTGTGTGCCACCATACCTGGCTAACGTTTGTACTGGGTTATAGAGAAGGGGTTTTGCCATGTTGCCCAGGCTGGTCTTGAACTCCTAGGCTCAAGTGATCCACCCATTTTAGCCTTCCAAAGTGCTGGGTTTACAGTTGTGAGCCACCATGCCTGGCCAACATGAATGATTTTTGCATATATGATACCTGTATGAGTAAGTGGCTTTTTTCCTCACCTTCAACAGGCTGATATAAATTTAGTGCCCTGATAATTTTGTCTTTCTTTCCATTTGAATACTTGTGTTTTCAATTTGCTGAGCCACTCTTTCTGGCTTCATCAGAAAGAAGTCTGACACCCTTATACTGACAGCAAGTTAAGTTTCTCTTTCCTGGTCTCTTTTTCTTCTGTTTTTAATTTTCAGAGTAGAATTAGGCTTTTTAAAATAATACATATTTTTAAACTGACAAATAAAAATTGTATATATTTACTGTGTACAACAGGATGTTTCAAAATATATATACATACCCTACTGGAGTGGGTAAATCAAGCTAATTACCATATGCATTACCTTATATACTTATTATTTTCATTATGAGAATCTCTTTCCTCTTCTAAATGCGGAAGTCTCCTGAGGATCTCTGTGGCACTCTCTTCCAAGCCTTTGTACTGTGCTCTTGGGAATCCCTTCTATTGCAGTAATAGCACTTCTCTCCCCCAGCTCAATGAAAGCATCATCATCTACCCAGTGACCTAAACCCTAAACTTGGGAGTCATCTGTGATTCCTACCTCTGCTCACTTTTTTTTTTTTTTAATACAGAGTCTTGTTCTGTTACCCAGGCTGGAGTGCAGTGGCACGATCTCGGCTCACTGCAACCTCTGTCTCCCGGGTTCAAGCAATTCTCTGCCTCAGCCTCCTGAGTAGCTGGGATTACAGGCACCTGCCACCACACCTGGCTAATTTTTGTATTTTTAGTAAAGATGGGGTTTCACCACGTTGGCCAGGCTGGTCTTGAACTTCTGACCTCGTGGTCCACCCACCTCAGCCTCCCAAAGTGCTGGGATTACAGGTGTGAGCCACTGTGCCCGGCCAATGAATGAATACTTCTAATAAAGTGTCACAGTTATTTCTGTTTTTTGCCTGTTTTTTTTTTTATTTTTAATCTGTCTTTTTAATCTTGTGTTCAGTGCTCATTGAATTGCCCTTTGTTGCATAGCTAGCTAGAAAGGGATTAGGTTTGGCACCTGGGAGCACAAGTCCTCACTCCCAGATCAATTTACTTGTCCCTAACACCATGTTGCCTCTTTAATGCTCTGCAAATAAAAATATTATAACACACCCCTCCTCTGAGTGCTTCTCTAGGCTCACAAACCACAGTTTCGGTTTCTTTTCTGATAATCAGTTTCATTTCTTCATAGTCACATCTCTTGCTGGCAAGCATCACGTTATTTTCCAGCAGCATGTTTCAAATATTGAAATCCCTCATCCTTGGGGAACTATAGCTGTTTAATTATTTAAAATAGCATGAAAATAGGTGTTTCAATCAACCACAGTATTTAATGTTTCTGGTAATAGATACCATCTGAGAAGGAGCTCAGTATATTTACTGATAAAGCACTTTGCCTCCAACTTCTAATTGACCAAAACAAGGTCTATTAAAACTGAAATTCAGAAAAAACTTAACTAATTTTGCCCAAATTTCAAACAATACTAACAAACATTAGAATTTATTTTGAACTTGATTTATGGCCCTCATCAGACTATGATAATTTTTTCAAAACAATGATATATCTTAATATTTCAGCATTAAGTCCTATACATAGTTTCAGAGGATTTCAAGGAAAGTTGAGAATTTGTTGTGAATACATATATAAGACATAGAGAAAGCTGAATTAATGTAAAAATGGCTGAGTTCATATTTTATGAACCCCGGATGAGGTTATTTGTAGTGTCCAAGCTTTGGAGCCAAATAAACTTAGATTTCCTTTTTTTTTTTTTTTTTGAGACGGAGTCTCACTCTGTCGCCAGGCTGGAGTGCAGTGGCGCAATCTTGGCTCACTGCAACCTCCATCTCCCAGGCTCAAGTGATGCTCCTGCCTCAGCCCCCAAAGAAGATGGGGTTACAGGCATGAGCCACCACGCCCAGCTAATTTTTGTATTTTTAGTAGAGACGGGGTTTCGCCACGTTGGCCAGGCTGGTCTCGAACTCCTGAGATTAAGTGATCCGCCCACCTCAGCCTCCCAAAGTGCTGGGATTCCAGGCATGAGCCACTGTGCCTGGCCTGATGATTTGTCCTTTACATCTCAGTGTCCTCACTTCTCAAACAGCAATATTCATCTAACAGAATTCGTTGAAATAAGTGCCTTGCTCACTCAATGAATGACAGTTATTATTATGACAACATTCACAGTAGAATGTCAGTCCTTGGTGGATAAATCAGGGTTTTTAGTTACAAGGAAAAGAAACCACCTCTGGTTCCTTTAAAAGTAGAAATATTATTTGTGGCTAGGAAATTGGGTAGCCTGTGGCTTTGCTGGGAGTTTGGCCAATCTGACTTGAAAGCTACATAGTCAGAAGCATAGCTAAAATCATGAACTGGTTCCATGGGGATACCACTGCTACCTGTCCCTTGCACAGCTAACACTATTCCACCCTAAGGTACATGTGCCTCTGTTGCCTCCACAAACTGGATACTGGTGCTGCTGCCCCATCAATCTCTGACAGACTGAGTCCTATTCATGTGCATACATCTCGACTGCAGGGGAGACGGGAAAAAGGAGCATCTGGCCTCCTTCAGTGGGAGGTGGGCTCTGTCTGCCCCTCAGATTTATATGATGGGGAATCCCCCAAACATCAGAAGGGACTGAGATGCTGGACAGCCAAAAACATGCAAGTATGCACAATACTTCCCCGGGAGCCACAGATTTTGGAGACTGGCTTAACTACTATCTTTTTCATATACCCCGCATTTGATCCATTAATGCATCTGTCAGTTGCGCCTTAAAAATCTGACCCCTTCTGCTCAGCTCCACCACTGCCAGCCCAGCTCATGTCCTCGCTATCTTGTGCCTGGATTATTGAATCAGTTCTTAACAGGTAGGCTGGCCTCTGCATTTGGCCCCTGACAGTGTATCTTCAATAGAGCAGTCAGAGTAGTTCTCTGTAAAAATATTTCAGACCATAACACACCTCTACTCCAAGTCTTCCAACACATCCCATGTCGTTTGAGGTGAATGCCAAAGTTATCACAATGGCCTCCAAGGCCCTGCATGATCTTTTCTTCCCATAATTCCCACTCTTCCCCATTGATCTCTCTGATCGCCCCCTCTGTAACTATATCATATCATCCTGCCAAAACTCTGATCTTTGCACTTGTTTTTCCCTCTGCCAGGAACACTTGTCTCCTAGATCGTTACACAACTTGCTCCTTTACTTCCTTTAGCTTTCTGCTCAACTTAAGAAAGATGTCTTAACAATGTCACCTTATCAGAGAGATCTTCTCTGACTTTATATCAAAGTGTGACCATCCAGCCCCTAGCACTCTGCATCCTTAATTTTTCACCACAGCACATTGATCTCCATCTGACATTCTGTATATTTGTTCATTTTTTTCTGTCTCCCCCTATAGAATGTAAGCACCATGAAGATAGAGACTTCTATTTGTTATCTCAATTTCTACACAATATGTGTTTGCTGAATGGATGAATGATGATAGATCTTTCGTAACTGTCACTTTATCATCTAACTAAGGTATAAAGTATGCACAAAATGGTGTCCCTTCTTTCCACTCTTGCCAGA
Organism: Homo sapiens; assembly: GCF_000001405.40. NCBI lineage: Eukaryota > Metazoa > Chordata > Mammalia > Primates > Hominidae > Homo > Homo sapiens. The sequence continues at coordinate 2,644,228 of NC_000018.10, forward strand.
GTTTTATTTTTAGGATAGATCTTATTATGCCATACCCACTTATAAAAATTTTTTATTGCTTCTGACTGCCAAGAGCCATGCTTCTCAATTTGGGATACAAGGGGGTGAGGAAATCACAGGATAAAGCCATACATTTTTCTAATCCAGAGAGTCAATTTTACTTATAGAACCTGGGGCCAGGGGAGAAGTTCCCAATTTTATTTGTCTTGAAAATTTCTGCCACATGTGTGTATACATGCAAGTGAAATTAGCAGAATCATGTTTTCCTATTTAGTTCAGTTGGGTGAAACCCATGAAAAGCCAAGAAGGAGAAAATTTTCTATAAGCAGTGAGTGATTTAAAAAGTTGGTCTTTCTGTGTTGTTAGGGAACCTGGTCTATTAGCGCTGTAATTGAATCAGAATGCACAGGGTAATTATGAACAGTATGAAATATCAAGGGTTGTGGGATCTGATAATGAGGTTGATGTGGAAATAAACAGCAGCTTTCCAACCACAACTAAGCATTTGGTAAGCAATTTACAAAGCAATACTAGTCAATTTAGAAAGCTTATGATGTACTCAGGTTTTTACTGAACCTCAGGTATTACTATTATGGAAACACAGTTGACCATAATTCTAAGTGTCTCTTGTGTGAGAAAGCACTGAGCAAAAAGAGGAGGAAATTATCACAAGTGATACCTAAAAAACAACCACATATCTTTAAGGCAGCAATGGCATAAAAAAAAAAAAACAAAGCAAAACCAACTACATGACACTCCGGAAAAGGAATAAGATGAGGTGGTTTGCTCCAGTGGACATCAAAATATAATACAGCTAGAGTAATTAAGGAAGTGTAGTATTAGTAGAGAGGGTGAAAAATTGACCAACAAACAGGCTAGACAATCCAGGAACAGAGGCATGCATTTATGGAAACTTGGTATGTAACAGTACGTCACACATAATACAGCAGGGGAAGGATAAACTATTCAATAAATGATGATCAGACAATTTGAAAAAAAAAAGGAGTTGGAGCCCCTTTTAGTATAATACATAAAAATCAACTTTGCACAATTTAAGGACTAATTGTTTTTTTTTTTTTAAACGGAGTCTGTCTCTGTCACCCAGGCTGGAGTGCAGTGGCACGATCTCGGTTCACTGCAACTTCTGCCTCCCAGGTTCACGTGATTCTCCTGCCTCAGCCTCTTGACTAGCTGGGACTACAGGCGTGTGCCACCACGACCAGCTATTTTTGTATTTTTAGTAGAGACGGGGTTTCGCCATGTTGGCCAGGCTGATGTCGAATTCCTGATCTCAGGTGATCTGCCCTCCTTGGCCTCCCAAAGTGCTGGGATTACAGGCATGAGCCACCATGCCTGGCCATTAAGTGTTTTTAATAGAAAAATTTTAAACTTCAAAAATAAAATTTGAGGCCAGGTACGGTGGCTCATAACTGTAATCCCAGCACCCTGGGAGGCTGAGGTGGGTGGATCACCTGAGGTCAGGAGTTCCAGACAAGTCGAGCCAACGTGGTGAAACCCCATCTCTATTAAAAATACAAAAATTAGCTGGGCGTGGTGGCTGGTGCCTGTAATCCCAGCTACTTGGGAGGCTGAGGCAGGAGAATCGCTTGAACGCGGGAGGTGGAGGTTGCAGTGAGCTGAGATCGCAAAACTGCACTCCAGCCTGGGCTACGAGAGTGAAACTCCGTCTGAAAATAAATAAATAAATAAAATAAAATAAAATTTGAAAATGCCTTTGTATTAGAGGAATTCTTAGAGACCAAAAAGTACAAATCATAATGGAAAGAATTTGATAAGTTCAAACATACTAAGATCGAGAACTACCATTCATTAAAAGGTCTCACAAAGAAAGGGAAATTACAAATCACAAACTGGGAAAAGATGTTATATAGACATAACCAACAAAATTTGAGTTCCACAATATGTGGAGAACTTTAAAAAAATCAATAGGAAAAAATCAAGTAATTTCATCAAAAAACCAGCACATTTAGCCAGGTGTGGTGGCCCGCACCTGTAGCCCCAGCTACTTGGGAGGCTAAGGTGGGAGAATACCTTGAGCCAGGAGGCTGAGGCTGCAGTGAGCCTGATTGTGCCACTGCACTCCAGCCCAGGCAACAGAGCAAGACCCTGTGTAAAAAAAAAATAAGGCCAGGTGTGGTGGCTCACTCACGCCTGTAATCCCAACACTTTGGGAGGCCGAGGCGGGCGGATCATCAGGTCAAGAGATTGAAACCATCCTGGCCAAAATGGTGAAACCCCGTATTTTTCTACTAAAAATACAAAATTAGCTGGGCGTGGTGGCACGTGCCTGTAGTCCCAGCTCCTCGGGAGGCTGAGGCAGGAGAATCGCTTGCACCAGGGAGGCGGAAGTTGCAGTGAGCCAAGATTGCACCACTGCACTCCAGCCTGGGCACAGAGCCAGACTCCGTCTCAAACAACAACAACATCAACAAAAGGCACAAGCCATGAATAAGCATTTCATAGAAGAGGAAACACAATTAGGAAATACACGTATGAAAAGGTGCTCAATCTGTTTTTTTTTTTTTTTTTTTTTTGAGACAGAGTCTTGCTCTGTCATCCAGGCTGGAGTGCAATGGTGTAATCTCGGCTTACTGCAACTTCCGCCTCCCAGACTAAAGCAACTTTCGTGCCTCAGCCTCCCAAGTAGCTGGGATTACAGGCAGGTGCCAGAACGCTGGCTAATTTTTTGAATTTTTAGTAGAGACGGGGTTTTGCCATGTTGGCTAGGCTGGTCTCGAACACCTAGCCTCAGTTGATCTGCCTGCCTCGACTGAGTGCTGAGATTACAGGTGTGATCCACCACACCCAACCTCAATCTCATTTATAATGAGGTAGGTGCAAATTACAACCACAATGAGGTACTATTTCACATCTACCAGATTGACAAACATTTTCAAAAGTAAAACACTCCTACATGTTGACAAGGTAGTGGAGCAGCAGGTCTTCTATACTGCTGGAAAATAATTTGGCATTATCAGGTAAGTGTGTAAATTAGCCATATTCTATGACATTTCATATATAACCTATGCAATATTATATCCATTGCATAAGAACATCATGATACAACAGACACATACTCATAGAAGCTTGATTTCTAAAAAGTAAAAGCAAATAAAGAAACCAAAGACCTGGAAATAATTTAAATGTTCATTGATAGGAGAATGGAAAGACAGTGGTGTACTCGTATCAAGAAATACTATATAACAATAAAACAGAATAAAAAAAGAATGAACTACAGTAACTTGCATCAACATTATTGAATCTTACAAATATGATGAACAAAAAATGAGCAGAAGAATGTATATATGTACACATAGTTCAAAAACTCAAAAACTAAATAATTTATTACAAACAGAAGGAAAACAAATACCTACAAATTTCAGAATAGAGAATACTTCAGTAGTAGAGAGATGTCATTTTGGAAGGGGCTTACTGGGGTCTTTAAAAGCATCAATAATGCTCTTTTATTTAAGTTAATGGTTTTAAGACAGATGTGTTTGTCTTTTCACAGACGTTTAGATTATGTATACTCTTTTGTATGCATGAAATATTTCATGATATAAAAATGTAGAAACAGACTGAACAAGAAAATGTAAAGTGTTTGTAGAGGTACTGGCAGTTTAAGAACTCAATAAATTCTAAGTACCATTTTTCATATGTAAGGAAAAAATCAACTACATGTATTTTTTTTTTTTTTTTTTTTTGAGACGGAGTCTCGCACTGCTGCCCAGGCTGGAGTGCAACTGTGCGATCTCGGCTCACTGCAACCTCCGCCTTCTGGGTTCAAGCGATTCTCCTGCCTCAGCCTCCGGAGTAGCTGGGATTACAGGCATGTGCCACCACGCCCGGCTAATTTTATGTTTTTAGTAGAGACAGAGTTTCTCCATGTTGGTCAGACTGGTCTTGAACCCCTGACCGCAGGTTATCCGCCCGCCCCGGCCTAACTACGTGGATTTTTGAAGGAAAAATAATCAGTGCTTTACAATCAAAATTAACGTGTAATCAAACAGGTAACAAAAAACTTTTTTTTTTTTTTTGGAGATGGAGTCTTGCTCTGTCGCTCAGGCAGGAGTGCAGTGGCGCGATCTTGGCTCACCGCAACCTCTGCCTCCCTAGTTCAAGCGATTCTCCTGCCTCAGCCTCTCGACTAGCTGGGACTACAGGTGTGCGCCACCACAACCGGCTAATTTTTATATTTTTAGTAGAGACGGGGTTCGCCAAGTTGACCAGGCTGGTCTCAAATTTCTGACCTCGGGTGATCCGCCCACTTCAGCCTCCCAAAGTGCTGGGATTACAGGCGTGAGCCACTGTACCTGACCAAGAAAAGGATTTATAGGCATTGATAGAGTGCCTTGAAGAAAGAGAAAGGCAAAGGATTCTATCCAGATTAAAAAAGAGATTCCCTGTAGGGTGGTAAAATGGCCTGGTTCCCCCCTCCCCAAAATAGCTATATGTATATATAGGCAAATGGGATTAAAAATAACCCTTGCAAATGGCGCTTATGTCCTAAACAGCACAAAAGCAGCAGGAAGCCACTAGATGTAAACAGGTTGCCTTGTAGACATGGATGAGCCTCTACCCCTACCACCCAGAAGCATCAAACTTGTTAAAACTGGGAATGAGTCTGGGCACAGCGGCTCATGCCTGTAATCCCAGCATTTTGGTAGCCTGAGGTGGGTGGCTCACTTGGGCTCAGGGGTTTAAGACCAGCCTGGACAACATGGTGAAAACCCATCTCTACAAAAAATACAAAAATTAGACGGACATGGTGGTGCACGACCATGGTCCCAGCTACTCAGGAGGCCGAGGTGGGAAGACGGTTTGAGCCCAGAAAGTAGACGCTGCAGTGAGCTGAGATCCTGACACTGCACTCCAGCCTGAGAGACGGAATGAGACTCTTTCTCAAAAACAAAAACAAACAAACAAAAACTGGGAATGAAGGAACTCCAAAATGTTCTCTACCAGTTTGGTAGATTTGGGGCTCTAAGTCACAAATTATATTACAGAAAGTATTTTAACTGGCAAAGCCTGAATTCATGTCACTACAATTGTTTTTCTCTCTCCAGAAATAATAAAAATAAATAAATTTGAGAAGATAGAGGTATTAAAAAAATCACTTTCATCCTGTAGAATTCCCCACAAATGGGCAAAATAAAAAATAACCCCCCAAAATCACTTTCCTTGCCCTTCTTTTTTTTTTTTTTTTTTTTTTGAGACGGAGTCTTGCTCTGTCATCAGGCTGGAATGCAGTGGCACGATCTCAGCTCACTGCAACCTCTGCCTCGCAGGTTCAAGTGATTCTCCCGAGTAACTGGGACTACAGGAGCACGCCACCACACCCAGCTAATTTTTGTATTTTTAGTACAGACGGGGTTTCACCATGTTGGTCAGGATGCTCTCAATCTCTTGAACTTGTGATCTGCCCATCTCAGCCTCCCAAAGTGCTGGGATTACAGGCGTGAGCCACCACGCCCAGCCCTTGCCCTTTATTTTCCAGGTATTTTTATTTTTTTATAATGTGGAATGTTTCCCGAATTTGTGTGTCTTCCTAGTGCAGGGGCCATGCTAATCTTCTCTGTATCATTCCCATTTTAGTATATGTGCTGCCAAAGCAAGCACAATTTTCTAGGTATTATTATTTGGGGGAAATTTAATCTCATCAGCAAATCCTAACAAGACTGCTTTTTCTTTTCCTTCTTTTTGCCAGCTACCGTATATCTGCAATATTTTTTCAAACTTGTCTCATCTCAATGTACAGATACAGTGCTATTCTCCATATCGGGATTTTTGTAAGCCTACCTCTATTGTGGGAGTGGACCACACAGGGGCTTGGCTGCATGACTAGCTTTGGCCAGTGGGACATTAGAAAACGTGATGCAGGCCGGGTGCGGTGGCTCACACCTGTAATCCCAGCATTTTGGGAGGCCGAGGCAGGTGGATCACTTGAGGTCAGGAGTTGGAGACCAGCCTGGCCAACATGGTGAAATGTCATCTCTACTAAAAATAGAAAAATTAGCCCGGTGTGGTGGCGCGCACCTATACTCTCAGCTACTAAGGAGGCTGACGTGGAAGAATTGTTTGAACTCAGGGGACAGGGGCTGCAGTGAGCTGAGACCACGCACTGCACTCCAGCCTGGGTGACAGGGTGGGGCTCAGTCTCAAAAAAAAAAAAAAAAAAAAAAAGAAAAGAAAATGTGATGCAAGCAGAACTTCCATAAGCACTTGCACACTGGAGCCTTTTCTTTTGGAACGCTGTGACAACCAAGTAAGAAGCCAAGTTATGCTATTAGAGATGCCTACTAGAGGAAAATTGATGCGCTCCAACCAACAGCCTTAGCTAATTGCCAGCCATGTGAGTGAGGCCATTGTGAGCCATCCAGCCTTGGTGAAGCTACCAGGTGATTGCAGCTGTTGAAGTGATCTCAAGTGAGACCAGCAGAAGATCTCTTCAGCTGAGCTTAGCCCAAATTGTCGATCACAAGCAAATAAATGATTCCTCTTTAAGCCACTAAGTTATTTTTATTTTTAAAAATATAAAGCTACGTATTGATCGCCATTCAGCAGTATCTGCAAGAAAGTAAGCAATACACACTCAGGTAACAACATTCTTATTACTATAGTGTTATTGTTTTTCCTGGCTTCTTCTGAACCAGTAACCTAAATAGTGAAATGATTGAGCCTACATGTAATGAATGGGTTGAGGTAAAGAAAAAGCATGCAAGTCAAGAGTTTACATTGCAATTGTTCACCCATGTATGCCACCAGGTCTCAAACAGCAACATCTCTAACCATCTATTTAGTTTCATGAGCAAAGACATTCCATGAATTATGACCTTTTGGCCAATATAGCATAAGATTTTCAACTTTTTGTAAAGAAATGGCTCTTTAGAAGGAACCTTTAAATGCCCACTTAGCTAAGCCTTGCTTGGCTAATTAAAACACACCAGTATTGGGCTGAGAGTGGTGGTTTATGTCTGCAATCCCAGCACTTTGGGAGGCTGAGGTGGAAGGATCGCTCAAGGCCAAGAGTTAGAGCAGCTTGGAAAAGAAAGCAAGACCCTGTCTCTACAAAGAAATTTTAAAATTAGCTGGGTGTGGTGGCATATGTCTGTAGTCCTAGCTACTTGCGAGGCTGAGGCGGAAGGATTGCTTGAACCCAGGAGTTCAAGGCTGCAGTTAGCTATAATTGTACCACTGCACACCGTCCTTGGCAACATAACAAGACCCTGTCTCAAAAAAAAAAAAAAAAAGCCACATCAGTATCTGTCTGGTTTCCTCATCTGAGTGCAGAGGTTGTTGGTGATAAAATTTCTCCTTTTAGAAGGTTTTGCAAATAAACTGTTGCTTTTATATGACTATAGCTATAGACATTATGGACTCTGACCTGGCTTTTTTTTTTTTTTTTTTTTGAGACGGAGTTTTGCTCTTATTGCCCAGGCTGGAGTGCAATGGTGCAATCTCAGCTCACCACAACCTCCGCCTCCTGGGTTCAAGTGATTTTCCTGCCTCAGCCTCCCAAGTAGCTAAGATTACAGGCATGCACCACCATGCCCAGCTAATTTTGTATTTTTAGTGGAGATGGGGTTTCTCCATGTTGGTCAGGCTAGTCTTGAACTCCCAACCTCAGGTGATCCGCCCGCCTGGCCTCCCAAAGTGCTGGGATTACAGGCATGAGCCGCCGTGCCCGGCTCTGATTTGGCTTCTTTAAATTGTCCAATTTAAATTGTTTACATTGTATTTAACTTGGCCAACTAATTACAAATTATTCAATTTGAAACATTGTGGCTTTAGGTAAAATTTTAACTTAAGATGATCTATTCTTTGGGCTGCTTAGAACGATGGCATTCCAGAAGAAAACTTGAATTTACCCATGATTGTGAAATGCTATTTCTTAGTTCATGTAAAATAAAAAACAAAACCACAACTATGTACATGTATATTTACATATGCACAAACAAACAAAAATTCAGAATAGCCTTAGGCATTATAGGTTAAACACAAGTTATGATTGAGTAATGATTATGGAAAATGTTCCCAACATTTAGAAAAGAGGAAATAATATACCATGGAACCAAATATTCTTTTCTGGTAAATGAAGCAGCTACAGAAAGCTTTTCCTACTTGTTCAAAAGTAACAAGTGCTATTGATGAAAAAAACCCCAACAAATACCCAAAACAAACAAACCCCAAAAACTCTTTTGATTCTACTTCAAAACAAGATTTTGCAGTAGAAAATAGATTTCATTAGAAAATAGCTGGCCAGGCAGGGTGGCTCACGTCTGTAGTCCCAGCACTTTTGGGAAGCCAAGGCAGGAGGATCACTTGAGCCCAGAGTTTGAGACCAACCTGGGCAACATAGTGAGACTCTATCTCTATTTTTTTAAAAATAGAGTATTTCACACTAATAAGAAAATCAAGACCTAGGTTTTACACACACACACACTATATGGCAGTATACTGCAGTGCAACAATTTTTGAGTTTCATTTTCTGGACAGGAATGCCAAGTTAGTCTCTCTTCATAAAAATAATTTGCAATTTGAGGACACTTCGTGTTTGCCCCTTTGCGTTTGCCTCTTTGCCAGCACCAAGTCAGCCTCGTCTGAGTCTTTGCATTCCATTAGAAACATTAATTCTTCACTGCAGTCTGTGGCACCAATTCTTTGCTTAGGATCAAGAGTTCTGGCAAAGTCTCCTGGTTTTTCAGCAGCATCCCTTTCATTTGCTGTCATCAGATTCACTCTCGGATAAAGATTTTCTTTTTGTACTATCTTTTCCTTTACCAGTTTTTTTGAGGATTAAGAAATAGTTCAATGAACTCAGGAAAATCTAAGTTTTCTTCAGGTTCTCAATTATTGTCAGCAAGTGTAAATCCTTTCCGCTTCAGGGAATATTCCACCTTCCCATTCACCACACCTTGGTGTAGTACTTTTTCCACCACAAAATCCTCAGGCTCTGCTTCATCAGCTTTTATACCCTTTCCACTAAGTCTTTTGTCCCATTTTTTTGCAATGTACAGTGGCCCTCAGTATCCTCGGGTTCCGCATTCCTGGATTCTATCAACCGAGGATAGAACATATTTTAAAATCACAATAAAACAAAAAAATACAAATGAAAAACAATACAGTATAACAACCATTTACATAGCATTTATATTGCATTAGGTATTATAAGTAATCTAGGATGTATGTAGGTTATATGCAAATACTTCGCTCTTTTATATGAGGGACTTGAGCAGCCTTGGATTTTCCTATCCATGGGGGTCCCGGTCCAGAAACCAATTTCCCAAGGATACCAAAGGACGACTGTAGTTTTACTGGAGGCCATTTTTAATTGCAGACATGAAGAGCTATTGTTCACCATCTCGTTCACCATCTCTGAGCTGCACCTGGTCTGGGTCTGTGGCATCTCAAATCCTGCCTGACTCAAACTTGAGCTACATGCAAGGAAGAAGGGAATGGGGAACTTCTTCAGGGGCCACTAAGTTTTGGGGAAGTTCGTTATGTAGCAATAAATAACTGATACAAGGCCACTTAAATATTTTACTCTGTAGTAAGATAGCTAATTAACAAAAACTAAGAGTCAATTGAAGAGAACTCATTAAGGAAGTGGGTCATTTCAAACGCTTTTATTTACTTGTGATGACAATTAAATAAAGAACAAACTCGTCATCTTTCTTTGATGAAAAAATTGTTTGATATTCTGAGAACAAAAGTGATGCCATACTGCCATTAAGAAACTGATTCAGACTCGATCTCTCAACAAGGTAAGACATCAATGTTCCCATCAAGAGCTGCCCATAATACTGCAGTACACTTCTCTGGCACCATTAAAAAAAAAATCTCTTAGAGATGATCCTGAAATCTCTTCTAAAGACATGAAAGAGGTGTGCTTGTATAATCTGGTATTACAAAGAAATGAGAAATTGCCCTGATGACGAATCTCCAGCTCTAATCTCAATTTGCTGAAGTAGAGAGGCAATTCATCTTACCCATTAACTAAGAATTAGAAAAACAATTTGTGTTTTTCTTTGAGTCATTTAACTCAAATACCACTATATAAAGGAATAGAATGAGACATTCGCATGAATTTGAAAGGTAAATAAAACATCAGACTTCAAAGAAATTCCATTAGAATCGGGGGTTACTTTTTTGTTTTCTTTTCCTCCACCTCCACCTTAAGGAACATGAACGGCATTTGGCCACAGTTTATGTCTTTCCAATTTTATCTTCCACCATCTACCGCTCAGTTCTCCTCACTTCCAGCCAAACAATGTATGTTCCCCAAACACGCCTTCACAATTTCGTTCTAGTTGGTGTCTACCTCTAGTATATGTGTAGTCAATTTATACACACATTCCCCACGATCTTGAAACGTCTTGACATCCACAAGCAAATCTAGGTTTCTAACATAACACTAACTTTGTAAGTCTGTCCATATAAGGTTTTAGCAAACCTAGTAAAACAGAAAACGCACTATTATCCAGGCTTATATTCTGAGATTTGAAAAACCCCTCTATCTGCTACCTTTGGGTTTCTGAATTTACATACCACTCTCAAGTATACAGTATTCACGATTTCTAAGAACTGGAGAGTAAACCTAGTCCTCTAACAATGGCATTTTATTTGTTGAGTTAGGGCACTACCTGCCCACGATGAGGATAGTTAATGAAACGCTGCCCGGTAACGACGATTAAAGGCTTTGATTGAAAACGTATTAGGCCTTAAGAATTTTGCGAACATCTAATTTAACCCTAGTAACTGTGGCGTGGGTTCTTTCAGAATTTACACGCACGTGGGAGACCGCGAAGCGCAGGCAGCGTTAAAACTAGGGCGCTGGAGTCACCCCCGTACCCCGAATGCCGTCGGCGCTCCAGGGCCCCCAGAGGGTGCGGGGGGCGGGGACGCTGTGACGTCACAGAGCGCCCTTCTGACGTTCTCACGGACCCGCTTTGCCTCGGGGGCCCACGCTGGAGCCCACCCAGTACTACTAAGAAATGAGGAGGAAAAAGGGGCGCCGGCTCTCGTAGCGCCTATTTTCTCGGCAGAGGGACCCACGTGCTCGCTTTGGTGGACTCTGCGCCCGGCGAGTACCGCCGGCCTGAAGCTTCCCGCCGCCGCGTCCACGCGACCCAGCCAGAGAGGGCTCAGTCAGCCGGCGCGGCACCTACAAGCTCAGTCGGGATCCTGGAGAGGCGGGAAGGCAGCGGGGCCCTTTCCACAGAGAGAACACAGCTCTTCGGGAGATTCCCCCGCTGCCCCCGAGCCCTGCTCTCCCGCCTCGGCCTCTGAGGACTACCCGCAGGGCGCAGGCAGCCGCGAAAGACTCAGCCTCCTTCCAACTTCGCGAGGGCCGAGGGGGCGGGCCCCGGGCGCGCGCGCGGCGAAGCCCCGCCCCTGCCCGCGCGGCCTGCTGGATTCGCCCCGCCCCTCGCTGTCGCCCGCCGCCCGCCACCCGCCACCGCTCTTCCTCCTGCGCCACAGTCCCGGCGGCGGCGCTGGTCGCGGGTCGCACCGTGAGGCTCGCGTGGGCGGCGATAGGCGCTGGGCCCGGGCCCGGTGAGGAGCGCGCCGCGCGTCCCCTTCTCCTCAGGAGTGGCGGGCCGCGGAAGTGACGTGGTGCACGGGCAGGAGCGCGTTTGAATCGGTTCCCGGGTGATCCTCGCGCCTGCCGCTGCTCGGCCGCCGCCGCTGACGAGGAGCTGCAGCGCGCCGGGCCGAGGCCTCGAGCCGCCCCGGGAGCTGGAGCTGAAGGCGCCGCGCGGAGCGCGCACCTCAGCCCTGAGCCCGGCGGCGGCAGGCGTCGCTGTCTTTTCTCCTTTTCCCCAATATGGCAGCGGCGGACGGCGGCGGGCCTGGTGGGGCCTCTGTGGGGACTGAGGAGGATGGCGGAGGCGTCGGCCACAGGACGGTGTACTTGTTTGATCGGCGCGAAAAGGAGTCCGAGCTCGGGGACCGGCCTCTGCAGGTCGGGGAGCGCTCGGACTACGCGGGATTTCGCGCGTGTGTGTGTCAGGTACGCGAAGGGGCGAGGAAGGGATGCGCGTGTAGACTTGGGGGCGGGAGGGTGATGAGAAACTCAACTTGCTCACTGAGGGCAATAAACCTGTCACCCGGTCCCGGTCCTGCGGCCTTGGCTTCCCTCTCCCGTGTGCCCGCCATGTCCGTGACCTGGTGGCCGGACGCCTCGGGCGGGCCCTGGCCCGGGCCTCGAAGTGCAGGGCCGGCTCCCCCGTGGCCCTCCCTCTGCCTCCGCTCCTTTTACGGGAGGCCTTGCCGGCCCGGGTGGAGAGCTCAGCGTTTGTTGGCCCTGGGCGAGCTTAGCCCGGTTGCGGCCCTGCAGTCTAGGGAAAGCCGTTGGTGGTGTCTGTTTTTACTTTGTAACTTTTTTAAAACGAGAGAAGGGAGTTAACGCCCAGGGGCTCTGTTGTGAGTGTTGCGACGGTGGGAAGTTGTGAAATGCCCGGAGTCATCTCCCCCAAGTTCATTAGATGATGCGGGGTGTCCCCGGGTTGCCCTGTCGAGGTTGCAGGTCCTTCTGGGGCGGGGCGGCGGGGGGGATCCTTCCGCACGGAGACACTTGTCCAGGTCAGCTCTGCAGGTAGAGCTGGCCTTCTGCCTGTCTGAGCCCTAACCCTTGGGAATTTCCAAACCAAGTCAAAGGTTGGTATGGGTGGCTGTGGAGCACCAGAAAACGTACCTACCCCGTGTATTGGTTCGCTTTGAAAATGAACGTGGAGGGAAATCCGCTTTAAACTGTGATGTACTTTATAGATATGAGGTGGTGGCATTGCCTGAGCTTTGAAGAAGGAATATTGTCATGCTCTGAATTAACCATATGAGGTCCCTTTTTAAGCTGTTAAGAACACTTAGCGTCCAAGGGAAAAAAAGAACTTTGAAGCCGTGTTTTGTCGTGAGGCTGATAGGTTTAGAAATGTTCTAGACCATATAACTGTATGGTTGCTGAAATAATTGAAATCGTGATCCGTAGAATGAAAACGATTGGAGAAGTAAGGACTTTCTTTTGTTCACAGCTGTAGTCCCAGCGTCTAGAACTGTGCCTGCGACATTGTAAATGCCCAGATTAGAATGGATAAATGAATGAAGACAAAAACCTATCCCCTCAAGTTAATTCTGTGCCTGAACGTAGTAGATTCCCGTTGTGTTTGAAAAGTGAATGAATGCTCATCTTTTTTGTTGAATGCTTTCTATTCAGAACCATTCTACAAAAGGGAAACTTTTTACGTTTATTGTGTTTATAGTAAAAATATCAGTACATTAAAGAAAATATGGAACCAGAGGGGGGAAACAAGTAAATCTTTTACTCGCTGTAAAACTACTATATGACTACTCTTAGCACCTGAGGTTATGTCTTTTCAGCCTTCCTCCTCCTTCCCACTCCATTTTTTAAATTACTAAAATATGTGTTTTATATTCTATTAATTTTTTCACTTAATAGTGTCAGAAGTTTCTTTAAACGTAGGTCTTCAAATCAAAATTTGAAATGGTCCATTTGCTACCACTATTTACATAACCGAATCTCTCCTTTCTGTTGACATTTACATTACTTTTAATTTTTTTGATTTTAAGTAATGCTGTAATAAACATTTTCCCAGGCCCAAATATTCCCGGGCTCAGGTGATCCTCCCACCTCAGCCTCCCAAGTAGCCAGGACTACAGGTGAGCGCCACCATGCCCAGCTATGTTTTTTTTTTTTCGTATTTTTCGTACATACGGGGGTTTGGCTGTGTTGCCCAGGCTAGTCTCGAGCTCCTGGGCTCAAGAGATCCACCCGCCTCCCAAAGTGCTGGGATTACTGGCGTGAGCCACTGCACCCAGTGGAAAAACATCTTTGAATACATAGCCGTTTATGTCTTTTATTATTGTTTGCTTAGTTTGAAATCTTAGAACTGGATCAAAGATGAGATACATCTTTAAAGCTCTTGTTTCGTATTTTAAAATTGCTTTTTGAAAATGTTTTGCTACTTTACCCTTCCTCTAGAAATGCACTATTTCCCTCTCGTGAGATGTCTCAGTAACTCTTAGATAAATAGAGGAAGTATTATTGGCCTTTTATTACAGAAGTATAAACACAGTCGTGGAAATGGTGACTCATTACTCAGATAGTAAAGCTCAAGTTAGTATTCAAACCCAGAACCTCTGTTCATTCTGTTATACTACTCAAATGGCATTCTTTGCTGTAGGGAACAGATGTATTTATTCCTTCCTTCAATATTTCAACTGGAAAACCAAGGAAAATATTTCTTTTAACTAATTCTGTTCCTCCTTCCTCCCACTTTATCCTGCTAGAAAACGTTTTAAATTTAGTTAGAAATGAGAGGGACCAACTAGTAAGAAAAAAGAAGGCTGAGAAGGCTAACTTTTTTGTTGTTAGACTTCTTTTAAGCATTATTAGATTGTGCCTCGGATCCCATAACTTTGTCTCCATTACGTACTCGAAGAACTGAATTAAGTCAGTGAATTAATAATCTGAGATTACATGGTCAACAAGCAGTGAAACTGGGATTGGAATTTAGGTCAATTTGATTCCAAAGCTTATGTATACATATACATATATATGTGTGTGTGTATATATATGTATATGTATATATACATATATATACACACATACACACATATATACACATATATACGTGTATACGCATATATACATATATACACATATATACACATATATATACACACACATATATATATTTTTTACACTACTCCACACTATTTATTAGAACCATCACTTTTGTCCTTAGGGGAAGAGACAAAATAATATACTAAAGTTTTTGTTAAAATGTAAATTAAACCAATAAATGTTTGTAGTGTCAGGCAGTATTATGGGTGATCCTAAACTGTTACTTATTTATTTATTTTTTTTGAGACGGAGTCTCGCTCTGTTGCCCGGGCTGGAGTGCAGTGGTGCCATCTTGGCTTACTGCAACCTCTGCCACCCAGGTTCAAGTGATTCTCCTGCCTCGGCCTCTTGAGTAGCTGGGATTACAGGTGCCTGCCACCACGCCTGGCTAATTTTAATACTTTTAGTAGAGATGGGGTTTTGCCATGTTGGCCAGGCTGATCTTGAACTCCTGACCTCAGGTGGTCCACCTGCCTTGGCCTCCCAAAGTGCTGGGAATACAGGCATGAGCCACCACGCCCAGCTCTAAATTGTTATTTGAATAAAGTTCACCTCATGGAAAAGGAGAGGGAAGAAATGGAAAGGACAAATCTGCAAGAAGCCCTTAGACCTCTGATAAGCAGCTGTTGACTCACCTGAGCCCTTGTGGCCTTGCAGAATCAACGATTAGAAGATGACTCATTTGGTTAGTTCTAAAATATGCCCAGATGTTAAGTCCCATGTGTGCATATCCCCCCACCACCAATTTGAAGAAATTGTCTACATTTTCCTTTGTGTGGCTCCAATGTTTTTTGTTGTGCGGCTATTCTAGGTGTTTTGTATTTTAATATAAGATGTGCTCATCAATTTCTACAATAAACTTGAGATTTTGAAAAAAAAAAAAAAAAAAAGCAGAAAACTATGGCTTAGCAAGTGCCATAGTAAGGTAACGAAATATAATGGAGCCACATTAAAAGCTGACTAGTTTGCAGAGTTTCAGAGCAGTGCTAATTAAGCTGTGTGCTTTCTGACTAATCCATGGATGAAAATTACCTGTTGTTCAGAGATAGTGAAAAAATAATTTTAAAAATAAAATTAACTGATCATTTTGGTAGGTAATCATTTTATGCACTGCAAGTCAGTTAGTCCTTAAATATTTAAGAGAAGTTGGGGACGGCATAGTGGCTTACACCTGTAATCCCAACACTTCGGGAGGCCAAGGCGGGCGGATCACCTGAGGTCAGGAGTTAGAGATCAGCTTGGCCAACATGGTGAAACCCCGTCTCTACTAAAAATACAAATATTAGCTGGATCTGGTGGCGGGTGCCTGTAATCCCAGCTACTCGAGAGGCTGAGGCAGGGAGAATTACTTGAACCCGGGAGTCGGAAGTTGCAGCGAGCTGAGAACGCACCGCTGCACTCTAGCCTGGGTGGCAGAGCGAGACTCTTGTCTCAAAAAACAAACAAACAATAATAAAATAAAATACTTAGAAAAATTGTGAATTCAAGAAATAATTTTTATAGATGAAGCAGGGAAAACAAAAAGATAGTTTATGTGTCTTAATTAAATAATAATAAATTTATAGATTAAAAATCCATGGTTTTTTTTTTTTTTTTTTTGATGGGAGTTTCACTCTTGTCACCCAGGCTGGAGTGCAGTGGCGCAATCTTGGCTCACTGCAACCTCCGCCTCCCAAGTTCCAGCGATTCTCCTGCTTCAGCCTTCCAAATAGCTGGGATTACAGGCACCAGCCGTCATGCCCGGCTAATTTTTGTATTTTTAGTAGAGATGGGATTTTACCATGTTGGCCAGGGTGGTCTGGAACTCCTGACCTCAGGTGATCGATCTACCCACCTCGGCCTCCAAAAGTGCTGGGATTACAGGCATGCGCCACCATGCCCCCTGGAAAATCCATGGATATTTAATATGGATGAAAAATCCATGGATATTTCATATGGATTTTTGATGTGGATTAAAAACCATGGATTTTTAATATGGATTAATTTTAAAGTTTATTGCAGCACTATTTACAATAGTAAAGACGTGGGACCAACACAAATGCCTATTGATGATCAACTGGATAAAGATAATGTGGCACATATACACCATGGAATACTATGCAGCCATAAAAAAGAATGAGATCATGTCCTTTGCAGGGACGTGGATGAAGCTGGAAGCCATCATTCTCAGCAAACTAACACAGGAACAGAAAACCAAACACTGCATGTTCTCACTCATAAGTGGGAGTTGAACAATGAGAACACATGAACATAGGGCGGGGAACATCACACACAGGGACCTGTTGTAGGGTAAGAGGCAAGGAGAGGGAGAGAATTAGGACAAATACCTAATGCATGTGGGGCTTAAATCCTAGATGACAGGTTGATAGGTGTGGCAAACCACCATGGCACATGTATATCTATGTAACAAACCTGCATGTTCTGCACATGTATCCAGGAACTTAAAAAAAAAAAAAGATAGTTTGTGTGTCTTAATTGAATAATAGTAGATTTATAGATTAAAAATCTATGGGTTTTTAATATGGATTAGAAATCTGTGGGTTTTTAATATGGATTAGAAATCTGTGGGTTTTTAATATGGATTAGAAATCTGTGGGTTTTTAATATGGATTAAAAAACATCTGTGGGTTTTTAATATGGATTAAACATCTGTGGGTTTTTAATATGGATTAAACATCTGGGTTTTTAATATGGATTAAACATCTGTGGGTTTTTAATATGGGTTAAAAATCAAAAGAAAATGAACTATTTGCTCCAGTGCAGGAAAATACAGGCAATACTGGATACAATTAGATGGTCAGGAGCGATAACCCGGTTGCCATTGTTTGAAGAAGAGAATAAGGTGCTAGCATTCCTATCCGTAGATAATTTGACAGCTAGGAAATAGGGGGAGTCTTCTATGTAGTTAGTGAAGGCTAAATGAACTATTATATGCAGTTATCGTAGAAGAGTACTCAAAAAAATCTGTAAAAAATAAAGAAAGGCCGGGCGCGGTGGCTCACGCCTGTAATCCCAGCACTTTGGGAGGCCGAGGCGGGTGGATCATGAGGTCAGGAGATCGAGACCATCCTGGCTAACAAGGTGAAACCCCCGTCTCTACTAAAAAAATACAAAAAATTAGCCGGGCGCGGTGGCAGGCGCCTGTAGTCCCAGCTACTCGGGAGGCTGAGGCAGGAGAATGGCGTGAACCCGGGAAGCGGAGCTTGCAGTGAGCCGAGATTGCGCCACTGCAGTCCGCAGTCCGGCCTGGGCGACAGAGCGAGACTCCGTCTCAAAAAAAAAAAAATAAAATAAATAAATAAATAAATAAAGAAAGAAAGAAAGAAAGAAAGAAAAAATAATAGACTTATGTGGGATTATATGGAATAATTAGATATGTTTAGGTGAACATAGATCTTAAAAAAATCATTTGCACATAGTTTTTCAGTAACTACAGGATGCATAATTACATGATTTAACAAGTGGGACATTGGCCAGGCCTGGTGGCTCACGCCTCTAATCCCAGCACTTTGGGAGGCCAAGGCAGGGAGATCATCTGAGGTCAGGAGTTTGAGACCAGCTGGCCAACGTGGTGAAACTCTGTCTCTACTAAAAATGCAAAAATTAGCCAGGTGTGGTGGCACACGCCTGTAGTCCCAGCTGCTTGGGAGGCAGAGGCAGGAGAATGGTGTGAACCCGGGCGGCGGAGCTTGCAGTGAGCTGAGATCGTGCCATTGCACTCCAGCCTGCACAACAGAGCAAGACTCCATCTCAACAACAATAACAACAAAAAACCAAAAAAAAAAAAAAAAAAAAAAAGGGACATCATAGAAATAAAAAAGTAGTAATGAATTAAAAAATACACGACTGTCATGGTTATATGAAACCTAATAAAAATCTATAAGGTCATTTTTGTCTCTGTTAAACAAATAGAATCTTCCCAGTCAGTTTATGTTCATGGCTTTATTTCTCTAGGGTGGAATTGCATGGAATATGAGTATCTTTTAAGTTTACTAAAGTATGCCAAATTAATTACTTTCTTTATGTTTGACTTTTTTTCAGTCATATCAGCAGTGTGTAAGGTACCTATTTCTCTGTACAGAGGCCTACACTTGATGGGCTCAGAATTTAACATTTTTGCCTACCTGATGAGAATAAGTTATATTAATTTCACTGATAACTAGTGATGTTGATCTTTTTATGTTGTCTGGTCTTTTTCTTTATGACTTGTGCTATTTGCATCTTTTGAGACAGAGTCTCACTCAAAAGTCACCCAAGCTAGAGTGCAGTAGTGTGTGATCACGGCTCACTGCAGCCTCGGCTTCCCAGGCTCAGGGGATCGTCCAACCTCAGCCTCTTGAGTGGTTGTGACTACACGTGTGCACCACCATGCCCAGCTATTTTTTTTTTTTCCATTTTTTGTAGAGATGGGGTTTTACCACATTGCCCAGGCTGGTCTTGAACTCCTGAGTTCAAGCAATCCGCCCACCTTGGCCTCCCAGAGTGCTGGGATTACAGCTGTGAACCACTGTGCCTGGCCCACTGTTTGTACCTTTTCAGAAATCCCTTTATGCTCACTCAAAATTATTTCCCTATGTGTTCTTTTACAATTTTGGGCTAATGTACAACTGCTTTAATTCTCCTGGAATTTATTTTTGTCTAAGTTAAGGTGTGGATTTTATCTGTTTCCATGTTGAGATAACTAGTTGTCTTAATATCATTCATTGGATAGTTTATTCTTTCCCCACCAATTTGTAATGTCACCTCTCTTGTTTGCTAGGCTCTGCATCCATATATATGTGGACCTGTCTAAGGGCCCTCTATTCTCTTCCACTGGTCTATTCCAGGAATTTTTTTTTTTAAGACGGAGTCTCGCTCTGTCGCCCAGGCTGGAGTGCAGTGGCGCGATCTCACCTTACTGCCAGCTCCACCTCCCGGGTTCACGCCATTCTCCTGCCTCAGCCTCCCGAGTAGTTGGGACTACAGGCGCCTGCCACCACGCCTGGCTAATTTTTTTGTACTTTTAGTAGAGACGGGGTTTCACCGTGTTAGCCAGGATGGTCTCGATCTCCTGCCCTCGTGATCCACCCTCCTCAGCCTCCCAAAGTGCTGGGATTACAGGTTTGAGCCACCGCGCCCGGCCTATTCCAGGATATTTTAAAGTAGAAATTTTCTTATGAAAACCTTCAGACACAAAGAGAGAATCATGTTATGAACCCCAGTGTACTCATCCAGATTCAAGTTAATAGGAATTTACCACACTAGGATCATTTTTGTTTTTGTAATGTATTTAAGGCATATTCTAGGTCTTAGGTCATTTCACCCCATATACTTCAGCCTGAATATGTATTATCAAACCATTAAAATAAAGCATTTTTAATATTGTCTAATGTCCCTGTCCATATTGAGTTCTCTGAATGTTTAAAAGTATCTTTTTATAGTTGGTTTGTTTAAATCAGGATCTGACATAGTCCTCACATTAAATTTGTTTTTTTTTTGTTTCCTAATTATTTTCAATTTAAAGCATTTGAGCAAATTCCTCCTCCACCAGTCTCTTTAGTTTTCCTGCAGTTGACCTCTTGAAGAAATCAACTAGGTCTTTAATATTCCACATTATGGATTTGTTTGTGCTCTTTTTTGGTGTTACTTAATTTGTTTTATCTCCGTATGTATTCTGTAAACTAAAAGTTAGCTTTAAAGGCTTGATTTGATTTAGGTTCAACTTCTTTGGGGTCAGGAGGCAAAGAATGCTTTGTAGGTAGTACTGATACTTCATATGGCATTACACTGGGAGGCACGTGATGTGTGGGTGTTTCACCCACTCATAGCAATGCTAACATTAAAATCTTGGGATTCACGTGATTTCAGCAGGATTCCTCCATAAGGAAGTTTTGATCTGACTTGCCATTCCTCCTGTGTTTATTAGCTGGAATTCTTTAAGGAACAACTTTGCCTCATCAGCCAGAGCTATTTTGGTTATCCTGAAGTACCATTGATACAAGAAAAGCAGTGTAAATAATTTGTTCTTTCCCTTTAATTTGTCAGTGTTCAGAGTGACAAGTTGGTGCCCTAGCTCATCCCAGTGGTGAGCAATAATGGTTTTTATTAATATCATTTTTGAAGATTTGAGTATCACTAGTCTAGATTTTTTAGATGTTTTCAATAAGAATGTTAATCTTTAGACTAGTCCATTACTACCCGAAACAGAAGCCTTTTCTCTTAACTATATATTGCTGTATTGTTTCATTTTAGACAGAGCATGTATGTTTTAATTCTAATGTAAATGAAAATGTTAACCACTTTTCTAATTCTCATTTTTTGATTAATGTGATTTTACAGTTCATGTGTTCATTGGTCATTTGTATTTTCTCCTTTTCATTTTTTTGTGTTTTTACTTTTTCTCTTTGTTGATCCTTGTCACCCTTTTGTTTCTTGTTGCAATTTCCCTCTAATTTTTTTTTTTCTTTGAGACGGAGTCTCATTCTGTTGCTCAGGCTGGAGTGCAGTGGTGTGATCTTGGCTCACTGCAACCTCCGCCTCCCCAGTTCAAGTGATTCTCCTGCCTTGGCCTCCTGAGTAGCTGGGATTACAGGTGTGCGCCACCACACCTGGCTAATTTTTGTATTTTTAGTAGAGACAGGGTTTCACCATGTTGGTCGGGCTGGTCTTGAACTCCTGACCTTGTGATCCGACGGCCTCAGCCTCCCAAAGTGCTGGGATGACAGGCATGAGCTACCATGCCTGGCCAGTTTCCCTCTAATTTATAATTTGCTTTAATTTTTAAAGTTATTCGTTTGAATGGACCTGTATGTCTTACAAAGCATGGCTGTTCTTCCCTCCGTGCTATAAAATGCTAACTTCTGTTTTCTTCTATTTTGTTTTTGCATACTTAAATATCTAGTCTATATGAACATGAGTTATGTTAAAGCTTTGTTCCAAATAAGTTGATAACTTGTACGTTAGTATGAAATACTATGTCTTTTGTCTGGGTGGGTCCTGCTGATGATGTTAAAATGCTTTTAAAACGTTCCACCTAATCACTAGTGTTCCTAGGTTGCTTATAGTAGCAGAAAAAATGACCTTGTTAAGTAAGTAATTTATATAGATTTATGCACTATTAATTATGCAAAGGCAAAATTTAGATATACTGAGTTTTGTATTTCCTAGATAAGTGTAGTGGTTACAGAATTATAATGTACTATCAATATTTTCATATTTTTATAAATTTGAATAATACATTTATTTCCTTTGTGTAATAAGTGATTTTATTTCTTATTTTGGATAGACACTTGGCATTTCACCTGAAGAAAAATTTGTTATTACAACAACAAGTAGGAAAGAAATTACCTGTGATAATTTTGGTAGGTAAACAGTGTTACTAAGTTGATGCTTTTATATTTAATAAGGTTTAGTACATATATAGCAATAACTTTTATTAGATATGCATCTAAATCTGTTGATGACTTTTGTTAATTTGTTGGGATGAGGGAGGAAACTGGCTGCATGTGCATAGTCTGCACAGAGGTTATATTTTTCAAGCTTGATTATAGAAAAATAGTTGATATCAGTTATGGCTACAGAAGATGATTCTGCCTAGCACAAATCTTCTGAAGCTAATTTTGCTAACCAACTTGGATTATTCCATTATCTTTTTTTAACCTAATTAGTTTTCCAAGACCTGCTGGTTTTTCATGCCTGATTCCATCTGAATTTAACCATTCTCCATTCATGTTGACACTACGCTATTTTAGATTCTCGTCTGATTTCCTGTGATAGTTTAACTTATTAAGAATTGAGTGTTTCAAATGAATGGAAGGAAGTATTTGTGCTTGTTTCATTAATATCCTTAACATGACTTTGCTTACAGGTAGATGATTGGGGGTTTTTCTTTACCATCATTAAAGATATTTCATAGATAGAATTTGTATATTCACAATTATAAGTTCATTGAGTTTCTGATGCTGACCTAGCACTTATGATTTTCACTCTTGATTACAGATGAAACTGTTAAAGATGGAGTCACCTTATACCTGCTACAGTCGGTCAATCAGTTACTACTGACAGCTACGAAAGAACGAATTGACTTCTTACCTCACTATGACACACTGGTTAAAAGTGGCATGTATGAATATTATGCCAGTGAAGGACAAAATCCTTTGCGTAAGTATCCCATTCATACTAATTTTGATAAATTATTACCTGCCTTTATCCCCTGATTACGTATCCCATTCCTTCACTTTTTGTAAATCTTCTTATTACACTTTATTAGAAGACCACTCATTTTCTTTCTTACTCAAATTCATCACGGTATTATTATGTCTTCTACCTGTGTCATCTTCAGTGAAAAAAAACTCTCCTTTAAAGCTAACCTACTAGTAGAACTTTTCTTTTCAACTCATAAGGGGTCTTGACCTATACAGCTTTCCATCGCCTGTATACTCTCTTCTCCTGATTTCCTAGCCTCCCATAGACCTTTCCCAATTAAGAAAATACTTGTTTTACTTTGCAAATACATATAGCTAGGTTGCGTAAGTAAGAAGTTTGTGTTCATATTTCCATGTCTTTATCATTTCTTTCTACCTTTACTACTTGCTAGTTTCTGTCCTTTCTCTGGACCATTTGCTAGTGATCTTTACAAATCAATTAGTTTACTGAATCCTCTCTTTCAGGACTTGCCAAAGTGTCTAATACTACTTACATGTTCATCGTAAACTTTTGTATTAAAATTATTTTTTTCTCATTATATGTGTATTTGCAGGAAATTAGAAAACATAGATAAGCAAATAGAACATAAAGAATATCTCTACTACCCAGACATAACCACCACTAACACTTTGGTGTTTATCATTTCAGACCTTTTCATATTATTTGATTTTTAATGGTTTTATATGGTGCATACTTCTTTAACCTACATTTTGTTTAAAAATAAAGTGAACATCTTTTAATATATATGTCTCTGTATATTTTGATAATATTTAGGTAATATAATTTATTTGAACAGTATTCTTTTTCTTTTTTTGTTTTTTGAGACAGAGTCTCTCTCTGTCACCCTGGCTGGAGTGCAGTGGTGTGATCTTGGCTCACTGCAACCTCTGCCTCCTAAGTTCAAGTGATTCTCCTGCCTCTGCCTCCCGAGTAGTTGGGATTACAGGCAGGCACCACCACGCCTGGCTAATTTTTGTATTTTTAGTAGAGACGGAGTTTCACCATGTTGACCAGGCTGGTCTTGAACTCCTGACCTCAAGTGATCCTCCCGCCTCGGCCTCCCAAAGTGCTGGGATTACAGGTATAAGCCACCATGCCCGGTCTGAACAGTGTTCTTCTATTAGACATTTAGGTTGTTTTTAATTGTGTTATGGTTACAAATGACTCTGAATGTTCTTGTGACTAAATCTGTGTGTGCTTTCTTAATGTAACACTACCACTGCTGTCATTACTATTGGCTACAGTGCCAGGCATTGTACCAAGTACTTATGAGCGTTGTCTCATTTACTCCTTAATCCTGTGTGGTAGCTAATGTTAGGAAATAATATAGGTAAAGATCCTGTTTTGCAGAATTAACTGGGGCTAAGAGATTTTAGGTGACTTGCTACACTACTAGTGAGTAGTGGAGCCAGCATTTAAACTTTAGGAGAGTGACTTCAGAGCTTGAATATATAACTAGTATATTTATTACCTCTCATGTTGTTCTTTTTGTACAAAAAAGCTCTTCTCCCATCTTAAAAACACTAAAGTCTTACTTCCTTCACTGGCTACTGCCTAAAATTTTTTGATCCTGTTTATAGCAAAACTCCTCCAGAGAGTTGAATGCATTCGCTATTAGCAGTCCTTCTCTTCCTCCCATTGTTTCTTACTCTGACCAGACGTTTTCGCCTACCACTCTACTGTACCCACGCTCTTATGGTCACCAACAGCTAAATCCAGTGATAAATTTTTAATTTTCAGTTCTAATTTTTCTTGACGTGTTACTTGACATTGTTTTGTCACTTCTTCCTTTTTGATATACTTTTTTCACTTGACTTTCGAGGGTCCATATTCTTGATTTTTTTCCTTTTTGCAGTAACGTGACCATAGCACACTGTAGCCTCGAACTCCTAAGCTTAAACAATCCCCCTGCCTCAGTCTCCTGAATGACTAGGACTACAAGTGCATACCACCATGCCCAGCTAATTAAAAAAAAAAAAAAAATTGTAGCTGGATGCAGTAGCTCATACCTGTAATCCCAGCACTTTGAGAGTCTGAGGCAGGAAGATCACTTGAGACCAGGACTTTAGGACCGGCCTGGGGGACATGATATGACCCCATCTTTACAAAAAAATACAGGAATTATTTGGACATTTTGGTGCATGCCTTGTTTAGCTACTTGGGAGGCAGAGGCAGGGGGATTGCTTGAGTGAGCCAAGGAATTCGAGGCTATAGTGAGCTATGACTGCACCCCTGCACTTCAGTCTGGGCAACAGAGTGAGCCTCTCTCTCTAAAAAATAAAAATAAAAATAAAATTTTCTTTGTAGAGATGGAGTCTCACTATGTTGCCCAGGCTGGTCTTGAATTGCTGGCCTCAAATTATTCTCCTGCCTTGGTCTCTCAAAGCCGTGGGATTATAAGCACCTTGATTTTCTTCTTACCTCACTGCCTGCCCTTTCTTCTCTCCCCACCTTATTAATATTGAAGTGCCTTAGGGCTTAGTTCTTGCCCTTTATGTTGTATCTTACTTCCTCACTTGGTGATCAGGTCCTATCTCATGGTTCTAAATAACATCATTACAGAAGTGACTCTCACAAGGAAGAGGTAGGAAATGGTCATTTTTAGTTAAATATTGAAAATGGTGCCGGGTTTATCTCTTGAAGTCCAGTTTTATCCATCCAGCTGCCCATGTGGCATCTCCTCTAGGATGTCTAAAATGGGAACCCTCATCTGCTCACTGAATTTTATACCACACATAGTTCCCCCTATCTGAATTGATTATTACTGTGTCCTTCCTGCTGCACAGGCCAAAAATCAAATTGATACTTGTATTTCTCATACCTCTCATACCTCTTAATCTGACAGAAAATCCTTTGGGTCCTATTCTCAATGTTTTATCTTAAAATGACCATTTCTCACCATTTCTATTGCTACCACCTGGTCTGGAGGCACCATTGTATCACCCAGATTACACTAACTAGTAGTTACTGGTACCTGTCTTTTCATCCCTGTCCATAAAAGGTTTGAGAAATTGGATTGTGTCACTCGCTGCTGAAAACACCCATGGCTCCCCATTTCACTAAGAGTAAACACCAAAGTCGTTACAGTTGCCTGCAGGGACTTACTAGCTCTGCTTTGTACTTCTCTGACTTTGTTTCTACTACCTTTCTTACTTTTTCACTCCCCTTCACTGCCATCCATATTCTCAGCTTAGGGCCCTCTGCTTGGAATGCTTTTCCTCCAGTTAGCCCTGCACTCATTTCTTCACTTCCTCCAAGTCTTGGTTATCTGTTGTGTTCTCAACAAAACTTAGTCTATTTAATTGCAACTGTATTCCTTCTGTGTCTTTACTGTTACTTGATTTCATTTCTCTGCTGTTTCTTTTTTCTCTATTGCACAAACCATCTTCTAACATGCTATAGAATTTATTTATTATGATTATATTTTCTTTCCCATATTCCTCCATTAGAATGTTAAATCCCTAAGAACAGAACCTTCATCTGCTTTATTCAGTTCCTAGAACAATGCCTGGCACATAGGTGCTTAAATATTTTAAAATTGAGTGAATCTGGCTGGGCTCACGCCTGTAATCCCAGCACTTTGGGAAGCCCCGGCGGGCAGATTACTTGAGGTCAGGAGTTCGAGACCATCCTGGCCAACATGGTGAAACCCCGTCTCTACTAAAAGTACAAAAATTGGCCAGGCGTGGAGGTGGGTGCCTGTAATTCCAACTACTCGAGAGGCTGAGGCAGGAGAATCGCTTGAACCTGGGAGGCGGAGCTTGTAGTGAGCTGAGATCATGCCACTGCCACTCCAGCCTGGGCACCAGAGGGAGACTGCATCTAAAAAAAAAAAAAAAGAAAATTGAGTGAATCTTTTAATTCTTTTTTTTTTTTTTTGAGATGGAGTTTGGCTTGTTGCCCAGGCTGGAGTGCAATGGCGTGATCTCGGCTCACCGCAACCTCCGCCTCCTGGGTTCAAGCAATTCCCCTGCCTCAGCCTCCCAAGTAGCTGGGATTACAGGCGTGCACCACCACACCTGGCTAATTTTGTATTTTTAGTAGAGATGGGGTTTCTCCATGTTGGTCAGGCTGGTCTCAAACCCCTGACTTCAGGCGATCTGCCCGTCTCGACCTCCCAAAGTGCTGGGATTACAGGCGTGAGCCACTGCACCTGGCCCATGAATCTTTAATTATTTTCCTGGGGATAAATTGCTAAGTGTATAATTATAGAGTCAACAGAAGTATTTTAAACTCTTAATGTAGTTTATGTTTCATATTGATCAGTTTTCATCATGCCATCATTATGAAATGATATGAAAACCCTATCAGTTGAAACCATATCAGTTGAAAACCGTATCAGTTTTCATTCATACCATCATTATATGGATAAGCAGAAAACCCCAGTGTTTAAAATCTTGCCTTGATTTCTGTGACTTTACAGTACATTCCCGGGTCTTTCCCTACTTCTGTTTCCCTACTTCTGGTTCTTTTTGACTCTGGTGGACATTTCTTCAAGTTATGTTGATCTTTTCTTTTCTTTTTTTTTTTTTTTTTTGAGACAGAGTCTCGCTCTGTCGCCCAGGCTGGAGTGCAGTGGCACTATTTCGGCTCACTGCAAGCTCCGCCTCCCGGGTTCACGCCATTCTCCTGCCTCAGTCTCCTGAGTAGCTGGGACTGCAGGCGCCCACCAGCACGCCTGGCGAATTTTTTTGTATTTTTTTAGTAGAGACGGGGTTTCACTGTGTTAGCCAGGATGGTCTTGATCTTCTGACCTGAAGATCCGCCCGCCTTGGCCTCCCAAAGTGCTGGGATTACAGGCGTGAGCCACCGCGCCTGGCCTTGATCTTTTCTTTTTATACTTTCAGTAAACTGATCCAAGCCTTAACTGTTGTACCTGTGTGATGAAGCAAATTTCTTTTTCCCCTCTTCTTTTTCATCTAATCAGATTCTAAATTCTACTCATTTCTTCCTTCCAAATTTCTCTTTAGGTTTCTTTTCCTGCCATTTCCTACAGTGTCCCTTCTTCATTTTCTGGAGTTATTACCTTAGCCAGATTACCCTTGTACATAATCTGATTTGTGGTAACTTCTTTGCAATTCGTTTATAAACATAGCTGTCCTTGGAGTGTTTAGGGTGAGTAGAAGTGCTTGCTGGAGTGCTACTTTGGTTTTTTTGTTTTTGTTTTTGAGATAGAGTCTCGCTCTGTTGCCCAGGCTGGAGTGCAGTGGTGCAATCTTGGCTCACTGCAACCTCTGCCTCCCAGGTTCAAGCGATTCTCCTGCCTCAGCCTCCCGAGTAGCTGGGATTATAGGCACCAGCTACCACGCCCAGCTATTTTTTTGTATTTTTAATAGAGATAGGGTTTCACTGTGTTGGCCAGGCTGGTCTCAAACTCCTGACCTCATGTCATCAGCCTGCCTCGGCCTCCCAAAGTGTTGAGATTACAGGCGTGAGCCCACATCCAGCGTGAAATGCTACTTTGCATTAATTACAGCTTTTGTGGGGTTAAGCTTCTGCAGAATTAAGATACGTAAATTTGATATGTTCCCTTTCTTTTTACTAAAGGGATAAAAGCAGGAAATAGTGTGAATAGTGACCTTGAAGAAAGGAGAATATTAGTTAATGTTGAGCCAGTGATAAATTGAATGTCACGTTGGTGGTGTGGTAGTGAATCTATAGCAGTTCTGTGTCAGTTGAACAGATGTATTCTGCCACTTGAAAAATTTGTTAGTCATAAGAATTCTATATCCAAATTAGCTTTCAAGAGACACTTATCTTGCAGATGAGCAGTATAGGAAATTTAAAAAAAAGACACTTATTATCACTTCATATTTGCCCTCGTATTTCTAGATGTGCTTACTTTGGACTTGTGCTTGATGTAATTACATACTGCAGACTATTTGATTTTATGGTTATGGTCTTCTGTTTGTCTCTTAATGTCTGTATGTCTGTCTTTAGATTATAAACTCCTTGAAGCCAGGAATCATGGCTGGCTGACTCATGCTGTATAGTGCCATACAAGTACTGATTGATGACTGCTTTTTTGATGCTGGTGGTGATTGGTGATGATGCCTTTATTATGTATTATATCATTAGGATCAGGATAATACTTTAATTCTAGCTCTTTGGCTTTAAGGTACTTGATAGTTTCTTCTTCTTTGAACTTTTATATAAAGTATGTGGGAGGGAAAAGTTAAGCAATGTTTTCTTGATCTCTTGCAGCATTTGCTCTTGCGGAATTAATTGACAATTCATTGTCTGCTACTTCTCGTAACATTGGGGTTAGAAGAATACAGATCAAATTGGTAAGGAAATAATACTGTAAAGCAATTTAACTTTTCCTTTTGTAAGAGTAATAAAAGTTTATTGGAGAAAATGAGAAAATAGAGATAAAACTAAAAGTAGAAATAATTGTCAGATATCTCTTCATCCATTGTTAAAATTTTTTCACGTTTTTTTCCTATGCATATATGTATACATGTATATGTACCTTTGGTTTTTTGTAATCTTCTACTTTCCCTTAACAGTACATTGTTAACATGTGTCATATCATGAATGTTCTGCAATATAATCTGTTGTTGCAGTGACTTATTGGCTATAATATAAATTGTGTAGTTTGTGTTCTGTTGTTGAACATTTAGATTTTTTTTCTGTATTTTTGCCACTGGAAGGAATGCTGGAATGATGAACATTCTTGCACACCTTGGTACATGTCTCTGAATATTTCCTTAAGTTGAATTGTGAGAAATGGAATTTCTAGGCTAAAGGACATGAAGAATTCTGAGGCTTTTGATACATACTGCTGCTGAAGTGCCTTTCAGAAAATTGTATTAATTTGCACTTCCATCAGTAATGTATAAGTGAGCCTGTTGAATCATTTTTTTCATGTTTAACTTTTCATGTTTTAAGTATTGATTTGACTTTTCCTGTCTTTTTGAACTTATTTTGTTTCATAGCTTTTTGATGAAACACAAGGAAAACCTGCTGTTGCAGTGATAGATAATGGAAGAGGAATGACCTCTAAACAGCTTAACAACTGGGCCGTGTATAGGTTGTCAAAATTCACAAGGCAAGGTGACTTTGAAAGGTTAGAAAACCTTACTTTTTTTTTTTTGTGGGTAGCTATGTATTTTAGTAAGGATAAAAAACTGGTATGCCTTTGGATGCATATGATACATTGGAGGTTTTACTGTTATTCACATATTTATTTAGGTTTTATATTATAGAATTTTTATGATTGATACTCAGAAATAGAACTATGTAATATTGTGCCTTTCCATTAAACAGCTCATTTTGCATTTCCTGAGGTATGTAGGAGTTGATATGTTGGGTACCTGAGAGCTTTTCCCCTTTCCTAACTCTGTATAGCCTCTGTAGCAGTAGAATCATTTTAAAATGGGCTTTAGAAATCGCTTCATACCATTTGCAAAATGTCTAAAATTGCATGTGGTTCTGTGGAGCTCACTGTTGCTCTACTTTCAGAGCTCTTTTTGCAAAACATTCAGGAGTGGAATCTAGTGGAGTTATATATCAGAATGTGCTTGTAGAAAATATCCTGAATGAGGATGTCACAGGGAAAACAAAATGTGCTAAAAGCCATCAGACATAAAAAAGATTTAGATTCTTGAGATATTAGTGGAACTCTAGTAAGAAGAGCTTTGACCCACAAGTCTTTTGATATTTTAAGCTATGTTGCTCTACTTCTAACAACATACTTGGGAAGAGTCTCTTGTCATTCTTACTAAATAGTTGGTGTCTGTTCATAACCTGCTTTGTTCTTTACCTTGTCAAGAAAAGTCACCCACGTTTAAGGATCAATCTCAGTGTGTTAATATAGCTAAAACATTGGTCTTCTAAAATTTCAGCACCCTCAGAATTTTAATCAAATTAGTAAAGACTTAACAGTGCCATTTAAGAGACAAGGTAGTATGAAAAACACAGACTCTTGTATCATTTGAACCTGGTTTGGATTCTAGCCTTGCCACTTACTAATCGTGTGACATTGGTCAACTTACTTTACTTCTCTGTGCCTCAGCTTACATAGCCATAAAATGGGGATAATATCCCATGAGGTTTTATGACAACTAAGTGAGTTAGTACATGTAAAATCCTTAGGACAGAGCCTCGCATATGGTAAACAGTCAATAAATATAAGCTATAGAAGCTGTCATTTTAGTTATTACTTCTCATTCCTGACCTCAGCCTTTTTTTTTTTTTTTTTTTGGAGACAGAGTCTCGCTCTGTCATCCAGGCTGAAGTGCAGTTGTGCAATCTCGGCTCACTGCAACCTCTGCCTCCCAGGTTCAAACGATTCTTCTGCCTCAGCCTCCCGAGTAGCTGCGACTACAGGCACCCACCACCATGCCTGGCTATTTTTTGTATGTTTAGTAGAGATGGGGTTTCACCATGTTGGCCAGTCTGGTCTCGAACTCCTGACCTGGTGATCCGCCCTCCTCAGCCTCCCATAGTGCTAGGATTACAGGCGTGAGCCACTGCACCTGGCCTAGATTTCTCCACAACCATTCTATTTCACCATTTTCATAAATATGTGGCATTTAAAGGATTTATAAAAAGCCAGGGAGAAGGCAAAGACCACTGTCTTTGATAGTGTGAGGATAGGATTTAGCATATCACAGAAGTATTAGGTGGAAGGGAAGGTAGAACAGATGGTAGATTAGGCAAAATGGTCAGAAAAACATCAGTTATATCAACTGGAAGAGTAGAAAGAAATGCAAATCTTAACTGAATTCATGGGACATTGACTCTGATTTCTCTCTAGTTCTTAGAACAAAACAAACTTTTAAACTTAACCAAATATTAGGGAAATTGTAATTTCTGGCAAAAATCTTTTTGCTGCTGGTTTTAGTCTTAGCTTTATGGGTTTGGTGTCAGTAAACAATCAGTTGTTATTATAGCTGTTAGGTACTCGTACTGTCTTTTAAGTCCATTATCAGTTCCTTGACCCACTCTAATTTCTATCAATATCAGATACACCCCTTCAGCCTCTAGCTTCTGCTCAGTTGCTTTACTCCTTCCATTTGTTTTTTTCTGGATACAAGGATGGATGTCATAGAAGACAGGCTGTAGAAGAAAGGCAAGAACAGGCTAAAAGTACTAAACAACTAACAGTCTTGACCTGTAGCTTATGTTGTATTGGAGAGAGAAACAGAAGTAAATACAAAAAATTACATGTAAAAGCATTTCAGTTATTATTACTATGAATAAAATGTAAGAGTAATGTTGAAGGAATGGATTGCTAGAAAAAAAATGTAGAATAATAGAGCTGATGCACATCTCCTCTAGATAAGGTGGTTGGAGAAGAGGGCCTCTTTGAGATTATATTTGAGTTGAGGCTTGAATGATCAGAAGAAAGTAGCCAAATAAAGATCTGTGAGAAGTGTGTTTCAGGTAGAAGAAGCACCAGCAAAGCAAAGACTGAAATTGTGACAGTCTCATTTTGTTTGAAGGACAGAAAGGAGACTATTGTGACTGTAGCATAGTAGATAGAGGGGAGAGTAGAGGGAGATGTGAGAATTTCAGTTTGGAAATATTATTTGTAACTCTCATTTACCTGGGTACTACTCCCTCACCCCACCCTTTTTATTTTGAAACGTTTCAAGCCAATAGACAAGATGAAAGAACTAGCACCCATATATCCTTCACCTAGATTTATCAGTTGTTAACATTTTGTCACATTTATGATCTGTCTACACACTTACACACACACACTTTGCTTTTCTGAATCATTTGAAAGTACACTGCTGTCAGTTTGTGAGATTTCACTCCCAAATACTGTAGCATGTGTATTCTGAGGACAAGCGGATTCTCATAAATAACTACAAAATCATTATTACATCTAAGAAATTTATCATTAATGCAACAATATTTAACATAAGATTTTCATAAGTTTTTTTCCTGTTGTCATGTTCGATCTCCTTCATTCTATGATAGTTTCCCTAGCTTTTGTGTTTTTCATAATATTTCAATTTTTCTGTAGTGTTCAGGCTAGTTTTCTTGTAGAATGGTCCACAACCTGGATCTGAGTGTTTCCTCAGCATTGTTTTTTTTCCTTTAGTATTTTATTATGAACATTTAAAAACATACAGAAAAGTTGAAATTCTACAGGGAATACCCATATACTCACACCTAGGTTTTACCGTTGATAGTTGCTTTACTCCTTATATATCTGTCCCACCATTAGTTTATCTGGTTTTTTAATACAGTTCAAAACAAGTTATAAATGTCAGTATACTTTTTCCTAGTTTTGAAAGTATCCGTATTAATTTCTAGGGTTCAATATTTTTAATCTTGAGGTAAAATTCACATATTATACAGTTAATTGCTTGTATCTGTCTTAAATGTATCTTCATTGAATTTATCTTTTATGGAGATAAAATTTACGTATCATAAAATTCACAGTATTAAAGCATACTGTTCAGTAGTTTGAGTTAAAATTGTGCAACCATCACCACTAATTCCAGAATATTTTTACAACTCCAAAAGAAACACTGTACTAAGTGGTTGTCACTTTCTATCTCCTGGCAATCACTAATATCCTTTTAATAGTTTTGTTTTGTTTTGTTTTTTGAGACAAATCTCGCTCTGTCGTTCAGGCTGGAGTGTAGTGGTGCTATCTTGGCTCACTGCAACCTCTGCCTCTTGGGCTCAAGTGATCCTCCCACTTTAGCCTTCCAAGTAGCTGGGACCACAGGTGCATGTCACCACACCTGGCTAATTTTTTATAGAGGTGGAGTCTCACTATGTTGCCCAGGCTGGTCTCCAACTCCTGAGCTGAAGCGATCCACCTGCCTCAGCCTCCCAAAGTGCTGGGATTACAGAAGTGAGCCACCGCATCTGGCCAATAGTTGTTAATCTACATTTTTAGTTGTTTTTCTAGGGATTACAACCAGCATCTTAATTGATAACAATCCAGTCTGGATTAATACCAACGACATACTCTGTAGTATACAAAAACCGCTCCTACTTAGCTTTGTTCTCCTCCCACTTTCGTGTACTATCATTTTCGTATAAATGTGATCGTTATACATTATAGCCCTGTTACTAGAGTTTTATATTTACCATTTTATGCCTTGATCTTTTGAATCAGATAGAAGATTTACAAAGAATGCATTTATACTGTCTTTTCTTTCTTTTCTTTCTTTCTTTTTCTTTCTTTCTTTCTTTCGTTCTTTCTTTCTCTCTCTCTCTCTCTCTCCCTCTCTCTCTTTCTTTCTTTCTTTCTTCCTTTTTTTTTTTTTTGAGACAGAGTCTTTGCTTTGTTGCCCAGGCTGGAGTGCAATGGCACAATCTTGGCTTACTGCAGCCTCCACCTCCTGGGTTCCAGCGATTCTCCTGCCTTAGCCTCCTGGGCTTGGCTTACAGGCACATGCTGGGATTACAGGCACATGCCACTACTCCCGGCTTATTTTTGTATTTTTAGTAGAGACGAGGTTTCACCATGTTGGCCAGGTTGGTCTCGAACTCCTGACCTTAGGTAATCCGCCCACCTCGGCCTCCCAAAGGACTGGGATTACAGGCGTGAGCCCCACCGCGCCTGGCTTGTCTTTTCTAATTATGTAATTACCGCTACCTTATTTTCTGTTTATTTCTTCATGTGTATTTGAGTTATAATACTTTCTAATATCCTGGTATTTTAGCCCAAAGGACTCTCTCTAGTGGCTCCATTAGGGCCGATCTGCCAATAACAAATTCCCTCAGTTTTTATCTGAGAATGTCTAGAATGTCTTAATCTTTCCGTTTTTTGTTTTTTTTTTTTTTTTGTTTGTTTGTTTTTTTGTTTTTTTTTTTGAGAGGGAGTCTTGCTCTGTAGCCCAGGCTGGAGTGTGTAGTGCAATCTCAGCTCGCTGCAACCTCTGCCTCCCTGGTTCAAGCGATTCTTTTGCCTCAGCCTCCCAAGTAGCTGGGATTACAGGCATGCACCACAATGCCCGGCTAATTTTTGTATTTTTAGTAGAGTCGAGGTTTCGCCATATTGGCCAGGCTGGTCTTGAACTCTTGACCTCGTGATCTGCCTGCCTCGGCCTCCCGAAGTGCTGGGATTACAAGTGTGAGCCACCGCACCCGGCCCCTTTCCATTATTTTTGAAGGCTACTTGTGCTGGGTAAAGAACTCTTGGTTGGGCCGGGCGCAGTGGCTCGCACCTGTAATCCCAGCACTTTGGGAGGGCGAGGCAGGCAGATCACAAGATCAGGAGATCAAGACATCCTGGCTAACACAGTGAACCCCATCTCTACTAAAAGTACAAAAATTAGCAGGGCGTGGTGGCGGGCACCCATAGTCCCAGCTACTCGGGAGGTTGAGGCAGGAGAATGGCGTGAACCCGGGATGCGGAGCTTGCAGTGAGCCGAGATGGTGCCACTGCACTCCATCCAGCCTGGGTGACAGAGCGAGACTCCATCTCCAAAAAAAAAAAAAAAAAAAGGAACTCTTGGTTGACAGTCTTTTGTCTTTCAACACTTTGAATATGTTCGTTCACTGCCTTCTGGCTTTATAGTTTCTGTTGACAAATTAGCTGTTAATCTTTTTGAGGATCACTTCTGTGTAACAAATTGCTTCTCTCACTGCTTTTGAGATTCTCTTTTTGTCTCTGGCTTTTGACAGTT
The DNA here is from genome assembly GCF_000001405.40 of Homo sapiens. Classification (NCBI taxonomy): domain Eukaryota; kingdom Metazoa; phylum Chordata; class Mammalia; order Primates; family Hominidae; genus Homo; species Homo sapiens. Next base: position 2,679,682 of record NC_000018.10, read on the forward strand.
TAATGCTGATGTGTCTAGGTGTGGATTTGAGTTCATCCTACTTAGAGTTCATTGAGCTTCTCGGATATATAGAATAAAGTTTTTCTTCAAATTTGGGGAGTTTTTGGCCATTTTTTTCTCTAAGTATTCTTTCTCTCCTTTGCTTCTATGACTCCTCTTATCCATATACTTGATGGTGTTCTATAGTACAGGTCTGTTCTTTTTTCTTCATTTTTCTTTTTGTTCCTCAAACTAAATAATTTCAATCAGCCTACCTTCAAGTTTATGGATTCTTCTGCCAACCCAAATCTGCTCATGAGTCTCTTAAGTGATTTTTTCATTTTGGTTATTGTTTTTTCCAAATCCAGAATTTCTATTCAGTTCTTTTTTATAATTTCTATCCCAACTGATACTCTCTGTTTGGTGAAATACATTTCTTATACTTTCTTTTAGTTCATTAGACATGGTTTCTGTTCTTTGAATATATTTAAAATAGCCGAGCTTCTTCTGCCACAGTCTCTACCAACTGTTCTTTTTCCTGTGTGTGAACCATACTTTAATATCTTTTTGCATGGCTTGTAATTTTTTATTGAGAACTGGTCATATTATAATAATATAATGTAGCAACTCTGGAAATCTGATGCCACCCCCTTCCCCAAGACTTGTTGCATCTGTTGTTTGTTTATGTAATGGCTTCCCTGAACTAATTCTGTTAAGTCTGTATCCTTGTGTTACCCTTGAAGTTTCTGATTAGTTAGCTTTGTGGTCAGCTAGTGATCAAACATTATCTTAAGTGCCTTGAACCACTAAGTCTCCCAGCTTTTGCTGAGGGGCTCTGTGTGCATAGTGGGGTATGTTTTTAGTGCTCTGTTGCAGAGTTTACAACTCTGCCTTACTTTAACTTCTTGCTTGTAGTGAACCTCAAGGTAAGCTAGAGGTGAGTCATTATTAGGACCTTCTCAATTCTTTCTTGAACATGTGTTTAGTTCTGCACGTGGAAATGACCTAATTATTGAGTCTAGTGAATATGTTGAAGCTTTTACAAAACCCTGCAGACCTCGCATTTCCCAGCTTTTCCTTGTATATTTTTGGTCAGATTCTTGTTTTCTCCAACTGTTTTCATTGCCTCAGACAGCTGTTAATGATAAATGTTTGCTGCTGATTGATTTTGACAGTTTTTTCAGGCATTCTCATTACTTTCATCAGTGAGTGGATTCTTGGAAGTCCTTATGCCACCATTCTGGAAGTGTTCACTCGTTTACTGATTTTTGACAAATATATACACTTGTGTATCTCAAACCCTTGTTAAGATATAGGACAATAAGCTAGACTCAGTGGCTCACACCTGTAATGCCAGCACTTTGGGAGGCTGAGGCAGGAAGATTGCTTGAGCCCAGGAATTTGAGACCAGCTTATGCAACATGAGAACCCACCTCTACAAAAAATATTTTAAAAAATTAGCCAGGTGTAGTCCGGGCATGGTGGCTCACGCGTGTAATCCCAGCACTTTGGGAGGCTGAGGTGGGCGGATCACCTGAGGTCAGGAGTTCAAGACCAGCCTGGCCTTCATGGCGAAACGCTGTCTCTACTAAAAATACAAAAATTAGCCAGGTGTGGTGGTGTGTGCTGGTAATCCCAGCTGCTCAGGAGGCTGAGACAGGAGAGTCACTTGAACCTGGGAGGTGGAGGATGCAATGAGCCGAGATTGCGCCGCTGTACTCCAGCCTGGGTGACAGAATGAGACCCCATCTCAAAAAAAAAAAAAAAAAGGAAAATTAGCCAGGTGTTGTGGCTTGCACCTTTAGCCCCAGCTTCTCAGGAGGCTAAGATGAGAGGATCGCTTGAGACTAGGAGGTCGAGGCCGCAGTAATCCATGATCACGCCACTGCACTCCAGCCTGGGCGACTGAGTGAGATCCTATCTCTCAAAAAAAAAAAAAAAAAAAGGATATATAACATTACATAAACCTAGAAAATTCTCTCATAACTTGGGCACTATAAGAATTATTGCTTTAGAATTTAACTTGGATACCTGGGACATAATTATAATAGTATGTGTATAATTATTTTGTAGGGGAGAGGTATGACATTAGTTAGGTCAGCTGGATTCAGGTATGTGTTGGGTCAGCGCTACTCTTTCTGCACTTTCAACTTGCCCATCAATTAAAAGGCTCTCAACTCAGAGCCATTTTGTTGAAATATGAATAAGTAAAAATGCTACATGACCCATGCCGTATGTATTTTAAGCTGTAGAAATGGATCCCCAACAAGATTTTTCCTAATATTCCTAAAGAAAAAGCTGGTTTGTCTTTGTTGGTTTTCAGCAAATTAAGATGAGCTTTTGTTTTCTAATATTTGTGTTTACTTGAATGTTGGGAATACGTTTGTAACATCTAAGCACCCTACTTTAATTTGGTCATTTCCATATGTCTGGCACATTTATTCTAGAGGCTCTGATAGAGATTGGTGGCCAGTTTTGTTAGAGGTGGAGTTTTCTTAAGTTTGGTGTTTTTTTTTTCCTCCTTTGTTAGATTCAAGATAGTGAGACATATACATACGTAGTTACTCTACCCTGGCTTCCTGGCAATCATTTAGATAGTTTCTTTTACTAATTTGATCCTCTTCGCTGATAACTTTTTCTTTTCTTTCTTCTTCTTTTTTTTTTTTTTTCCTTTTTCTTTTTTGAGACAGAGTCCCACCTCTCAGCCCCAGGCTGGAGTGCAGTGGCGTGATTTCAGCTCACTGCAACCCTGCCTCCCAGGTTCAAGCAGTCCTGCCTCAGCCACCCAAGTAGCTGGGATTATAGATGCACACCACCACTCCTGAAAAATTTTGTACTTTTAGTAGAGGTGAGGTTTCACTATGTTGGCCAGGCTAGTCTTGAACTCCTGACCTCAGGTGATACACCCACCTCAGCCTCCCAAAGTGCTGGGATTATGGGCGTGAGCCACCGCGCCCGGCCCCCTGATACTTTTTCTTACTTGAGACACCTCTTATGTTTTGTTTCCATCAAAATTTCCCAAAGATTAAGTGTCCTTTCATTGTATGAAGATTATGAATTAAGATATTTTCTGAAATATTTTTGGACTTTGATGTAAATTTATTCCTGAAGGAGATTAATTTCCTAATTCTCCAGAGGACTGCTGTGGTGTAAAACTGTTCCTTGAACTTGTAGTTTTCTACTTTTATTTATATTCATGAAGGGATATTTATATAGTCCTTGAGTGGATATAGGAATTTTTCTAGACTCATTAACACAAGTCTGAGACTGTCTTGAAATAAATATTCTCAGCCTTACTTGCTGTGATAGAGTTGTTGCCTAGATTTGGTTTGCATGGGTCATTTAAGTTGAAAAAGGGATTTATGATTTTGTGCATTTCTAACTAGTGGAGAGAATTCTTTAGTTTTGCATGACCTGATGTATGTATGTTGTGTTTTATCAGTGAGCTTCTCCTTTCTCTAAACTTTTGTATATTTTCCCAGAAATATTTTAAGGAAAATATCAGAGAGTATTTTCAACTTATTTCCTAGAAGTATTGCCATAGTAACTGAATACTTAGAACTCATTTACTTTTTTTTTTCTTAATAAACATTAGCTCATAGACTTTGGTTAATCATAATTCTAGGAAATAAGTTGCAGCATCTCACAAGTTTTGTTACACTGTATTTTCTGTTTCATTCAGTTTAGTCTACTTTTTTCCTTTGCAACTTGGTATTTAACCTGTGGATTGTTTTAAAAGTGTGTGAATTTATAAGTGTTCCAACATATTTTCCTATTGTCTTTCTATTGATTTCAAGTGTAATTTCGTGATAGCTAGAGAATGTACTCTTAAGTGATTTCAGCTGTTTTACATTTGTTGCGTTTTATGATCCAGGATGTTATCTATCTAGATGAATTTTCTATGTGTCTTTGAAAAGAAGGTGTATTTTGCTCTTGTTGGGAGAAGTGTTCTGAAAATGTCAGTTAGATTCTACTGGTTGATGATATTATTCATTTCTTTATATCCTTGCTGGATTTTCTGTGTGGTAGTAACTAGGGGGTATTGAAGTCTCCAAGGATTGTTATGCCTTCTGTGCCTTCTTGGTTGACCAACCCTTTTATTCATTATGTAGTGTTGCTCTTTGTCACTGGTTATTTTCTTTGCTTTGAAGTGTACTTTTTCTGTTAGTGTAGCCATCCCAGCTTCTTTTCATTTGTGTTTTCATGCTATATCTTTTTTCATCCATTTTCTTTTAATGTACCTTTATTATTATATATGAAATGGGTTTCTTATAGACAACATATAGTTGGTTCATGTTTTATAACCACACTTACAATTTCATTTAGCGTCTTTGTATTATTACATTTAATGTAATTAAATGTATAATGAGCATTTCAGATTTTGTATTTTTGAATTTGAGATGCTCAACTTGTACTTAAATTTTTTGAAAGTCAAGCTCAAACTAGATGCTCAGCAAGACTATCTTTGGAGTTTGCGGGGAAGAGAGAGATCCTGTCAGACATACAAAATCTGAAGAAAATTCACCAAGAACAGACTCAAGTTATAAAAGAATGTTTAGAAAGATCTTCAGAAAGGAAAACAATACTGGATATTATTACGTTATCCAGAAAGGAAAATAATACTGGATATTATTACATCCATAATGTAATTAAATGTAATAATACAAAGAGTGATCATCTGTTTACCCATTTATTTGTTTTAATTGTTCTTTGTTCATTTCCTGGTATCTTTTATTGACTTTCTCTGGTGTTAATATATTCATTCTAGCTTTCTTTTCATTAGTGTTAAAATGGTAAATGTTTTTCCAACCTCTTAACCTATTGTCTCTTTATATTTAAAGAGGGTTTCTTTTACGCTATAGATATTTGTGTCTTAATATTTAACAATCTCTGCCTTTTAATTGGAGTGTTTAGATCAGTTGCTTTTAATTGGATTATTGATATGTTTAGATTTAAGTTTACCATCTTTGTTAATTTTTTATTTTTCCTGCCTATTTTTTGTTCCCATTTTCTTTTTTTTCCTGCCTTATTGCAGATTCAGTGTGTGTGTGTGTGTGTGTGTGTGTGTGTGTGATTCCATTTTATTTCCTTTTTGGCTTATTAACTATAGCTGTTACTTTACTGGAAACTCTAGGATTCATAGTATAAATCTTTAATTTATCACAGTCTGTATTAAGTAATACTAAACCACTTCGCATATAAATACATCACAACAGTATACTTCCGTTTATGCTATCTTGGTCTTTGTACTTTTGTTTTTGTACATTTTACTTTGGCATAAATGTCAAAGTACAGTATTGTTATTTAGCTTTAAATATTCATTTGCCTCTCTCCTTAATGTAAAAAGGCTTCTTCTCAACTTCCTGACATTTCTTGCTAAACTATACACGTCTGCCCTGTTTTCCAACAGCACACTGTTCTGTTCTGTCCCTTATTTTTTTCTTTTTTTTTTTTTTTTGAGACGAGTCTCGTTCTTTTGCCCAGGCCGGACTGCAGTGGTGCTATCTCGGCTCACTGCAAACTCTGCCTCCCGGGTTCACGCCATTCTCCGGCCTCAGCCTCCCGAGTAGCTGGGACTACAGGCGCCCGCCACCACGCCCGGCTAATTTTTTGTATTTTTAGTAGAGATGGGGTTTCTCCGTGTTAGCCAGGATGGTCTTGATCTCCTGACCTCGTGATCCGCCCACCTCGGCCTCCCAAAGTGCTGGGATTACAGGCGTGAGCCACCGCACCTGGCCTATTCTGTCCCTTTTTAAAGCAGTTCTCTTTTAAAAAATTGTGGTAAGATATAAATAACATAAAATTTGCAGTTATAACCATTTTAAAGTATATAATTCCATGACATTAATTACAGTCACAGTCTTTTACAACTATTATTACTATGTATTCCTAAAGTTTTTTTACCCTGTACCCCCAAATTGAAGCTTTACCCATTAGACAGTAACTCCCTGTTGCTCCCACTCTTAGCCCCTGGTAACCATTATTGTACTTTCTGTTTCAATGAATTTACCTAATCAAGGTACCTTATTTAAGTGGAATTATACAGTATTTGTCATTATACAGTATTTGTCATGTGTGACTTATTTCACTTAGCATAATTTTCGAGGATCATCCATGTTGTAGCATGTATCAGAATTTAATTCCTTTTTATGGTTGAGTAATTCTCCACTGTACAACCATACTGCGTTTTGTCTATCAGTTCATAGATTAATGGACACAAGTTGTTTCTACCTTTTGTCTTTTGATAATGCTGCTATGAACATTTGCATGCAAAATCTGAGTCCCTGAACCAGTTTATGTTTACCCACATATTTACCATATTTACTAGAGCTTGTATTCATTCCTTTGTGTAAATCTGTCCAGTATTGTTTTCCTTTCTGAAGCTCTTTCTAAACATTCTTTTATAACTTGAGTCTGTTCTTGGTGAATTTTTTTCAGATTTTGTATGTCTGATAGGCTCTCTCTCTTCCCCCCAAACCCCAAAGATAGTTTTGCTGAGCATCTGTTTGAGCTTGACTTTCAAAAAATTTAAGTACAAGTTGAGCATCTCAAATTCAAAAATACAAAATCTGAAATGCTCCAGAATCCAAAATTTTTTGAGCACCAATGTGACACTTAAGGAAATGCTGCTGGAACATTTCAGATGTTGCATTTTCAGACTTGGGATGCTCAGGTGGTAAGTATAATGCATCTATTCCAAAATTGGAAAAGAAATCAGAAATCTGAAATACTTTTGGTCCGAAGCATTTTGGATAAGGGGCACTCAAACCTGTATGTTAAATATGTCACTCAATTTTCTACCAGCTTGCATCGTTTATAAGGAGAAATCTGTTGTCAGTCTTATCTTTGTATCTCAAAACATATAGTCTGTTTTTCTCTGACTTGTTTTAAGATTTTTTTTTTAAATCATCAGTGTGTATGCTTTGTAGCATTGTGGTGTGTGTTTCTGTTGAAAGTAGTTGTGTGTTTGTGTATTGTGTGAGGTGTTTTGTATAAATGCAAACTTGTGTGGGGAGGCATTTTCTGTGTGTTATTTTGTGTCGACAGTTTGTGTATGTTGTGTGGGGATGTGATTGTAGATGTTGGGAGGGTATTGTGAGGGGATACTTTTTTGGGTGCTTTTGTTGTTTTGTATCTCTGGTATTACAGTGTCCTACCTGGTCAATGTTGTCTTTATTTTGATTATTTATATATGAGGATAGGACTTTTTATACCAATTAAAATGTTTTTGTTTATCCCATTCTTTCTGTTTCTGTTTCTTCTGTTTTCTCTTAAATTTATTGTCTTCTGCTGTTTTGTTTTCTTGCTCCATCTTTTTCTTTTTAATATTTTAGACTTTATATCTTCTCTGATCTTCTTTGAAGTTTTAACATGCATATTTAACTTTAGATTTCAGGATTTAAAATATTTTCCTTCCCCCAACTTAAGGACTTCATTAGCTTTGGTCACTCCCTTCCTGAAATGACACTTTTGTTATTGAAGGTATTTAAAGTGTGACTTTTTAGAAATTCAACAATATGCACACACCAGTTTTTCACCACACCAGTAAATGTCTCATATGTAGTCCTTAAAAAAATTACTTTTGTATGTGTTGTATTATGGTGACCTCTTGTATGTTAGATTGTGCTTGTAGGAACATTTCTTTAGAACAAGTCTTCTGGTGGTAAATTACTTTGGTTTTTATCTATAAATTGTTTATTTTTCTCTAGTTGACAATTTTAGGTTAACAGATTTTTTTCAGGCACTATAGAGATAATATTCCTCTCTGTCTTTTACTGTTGCTGTCAAAGCCTGCTCATCTGTTTTGTCCTGTCTTATCTCTTAGTCTATTTTCTAGTTCTTCTGTTTGGTTTTTGGTGTTTACAGTGATGTTGATTTCTTTTTATGTATCTTGTTTGGGCTCTTTTGGTTTTCCTGGATCTGTGAAGCCATGTCTTTTATTGGTTCAAGAATATTTACAGCTATTTTCCATTCTCTGTCCCTTCTCTTTCTAGAGCTGCATTTAATCTTGTGCCAGATATTTTCCTTTGGTCATTTATGTCTTTTAACGCCACTTTGATATTTTCAGTTTTCTTTTCTTTCTTTGTTTCCTGTGGTTACGTTCTTTGCATCTTTCTGTTCTCTAATTCTCTCCAGCTATGTCACACCTGCTCTTTAATCTTTCCATTGAGTTTAATAGTGGTTCCAGCCTCACCTTCATTCTGTTTATTTCTGATAATGGGGGATGATGTCCCCGGAGACTTTGCCTACATTTTGAAAGACCAGTGATGCCTCTTCTTCAGAATATTGTTATGGTGCACTGTTCCCTCAGAGCTCTTCATTTATCATGATATATGGAAGTGAGACTCTCCTTTGCTCTAATTACCATTATTCTTCAGACAATATTTTAGCAAGTTTTGAAGTAGCAAACAGTTTTGAAGGAAAGTTTTAGAGGCATGAGGATAATAAAAATACTTATTTAGTCCTGTTTGCTGAGAGATTTTCTGATTTAGTAGGATTGAGCCCAAGAGTTTGCATTTCTTAAAAGTTTTCAGCTAAAGCTGATGCATCTGGCCTGGGGACTACACTTTGAGATGCACTGGAGTAGATGTCTTGACACTGATTATTTCACCTTTCAGTTAGGGGTGTTTGCAGGCGTGATCATTTTATTAACACTGAATACAAGTGCAATGAAAGTTTCTTTTGACACTTAACTAGCTTGTTTAAAATCACTGCATTAATGTTTTATTTTAGTGATCATTCAGGATATGTTCGTCCAGTACCAGTGCCACGCAGTTTAAATAGTGATATTTCCTATTTTGGTGTTGGGGGCAAGCAAGCTGTCTTCTTTGTTGGACAATCAGCCAGAGTAAGTAAAAAGATTTCTTATAAATGAAAGTTGATCAAAATATTTTGAAGTTGACTCTGTCTAAATGCATTAACCAGTTTATTAGGAATTTAAAAAGTACTCTTTTTAATATTTAACAGATGATAAGCAAACCTGCAGATTCCCAAGATGTTCACGAGCTTGTGCTTTCTAAAGAAGATTTTGAGAAGAAGGAGAAAAATAAAGAGGCAATATATAGTGGATATATTAGAAACAGAAAGGTACAATACATTTTAACTCATAATTATAAATTTACTCCTTTGGATAGACGGTGGGACAGAACTTAACTTGAAAGTATGAAATTTTCAAAATGAGTTACCCTTTCCTTTAGTCATAATAACAAAAATGGGCTTTCTCAAGCCAAAAATCTTCAGACAAGTTGTCTCATAAAGCTTACTAAGCTTTCTGTAAATTGCTTGTAGGATTGTAAGCTTTTTTCCCTGGTCTGAATTTGGGTTTTAAAATCTTTGTTGTATAATAAAATTATAGAGTAGAAAAACAGTAACAGGGTAATGGACTTTCAGGAAATTGGACCTCTAGAGAAATAAATGAGAGATTGCTCTTACAAGTTTGCATTGAAATTCTTGTGTTCATAAGACAAAATGTTAACAAATTTGAATCTTGGTGGCAAGTAAATGGTATATTTATTGTATATTCCTTCAACTCTTCTTTGTTTGAAACATGATTTTTTTTCTTTTTTTTTTTTTTTGAGATGGAGTCTCACTCTGTCTCCTGGGCTGGAGTGCAGTGGCGCAACCTCAGCTCGCTGCAACCTCCACCTCCCAGGTTCAAGATATTCTCCTGCCTCAGCCTCTCGAGTAGCTGGGATTACAGGTGCCTGCCACCATGCCCTGCTAATTTTTTTTGTAGTTTTGGTAGAGACAGTGTTTCACCATGTTGGCCAGGCTGGTTTTGAACTCCTGACCTCAAGTGATCCGCCTGCCTCAACCTCCCAAAGTGCTAGGATTACAGACGTGAGCCACCGCGCCCAGCCTGAAACATGATTTTTAATCTAAAATCTTTAATATATAAGTTAGTTTACTTACTATTTTAAGAGATGGGGTCTCACTCTGTCCCTCTGGACTAGAGTGTAGTGGTGCTATCACAGTTCACAGCAGCCTCGAACTCCTGGACTCAGGCAGTCTTCCAACCTTGGCCTCCCAAAGTGTTGGGATTACGGGAAAATATTTATTTTAAAGTGATTTTGGGCTGGGCATGGTGGCTCAGTCCTGTAATACCAGTACTTTGGGAAGCTGAGGTGGGAGGATTGCTTGAACTCAGGAGTTTAAGACCAGCCTCTGTAACATAGGAGACCTTGTCTCTACTAAAAAAAAAAAAAAAAAAAAAAAAAGCCGGGTGTGGTGGTGTGCGCCTGTAGTCCCAGCAGCTCAGCAGGCTGAGGTGGGAGGATCACTTGAGCCCAGCTGCAAGTGAGCTATGATCATGCCACTACATTCCAATTTGGGCGATAGAGCAAGACTGTCTCAAAAACAATAAAAAATTTTTAAAAGGTAATTTTGAACTTTTAAAAATTTGGCTTTCTGATTCTAAAACAACTTGTAGGAAACTTTATAGAAAAGCCTAAGGAAGATAAAAATACTCCCAAGTCCTAGAGAAGCCTACTGAAACATTTTGGTGAATTTCCTTCTAATTCAGCTTTTTAAAATATATACTTAATAGTTTTGATCCCACATTTAAAAAATTAACATGTTGAGTATTTCCCCATTATAAAATATTTTGATACACAATGGTTTTTAGTAGCTTTATAACATTTCCTTCAATGAATGTAACATAATTTCATGATTCTGTTGAGCATTTGGCTTATTTAAAGGATTTTACAGTAATTGTAAAGACATTGCGATGAGTATCTTTGCATAACATCTTACCTGAATTACAGATTTTTTTCTTAGGTTAGATTGTTATAATTTTAATAGCTGTGGTAATGAATTTGAACTTTTTTTTTGAGACAGAGTCTCACTCTCTTGCCCAGGCTGGAGTGCAGTGGCATGATCTCAGCTCACTGCAACCTCTGCCTCCCTGGTTGAAGCAATTCCCCTGCTTCAGCCTCCTGAGTAGCTGGGATTACAGGCACATGCCACCACACCTGGCTAATTTTTTTCTTTTTTTTTTTTTTTTTAGTGGAGATGGAGTTTCACCATGTTGGCCAGACTGGTCTCAAACTCCTGACCTCAGGCAGTCCGCCCACCTCGGCCTCCCAAAGTGCTAGGATTACAGGTGTGAGCCACCACGCCCAGCCTGAATTTGAACTTTTTAAATGTTCATGGCATGTATTTCAAAACTGCTTGTCAGAAAGGTTAAACCCAAAGTCACATACACTTCCAACAACTGTATGGAAGCACATTTCTGATCATTTATTTTTCAAAAGAATGAGAAGGGGAGAGGGCAGCAAAATGTTGGCCATTTGATAATTGAAAAAAAAAAAAAAAACCTTTTCTTTCATTAGTTGATGGGTTGGATTTTTTTTTTCCATTTTATTATCCACTTTTATTTTCTCGATAACTTAATATACCCTTTGTGCAGGACATTACTTTCTTTTCTTTGTTTCATTTACTTAACAAATTGCATATTTTGATATTTTTACATAACAGTATTCCATCTTGTCTTAACCACCACAGAGCCCTATAAAATATAATGGTGGAAATATTACTTGCCATGATAAAACTGGTGAAAAATAGGAATTGAGAATTTAGGTGGTTTTCAAAACTGTGTGCATATTACAAAGCTTGTATACAACTGTGTCTCTTGGAGCACCATTTTTCTGCCAGCCTTTTCTGTGTTTTGTGCTTAGTTCTTCCCAACAAACATTTCTTGGGTACCAACAAGTACCTGGTCTGTTTCCTTTTCTGACTAGTCTTTTCCAGCCTATTTTTGTTGGACTTCTATCTCTGATCTGTGAGCAGTTTTCAGAATGTGGGTGGAATTGGTGGTTCTTGTTCTATAGTCAACAGTCTTACCTTTTCTAAAGATGTGTTATTTGCTACTTATGTCAAAAGCTCTCAAATCTGTGTTTCGTGTGAAAACTTTTCTCAATACTGAGACACTGAATCATGCTAGCTTCAGTAAAGGAAACAGACCATCCTGGGCCTTTTAACAGAAAATATTTAATAGAGGGAATTAGATGCTTACCTGATTATTGGAAGGGCCAAAGGAATGAATTATGGGCTAAGCCTTCTAGAATGATGCCAGGAATCTGAAGTTATCCTGGAGGGATGCTGCAACATTTGCTATAATCATTCAGTTAGAGGACCACCACTGGGTCTGGGATTCAGGAACTCGCTGCTGTATCTGTGATCCACGAGTTGGAATGATCTCACTGCCACAATTGCTCCAAAACTGGAAAACAGAGTTTCTGGCCATAACTAGGGCTGCAGTGGCCTTTTGACACTTTAAACCTGAAACCTGGTTACTGATCTTTCAGTGCCTTGTGTGATAACACAAAACTTTTAAAAAACTTCAGGAAATAGCCTCTGCTTCATTTTTGGCATCCACATTTTGGCTGGTACATCTAATTGGTGAAAACTAATTTGCATCCACAATCCAAACAGTATTTTTTTGCCTTCCAACCTCTGCAGCCCAAGAGAGTACAGTAAAAGGTGGTAGGAATGGGTGATGAATACCAACTGATCATATCCAGTACACTCATTTCCAGGTTCAATTAGATGTTCTTTCTTAGGTGTTCGAGGAGTAACTCACTTTTGGTACCTTTGAAGTCAAATATTGGCTGGGCACAGTGGCTCATGCCTGTAATCCTAGCAGTTTGGGAGGCTGCGGAGGGAGAATCTCTTGAGCCCAGGAGTTCAAGACCAGCTGGGCAACATTGAGAGACCATGTCTCTTAAAAGAAAGAGATCAAATATTATCCGTAAACCTTTCTTATTCTCTCCTTCTCCTGTCTTCCTCTCAACTACCCTTTACAATTACTGGCATCCACTAGCCATGCAGTTAAAGTTGGTAATCCTTTTTGTTAATCATTCAGCACATTTAATTTTGTCTTTTATATTATTTTCTTTCATCTATCCTCTCTTCCACCCACTTTCCACTGCTCTAATTCAGCCATCCCGCTTCATCTTTTATCATGTTTATCGTATGTCCTAAAACTACCTTGTTTCCTTTATGCTCTTGAATTCATGTTCTCATTTGTCTGGAATGTTATTATTCAGTCATCTGCTGGGTGACTGTCACCCTCGTTTTACCTCTGTAGCTCTTGGTTCATATCTTCATACATAATAGCATATTGTTTTGTAATCATTTGTTTTTTCATCTCCTACCAGATGGAATTTGTAGAGCACAAAGGCACTGTCTTATTTATCTTGAACCTATCTTTCTCAGGCCCAAGTTGAGGCATAGGACTTACAGAAGATGCTTGATAAATATTTGGATAATGAATTTGCATCGTTAGTAAATTCAGACTAATCTCCTGACTCAAAGTATATGAAATGTTACTTGTATATATTGTAGCTGTGATATTAGCAATTAGTGTATAGAGATGCATTATAATGGTTTTGAAGGGGTATGGTCTTAAGGATTTATTGTTTTTTAAATCAGAAATTTTAGAATTTGATAGACAAATTCTGAAAGAGCTGTAACACTTTTTAATTAAGCAAGTAATCATACATACTTATTTTTAAAAATCAACTTGATTTCCTAGATAGAATAGTTTAGTCTGTTTTTATTTCCACAGTTTTATAATGTATATAGCAACATACACAGTAGATATAGTCTCCTATCACTTAAGGACAGGGATGCATTCTGAGAAATGTGTCATTAGGTTATTTTGTTGCTATGTGAACATCATAGAGTGTACTTATACAAACTTAGATGGCATAGCCTGCTACACACCTAGGCTATATGGTATAGGGTACTGCTCCTAGTCTACAAATTTGTACAGCTTGTTACCCCAGGCAGTTGTAACAGAATGGTAAATATTTGTGTAGCTAAACATAGAAAAGGTACACTAATTTTACAATACTGTATCATCTTATGGGACCACTGCAGTCAATTGTTGACAAAAATGTTATGTGACATATGACTGTATATGAATACACACACAAACGCGCATGCGTGCATACCATGTTTTTTGTTTGTTTGTTTGTTTGTTTGTTTGTTTTTTGAGACATGCTTGTTGCCCAGGCTGGAGTGCAGTGGCGCGATCTTGGCTCACTGCAACCTCAGCCTCCCGGGCTCAAGCGATTCTCCTGCCTCAGCCTCCCTAGTAGCTGGGTTTATAGGCGTGTACCACCACGCCTGGCTACTTTTGTATTTTAAGTAGAGATGGGGTTTCGGCTTGTTGGCCAGGCTGATCTTAAACTCCTGACCTCAGGTGATCTGCCCGCCTCAACCTCCCAAAGTGCTGGGATTACGGGAGTGAGCTACCACGCCCGGCCTGCAATTTTTTAAAACATAGATTCATACTACAGATGGAGAAGTTTGTAATTTTATCCTCAAATTCCCCTACTAACTCCCTTCCATAAGTTTTAGATATTCTCTGAAAGTGGGTTGGTGTCCAGGATGATTTTACTTTTAAGCACTATGTGTTTGGGCTTAGCTAGCTGGGTCCAGCCTGCCCTGTAGTTTTCTTGAACATGGAGGGCTGGGCATTGGTCCTGACCAAGTTAAGTGGTAGGTCTCCCAAGCAAGCGTTCATTCTACCCTAGGGGTAAGTGTCCTCAATTTTTTAAGGCATTTTAAAACTCAGTATTTGTCTTTACCTTTTCGTTTATGATTCTAAAATCGGTTTAGCATTATAAGATAGGGTGCTCTTTATGCATGCTAGTTTAGCAGTCTGTGTGAAAGTTCCCTTGTCTTCACAGTGTTGTCACATACTCAGCCAGTTTGTTGTATTGGGCCAGTTTCCTCCAAAGCTTTTCTGAAACCTATTTGTGAAACTCCAAGTAAATCACATTAAAATTTGATGCAATAGCTATTTGTATAATTATAATTTAGATGATTTAATCTGTTGTATTTCTGTTCACTCTTGTAGCCCTCTGATTCTGTTCACATTACAAATGATGATGAAAGATTTCTACATCATCTTATCATAGAGGAGAAGGAAAAAGATAGCTTTACTGCTGTGGTTATCACAGGGGTACAACCAGAACACATACAGTACTTGAAAAATTATTTCCACCTTTGGACACGACAGTTAGCGTAAGTAATTATATTTGGCTTAGGAAATGTTGCTACTTAACTTTTTTAAGGCAGAAAACATTACAGATATATTGAAGCCTCTTTGGTATCCGTTTTGCTCCTGTCTCATTTTCTTCCCTTTAGTATTATCCAGTACTCTGATATTGGTGTTAAAACAGCTCTCTATTCATTTATTCTGTAAATATTTATAGATCACCTCTAGTGTACTGAGCATTATTTGAGGCACAGGATTTTGACAATATTATAAAATTAAAAAAGAACTTCACAGTTTGTCAGATTGAGCACTATATCACTTCCATGACCCCGTTTTGTGCTTCTTTTCCATAGGACCTGTCGTAATCTTCCATACCATATATATTTATTTTTGTTGTTAAATTCACTGCTGTATCTCCAATGTCTTCTAGAAGAATACTTGCTACATGGTAGATGCTCAAATGTTTATCAAGTGAATGAATGCATCAAGCCTATTAAAATAAAAAATATACGTACATATGTGCCTATATGACATTAGTACTGAAAATAATCATTGTGTTTTTATTCCAGTAACACTTGTAGGGACTCTATATTCCATTAGACCAAATCAGAGGAATAGTTATTTAATGGCTCTAAAAAAAAATTTTTTTTTTTTTTTTTGAGACGGAGTTTCACTCTTGTTGCCCAGGCTGGAGTGCAATGGCGCACTCTTGGCTCACTGCAACCACCACCTCCTGGGTTCAAGTGATTCTCCTGCCTCAGCCTCCCGAGTAGCTGGGATTACAGGCGCGTGCCACCACACTCAACTAATTTTTGTATTTTTAGTAGAGACAGGTTTTTGCCGTGTTGGCCAGGCTGGTCTTGAACTCCTGACCTCAGGTGATCCACCCACCTCAGCCTCCCAAAGTACTGGGATTACAGGCGTGAGCCATCGCGCCCGGCCTAAAATTTTTTTTTTATAGCTATGTGATACATACGATTTACTGTATTGTTTCCCTAATTTGCATTAGTATGAATTACTGAGACTTGCAAAATGGGTACATCTGCTCAAAATTCATATTTTAAAAATGTATCTTTTTACATTTACCCAAAAGGCTATTGTTCTTGAGAGTCTCAATTTTATACGTAATTATACGCTAAGAGAATTTTAAAATTTTTTTATGGGAAAATAAATTTGGTTTTAGGAATACCTTTTTTCTTGTTGAAGTTGTTTATTATCCCTGTTACCCAAGGTATTTAAGTAGGACTTTGCAGTTTTCTTCAAGTACATATTTTATTAGCTATTTTATAGTTTATTGAAGGAACTCAGTGTACATTAACACATAATTTAAATATACTCTTGCTCTAATGAAGGATTATGAAGAAATATTGCAAATTTCTATTTCACGAATAAAGACGTGGTATTTTATAATCCTGAACAATGTTACCAAAATATAATCTTTTTTAACCTTTTCTGAAAAAATAAAGAGGTGTTATTTCCAAAATGTTGGTTTTCAGTGAGATGGTGTCAAACTTACTAGTTTTGTTTTTGGAATCTTAGGGTAAGATTGTCTCAGTGCTATAGGAGAGGAGAGATGAATGTTCTAGAACAGGGGTCCCCAACGCCCCGGTCGTGAACTGGTACCCATCTGTGGCCTTTTAGGAACCCGGCCCCACAGTGAGTGGTGGGCCCGAGTGAGCATTACCACCTGGCTCCGCCTCCTGTCAGATCACTGGCAGCACTAGATTTCTCATAGGAGCACGAACCCTAATGTGAACTGTGCATGTGAGATATTGCGTGCTCCTTATGAGACTCTAGTGCTTGTCGATCTGAGGTGGAACATTTTCATCCCAAATCACCCCCCTTCAACTCCCATCTCTGGAAAAATTGTCTTCCATGAAACTGGTTTTGGTGCCAAAAAGGTTGGGGACTGCTGTTCTGGAATGGTATTCTCTTATTGAGATTAGATACCTAATCCAGTTTACCACCGATAATTGAGTCCTTTCTGGAACGTACCTGGTAAGTAGAATTATAGACTCTTGCTGTCTAGTTTATATTTATTTGATGAATTATTCCTCTTGGAAGTGGTGTATGTGGTCTTTGAAGTTGGAAAGGTCTGGGTTGAAGCCCACGGCTCCCTAACTCTATTCTGTGATGTCAGATAACTTACATACACTTCTTGCACCCCAGGTTCTATATCTGTAAAATGAGATGCAGTAATACCTGCATCTCAATTGTTTTTACCATTAAATGGAATATGTATTTTAAAATGCTTAATAAAGTGCTTGATACCTAGTAAATAGTGTTAAAATATTTTGATAGAAGATTACATTAACTATAATTTTATGTGAATTAAAAGTATAAAATTATTCTTCTCTATTTTAGGCATATTTATCACTACTATATTCATGGCCCAAAAGGAAATGAAATACGAACATCAAAAGAAGTTGAACCTTTCAACAATATTGATATTGAAGTAAGAGAAAAATCCATCTTAAAATAATAAAAATTATGAGATATTTGTTCCAGTTCCAAATGACTCAGGATAATAAAAAACACTTGATAATTAGACAACTTCTCTCTCCTTGTTTTTTACCAAACTACTTTCATTGTTTGATATCCAACTAAAGAGATTATTCCTAGATGTATTTTTCTCAAACCTTTATTTACTGTAGGCTTGGTTTATCTTTTTTTGTCTCTCTTCTGTGGAGCTATGCATTGTTACTGAACATCAATCATCTCTTGAAGCATGGAGGAAAAGGGAGATAATGTAGCTTTCCTTTTGTTTGTAGAAGTTATATCGTGGTGACAAGGTTTAGCAGCACAGAGCATTTGAGTATTGGATTCTCAATCCTCTAACCCACACGTTAGAATTTCACATACGATGTTGTCCCACTTCCTACCTCTAGCAAGAAACCTCGAATTAAATGTACTCATGACTTTTCTGTCCTTCAGCTCTGATTTGCTGTTTCTTTGCTTACTTTATATTTTTTAGTAGTATGTTCCTTATTGAGATGCTACTTAAAGCTGTTTAACTCATATGTAAATATATGTATTTCATTAAGCCAGATTGTTACTTGTACAAATAAACATAATTTTTACTTATTCTGTTGTTGAATCATAGCTGAGAACAAAAGTAAAGTTACCATAGAATTTAATTATTTTTGTTTCCTTTTTATTTTAGATTTCTATGTTTGAAAAAGGGAAGGTACCTAAGATTGTCAACCTAAGGGAAATACAAGACGACATGCAGACGTTGTATGTAAACACAGCAGCTGATAGTTTTGAATTCAAAGCTCATGTTGAAGGAGATGGTGTAGTGGAAGGGATTATCCGTTATCATCCATTCTTATATGATAGAGAAACTTACCCTGATGATCCATGCTTTCCATCAAGTATGTTAATCTGTTATCTTAGTTATAAAATATGAAGTTGTAATTTAGGACAGTGATTTGTTTTTCTAAATGATTATCGGTTGGGTTATTCAGGTTAGATAAATATTAAATTTTTTCTTATGCAAGTCTTAGATTGTTAGGTATTTGTAATTTTTGTAATTCCTGATTTTTGTGTACATTCATTTCTAGATGAATAAATCTTTAATGAACTCTTCTTTTAGTTCTGTTACGAAACCAAACTTTTAGATATGTATGCGTATTAATCCTTTATATGTTCCCTTGTCTTCTCTTTATCCTTGTTGCAGTTTTACACTTTATGCAGTCATATTTACTAACTTTTTCTTTATGCTTTCTGATTTTGTCTTACTGTAGAAAGGCTTTTTACATCTCAAAATTATATAAATCTGTAGCTTTTTTGTTTTTGTTGTCATTTTATGGTCAATGCATCTGTGTTTTTCTTTTTTGTATGTAGAGCAAGGTGGGGTTTTATTTATTTATTTAAATTTTTGAGTGATGGGGTCTTGCCGTGTTGCCCAGGCTGGTCTTAAGATCCTGGCCTGAAACAATCCTCCTGCCTTGGCCTCCCAAAGTACTAGGATTACAGGTGTGAGCCACCACACCTGGCCCCCACCTTTTTTTCCCCCCCCAGTAGAGAGATAGGGATTTAACAATTATTTTCTATGTGGTATTCATATTCAGTTTCTTAGCACCAGTTATTGAATGTTATAATTTACCCAAGAGTTAGAACTTGTATAATACAAAGTTCCCATAAGTACATAGGTCTAGATTCTTTACTATAAAGTACTATTTTATTTTTTTTTAATATGAGTAATGATACTGTCTTGTAGCTTTATCTTGTAATTTGGTATCTTTGGGAAAAAACATTTTCACTATTGTTCCTTTTTGAGAATACTTTTGCTCTTCTAGATAATTTTGGAATCAGCTTTGTACATTCACTTGAAGTAATTCTAGTGAGATTATTGGGATTGCATTGAATTTATAGGTTAACAATATTAAACTTTTTCATTCAGAATACTTCCTTAGTACATTCTTGGTTTTCTAGGGCCTGCAACCAGAGATCCTGATTCGAATCCCATCTTTGCCACTTTCTGTTGGACAAACTACTCCCTGCCTTAGTTTCCTTACCTGGGAAATGGGTAGTTCACACCTCATAGGGGTGTTGTGAAGATCAAATTTAAAAACTGGGGCAACTTCTCAGAATAGTGCTCAACACTATTTATTAAGTGCTCCTGCCCAGTACATATTGTTACTCAGTGGCTCCACTGGCCTTTTTGGTTTTGTTTTTTATTTTTTGGAGACAAAAGTCTTGCGTTGCCACAC
Organism: Homo sapiens; assembly: GCF_000001405.40. NCBI lineage: Eukaryota > Metazoa > Chordata > Mammalia > Primates > Hominidae > Homo > Homo sapiens. The sequence continues at coordinate 2,699,383 of NC_000018.10, forward strand.
ACGCTGGAGTGCAGTGACACAATGTAGGCTCACTGCAGTCTCTGCCTCCCAGGTTCAAGCAATTCTCATGGATCAGCCTCCTGAGTAACTGGGACTACAGGTGCCCACCACCATGCCAGGCTAATTTTTTGTATTTTATTAGAGACAAGGTTTTGTCATGTTGCCAAGGGTAGTCTCAAACTTCTGAGCTCAGGTAATCCTCCCACCTCAGCTTCCCAAAGTGCTAGGATTACAGGCGTAAGCCCCTGTGCCTGGCCATCTCTGACCTCTTAAATTTGCTGTTTCCAATTTTTGTGTGCTAATAGACAAAAAGATATAATTTTTTTCAAATGCTGCCTTAAAAAGAAGAGCAAGTAAGTTGAGTGATCAATCAGAGGGATTCTCCTCTAAGAGCAAAGTGATTTTGTTTGATTGAAAGCAGCTTTTATATAAGGGACTTCTTGTGAGGGCTTTTAGGGAGAAGGTTTTGTTTTAGGTGGGTAAACTAATTCCAGGGTAGCTGAGGTGTTAATATGTCAGGATCACATTGTTTAATCCTAATTTATCTGGATACACGAGAGTGTGTTGCTAATAAACATAAGATTATAGACAATTGTGCAAATTAATGCTCTTGATGCATAGTAACATGTCTTACAGTTCTGTGTACATTTTTCATGCTTACTTGAATCTGAAAATAATTTCTAAAAAGTAAACTTAATTTTAGCATCATTCACTAATTTGTTCAAACTAGGTAAACTCGCTGCTATTAGATGTCATAGATTTCTCAGATGACTTTCATGTGAACATACTAGTTCTGATAAAATTGTGAAACTGTTTTAGATACGGGATTTAAGCTCCTATATTTGTAGGAAGGAGGGATTTTGTTATAGGGGATAATCTTTTTGGATGTAAGACTCTTTTAGCCTCATGAATAGGTTTTAAAGATGACAGGCCCAGCAGCTAGTACATTGGTTCATATATAAGTAATTATTGACTTCTAAATGACAGACAGCATTCGTAATGTGGAACCACTTTGTAAACCTACCTTTTTGTGGGCAAACAGTATAAAACTACCTTTAGGTTTTATAGAATGCAATTTGAAACATTTATGTGTTTGTTTCATTATTTCTCACATTTTAGCAATAAACATTTTGTTCCATTTGCCCTTTTGATCTAGAATTAAAAGATGAAGATGATGAAGATGATTGTTTCATACTTGAGAAAGCAGCTAGAGGGAAAAGGCCTATTTTTGAATGTTTTTGGAATGGACGATTAATACCATATACATCAGTTGAAGAGTAAGTTTGATTTTTGCTGAAATTATGTTTTTACAACTTAATTCTTTTACTAACTAACATTTTGTTCTGTTCAAGCTTTGACTGGTGTACTCCTCCTAAGAAGAGAGGGCTTGCACCAATTGAATGCTACAATAGGATATCTGGTGCATTATTCACTAATGACAAATTCCAGGTCAGCACAAATAAATTGACGTTTATGGATCTTGAGCTAAAATTGAAAGATAAGAACACCCTTTTTACAAGGATTTTAAATGGACAGGTATGATTTTTAAATATAAAGTTGTGAATATTTGCAAATGTTTTATTTTTAAGTAAAAGAAGACACTAGCAGTGTAGGTTTTTATTGATATTTTGCATCAAAAGACTATGATGTATAAATTTTTTTATGAGCAGTCAAGTGTTCACATTACTAAAAAATTTAAAGCTAATTTTTTAGTAATGACTAAACCTACCTAGTAAAGACTAGGTTTGGATAGAATTTACATATCTTCATTAGTTTTTTTTGTTTTTTTTTTTTTAAGACAGGAGTTTCACTCTGTTTCCCAGGCTGGATTGCAGTGGCTCAATCTCAGCTCACTGCAACCTCTGCCTCCCAGGTTCAAGCTATTCTCCCGCCTCAGCCTCCCAAATAACTGGGACTACAGGTGCGTGCCACCACGCCTGGCTAATTTTTGTATTTTTAGTAGAGATGGGGTTTCACCATGTTGGCCTGGCTGGTCTCGAACTCCTGACCTCAGGTGATCGACTTGCCTTGGTCTCCCAAAATGTTGGGATTACAGGCATGAGCCATCGCACCCAGCCAAGATCTTAATATCTAGCCCTTGACATAGTAGAAGCCACAGAAGCATCTTAATGAGAACATGTATGAACAATTGTATTTGCTTTAAGGGCTATATTTGTATATTAATAACCTAGTTGTGCAATTTTTAGCTAGTCTTGAGGGTAAAAATGGGGTAAAACTGTGAAGTACTTTGAGCTAAAAGGTGATTTGAGATTGATCAGTATTAAAATACATGTATTGATTAATACAACAAGAATGATTTCACTTTGAAATTTGTTACAAAGTTGAGTGAAACTAGTATACTAGTGTACTTGTATTCTGTGAACAGACCTCAGAGACTTTTGATACTACTCTTTCAGTAGTTTAATGTTGAATTGCCAAGAAATAGATGATTTTATTATCAATTTATTGCTGGGCAATAAATACAGTGCATAGTACATAGTATTTGTAGTCAGTCAGTCCTGTAAGATGTTGAAATTAATTTTGCTCTTATAAAGCTTGTGAATCATAGAAGATTAGGACACTTTTAAGAATTATACACCGAGAAAGACCTTATCAAAATGAGTTACTACTCCTTTATAATACACTTAGAATTCATTTATAATATGGTGTTAGTTATCCAACATTTATTGAGCAGTGGGTGTTTTCAAAAGCTATCCAGAATAAGTTAATTCTATTCCTTTGTTACACTGTACTTTTAAAATATATATTTTCTAATTTTGAAACATTCAAGCTGCGCATAATGGTTCACACCTGTAATCTTGGCTACTTGAGAGGCTGAGGCAGGAGGATGGCTTGAGGCCAGGAGTTCAAGACCAGCGTGTGCAATACAGTGAGACACCTTCTGTATTTAAAAAAAAAAAAAAAAGAAGGAAATGTTCAAATACACAGAAAAGTTGAAAGAATATTATAAAGTGAATATCTGCATACTTTTCCCCTAGGTTACCTGTCACCTTGACATGCCTTCTGAATTGTACTTTGACTGTTACTGAGTGTCTGGAATTAATGCATTTGGTAATTTGTTTGGTTGATAGTGAATCCATCCTGAGAGTTTTAGAAGGGTAGTTTAACATTTTGGTTGTCAGACTTTCTGGTTCCTAGTTACTAATTTAATCTCCATGTCAGCTGGCAAACTGACAACAATGATTTGCTGATTTGGGAAAGAGTTGGTACCTAGTTATAGGAGTAAGTGTGGCAGCAATTTCCCAGAAACTGTATACCATATTGGACCTGTGAGTCTTTACCATGTATATATATTTCCTTTTTCATTCATATAACTTTAAAAAAATCAAATTTATTAATAACTAAGATAGTATCCTTCTTGACAGCAAGCATCAAAAACTTAGGCTGAAATTATTTTTAATTTTGCCTTACTTTCCTTTGGAAATGGTATATTATGGTATAAGGTACGTAAGAAGGAATGGAGTTCTGTAACTTTACAGACTGTCCTCTGCGAAAGCATGTAATGGGGAGATTGTCTTACCTCCTCATTGCCCTAGAGGCAGGCATCAAACAAGTGTATAGCACCTTATGCTTGAATACAGATTTCTGTATTCTCTCCCAACAGGGTGAAGAATGGTTGGCAAAAACACATCTTCTTAAGTATTATTAGAAAACACTTCAGTTTTATGAGTTTATTTTTTGGATAGGCTCTATATATAAAAGAGAAAATTAAAAAGAAAAGTACATTTTGCATAGCAGTGTTTCTCAACCTTTTTTCGTTATCACCCTCATAAGGAGTCTTTCTTGGCATCTTTTTCTCAATTGTTTTCCCCAATGAAATTTTACTACTGCAGATTTACCATCTATCTGTTTGTATATTGTATTCACGTTTATAAAGTACTTGATACACAATGAGATTTTTATCGTCCCATTGAGAATGTGGTTTACAGTTAGAAGGCCTCCACTCATCCCTTTTGTGGAGCTAGCTAGTTCTCCTCCCAGGCAGTAAGGGTTCATCAGTTTTTAGTGTATCCTAGGAATTAAAGGCGGAAAGGAAGGTTTTATTGTTGATATTGACCAGGGATACCTTGGTTCTAAGAATAATATCAAATTTTTCTTCTTTGGTAATGCATTTGTTTGAAATATCCTAAATGTGTACAGAGGAAGGATCCAGCAGAATATTTAATTTTTTATTAGGTTTTCTGAATTGGAGTATATGAAAGGAAAAAAATAAAATGAATGACAAATGTTTATGGTTATATTTGTTTGCTAGTAGCTATATTTCATAAAACATTTTAAAATTCTACAGGAACAGCGAATGAAAATTGACAGAGAATTTGCTTTGTGGCTGAAGGACTGTCATGAGAAGTATGATAAACAAATAAAATTTACACTTTTTAAGGGAGTAATTACACGTCCTGATCTTCCTTCTAAAAAGCAAGGTCCCTGGGCAACATATGCAGCAATAGAATGGGATGGAAAGATATACAAAGCAGGACAGCTGGTAGGTTTAACTTATTGTCACTTTTTTCTTATAATTTTTAATTTAATTTAAAACACATATGCAGAATCACATGTATAGAAAATAAGCTATTTTTAAAAATTTCTTTTTTTCCCATTCTCACATTTCATGAAGAACATTTATTCAGACTCTTCACAGGCCTGTTTGACATCAGTGTCTTCCATCATCTCTAAGGAAATTTAACTTATTTTTAGATTCAATTTTTAGTAGAAGTTGAGACTAAATTAGATGTATTAAAATTTAACAACAGTAACAACAAATAATGCAAATATTGGCTCCTCAGGAGCTAGGTAAGAATGAAAAGGACAAACTGATTTTAAATTCCATAATTTATTATAGCATTAAAAAAACTATTGCCAGAGGCTCAATTAACAAGGTTTTTATGGTTTCCTAAACTAAACTTTACTCACATGGAGATCTCAGTGTTTTTTGTTTGTTTGTTTGTTTTTAATGTAATGCGTTAAGTAATGATTTTTAAGTATTTTTTTGTTGAGCATCTGCTGACATAGTAAGTTACTGCACCTTTTGACTGTGTGGTGGAGAATTCAGAGATATAGGAGATGTGCTTTGCTCTTGGTGATATTATATCCTAGCAATGGGGATAGTGTAAGCATAAATAATAGGTAAGAAGTGGATCAATGCAATGGAAAGAAAGGATTAATAGTGTTTTGGCAGGTTAGAAGGAGAGAAGAGGAGAGGATTTTTTTTTTTTTTTTTTACTTTGGTTGGTCGTGTGGGCTGGAAGAACAGAGCAGATCGTTAAATACTTTGGAAAAGAAGTAACATTTGTGTGGACCTTGAAAGGGGTAGAGGCTCAGGTTTACACAGATAATTACAAGGTAGAAGGCTCTCTGTTCTCTCCATAAATGAGAGATACCATCATATATTTAAAGCTATAGAATTGGATGAGATCATCTATACTTGGTGAGTATAGCTAAAGAGGTAAAAGGATTGAGCCTGGAGCTTTCCCAACATTTAGTGGTTAGAATGAAAAGGAGGAGCTGGCAGAGGAGACTGACAGGGATAAGCTGGTGAGACAGAAGGAAACTAGCAGAATGTGACATCCCTAGAGCCAAGTGAAGAGTTACAAGAAGAAAGGAGTGATCAGTTTAGTCAAATGCTTAGTGGTAATGGAGTAAAGTGCTTTCTAGAAGGTAATCTGAGCATAGAGATGTGCGTAGGTTAAGTGCAGAAAAACAGCAAGTAGTAAGAGTTGGGTTGTCCTGCTGCCTATTGTATGTGTGAAGAGAAATAGTTTAGAAATGGGGCAGGCAAGGTAGGTTGGGATAAACTCTTATAGTCCTTGTTGGGAATTTCTGAATTGGAGTAGTGGAAATTTCCCTTAGATTTTTTAAACCAAGTAAGGAGAAGAAATATGATAGGCAAGTTTTGAGCTGATGTATTTGAAAAATAATATTAACTTGTCAAAGTTTATAAATTGCTGTTCATCATCTGAGAGCAGAATTTTATGGGGAAAAAAGGTTTCAGATATGTTGGCATTCATTATGACTGAATTTGAAGGAATTCTGGACTTGTAAGACACATGCTTAATTCTAACACATTTGTATAAAGAAGCTGCCATATTTTTACAACTATTTGTTAAGTACAGAACTTCAAAAATACAATTTTATTTTAATATTAGAATGCTGTTTTCATTAGTTTTTCTAATGATAGTTACCAAGGTTTTTTTCTTTGTAATAAAGAAGTTCTGTAAAATTATTATTAAGCCTTTTTCTCTTCGTAAATCTTAATACTGAAGCTTTTTTTTTTTTTAAAAACTAAATATTAGGTCAAGACAATCAAGACACTTCCCCTCTTTTATGGAAGCATAGTAAGATTTTTTCTTTATGGCGATCATGATGGAGAAGTATATGCTACAGGAGGAGAGGTTCAAATTGCAATGGTAAGACAGCAAGTGATAAAACATACTGAAAGTTTCTTGATAACACTTTTGCATAATTGTTAAGATACAGTATATTTCGCTAGTGACTAGTTTTCCATTGGATAAAGTGGTTGTAGTTTTTGTGTGGATTTTTATGTGTCATAAGTTGATGTTTTTAATAATCTATACAATTTAACATCATATGCTCAGTTTTTGTAAACATATATACATTATAACTAGTTACCAAATTAATTTTATAAAGTCATATTTCCTCTAGGGCCCACTAACTAGTAAACATTGGAGCCAGAATTCTATCTCAGCAATGAGTAACTACAAAACTGGAGTGGGTTTTTTCCCTATACCATGCTTTCTTGTTAATGTTTGATATGTTAGGACTACAGAGGTTATATAAAAAATATAAACAAACATTGTGGTGTAACGTAAGAATAGCTACTGTTATTTATGTACTTAATTAGGATAAAATATATTTCTTTGGAAGAAACAAATGGGTGTTTGTTTTTATTACAGCTAGATTTAAATAGTTTTCTTTGAAATGTTGGTAAATGTATTTATTCAGGAACCTCAGGCACTATATGATGAAGTAAGAACTGTGCCAATTGCAAAGCTGGATAGGACAGTTGCTGAGAAAGCTGTTAAAAAATATGTAGAAGATGAAATGGCAAGGTAAGTCACACTTCAAGATGCATGACAAAAATAAGAAAAATTGGAAAGAATTGTGCTGTAAGTATTCTGAGTATGTCATTTACTCTGCTGTTAGGGCATTTGTAGTCTTAGATATTGTACCTATTGAGATGAACTTCTTGTTGAAAAAAATTAAGAGGTCTAGTTATACAAACAGAATTCTGCATTTGTTTTGTAGACAAAGAAGGAAATCTTATATATCTAAAGTGTCACTTTTATAGGCACTATGATTAACATGTTTTAAAAAAACTCAGTTTGGCCTACAACTAGGATATTACAATACCTGCTGAGAGGTAAAGATGAGTGTATTAGTTCGTTTTCACACTGCTATAAAGATACTACCTGAGACTGGGTAATTTATAAAGCAAGGAGGTTTAATTGACTCAGTCGTGCATGGCTGGGGAGGCCTCAGGAAACTTATAATCATGGCATAAGGCGAAGGGGAAGCAAGCCATGTCTTACATGGGCGGCAGAAGAGAGAGAGAGGGAAGGGGGAACTGTCAAACACTTTAAAAATCATCAGCTCTCGTGAGAACTCACTATCAAGAGAACAGCATGGGGGAAACCATTCCTGTGATCCAATCACCGCCCACCAGGTCCCTCCCTTGACACCTGGGGATTAGAATTCGAGATGAGATTCGGATGGGGACACAGAGCCAAACCTTATCAGTGAGTTATAAAGAAGAAGAAGGAAGTAGAAAGTGGCTTTTCTTCTTGTATAGCTAATGATGCAATCATTTTGATTCTTACTGAATTTTGATTCTTAGGGGTTATCCTGTCTTCTAAAGGTAATTTGTACTATAAACAAGTAGAAAAAAAAAATCAACAAAAATTTGACAGTTTCTGGCTTTTAATTCCAAAAGGTTTTTTTTTTTCTTCTTCTTTTTTTTCAGTAGCCACAGGAATGGTTAGGGAGGAAAAAAATTTTTAGATGATTAATCGTAAAGAATTCCAGATTTAACCTTTTAAAATATATCAGCAATAAATATTTAAGTTTCTAATAACTCGTATCTTTTTAATTAAGATCATAATTAACAAAGTTTGTGGAACATTAATATGCTGGTTTCATAACAGGCTCCCTGATAGATTGTCAGTAACTTGGCCTGAAGGAGATGAATTATTGCCTAATGAGGTTAGGCCTGCTGGAACCCCTATTGGTATGTTTGTTTATTTTTCTAATACCAAAAAGTGTGCTTTTCTTTTGTCTTACATTTCCAATATGTAAAAGGTCACGAGATATTAAAATGCAATGGGAAGATTTGGCAGATTCAGCAAATTTTTGGGTGTAATTAAGATACTTTTAATTTTTGACTCATAGGTGCGTTAAGAATTGAAATACTGAATAAAAAAGGGGAAGCAATGCAAAAGCTTCCAGGAACAAGCCATGGAGGGTCAAAGAAACTCCTGGTTGAGCTCAAAGTTATTTTACATTGTAAGTATACAAACTAATTTAGATCTTTAATATTGTTTTTAAAATATAATATCAAATTAAATATCTTCATGTAATTATTGATGACCTAGCAATCTGATAGGCATAGCAAATTTTATTGAAGTTAGGAATTTCAGGAATGTTATGAATAGCTCATTTTCTTGGTGGATATTTTTCTAAGGTTTTTAAAAAATACTTCATCTTGAATTTTTTCATGTGGGTAACTGGGCTAAAGTAAAGGCATGATACATATATGTAGAAGAATTTGCAGTAGGAATTTCTATAAGCATATATGTATTATTACAGTTCTAATAATTACAGTAATAATTACAGTATTGATTACAGTATTATTAGTCATCCAAAACAGGTTTCACTGAGCTAAAATTAAAGTGTCTTCAGGACTGCATTTCTTCCTGGAGGTTCTGGGTGAGCCTTGCCTTTTCTGCCTTTTAGAAGTTACTCTCAGCTGGGCTTGGTGGCACGAGCCTATATAGTCCCAGCTACTCGGAAGGCTGAGGCAGGAAAATTGCTTGAGCCCAGGAGTTCGAGGCTACAGTGAGCTATGATCACGCCACTGCACTCCAGCCTGGGTGGTAAAGTAAGACCCTGTCTCTAAAAAATAAATAAATCACACAGAAGCACCACTCTCATTCCTTCATCTTCAAAGCCAGCAGTGCAGCACCTTTCATGACCTTCCTGCTTTTTTTTTTTTTGAGACAGAGCTTCGCTCTTGTTGCCCAGGCTGGAATACATAATGGCACAATTTAGGCTCACTGCAACCTCCGCTTCCCCTGTTCAAGCAATTCTCCTGTCTCAGCCTCCTGAGTAGCCGGGATTACAGGCACATGCCACCACTCCCAGCTAATTTTTGTATTTTTAGTAGAGATGGGGTTTGATGGGGTTTCATCATATTGGTCAGGCTGGTCCCTGCTTCTATTTTCAATAACTTCATATATATATATATATATATATATATATATATATATATATAACATATTAACATGAAATTTATGAAGTGGCATTAAGTACATTCATATTGTTGTGCAACCATTACCACTATCCATGTAAAGCATTTTTTCATCATTTCAAACTGAAACTCTATAGTAATAACTCTTCATCACTCCTTTCTCCCTGCCCTGGTAACTACTTTTTAACTTTCTGTCTCTGAATTTGACTATTTTAGGTACCTCATAAAAATGGAATTATATTTGTCCTTTGTGTCTGGCCTGTTTCGCTTAGCATAGTGTGTCAGAATTCCCATTCCTTCTTAAGGTTGAATAATATTCCCTTGTGTGTGTATATATGTGTATATGTGTATATATATATATATATACACACACACATGTATACACATACACCATATTTTGTTTATCCATTTGTTTGATGGATACTCAGGTTACTTTCACCTGTTGTCTATCGTGAAGAATGCTCCTGTGAACATCAGTGTACAAATAGTTCTTTGAGTCTCCGCTTTGGTTCCTTTTAGATACATTCCCAAAAGTGGACTTGCTGGGTCATATTATTATTTAATTTATTGAGAAACTGCCGTACTGTTTTCCACAGTGGTTGCCTCATTGTACATTCCAGTTTCTCCATGTCACCCCCACTTGTTATTTCCTGTGGGTTTTTTTGTGGGGGACGGATAATAGCCATCCTAACAGATATGAAGTGGTATCTTACTGTGGTTTTTTCCCCCCTTTTTCCTACTAAAGATAATTGTGGTTTTGATTTGCATTTCCCCAATATTCAGTGATTTTGGCCATCTTTTTATGGGCTAATTGCCATCTGTATATCTTCTTTGGACAAAGGTCTATTCAGGTCCTTTGGCCATTTTTAAATTTTGTTGTTGAGTTGTAAGAGTTCTTTATAATCCTGGATATTAATCCCTTATCAGATAAATGATTTACAGATATTTTCTTCCACTCTGTGGGTTGCTTTTTCACTTTGTCAATGGTGACTGTGATGCACAAAACTTTTTAATTTTGACAAACAATTAGTTTCTTTTTTCTTTTGTTGGCTGTGCTTTTGGTGTCTTATCCAAGAGATTGTTACTAAATTCAGTGTTACGAAGCTTTTCCTGAATGTTTTTTCCTTACAAATTTTATAGCTTTAGCTCTGTTGTTATTACTTTGATCCATCTGACCTTGACTTTTGCATATGGTTAACTTCTTTTTATATGGAAAACTTCTTTTGCCTGTAGATATCCAGTTTTTCCAGCACCATTTGTCAAAGACTATACTTTCTCTATTGAATTGTTTTGGCCCACTTGTTGAAAGTCAGTTGACCACATATGTGAGAATTTATTTCTGGGCTCCCTGTTCCCTAGGTCTATATGTCTGTTCATATGCCCATGCTGCACTGTTTTTGTTTACTGTAGCTTTGTAAGTTTTAAAATGAGGAGGTGTGAGTCCTCCAACTTTATTCTTGTTTTTTAAGATTGTTTTGGCTATTTGGGTCCATGGAGATTCCCTATGAATGTAGGATGCGTTTTTCTATTTCTGCAGAAAACACCATTGCGATCCTGGTAGGGATTACACTGAATATGCAGATCACTTTGAGTATTATTTTTACCTTAGCAATTGTAAGTCATTCAATCCGTGAACATGATTTTGTATCTGCAACTTTGCTGAGTTTATTAGCTATACCAGGGTTTTTTTTATGGATTATTTAGGTTTTTTCATATATGAACATGTCATTTATGAACGGAAATAACTTATTCTTTTCCAAAGTGGATGCCTTTTATTTCTTTTTCTTACCTAATTGGTCTGGCTAGGACTTAAAATACTATGTTGAATAGAAGTAACCAAAATGAGAATCTTGTCCTGTTCCTGATGTTAGAGGAAAAGCTTTTAAGTCTTTAACAGTTGAGTACATGCGATGTTAACTGCGGGTCTTATATAAGGCCTTTATCATGTTGAAGAAGTTTCTTTCTATTCCTTGTGTAGTGTTTTTATCATGAAAGAGTATTGTTTTCCCAAATGTTTTCTCTGCATCAGTCCAGATAATTATGTAGGTTTATTCTCTCAAAGTGATGTATTGCGTTGATTGGTTGTTTTTTGTTTTTTGGGGTTTTTTTTGAGACGGGTTCTCACTCTGTCACCCAGGCTGGAATGATGCGGCACAGTCGTGGCTTACTGCAGCCTCAAACTCCTGGGCTCAAGTGGTCCTCCCACGTCAGCCTCCTGAGTAGCTAGGACTACAGACATGCTCATTGCACCCAGCTAATTTTTTTTTTTCTTTTTATCAATGGATGAGAGTTTTTTAAAAATATTGACGAGGTTGGCCTCGAACGCGTAGCCTCACCTCCTTATGCACCAGGACAACTGCCCTGAGCCACCATGGCTCCCTTTTTTTTTTTTTGTGGTGGAGACAGGGTCTCCTATGCTGCCCAGGCTAGTCTCAAACTCATGGCCTCAAATGACCTCTTGCCTCAGTCTCCCAAAGTGTTAGGATTACAGGCATGAGCCACTGCACGTAGCCTTGTTTGTTTTTTATTTGTTGAGCCATGCTTGCATTCCAAGAGTAAATCTCACTTGGTTGTTATGTATAGTTTGGATGTTTGTCTTTTTTTTTTTTTTTTTTTGAGACGGAGTCTCGCTCTGTCGCCCAGGCTGGAGTGCAGTGGCGGGATCTCGGCTCACTGCAAGCTCCGCCTCCCGGGTTCACGCCATTCTCCTGCCTCAGCCTCCCAAGTAGCTGGGACTACAGGCGCCCGCCACTACGCCCGGCTAATTTTTTGTATTTTTAGTAGAGACGGGGTTTCACCGTTTTAGCCGGGATGGTCTCGATCTCCTGACCTCGTGATCCGCCCGCCTCGGCCTCCCAAAGTGCTGGGATTACAGGCGTGAGCCACCGCGCCCGGCCTGGATGTTTGTCTTGATCCCCGGTGTTGGAGGTGGGACCTAATGGGAGGTTTTGGAGTCATAGGTGCACATCTCTCATGAAGGGCTTATTGTGTGAGTTCTTGCTCTATTATTTCCCATGAGAGCTGGTTGTTAAAAAGAACCTGGCACCTCCCTCACCCCTCTTTTGCCATATGATCTCTGCATACACTGGCTCCCCTTCACCTTCCACCATGAGTGGAAGCAGCCTGAGGCTTTCACCAGATGCCCAGTCTTCCAGCCAGCAGAACTGTGAACCAAATAAACATCCTTTTCTTATAAATTATTCAGCCTCAGGTATTCCTTTACAACAACACTATATAGACTAAGGTGAGTTCTTTTAAAATTGTGCTGAATTTGGCTTGCTAGCATATTGTTGAGAATTTTTGCATCAATATTCATAAGGGATTTTGGTCTGTAGTTTTCTTTTTCCTTTTTTTTTTTTTTGATGTCTGTGTCTGACTTTGGTATCAGATAATGTTGACCTCAAAGAATGAATGAGTTAGGAAGTGTTCTCTCCTCTTTAAGTTTTTGGAAGAGTTTGAAAAGGATTGGTGTTTCCATTTATTTCTTAATCCTCTGTAACCAATCTATCACCAAGTATCACACTAAAGTACAGTTGACCGTTGAAAAACATGGGTTTGAACTGTGCAGGTCCACTTATATGTGGCCATTTGTGAATCAAATGCAGATTGAAAATACGTTTTTGCGGGATTTGAAACCCACATAAACAGAGGCCAACTTTTCATATACACAGGTTCTGCAGGGCCAACCACAGGAGTTGTATGTGCAGATTTTGGTATACATGGGGATCCTGGAACCAATCTCCTGCATAAACCAAGGGACAACTGTATATCTTCGTTCTGCCCATTCAAGTCCGAGTCATCATGGTCTCTCATTCTAACCACGTAGTAGCTGCCTCAATGAAAAGTCCTCTTTCACTCTTGCACTGCTCCAGCTCATTTTCCTCATTTTACGCCAAAGTGATTTTTTTGAATTGCAAAACTGTGTATATCACTCACCTGTTTTATATTATTTCATCTTTAGTGGCCTAGGAAACTAGTCATAGCTCTGCAATACTCCACGCATGATCTGGCCCTTCCTCTCTCTCCAACTTGATCTCATCCTCACTTACCATACCTCTAACCACAACTGTTTTCTTTTGGTTCTTATCGAACCCCAGTTTTCCCAACTCTAGACCAAATTTTGTTCCTTAAATGTGTCTTTCCCCTCTAGGACAGGGGTGACAAACTATTTGGAAAGCGTCAGGTAGTAAATACTTAGGCTTTGAGAGCTGTATGAGCTGTTTCTTATGATTACGTAAGTCTGTTGTTGTAGATGAATGCAGCCATTGGCAGTCCAGTAGTTTGCCAGTCCCCTTGTTCTACAAGATTAAAAACTCCAGGAAAGCAATGATGTTTTCTTTACCCTTTTTCTAGTACTTTGTATATAGGAGGTAATTAATTAATATTTGTTGAATAAATACATCAAAAATCAGAAAGTTGCTTGGGTCTTTTTAGAGAACTTCTCGTGGTGATTTGCTGTCTGATTTATAATTGCACCCTTTTTTTAAAGCAAATATTGAGAAGATGTTTCTAGAACATGTTTCTTTCTCTATTGGTACAAGTTGAGAAATCCAGCAGTAAAAGGCAAATATAGGCATGCTTTCTTTAAGATACATCATAAACTGGTCTGGCCAACATGGTGAAACCCCGTCTCTACTAAGAAGTAAAAAAATTAGCCAGGTGTGGTGATGTGCGCCTGTAATTTCAGCTACTCGGGAGGCTGAGGCAGGAGAATCACTTGAACCTGGGAGGCAGAGGCTGCAATGAGCTGAGATTGCACCACTGCACTCCAGCCTGGCAACAGAGTGACACTCCATCTCAAAATATATATATGTATTTTAAATTTTCATATCAATTTTATCATTGACATAAAGATTATTTAAGAGTAAGCTGTTTGATCCAAGTATTTTATAGTTTTGAGAGTTTCTCTTGGAATTGATTTCTAGTTTTATTCCACTATGGTCCAAGAAGTTACTTGATATGATTCTGATTTTTCAAAATTTGTTGAGATTTGTTTTGTGGCCTAATGTATGGCCTTTCTTCAAGAATGTTCCATTTGCTGATGAGAAGAATGTATATTCCGCAGAATAATGTATACTCTGCATATTGTTGGGTAGAATGTTGTGTAAATGTTTGCTTAGGTCCATTTGGTCTAAAGGCCAGTTTAAATCCAATGTTCCTTTGTTGCAACGTTTTCTATCTCCATGATCCATCTAGTGCTATCAGTAGGGTGTTGAATCCATTATTATTGTATTGCTTTCTATGTCTTCTTAGGCCTAGTAATACTTGTTTTATGAATCTAGGCACTGGTATTTGGTACATATATATTTAGAATTGTTATATCTTCATGTTGAATTGATTCCTTTAACATTATATAATTTTTTTAACTGTTGTTGATTTATAGTCTATTTTATTTGATATCAGCTACTCTTGCTCACTTTTGGTTTCTGTTTGCATGGAATAGCTGTTTCCACACCTTTACCTTCAGTCTATAATTGTCTTTATGAGTAATATGAGTTTATTGTGAGTAGCATTTAGTTGGTTCATTTAAAAAATCCATTACTGTCAGTCTATATCTTTTAGGTAGAACATTAATTGATTTACATTCAAGGTTAGTATTTATATGTGAAGTTTTGCTCTTGTCATAATGTTGTTATCTAGTTGCTTTGTAGATCCTTTCTTTTTTTCCCTCCTTTCTGTCTTTGTGGTTTGGTGGGATTCTGTTGTGCTGCTATTTGATTTTTTTCTCTTCCTACCTTGTATAATTGTTTTATAATACCTGTGAATTTTATACTCTCATGTGTTTTTATGATGGCTAGTATTGACCATTTGTTTCCATGTTTAGAACTCCTTTGACTGTTCCTTGTAGATCTGGTTTAGGGGTAGTGAATTTCTTCAGGATTTGCTTGTCTGGAAAAGACTATTTTGCCTCCATTTATGAAGCTTGTTCTAGCAGGACACAAGATTTGTGGTTGACAGTCCCCCCTGCCCCCTACCCCCAGCACTTTGAAAACAGAATCCTACAGAGGGAGCAGGACTGTAAAAAAAGAAAAAACAAAATGCCAGTCTCTACTAGCTTATAAGGTACCTGCTGTGAAATCTGCTGTTAGTCTAATGGATTTTCCTTTACTGGTGACTGGATGCTTTTTCTCTTGCTGATTTTAGGATATTTTCCTTCACATTGACTTTAGACAGTCTAATTTCTATATATTGTAGTGAGGCCTTTCTTGCAGTGTTTTTGCCTGGCATTCTTTGAGCCTCTTATTCTTTGGATGTGTAGATCTCTTGCTAGACAAGGGAAGTTTTCCTCAATTATTTCCTCAAATAGGTTTTCTAAAGTTTTTGCTTTTTCTTTTCCCTTGGGAATACCTGGGATTTGTTGGTTTGGCTGTTTTACATTGACCCATACTTCGAGAAGGCTTTGATCATTTTTTACAATTCTTTTTTCTTTATTTTGTCTGATTGATTAATTCAACAGATTTATCTTCACATTTTGAGATTCTCCTGCTTGGTCTAGTCCATTGTTTGCTTTCAACCATATCTTGTAATTCCTTCCATGAATTTTTTTATTACAGAAGTTCTTTTTTAAAAAAACAAAAAACTATGCCTTTGGTAAATTTCTCATTCATATCCTGAATTTCATTTTCTCACTACTTTATATTAGTTTTCAGCTATCTCCTGTATCTCATAGAGCTTCTTTAAAAATCAGTATTTTAGCTGGGCTTGGTGGCTGATGCCTATAATCCCAGGAGGCTGAAGTGGGAAGATAGCTTGATGCCAGGAGTTCAAGACCATCCTGGACAACACAGTGAGACACTCTCTAAAAAAATTTTTTTTTAATTTAAGAAGTGGGCATGGTAATATATACCTGTAGTCCCAGCAACTTAGGAGGCTGAGGTGGGAGGATCACTTGAGCCCATGAGACTGCAGTGAGCTATGATTGTGCCGCTGAAATTCACCCAGGGCAACAGAGCAAGACCACATCTCAAGAAAATAAAATAATCAGTATTTTGAATTTTTTATTTGATATTTCAAAGATTTCTTTTTGGTTAGGATCCATCGTTAGAGAATTACCATGTTGCTTTGGAACTGTCATAGCACCTTATTTTTTAATATTTTCTGTATTGTCCTGATTTCCTTTGTATCCGTAGTAGTAGTTGCTTATTTTTAGTTTTGAATTTACATTTGTTGGGGCAGGACTTATTTTTTCCTTGATGATGTGTCTATGATGTATGTTTAATAGATTCTTGTGGCTTTGCTTCTTGGGTGTATTCAGTGACATAGATTATCTATGATTTCCTTGTTTATAAATAGCCTTAGTGTGGTGGCTTTCTCCAGTGCTGGCTGTTGTAGTAATGTATCAGGCGGGTGAGCAGTCTCAGGGCCTCCTGTGTAGCTGCAGTGGTATGGACAATTGTGGTAGTAGAGGTGGTGCAGAGCTTGTCTCCTTCCTGAGCACTGCACAATTGTTTTAGCAGATGTTTTAATGGGCTGTGAAGGTTGGCCTCCTGTCCGGTATGTGGTGCTAGAAGGTAAGAGCTGGATGCAGCTGTTGTGGTAGCATTTATGGGTTACCTTTGTTAACCAGAAGTACTCTGATGTCCTAGATGATGGGCTGGACTGTGTAACTTCCAGGGGTCCCAGTCCTGTACTCTGCCCCTGAGGCAGGTAGGGAGGGCAAAGCTAGGCAGGGCTGGGCTGGAGAATCCTGCATTCTGGCCACCCCAACAGGGCACAAGCACCAGCCCTTGCAGGGGTTGCAAGGCAGTTCTCAGGCCCCGAAGGAATGCTCCAGGGAGGAGCAGAGCAACCACTGCCATGCCAAAGATCCAGCATGGGGAAAGTGGGGTCGCTAGGGCTCCACAACCTGGCAGGTGATAGTGGGACCCGGTTCTCTACAGTTTTGACCTGGTTGGATTCCCTCCTACCATCTGCTGCTGGCAGCAAGCTGAAACAGCCAGCCAAGTCACAGGCAGTCTGTCCTCAGATTGTGAATCTGTCTCAGGCTGCAAAACGTCCTGCCAGGGACAAAAACCAGGCTCCAGGCCATACCCCTCCCAGTCTGGCTCTGCAAAGCAGGGGCACCCAATTCTCATACCCATGGCTGGGGCCCATATTACACTTGCCTCTCAATTCTGGTTGTGGAGGCTGCTCTCCTCAATATTAGATCACAAATCTTAGTCTGGAGACTCTCCATACCAGTGAGTGCCACCTATGCTGGCTGGCAGGTTTCTGTGCAGCCCGCTGTGACTTAGGATCGGGAATGGCTGCCTTCTATTTGTACCACCCAGGTCTGGGAGTATGGGTGGAGCACTTCCCACTGTTCCCAATGCTCTCCAAGTCAGATCCAGTGCTTGGTAGGGCCAAGGAGCTCCCAGCTGGCTTCAGTTGCTCTCTTCCCTTCTCACACAGAGGATTCACTCCCAGTTTTTCATGGGACATGCAGTGCTGTTGCCCACTGTAGTGTTCAAAGTATCCAAAGTTTCTTTTGCTTTTTTTTTGAGACAAGGTCTTACTCTGTTGCCCAGACTGGTACCTTCATAGCTCGCTGTGGCCTTGACCTCCTGGGCTCAAGTAGTCCTCCCATCTCATCCTCTCAGGTAGCTGGGACTGCTTAGCCGGACCATGCCTGGCTAATTTTTAAATATTTGTAGAGACAAGCCATCACTATATGGCCCAGGCTGGTCTCAAATTCTTGGCCTCAGCCTTCCAAAGTGCTGCGATTACAGGCATGAGCCACCACGCTGGGCCTGTTATGCTTTTATGTTGAGCTCCTGTGTTCCTTCTTAGATAGAAGTTCACAGTGTGAATGCACTATTGTACTGTTTCCAAGTGGGTAAGGTTGACTGCTTTTCTCTCTCTTTCTCCCTCTTTTTGGTCTGTGTGGTCATGTTACCTACTTGATAAACATTTCGGATTTGTTCATGAATTGCCTTTTTAAAAATTTTGTTTTTTTTAATATTTACATTATATAATTCTAGAGTGGGCAATAAATAAGGAATTTTTTGGAGAGGTCATGTTATTTGTCTTCTGTTGTCTTCCTTTCTCTTTAAATAGTAATTTTAAATAAAGTGAAAGAGTTTATAAGACTTGAAATAAAGAGATTTTAATGAATTGAAGAGTTAACTATTATTATTGCTGTTCACTTTCATAGGATAGTGTTAGATCTTTTGAAGCTTCAAAGCAGGTTTTAAAATACAGCAAATAGGTATTTGGTGCCAATGTGACATTGCGTATTTCATGTTTTACGTTGAATTTCTCAAGACACTATTGTTTCTTTTTTCTTTTATTAAGCTTCAAGTGGAAATAAAGAGATTATTTCGCATATTAGTCAACATGGAGGAAAATGGCCTTACTGGTTTAAAAAAATGGGTGAGTTCTTATTCTGAATGTTAAAAAATACATTGGTATTGTGTTGACTTGATTTTTAATTTCTTCTTAATTTATCCAGAAAATATTCAGAAGTTGGGGAATTATACCTTGAAATTACAAGTTGTGTTGAATGAAAGTAATGCAGACACTTATGCAGGAAGACCACTACCATCTAAAGCAATTAAGTTTTCTGTTAAAGGTAAGCAAAACAGTAATATATAATTATATATGCTAAAGGTGGCATTTTAAATCCAAAGAGAAAAGAGAGATAAGCCATTAAAAGATGTTTGAACAATTGGGTAACCATCTCGATTTTATTTTATTTTCTTACTTACTTTGAGATGGGGTCTCATTCTGTCACCCAGGCTGGAGTGCAGTGGCACAATCTCGGCTCACTGCAACCTCCGCTTCCTGGGTTCAAGTGATTTTCCTGCCTCAGCCTCCCGAGTAGCTGGGATTACAGGCGCCCGCCACCACACCTGGCTTTTTGTATTTTTAGTAAAGACAAAGTTTCGCCATGTTGACTAGGCTGGTCTCGATCTCATAACTTCTGATGATCTACCTGCCTCAGCCTCCCAAAGTGCTGGGATTACAGATGTGAGCCACCGTGCCCGGCCCATTTTGATTTTCAAATAGCTTTGTAAGTCTACTCGATAATCATATTCCTTCTGAATTTTGAAGACATTGTTTTCTACTTTTCATTGTTGCTGGTAAAGTCTAAAGCTGTCCTGATTCCTGACCCTGGGCATATTGCCCCTCCTCCCCCAAAACGTTCTCTGTTCCCCAGTCCTCAAGTTTTAGGGGAATCCCAGTTTCTGAAATATTCAATTGTATGATTTAGCATAGGCCTGTTTTTATCTAGTATCATCCAGCCATGTACCTCGTATACCCTTTCAGTCTGGAAATCCCTGTTTTATTTTCTAGGAATTTTTCTTGAATCACTTTGATTTTCTATTTTCTTTTTCTCTCCTTTTCTTTTCTGTTCCTTTCCTTTCTTTTCTTTTCTTTTCCTCTCTCCTCTCCTCTCCTCTCTCCTCTCTCCCCTCTCCCCTCTCCCCTCTTTTCTTTTCTTTTCAATGGAGTCTCACACTGTTGGCCAGGCTGGAATACAGTGCAGTGGCATGATCTTGGCTGGCTGCAACCTCTGCCTCCCAGGTTCAAGCGATTCTTCTTGCCTCAGCCTCCCAAGTAGCTGAGATTACAGGTGCCCACCACCACACCTGGCTAATTTATTTGTATTTTTAGTAGAGATGGTGTTTCACTATGTTGGCCAGGCTGGTCTCGAACTTCTGACCTCATGATCTGCCCTCCTTGGCTTCCCAAAGTGTTGGGGTTACAGGTGTGAGCCACTGCACCTGGCCTTTTTTCTTTTTTGGAGATAGTGTCTTCCTCTGTTGCCCAGGCTGGAGTGCAGTGGTGTGACTGCAGTTCACTGCACCTAATTTTTTTTTTTTTGGGAGATGGAGTTTTGCTCTTGTTGCCCAGGCTGGAGTGCAATGGTGTGATCTCGGCTCACTGCAACCTCTGACTCCCAGTTTCAAGCGATTCTTCTGCCTCAGCCTCCCGGGTAGCTGGGATTACAGGCGTATGCCACCACGCCCGGCTAATTTTGTATTTTCAGTAGAGATGGGGTTTCTTCATGTTGGTGAGGCTGGTCTTGAACTTCTGACCTCAGGTCATCCGCCAGCCTCGGCCTCCCAAAGTGCTGGGATTACAGATGTTAGCCACCGCACGTGGCCCTGTCTAATTTTTAAAAAACATTTTTTTGTAGAGACAGGGTCTTGCTATGTTATGTTGCCCATTTCGGCCTCAAACACCTGGCCTCAAGCCATCTTCCTGCCTCGGCCTCCCAAAGTGCTGGGATTACAGGCTTGAGCCACTGTGCCCAACCTGTTCTTTCTTTCTAAAATATCTAATGTTAGGATGTTGGATTTCAGGATTGGTATATTATTTTTGTTTTTCCTACTTTCCATCTCTTGGTTTTGTTTTTACTACCTTATTGGAGATTTTCTTAACAGCTTGATGTTCTATGCTTTCTATTTTTTCCTTTTTGCTACCATTTTTAGTTTCTAAAATCTCTTTTAAAATAATCTTGTTAAACAATTCCTTAAGCATTCTCTTCCTACTTCATGAATTCAGTATCTTTATTCTCTGAGGATATTAATAATAGTGGGGGTTTTTCTTACAGCGTTTTTCCTGATTCATAGTTTGTTTCCTCCATGTTGTTTTTTTATTAGATATTCTGTTATATAATTAGTGATTTGCTAACATTGAAGAATAGGGCACTTGAAAATTTCCTTGGGGTAATTATGATATGAGAATTTTTAGGTCTTGTCTCTTTGGCTATTCAGATTCCCCGGAGTGGAGCCTTTCAGTCACCTGCTAAAAGGGTACAAGACCTAGCTGCCAGCATTTTGGGAACCAAGCTGAGAAAGACCATTTATGTTTGTAGGGGGGCGGTCCTCATATTTAGTATATAATTTTCCACGTGATTTTCCTATTTTCAATAAACACTTTCCTATTTTCAGTGACACTTTTACATTTAATTGATTAGATTTTAAAATACAGACAGGGTCTCACTATGTTACCCATGCTGGCCTTGAACTCCTGGGCTCAAGCTATCCTGCTTTCTTGGCCTCCCAAAGTGCTGAGATTACAGGTTTGAGCCACCACGCCTGGTCAGTGACACTTTTAGTAGTGCTGTGTCTCTCACTTCTAGACCTTTTCTTCTTTCCCTGAAGAATAAACCTTCCATCTTTTGCTGGGGATGAGGAGGGTCGTTGACTAGCACATGCATTGAAGGATGGGGATCTGTGAAACTGTTTCTCAAACTGACTTCAGCCAACCTTCTTGTTTTATTTCAATTTCACTACAACTTTATACAGCCATTCCTGAGACTTATGGGCGTCTGATAACGGTGAATCAGATTCAGTCTCTGCTTGCTTTGTTGTTTGAGTATTTGATGTTCTTGGGTCTTTCTGCTAAGTCAGTTACACTTACTCATATGTTCTTTGGCTTTCCAATTCTATTACTCTCATCTTTTTTCTTGTTTACTGCTTTTGTAGAGTCATTGTTACAGGGTTTTTGGAGAGAACTGATCTAGGTAGCTGTGATATCAAGAAGGCCCACCTTGGAGTGTGGTTTTCTTTTTTTTTAAATGTTTTAGGAGACTTTTTTATACATAAATCTACTGTGTTCTTTTAACACCTGTGGAACATATTTTCATAAGATGGGCGTGCTGTAGTTTAAGCAGTTTCCTGTTGATGAATCGTGTTGATTGTTTCCAAGTTTTTGGCTATTAGAAACCGTAGTGCTTTTTGGGGAAAAAAAAATTATGCTGCTTTCTGTACGTATGTTAGAATCTCTTTAGGGTGATACCAAGAAGTGGACATCCCAAAAGGCTATGCCATGGTACCTTCACTTCTCACTATGAGAGTTCCAATTGACTGCATGCTCATTCCTGGCTGAACTATATATTCATTTAGCATAGTTGGTGGTGAAACTGCTTCTCTAATTTTTAGATTGTGTACCTCTTCTAGCCATTATTGGACATTGTATGCCAATGCTTGTTCATTTACTATGCCCATTTTAATAGTTTAAAGCTGTGGTTCTCAAATTTGAGTTTGTATCAGAATCACCTGAAAGGAAACACAGCTTGCTGAATTTCACCCTGAGTTTCTGATTCAGCAGGTTTGAGATAGGCCCTAGAATTTGCATTTCTAATAAGTTCTCAGGGGATGCTAAAACTTCAGGACTAGAGACCACACTTTGAGAACAGCCAATTTATAGGAGGGCTTCATGTAGTCTGAATTTTCCTTGTTACACATGTTGCAAATATTTTCTCATGTCGAGCTTCTATTTAACTTCATCATATATATCATTTTATAACTATTGAATATCGTGTTTTGCCTTTAAAGCTCTTTCCTATGAAAAGGTATAATGGCTGGGCATGGTGGCTCACGCCTGGGGAGGCAGGTAGATAGCTGGAGCTCAGGTGTTCAAGACCAGTGTGGGCAACATGATGAGACCCTGCCGCTACAAAAAATACAAAAATTAGCCAGGTGTGGTGGTACACACCTGTAGTCCCAGCTACTCAGGAGGTTTTTCCCAAGTGGATTGTCTGCATAACATATAATTTTTGCGCTGATTTTAAAATGTTATTTTTAGCATAGTCTAAAATAGATTTCTAAAATTTCTCAGATAGAAATGGATCTGTTTTTGACCCCCAATGGCTTTTCTGACCAATGTACTTGCTTTTCATTTCATTTTTGTTTTTGTTAAAGAGGGTAAGCCAGAGAAATTTTCATTTGGTCTTCTGGATCTTCCTTTTCGTGTTGGAGTTCCATTTAATATCCCTCTGGAGTTTCAGGATGAATTTGGTCATACCAGTCAACTAGTAACTGATATTCAGCCAGTTCTTGAAGCAAGGTAATTTGAAGGATCAATATGTATTTGTCCTTTGATATTTGCTAAGCATTTACTCTTTTTTTCAGCTTCATTTTTTTTGTGTGTAAGGTGTTCAACTTTAATTATTTAAAATATTAGTGAATTTTATTATATCTGGGTAATTTAGCTCCAAGCTATCCTCTGTGACTAGTGTCATATATAAATTGCTTCACTAAAGTTTATGTTTTGACTGGATTTATTGCTGAAGTTGTTAAGGTGTTTATGTCTTACTCTATGTTCTTTTGCAAGTATGATATAATGTCTCTTAACAATTCATTATTTGAAATACTTCATTCTGTGTCTTCTGTCATCACTGTTTTCTCTTTTAGCGTTCTTAGTTATTGGATGTTGGACCTTCTGGATTTAATCCCCAATTTTTAAAAAAATGTTCTCAATCTTTTTGTTTCTGTTTTACTTTCTGATAAATTTTCTCGACCTTATGATTACTACCTTTCCATTGAATTTTTCCTTTCTGCTAACATATTTTTAGTTGCTGTGAGTTCTTTCTGGTTCTCTGAAATTTTTTAAAGACCCTCTTGTTTTGTGAATGTAATACCGTTTTCACTGATAAAGCAAATGGTTAGGGTTTTTTTAAAAGCTTTCTTTTACCTCTACAGATACTCTGTTGTCTCTAGCTTAGTCAGTTGCTTGTTCTTGGTCTCTAGAGATATCTGGTTATTGGTCATCTGCTTGTAAATGAGTAGGAGACTGGAATGCAGGTGAAAGAGTGTGGAGAGGCTGTTGCCTGTGAGCTCCACTGTGGGATGATCTGTCTGGAGTACATTGTTGGGGGAAATCCTGTTGTCAGTATTTTTAGGTCTTGGGCTGGGCAGTTTCCTCAAAGAAGAATCTTCAGTCTTTTGCCTAGAGCAGGGAATAGTTTGGTTCCAAGTGAGTCAAAGAACAGGGCTGGGGTGGGAATTGGGGAGGAGAGGTCTCAGTATCCATATGCATTCGTTCCAGATAACCTCTTCTCTTCTTTTTAGTATTTCATTCTCATCCTCAGCTTATCTGCTGTCCCTGGTTCAGAGATCTTCTGTTTTAACCTTTTCAGAGATTCATCTTTCACTCATCTGCCAGAGGCAGAGAGGAGAGATCTGGAGATCTGAGATCTAAACTTTTCATCAGTCTTTTTGCTTGTTTGTTTAAACCTTTTCCTTTTGCCAATTCTGAACAGTACCTGGGCACTCGATGGTAGAGATTGGTTTCTAGCTTTTTCTATTTGTGTTTTACGATTCAGCTTTTTGGAGACTGCTATCATTTGCCACTTGCTGTCCTGTTTTCTAGCAGATAAGTTTGGTTGCCCTGTCTCTGCTTCCTTTCCGTTTTTTCTTTATGTTTTCCTTTAATAATAAAATACATCCCTTTACTGTCATATTAGTGGGATTTTAAGAGACAGTGAAAGTAGGTGTATATGTTTAATGTGCCATCTTTCCCAGGGGATTTATTTTATCTTGTATGCCACATTGCATCTTTTTTCAAATGAGCTTTACAGTTTATTCTGAAAATACCTGTAAACACTTAAATTCCATTCCTCAGAAAAATTAGGCTTTTCTCCATCATGGTATATTTTTTACTTTTTTTCCCTTTCTTTACCTTTCACAGAGTAAAATTTTGCCACTGCAAAGATCTACATCTGGTCAAATCTGATGAAATTAGCTTTGGAATCAGCTTTAGGAACCATATTACTCATGGAAGTAGATTAGGTGATGTCTTCGGTTTATGTCATCATAAGCCTGTCTGTTATTATTTGGACTTTATCTAAATTGCCATTCAGTTTAATAACAGATGCCCAGAATTCTCTAAAATCCCACTGGTGAAAGATTTGAAAGAATTCATGGTAAATGCTGAGGACATCCTTAAACCTGGCTTCTTTAGGTATTTATTTCCTTTCCTTAGGCTTGTATACATGGTCTAGCATTAGATTAGGTACTACATTGTATCTTTACTAATTCAATATGTGCTATTTTAATTTTACATTATATGTATTATATCATTTTCAGTGTTTAACCCATTGGTATCACTTATTAATACTTGTTGGATCAATTTTCTTTGTAAAAGAAATCCATTGGAATTTTTTTCTGTTTAGTTTTTTATATTTAAAAAATATTTTATTAGAAAACTAGACATGCCAATGTCACATAGGAAAGCAAAAACACATTTGCAGCTTACTTGTAGGCAATTGAGGGGAGTTAAAAAATAATTTTTTTTCCCCAGTGGTTTATCTTTACATTATGAAGAAATAACCAAAGGACCAAATTGTGTAATTCGAGGTGTTACAGCCAAGGGCCCTGTAAACTCTTGTCAAGGCAAGGTAAGCATTATGTATAGATCCTATGATACTTGTTAAGTATTTATTTATCATATGGTAAGAATGAAATTGTAAATGAAAAGTGGAATGACCTATTTTTAAAAAACAGATGACAGTAATTGGGTTCTTAGGAATTTATCAGCA
This sequence comes from Homo sapiens, assembly GCF_000001405.40. NCBI lineage: Eukaryota > Metazoa > Chordata > Mammalia > Primates > Hominidae > Homo > Homo sapiens. Next base: position 2,725,137 of record NC_000018.10, read on the forward strand.
TTATGCCACCTGACTTATCAGTTACATCTGTAAGAAAAGTTGGCACATTTACTACTGTTGTTGATTAAACATGAATTAAATATTTTTCACCTCTCCCCGTTATCTATACTTCAGTTTTTTCACATTCAAAGCCATTTTTTCGACATAGTTATCTAGGACTCTGCTGTTTTTTTTTTTTCTCTCTCCTACTGTTTCTGTCCACTTTTGAATATTTTTCTTAGAACAAAAATGACAATTAGAAATATGAGAAATTTCAGCTCACATCTTTAAACATATCACTTTGGTATTTAGATAAAAGGAAGTGTTTGGTGAGAGATACAGTTAAGGAAGGAATCCTATGCATAGTTTGTTGGTCTAAAAAAAACAGGGAAGCTAAAGATAGAAACTCTAATAAGGTAATTTTTCAGTTAGGTCTATAAAGCAGCTAATAGACTTAACTGACTAAAAGGAACACTGTAGCAAGTTTTTTTTCAGTGTATCATTACTTTAAATATTTAAAAATTTTCCCTATCCGTGTGATGTTTAAAACAGAGCATGTGTATTTTTTTCAAGTACTATATGCTGCTTTGTATAATCAAGTCAAAAATTGAGTTCTTGATTCTTTCTGAATTCAGATTTTTCTGGAAAAAGAACTTGAAATTCACAGAAAATTTGACTTTAGTAAGATAAACTTACTAAAAATTTCTAGATTTTAAAAACCTTTTTATTTTGAAATAACTTTAGAGGAAATTACTTACAAAGGAGTTCGAAGATAGTATAGAGAGGTTACATGTAGAAAGTTCCTCTGTTAATGTCTTACAGAGCTTTATATATTTATCCACACATTGACAAAATACTACTGACAAAACCGTGGACTTTTTTTTACTTGTCTCCAGTTAATTTATTTTTCTGTTCCATGAACCAATATGGAGTACCACATTGCATTTCAAAATTTTCTGGTTTTTGTTTCTTTCTACTTTACTATTTCATATGTTTTATAATATCTATCTTGATTATGATAATTATTCAGAGGTTATGCCTTTTGAGAATAAAAATTTAAGAGAAAAATTGATCCTAAAATGATATTCCTATTTTGGAAAAGTAGATTCTACCATAATTCTCTTCCTTTCACTGTCTATAAGGAAGCAGTATTGATCAGTTTTTTTCCTCTAAGATTTCTGACTCCATATATGATAATTTTAGTAAGTATAAAGTTGGTAAGTAATTTCTACAATGGTATGAAAATAAAACCAAAATATAAATCAGAATTGATGTGATAAACTACTTAAGTATGTATTCAGGACTGGGTTTAATTTTTACTGTTTTTTTCCAACAGAATTATAATCTGAAGGTTACTCTGCCTGGCTTAAAAGAAGACTCACAGATTTTGAAAATTAGATTACTACCTGGTAATATTATTTCAAGAAATATAATTATTTAAAATAATTTTCTTATGTTAAAGTATAATGATATGAAGTTAGAGGTTTTTGGGCTTTTAGTAGTGGTGTAAATCTTGAAAATACACTTAAATGTCAAACCATAGCACTGACAGAAATGACCAGTTTTTAAAAAGGAAAACATTTAGGAAGATGTTATTGACATTCTGAATATAACCTTGGGAGAAAAATTTGGATATTGAAAATGTTTGGGGAACTGTTTCTTGGAATATGTCTATTAGGCTTTATTAGAGATGGGTCTGTTCTTTACATTTTGTTGATAAAACTGTTTCATATTTTAAGAAGAAAAACTTCTAATGTTATTTTTATTAAGTTAACTTGATAATGACTTAACCTGAGAAAATGAAGTTGCATTAAAGTTACGTAGGGTAGAATATGCTGGCTAATTTGAGAGGTAGTCTATGGTAGAGATTTTAAGTACATTCTGGAGTCAGCCCTTCTGGGTTAGTATCTAGGTAAACTCGTTCTATGCCTCAGTTTCTTCATGTGTAAAATGAGATAATATCTACTCCCTTGGGGTTGTTAGGAGGATTAAATGAGTTACTACAGGTAGTCCTTGCCTTGCACAGTTCTGTAGTACTCAATGGAGGACACAGTTCCAATATGCGTGAGTTTTCATTAACACCTACTGTACCAAGTAAGAACTGCCTGCACCTGTAAAACACAACAGTGTTTAGCATGTAAGTTTTAACTCTCATATGAAAGATACCACAACCATATCTGTGTGCATATGTGACCTTTTTACTGGTTTTAAGCAAAAAGAAACATATTAGCTATTTGCTTTCACAAATTGAAGTTGTTTGACATTTCCCTCCAGTGTGAATTGTTGAAAGAATTTAGGTAGGTCCATTGGTGGAAGTATAAGAAAAAAATCATACGTATCAACAAACATTCATTTATTTGAGAGATTAGATTATTAAAAGTATGGATTTGAGTAGTACAATTCTTAGTAGCTAGATAGTTCTTTTTGTGGGGTAAATAGGAAGTATCATGGTGTAGTGATAAAAGTCAAGGAGTTTCAAATTGCAAACCAGAATTTAAACCTATGTTTGCTACTTACTAGCCTTGTGACCTGGACAAAATACTTAATTTCTCTGAATCCCAGTTTCCTTACCTGTAAAATGGGGATGATGATAATAGTAACGTCTTCATTAAGATTATTGTGAAGTTTACGTAAGAATAGTGCTTAAAAAAACTTAGCACAGTGCTTCATATATAGTAAATGAATGAATATAACTAATATTAGTACAAAATAAAATATTTTAAGTAATTCTCTCCATATACTTGTTATCAGTATGTAGCATTAATTGAATTTTAAAATATCAGTGTTTATGAACGAATCAGACTGGCTTACTGTAGAAGTATAAGCCTACTTTTCTTAATCTTAAAGGAAATTTGTGATGTTAATTGCTTATGACATCAGAGGTAGTGGGCAATCTAACAAGTAAATGACCTGATCATGTCATTACAAGAACTAATTCTTTGAATGTCTAAAACATATAGTTACTTGTGCCAGAAAAATCATCAGGTAAGATTGGTAAATAGTTTTAATAAGCTGTTATTTTTGTTTTTGAATACCTTTTTCCCAGTATCTTTTAAAGATTTTAGGTGATTTCTAATATGAATTATCACTGTGTTGTACCTTGTGGAATAAAACTTAGCCTAGACACCAAGCATTTTATACAATTGAGATAAGTCTTGTCATGTATTGAATCTGTGCATTTTGGGATGAAACTGATTAAGCATGGACATTGCCTATATTTTTCTTTCTTGGCAATATTTATAAAATATTAAGTCTTTAATGTTAAAGTTATTTCTTTTGCTATTTCAGTACTTTAGTCTTTGAAACCTGAATATGTATTTCATTGTATAATTTACTGTTAGGTCACCCTCGTCGACTGAAAGTGAAACCTGATTCTGAAATTTTAGTTATAGAAAATGGAACAGCTTTCCCATTTCAGGTGGAAGTTTTAGATGAATCAGACAACATAACAGCACAACCAAAATTGATTGTTCATTGTAAGGTAAGCTTATTGGAAGATATTTAGATTGAGTCCCATTGTAGTAAGTGGCAATGACTATTTTAGCCACTTAATAGTAAGTCTTACACAGGATTTAAGTCTGAAACGATTATTCCGTGGAAGGATTTGTGGGATCTTATTGCCAATAGTTTTTTTTTTTTAATCGTACCTAAACCAATAAAGATGCCAACTGTGCCCAGTTTCATAAATTTGTGAATAAAAGTTTACTCACCTCTCCTCTCTTGACTCCATGCCTCTCATTTCATATATATGAATAGAAAGACAAAAATGTCTTTCAGGATTGGGAATGGGCTGCTCTGCCTATGGAGTAGCCATTCTTTATTCCTTTACTTTAGGGAAAAAAAAAAAAAGGGAATGATGACTAAATGAAGGTAGGTAAAAGACCGCAGAAAGAAAAAGAAAATCCAGTTAAGTAAAAAAGAAAAGGATTGTAATTGAGGAAGTTAGTTCTTTCCTTCCAAAACAGATAAATTTTACATAGTATAGTAGAAAATTACTGTTTTTGTTCAGTATTCTAGAGTTTTAGTGACTTTTACTTAGAATTTTCTTATTCATTGCCAGAAATAGTAGCTCTACTGAATTATTTGAAACTTTGAACAATTACGGAAGAATCAAATATATTTAATAGGGGTCTTACATTATTTTTCATCTTTCAAATAGTTTTCAGGTGCTCCAAACCTTCCAGTCTATGTTGTAGATTGCAGTAGTTCTGGAACCAGTATTTTAACAGGATCTGCAATTCAAGTTCAGAATATTAAAAAAGACCAGACGCTTAAAGCAAGAATTGAAATACCTGTAAGTTATTATTGTTACTCATTGATATTATATTGAGTCTTCATACAAATAGTCTTCAACTGCTTAATAACATTTTTTGCAAAATTGTTAACTTCTGAAAATGAGGTATTTGTGGTTCTTTCAGCCAAAGCAAAGCAAAGACAATATGAAATGCTGTAATGACTATTTTAACATTTTGTGTCAAATATTAGTAATTGTCTTGATTTTTACAGTGTCTTTTATAGTGTCTATAACTATTATTGATTTACATTTCCCTAAAATATTTTTCTTCTATTAAAATACATAATTTTATTCTTTCGCTTTTTTTTTTTTTTAAAGAGATAGGGTCTCACTCTGTTGTCTAGGCTGGAGTGCAGTGGCACAATCATGACTTGCTGCAGCCTCCAACTCCTAAGCTCTAGTGATGTGCTCACCTCAGCCTCCCAAGTAACTGGGACTATAGACAAGGACCAATGCACCTGGTTATTTATTTATTATTTATTTTTTGAAAAAGAGGGTCTTGCTGTGTTGCCCAGTCTGATCTCAACTTCCTGTCCACAAGCAGTCTTCCCACCTTGGCCACCCAAAGTGCTGAAGTTATAGGTGTGCACCACTGTGCCCAGCCATTTTGCTTTTTATCGTTCTCATTTGTTTTAGAAAGCTTGGTAAATATCTCTGTTTAAACCACCATGGAAGGACATATAAACCTTTAATTTTTGTATGTAATTTTCTATACACACATAGCTTTTTATTTGTGTTTTTACACAAAGGGATTTTTTTTATTTCTATTTATATTTTTTGAGATGGAATCTTGCTCTGTTGCCCAGGCTGGAGTACAGTGGCACGATCTCAGCTCACTGCAAGCTCTGCCTCCTGGGTTCACGCCATTCCCCTGCCTCAGCCTCCCCAGTAGCTGGGACTACAGGCACCCGCCACCACGCCTGACTGATTTTTTGTATTTTTAGTAGAGATGGGGTTTCACCGTGTTAGCCAGGATGGTCTCGACCTCCTGAGCTCGTGATCCACCCACCTCGGCCTCCCAAAGTGCTGGGATTACAGGCGTGAGCCACCGTGCCTGGCCCACAAAGGGATTTCTATATCATGTGCCAGTAGGATGCTTTTTATTGGTGATTCATCGTGGCTGATAGCAAAGCCAACATGGAGGCAAGAGCTGTAAACAATCTAAGGTTGTGGAGTGGGATAACAAATACTTAAGTAAAACTTCAAAGGTTGCTGAGTAGGGTAACAGATACTTAAGTAAAATACTTAAATGTGATTTCTTAGTAATTGATATGGTGATAGATAATCTAATTGGTTGATTAACTCATACTTTCCTACTAATTATACATCAGTTATTAACATAGCTTGAACCTCAAATGGATACAAGATGTCTTTTACTTTTTAAATTAGAATGAGATGACTCTTCATTCCAGTTCTTTTTAAGCTTGTTATATTTGATAAGCTTAAAGTATTTTTTATGCATTTTCTTTATGCAATAATATGGGCAACATACTTTTGAGCACACTTTCTTGCAAAAGATGACTATGAATTAGGGAGGAATCTGGACTTGGAGGCAAGAGCAGCAGGCATTAGGACTTTTGTAAATACTACAGACCACTCAGGAGAAGACCAAGAATTCAGGTCAGTTAAAACAAATGCCAACGTAAATCCTCTAATAGGCAGTTACAAAATGTTATCCAATGGCAATAACTGAGTTTAGGAGTAAGGCAAGTAAGATACAACAGAAGATGGTTATGTGCCTGACATTCCATGAGGTAGGAATTTTTAATATCACTCACGTGGATAGGCTTCCATAAGTTAAATGGCTGCAACTGGATGAGGAAGGAGACATGAGTTAAGTAAGATTATAAAGGTATTTTATGTTTAAACTTATTTTAAATTTAGTGTGTGCTGTTGAATGGACTATAACTAGATTATGAAATAATGTAATATTTTAATTTTGTGTGCCTAAAATCAATTTATATAGCATAATCTTGGTCTTTTCTTTGATCTGTAGAACACTGGTATGCCAATAATAAATTGTAAATATGCCAATATGTTGACCAGTTGTCTTCAGGGCATCTAGAGGCCTTCTCTGGCTATAAACAACCTTGATCACTTACCCCAATGTGTTATGAATTGAAAAAATACTGAAAGCCTTAATGTAATCTGTTACCATTAAATAATGTATTTTATGGTAGCTGTTTGTCTCTGATTTTATGGAAAGTTCTTAATTTCTTACATCTTTGTTCTTATTCATAAATACTAACAGAGTATGTAACATAATTAAAATTTCACAAGATGGCAATACTTTTAAAGAAACTTGGAAATAAGAGGAAGGGACCGGGCGCAGTGGCTGATGCCTGTAATCCCAGCACTTTGGAAGACCGAGGCCAGTGGATCACCTGAGGTCAGGAGTTTGAGACCAGCCTGGCCAACGTGGTGAAACCCATCTCTGCTGAAAATACAAAAATTATCCATGCATGGTGGTAGGCGCCTGTAATCCCAGCTACTCTGGAGGCTGAGGCAGGAGAGTAGTTTGAACCCAGAAGGCAGAGGTTGCAGTGAGCCAAGATCATGCCACTGCCCTCCAGCCTAGGAGGCAAAGTGAGACTCTGTCTCAAAAAAAATAAAAAGGAGGGGAATCCTTTTAGTCCACATACAATTGTTTTTATTTTAAGAATGTGGCCACTGCCATTTATAACCTGATGGTATAAAATACGGAATTATTAATAGTATAATGCCATCTTAATGACAAAACCTGTGAGTATAACAATGTATGAGATGGTCTTCCATAATATTGAAAGTAAATTCTTCAGGAGTGTAAAATTTCAGTACAGATATCACTCAGTGTTTGTGTTTTCTTCTCTTTCTAGAGTTGTAAAGATGTGGCACCTGTGGAGAAGACTATTAAGTTGCTTCCCAGTAGCCATGTTGCAAGACTACAAATATTCAGTGTAGAAGGACAAAAGGCAATTCAGATCAAACATCAGGATGAGGTTAATTGGATAGCGGGTGATATTATGCATAATCTTATTTTTCAAATGTATGATGAAGGAGAAAGAGAAATCAATATAACATCAGCTTTAGCAGAAAAAATTAAAGTAAGTATCTCTAACAGATTGGTTATTTGTAAGAACTTTTTAAATTTTATGTTTGTAAGACTGAACAAGCCGTTTTATGGGTAGCATCTAAAAAAGAAGCTTGTCACAGAAAAGTTATACTATCATTTCAAATTGTAAGCAGAATAAGCTTTTTTCATGGAATAGGTTGAAATGCAAATGATTCATATGTGACAAAATTATACTTAGAAAAATGATTTTGACACTTAAAAATCTAGGTTTTGGCATTTTGTTTAGTTGTGCTCTTCCTGACTAGCTGTTTTTCTGCAATCATAATCAACATCACCACCTTGATAAAGCTAGCAATAAATTGGTAGCAGTTCTGAAAGCACTAAACAAAAGATCTGTTAAAGGCAAGCAGTGAAACAGTGTTGTTAACTACAGAGCCTCTATTTGGCCATTGGAAATTATTGAAATTGGTATACCACTCTAAAAATATGATCCTTAGAAAAGAGTTTTGTTGGTCCTCATCAACCTGCTGTCATCTAAATATGACATTTGTACCTTGATAGGGTTGAGTCTGCATGTTGAAACTTAACACCTCACTGAACAGGGAGCCAAATCAAAATGTTAAGTCTTATTACATAAAGTAGACAGCTTTTTAGCATTCCTTTGATGGTTGACTGAAAGAATAGTGGACAGTCTATGCTTGCTTCTTTCAAAGTTCAGTTTGTTCTTCTATAATGAGACACATGCATTCTCCAGAATCACTCTGCTGTGCAAAATTGTACAATAAAAAATCACAGGGCTTATGAGGGAAAATGGAAACTAGAGGCACAATACTCAAACTTTCTCAGTAACCCGTTAAGAGAACCTAATAAAATAGTGGCAAAAACAATAATGATAATACATGTTAAATGTTAAGAAATACATAAATACTATAATAATATGGGAGGTTACCTAGCTTGATGAAGCAATGATTGCAGCTTTTGAGTTCCTGTGAAGTGGTGGAAGGAAGGTTATCTGAAAGTGAGGGGAAAGTTGTTTTAACAGTCTGTGGATGAGCGTGGCTCATTAACACATAGTCAACTGAGGTGACTGATAGGTGTTTGAGGTGCAACATTTGTTGTGTTCCCACTTGGTTCAGCTGGGTACAGTTTTCTATGTTGACCTAGTTTTTTCATAGATGAAATTGTACCTAAGCAAAAGTAAAATTTGCCTTATGCTTAAATTGTTTACTGATAGTTGTATTGGAACAAATTTGCATTTTCAAAGTAAACGTAATTGTACTGGAACAAATTTACATTTTCAAAGTAAGCATTGTAACAGAACTTACTGTACTTTTTTCCCTTGATGTCTATGGAGATAAAATTCCCAAGTGTGGAAAAATAATTTATCAAAATTCCAGGCTTTTGAGGTAGTTAGAAATAAGCATTCCTCCATGTCTGGAGAGCTGACATTCATAGACTCTTAGTACGGAGTCCCAATTAGCCAAATTTTTGGAGAGTTAACATGTTTGGCACTATGTAGGAGTTGCTCTTCCATACCGGTATACACCATACCCATCTTGTGTTTCCAAACATAAGATCTGGTAATTCAAAAGGATTATTTAGCCACGGGTTCAACTGACCTGAGTTTTAAAATCTTATTTGGAACAATGCTTGTTCTAGCCAGCTTTTTTTCCCCTTCATAATGAGGGAAGAGAGAATTGAGATAGAAATAATTCTGATTCTGCTTGGAAAGGAGGTAAGCCATTTTTATCTCTATAAGCAGATTTGAAGGTAAGTAGTGGTTTAATAGTGGTGCCAGGGATGTGGCTTCTGAACTATTTCCTTGCTTTCTCACAATCATGCTTCCATTTCCTCCTCTCTTAAGAAGTTTAAGAAAAACCGACTGGAGAGCCTCTCCCTATCATACCTTCTCTAAGGTTGTTGCCTGCATTTGACACATTTTGCCTCTAATTTGGTAATTATGTATGTCTGTGCACTTCTTCATTGACAGTAAAAGATAGTGAGTACTCCATTTTACTTAAGTTGAATGTACAGCCTTTACAGTGGTTTTGTAGTGTTGAGAGAATTAAGCCAAGATACAAGGAAGTCAGCCTGAACTGAGCTGGGGAATCTATTGAGGGGAGTACGCAGCCAGGGTGAGTGAGGAAAGCCTTTTATCTTTTTTGTGGAACTCTTGCTTGCTTATTTTCCTTTTTTTTTTTTAATACAATAAAGAACAGAGACTAAAGATGGTTTTAAAAGATAAAAAGGTAACTAAAAACATTAGAGGAGCATAAACTAGGAAACAGAATATTAGTGATTTTCATTAAAAAGTTAATTCACCACGGGCCAGGCGTGGTGGCTCACACCTGTAATCCTAGCACTTTGGGAGGATGAGGCAGGTGGATCACGAGGTCAAGAGTTCAAGACCAGCCTGGCCAAGATGGTGAAACCCCATCTCTACTAGAAAAATACAAAAATTTAGCCAGGCATGGTGGCGGGCACCTGTGATCCCAGCTACTCAGGAGGCTGAGAGAGAGAATTGCTTGAACCCGAGAGTCAGAGGTTGCAGTGAGCCAAGATTGCGCCACTGCACTCCAGCCTGGGAGACAGAGCAAGACTCATCTCAAAAAAAAAAAGTTAATTCACCACGAACAAGTAGGCTTTATTTTTGAGATTCAGGGTTGAACCAACCCTGAATATACGCAAATAAAGTGTGATTCACCACATAAACAAAATTAAAACCGTATGATTTAATATGGTTTCAGTAGACGCAGAAAATGCTTTTGATAAAATCCAACATCCCTTAGTGATAAAAGCCATCACTGGACATTGAAGAACACACCTCAAGATAATGAGAACCATCCATGACAAACCCACAGCCAACATAATATTGAACAGGCAAAAACCGGAACCATTCTCCTTGAGAACTGGAACAAGACAAGGATGCCTGCTCTCACCAATTCTATTCAACTATTGGAAGTTCTACCCAGAGCAATCAGGCAAGAGAAAAATAAAAGGTGTCCAAATAGGAAAAGAAGTCAAACTGTCTCATCATTGTGGAGATGATTCTATACCTAGAAAACACTAAAGACTCTGGCAAAATCCTCCTGGAGCTGATAAACGACTTCAGTAGGGTTTCAGAATGCAAAATCAGTATACAAAAACCAGTAGCATTTCTGTACTACGTTTTAAGCTGAAAGCCAAATCAGTAACACAGTCCCATTTACGGTAGCCACAAAAAACACAAAATGCCTAGGAATACATCTAACCAAGGAAGTGAAAGATCTCTGCAAGGAGAACTGCAAAACACTACTGAAAGAAATCATAGATGATACCTAAAAAAGGGAAAAACATTTCATGCTCCTGAGTCAGAAGAACTAGTACTGCCCAAAGCAATCTACAGATTCAGTGTTGTTCCTATCAAACTACTGTCATTTTTCACAGAATTGGAAAAAAGCTATTCTAAAATTCAGATGGAACTAAAAAAGAGCTCAAATAGCCAAAGTGATTAATCCTAAGCAAAAATAACAAAATGAGAGGCATCACACTACCCATCTTCAAACTGTTCTGCAGAGCTACAGTAACCAAAACAGCATGCTACTGGTACAAAAACAAACACATAGACCAGTGGAGGAGGTTAGAGAGCCCAGAAATAAAACTGTACACATACAGCTATCTGATCTTTGACAAAGGCGACAATAACAAGCAATGGGAAAGGACTCCCTATTCAATAAATGGTGCCGGGATAACTGGCTAGCCATATGCAGAAGAATGAAAGTGGATCCCTACCTTTTACCATATACAAAAATTAACTCAGGATGGATTAAAGACTTAAATGTAAAACTTCAAACCATAAAAATTCTAGAAGAAAACCTAGGAAATAGCCATTCTGGATGTCGGCCCTGGCAAAGAATTTATGACCAAGTCCCCAAAAGCAGTTACAACACAAACAAAAATTGACAAGTGGGACCTAATCAAACTAAACAGCTGCACAGCAAAAGAAACTACCAACAGTGTAAACAGACAGCCTACAGAATGGTAAAAAATATTAACAAGCTATATATTCTAAAAAGGTCTAATAACCAGAATCTATAAGGAACTTTAACAAGCAAAAAACAACCCCATTTAAAAAATGGGCAAAGGATATGAATAGATAACTTGTTAAGAGAAGACATACATGTGGTCAGCAAATATGTGAAAAAATGTTCAACATCATAATCATAATCATGGAGAAATGCAAGTCAAAAGCAAAGAGATACCATCTCACACCAGTCAGAATGTCTATATTTAAAACATCAAAAAATAACAGATGTTGGCAAGATTTTGGAGAAAAGGGAACACTTATGCACTGTCGGTTGGACTGTAAATTAGTTCAGCCACTGTGGAGAGCAGTTTGGAGATTTCTCAACCTTAAATAGAACTATCGTTTGAACCAGCAATACCATTACTGTATATATACCCAAAGGAAAATAATACCATTTCACCAAATATACGTGCAGTTTTCTGTTTATCTCAGCACTATTCACAACAGCAAAGACATAGGTGCCTGTCGGTAGTAGATTGGATAAAGAAAATACACCACAGAATACTACACAGCCATAAAAAAGAACAAAATCATGTCCTTTGCAGCAACATGGATGCAGCTGGAGGCCATTATCCTAAGTGAATTAATGCAGGAACAGGAACCCAAATACTGAATGGTCTCACTTAAAAGTGGGAGCTAAACATTAAATACACATGGACATAAAAATATAGGAAAAGTAGTCACTGGAGATTCCAAAAAAGGGGAGGGTAATAGAGGAGCAGGGGTTGAAAAACTACCTGTTGGGTACTATGCTCATTACCTGGGTGATGAGATAACTCATAGACCAAATCTCAGTGACATGCAATTTATCCATGTAACAAACTTGTATACGTACCTACTGAACCTAAAAGTAGAGGAAAAATAAAGTGTAATTTAGAAATTTTTTTTAAAAAGACTATTAGTGATTTTAAGGCCAGATGTGGTGGCTCACACATGTAATCCCAGCACTTTGAAAGGCTGAGGTGGGAGGATTGCTGGAGGCCAGGAGTTTAAGACCAGCCTGGGCAACATAGTGAGACCACATCTCAACAAAAAATTAGGCAGACCTGGGGTGCATGCCTGTAATCTCAGCTACTCATGAGACTGGGGCAGGAGCATTGCTTGAGCCCAGGAATTGGAGGCTCCAGTGAGCTATGATCATTGCACTCCAACCTGGGCTACAGAGTGAGACCTTGTCTATAAAAACCAAAAATAAAAATAGAATATGAGTGATTTTAAAATCACAACTATAGAAGGCTAAATAAAAGTAGAGAGAAAGTTGAGGTCAGAATTCTTAAATAGAAAGTATTGGGAGTTTAAAAGTAAGTACAGAGTAGAGCAAACAACTTGAAAAAGTATGGATTAAGTGACAAAATATGGAATGTAAGAGGTATAAATTAATACAGAACTAAAAACACCTAAGAAGAGATTAAGGCCAAAGTATGGCCAGAAAGTTAGATCAAACTTCTTTTTTCTCACCTTGCTAAGAATAACGTCCACCTAGATCTCATTGAAAGCTTTCCCATAAATAGGATTCTTTTCAAAAAATAATTGAATATTGCTTTTCAGAATTAATCACATGATCTGATTTATATGTTACTTTTAAACGATAATGGCCACAGTGATACTTTTGTGGCAGAGCTCTAAAGAAATGACTTAAGAATTTTTATTTTATCTCACTAAAAAAATAGGGCAATATTAACAACAAAGACAAAGAGGATGCCTTTGTATCATATTAGTATATGAACCACACCGTTTCTGACCATAAAGAGACTTTTTTCTTGGGGGTGAAGAAGACGGATTATAATGTAGTTTTAAGAGTAAGATAAGTGGCAGTAAGAGAACATTAGACGAAGCTTTATTATTGTTAAATATCTCTTTTTCTCCTAGGTTAATTGGACTCCTGAGATTAACAAAGAACACTTGCTACAGGGTCTGCTTCCTGATGTGCAAGTACCAACATCTGTAAAAGATATGCGCTATTGCCAGGTTTCATTCCAAGATGATCATGTGTCTTTGGAAAGTGCGTTTACAGTAAGGTTTGTGGACTCATTATATTTTGCAGCCTATGGCAACAAAATACTGTCCTCCATTGCACATATATGAAAGTTGTTTTTAATGTAAAAATATTACGGTTTCTATGAAATATAATAGATTGTCTTTGGAATAAAGTGTCATTGGTGATAGCGATTAATTTTTGTTATCACTGTAATCTTGCACTGAATTGGCCTTCTAGTAGCTGGAACCTTCATTAAAGGAAAGTTTAGTGCCAGTAACAGTGAAAACACCTGCAAAATGACAAAGACGTGAAAAATACAAAAGATACAGTGTGATCAGTCAGTGTTGTTCAGAAGGAAAAATCCTTTCATTGCTTAGTGAGAATTTTTAAAGCTGAGAGTCCAACCAGAGTTAATATGTAGAACTCATATTGAAGGGACAGAATTAAGTGAATGTGTAAAAAAAACCTTTACACTGGCCTATCAATTTCTTGGCCACCTCTTTTCCAATAACCTCTTGCACTTTAATTCCTCTACCCATTTCTATACTTTACCCAACACTTAGGATAGTTCTGTTTTTGAGATAGAATTTTCAAATGTACTGCATTCTGACCGTAATGAGATCTCTCAATGAGTTGTTAACTCATCTGTTTTCTTGTCATAATTTCCTTTTAATCCAGCATAAATACTGTGACTTAACATGTCTGTAAGTTTTTGGTCCATATTCTCTACTATCTTTGCAAAGTGTCTTTTTCCTATTTTCTTTTGGATTAATAGCAGATTATATAAATTAAACAGTTATTTGAAGGAGTGTTATTGTATTTGAGTTATTGGATATGAACATTATATATGTGTTATTCTGTAGCATGTTGGAACTACTTCAATTAATGGTGTCACTAAAGACTTCTAACTTGTTAAACAATTTCAGACCACTTCCTGATGAACCTAAACATTTAAAATGTGAAATGAAAGGAGGAAAAACAGTACAGATGGGCCAAGAGCTTCAAGGAGAAGTAGGTTAGTATGGCTTGCTTTAAAAAACAAACAACAAAAAAATCTTCTGTGATGTTTCCTTCCATGGATGTTTTAGATACCTAATCTGAAAGGAAAGCTTTTGGGTTCATATAATGTTACTGATATAAAATCTATTGTCAGATAAGATTGAAGTATTTTCATTATCTTTGCCCAGGCTGACATAGCTTTAAAATCAGTTTGACAAACACATTTTGTCGAAAAAAAATCTTGTCTTTTGTTAGAAGTAATATTACTAGTTAGAAGTTAATAATAAAAGTATAAAGTAAGCTTGGCATGGTACACATGCCTGTAGTCCCAGTTACCCAGGAGGCTGAGGCGAGGGGATTGCCTGAGCCAAGGGGTTTGAGGCCAGCCTGGACAAAATAGTGATACTGTACTCCTAAAAAAATTCTTTTTTTTTTTTTTAACATTATACTTTAAGTTCTGGGGTACATGTGCAGAACGTGCAGGTTTGTTACATAGGTATACACGTGCCATGGTGGTTTGCTGCACCCATCAACCCGTCATCTACATTAGGTATTTCTCTTAAATGCTGTCCCTCCCCTAGCCCCGACTCCCCGACAGGCCCTGGTGTGTAATGTTCCCCTCCCTGGGTCCATGTGTTCTCATTGTTCAACTCGCACTTAAGAGTGAGAACATGTGGTGTTTGGTTTTCTGTTTCTGTGTTAGTTTGTTGAGAATGATGGTTTCCAGCTTCATCCATGTCCCTGCAAAGGACATGAACTCATCATTTTTTATGGCTGCATAGTATTCCATGGTGTATATGTGCCACATTTTCTTTATCTACTCTATCACTGATGGGCATTTGGGTTAAAAAATTCTTTTTTAAACATAAAAGTATAACATACATGTATGAATGGATTCCTATGTATTTTTTCTTATATCTAGAAAATTACATTAAAATATTATCTTCAAATTTTCATGGTAAAAAAATCTGATTAACATTAGCATCGTGTTAAATGTAGTTGAAAATATGCTTATGTAAATTCTTGATGTTTATTTTGTCGTGAATTTAAAAAATGAGTATAATTATTATTTTTGTACCAAAAATTACTCAGTAAGAGAACAAAGAGTAAGTTTCTAAGCATGTTTTTATAGTGTATTGTAGATATTTATATCTTCTATTAAAAGATAATACTAAAATAAAACTTCCCCCTTTTTTAGTTATAATAATTACAGATCAGTACGGAAATCAGATTCAAGCATTTTCACCAAGTTCTTTATCTTCTTTGTCAATTGCTGGGGTTGGACTTGATAGCTCAAATTTGAAAACAACCTTTCAGGTATGGCTACTTTCTATACCATTTTGGTTTGATTTATTCATTGTTATATGTGTAACAAAAAGTTTGGGAAAAACTAGTATAAGAAAAAAGTTTGATTTTAGTTTTTAAATTGAAAAGTCATAAAAGGCATTTTAAAAACTTGAAAAAGTTTGAACATATGCAGAAATAAACATAGAATGAGTATTTCTTGTGTTCCCATCATCTTCAACAGTCATCATTCTCCCCATACCATATCATTTTGAAGCAAATTCCAGACATCATACCATTTTATCCATAAAGATTGTGGTATATAGATTTTTTTGATAGCTTTTCATAGTAGCTGTTTAAATAAAATTTCTTGATGTTTAAACCCTGTATTAACAGGATGATGAGGAGAAAAATCATTATAAAGGTTTGCAACTGTGCACTTAATTCATGTTAGCTTAAAAAATAAAAACTCTGGTGGAATTCTTTCAGTCTAAAACAAACAAGCATGCTGTACTCTGCTTAGAGAGGTAAAGACAGCTTTAGGGAAAAGGACATGCTGGAGTTGGGTCTTCAAGGAACCTGCCAGTAGTAGTCCACAGTGGGTGAGAGAGAAGATCTCTCAGGTCAAAGGGAAGTTAAATTCATTTAGATCATTGAATGCTTTTTAAAACTTTTCCTCCTTTGAGAGTCTCTATTACACTTTTTCTTAACAGAGCAGTCACAAAAATAACTTCCATGTTTCCCTTCTAACTAGAGTTTCTGTCTCCAGTAATCTGTTCTGCTATTTTCTAATGTCGAGCATCATTTTCACTGCTGCGGAACTTTGAATGATATTTTGTTCCCTCCACAATGATAAAATATGCTCTTTGACTTTTAGTTTCTTCCATTTTCTAGCTTCACCCTACACGTAGATGAAATCAGAAAATAAATGCGCTCCTGTTATGAATAAACAATCCCTGCTTCCTATCACTCTGCGCACAGGCTCCTAATTGCTCCTAAATTATAACCTGTCTTCCTACATCTTCAGTTATCTCTTCCACTAGAGCAGTCCCACCAGCATGTAAACATGCTGGAATGTCTCTCATCTTAAACAAACAAAAGGAAAAATCCCTCCAGAAAAACCAGCAAAGCTTCCTTTGGCCCTGTATTCCTGTCCATCTACTGCCCTCCTCCATTTTATAGTAAAACTCCTTGGAAGAGTTGTATGTTTTCACATCCTTTTCTGTCATTCTGTAGCAAGCCACTCTGATCATGTTTTTCTGCTCTGTTCTACCTGACCAAATCCAGGGGTCAATTTTCAGTTCTCATGCTACCCATTAGACCTATCAGCATGTTACATTCTACTGCATTTGAAATCCATTGCCTTAGTATGGCCTGTAATACCTATAGTATTCCACCCTACCATAATCTCACCCCTTTCTCTCTCCATAGCTCTTTACTCTCCAGCCAAGTGGACTTTTTTTCTACTTCTGTCTTTCTGTAATTGACGTATACTATCTTGGCTCATTTTCGGAATTGTGTATTTAATTCTGTTTGTACCCATCTACAATTTGTAAATGCAATTTCATTTCTAAGATTTGAAATAAAACCAGAACAACTTCCAACATGACTTTAAAAAGAAATCACCCCTTCAGAAGGGCTTTTGGTTCAGAAGAGCTATCAAATTTGGAACCCTAAGATAGACTTTGCATATTTTGAACTTCAGTACATTTTACTAAGGAATATCTATTTAATTAGTTTTCTGAATATTGAAAAATTCTTCTGTGCTTATTGGGCTTTTCGGAGAGATTAATTTTGATTATTTTACAGTGACTTTTTACATAAAATATTCTGTTCTACAGATCATTGTTTGAGAACATAAAACATGAAGTTTTCTCTCTGATTTATTTATTTAATTTTTCGAAACAGGATCTCACTCTTTTGCCCAGGCTGGAGTGCAGTGCAGTGTTGTGAATATGGCTCACTGTAGCTTCAACCTCCTGGGCTCAAGTGATCCTCCCACCAGAGCCTCCCAACTAGCTAGGACTATAGACGCATGCCACTACACCTGGCTAATTTTAAAATTTTTTGTAGAGACGGGGTCTTACTGTGTTGCCCAGGCTGGTCGTGAACTGGGCTCAAGGGATCCTTCCACCTTGGCCTCGTAAAGTGCTGGGATTATAGTCAGGAGCCACTGTGCCTGGCCTGATTTTAAAATTTTGCTGAAATATTGTTACAGCAGCCCAGAAACAAAAATAAAATTTTGATGAAGTAGATTTGTACCTAGCAGAAATTTAAGATGAATAAATCATCAAGGGTCACCATTAAAATACAAATACTGCAGCACTCACGCCAGTGTGGAATCATTCAGTCATATTGCAAAGATTATAGGCTAGTTTCATTGATTCTCATTAATATGATGTGTTACGCATTATTCTAAGTAATAGAGATTGAGTAGTGACAAATCAAAGCTCCTGACCTTGTGGAAATCATCTTGTCATGGAGAGAACATGCAATAGATAAGAAATAAGAGGTAAGAAAAATGAAGTAAAGAAGGGGATAGATAGTATGCCAATAAGTAAGGTGATCAGGGAAGAGCCTCTTATTAAGGTATCATGTACAAAAATCTAAAGACAAACAGTGTGTATATCTGGTAAATAATGTTGCAAACAGAGGGAAAGAACAAGTATAAAAGCTATTCAGGTAGCAGAAAGGAGGAAGTATAAAGAAGAGGGAAATTAAGAAAAGATAAAATAAAGAGACATTGCCAGAACCTTTTAGATCCCCTACCCCTTGAAAGAAAAAATTCAGTTTCTCCTCTCTTGAAAATAAAATGCATGGCATGCCATTATTGCATGGGTGCTATTTATTTTCTGTCATGTTACCAAGAAACACATCTGTACGCCCATGGGTTAATGACAAAACATTTTATTTTGTTTTTCTGAACACTAAGTGATACCCCCTGTCTTTCTCAATGTACTTTTCCTCACTAGGAAAACACACAGAGTATAAGTGTAAGAGGCATCAAATTTATTCCAGGTCCTCCTGGAAATAAGGATCTTTGTTTTACTTGGCGTGAGTTTTCTGACTTTATTCGAGTGCAACTAATTTCTGGACCTCCTGCTAAACTTCTCCTTATAGACTGGCCAGAACTAAAGGAGGTAAGTCACTTCATGTCTTCACTGAAAGAATTTAATATCATATGGCTTATTACTTTCAGATTGTCAGTGAATCAGAATAGATATATTTTGTTGCTGAAGTAACAACTAACAGTTGTTAACAGTAAAAATAACAAAAAAGCAAGGTAATGTGAGTCTTAATACTTTGTTATTTGATTCATCATTGTGTCCTCATTTGTTAAAAATAATGAGTGTAATAATTCAGATCTTAAAAACTACATTACAGAGGATTTCAAGCATGCATAAAAATAAAAAGAATAGTGTAGCAAACTCCCATGTGCCAATTACCTAGTTTCTACAGTTACTGATTTTTGCCAATTTTGTTCTTTGTTTTCTTATACTAATCTAATAACTTTTTATTGGAGTTTTAAAAAGCATATCTCAGACATCAAGTCATATCCGTAAATACTTCGGTATGCCTTCCTATGCAAGTACTTAAATTTTAAATACTAATTTTGTAAATGTCTGTCAAATCTGTTTTTTTTTTTTACTGAAGTTTCAGAATTCTAATTTGATTGACAGACAAAAATTGTACATATTTATTGTGTACAACATATTTTGAAATATGTATACATTGTGGAATGGCTAAATCAAGCTAATTAACGCACATATTCTCATACTTTTTTTTGTGGTGAAAACATTTGAAATCTATTCTCTTAGCAGTTTTGAAGAATCATCTTGTCACGGAAAGGACATGCAATAGATGAAGCAGTTTTGAAGAATAGTAATATACTATTAACTGTAGTCATCATCATACAATAGATCTTTTGAACTTAATACTCCTAACTGAAATTTTGTATCCTTTGATGGAATTCTAGTTTTAAAATGTCCAGATTCTGACATTTGCTTATGGAATAGCAGGGCTTTAATGGTTTTTTTGTTTGTTTTGTTTTGTTTTGTTTTTGTTTTGAAAGAGTTTCACTCTTGTTACCCAGGCTGGCGTGTGGAATGCATTGGCACGATCTTGGCTCACTGCAACCTCCACCTCCTGGGTTCAAGCGATTATCCTGCCTCAGCCTCCCAAGTAGCTGGGATTACAGGCATGTGCCACCATTCCTGGCTAATTTTGTATTTTAAATAAAGATAGGGTTTCACCTGTTGGCCATGGTTGGTCTCAAACTCCTGACCTCAGGCGATATGTCCGCCTTGGCCTCCCGAAGTGCTGGGATGACAGGCATGAGCCACTGCACCCGGCCAGGACTTTTAACTGTTGATGTGATAGCTAACTTTGAAACAAGTTTTATTTATTTTTAATAGAGACTGGGTTTCACCATGCTGACCAAGCTGATCTTGAGCTCCTGGGCCCAGGCAATTCTTCTGCCTCATTCTCGCAAAGTTCTGGGATTACAGGTGTGAGCCACCGTTCCCAGCCCATGTTTTCTGTAAAAGAAAATGAAGTCACACAATCATGGTAGTAGGTGAATTTATCTTAGTAAAGGGGCAGGTCATCTAAGAAAGGTTAACATGCTCATGCCTTAGTTTGAGATTGATCTTTTTCACTTGTGAGTTTAAAAAGCAGATAAACTGGTTGTGACAGTGTGCTTTATAAAACACAGTTTTTAGAATAATAGTGTGTTGACTAAAGGGTTTTACTGAAAAGCCAGTGCATTTTTTTTTCTGGGAGCACTTACAAAACATAAATTAACCCACTTTTTATACCTACTGATGCCAGTGAAGTATTTGTTGATTGACTGTTACCTGGAACAGTTGTGTGGAACAGTTTTGAGGTGGAAAAAGTCTGGACATGTTTGTCTTATATCGTTTTGGGGGACAAATATAAAAAATAATGACAGCTTGTTAGCTCAAAAATTTATTATAAGAGTTATTTGTAGATCCGTAATAATCCAGAAATTTAAAATAAAACATAAACTAATATATCAGTCTCTTGAGATATGGTTATATATAGATGAGGCTAGAAAAATGATTATTTGATATCTAATTTTTCTAAGTTTTCTAATTTAATTGCTGACCCACCTTCCCCCTGATAGGATCTGTGCAGAGAGGAGGAACTGATATAATACATTAACATGATGAATAGAAAAATAGATGTGTATTAATAAATACATATATTATTCTTTATAAATGAGGGAACTGGCCAGGTGCAGTGGCTCATGCCTTGTAATCCCAACACTTTGGGAGACCAAGGTGGAGGAATTGCTTGAGCCCAGGAGTTCAAGACCAGGTGGGGCAACATAGTGATAATTTGTTTCTGTAAAAAAGTAAAAAAATAAAATAAAATACAAGTAAATGAGGAAACTGAAATTCTGAAATATTAACATGCCAGTATTAAAAAGTGACATTAAATGTGATATTAAAATGCTTATGGACATTTGATTTTGGAAATTTGCTTTTTCTACTATTTTCTAGAAAACATTAGCAGTTTGGACTACAAGTCATTTACTTAAAGATAACCTTTAAAAGTAGATAGGAGTCCTTTAAAAACTTAGACTGTCCTTTAAAGGTAGTTTGGGTAAACAGTTATTTGATTAGGAATGAAATACTGTATGTTTACATTTGGAAACTCAGCAGTTTTCAAAATTCAAGCTTTTTATAAACTTTGGCAGAGGGAACATGGCTGTAGCTGTGTAAACTTTATGGTAGAGGGACATAACTAAACCAATCTCAAGGGTGTTTGGTTTTTTTCATAATGTCTTATTCATAGCAGACTGTTAATTTTTCTTTCCATTTTCAGCAGCCTTTCCCCATAATCTGGTAACCAGCTACCTCAGTTAAGAGTAGGGGGTAGAAGCAGCAGAAGGAACTTTCTTGTTAGAGGAGAGGTGATAAATCAGTTTTTTTTTGTAGTTGTCCTTTAGTTCCCTTCCATCTTTTGTAAACTTTTAAAATGTTGGCCCAGGGGATTGGGCTTTTGTCAGGTATCTTGTTTAACACTGTGTTTCCTTTGATGTGCCCAATATTAATAGGTCAGTAGGCAGATTTCTAGATTTATACAGCCTTATATACTAGCTGGGGAAACAGCAAGAAGCATTTTAAATCAGCAAGACAGTGTAGATCATCAGTGAATAGTCCTATTTAACCAAGGGCTAGAAAGCCATGTTACTGCTTTTAATGCACAATAGCAGAGAGCTGAACACTGACTGAGGGAGAAGCTAAACTACAGATTGCCAATGCTAAATCTGAGAACCAAAGATAGGTTTCTGTTGCTGTTGAACACATTCTAGTGCTTACATAGCATTTGCGTTGTATTAGATGTTAAAAGTAATCTAAAGATGATTTCAAGTGTATGCTTAGGTTATATGCAAATACTATGCAATTTTATATAAAAGAGTACCTGCAGCTTTTGGTATCCACTGGGGTCTAGAACCAATCTCCTGTGGATACTGAGGGAAGACTGTAATGTCAGGTGTTGCTTTTTCTTTTTTCAGATCATTTATCATTTTGATAAGAGGGTCACACAATTTAGTTGGCTTTCAAAAGTTCATTTTCATTGACCAAAGAAGCCATTTGCAAATAGAACAGAGATAAATTAAGTGATCGTTACACAAATATACAAGTAATTGCATTGTTTGGCCCATATATTTTAGTGTTTCTTAAAATATTTCTATTCTTTTCAGTCCATTCCAGTGATTAATGGAAGAGATTTACAGAACCCTATTATTGTTCAACTTTGTGATCAGTGGGATAATCCAGCACCGGTACAACATGTTAAAATAAGTCTTACAAAAGCTAGCAATTTAAAGGTAAGTTTTAAACTTCCTTACATCTTCATTTAAAATTCTGGATTTCATTTTCATGATAGTATCTTTAGCTGTCATATTGCTTCTTTTCTAAAAAATATATTTTACATAATCTTTATTATTGCTTAGTGTAAATAAACCTCAAAAATTTTTAAAATTATTTTGAGGAAATAAAGTTTATATCTTACAGTAGTACAACAAGGGGCCAACATTGTACAGTTATGGCTGTTTTAGTGTTTCTTATATAGTGCTAGTAAGACTTGCATTTCAGATTAGGATGAATAAATAGATAATTAACACTGACAAAGTGAATGAAGACAGATATCACAGTGACCTACAGAATGGATTAAGGAACAGGCATTATTGGGGAAACATACATGGTGAGGCTAAACAAAAAAAGTCTTGCAGGTACCTATCCTCTACTTATCTTATGGAGAGCTACCAAATCCTGGGCAGAGCTACTGGAACATACTGATATATTTTAGGGTGAGGCTCCTGCCCTTTATTGTTCTTTTTATGGGGCAAGTATGAACATGGTCTTGTAAAGTTTGGGAACAGTCTTGACTACCAGAAAGTTCAAGATTAGGTATCATTTATTCCTATGAGTATTGAGAAGCTGCATGGGATCTAGTGGCTGGTGCAAAGTTGGAGGCACTCCTTCTAGGGGAAAGAGGAAAAGCTGCTAGTCTTTGCAAAGTTGTGTGTGTGTGTGTGTGTGTGTGTGTGTGTGTGTGTGTGTATATAAATTTTTTTTTTTTTTTTTTTGGAGACAGAGTCTCGCTGCAACGCCCCAGGCTGGAGTGCAGTGGCGTGATCTTGGCTCACTGCAACCTCTGCCTCCCAGGTTCAAAGCAATTCTCCTGCCTCCGCCTCCTGAGTAGTTGGGATTACAGGCATGTGCCATCATGCCCAGCTAATTTTTGTATTTTTAGTACAGACGGGGTTTCACCACGTTGGCCAGGCTGGTCTCAAACTCTTGACCGCGGGTGATCCACCCGCCTTGGTCTCCCAAAGTGCTGGGATTACAGGTGTGAGCCACTGCGCCTGGCCATAAAGTTGTATTTTTATACTGTCTCTTCTGTTGGTTGAAGGGAATTCATTGGTCCCAGCCAGGTTGTTGCTAAGCAAGCCAGAGGGAGTTGGGGTCATATTCAGACAATCTTGAGTATCCCTCCACATATAAAAAATAAATATAAATGTAATGGAGAAACCAGTTGATATCATGTAAAGATGATGTTTCTCTTGCAATTATTTATAGTTCAATCAGAATCCCAACAGGGATTTCCCAGAACCTGAAAAGGTGATCTTAAAAGTCGTATGGAAGATTAAAGTGCCAAGAATGGCTTGTTACACATGGACCTGTTTTCATAGTAATTACAGTTGGAGTTTTTAAATGAGTCTGTTAAATGAGGCTATGATACTGCTGCTCTAAGACCTGAAAAGACTTACTTCTCTGGCTTAGCAGTAAGGATTTGATACCCAGATGGGAGACATACTTTGAGAAAGATGGGTTGAGAGACAATGGACCAGAGGGTAATTGGGACAGGTATAAACATAGGATTTCATCCTATCATTTCAAGTACCCTTTCTCATTTTTTCCTGTTCAGCTATTGCTTTTCCTGTCTGCATGTACCATTATTACCTACTCTTTAGGTTCTATTAAGTTGAGATGGGTTTTAGGATTTGGGAGAAAGTCTGATTTTTCTTCTACTGTGGTCTACAAATTCACTGTTATTCTGAATGTTTGCTTCCAGTAGAGTTAGACAATGATTACTTTCAACCCCAGAATAAAGATATGATTCTAGTTTCTGGAGAACCATCTGTAAAAGGCTGAGAGACCCTTCTAGACCAGTTATTAGGAAATGTGGCCACTGATTCTTAATCTCTTGAAAGTGAAAGCTTGGTTATCACTGTGAATGTAGTATTGCAGCAAAAATTTGAGAAGTGTATCTGAGTAGACTTTCAAGAGAAAAATGAAGAATGAAGATAGTGCTATGATGCTTTGACTTGAGTATGTGTGTACAGTATATATTTCTCCAGTGCAGTCCCCTATACCTGCCCCAGCTTTAGAATATACCTTCTGTGTTTGTGTAAACAAACTTCATTTGATCTATCAGTGATATTGAAACAGTGAACTAGAAATCTGCAACTTAGTAACTGAAATACATTAAATTCTAGTGAAATTGATCAAGATGAGTGATTGTTATTCTACTTTGGATTATATCATTACATACTACATTATTCCAACTAGTTCAGATTTTTAAAATTTAGATTTTAGAAGTATGCAAATACTGCTTTTAAAATAGGAATAGAGGGAAAGAACATTGTAATGGAAGAAAAGAACTTGATTGATCTCTAGAATTTTCTAATTAACCATTTTGTTTTGTTTTGTTTTTAGCTCATGCCTTCAAACCAACAGCATAAAACAGATGAGAAAGGCAGGGCTAATTTGGGAGTATTCAGTGTTTTTGCCCCTAGGTAAGAACCAAAAGTTTGATAGTTGTTGGTGTTATAGAGATTCGTTTTTCTTACTGCTTGCCGAAGTTACAGCTAATGACTATCCTTCTGTTTAATGTTAGGCAAGAGTTGGGACTGAATAGAAGTTGAGAGGTTTTTCTAAGAGTTGAACTTTGCATAAATTGTCTCAGAATTTTTAGGTTATTAACTAATGTAATTTGAACCCCTCTCCTCTTTTGTTTTGTTAGGGGAGAGCATACTCTTCAGGTTAAAGCCATCTATAACAAAAGTATCATAGAAGGACCTATAATTAAGTTAATGATTCTTCCAGACCCAGAAAAACCCGTTCGTCTCAATGTTAAATATGACAAAGATGCATCCTTCTTAGCAGGGGGTCTTTTCACTGGTGAGTATTTCACATACATAAATAAATCTATAATGATAATTTGCTTTGTACATTAGTGGAATAAATTACTTATCCTAGGTTAAGTGTGCTCAGTCTAATGTAGGAGACAGGGAAGCAAATGATTTCAATATCATGTTGCAGATGTTAAGTCAATAGGAAATTAGTTTTTGTTTTACACAAATAATTTTCTGGAAGACTTCTGTTTTCTTAAAAGGATGAATCCCTATACATAGTTTTAAGTAGTGAATGAAGCACCTCAAAGTTTAGATTTAAAAATTGTTGACAATAATTTTTAATAATCAAGTTACATGTATACATAGCTTTTTTTACCCTATAAAGTAGACTATACCGTATATAAAGTTTTAAATCTATTTCAGGGAGATCTATTTCCTGTGATTAAAAAATTAGTAACAGGTGCCAAATGAATGTTACAGGTGGTAAATATAATGGGAATATTATATATATTGATCTTTTGGCTATTATATGCTATCGAAAATCATACAAGAAAGTAAATATTCTGTTCTTGGAATACATAAAGCATATGGTGCTATGACCAATTGGCCTAACTCTTAAGTTGCTGAGTATACATTCTAGTCTTTTTGGTCTTGTATGCTAGAATTTATACATTTCTTCATCAGAATTGTATTAACATTTAAATAACGTGTGCTTTAAACATTTAAATAAGATGTTTGCTTTAAGGCATACAATTATTTAACCATATCCATTAATTGAACTAGAAAGAGATAATTTTTTAACGTTTACCATGACAGATTTTATGATTAGTGTTATTTCTGAAGATGACAGTATCATTAAAAACATTAATCCAGCACGTATTTCCATGAAAATGTGGAAGCTGTCTACCAGTGGGAACCGACCCCCAGCAAATGTGAGTCATGGGAAGCATTTTTTGAAGTTAAAAATAGTTCTTACATTTAACTTAAAACTAAGTCTCCTTTAATGTAAATATATAATGTTATATAAATTTGAGAAATGGAAGTGAATTTACTTCATTCCTTTGGGGTTAAAGAAATTACATCAATGTATGTTTCAAAATTAAAGATTGATGCTATTGAAAAAGAGTAGTCTACATTGTGATGTTTCTTAACATTTTAAGATGCCTACACATTAAAATTATTTCATCTGAAGGACAGTAGCACAAGGCAGAAGCTATTAAATATGAGGGGATAATATAGAAAATGAGATAGTAAAGAGATAGGATTGATAGACTGCTTGAAAGAGAGTGGAGAGTTAGAGGGTCTAGAACAGTGCTGTCCAGTGGAAAGATCATACCTGGTGTTTCTGCTTTCTAGTAGCTACATTTAAAAGCTAAAAAGAAATAAGTAAAATTCTAATGTTTTTAACCTAATATATCAAAAGTTACCATTTCAACATATATTCAATAGTTTAAAAATTATTGCTAGGATTTTACGTTCTTTTATCTTACCAAGTCTATGAAATTTGGTGTTTATTTTACACTGTATATCAGTTCAGACCAGCCACATTTCAAGTGCCCAGTAGTCACACATAGCCATTGGCTACCATATTGGATAATGCAGATCTGAAATAAATCTAAAATTGGGAACTAAAGTTTATCAGTGTCCTGATATAATAATCTACTTCAACATTTATGGTTCATTTTAATCATTGGTTTTGGAAACTATCTTGCTTAATTAATCCTGAATCTTTGCTTGCTTAATTTAGACCATCAGTCCAATCAAGTTGGTATTATCTTTAAATAATATCACCATAAAGTTCTACTGTGTGTCTTTTAATAATGGGGTGTCTTTCCACTGTCACTAATCTCACATTGTACCTTACATGTATTATGAAGATATAAACGTGTGTATATATACCTGTATGTTTATAAATGGAATCCAGATACACATTCAGTTTAGGTATATAATAAGCTTTCCTCCTAAGTATACTATGTTAAATTTTGTCATTTTCCCCTCTCCCCTTCTCTCCTACTCCCCTTTCTAGGCAGAAACATTTAGTTGTAATAAAATAAAAGATAATGACAAAGAAGATGGCTGCTTCTATTTCAGGTATTTCTCAAAACATTTCATATTTTGAATACATATCTTGTTACAAAGTAATTCAACCCTGGAGATATATGTGGGCTCACCTGAGGAAAAGTAATTTATGATCAAATAGAAATGTTAGTGTCTCTAAATTTTTCTCAGTTTTTTGGGAAAAGGTGTGTTTTCGTTTTTAAGCATTAAATTGGTTTTAAGCTTTGTAAATTGTAATTGTATTTGCTTTTGAAACTATCGAAGCCATCAGAAGAATTCTTTTATGTTGTCAGGGCACTTTATAACTTCTTATTATATAGGAGGTTTCTATAAAGATTAGACTGGCTTTTAACATTTCTGTGACTTTGAGCATGTTGCTGCTTCATTCTGGACCTCCATTTTCAAATCTAAAAACATTATGTGTTAAGTTTCTTTACAAATCCTTTATCATCAATAGGGTCAAAATGCTCATTATATTTGTTCAGTGCTTTTTCAGACTAATTGGTAAAGGACCAATCATGGAAGCTCCACCCCTTACCTCTTCCAGTTATTACCGTCTTCCTTCCTGTTGTGCATGCCATGCACACACTCATGTAGACACACACATGCACACACCACAAACCCTCTCCTGATTTGGTCTTATTTAGAGTTCCGTTTATCTTAGCATACATCTCTATAGTCTCTGATTTAGTTGTGCCCATTTTTGAACTTGATATACAATTATTTTCCTTTGCATAAGACTTCTTTCACTCAGCATCATGAGATTCTGTGGCATATAGCTATAAATTCATTCATTTCCATTGCTGTATAGAAGTCCATTGTGTGAACACACTACTATTTTCCATTCTGTTAATGGCTATTTGCATTTTCAATTTTGGGCTATTACAAATAATCTTTATAACACTGGTGCTCATATAAAAGTAAAATTGCTGGGTCATAAGTTCATAGATGTGTATATTTAAATATAGATGTGTATGTTAGATGTTAAATATAGATGTTAAACATAGATGTGTGTGTTTAACTTGAGTAGCTTGAGGGTTTATTTCTTTTTAATACATAGCCTTGCTAGAGTGCAATGCCTAGAGTGCAGTGGCTCACTGCAACCTCTGCTTCCCTGGCTCAAGCGAGCCCCCTGCCTCAGCCTCCCAAGTAGCTAGGACTACAGGAATGTGCTGCCATGCCCAGCAAATTTATTTATTTATTTATTTTGTGTGTGTGTGGAGACTGGGTTTCACCAAGTTGCTCTGGCTAGTCTCGAACTCCTGAGCTCAAAGCCATCTGCCCACCTCAGCCTCCCAAAATGGTGGGATTACAAGCATGAGCCACCGTGCCCGGCCCTTCCCAACACGGTTTTGTGGGTCTTTTCAGGTGTAATCTTCTGGTGGACATGTAATAGAGTGGCATCACACTTACTCTTAATTTGCATTTCCCTGTTTATCATATATTTATTGGCCACTTAGATTACCTTTTGTGAAGTGCCTTTTTTGAGTATCTTAATAACTTTTGTATTATTTTTTATATTAATTTGTAGGAGTTCTTTATATATTAGAGATACAAGCCTTTTGTTTAGACATCTTTGCCTATCCTGTGGCTTGCTTTCTCATTTTATGATATCTTGAACAGCAGTGGTTAATTTTTATATAAGCAAATGTGTTAATCATCTTTTTTATAGTTGATCTTCTTTGTGTCCTGTTTAAGTCTTTCCTTACATTTAGGTCATCAACACATTTTACTATATTATTGTGTTGGGGGTTCCCAATACCAATGCCAGGTTTGATGATTCACCAGGAGGACTCACAGGACTTAATATATAGCTGGGCTCATAGCTATGTTTTATTGAAACAAAAGGATTCAAAGTGAAATGAGCAAGGTAAAAAGCTCATGGGGTGATGTCCAAGGGAAAGCAGACACAGAGGAAGCTTTCCAAGGATTCTGTCTTGGTGAAGTCACAGAGTATGTGCTTAATTCCCCAACAATAAATTGTGACAATGCGTATAAAATGTTGTCAACCAGGGAAGCTCACTGGGGACTCAGCATTCAGGGTTTTTGTTAGGGTGTGGTCACATAGGCAGCCTCTGCCTAGCAAATACCAGATTTTCAGAAGAAAAGCAAGTGTGTAGCATAAACCATATTAGTGCAGTGGTTTAGGCAATGTGAGCCACTCATATCAGTTAAAGGTGAGAACCCTCCTGAAATCTAAACTCACAGATGTCTGCGAAGGGCCCATCTTGCAAGCAGACAAGTGCTTCTAAGGATAGCACTTTAGGTTTGCTGTGTTCTTTTTATACAGTTATACGTGGAATTGATTTTTTTTTTTTTTAATGTATAGTGTGAGGCCAGGTGCGGTGGCTCACACCTATAATCCCAGCACTTTGGGAGGCAGAGGCAGGCAGATCACATGAGGTCCATCGTAAATGATATCTCCTAAAACATTTTTATTTTCTGTTGTTTTTGGTTAGAGAGATGCAATTGATTTATGTATATTGACCTTGTAGCAGTTATCTTTGTTAAACTCCTTCATTTCTTATTTTAAATAATTAATTAATTAATTTAGAGACAGGGTCTCACTATGTCACCCAGGCTGTAGTGCAGTGGTGCAATCATGGCTCACTGTAGCCTTGACCTCCCAGGCTCAAGCAATCTTCCTACCTCAGCCTCTCAGGCAGCTGGGACTACAGACCCACAGCACTACGCCTGACTTATGATTTTATTTTTTGTGGAGACAGGGTCTTACTATGTTGTCTGGGCTTGTCTTAAACTCTTGGGCCTTAGCCTACCAACTAGCTGGGACTATGGGCCCACACCACCACACTTGGTTGATTTTTTAATTTTTGTGGACTCAAGGTCTCATTGCAGGTCTTGAACTCCTGAGTTCAAGCAATCCTCCCACCTCAGCCTCCCAAAGTGCTGGGATTACAGATGTGAGCCACCACTCCTGGCTCTGATTTTATTTGTAGATTCTTTGGGATTTAAGAAAAATGTCTAGGATTTATAATAGTAGGTTTGTTATTTTCCAGTTTTTGTGTATTTTCTTTTTCTTTCTTTCTTTTTTTTTTTTTTTTTTTTGAGATGGAGTCTTGCTCTGTCTCCCAGGCTGGAGTGCAGTAGCATGATCTTGGCTCACTGCAAGCTCTGCCTCCCGGGTTCATGCCATTCTCCTGCCTCAGCCTCCGGAGTAGCTGGGACTATAGGCACCTGCCACCACGCCCAGCTAATTTTTTGTATTTTTAGTAGAGACAGGGTTTCACTGTGTTAGCCAGGATGATCTCGATCTTCTGACATTGTGATCCACCCGCCTTGGCCTCCCAAAGTGCTGGGATTACAGGTGTGAATCACCGCCCTCGGCCGTGTATTTTCTTTTTCTTATCATACCACAGCATCTTGGATTTACAGCAAAATGTTAAATAGACATGATGAGAGTGATCATCCTAATCTGGTTTCGAATCTCAAAGGGAACATTTCAGCATTCCACCACTAAGTGTGATGTTTGCTTTAGAGTTTTTCTTTTATCAAACTGTTCATTTCTAAGTCTTAATTATAAATTGACTTCAGATTTCATCATCTATTGAGGCACTATGTGATATTTTTCCTTTACTTTTAAAATCCTTTAAGACATTATTACTTTACTTTTTAATGTGGTAATTATAGTACATTAGTTTTCTGAATGGTCAGCCAACCTTGCAATTACTGGAATAAACCCAATTTTATCATGTTGTATTATTTTTATATATCGATGGAGGTGTTTTGCTAATATTTTCTTAGGATTTTTGCATCTACCTTGATCTTTGAAATTAACCTGCATTTTCTTTCTTACACATTCTTAGTTTGCTGTCTACATCATGTAGCCCTCACAAAAGTAGGAAGAAATTTTCCCTCAGTCTTGGTTTATTCTTAGGAGAATCTTAAGAGTGTTATTCCTTCCTTAAATGGTGATAGATTCATCAACGAAGCCATCTGAGCCTGGTGTTTTTGTGGGGGGAAGGTTTTAGTGATGGATTCAGTTTGTTCAAATTCAGAAGTTATAGAACTATTTGTATTTCCTGTCTCTTGCTCAGTTTTGATATCTTGTAATTATCAAACTATCTTTTTTTTCTGAGACAGAGTCTCGCTCTGTTTCCCAGGCTGGAGTGCAGTGGCATGATCTCAGCTCACTGCAACCTCCACCTCCCTGTTCAAGCGATTCTCCTGCCTCAGCCTCCCAAGTAGCTGGAACTATAGGCATGCACCACCACTGTCTGTCAGACTATCAATTTTATCTAAATAAATAGATAATTTAAATAAATAGGCTGTCAGACTATTAATTTTATCTAAATTTTCAAATTTGTTGTTCATACCGTTCTGTTTATTTTCTGTAAGATCTGTGATCTCTCATTCTTGACACTATTTGTACTCTCTTGTGGCTTGATTAATCGTAGTAAGAGATTTCAATTTTTTAGATCTTTTAAAGAACAAACTTTGGGCTTTTAAAATATATTTTATGTGTTTTATTTAATTTCATTTACTTTGCATTTCATTTGTTCTTTTATTAAAACTGCTTGAGAAGGTTTTTTAGCTCATTTATTTTGGTCACACACACAAAACATGTATATGTGTATATGTATGTAGAGCTGTACATTTCTAAGCATAACTTTAATAGCATTCACAAGTTTTATGTATTTTATTTTTATTAGTATTTGGATCAAAAATTGTTTTTTCTTTTTTCTTTTTTTGAACCAGAGTGTCGCTCTTTCATCCTGGCTGGAGGGCCATGGTGTGATTATAACTCATTACAGCCTTGAACTCCTGGATTCAAGCAATCCTCCCACCTTAGTCTCCTTAGTAGCTAGGACTACAGATGTGTGCCACCACACCCAGCTAATTTTTTTTTTTAATTTGGTAGATATCAGGGCCTCACTGTGTTGCCCAGATTGGTCTCAAACTCTTGGTCTCAAGCAGTCCTCTCACTGCAGCTTCCCAAAGTGCTGATTACAGGCATGAGCCACTGAGCCCACCCTTGGATTAAAATATTTTCTAATTTTCATTGTGATTTCATCCTTTGACCATGGCTTATTCAGATGTTTACTGAATTGTGAAATTTAGTTTACCCTGTATGATTTCAGTCCTTTGAAATTAGTTGTTATTTGTTTTTGTGCTGGGAATATAGTCAATTTTTGTATATGTTCCAAATATACTAGATAATAATGTGATTTTTGCATTTGAGGTACAGTGTTCTATATCTTTTATATTTTTTGTCTGTTTCACCTAGCAGTGTAGTAAATCTCCAAGTATGAACGAAGATTTGTCTATTTTTTCTCTTAGTTTACATAAGAGAACAAATACATATTTTGAGGCTTTGTTATTAGGTACATACAGACTTAGATTATTATTATTATTTTTTTCTTGCAAATTAAACCTTTTATTATTATGAAGTATTCTTTTTCTCTAGTAACGTTTTTGCCTTAAAGTTTACTTTGGTAATAGTATACCAACTTTCCCTATGAATGACATGAAAAAGCCACTTTGGGAATCATGAGGATTAGTGTTTGCATATATAGATAGATAGATAGATAGATATATTCTTTTAAGTGTATCTTTTGTAAATGGCATTATCGTTTTTTTCCTGATAATCTTTGTCTTCTCATTGAAAGTTTAGGTCTTACATATACCAATTCACTTGGTTTTGGATCTGTTTTGTTTTCTGTATGATCTAACTGTTTTTTCCCTTCTCTTTCCTGTTTTCCTTTTTGATTTATTGTTTCTAATAGTCATTTTCTGGTAGTTATACAATCTTTCACTGTTCTCTAAGTGATTTCCTTGGAGATTTGTAACGTGTATACTTGACATGCCAGTATCTAGTAACAATTTGTATTTTTTTACCTTCTTAAGCAGTGCATGGATCTTAGAACATTTACTTCCATTCCCTTCTCCCAATTTACATGCCTTTTTGTTGTGAATGTTAAACCTATCAAGGCATCATTTTTATTGCCTACAATCAGTGTTTATTGGGATTTACTCATTTATCCTTTCTGTTAATCTTTAACTCAAGGCTTTCATCTGGTATTGTTTTCCATCTTAGGAAGTTCCTTCAATATGTCTGCTGGTGATGAATTATCTTATTTTTACCTGAAAATATCTTTATTCCACCTTCATACTTGAAGGATATTTTTACTGCATATGGTATTCAAGGTCAGCAATTTCTTAACCACCATCCTTCACTATCTCATTCTGTTGTCAGTCTCATTATTGTTTTAAAAAAATGTATTTTCCCTCCTTTGGTTATTTTGTGGTTGGTTCCTCCCCTGCCCCCACCCCATCCCCTGCCCAGCAGTTTTACTGTGATATGTCTATGTGGATTTCTTTTTTACATCCTGCTTGGTTTTCACGGGCTTTGATTTCGTGGTCTTCAGTTTTTAAAAATTTTGCCATTCTTTTACCTCTCTTCCTTCCAGATGATTACTTTGAACTATCTTCAGTTAACTAATTCTCTCTTCAGTGACATCTGATTTTCTGTTAAGTCCCTCCTTCAGTTGCCAATTTCTGTTTGACGTTTTCAGTTAATCAATGTATTAAAGTCTGCCTAGAGTTCCTTTAGGTCTGTTGTGATTTTCTCTTAGTTTCTGTTGGTTTTCATTCTAGTTCTGTCCTTCATGTATCTGGTGATTCTAGTATTGTTGTACTAGACATTTTATTTATGAATATTTATAGAAATAATTGGATATATAGGATAAGAGTGTGTTACATTTGCTTCTGTCCGTTGTCTGGGCTGCTACCCATCTATTACCACTTCAGTTTCAGAGATTGACATGATTCAAAGGAAGTTGCATTTCTTTTGCAAGCTGGTCTGCTTTAGGTTTACCTGTGCTGCTAGAATTTACTCCCAGGACTAAAGCATCCTTAAATATGAAATTTATATCCCAGGGCCTCCTTTCTATCTTATATTCTACTAAGTTATTTTTTACTTTAGCTTGTTAACTCTAACATTTTCAAGCAATTTTTTTTTTTTTTTGTACAGCTGTTTTCATCATGAAGGGTTGGCCTGCCATTTGGAAGCAGAAGTCCGTTTTAATTCTCTCTTTTTTTTTTTTTTTTGAGATAGAGTCTCACTCTGTCACCCAAGCTGGAGTGCAGTGGAGTGATCTTGGCTCACAGCAACCTCTGCCTTCCGGGTTCAAGCGATTCTCCTGCCTCAGCCTCCTGAATAGCGGGGACTACAGGCGCACACCACCATGCCTGGCTCATTTTTATATTAATAGTAGAGATGGGGTTTCGCCATGTTGGCCAGGCTGGTCTTGAACTCCTGACCTCAAGTGATCCGCCTGCCTCAGCCTCCCAAATTTCTGGGATTACAGGCATGAGCCACTGCGCCCAGCCTTGTTTAAATTCTCAATATAACTTTCTTAGGAATTACCATCTCAGAGAAAACAATATAGAGAAAGGTTAAATAATTTTCTTCAAGGTTGCATAGATGTTACAGTGTCGGGATTTGAATTCAAGTATGTATTCAAAGCCTGTGCTTTGTACTGCATTGAGCCGGTATTTTGAGAATATGAATGACATGCAAAAGCTACCCTAGGGATCATGAGCCACATCGCACATATTGTAGAATATTATTCATATTTTCTTTGTGGTAAAGCGTGACCAAAAATAGGTTAATAAGTGTACCTCTTCTTAGGCACTGAGTTCATTATTGGTAATTGATTCACAGTAAATACCTTGTATGTGTAGTTAAATATTTCAAATAGTACTTGAATGGAAAAAAAGTTACATAGAAGATCAGCAGGATGTTCTATAATTTTGAAATACAAAACTGTCGCTTAGAAATTCATAAAGTAGAAATGAAGCAAAATTTACTTGACATGTAATTCAGCATTTTTTACGTATTTACTGCTTTCTCAACTTCATATTCCTGTTCTTTCAATTTTTACCATATCCAGCACGTTTATTCTGGATGTTTTGTAAAAGAATGTACAGGTAAGAGGAACCTGGGAGTAAGCAAGAAATATTTGTTGAACGAATGAAGGTCAATATACTATTAGTAGTTCTATTCTTCCTACTCATTTATTTTTGTGGAAAGAACAGAAATGTTGACTCTTTGAATTCCTTCCCCCTTTATACAAACATTGTCAGTAATCTTAACTTTCTTTTAAATTTAGGGATAAAGTAATTCCTAATAAAGTGGGGACATATTGTATCCAGTTTGGTTTTATGATGGATAAAACAAATATTCTCAACAGTGAACAGGTTTGCTTACTTTTTTTATATACCACAGTTAGCTTTACATTTTCTTTTTTTTTCCCTCTTGGTTCTGCATTACATGAAATAGCTTCACATTTTCTCATTTAGTTTATGAATGAAATATTTTGTTTAAAAGTGAAGTAATTATTGGATGTGAAATATAAATAATTCAATTTTCAGGAAAATTAGTATATAATATGTTTAAATTTGTTCAATAATTTGACCTGTTACAGGAGTCACATTTCCATTTCTCTTTATATCAAAGACTCAGCATTTTAGTGTGTAGTGTTGTAAAGTTGCTTATATCAACCATGCATGAAAAATATTAGTAATATTTCACACAGCCATAACAAGAGAACGAAATTATGTCCTTTGCAGCAACATGGATGTGGCTAGAGGCCATTATCCTAAGTAAATTAATTAAGAAACTAAAAACCAAATACTGCATGTTCTCCCTTGCAAGTGGGAGCTAAACATTGGGTACACACGGACACAAAGATGGGAACAGTAAACGCTGGGGATTGCAAAAGAGGGGAAAGAGGGAGGTGGGCAAGAGTTGAAAAACTACCTATTAGGTACTGTGTTTGCTACTTGGGTGACGGGATCATTAGAAGCCCAAACCTCAGCATCCTGCAATATACTCATGTAATACACTTGCACATACACCCCCTGAATCTAAGATAATTTTTAAAATAATGAAAGTTGGAAATTAAAAATAAATAGTATTTCAGTTATTAGAATTCTGGATAGTGATGTTCAAGGCAGTTTAAATACACATCTACATATAATACTGTTGGTATAGGCTGGGTGCAGTGGCTCACGCCTGTAATCCCAGCAGTTTGGGAGGCCGAGGTGGGCAGATCACTTGAGGTCAAGAGTTCAAGACCAGCCTGGCCAATATGGTGAAACCCCTCCTCTACTAAAAATACAAAAATCATCTGGGCGTGGTGGGCGCACACCTGTAGTCCCAGCTATTCAGGAGGCTGAGGCAGGAGAATCGCTTGAACCCAGGAGGCGGAGGTTGCAGTGAGCAGAGATCACCCCTCTGCACTCCAGCCTGGGTGTCACAGTGAGACTCTGTCTCAAAAAAACAAAAAACTGTCGGTATACTAATTTTTTTGATTACCTATGTTTTTTAATACCTCTAAGTTTGTTCTTAGATGGCTGTAAACATCCAAAAATTAACCTGACCTAACTTTTTTATGCTGAATTTTAAAAGCAAATTGATTACTTTTAAAAGATTAATGGAAATAAATTTTAGAAGGTAACATTTAATTTTATTTAGTATGTGCCATTGTTATGTCTTCCCTTCCTCTTAAATGCTAAAGCATCAATATATTGTTAATCAGAATGTCTCTTTTGTTTTGTAAGGTTATAGTTGAAGTCCTGCCTAATCAACCTGTGAAGTTAGTACCTAAAATTAAACCACCTACACCAGCTGTTTCAAATGTTCGCTCAGTTGCCAGTAGGACCTTGGTCAGAGATCTACATCTTAGTATCACGGTAATGTTTATTTTCTTCCAAAACTGCGAAGGGTAACAAGAAAAATTATCTTTGATTTTAGGGTACAAAATTATTTGTATGGATTCTGTCAGTTACTCTGATTAAGGTTATAGGGAAAACTTGTGCAGATGAATTAAATATTTATAAATATCTTTGTATTTGAATACAAATAGAGAATATATAACATTATACATAAAATGAATTCAGAATAATAAGCAGAACTGACTCAAAATGCAGAAATCTCAATCTGCCTACCTTTTTTTTTTTTTTTTTTTGAGACAGGGTCTTGTTCTGTCACCCAGGCTGGAGTAGCATGGCACAATCATAGCTCACTGCAACCTCAAGCAGTCCTCCCACCTCAGCCTCCTGAGTAGCTGGGACCACAAGGTGCACAGCACCACACCTGGCTAGTTTTAAATTTTTTTTCTGTGGGGTTTTGCTGTGTTTTGCTGTGTTGCCCAGGCTGGTCTTGAAATCCTGACCTCATGTTATCCTCCTGCCTCAGCCTTCCAAAGTGCTGGGATTACAGCTGTGAACCACCACACCCAGCTGCTACCTTTTCTAATACATACCTTTACTCACCTGTTTAGTGTATCTATCACGAATGAGTGTGAACTATATTGACTCTTCAATGTCCGGTTCACTGAGGGGACTGAAGGACATAAGTATTTTTTTTAAAGAGATCTGTTCTGATGACTGCTCATAGTTAAGAAAGAAAATCAGAGCTCCTCCAAGGCTGCAGATTTCATGAAGCATAAGCAGCAACACAGCTGTCAAAAATATTAACAAAAACATGTAAAACACAGTAGTGGGACTGCACCTTCATGGAAAATTTGGTTGGTGGGATGCTTGTCTACTTTCAGTTTATTTTCCTGTTTTAGATGATGGGTTATTCTTCCCTAGACATCTCTTCTTTTCCCAAAACATCTTGTTGGGGTAAACGGTGCCATAGAATTACTCCAAGGGTCTTTGAATATCATATAAGCACCGAACATTGTGAGAAACACATATAGGCCTATTGGTTTTCAAATGTATACAGGTGCTGCTGGTGTTAATAAAATATTTAAAGTCACTACAAGTTTATAATAACTTATTAAGCACTTTTTCACATCTGTAGGTACTAAAAGTACATGAAAAGGTGATATTTTAAAATGGGAGTCCTTGTAATTTAGTAAGGTAGGAACTGTTGTATTGAAGTCTCTTGTTCTTTTATGGTTTCTGGAACTATTTCTTGCCTGTGGAACACTCAAACTTAGAACTGAATTTTGTGCTTAGACTAAGAAAGATCCAGATAATTTAATGTTGGGGGCTCTCTGTATTATTTCTGATTTGTACATGCTCTTCTCTGGGTTTAATCTTCTCATCAGTTTCTCTAATTGTTTTCCATTTTTTGTTTTAAGGATGACTACGACAACCATACTGGAATTGATTTGGTTGGCACTATAATAGCCACCATTAAAGGCTCTAATGAGGAAGATACTGATACCCCACTTTTTATTGGGAAAGTTAGAACACTTGAATTCCCCTTCGTGAATGGTTCGGCTGAAATCATGGTAAATTTTTTATATCTTTTGGTAGATAGAATTTCTGTATTTAATGCTTTTAACCACCATATTAAGACACCTTTTCTTTTGTATAGCTATGAAGATGTTCTAATCATAGCACTAAATTGGGAAGTCAGCTGAAATATTTTCTGTTTTTGCTATTACAAATTGAACCCAAGATCTTTATAAGTAAGACTCTCGTTTTTCCTATGGGATAACAGCTTTCTCTGATTCTAGTTGTTTTTAACTTTAGTGACAGTACGTGATGTTTTATGTTTCATTGAAAAGCTGCCGTTATGTGGATAGAAACAAAAAATGTAGCCCAGGTAAATTTTAATTAAACAACTTGTCTTTGTTACTCATTTTTTTCTAAAATGAAAATAGTTTTATTTGTATTTTAAAAATATACAGTGCAAGAACCTCCATAAATAATCAAGATATTGTCACCTGTCAGAGATAATAGATGCTTAGCAACTTAGTATTACCTTCCAGAGTTTCGGCATATACACTAATGCTGCCTGCATACCATGTGTGTATATGATTTATATACATGTTCGGAGGGTGTAAAATTTCATTAATAGAATTGTGCCTTTATAAAAATCTTTTCTTGTTCAACATCTCTAATATATTCTTAGTAAAAGTAAGCCTACATCATTGTATATTAATGACCACAGTTTATTTGATCAATCCTTAGTGAAAATTTAGTTCTTTTCTAAAGTTTGTTTTTATCAACAGTGCTTCCATTAGCTTTCTTCTATGTATAGTCAGCCCCCCATATCCGTGGGTTTCACATCTGTAGATTCAAAAATAATTAGGAAAAAAATTTCATCTGTACTGAATACATACATTTTTCTTGTCAGTATTCCATAAACAATACAACAACTATTTTCATAGCATTTTAGTAGTTATTACTAAGTAATCTAGGGATGATTCAAAGTATATGGAGTATGTGCATAGGCTGTATGCAAATACGACACCATTTTATATCAGGGATGTGAGTATGCATGGATTTGAGTATCTATGGGAGTCCTGGAACTAGTACCCCACAGATACCAAGGGATGACTATATATCCTTTTGCATATATTATTTCTTTAAGAAATTACTAGAAGCAGAATGCGTTAGAGATAGGATATGCATATTTTAAGCCTTTTGGTAGTTACTGCCAGTGCTCTTCAGTTTATATTCCTGCCAGAAGTATATGTCTATCTTACTCATATTAGCAACACTATATGTGTGAACACTTTTAAAAATTCTAACCAAGTATCTGATTAAAAATTTATTTTTGTCGAATATTTTTTGGTTTTAATCTTTCTAAGATTGTTTACCGACCATTTCTTTTAGAATTTTCATTTTTTTCTTAAAAATATTAGTGCTCTTTGGTATATAAGTACTTTTTCATGAGATGTTCTTTTGTTTTTAGAACTTGCCTTTGTTTATATTGGAGGGGCAGATCATATTCACAGTGCTATCTCTGATATCCTTAATTTCTTTAATTTTTGATATATCTGGATTTTATTGACCCTTTTTCAAATCCATTAATTTTCTTGATATCTTTTCAGTAATTCTAACAGTACTAATAGATATGAAATGTTACCTTTTCTTGTATTTTTGTTGTTGTTCATTTCTGTGTCTAACTCATTGCAGCATCACATTGTTTCAGTAAAATTAGGCTTATACGGTAGGAGCCTGCCAGCTGTACCTGGCCTGAAGACTTGTCAATTGGTCTGGCAGTGACTGACCAGTACAGCATTTTCATTGTAATTAGTTTCCAACATTTAAAGTTCTGGAATTTTTACATAAAAATCTGCATTTCTAATTTATTTGGTGAAATCTAAAGATCTGTCAACACTGGGTGAGGATTCTCTTAGCCAGCTGTATGTGCACCCTGAACAGTGACTGCTCCTGTCAGTGTGTCTGGTTTCCAGTCAGCCGCTTCCATGCCACTTCTTTTCATTTATTGACATTGAGGACATGTGTATTTACCACTTATATTCACACTTGTTCTTCCTTTTTTATTATAGTGGAGAATAAAGTAAGATTTTCTTGTGCTCTAACAAAAATTAGGTAATGAAAGCCACGTTGAAAAACAAAGGGGAGTGGGGAGACATACTTAACATGCAGAGTGGATTTGTGTTGGAAGAAGACATCTAGTCTTCTTTCTAAAGAAAGTTTTCTAAAGAAAACTTTACCTGTTTTCCTGTTTAGCTATGTCCAGTTTTCTTTTTTTTTGGAGACAGAGTCTCACTGTCTCACCCAGGCTGGAGTGCAGTGGCGCGATTGCCCCTCACTGCAAGCTCTGCCTCCCGGGTTCACGCCATTCTCCTGTCTCAGCCTCCCAAGTAGCTGGTACTACAGGCACCCACCACCACATCTAGCTAATTTTTTGTATTTTTAGTAGCGACGGGGTTTCACCGTGTTTGCCAGGATGGTCTCGATCTCCTGACCTTGTGATCCACCCGCCTCGGCCTCCCAAAGTGCTGGGATTACAGGCGTGAGCCGCCGTGCCCGGCCTGTCTCCAGTTTTCTTGGCCCCCTTATGGTCATTTGAAATTGCTAAACCTGCTGTATATACTCCTGAGATTCAGACAAGAGATTTAGCTATTCCCCAGCAGCTGTATATAAAAATCTCTTCACATCATGCATGTAAATTGTACTCTTACCACTAGAGGACCCTGATATCTCACTGAATCAATAGAAAACTCAAGTCCTTCTTGGCTCCTGCCTCACATATTGATTTAGTATGTCTGGAGCAGGGCTCTAGAATCTGATTTTTAAAAAGCAGGTGATTCTTATCATTAGGGAAGTTTAGGAAACACTGGTCTAGAGCACAACCAATGTTTGTAAATGTTCCACATTATTGCTTTGTTTAAAGTTACAATCTAAATTTGTAGTTGCTTAAGTTTGTTAATTGTGCTATTCAGATTCACTGTATTATTTGCCTACATGATCTGGACATTTCTGATGGCAGTGTCTAAGTTTCATTCTGATATGCATTTGTTTGTTTCTCATATGCCAAATTTCCGTTTATACTTGGATCCAGTTTGGGACTCTTCATTTCTGTTATTCTGTTTATCCTTTTTTCTTGGTAGGTATGCATCAGGGATTAAAAACTATAAAACTTTGAGATAGGAGATTCCTCTTCAAACAAGATAAAAAGGAAAAGATTATATTTAACTACATTAAAAGTTACACTTTCTGCGGGGCACAGTAGCTCATGCCTATAACCTTAACACTTTGGGAGGCCAAGGTAGGATTGCTGGAGCCCAGGATTTCAAGACCAGCTTGGGCAACATGGCAAAACCCCATCTCTACAAAAAATTTAAAAATTAGCCAAGCATGGTGACAACGCACCTATAGCCCCAGCTACTCAGGCAGCTGAGGTGGGAAGATAGCTTAAGCCTGAGAGGTTGAGACTGCAGTGAGCCATGATTATGCCACTGCATTCCAGCCTGGGTGACAGAGCAAGACCCTGTCTCAAAAAAAAAAAAAGGTTACACTTTATGTACGTAAGCATATCTTAAACAGAATTAAAAGAACAGTGACAATGTGTTGATAATTGTTGACACTGGATAATCAGGTTTATTATCTGATTCTGTAGTAGAAAAAAAAAGTTTTTAAGGTAGTAAATTAAGGAGAAATATTGATTTTGCTGTATGCAGTCATGTCATCACTTAATGACGGGCATATGTTCTAAGAAATACATCATCAGGTGATTTCATTGTTGTGCAAATATCGTAGAGTATACTTAAACCTAGGTGATATAGCCTACTATACACCTGGGCTATATATCACAACCTATTTCCTTTTTTTTTTTTTTTTTTTTTTTGAGACAGAGTCTTGCTCTGTCACCCAGGCTGGAGTGCTTTGGCGCACTCTTGGCTCAGTGCAACCTCCGCCTCCTGGGTTCAAACAATCCTCCCACCTCAGCCTCCCGAGTAGCTGGGACTACAGGCGCGTGCCCACCACACCCAGCTGATTTTTGTTTTTTCAGTAGAGACAGGGTTTCACCATGTTGGCCAGGTTTGTCTCGAACTCTGACCTCAGACGATCCACCCACCTCGGCCTCCCAAAGTGCTGGGATTGTAGGCATGAGCCACCACACCCAGCAGCATAACCTGTTTCTCCTAGGCTACAAACCTGTACAGTATGTGACTGTACTGAACACTGTAGGTAATTTTAACATAATAGTATCTGTGTATCTAAACATAGAAAAGGTATAGTAAAATACAGTATTATAATCTTTTGGGACCACCATTGTACATGTGGTCCTTTGTTAGTGAATTGTTATGTGGTGCATGACTGTATGTTAGATACATATAATTAAAGGACTGATATATTGAACAGATTTCTAAAACCTCCTAAGGAACTACTTGCAAATCAATTAAAAAAAAAAGACAAACCGGTAGAAAAATAAATGGGCAAAGAATATGAGCAGGCAATTAATGGAAAAGAAAATATAAATAACCTGTAAAC
This sequence comes from Homo sapiens, assembly GCF_000001405.40. Lineage (NCBI taxonomy): Eukaryota > Metazoa > Chordata > Mammalia > Primates > Hominidae > Homo > Homo sapiens. The sequence continues at coordinate 2,768,255 of NC_000018.10, forward strand.
ATAAGAAGCATGATTTCAGTACCACTCAGGGAGATGTTAGTTAAAATAATAATGACTGGTTGCTTTTTAATTCCCCTTTTTAGAAAAAAATATGATTGATATTAAATGTTGGCCAGCATAAGGGGAATTGGGCACTCCCATATACTGCTGGTGAGAGGATAAATTGATACAGCTTCTTATAAGGGAAATTTGATACTTACCTTTTAAAATAAACTTATACTTCTCATTATTCATCCCAGAAAACACATTTGCAGAGAAACATTTGGAGATATATTTTTGCTATGTTATAGATAATTGTTTAAAAATTGTAAACATACTAAATATTTGCCACCCAATGAATGAGTAGTATAGTATAGTGTACTATATACTATACTACTAGTATATATAGTATACAGTATATAGTATAGTATATAGTGTACTATATACTATACTACTAGTATAGTACTATATACTATACTATACATAAATTTTAAATTGGCATCTATACATTCACATGAATTGATCAAATCGAGTGCTGAAAGCAAGTTGCTAAAGTATATGTTACTTATTTTTAAAATGCAAATAGTATTTTTTAAATACATGTTTGCATTTATGTAAGTCTGTTGAAAACCACATTCAGAAACTGATTGGCAGTTGGTTTAATGGTGGGCTTGTATTCTATATTCTTTGGGAAAAAGTCTGTGAGCTGTAATTTATAATTTTATTTCATGGATTGACCTACAGTGCCATATCGATTTAGATTTTTTAAAAATACTACTTCTCTGTAAATTGTATTGTTATAGTCTAAACAAAAACAGCTACTATCGTTTCCCTTAGAACTGTGTGAAAAAATCATTTCAGATAAAAATATATTTGTGTCATTTACTAGTTATATGTTTTGGTCTTAAAGTATATCAAAAGGTTTTTTATCCATTAATGAGAAAGACACAATTTAAAAAATCTTTAGAGCTTTTCAAAATCTCTTGTTCTGTCACCTGGGACTTTGATGGGTCTATTTCCATGTTAACAGCTGTAACTTAAACTCAGCATTGGGCTTTGTGATTGTTTTTATAACTTTCACACTATCAGCTCTTTCATGCTGCTTTCAATTTAGAGGTTAGAATCAAGAAGATTTTACAGGTCAAAATTTTAAGTGGCCATCTCTAATGTGAAGGAAATAACTTTTTCTTGAAATTTTTTATCATATATACTTTTCACATAAGCTGTTTATTGATACGATCATTTGGCTTTCAAACCAATACCAGAAGGTAAAAAGTTGTATGTCTTGGGTAGTGGTGGTGGTGATAATGGTTTAATGGAATCTTAAGGATCAGCCTATGCCTTTGGCCTTTAAAATTAACCACTTACTTGAAAACAGCATAATGAGTTATGTAACATTTATATGTTGTAAATTTTCTTTTTAAATCTTGTTTTCCCCTATTGTTTGTTTATATGTACAGAGTCTGGTGCTGGCAGAAAGTAGTCCTGGAAGGGATAGTACTGAATATTTTATTGTATTTGAGCCCCGGCTACCACTTTTATCAAGAACCTTAGAACCATATATCCTACCGTTCATGTTTTACAATGGTAAGTTTCTAGGAAATAAATGGTTAAACTCCGTTGTTAGTGATACTTTAGATAACCTTGTTTTGCTTTCCATTAACTTGGTGTTTATTAGCTATCTAACCACTTTATGACATATTTTAGAAAAGTCAGTTTTTAAATTATTTAAATTATCTCAATTTTTTTTCTTAGATGTTAAGAAGCAGCAACAAATGGCAGCACTTACAAAAGAAAAGGACCAATTATCTCAGTCTATTGTTATGTATAAAAGTTTATTTGAAGCCAGCCAACAGCTTCTTAATGAAATGAAATGTAAGTCATTTTGTATTCAAGACAAAAATTATGCTTTGGGGAATGATGAGGCAGGTGAGATCGTGATACACAAACAAGCTTCCACTTTCCTAAATTACAAGTAAAATACAGAATGTTTCAGAAAGGTGGTAATGATGGTTGATACTGTCATTGAGAATTCTTAAGATGAAGTATTTCTTATTTTAAATAAATTTGTATCCTGCTTAAAAGAAATCAACACGTTCTGTTAGGAATCTGGACCTGTGGAAAATTTAAGGCTTTCTACATAATAATAATGTTTATATTTAGCTCTAGCTTCTGGCAAAAGATACTGGATAATAATATCACCAAGGGAGTGATGTGTAATGTAATTTTTCATTTGGGTAATGAGCTGTTTGTATTTTACTTCAAACATCTGCAGTTTGTCATACTATGGAGGTATCTGGGGCAGCACACACTGATACTGAAATATGTAAATTATTCTTGAGTCAATTCACAGAAAGTTTGCTGCAGTTTTGTTTTGTTTAGTTTTGTTTTCTGTTTTTTGTTTTTTTTTGAGACACAGTCTCTGTCGCCCAGGCTGGAGTGCAGTGGCACGATCTCACTCACTGCACCCTCTGCCTCCCAAGTTCAAGTGATTCTCGTGCCTCAGCCTCCCAAGTAGCTAGGATTACAGGCACATGCCACCACGCCTGGCTGATTTTTGTATTTTTAGTAGAGACGGGGTTTCACCATGTTGGCCGGGCTGGTCTCGAACTTCTTACCTCAAGTGATCTGCCCACCTTGGCCCCCACAAAGTGCTAGGATTACAGGTGTTAGCCACCACACCCAGCCTACGTTTGCTGCAATTCTTAATAATGTTTCATATAATTGAAAGACAAGACATTTTCTGAGTTGTGCTCTATCATCTCTTCCCTTTTCATTTGTCATATTTTTTTGCTAAGGTTTTTGGCCTTGTGTTATTTTGATCAAGTTAACCAAGAAATATTTACCGCTTGCCTCAAAGTACTCACTTTTGTGTATGCCTGCACAAGATCAAGGATATTTAGAATATAATAGGAGCTAAATCTAGTAGTGAGATAATGTCATTTGTGTAGCACTAAAAATTGTTTTTATAAAGTCTTTGAGAACAGCCTTGTGCAATTATGTATAAATTATGTATACTCGTGGATTAAGATTAAGTAACTTATCCAAGATTACTAGGAGTTTGCAGTATATCATATCTCCCTTTAGTTGCATTAATTTTGTTTTCTCATTTTTGTATATCAGAATTGAGCCTTAAGATGTATAGTTTAATTTTGAATTTCTGAAATGGTCACCTATCAGTTTTCATTTTAGCAACAGACATTAAAAGGAAAAAACAAAAGGAACTTTAAAATATTTTTCAAAAACTATGATTTGGGGGCTATCAGAAATTGATGCAAATTTTTGGTTTTTTATTTTAGGTCAAGTTGAAGAAGCAAGATTAAAAGAGGCCCAATTGCGAAATGAACTAAAAATACATAATATTGACATTCCTACAACACAACAGGTACAGCTTCCAACTATACGTGAAAGATTTTTTATTAAAGTCTATTCTACAATTTTCTCAATTATTCAGTTTTTATTAGGAATTCTGAGTATTGTTGTTTTAGGGTACAAAGACGTGCATTATCGTCACTAGACATTAAAAATGACTAACAAAATGATAGAGTGCTCTATTCAAAGAAATTGCAATTTGTATTTTTAATGTAATGACACCAATAAATGCAATTAATAATACATCAGTTCAAGTACTGCATTGAAAAGGCTGCATAACCACTACACGTGATGGTAAACAAAATAAGAGAAAATAAAAAGCAATCTAGATTTTTAAAATTTATATTCTTTTATATGTGTAACTCAGTTTCAAGAGAAGTCCTATTATAGGTAGTGTATTTCTTGGCTAAGATTTTTTTAAATTCAGTGAAGTGGGAACTTTATATTACTATAACCATGGTTTTTAAAATTGTGTTTTCTTTGTGTGTGTGTGTATTTTCTGATAGTTTTTTTTTTAATAATGCCTACTTACCAACTTTATATTCTTTAGTTATCTAAATTGTTAATTTTTCTCCACTGTCATTATGGGCTGCCTGGTTCAAGAGTAATTGGTCTTGTAGTTAATTTTTCTTTATAAATTATAGGTGCCACACATTGAAGCACTTCTGAAAAGAAAGCTATCAGAACAAGAAGAACTGAAGAAAAAACCTAGAAGATCGTGTACTCTTCCAAACTATACTAAAGGCAGTGGAGATGTTTTGGGAAAGGTTTGTGTTTATTAAGCCTTTTGAAAGGCAGTACATTTTATTATCTTGTTTGTTTAAAACGGGTCTTCTAAAAGTGACAAAAAAGTGTCAGGTTCTTTGTAATTTACTTCTTTCCAATAAAGTACCTGCTCTCATTATTGCAATAGGGATTTGGCAGAGTTTAAAACTGAAATCTGTAATGTTACTATTGAGGGCTGTGGCAAAAGTTGTTAACATCTATTAGTTCAAGGCTTGTTGTTTACTTAGAGATGCTTTCATGTCATGCAGCTCTGTTTTTGGAGGGGGAGACAGTCTGTCACCCAGGCTGGAGTACGATGGTAAGACTGTGGCTCGCTGCTCCCTCCACCTGCTGGGCTCAAGTGATCCTTCTGCCTCAGCCCCCCAAGTAGCTGTGACTACAGGCATGTGCCACCATGCCCAGCTGAAACTGAGGTCAAGTAACTTGCTCAGAGTTGCACAGATAGCAAGTGGCAGAGCCAGGGGTGAAACCCCAAGTAGTCTGACTCTGGAGTCTTTGGTTATTGCCTTTGCATGTATATTCTACTTTTGTAACCACCATATGAACTATTATTTGTAGTATTTCTCATTTATACATAAAGAAATTGAAATTCAGGGAGCTCAAATAACTTGTTAAAATATAGTTAAAGGCAGAGCTTAGATGTGACTCAAGGTCTCTCTGACTCTAAAGTCTGTGATAGTTTTTTTATATGCCCTATAACTTCACAAATATACTGTCCACTGAAAATAGGGGGTAACGTGTAGCAATGTGTATGACCAAAACCGTGTTACGTTATTACCCAAACCTCAGATCCGCAAACTGAAAAATTGAATTTTAATTCAAGTTAAATATAAATTTATGTATTAGGAAACAAGTTGCTAATATACAATGTTTTAAAATATTATTCCAATTTTTAGAAAAAAGCAGTTCTTTGATCCTAAGCATATAAATATATGGCTTCCACATTTTAATAGTTCATCCAATACAAAATTCTTGGACAATATGTGAGATTTTTACCAACATATAAATTTTAGCAAGAGAAATGTATTTTAAAGTCTCCTTTTTAAATATTTCCCATTGCATGTCTTGAAAATCTGGGGGAAATCTTTGAAATTTCGTTTTACATAGTTTCTCTTTTGTCCCCTCAGAAATACAAACCCTACCCTAACCAGTAGGAGAAAACTTTACAGTCCCTCCATGTCATCCTTAGTCTTTTCCCTCGCTTCCTTAAAAAATACTCTTCCTGGCATTTATTATAAAACTAGAATAGTCCGGGCGCGTTGGCTCACACCTGTAATCCCAACATTTTGGGAGGCCAAGACAGGCGCATTACCTGAGGTCAGGAGTTTGAGACCAGCCTGGCCAACCTGGTGAAACCCCGTCTCTAATAAAACATACAAAAAATAGCCAGACATGGTGGCATGTGCCTGTAATCACAGCTACTCAGGAGGCTGAGGCAGAAGAATTGTTTGAACCTGGGAAGCGGAGGTTGCAGTGAGCCGAGATCATGCCACTGCACTCCAGCCTGAGTGACAGAGCGAGACTCTGTCTCAAAAAAATAAAAAAACCCTAGAATAAATAATCGTAGAAATACAGTAGGAACAAGGGGAGACTTTTCCCCCAAACTTCAAAATGTATTTATTTTTAACATCGTGAATACCTCAAGTAACTTAGATATTTTACACATTTCTTCCTTAATTCCAAATATCTTGAAATCCCATCTCTAAATGAGGAAGATGTAGTAGCAGTTTTAAGATTTTTTTTTCAGTTAAACATATTATAGTTATACTTAACATGCCCTTCTAAATAGGTTTTATGACAGTATCATGGTATTTCTTTTACAAAACACATCTAAATGTCACAAGTAAGCCATTTCTTCTGCTTACATTTCATTTGCCTCTACTAATTCTTTCTCCATTGGCTAGAACATTGTTTTCATTTTCGTTTACATGTACTAGTTTTTTTGCATGTTCATTTTCTTACCTTTCTTCCACTAACTTCTAGAGAATTAGAATATAAGGGTAGATGTTAGGATGTGTTTTGTTTTTTGGCTTTTTTTGAGACAGGATCTCACTCCTGTCGCCCAGGCTGGAATGCAGTGGTGCATCTCGGCTCAGTGCAGTCTGGACTTTCTGAGCTCAGGTCATCCTCCCACCTCAGCACCCAAGTAGCTGGGACTACAGTTTCGTGCCACCATGCCCCCCTAATTTTTTGTATTTTTAGTGGAGATGGGGTTTCGTGATGTTGCCCAAGCTGGTCTCAAACTCCTGGGCTCAAGCACTCTGCCTGCCTGAACTCCCAAAGTGCTAGTAATACAGTCTTGGGTCACCATGTCCAGCCTGATGTTTCTAAAAGTGACACACAATGTTCTTATTGCTAGAGTAGGTTTGTGCTACCAGATCAAGTAAGATTAAAGGGTAGACACCACCATCCTAGCACAATGAACTAGGCTTTGATACTGGCCACAGTAGTCCAATCTTGGTGGACTTGACTTTGAACAAGAATGCTTGTTGATGATTGGGTGTTCACGCACATGCGTGAGATATGCCACCCTTGAACCTTGTTACACTGTTGGCACATTACCTGTCTGACCTGAGGGAAAGAAAAAGAATACTTGTGACTGAAGGAAGGATTTGTAATTATTTATTTATTCTAAGCTCCAAAGCATTGTTCCTAGAAACAGAAGCAAAAGGAACAATTTTTTTTTTTTTTTTTTTTTTTTTTTTTTTGGAGACAGGGTCTTGCTCTGTCAGACTGTAGTGCAGTGGCACAATCTCGGCTCACTGCAGCCTCTACCTCCTGGGCTCAAGTTATCCTCCTTCCTCAGCCTCCTGAGCAGCAGAAGAAACAATTCTTATTTGTGATGTTTAGATTTGTTTTCTGAAAGGAATACTATAATATTGGAGTAAAGTATTTACTTAGAAGGGAAGGGCTTATTAACTGTATTTATGTTTAACTGCATTATTTTATGTGTATATTATTTAAGTGTACTTTATGATATTCTACCAATAAGACAGATCCCATTTATAGTGTTAAAATGTGAAAAAAGTATATATTACTAGCTAATAAAATTTCTAATTATTTCATCCCTGAACGGTCTGAGAAAAGAAGGAAAAATTCCTAATATTTTTATTTGCTCATTTGCAACTTTACTGGAGTTTAATCTTTAGAAAAAGAAATTTTAATTTAATATCAGAATACAATGTTTAATATATTCAAGTTAAGTTTTTGACAACTTGACAGTTTATTTTTAATTCATGTGTTTCAGAGAAGTTTTTGTTACCTAGGCTTGGGCTTTTAACATAATATCAAATTTTTATATATGGATTTTATATTTTTTTACTTTATGAAAATGGGTTATAGATTGCACATCTAGCACAAATTGAAGATGATAGAGCTGCGATGGTTATTTCTTGGCATCTGGCAAGTGACATGGACTGTGTAGTCACCCTAACCACTGACGCTGCACGTCGTATCTATGATGAAACCCAAGGTCGTCAGCAGGTGTTGCCCCTTGATTCTATTTACAAGAAGACTCTTCCAGATTGGAAAAGGTTAGAAAAAAGTGAAAGTAATTTTTTTTCTGAAATATATTTTCTGTTTTTTATCAAAGCCTTGAATTTAAAAATGATTTCTCTAAAAGATACCTAAAACAGAGAATTGACTTGAATTATATACGTTATTTTTGTCTTCATCACAAATGGGCATTTTTCACTGCATATGCTGGCTATGTTTTATTTGCCAATTAAATATTATTTGTATATGTAATGTATACACAAAAACATACATTACATGTATATGTAACGTATACACACAAAGACATAAAAACACACAAAGACATAATATTTTTTTTTAAATTTTTTAATTTTTATTTTTTGAGATGCAGTCTTTCCCTGTCAGCCAGGCTAGGCGTGATCACAACTCAGTGCAGCCTCAACGTCCCTGGATTCAAACTACCTTCCCACCTCAGCTTCCCAAGTAGCTGGGACTACAGGTGCATGCCAGCATGCCCAGCTAAATTTTTTTTTTTTAATTGCTATATTGCCCAGACTGGTCTCAAACTTTTGGGCTCAAGCAGTCCTCCCACCTCAGCCTCCCATACTGCTAGGATTACAGGTATGAGTCACTGCACCCAGCCCCTTTTTTATATTTTATATGTACCCTGATTAGGCCTACTTTTTAAAATGTACCTAAAGACAGGAAGGAAATACTAACAAAAAGTAAATAAAAATGTATAGCAGAGTATTTATTAGTCAGTATTTTCTCAGATTACTAAACAAAGCTTTTCACGGCCTGTAATTGCATAGGAATGGGGACTTGAAGGAGAATGGTGTCTCATTAAGAGTCTACTATGTCAGTAAACTTGTTATTTCATCTTATAAATCTAAAAATAGATTGAGGAAACAGCTGTATGTTGAACTCAGATCTATCAGATTCTAAAATCTGCCACCCTGCAACTAGTCAGTACTCAAAGGAACAGCATGGGAAATCCTGACGGGTCATAGTTACTATGTTGATAAGGGTAATACTTTTTCTTTTCTTAAGAGAACGGTTTTCACTTGCCCAGGCTGGAGTGCAGTGGCTACTCACAGGCACAGTCATAGCTCACTGTAGCCTCAAACTTGTGGGCTCAAGTGATCCTCCTCCCTCAACCTCGCAAGTAACTGGGACTAGAGGCATGCACCACCACCTCCCCCCCCCATACCCTAATACTTTTTGTGAGAAGAATTTTTTTCTCCAGGAGGGCTTCTTTATCTCTGTAATCCCTGGAGACTAAGTTAAGGATCATTGATTTAGGGAAAGTATGGATTTGACATTTAGGGCTAACGTTTGTTCTAGAAACGAGTTATCCTCTCTGTTTCTGGTATTCTCCCTCTTACTGGGATTGAATTAACTAGAGCTCCTCTCCACCTATGTTGAAGGGAAAGTCTCTGACACCCCAATCAACTACCATCTCTGAAATTCCATTGTTATCATCTACTGGCTTCAATTGCTCTTCCTATTGTGTGGGAAGGACAGGAAGACAGGGGACATAGAGCTGCCTTCCTCATATGTGTCTCAGTCTTGGGCCTTGCCCCTTCCCCTAGTCATTCTGTGACCACTCTTCACATGAACAGTTATGTCATTCATACTGTCATTTGGAACAGAGGCTTCTTTTTTTCTTTCCTTGTCAAATGAAACTGTTATTTATTGTTAATACAAACTAATAGAGGGTAGTAGTACAGATAAAACCAAGTAGATTTTTTATATGGTCAATATTGTTTCCATTTCTAAGGGCATAATAGCTGATCATTTAGAAGTATCACTTGTGGTGGATTGGGAATTGATTGTATGATCAAAATGATGTGCAATATATTCATGTTTTCCATATTGTCTTTTTTTAAATTTAAAAAGTCATGTGCTTTAATATCTTTTTAAAATTTCTTTTTATTTAGATCTCTACCTCATTTCCGAAATGGAAAATTGTATTTTAAACCCATTGGAGATCCAGTCTTTGCTCGAGACTTGTTAACATTTCCAGATAATGTAGAACATTGTGAAACAGGTAAAAGACATTATGGTGACTTTACTTTTGTACAGATGTTAAATTTGTGACACAAATCTATAAATTACTGATAATGAAAATTTATATTCTTATTTTGCTTATCAGTCATAGTTTTATCAGTTTTTTTAGAGTACAAATAAAATTAGAACGAATACTAGCACTCTTTCAAAGAAAGACTTGCAATGTGCATTATATTTTAATATGGCCAAGGAAAATATCATAATTTTCAAAATTCATTTATTGACTTTTTTAGTATTTGGTATGCTGTTAGGAGACACCATTATTTTGGATAATCTGGATGCGGCCAATCATTATAGAAAAGAGGTATGTATTTGATTTCTTTTTAAATTTGTAGACTTCAGTTTTAATGTGTATCATGTCCATTTGATGATACATATACAAACGACTAGCCTTTTCAAAACCAATTTAAATTCTGCAAATTGATAAGCAACATAAAAGTAGGCAAAACGTAGGAATGAATGGACCAGGATGCAAATTTAAATAGATGTTTTGGGGCTACGAAATTGTCTAAGACTCAAAACAGTGTCTGTTAGGATTGGAAAAAAGTACTGTCAGGTAATTTTGGTGTAAAATGTAATTTGCTGTAGCCCTTTGTATTGGTTTTCTAGGGCAGCCATTAACTGATGTGAATAATAGAAATATTACTGTCCCACAACAGACTGGGTGGCTTAAATAATAGAAATTTATTGTATCACAGTTCTGGAAGCTGGAGATCCAAATTCACAGTTTCAGGAGGGTTGGTTACCTCTAAAGACTGTGAATGAAGGATCTGTTCCAGGCCTCTCCCTGCCTTGGAGATGAGGACTCTCTTCCCCCTGTCTCTTCACATCTGTGCGTGACTGTGTTCAAATTTCCCCCTTGTTGTAAGGATACCAGTCATACTGGATTAGGGCCCACCGCAGTGACCTCATATTAACTTGATTATCTCAGTAAAGACCCTATCTCCAAATAATGTCACATTCTGAGGGACTGGGGGTTACGGACTTTAACATGGATTTGTTGGGGGCTGGTCCCAAACAAAGGTAATGAGTTATCTCAATTGATGGTTCACCATCAGCTACAGATCTAACTCTGTTTTATTCTTTCCTCCCCTTCTTACTAGTCTACTTGACTGGTCTTGTAAAAAGTAAATAAATAAAAGATTATAGTGGAGCACAGTTTAGCCCATAGCACCTTTGCAGGGGAGTTTGGTAAAATAAATATTTCAGTTATTTACTGCTGCTATATATATAACACTCTAAATTGTAAGTTTAAACAACAACATATTAGTCCTCTTTGTAGATTTCTCCAAGTGATGTTGGCTAGTTGAACTGGGGTGGTGGCAGCTCTAAAATGCCTGCCTTATGTAGCTGGCAACTGGTACCTGTTGTCATCTGGCATCAGCTGGTATTAGCCAGGGGTTCTTTTGGGGATGTCTGCTAGGGTTATTGTTCTCACCCATGAGGGTGAGATAGAGTAGGGTAATGCCATTTAGAGTTTTAGAAGCCCTTTTGTCTAGCTAAGAGGATCCAGGAGGGCAGTAGTTTAAATCTTTCAGAGGTCTTAACAAAGGAACATCCTTGACTTGATTTTAACCCTAAAGCCACATGTTATAGGCAGTACCCTGGATTGATCTAAGCCAGTATCTGTAAATAGTGTATTCTAGAATCACGGGGACTATAGGGATCATCTAGGATGATCTAGGACGAGTGAGAATAGATGAGAGACCTTAAGCTGAGAACAAATAATGGAGAGCTGGACATGTGATGCATGCATGTAGTTCCAGCTACTTGGGAAGCTGAGGGAGGTTTGCTTGAACCCAAGAGTTCAAGGCTATAGGCTGTCGTGTGCTCTGATCATGCCTATGAATAGCCACTGCACTCCAGCCTAGGCAATATAATGCGATTCTGTCTAAAAAAATAAAAATTGTTAAAGAGGTGGGGGATTTGTCCCAAGTCACACTTTACTAATTTATGGCAGAGCTAGAACTAAACTGGTATGAGTAATTTTTCTTTGGGCCTCGTTAAGAAGCAATAATAGGGCACCGGGTACAGTGGCTCCTGCCTGTAATCCCAGCACTTTGCGAGGCCAAGGTAGGGGATCATTTGAGGTCAGAAGTTCGAGACTAGCCTGGCCAACATGGTGAAATCCCGTCTCTACTAAAAATACAAAAATTAGCCAGGCGTGGTGGCAGGCACCTGTAATCCCAGGTACTTAGGAGGCTGAGGCAGGAGAATCACTTGATCCTGGGAGGTGGAGGTTGCAGTGAGCTGAGATCATGCCACTGCACTCCAGTCCGGGGTGACAGAGCAAGACTCTATCTAAAAAAAAAAAAAAAAAAAAAAAAAAAAGGCAATAATAAATTCATCTTAGTTTAGGAAAACTAAATTACTGGGATTTTGAGCATTATATAGCTAATTGGAAAATGGTATTTGGCATCTTCATGAACGTTTCCTTGTAAACCTAATATTAAGTATAATACACTGTACCAGAAACTGGCTGTGGGTGGGAGAGCTACTATATTCTGGTAGTGATTAGCATTTTTATATATCCCGAATTATGAAATAGAAACATACCCATTAAATGTTATGATAACATGGAATCAGTTTGGAGACGGTGAGAAGCTTGCTGGTAAGGATTGAACTAACTAATAGGATGGTAACCGGAAGACTCCTGTTCAATGAGATATTTGGATACTTACTATGTATGAGACACAGTAGTGTGCTATTATGTGTTGAACTAGCTCTCTGAGGAGGCATGTGGAAGTCCCTGATTTGTAGCTTTTGCCAATTTCTATGGTGTAAGTACTTGTATCATGGATGATTTCCAGCAGTCTGTATGAAGTCCTTCATGCCTATATGAATGTGGTGTTCAGGAGACCTGGCTTTCATGACCCAGTACAAGCTGGTTCCAGCGTATCACTAGGCACAGTGCACTGAGGGTTATACAGTGATGAATTAGACAAACCAGATAGCCTTTGGAAACTCCAGCTGAGATTAGCTAAAATGCTATTTCAGATATGTATCTTAATGAACTGGCAAGAGAGTCAGGATTCTAAGTGGAAGTGGGAACCTGGAGAGACAAACAGAACACTAATGCCAGATTTTTGCAGTGAGAACGTTTGCCAAACTAATTGAACTTAAGCATTGATTTTTCACTCCCTCGAGGGGCTTTAGGATAGGAGACAAAACCCAGGGCTCTAAACAACATGGGGAGTCTGATAACTGGGGACACCCCCTCTGTGGGGGGAAACCTTAGTATAAGGGTAAACAAACATATAAACCTGCCACCTTCATCTCAACTCCAGCTGCTTCAGGGAACTACCAGAAAAGTCTCTCTCTTGAACTTTGGCACTAAGCGGAAAAGTAAAAAAGTTAAACATTTTTCTAGAGAATTCATCAACATAACAATTGACTCTAATATCTGTTTGCAATGTGTATTCATACTACTTGGATGTTCTGAAAACCTTCACGGTAAACATTTGGTTTCATGTGCTGGACTAGTAGTATCCTTAGATACCTGATTGAAGCAAATAAATGTTTTCTGGGGGAATTTCACCATTGTTTTTGAATGGAAATAATTTCCACATTGAAAATGAGAGCAAATATTTTTAAAGTGTTAATATTTGATTAATATAGTTCAAAAAATGAAAGTGTTGAAAATGAGAAAAGAACAAGTTAAATTGAAAAATATCTATATTAATAGTTGATTAATATAGTTCAAAAAATGAAAGTGTTGAAAATAAGAAAAGAATAAGTCAACTTGAAAAAATCAAATAGAGCTTCTAAAAATCAAAAGATACAATAGAAATTAAATACTAACTGAACAGGTTTAACATCTTAAGAATTTGTGAATTAAAAAGAGGGTCAGAAAAAAATATTCAGACTGCAACCCAGAGAGAAAGAGAAAATGGAATGTAAGACAAAGAAGTTGAAGAGACATGGAGGGTAGAATGAGAGAGCATCTAACCAAAATGTAATCAGAGTATCAAGAGGAGAGCGTTTATAAAAGGATTATAGGCAATATTTGAAGAACTGATGGCTGAAAATATCTTAAAACTGATGAAAGATACCAATACTAGTTTTGCAAAAATGTTGTAGCACATACGTGACAAAAAAGGAATAGAATTTGTTCTTCATAATTGATAATAGCACATATTGATTTCCTTGCTTCCAGGTTTCTAAATGAAGTCATATGTAACTTTGCCAATCAAATGTTATTTTAAAACTCTTCTAAGAAAAAGCTCTTATGACATTCCTTGGTAACACTGTTGAGTTTCAGAGTTGTAATATTGTTCATTCCAGAATTTGCAGAATTTGCAAACACCATGATAACTTTTTTTGTCCTAATAGTGTACTTAGTGAGGTAGAATCAAGGTTGAGGGAGAATTGAGAAACTGTCTGTGAAAGTAGTATTTCCAGAATCATTATAAAAGGAGAGCCAAACTGTCTGTCCTTCTACCATAACTCTTCCCTCATGTTGCTTCTTAACAAGATAATAGAAAATCTATACATTTTAGTGTATTTATTTAAGATCATATTAGGCTGAGCATGATGGCTCATGCCTGTAATCTCAGCACTTTGAGAGGCCAAGGCAGGAATATCACTTGAAGGCAAGAGTTCGAGACCAGCCTGGGCAACATAGTGAGACGCCAACTCTACAAAGTTTAAAAAAAAAAAAGTAACCGGGCATGGTGGCCTACACCTGTAGTCCCAGCTATTCAGGTGGCTCAGTTGGGATAATTGTTTGAGCCCAGAAGTTGGAAGCTGTAGTGAGCCATGGTCATGCCACTGCACTCCAGCCTGGGCAACAGAGCGAGACCACAACTCAAAAAAAAAAAAAAAAAAAAAAAAAAAAGATATTAAATCCTTAGAAACATTGACTGCCTGAATCTTGATAAGTGGATAGCACATGAAGCCAGTTTGTATTTTTGTTGTTGTTGTTCACCACTAGAAAACATATAAACCCAAACCAAAACTAAGAAATTAAGTTGTGGTTATTTCTTGTAAAAACAAATGATTTTTGAATTTGTAAATACTGGCTTTACCAAAGAATTCACCACAGGATTTCTTCAAATAACCATCTTAATTACATTTACTTTATCTTGTATTTATATAATTCAGAGACTATTTAGCCCCAATATTAGGTTGGACTACGTTTTTATACTTGTTAAAAATTAGTGTTTTTCTTCATTCATTAATATATGTATACTATTTCATTGTATGGATGTGCCGTAATTTACTTGTATAACTTGTTGAGACATGTAAGTTTACTACTTTTCATTATTAAAACAATATTTCCGTATACATCGTTCACATCTGTTACTATTTTTTCCTGATTAGATTCTTAGAATTGCTGAATCGTGCAGAATGTTAAACTTTTTAACACTTGTCCCATTTCCTTTGAGAAGGGCTGTCCCAGGGCATATCAGTACAAGAAGGCCCTTTTTCCATAGCCCCCCACCAAAGTTGTGTGTGTGTGTGCATTTTAACATATTGAGTAGTAAAAATATCTTATTTGAATTCCACGTCTCTGGTTACCAATGAAGTTTAACTTTTATTTTTTAATATTTTCTGAACCTTTTTTGCAAGAACATTCTTCTAGATTATGACGTACTAAATCCAGTATTTTTCCTTTATTCTGACTTCTCTGAAGAATTTCTTTCTTTTTTTTTTTCTGAGACAGAGTCTCCTGTTGCCCAGGCTGGAGTGCAGTGGTGCGATCTCAGCTCACTGCAACCTCCGCCTCCTGGATTCAAGCGATTCTCCTGCCTCAGCCTCCTGAGTAGCTGGGATTACAGGCACGTGCCACCATGCCCAGCTAATTTTTGTGTTTTTAGTAGAGATGAGGTTTCAACATGTTGGTCAGGCTGGTCTCGAACTCCTGACCTCGTGATCTGCCCACCTTGGCCTCCCAAAGTGCTGGGATTACAGGTGTGAGCCACCACACCTGACATTAAGAATTTAATTCTTAATTAACCCTTCATCTTTTCCCATCCATGACTTCAGTTTTTCTACATTATTTCAGTTCCCCTAACTCTCAAATTATCACCTCTTTATCTTCCCATACCTAAAACCATAGTATTATCTTTGGAAGAGTCAGTCTAGTGCTTTCCAGTCTGTATTTTCTTCAATGTAATATTCTCCTTTTGCTATCCTTTGGTCATCTAAAAAACTTAAATCTAACAGAGGAAACTGGGTTGGTGATGCTACCTTGATACTTAACTGCCATGGGTTCCAAAGCACAGAACTCTCTGGCCTGTCCTCTTCCTTCCACTTATCAATCCATCATTTACTTTTTTCACTTGCGTTGTCACTGTTCTAGTTTAGGCTGACATTTGAAAAGTTGTCTAATTCATCTCTCTGCCTCTGGATTTTTCCCTCCAGTTTATCTTACATATTGCTAGTTACTAAGTTTTTGAAAATACTACTGTGATCCTGTCATTTCTAATCTCAGAAACTTTAAATTATTTCTCCTTTTTTGGAGCAGTTGAAATAAGTTGCTCACTACTTACTATTCACTTATTTACAATAGGTTGTTAAAATTACACACTGTCCTACACTGCTGACCAGAGATGGAGATCGAATTCGAAGTAATGGAAAGTTTGGGGGCCTTCAGAATAAAGCTCCTCCAATGGATAAACTTCGGGGAATGGTATTTGGAGCTCCAGTTCCAAAACAGTGTCTGATCTTAGGGGAACAAATAGGTAAGTTGAATAAGTACTTAAATAGCAATTTCTAATTTAATTTTACTCTTATTTTTCTAAGAGCTTATGTTTTGAGAATCTAACATGAAAAATTAACAAATGTAAGTAAGTAACAAATGTAAGTAAGATGTTTTTGTCTACTACTTTCAGCTTTTTTATATCAGGTAGTTTAGAGTTATGTAAATAGTAGCTTTATCCTTTGTATTTTCATTCTTATATGTAGTGCATGCCTGTGTTCCCAGCTACTCAGGAGGCTAAGACAAGAGTGTCGCTTGAGCCCAGGAGTTTGAGGTCAGCCTGGGCAACGTAGCAAGACTCCATCTCTTAAAAAAAAAAAAAGAAGAAATTTCTGTCATTATTGAATAAGTCAGTATTTTATTACATAATCATAATACTTATTTCTATCTTGAAATTTGTAACTATCTAGAACAATTAAGGCTTATTAGAAAGTGTATGACATGTGATCTCCTGCCCCTTTTTCCCTTCCACAGGCTGTGTCCCTTTGCATCTAATTAGCCAATATAATTGTCCCTGCACGTCTGTGCTCTGAAGTGCATATACTTACCAGGAAGTCTCCTTACCATCCATTAGCTTAGAGCCTATTTGCTCTTAATTTATATAATTAATTCTGATACACTCAACTCTACTTTCCTAACACAGAGCAGTTTGTTGTTAACTTTCTTTTAATTGAAAAATACATATAACATAAAATTTACCATCTTAACCATTTTTAAGAGTACAGTTTGGCCGGGCTCGATGGCTCACGCCTGTAATCCCAGCACTTTGGGAGGCCGAGGTAGGCGGATCATGAGGTCAGGAGATCGAGCCCATCTTGGCTAACACAGTGAAACCCTGTCTCTACTAAAAATACAAAAAAAAAATTAGCTGGGCGTGGTGACACGCACCTGTAGTCCCAGCTACTTGGGAGACTGAGGTAGGAGAATCATTTGAACCCAGGAGGTGGAGGTTACAGTGAGCTGAGATTGCACCACTGCACTCCAGCCTGGGCAACAGAGACTCTGTCTCAAAAAAAAAAAAAAAAAAAAAAAACAGTTCATTGGTGTTAAGTGCATTCACATTGTTGTTCATTCTATCTCCAGAACTGTTTTCGGTATGCACAGTTGAAACTTTGTATAAACTCTCCATTGTCCATTCCCTGACACCCATTATACTTCTTTCTGTCTCTCTGAATGTGACTTCTAGATACTTCATATAAGTAGAATCATACAGAGTTTGTCCTTTTGTGACTGGCTAATTTCACTTGGCATAATGTCCTCAGGTCTGTCCATGTTGTAATAAGTGTTAGAATGTCCTTCCTTTGTAAGGCTGAATAATATATATTTCACTGTATCTATTTGCAACGTTTTGTTTACTTTTATTTACTTTTTTCTTATTTTTTATTTTTTATTTTTTTGAGATAGTCTGACTGTCACCTAGGCTGGAGTGCAGTGGCACAATCTCAGCTCACTGCAACCTCGGTCTCCCGGGATCAAGCAATGTTTGTGCCTCAGCCACCCAAGTTGCTGGGATTACAGACATGCGCCACCACACCTGGCAAACTTTTGTATCTTTAGTAGAGATGGGGTTTGAACTCCTGGCCTTAAGTGATCCACCTTCCTTGGCCTCCCAAAGTGCTGGAATTACAGGCGTGAGGCACCGTGTCTGGCCACTTTGTTTGCTTTTATTAAAGTAAAATACACATAGAAAAATGTGCATATTTTGTGAACATTCAGCTTGATGGATCTTCACAACATGAACACTGCACTTATATTAAAAAATAGAACATTAGGCTGGGCTTGGTGGCTCACACCTGTAATCCCAGCACTTTGGGAGGGCAAGGCAGGCGGATCACCTGAGGTCAGGAGTTCAAGACTAGCCCGGCCAACATGGTAAAACCCCATCTTTACTAAAAATACAAAAATTAGCTGGGCGTGGTGGTGGGTGCCTGTTGTCCCAGCTACTCACGAAGCTCAGGCAGGACCATCACTTGAGCCTGGGAGGCAGAGGTTGCAGTGAGCCGAGATTGTGCCATTGCACTCCAGTCTGGGTGACAAGAGCAAAACTCCATATAAAAAAAAGAAAAAGAAACACCAGTACTGTAGAAGATTTCTTTTTGGCTCCTCCACTCCCTACCACCACTCCATACTCAAAGGATAACAACTTTCTTGACTTATAGTAGCTTAGATTAATTTTGCCCATTTTAGTACTTTATATACTTGGTATTGTGCGGTGCGTACTTTTTTATATGTCTAGTTTTGTTCAACACTATGCATGTAGTTCATTTTCATTGCAGGATAATACTTCATTGTGTGAATGAAATGTACAATTTATTTATTCTACTGTTGAGGAATTTGAGCAGTGTCTTAGTCTGTTTTGTGTTGTTATAAAGGAATACCTGAAGCTGGGTGATTTATAAAGAAAAAGATACTTAATTTGGCATACACTTCTTCTGGCTGAAAAGTTCAAGATTGGGCATCTGCATCTGGTGAGGGCGTCAGGCTGCTTCCTATCACAGTAGATGAAGAGCTGGCATGTGCAAAGATCACATCTCAAGAAAGGAAGCAAAAGGGAAGGGGAGGGAAGGTGCCAGGCTCTTTAAACAACCAGCTTTTAGGAACAGAGCAAGAATTCACTCACTCCCAAGGGATGGCACTAATCTATTCATGAGGGATCTGCCCTCATGACCCCAACATTAGGCCTCACCTCCCAACACCACCATACCAGGGATCAAATTTTAACATGAGCTTTGGTGGGGACAAACCAACCATAGCAGGTAATTTCCATTTGGGGCTATCAGTTCAGCCTCAGAAGTTTTTTAATTAGTAGTTGAGAAAGGTGGTGGGAAGAGGAGTCATACTTCTGTTTATGACATCAGTGGACACATACAGTCTCTACAATGAGTGAATATCTAAAGAAACTGATAAGAAATCAGAGAAAACATTTTAATCAAAGTCAGTGAATTAATGTAAAAGGCCTAGACTCTATACCTAAGCATTTTATGGCAGTAGTTCCCAAAACCAGAAAGAATTACCTGTGGAACTTAAAAAATACACAGATGTCATATTTAATAGTTGCTTAGCTTTCTTGACAAATATATTCAAAGATACACTCCCACATACAGACTAATGATTCATTGATAAGAACTCAAAGGAGACCGTTTAAGGTTACTAATATATATAAAGTACTTTTGATTGTAAGCAATAGCAGCCATGCATGACTACTTTAAGCCAAACAGGAATCTATTGGAAGGAAACTGGAAGAAATCACAGATTTAAAGGAGATGGAAACAGCCAAGACAAAGTCAAAGATAACTCTGGGACAGTCAGCAGCCTTGGGCTCCATATACCTTCACCCTAAAGTTTTAATATAACTTAACTCCCACCAGTCCTAGGAGAGAGAAATGCCCACCACCTTCCAGGTCAGCCAGACTTAGTAAGGATCAAATAAAGCAAACAGTTTTGGAGACCCTCCCCTGGGTATCATGGAATCATTCTCAGAGCAAAAGCAATTTTGAGGAAGGCCATCACCATAAAAATTGTCAACTGCTAGCACAGTTATAAGCAAAGTATTTGTTTTCTAAATAATTTGCCTATACGTTGTCTTGCATGATTAGTATAAGAGCAAATCAGAGCATAAGAAAAAAAAATTACTGGACATTTACATATTATAAAATATTACGTTGCAGACACCCTGTTAAGGTTGTCACATGAATGATCGTATTTACTGCTGTTATCTTCATTTTATAGATGAAGAAGTTGAGGTTCAAAAAGGTTAGATAGCTTTCTCATGTTTAGAACAGTGTGTGTATTCGTTAGCACATTGAAAAAAGTAGAAAGAAATATACTTTTAATTCTGGGTTATATAATTGGGATAATTTTCTCCATTATCCCTTTCTATATATTTTTCCAG
The DNA here is from genome assembly GCF_000001405.40 of Homo sapiens. Taxonomy (NCBI): domain Eukaryota; kingdom Metazoa; phylum Chordata; class Mammalia; order Primates; family Hominidae; genus Homo; species Homo sapiens. Next base: position 2,788,531 of record NC_000018.10, read on the forward strand.
ACTTGCCTCAGTGAGCATTGTATCACTTTTATAATCAGAAAAATTTACTTATTGTTTTTAATATTCATTTATTTTATTTTATTTTACTTTTTGAGACAGAGTCTCGCTCTGTTGCCCAAGATGGAGTGCAGTGGCTTGATCTAATTGCAACCTCCACCTCCCAGGTTCAAGTGATTCTTGTGCTTCAGCCTCCCAAGTGCTGGGATTACAGGTGCACGCCTCCATACCCAGCTAATTTTTATATTTTTGTAGAGATGGGGTTTCACCATGTTGGCCGGGCTGGTCTCGAACTCCTGCCCTCAAGTGATCTGCCCACTTAAGCCTCCCAAAGTGCTAGGATTACAATGTGAGCCACCTCCCCTGGCCAAATTAATATTCTTTTAATGTATAATTGATCTTCTAGGAAACATGCCTAAGCAAACAATCCTAACTACAGACAAGGCATTGTTTTATTCAAATGAATATCACAGCTTTGTTTTTCTTTTTTTGTTTGTTTGTTTGTTTTTTGAGACAGGGTCTCACTTTGTTGCCCAGGCTGGAGTGCAGTGGCACAATCATGGCTCACCATAGCCTTCTAACTTCCTGGGATCAGGTGATCCTCCCACCTTAGCCTTTCGAATAGCTGGGACTACAGGCTTGTGCTACCACACTGGCTAATTTTTTTGTATTATTATTATTTTTTTTTTTTTTTGGTAGACATGGGGTTTTGCCATGTTGCTTAGCTGGTCTCAAACTCCTGGTCCCAGGCGATCTGCCTGCCTTGGCCTCTCAGAGTGCTAGGGATTACAGGTGTAAGTCACTCTGCCTGGCTACAGCCTTGTTTTTCAAGTAAAACATAGAAATGTTAAATCCTTTAATTGAATTTGTAATCTGGAGAATGTCTGTGTCAAGGCTAAGTGGAAGGTGAATAAAAATACAAATATCACACGTTAAAAATTAAACCTTTAAACCTGTGGAATGAAAAGAAAAAAGTGAGAGAGTAGACCTGTTTTTTTCTCCCCCCACCATTTCTTGTTTCCTATACAGACTTAGGATGTTTCAGCTTACATTTTTCAACTTCACAGTAGTGTGAAACCAATACACATTCAGTATGCTTCTCAACTTATAATGGGGCTGTGTCTGGATAAACTCTTAATAAGTTGAGAATATCATAAGTTGGAAGCGCACTCTCAACTTTTACAATATTTTCAAGTTATGATGGGTTTATTGGGACATAACTTCATCGTAAGTTGAGGAGCATCTGTATTATTTCAAGTGTTCTGTAGAGATCTTGGGAATAGAAATACTTTTAAAATGCAAAGGAAATAACTAAGGACACTGTAGAAGCCAGAATGTAGACAGAAGAGAAAAAGAGATGTTAATAATAACTCAGGCTGGGCGTGGTGGCTCACGCCTGTAATCCCAACACTTTGGGAGGCCGAGGCGGGTGGATCACGAGGTCAGGAGATTGAGACCAGCCTGGCCAACGTGGTGAAACCCCGTCTCTACTAAAAATAAAAAAAGTTAGCTGGGCATGGTGGACGTGCCTGTAGTCCCAGCTATTCAGGAGGCTGAGGCCGGAGAATTGCTTGAACCCAGGAGGCGGAGCTTGCAGTGAGCCGACATCGCGCCACTGCACTCCAGCCTGGGCAACAGAGCGAGACTTTGTCTCAAAAATAAATAAAATAATAACTCAAGAAAAGCATCTTATCATAATCAATAAGTAATTGCATAAGTCCCCCCTCCCCTGCAGTTTTGCTTTCTACAAATTCAATTACCCGAAGTCAATGACAGTCCAAAATAGGTGAGTGCAGTACAATAAGATACTTTGAGAGGGAAAGACCACGTTCATATAGCTTTATTACAGTATATTTTTATTCTGTTTTATTGTTGTTGTTAATCTACTATGCCTAACTTATAAATTAAAATTTATCATAGGCTGGTATGTATAGGACAAAACACAGTATAGGCCGGACACGGTGGCTCAGGCCTGTAATCCCAGCACTCTGGGAGGCCAAGGTGGGTGGATCACCTGAGGTCAGGAATTCAAGACCAGCCTGGCCAAAATGGTGAAACCCCATCTCTACTAAAAATACAAAAAATTAGCTGGGCGTAGTGGCACACACCTGTAATCCCAATTACTTGGGAGGCTGAGACAAGAGAATTGCTTGAACCCAGGAGGCAGAGGTTGCAGTAAGCCAAGATTGCACCACTGCACTGCTGTCTGGGCAACAGAGCGAGATTCCATCTCAAAAAACAAAATACCACAGTACAGGTAGAAGAAAATAATTCAAATGTCCCTAGCATAAAGAAAAAATATTAAGATGAGGGATATCCCAATTATCTTTATCTAAGTATCAGAATATCACATGTGCCCTGAAAATGTGTACATCTGTCATATATCAATTTTAAAAATGAAAAACAAAGTCATAAGAATTGGAAAGGAAATAAAATGGTAACTATTTGTAGATTGTGTAACAGTATACCTATAAAACCCAAGGTAATCAAAGATGAAAATTAAAAGAATTTATTAAGGGAGAAAGTTATAAAATTAGCATACAAAAATAATAGCATTCATATAATCTTACAGTAAGCAGTTAGAAGATATAATGGGAGAGGAAAAAAGTCATATACAAGAACAACAAGAATAAGTTTTAAAAGGTGTTTCTGCAGCTAAACATGTTGATCCTTAAATACAAAGAAAAATAAATATGAATGAATACCTAAGAACAGAGACTTCTGCTTCTCACCAAGATGGAATAACTTACATCAAACAAACCAAAGAAAAAAACCACTGAGGCCAGGCACAGTGGCTCACGCCTATAATCCCAGCACTTTGGGAGACCAAGATGGGCGGATTGCTTGAGACCAGCCTGGGCAATACAGTGACACCTAATCTCTACAGAAAATAAAATAATTAGTTGGGCCTGGTGGCTCGCTCCTTTAGTCCCACTTCTTTGGGAGGCTGAGGTTGCTGTGAGCCGTGATTGAGCTACTACTGCATTCCAGCCTGGGTGGCAGAGTGAGGCTCTGTCTCAAAAAAACAAAGCACTGAGCAAAATACGTGAAAGAATAGTTTTCAAGACTTTGGATATGAAGCAGTAAAGAATGGTGATTCCTGAGAAATAGGAATCAACCGAAGTATCCCTGTGGTTGTTTCAGCTTACTGCCTAGAGAGATTTTCCAGACTACGTAAAACAGAAAAGGGGAACCCAGGAGAAGCTCAGTAGTCTCAAAGTTGAGAAGAACAGGTTGGGAGTCCAGGAAGGTCAAGACAACTATAGTTCACAGACAGGTTACTGGGAAGGCAAGAGCTGCTTTAGAGAGTGAGCGAGCTCTAGAAATGCAGTAGGTCTCCCTTCAGTATCCAGCTTAGTACTAATTAGTGCATGCATGTGAGAAGACCACCCAAGGCCAGAAAGAAACACCCTGAAGAGGAAACAGTAGTCAGAACTCTTAGTTTAATTTTATAATAAATCATTTCCAAAATATTTATTGAATTGTAAAATCTGAAACTATACTAACTGCGAGCTGCTATATTCCCAAATATTTCCCGTTATTTGCTCCTTTAAACTTTACCAATAAAGTACAAAAAGAGTTCATAGAGTTAGAAATATTTCTTTACAAATAAAATTTGCTTTTAAAAAAACAGCAATACTGTCATGTGCCGCACAAGGCTGTCAAAAACAGATTGTATGTAAGACAGTGGTCCCATAAGATTATAATGGAGTTGATTACCTTTTCTATGTTTAGATACACAAATGCTTACCATTGTGTTACAGTTACCTACAGTATTTAGTACTGTCAACATGCTGTACAGTTTTGTAGTCTTGGAGCAATGGGCTATACCATATACCCTAGGAGCATTGTAGGTTCTACATACCATGTAGGTTTGTGTAAGTACACTCTGTTGTGTTCACTTAATGACGAAATAACCTAATGAAACATTGCTCAGAGCATATCCCCATCATTAAGCAACACATGACTGCACAGGGTTCAGTAGTATCCACTGGGGGTTTCAGACATCCACTGGGGGTCTTGGAACATGTCCCATGAGGAAAAGGAGGGACTACTGTAATACATAGTTTGTAATCATGACATCATCAAAAGTATTAACATTTTTATTATGTTCATATTCTTCAAAATATTATATATCTGACCAGGTTAGACATTTCTTATACTTTATTGCTTTCATACTTGATTTATTATAATACTGTCAATATTTCAGTCAATTATGATGGTTTTTTAAATAAAGCTATTCTTAATATTTTTATGAATAGTGACGAAGATTAGTTAAGCACTCTGGCTTTCAGGGAAAGGGTGTTTTGTTTTGTTATGGGAATAGAGCAGTGTGATGATCTCTCATGGACCTGTCACCTAGCTTTGATTATTAAAACATAGCCAGTCTTGTTTCATTTATACCCACCCTGTCACAGCTTGCCTCTATCCTCCTCTTCCTGGGTGGGTTATTTGAAGCAAGTCAAAGCAGAGGTTCTGGTGTATTTTTTCTTGTAGTTTTTCCCAGTCATAAGTGCTTATCAGTTTTTTTGCCAATAAGTTTCTTCGAATTATGTGGAGCACAAAGTTTGAAGAGCACTAAATATTATTTAGGAAAGTCTACCTGTGCATCTAACTGCATAAATCCTTCAGTGGTGAGAAAGTTGCTTCAGACTTCTATTAACTCATGTTTGGGAAGTCCTTACACACTTACCTGATAACAGCCTTTCAGATATACTTTCCATCCTTTTGTGGTGTTTCTAGTAGCTTCACATAGTCATTTTCCTGGACATGTTGAAATAACCTATCTTAATATTGTGACTCATTTACATACAAAATAAGTATTATTTTATGTACGTAGAAAACATTGCTTGAGGCCAGGCGCAGTGGCTCATGCCTGTAATCCCAGCACTTTGGGAGGCTGAGGCGGGTGGATCACGAGGTCAGGAGATCAAGACCATCCTGGCTAACACAGTGAAACCCTGTCTCTACTAAAAATACAAAAAAAATCAGCTGGGTGTGGTGGCGGGCGCCTGTAGTCCCAGCCACCTGGGAGGCTGAGGCAGGAGAATGGCGTGAACCCGGGAGGTGGAGCTTGCAGTGAGCCAAGATCGCGCCACTGCACTCCAGCCTGGGCGAGACTCCGTCTCAAAAAAAAAAAAAAAGAAAGAAAACATTGCTTTAATGTGGAATTAGAAATCAGACCAGAATAAAGTTCTCAATAAAGCGTAAGGAACTTAAGGGTCTTGTCGTCACTCAGTTTCACATATAGAATTTGTATTTAAATATGAATATGTTCACAAGCACACACAGATGTGTATATGTAATTTGGTCACTCATTCTAAGTGTAGATTTCTAGAATATTGGGTAGATTTCTTTTTAAAACACTACTCTTGACCCTTAAAGTATAGAATATCTTATGTTATACCTAATGTACTCTGTACTCTTAAGTAATTTCTTCCACAGTTTTACTTATAAACTACTTATATATGTTTAAGTGTTTGAATGTTTATATGTCCATTTCCATGGATATTGATCATCTTGGTGTGTGACTAGAGTCTTATCCAGATGCTAAATGTTTTAGGTTTTGCAAGTCAAGTGGCAAAATCAAGGATGATGTTATGAAGATATTTATATAACTATTTAAAATGTGACCATTTTAAACTGGATAGGCCAGTGGGCTCACTCCTGTAATCCCAGCACTTCGGGAGCCCAAGATGGTTAGATCGCTTAAGCCCAGGAGTTCAAGACCAGCCTGGGCTCAAGCAGTCCGCTCACCTTGGCCTCCCAAAGGTCGAACAGCATAGTGAAACCCCGTCTCTAAAAAAATTAGATAGGTGTGCTGGCCAATTTGCCTGTAATCCGAGCTATTGCCTGTAATCCGAGCTATTCACGAGGCTAAGATGGGAGAATCACCTGAGCCCAGGAAGTTGAGGCTGCAGTGAGCAGTGATTATGTCACTGCACTCCATTCTGGGTGACAGAGTGAGACCGTATCTCAAAAAACAAAAACAAAAAACTGAATAAACCATTCTTGGCCAATGAGTGGTAGTGTACTAACCCTTAGCCTAGAGTATAGTTACTATTTAATACTTAGTGTCTAGTAAATCATGGAGACAGGCAATAATCTCAAACCTGAATAATGTAATACTTTTTTGGAATTTCAAAATTTATTTTTATGGCAAGAAGAACACTTGATCATTGTGGAAAAAAATTGGAACATACAGGCAAGCATCATGAATTTTTAAAAGAACTCATAATTCCCAAACCTACAGATTAAACATTGTTAATAATTTATTGTATCACCTTCCAGCCTTTTGTCTATACATGTGGGAGTATATATAGTTTAAAATAAGTTGGATTATTCTAACAATGTTGTTTTATGGTCCTTTTCTATATACTGTTCTGTGGTGGAAATTTTCCCAGGTCATTAATTTGAATAATGTAATACATTTTTAGACAAAGTAATTTAAGAAAAGTTAAGTTTTTTGAAAGTGAAGTATTTTTCTGAGTGTGTTTTTAAAAAATTCTGGGTTTTTTTTTTGTTTTGTTTTGTTTTTGTTTTTGTTTTTGAGACGGAGTCTCGCTCTGTCACCCAGGCTGAATGGCGCAATCTCAGCTCACTGCAAGCTCTGCTTCCCGGGTTCACGCCATTCTCCTGCCTCAGCCTCCCAAGTGGCTGGGACTACAGGTGCCCGCCACCATGCCCAGCTAATTTTGTTTTTGTATTTTTATTAGAGACGGGGTTTCACCGTGTTAGCCAGGATGGTCTTTATCTCCTGACCTCGTGATCCACCCGCCTTGGAACCTTGCAACGTGCTGGGATTACAGGCGTGAACTGCCATGCCCAGCCTAAAAATTCTGTGTTTAAAAATAATAGTCATGCTTTTTGGAAGCGATGATTTTCTTTTTTTACAGTACAAAAAATAAGAACAATTAATGAGTTGCATTGCTGCCAAGTTTGAACCACAGCATGCTCACTGTCAGTTACACTTACACATCTTTTTATTAGAAACCCCCTGTTACTCATCAGTTTTCATTTGGGAAATAGTGATTTCTAACAACACAATATTTAATGTATTTGCCTTCTCCCTGCAAAATTTGTCCACATGGAATTATATTGAATACTGAATATCAGACAAGATATAAACACTGGCTTGAGAGAGTGATCCAATAAAAAACAGAGCACTTTTATATAGAGAACTCTTCCCTGACACAGAAGTAAACTTAAGTCAAACAAAGAAAATTAAATTTAACAATTTTGTGCTGGGATCTTAACTATGCTTTTTTATTTCATTTGTTTATATTGAATGTTTTATGGCTTTAAAAGTAGATCCCCTATGTTACCATAACACAAATTCCAGTGTTGCTCATTTTTTCCCCTAAAACATGAGTTTGGTTTAATAGCAGTAATTTAATCAAATGCATTTGGTTTCTTTACAGATCTTCTTCAGCAGTATCGTTCTGCTGTGTGCAAACTAGACAGTGTGAATAAGGATCTTAACAGTCAATTAGAGTACCTTCGCACTCCGGATATGAGGAAGAAAAAGCAAGAACTTGATGAACATGAGAAAAATCTCAAACTAATAGAGGAAAAACTAGGTAAGTCTTTGCTTTTTGTTAACTTCTACTTTCTTTATATGGAGATAAATATTTATGATGAGAGAGAATCCAACCGTAAGAAAAAAGAATGCAAATGATTCAGAACTTAACAAAAACTCTTAACCTCCAAGTCCTATCTGATAAATGGTTATAAACTATTCTTTCACCAGAAGTAATAGGCATTCTCAGTATACTTTCTTAATTCTTTTTCTATAAATTATGACATATTCATGTTTGCATTTCTCTAATTCCATTGTTTTTATTGTAAATTTAACTTTCTACATTTTCCATCTTCACAGGTATGACTCCCATACGTAAGTGTAATGACTCATTGCGTCATTCACCAAAGGTTGAGACGACAGATTGTCCAGTTCCTCCTAAAAGAATGAGACGAGAAGCTACAAGACAAAATAGGTGAGTTTGTTTGACCTGAGAATTATGCTTGGTTAGTTTACCAAAGTTCTTGGGTCTCATGATAGCTTTGTTTTTTTGAGATGAAGTCTTGCTCTGTTGCCCAGGCTAGAGTGCAGTGGCACAATCTTGGCTCAGTGCAACCTCTGCCTTCCAGGCCCACGGGATTCTTGTGCCTCAGCCTCCCGAGTAGCTGGCATTACAGGCATGCACCACCATGCTTGGCTAATTTTTTGTATTTTTTTGTAGAGATGGGGTTTCACTGTGTTGGCCAGGCTAATCTCAAACTCCTGACCTCAAGCAGTCTGCCTGTCTTGGCCTCTCAAAGTACTGGGATTACAGGTGTGAGCCACTGCATCTGACTTGGTCATCATACTTTAAAAACAGTATGAGTTCATGTCTAATTCTTCCTTTGAGCCAGAATTAATATTTTAAATTAAAAAAAATAAAGTAATAATGAAGATAAAACTTAAGCATTATGTTTTCTTAGGATACTCAATCTTCTAAATAACTTGTGCTAATTATTTAGAAATGTTTATATTTTATGTTAAAAGTGATTGTTAAGAGTCAAATTGCTTGTCTATTTTTTGGCTCATTGCATTCTCTTTCAGAGGATCAGTAACTTAATAAGTATAGAATATGCAAAACCATTTGTAAATCACTTATTTTAAAATTGCTTATAATTTTTGGTTTGGAGAATCAGATCACCAAACCATTTTGGCCATTTAGATCACCAAAAAACCAACACAGCTATTTCCACCCTAACTTCATAGTAAGAAAACTGTCCCTTTTAGATTAAATGTTAGTAAAGTCATCCCACAGAAGGATATCATGGTACTGGTGTTTCTCTTTTATTATTTCAAAAGGTTTAATTGTAGACTCTACCTGAATATGTTTTCTCATATCAACCGTAGAGGAATTCCCTTGAAACTATGGTGTTTGGAATTGGTATTCTTTGCCATATTCATCTGCGTATTCTACATTTATTCAGTAAAGATTTGAAATCTCACTCTGTGTTGTATGTTGCTGGGTGAATAAAACTGACATGGTTCTTGCCTCCATTGGAATTCTGTAATTCTATGCAGTAGAGGGACAATTTAAAAAGTAAACTTTTTTCTATTTGTAAGGAATTACAGTGGCTTATGCCTATAATCCCAGCACTTTGGGAGGCCGAGGCAGGTGGATCACCTGAGATCAGGAGTTGGAGACCAGCCTGGCCAACATGGCAAAACCCTGTCTCTACTAAAAATAAGCCAGTCATGGTGGCGCACGCCTGTAATCCCAGCTACTCGGGAGGCTGAGGCAGGAGAATTGCTTGAACCCAAGAAGCGGAGGTTGCAGTGAGCTGAGATCGCACCATTGCACTCCAGTCCGGGCAACAAGAGCATAACTCCGTCTCAAAAAAAAAGAAAGAAAATAGGGAATGAAAAAATGATGAAGTAATAGAAAATAATAGGGAAACAATATCAGTTGTCTGGAGAGATGCATTGAAACAGAGAACTGAAGGATGGGAAGGAACCAGCCATATAGGGATTGGTTTCAGTCAGAGGTTGGGAAGGAGGCATGATGCTCTAAGAAAATAACAGGTGTGGCATGTTTGAGGAACTGAAAAGATGTTAGTGTCTAAGGCATGGTATGGTATGCAAGAGGGAGAGGACCAAACTATTGTCGGACATAGAGGCAGAGGCCAGATTATGAAACTCCTCCCTCATCATGTTGCAAAAAAAATCTATTTTAAGTTCATTGATATCTCTTGAGTATCACACATGTAGGCATGTGAATGATGTGTTCATGGGCATGAGGTGTATACAGACTATTAAGCTGATCATTCAAAGTGTGTTGGGGCAGTTTAGCATCAGAAAGAAAGACTCTTTGCAGTGGATTTAGACATGTAACTTTTAGAAATTATGAGTTCAAAATGACGCAAAAATCCCTTATTGGTCATCATTGCTGGTTGGTAGGGCACCTGCTTGTGACTGTGAAAATTTATGTATTTATATAGAAAAGACATGTGTATGAACTATCTTCCAGGTTTCCAAATAGTTACAGAAAGTTCTTCTTTGTAAAAGTTATTCTTTGTAGAAAGTTCTTATATTGGTTAAATAATATGGTGTCTGGGATATACTCTAAAATACTCCAGGAAAATAAAGTGGCAGAGGATATCAAAATAAGACTTGGCAAAATGTTTTCATTACTAAAGCTTGAAATAGGAAATTCACTGTATTATTCCCTCTGCTTTTATATAGGTTTGCCATAATTTTTTAAAGAAGTATTTTATGAACAGTGGGATTATTTTTTAGAGAGACCAGAACCCACTTCCCACTAAGGAAATTCCTCAAGGTGCAGTTCTAGGCTAAGATGTAAGGTACATGTTTTTGTGCCACAGTCTCAGCACTAAATTTGCCCTAGACCTTCCAGTTACTACAGCGCTACTGTGGACATTGATTTGGAACTTGTTAATTAAGATTTTGTAGCAATTCAGAGGGAGTTTATGTTTTAGTTTATAATATTGTTAGTAGTATAATGATCATCGGTCATATGTGTATATATCAAATGGTATAGATTTACAGTGTTGTACTATACGTGAGTCACATATATAATTTTAAATTCTCTAGAAGCCATATTAAAAAGGAAAAAAGGAACAGTGAGATTAATTTTAATAATAGATATTATTGAACCCAATATCCAAAATATTTCTACATGTAAACAACGTTAAAAATGATTAATGAGCTATTTTACATTCTTTTTTTTTAAATACAAAGTCTTCACAATTCAGAAGACAGCAAATCTCAATTAGGACTAGCTACGTTGCAAGTACTCTGGAGCCACACACATGGCTGGTGGCTACCGTTTTGGACTGCACAGGTATAGAAAGAGCTGATGATCGTAAAATCTTGTATCCTATGCATCCTTACCCCTATTCCATCCTTCAGAGGCAACCTTTGTTTTAACTGTTAATTTTTAGTTACTCTATTGTTGCCTCCACTTTTAAAAGTTACATTATTATGACTATGTAAATATTGTTCAGGCAAATATTGTACTAAGCAAACTTGTGTGCTAGAATTACACTTCCTTCTCTATATGGGTCTAATGTCATGACTCTTACTTAGGCCACCAGTTAGTGCTCCAAACATCAGGCTCAAATAAATCTTCCTTACTCTGTTATTCTTAAAATCACGTGAAGTGTTATTCCAATTGTTACTAAGACTCTTTCTTGTTAATTTTTCTGGAGTTTTTAATTGCCACCTTTTTTTTTCTTTCCCTATGTATCTTAATCACATCTTCTTCCTCCTGTACCAGTGACTAGTAACTGTGCAGGCCTCCTGTAAATCTGCCATCCTGGGTCTTCCTTAGTTACTCTCTTGGATTATATCCATTATTTATTGGATTCCATGTCTTTCTCTCTCTTATAAATTCCTTAGAAAAAATGTGTAGAAAGATAACTTGGAGCCCTTCTATGTCCGAAAAATGTCTTCATTTTGCGTTCACGTTTGATTGAGGTTTTCTGGAGATAACAGGATAGAAACAAGGCTAGAATATACTAGAGGTGAAGGGATTGGGAAATAGTCTAGAAATAATAGGAGACAGTCTGCCTGATTTAGCCCCAGAAACACTTTGGATTCAGAGTCAGTTAGAACAAAAGAGTGAGAAGTCCAGCAACTCTCCCTGTTTGGGAGTCCTGTCTCCCAAACAGGGAGAGTGGCAAATAAAAAGGACGGAACAGAATGGAAAAGGAAAGGAAGCCACAGCCTAGAATGTACCAGATTTTCAACCCAAACTTTGAAAGCTTTGTTTCCTTGTCAACAGGCATGAAAAGATGCCACTACAAAGTTAGATAACAATGGAAATGAATTAAATGTTGGTATATTGGCTTTTGGTAGTTGCTGGCACACTAGGACCTAATGCTGGCCTCTGGGAACTAAAAGGCTGATAACTGGCTCTGCACCTGCACATTTATCTATTTTGATTTTAATTCAACAATTTTTACTTTATTTATTTTGTAGAGATGGGGTCTTGCTGTGTTGACCAGGCTGGTCTCAAGCTCCTGGGCTTAAGCTACTCTCCTGCCGCGGCCTCCCAAAGTACTGAGATTACAGGCCTGAGTCACCATGCTCGGCCCAACATCCACATGTTTAAAGCAAAACCTGTGGACCCATGACGTTGATTTGCCCTATCCCAGTTATAGTTACCATCAAGTCCCACTCGGAGAAGAGACTTGTTGGTAAAACAGTTCTATTTTTATAATAGTAGAAGAAATTCCAGCTAGCAATGTAATCCTCTTTCTTAAATGTAATTGTACAACTAACAGTCATCACACATATGAGGGTAGCCAGCAACGTGAGAGACAAAATTCAAGATTAAGTTCCAAAATCAACATGGAGGACAATTTAGTAAAGAGACTAGACCTCTTTTATAAAATTATAATTACTATGTAGCAGAAAGGAGCCAGGACAAGAATGAATAAACAGATTACAAATATTGTTGCTGAAATAAAAATGTTCAATAGGAGGATTAAAGTCCAAAAAGAAAACTTCCCCAATACAAAAAGAGATAGAAGACATAGAGAACCAATTCAGACTATTAGGAATCTAGAAAGAAGAAAATGGAGAAGGAAATGCTATCATGTGGAAGAGGATTTCCTAGGGATGAATAAAATTCATTGAATGCCCAGCAACAGTGACTGACAAAATACTCACTAAGATACTTCATAGTAATACTGTATCATATCAAGGAGAGGGAGAAAGAGTGTCAGTGATTTTAGAGAAGCCAAAGAACCATATTTTCAGTGCAGCCTTTAGTACATGGGGAGACACACACACAAAGCTATCATTTGTTTAGCTTTGTGATGGCGGTATTAGAAGTTTAGGTGGAAAATTTGGTGTATTCTGGACTGCGACTTTCTCCTCTTTGCATCCTGATTATATTCATGAAATTTGTTAAAATCACTATGAGGGATTTTCTCATCCTCAGTCTTTTCCTATTCTCTATAAATCTTTAATAAATCTCACACTCTCAAGAGGTCAGAGCATTTGAAATAAAAATCTTAACAGTATTGAATATTGGTATATTTCATCCATACAATCAGGAACAAATTTAATAGTAGGAAAGGAAATAGGTACATTATATGTGTTTCTGTATATTTATGTTTATGTTTTTATTTACATATGTATACTGAATATATATTTGTTACTGCTTATAGATCACATACTATGTTTCATCAACTTTAAGATTTCATTAACTATAAAAATGTCATTTTATGAAACATTAAAGAAAAATATTGCAAATTAACTCATGACCTTATAAAGTACATCTGGATTTCAGAGATGTTAAGTGTGAAAAAATATCTTAGAATTCATTAGATATGCTTAGCAATATATGATACTATGCAGTAGATTCCATTGTTTTCTTGAATAGAGGCTTCAGTTTTCTAAATAATTTTCCACTTATAAAGATTAAAAATTAGTTCTGTTAAAAATATGTATCATCTTCTATTTGGAGATAGTTCAGGGAACTATTAGAAAATATTTACATATACCTGAATTTTTAAAATCTGTAGCTATATATGTCAAGGTGCTCACTGTGTTCATCTCTACATGAATGAGATTATGAATATTAAATGTTTTATTTTGCTTGTCTTTGTTACTTTTCTGTAATAAGCATTATAATTCCTGTTCTTAAAATAATAAGTTCATTTAAGGAAAAGGGGGTGAAAGGAAAAATCTGCAGAATTTAGGTCTGAGATAATACCATTTCAAAGCACTGTGATACAAATTACTTATATATGTTATATACTGTGTGTGTGTTAACTACTTTTATTTGGGGGCTTGTTTTGCATACATGTGAAGGAAATGATTATATATAAGGATTTAATTAAATCTGTTTATACCAAGAATTATATTTAAAAGAATATGGTTTCATTGGATATTTAAGCATTCAGGTGTGATGAGGGAATTCAGGGAAAGGAAACCTTTGGTACATAAAACTTTTTTTTCTTTCCCCTTTGACCAGGATTATAACCAAAACAGATGTATGAGAGGTGACAGAGAGAAGAGGCCATTGGTCTCAGTAAGAATGCCCTGCTTTCTGCATCTCTGTTTCAGAAGACCAAGAGGGTGACTTACCAGACTGAGTATTTCTGGGGACAATACAAGTACCTGGGCATGAATTTCCATTTCGATTCAGATGGGACTGGAAACAACCATTCAATTTTATGAATCTTACTGGACATTATGGATTTACTGGAATTATTCCAGACATTATGCCCTTTGGTTGTCACTACCTTGCAAATGTGTAAGAGGAAAATGTGCTAATGTGGCAGTGACTGTAAAACTGGCACATGGCATTTATTAATCCTGAAGAAAAGTACATGTACTATTTTTCAGTATAAATATAATGAACATGTCAGAACTATTTCTTGAAAACCTTTTTATTACTTTTGCGTGAATTTATTTAACAAAGATGTTTTGTCTTTTGTGTAAGGGAGGTTCTAGAGGCTAGATGTTTAATTGTAAATATGTGAGGAAACTCAATGCAGAATTCAGGATAAAAATTTTAAAAGCACAGGTATTTGGGAATTGAAATGTTAAGATACCCAGAACAACATTAAATCAATGAGTGAACTTGTGACAGTGGTAGCATTTCAAATTTCAAAAGACTTATCCTGTGTGTGTGTGTGTGTGTATATATATATATATATATAAATATATATATATAAAATATTCAGCAGCACCAAGTTTTATAACTATTGTTTGTTTGACTTTATTAATACTAGAATATGTAGTCTCAGCCTTAATTTTACATTTACATTATTTTGTAATTTTTTATTACTATTTTTAAGGGGTTAAAGAGAACATACATTCTCACATTAGTGTACTTTCTGGTAGAAAGTTGCTGCAAAAACATTTGAAATGTATATTAACCTAATGTATGTCATATATATGTCTTTGTGTAAGTTCAAGACTATTGATCTGTGAAGTTATTTTGTAAGGACATACATTTGGTAAGTAAGTTTGTGTCCCAGGAAATGTATGTGTTTTTAAACCCTTTCTAAATATGCAGGCCATTAATAAATAAGATTGTTTCTTCCCTACTGAATAGATAAGTGTTTTTCTTTTTTAAAATTGGAAGCTTCATAAAAGTTATCTTGTTAAAAAACGATGATGATGTTAACCTATCTATCTTTATAATTGGAAATTATTTAAACTGTTTGTTGTTACAGAAGAAACAAAATGGTAATTACAGAATTAGCTGTGGGGAAGATTGGCTCCCATGGTACTACAGGTTGAGTATCCCTTATTCAAAATGGTTGGGACCTGAAGTGTTTTGGATTTTGGTTTTTTGTGGGGTTTTTAAATTATTATTTTGGAATATTTGCATTATATTTACCAATTTAGCATCCCTAATCCAAAAATCTTTCATTAGAAATTGGAAATGCTTCAATGAGCATTTCCCTTATGTGTCATATCTGCGCTCAAATGTTTTGAATTTTGGAACATTTCTTGTTTCTGACTTTTAGATTAGGGATACTCACCCCGTACCAATATTTGGAGTCCTTAGACATTAGATTATATGAAAATGATTGATTGATAGGTAAGAAAGGTTAAAGAGAAATGACTTTTTAGGAACTAGACTTGAACGTATAATTAATATGTGGAACTAGTTTGCTTTTATAATTCATTGTATCAAGAAGGAGTCATGTTTTAAATCCAAGGCATTGAGACTATCTAGAAGCAAAAAAGTTGGTTTTAAAAATTCTTTTTATTAGAAGTGTGTTTAAAAACATGTCTTTTTTTCCCTTGAGCGACAGTGGCCTCACTACATTGCCCAGGCTAGTCTTGAACTCCTGGGTTCAAGCAGTCTTCCTGCCTTGGCCTCCTAAGTAGCAGGGATTACAGGCATGCACCCACATGCCAATTTTTATTGCTTAAAATGGCGAGTTCTATGGATATTATCTAGCCCCAAGCCCATATCTGTACACTTTTGTTCATTTTATAATACCAGAAAGAATGTTCTATCAGTAAAAGAAGGTTTTTAAGTATGAATCTCCATTTTTGTGGAGTTTTTCTACCCTGTAAAAATTAACTTTGTGGTTCCCAGTAATTACAGTAAGGAGTTTTTCTATATTTTCACAGTTGGATTTATCTAAGGATATTTCTCAGCATATTAAGGAATCCTTTTCTACATTTGAGCAAATACTGAGGTTCATGTTGTACCAAATAATAATAAATTGCTTTTGTGTTTAATATGTAACACGTAAGAACAATTGAAATTTTCTTCTAAGATTTAATACTAGTCTTTTAGTATAAAGGAATGTAACTGGAGAAAAAAATTAATGCTACAGCCATTTATCCTGTGTTATGTGTTATATAATCTGAAATTTGTCACAATGTTACAATCAGGAAGTTTTTTTTCTGGTTTCTTCTTCCAAAGGAAAATAATAGCCTACTTGTATTTTGAAGTAACTGAAATAAAACTCTCTCCAAGCCTTTTTGCACATTACGTTCATCAGTTTTCATGTGTACATTTGGCCAGGCCTATGGTAAAAATAGGCTCAATTTACTTAACATTTTTATAGGGTTTTTGGTATAAGATTCTTTACAGAGACTAAAATTTGTTGCATATATAACATTCAGATTATTTTAAGTGAAATTGGCTCCTATTGTTAAATATTAGTGCTAAGGAAAGTTCAGTCTTCTAAACTGTCTATACTTTGGCTCTGTGACTTGATTACTTTATAGTCATTATGAAATTGATGGGGTTAATTCCATTGTATTTTTAGTATAGAATTTTCAAATAATACATTTTAGTAAAAAAATTGAATGTTTAATTTTCATACTGTGAAACTGGTGAAAAATATTAAAAACAACCATTTAAAACTTCTGGAAATGGTCCTGAGGACAAATGGCAATGAAGAAACATCTATTCAAGAACATTTACAAAAATTCAGTAAGGAAGATGAGAATCTGTGGTAGTTTGAACCAAGACTGACTACTCACTTCCACCTCCAAGCTCAGCAAGCAGACTAACGCAGCCAAAAACGCTGGGTTCCTTATCCCACCATCTCCCAGCCAGAAATTTTTTTCCCGAAAGGAGCGAGACTGTAGTGATTCTTGTCCTGCCTTCAACTGCCTTTTGCTAGCACTAAGTCCTGGGTCAGTGTGGCCAGGTGAGAGCCGTCTTCTCCCCACCAGGCCACAAAACCTTGAACACATGTGCTGAGATTGCTGGGGCCTTGATAACTCTCTGGCTCGTGAAGTAGGATTCTACCCCAGGAAAAGCAAGCCAAGAGGATCTCAGGCTACTGCCCCCTTCCATTGCACTCAGCTTCTAGAGCTAGAATGCCAACTCAAGCTTGCCATTGTCCCCACCTCTAGCTCCAGATCCCTGGCTCAGAGATTTTTGCCTGCAAATGAGGTAGGATGAAAACAAAACAGGTAGCTCTTAATCTCTTTCCAAAGGAACTGACTTTTAAAAAAAGAGCATGAGAAGTTTAAACTAGAGAGCTCGAGACACACAGCAAAAGAAGTGCAACATAGAGTAATTTATTGTAAAGGAGAAAGAATATTTTGAAAGTTAAGTGCAGGATAGACAGTACACCCTGAGAGAAAGGATTCAGGGCAGGCTGCTTTTAAGGGTGAGACTGCAAAGACTACACTAGTGTAAACAATAGAACAGTAAGCCAGCAATTAGTGGAGTTGAACAACAGGGTATATGGTCAAGAGGAAAAAGTGCGCGAGAGTACGCAGGATTTCTGGGGCATACCAAAAGCTGTGCCTCCCTGAGGAAGAACTTGAGAAACAACGCTGTTGGGATTAGGGAAGGATAGACTTCACTAAAATAATCCATCCAGGCACTAAGCTTAAGCAAATAATAATAACCAAACCAGAGGGAGGTGAACTAGTAGAGTAACTACAGTATGTTATTTAAAATGTCCAGTTTCCAACAAAAATGTATGAGGCATGCAAAGAAACAGTGTGACTCATACACTGGAAATAAAGCAGGCAGCAAAAACTGCCTGTGAGAGTGATCAGATGTCAGATTTAACCAAAAATTAAAGTACCCATTATAAATAAATATATTCACAGAACTAAACAAAAGATTAAAGAAGTAAACATTATGACAGTGTCTCATCAAATAAAGAATATCTCCTAAGCAAACTAACAGGAACAGAAAACCAAATACCGCATGTTCTCACTTATAAGGGGGTGTTCAACATTGAGCACACATGGACATAAACATGGGAACAATAGACACTGTGGACTGCTGGGGTGAGGAGGTGGGAGTGGGTTGAAAAACTACCTATTGGGTACTGTGCTCGCTACCTGGGTGCAATATACCCATGTAACAAACCCACACATGTGTACCCCGTATATCTAAAATAAAAGTTGAAATTATGTGTGTGTGTATATATAATTGAGATATATATATATAGAGAGAGAGAGAAATGTTTAAAGAACCATGTGGCAATTCTGGAGTTAGAAAGTGCAATAACTGAAATTTTAAAATTCACCAGGGGGCTTAACAGTAGGTTTGAACTGGCAGAAGAGAGAATAGGTGAATTTGAAGACAGATTGTAGAGATTATGTAAAAACAGAGAGAAAAGGCAATGAAGAAAATAGAGCCTCAGAGAAATGTGGAACACCATTAAGTGCAGCAATGTGCACTTAATGACACAGAAGGTAGGAAAAATATTCAAATACATAATGGCTGAAAACTATTAGAATACAATAATCTATACATCCAGGAAGCTGAACAAATTTCAAGCAGGATGACCACAAAGAGACCAACAGATAGACACATCAAATTCTGAAAGTCAAAGACAAGGAAAAAATCTTGAAAGCAGCAGGAATAAAAGTATAATACACATCTCTTACAAAGACAGCCCCAATAAGATTAACAGCTTCTCAGCAAAAACAATAGAGACCATATGGCAGTGGGTTATCATTTCAAAGTGCTCTAAGGAAAAACAACTATCAATAATTCCATCCCCAGCAAAGCTATTGTCGAAATGAAGGAAAAATACTTTCCTAGATAAACACAATTCATTGCAAGATAAACAATTCATTGCAACTCCAAAGTTGCAAGCAGGCCCACGTCAGAAGAAACACTAAAGGAAATTCTTCAGGTTGAAAATGAAATGACCAGGCTGGGCACGGTGGCTCACGCCTGTAATCCCAGCACTTTGGGAGGTCGAGGCAGGTGGATCACGAGGTCAGGAGTTCAAGACCAGCCTAACCAACATGGTGAAACTCTGTCTGTACTAAAGATACAAAAAATTAGCTGGGCGTGGTGGCGGGCACCTGTAATCCCACCTACTTGGGAGGCTGAGGCAGGAGAATTGCTTGAACCCAGGAGGCAGAGGTTGCAGTGAGCCGAGATCGCACCATTGCACTCTAGCCTGGGTGACAGGGCAAGACTCTGTCTCAGGAAAAAAACAAAAACAAAAAAAACAGAAACAAACAAAAAAAAAAACAAAATGACCTGAAATGGTCATTTAAATCCACACAAAGGGCACCAGAAAAGGTAGTTATGTAATTGACACTATTAATGCATATTTGTTCTTTTTTTCTTAGTTGATTTGAAATGCAGTTGTATAAAATAATATGTATAAAATATATTGTTGGGCCTATAATATATAAAATGTAATCTGTGCATAATATTTTTGCCAATAACATCACTCAAGTGGGTGGGAGCAAAGCTATAATAGGCTATGTATATGAAGACATGGTTAAGTAAAATGTATTGCTGGGTTTGTAGCATTAATTTGTGTGTATATAACATACCACAAAAAGAGGCAAAAGTAAAGAAAGCTATATAAAAGAAACATTTCTATATATTATTGGAATGAAGCTAGTGTAGTAGTCCATTTTCACACTGCTGATAAAGACATACCCAAGACTGGGCAATTTACAGAAGAAAGGTTTAATTGGACTTACAGTTCCACATGGCTGGGGATGCCTCACAATCATGGCAGAAGACAAGGAGGAGCAAGTCCCATCTTACACCGATGGCAGCAGGCAAAGAGAGAATGAGGAAGACACAAGAGTGAAAACCCCTGATAAAACCATCAGATCTCATGAGACTTATTCACTACCACGAGAACAGTATGGGGGAAACTATGCCCATGATTCAATTATCTCCCACCAGGTCCCTCCCACAACATGTGGGAATTATGGGAGTACAATTCAAGATGAGATATGGGTGGGGTCACAAAGTCAAACCATATCATTCCACCCCTGGCTCCTGCCAAGTCTCATGTCCTCACATTTCAAAACCAATTATGCCTTCCCAACAGTCCCCCAAAGTCGTAATTCATTTAAGCATTAACTCAAAGTCCACAGTCCAAAGTCTCATCTGAGACAAGTCAAGTCCCTTCCACCTATGAGCCTGTAAAATCAAAAGCAAGCTAGTTATTTCCTAAATACAATGGGGATACAGACATTGGGTAAATACAACCATTCCAAATGGGAAAAAAAAGCTAAAACAAAAGGGCTGGCTGGGCATGGTGGCTCACGCATGTAATCCCAGCACTTTGGGAGGCTGAGATGGGCAGATCATGAGGTCAGGAGTTCAAGACCAGCCTGGCCAATATGGTGAAACCCCATCTCTACTAAAAAATACAAAAATTAGCCGGGCATGGTGGCGTGCACCTGTAGTCCCAGCTATTTGGGAGGCTGAGGCAGGAGAATCACTTGAACCCAGGAGGCAGAGGTTGTAGTGAGCCAAGATCATGCCACTGCACTCCAGCCTGGTCAACAGAGTGAGACTCCATCTCAAAAAAAAAAAAAAAAGTGGGGGTGGGGGTAGGGGCTTATAGGGTGCATGCAAGTCTGAAATCCAGCAAGGCAGTCAAATCTTAAAGCTCCAAAATGATCTTCTTTGACTCCATGTCTCACATGCAGGTCACACTGATACAAAAGGTGGGTTCCCATGGTCTTGGGTAGCTCTGCCCTTGTGGCTTTGCAGGGTACAGCCTCCCTCCCAGCTGCTTTCACAGGCTGACATTGACTATCTGTAGCTTTTCCAGGAGCATGGTACAAGCTGTCAGTGGATCTACCATTCTGGGGTCTGAAGGATGCTAGCCCTCTTCTCACAGGTCCACTAGGCAGGGCCCCAGTAGGGACTCTGTGCAGGGGCTCCAACCCCACATTTCCATTCTGCACTGCCCTAGCAGAGGTTCTGCATGAGAGCCCTGCCCCTGCAGCAAACTTTTGCCTGGGTATCCAGGCGTTTCCGTACATCTGAAATCTAGGCAGAGGTTCCCAAACCTCCATTCTTGACTTCTGTGCATGCACAAGTGCAACACCATGTAGAAATTGCCAAGGCTTGGGGCTTGTACCATCTGAAGCCACAGCCCGAGCTCTATGTTGTTTCCATTCAGCCATGGCTGGAGTGACTGGGACACAGGGCACCAAGTCCCTAGGCTGCACACAGCTTGGGGACCCTTGGCCCGGCCCATGAAACCACTTTTTCCTCCTAGGCCTCCGGGCCTGTTATGGGATGGGCTGCCATGAAGACTTCTGACATGCCCTGGAGACATTTTCCCCATTGTCTTGGAGATTAACATTGGGATCCTCATTACTTATGCAAATTTCTAGAGCCAGCTTGAATTTCTCCTCAGAAAATGGAATTTTCTTTTCTATCGCATTGTCAGGCTGCAAGTTTTTCAAACTTTTATGCTGTTTACCTTTTAAAACTGAATGCTTTTAACAGCATCAAAGTCACCTCTTGAATGCTTTGCTGCTTAGAAATTTCTTCTGCCAGATACCCTACATCATCTCTCTCAAGTTCAAAATTCCACAAATCTCTAGGGCAGGGGCAAAATGCTGCCAGTCTCTTTGCTAAAACATAACAAGAGTCATCTTTGCTCCAGTTCCCAATAAGTTCATCTCCATCTGAGACCATCTCAGCCTGGACCTAATTGTCCATACTGCTATCAGCATTTTGGGCAAAGCCATTCAACAAGTTTCTAGGAAGTTCCAAACTTTTCCACATTTTCCTGTGTCTTCTTCTGAGCCCTCCAAACTGTTCCAACCTCTGCCTGTTTGGAACCCAGTTCCAAAGTCACTTCCACATCTTCGGGTATCTTTTCAGCAATGCCCCACTTCCAGTATCAATTTACCATATTAGTCTGTTTTCACACTGCTGATAAAGACATACCTGAGACTGGGCAATTTACAAAAGAAAGAGGTTTAATTGGACTTACAGTTCCATATGGCTGGGGAAGCCTCACAATCATAGCAGAAGGCAAGGAGGAGCAAGTCTCGTCTTACACAGATGGCAGCAGGCAAAGAGAGAACGAGGAAGATGCAAAAGCAGAAGCCCCTGATAAAACCATCAGATGTCATGAGACTTATTCACTACCATGTGAACAGTATGGGGGAAAACACCCCCATGATTCACTTATCTCCCACCAGATCCCTCCCACAACACATGGGAATTATGGGAGTACAATTCAAGATGAGATATGGGTGGGAACACAGAGACAAACCATATCAGCTAGTATAAATTGAAGCCGATTCTAAGTCAAGATGTATATGATAAACCCAAAAGTAGCCATTAAAAAAAATAGTGAAATGATTGTTGTAAAATTAATATACTACATGCTATGGACTGAATTGTGTTTCCCTTCCAAGACATTTATATGTTGAAGCCCTAACCTCCAGTGTGACTGTATGTGGGGATAGAATCTTTAGGAGGGAATTAACGTTAAATGAAGTCACAATGCCAAGGCCCTAATTTGGTAGAACTATGGCCTTATAAGAAGAAATGATTTCTCTTCCTGTCTCTCTTTGGACACAGTGATAAGGCACCTATCTTCAAGCCACAAAGAGAACCCTCACCAGAACCTAACCATGCTGGCACCATGATTTCGGACTTCCTATCTCCAGAACTGTGAGAAAATAAATTTGTTGTTTAAGCCACCTAGTCTATGCTATTTTGTAATGGCAGCTGAGCTGACTAATATGCCTGCAAAAGAAAGCCGTAAAGGAGGAATAGAAGATGAAAAGAAGCATGAGACAGATGGAAAACAAAAAGTAAGATGGCAAACATATATCCAATTTATCAATAATATTAAATGTGAATGGTTTAAATAATCCAGTCAAAAGGCAGAGGTTTGTCATGCTTGATTTTTAAAAAACAAATCCAAGTATATGTTGTCTATAGAAGAGACACTTTAAATTCAAAGACACAAATAGATTAGGAGTAAAAGAATGGAAAAGGATACATTATGCAAACAGCAACCACAGGAAATCAGATGCTAATATGAGACATAATAGACTTTAAAACAAGTGTTATTAAAGAGGAAACTTTTTGGCTTCAGGAAGATATAACAATTAGAAACATATGCACCTAAAAATGGAAAATCAAAATACAAAAGGAAAAACTGACAGAAACGAAGAGAGAAATAGACAATTCAACAATAATAGGTGGAGACGTCAATACCTCCTTTTCAATAATGAAGAGAACAACTAGGCATAAGATGAAAACATAATAGAAGACTCAAGCAGCACTATAAACCAACTAGATTTAACAGACATGTGTAGAACACTCCATCTAACAACAATAATATACATTCTTAAACACACATGGAATATTTTTCAGGGTATGTAAGGCCATAACACTTCAACACATTTACAAGGACGGAAATAATACAAACAAAATATGTTCTCTGCTTACAATACAATAAAATGTGAAAGTAATGAGAAAATTTGGGAAACTCACAAATATGTGGAAATCGAACTATACACTCCTAGATAACCAATGGGCTACAGAAGGAATCAAAAGAAATTCAGAAAGTACTTTGAGACGAGTAAAAGTCAAGGTACAATATACCAAAACTTATGGGATCCAGTTGAAGCAGTGCTTAGAGGCAAATTTGTAGCGGCAAATTTGTAGCTGCAAATGACTATATTAAGAAAGCTAAAAGATCTAAAATCAATAACTTAATATTTCACCTTAAAACACTGGAAAGGAGGAAAACACTAAACCTAAAGTAAGCAGGAAGAAGAAAATAATAAAGATTACAGTGGAAATGAATAGAATGAAATCAAGAACAGAACTGCAATAGAAAAAAAGCAATATAACACAAAGTTGGTTTTTTGAAGCAATAAATCACATTGACAAATCACTAGCTGGTTTGACTAAGGAAAAGAAGAAAGTATACTAGAATGGAGAATATACTAAAATCATAAAAGAAAGGGGGAACATTATTACTGACCTTCCAGAAATAAAATGGATTATAAAGGAATACTATGAACAATTATATATTAACAAATTAGAAAATAGATGAAATGGAAAAATTTCTAGAAAGACAAACTACTGGAATCGACTCAAGAGAAATAGACAATCTGAATTTATCTATAACAAGTGAAGAGATTGAATCAGTAATCAAAAAACTACCTGCAAGGAAAAGCCCAGGCCTAAATGGCTTCACCACTCAATTCTACCAAACATTTGAGGAATTAATACCAGTTCTTCACAAACTCTCCCCAAAAATAGAAAGGAAAACTTTCCATCTCATTCTTTGAGTTCGGTAATACCCTGATAACCAAAACCAGATGAAGATATCACAAGAAAATTACAGACCAATATTTCTTATGAATATGGATGCAAAAATCCTCAATAAAATCCCAGCAAGGCCAGGTGCGGTGGCTCATGCCTGTAATCCCAGCACTATGGAAGGCCAAGGCAGGCAGATCCCAAGGTCAGGAGATCGAGACCATCCTGGCTAACATGGTGAAACCCCATCTCTACTAAAAATACAAAAAAATTAGTCCCAACTACTCGGGAGGCTGAGGCAGGAGAATGGCGTGAACCTGGGAGGCGGAGCTTGCAGTGAGCCCAGATCGTGCCACTGCACTCCAGCCTGGGCGACAGAGCGAGACTCTGTTTCAAAAAAAAAAAAAAAAAACCCAGCAAAATAAATCCAGCAACATATAAAAGGAACTCAGAGCTCAGAATGGGAAGGTAACAGGCATTGCTCAGAAACATGAAAAAACAAGCTACATTAATAAACCATAGATGTCTGGGGAAAAGATTATGATAAAAATATACAATAGACTGCTTAAGGCCTAGGAGGAAAAGCTGGGGAGAGTTTCCTTGGAAAATTAAAATCATTCAAAAGTATCATGGAGGCCAGGGTTGGTGGCTCACGCCTATAACCCCAATACTTTGGGAGGCCAAGGCCGGGGGATTGCTTGAGTTCAGAAGTTTGAGACTGGCTTGGGCAACATAGCGAGAACTCATCTGTACCAAAAATTTTTAAAACTTAGCCAGACATGGTGATGCACACCTATAGTCCCAGTACCTGGGAAGCTATGGGGGGAGGATCACTTGAGCCCAGGAGATCAATGCTGCAGGGAGCTAGAGACAGATCCTGTCTCAAAAAAAAAAAAAGTATCATGTATACATATATATGTGGCTATTTAAAAAGCCACATATTTGCCCAGGCAAGATGAATGCTCAGGAAAGACTTGAGAAGACCATAAGTTTTCACCTCAGGCTAATCCCTAGGCTTAGGACAAGCCTAGTTAAGTGTTGAAGGAGGGCCCTAACACAAAGTCAACCTGCGAAGACTGGGAGAGGGCTGTTGATTTTTTAGTTCCTGGTACTCCAGGAAACTTGTCAAAACATCAGCTGAACACTAGTTAAGGAAGAGACTTCAGTGACCATATACAACAAGGAATAGTCTTTGCAAAAATAGTTTGGGAAATCACTAACTGAGTAGACTACTACAGCCTTAACACATACACATACGCGCACACACACACACACACACACACACAGAGCAAACTTTAGGGAGGAGATTCTCAGAGTTGTCACATTGTAGTATTATACTATTCAAATGTTCAGTTAACAACGACAACAATCACAAAGCATACAAAGAAACAGGAAACTGTCGTTCATTTAATGGAATAATAAATGGACAAAAACTGTCCCTGGGAAAGTCCAGATCAGACTTATTATACAAAGACTTTAGCCGGGTACGGTGGCTCATGCCTGTAATCCCAGCACTTTGGGAGGCCGAGGCAGGCAGATCACAAGGTCAGGAGATCAAGACCATCCTGGCTAACATGGTGAAACCCCGTCTCTACTAAAAATACAAAAAAAAATTAGCCGGGCGTGGTGGCGGGCGCCTGTAGTCCCAGCTACTCAGGAGGCTGAGGCAGGAGAATGGCGTGAACCCAGGAGGCAGAGCTTGCAGTGAGCAGAGATTGCGCCACTGCACTCCAGCCTGGGCGACAGAGCAAGACTCTGTCTCAAAAAAAAAAAAAAAGACTTTAAACCAATTATCTTAAATATGCTCAAAGAGTTAAAGGAAAACATGGACAAAGAACTAAAGGAAATCAGAAAACAATGTATGAACAAAATGAGAATATCAGTGAAGATAAACTGTAAAAAGGAACCAAAGAGAAGTTCTTGAGATTAAAAAGTATAATAACTGAAATAAAAAACTCACTAAGAGAGTACAACAGCAGTCGTAAGCACAAAAATGAAAAAAATCAGTGATCATGAAGGACACTTGAAATTATTGCATCTGAGGAGCAGATAGAAACACAAACAATGAAGAATATTTTAAGAAATAATGGCCCAAAGTTCCCAGATTAGATGAAATACATGAATCTACAAATCCAAAATGCTCAATGAACTCTAAGTAGGATAAACTCTAACAGAGCCACACCATGACACATTATAATCACACTGTTGAAAAACAAAGGAGAAGAATTTTGAAAGACACAAGAGAGAAGTGGCTCATTACATATAAGTAATCCTCAATAAAATTGACAGCGGATTTCTCATCAGAAACCATTGATGCCATGGGTTGAGATGGCATATATAAAGTGATAAAAGGAAAAAAAATCAATCAGGAATTATATATACAGCAAAACTTTTCTTTAAAAAAGGGAGAAATTAAGACATTCCAGTTAAACAAAGGCTGACGGAGTTCTTTACTACCAATCTTGCTCTACAACAAATGATAAAGGGAGTCCTTCAGGTTGCAATAAAATAATGCTAGACAGTTAAAGCCATATAAAGAAATAAAGATCTCAAGTAGAGGTAAATGCATGGACAAATATAAAAGCCAGTGTTCTACTTTTTGTTTGTAACTATAATTTTTATTTCCTACAGGATTTAAGTACAAATGCATGAAAAATAATTATGAATTCGCTGGATATGGTGGCTCATGCCTCTAATCTCAGCTCTTGGGGAGGCAGATCACTTGAGGCCAGTAGTTGAGACCAGACTGGGCAACATGGCAAAACCCCCTCTCTACTAAAAATACAAAAATTAGCCAGGCATGGTGGAGCATGCCTGTAATCCCAGCTACTTGGGAGGCTGAGGCAGGAGAATCGTTTGAGCCCAGGAAGTGGAGGCTGCAGTGAGCTGAGATCGAGCCACTGCACTCCAGCCTGGGCAACAGAGCAAGACTCTGTCTCAAACTAATAATAATAATAATAATAATAATAATAATAATAACTATTATTATAACTCTCTTATTGGGCACACATGTATGAAGATGTAACGTGACAATGTAAGAGTTGGGGGAGGCAAAGTTGATAGGAACAGTGTTCTTGTATACTATTGAGGTTAAGTTGGTAACTATTGTGATACTGTGATTTAGAGTAAGAAATACATATATGAAGATGTAACGTGTAACAATGTAAGAGTTGGGTGAGGTAGGGCCAGGCACGGTGGCTCACACCTGTAATCCCAGCACTTTGGGAGGCCGAGGCAGGTGGATCACGAGGTGAGGAGATTGAGACCATCCCGGCTAAAACGGTGAAACCCTGTCTCTACTAAAAATGCAAAAAATTAGCCGGGTGTGGTGGTGGGTGCCTGTAGTCCCAGCTACTCGGGAGGCTGAGGCAGAATGGCGTGAACCCAGGAGGCGGAGTTTTCAGTGAGCTGAGATGGGACCACTGCACTCCAGCCTGGGCGACAGAGCGAGACTGTCTCAAAAAAAAAAAAAAAAGAGTTGGGGGAGGCAAAGTTGATAGGAGCAATGTTTTTGTATACTATTGAGGTTAAGTTGGTAACTACTGTGATACTGTGATTTAGAGTAAGAAATACATAGTTGGTCTTCCCTCCCTCCCCATTTTCTGGTACACAGTTCCTAAAATCCTCGGAATGTCTTAAGTGATAAATGTCTTTTTGTATGCTAATGAGATGACTGGTGGCTGGGTGCACCTGGAAAGCCTCAGGATGGGGGCTGATTGCCAAAAGAACTCTCCCAACATCTGGGGAAGACAGAGCAACTGAAGTTTGAGATAATTGCCAGTGGCCAATATTATCAGTTGTGCCTATCTAATGAAGCCTCCATTAAAAAAAAAAAAAAAAGAAAAAAAGAAAAGGACAGAGTTTAAAGAGTTTCTGGATTGCTGAACACTTGGAGGTGCCTGGAAGGTAGTGTGCCTGGAGAGGGCATGGGAGGTCTATGCCTCTTCCCACATACCTTGCCCTATGTATTTCTTCATCTGTATCCTTTGTAATATATTTATAACAAACCAGTAAATACAAGTTTCCTGAGTCGTGTGAGCCTTCTTAGAAAATTAACTGAAACTAAGGATGTGGTCATTGGAACTCCAATTTATAGCCACTTGGACAGAAAAATAGGTGACAAGCTACTACTTGTACTTGGCATATGAAAGGGCAGGCTATCCCGTGCAATTGAGCCCATAACCTGTGGGCTCTGACTCTAACTCCAAGTAGATAGTATCACTGTTGAATTGACTTGTAGGACACCCAGTTGCTGTCTACTGGAGAATCGCGTGGTGTGTGGGGAAAAACTTCCACATATTTTGGTGACCAGAAGTGAAGTATTCTGTGATGAGTGTGTGATGGCAGGAAAGCTACTTCATTTTTTTCTATCTCAAATGCTATTCAAATTATATTGTCATATATTTAGAAAGTTAAATGCAAACTTCATGTGAACAACAAAGAAGATATCTTAAAAAAAAACCTACATAGATAAATGAGGAGGGAATCAAAATCGTTCCCCACAAATGAAAAAAAAAAAAAAAAAAAAACAACCAACCAAACAAAAAAAAAACTCAACTAAACACAAGGAAGTATTGGAGGAAATGAGGGACAAATGTATAAGACTACAGAACATAGCAAAATGGCAAAAGTAATCCTCAGAAATTACCTTAAATGTAAATGTAAATGGATTAAACTCCTCAATTAAATAGGAGCAGTGGCTCAAACCTGTAATCCCAGCACTTTGGGAAGCCAAGGCGGGAGGATTGCTTGAGCCCAGGAGTTCAAGACTAGCCTGGGCAACACGGCGCAACCTTGTCTCTACAAAAAACAAAAAAAAATTAGCTGGGTGTGGTGGTGCACACCTGTGCTCCTAGCTGTTTGGGAGGCTGAGGCAGGAGGATTTCTTGAGCCCAGAAGGTTGAGGCTGCAGTGAGCCATGATTGTACCACTGTACTCAAGCCTGGGCTGCAGAGACAGAGAGATCCTGTCTTAAAATTTAAAAAACTAATCACAGTACTTTGGGAGGACAAGATGGGTGAATTGCTTGAGGTCAGGAATTCGAGACCAGCCTGGGCAATATAGTGAGACCCAGTCCCTGCAAAAAACACAAAAATTAGCCAGATGTGGTGGTGCATGCCTGTAATTCCAGCTACTCAGGAGGCTGAGCTGGGAAGATTGCTAGAGCCTGAGAGGTTGAGGCTACAGTCAGCCTTGATTGCATAACTGCACTCCAGCCTAGGCAACAAAGTGAGATTCTGTCTCAAAAAAAAAAGAAAAGAAAAGAAAAGAAAAACCAACAGATATATCACATTAATAGAATGAATGAAAAAAAATCACATGATCATCTTAATGTAGTAAAGGAATTTAACAAAACCCAACATTCTTTCATGATAAAAACACTCAGAAAACT
This sequence comes from Homo sapiens, assembly GCF_000001405.40. Lineage (NCBI taxonomy): Eukaryota > Metazoa > Chordata > Mammalia > Primates > Hominidae > Homo > Homo sapiens. The sequence continues at coordinate 2,818,414 of NC_000018.10, forward strand.
AGACATGGAAGGGAATGTTCTCAACATAATGAAAGGGCCTTTATGAAAAACCCACAGCTAACATTATATTCAATGATGAAAGACTGAAATTCTTCCCCTAAGATCAGGAACAAGACAAGAATGCTGCCTTCACAACTGGTATTCAACATGGTACTGGAAGCACTAGCCAGAGCAATTAGACAAGTAAAAGAAAAAAAAGGCACTCAAATTAAAAAGGAATAAGCAAAACCATCTATTCTAAGTTATGATCCTATATATGAAAATCCCAAGGAATCCACAAGAAAGCTATTAGACCTAATAAAGGAATTCAGCAGAGTTGTAGAGTACAAGATAAACATGCAAACATCAGTTGAATTTCTAAACACTGGCAATAAATCAGAAAAGGAATTATGAAAGTGATTAATTATAATAGTATCTTCAAGAAGACAATACATAGAAATAAATTTAAACAATGAGCAGAAAGACTTGTACACTGAAAACTACAAATATTGCTGAAAGAAATTAAGGATCTAAATAAATGGACAAACACCCCATATTCTTAGGTAGGAAGACTGAATACTAAGACGTCAAAACCACCCAAGGTGATCTACAAAGTAAACACAATTCTTACCACAATAACAACAGCTTTTTTTCTTTTTTGCAAAAAAGGAAAATAGATCCTTATATTCATATGGAATTGCAAGGGGCACAGAAAAAAATCATCCTGAAAAAGAACAAAGTCAGAAGACTCACACTTCCTCATTTCAAACTTAATACAAACCTACTGTAATCAAAACAATGCAGTACTGGCATTAAGATAGATATACCAATGCAATGGAATTGAGAGTCCAGAAATAAACCCATACATCTATTACCAATTTTTTTTTTTTGAGACAGAGTCTTGCTCTGTGGCCCAGGCTGGAGTGCAGTGGTGCAATCTCGGCTCACAGCAACCTCGCCTCCTGGGTTCAAGGTGCCTGCTGAGATTACAGGTACCTGCCACCATGCCTGGCAAATTTTTGTATTTGTAGTAGAAACGGGGTTTTGCCATGTAGGCCAGGCTGGTCTCAAACTCCTGACCTCAGGTGATCCACCTGCCTTGGCCTCCCAAAGTGCTGGGATTACAGGCATAAGCCACCACGCTCAGCCTATAACCAATTTTTGACAATGGTACCAAGTCCCTTTGATGGGGGAAGAATAGACTCTTCAAAAAATAGTACTGGGAAAACTAGATTTCCACATGGGAAAGAATGAAGTTGGATGCCTACCTCATACTGTAAGTAAAAATTAACTCAGAATGATCAACAGCCTAAATACAAGGGCTAAAATGATAAAACTCTTAGAATAAAATATGGGGGTAAATCATAATGGCCTTGGAATCAGCAATAAATTCTTATATGTGACAACAAAAACACCAACACCAAAATTAAAAATAAATAAATTGGACTTCATCAAAACTCAAAACTTCTCTGCACCAAAGGACATTATCAAAAAAGTGAAAAAGCTAAGCTACAGAATAAGAGACATCATATATGATTCTCATATGTAAATCATATATCTCATAGGGATTTAATATCCCAAATAGTTGAAGAGCTCCTAAAACTCAAAAACAAAAAGAAAATCCAATTGTTAAATGGGCAAAGGATTTGAACTGACATTACTCCAAAGAAAATATATAGCCAATAAACACATAAAAAGATGCTCAACATTCTTAGTTATTAGGAAGATGTAAATCAAAACCACAAAGAAATACCACTTCGCATCTACTAGGATGTCTATAATTTAAAAAACAAAACACCTACAGAAAATAACAAGTACAAATGATCTCCAACTTATAACGGTTTGACAGGATTTTTTTTACTTTATGACAGTGCAAAAGCAAGATGCATTCACTAGAAAACCGTATCTTTTTCTGGGCTGGTTGTAGGTGTATTAAATGCATTTTTGGCTAGGTGTGGTGGCTCATGCCTGTAATCCTAGTACTTTGGGAGGCCGAGGCGGGCAGATCATTTGAGTCCAGAAGTTCAAGACCAGCCTGGGCAACATGGTCAAACCCTGTCTCTACAAAAAAAAAAAAAAAAAATTAGCCAGGTATGGTGGCATGTGCCTGTAGTCCCAGATACTTGGGAGGCTGAGGTGGGAAGATTGCTTGAGCCTGGGAGGTTGAGGATGCAGTGAGCCAAGATCGTGCCACTGCACTCCAGTCTGGGCAACAGAGCGAGACACGGTCTCAAAAAAAAAAAAAAAAGCCTTTTCAACTTACAATATTTTCAGTGTATGACGGGTTTATTGGGGCATAACAATTTCATTGTAAGTTGAGGAGCATCTGAATTGGCAAGGGCATGGAGACATTGGAACCCTCATACATTGCTGATGGGAATAAAAAAAATGGTGCCATTGCGATTCTTCAAAAAGATATAGTATAATTACCATATGATCTAGCATTTATACTCCTAGGAGTATACCTGAAGAATTGAAAACAGGGACAGAAATGGATACTTGTATGGCAACAATATTAGTCACAGTTCTCCAGAGAAACAGAATCAATACAATATAAATACATAGTTATATAAAAAGGGGGTTTATTATGGGAATTGGCTCATGCAATTATGAAGCCTGAAAAGTCCCACAAGATGCCACCTACAGTCTGGAAACACAGGAAAGCCAGTGGTATCATTTATTCCAAGTCTGAAGTCCTGAGAACCAGGGGAGACAATGGTGTCACTCCCACTCCATACACAAGACCTGAGAACCAGGGAGGCTGCTGATGTATGTCCTGGGGGCGTCCAAAGTCCCAAGACTCAAGAGGTCCCATCTCCAAGGGTGAGAGAAGATGGATGTCCCAGCTCAAGGAGAAAAAGAGAGAGAAAAGAAAGAGAGAGAGAGAGACAGACAGAGAGAGAGAGTGAGGGAAAAAAAAGAGAGTTTGCCTATTTTTTTCTATTTGTTCCTTCAAGGGACCAGATGATGCCCACCCAGCACATAGTTCTTTACCAGGTAGGCTGACCCCCCAGGGGGGTCATTCCTGAAGGGTCCGTGTCATTAGTCATGCCTGGATTGGGCTGTTGTTTTTCCATTGGTTTAATCACTGAGCACGGTAGTACCAACAGATGCCCTAATGGATCTCCTGTATTCTAGACATACTCTTCCCCACCTCCATGGTGGAGTAGTGTCCAATTTCCCCTTTGTACCCTGGATCAATCACCCCAGCCAGCACCGTAACTCCTTTCTGGACCTGTTGACTCAGAGGCATGAGGAGTCCAACGTGGCCAGATGGCAGTCTTAACTTCCAGCTCAGTGAAAGCATTGTTGTGTCTCCTGGTGGAAACACTACCCCCTTTGGAACCAAGGCTTCTGGGCCAGCAGAGGAAAAAGTTGTAGGAACAGGAAACAAAAATTGTGCTAGTGGATCACTAGGAGTAATCCCAGCCACCAGAGAAACAGCACTGTATATTGGACGCTGATTCGGAGCATATACAGCCTTCTGGAGAAACTTGCCCCAGGCCTGCAAGGTACTGCCACCTAGCTGGCCCTGTAACTGAGTTTTCCACAGGATATTTCACCATTCTGTCAAGCCAGCTGTTTCAGGACAGTGGGTAATAGGGTAAGACCAGTGAATTTAATGAGCATGAGCCCACTGCCACACATCTTTGGTGAGTTCTTTGGTCAGAAGCAATGCTGTGTGGCATGCCTTGATGGAAGATAAGGCATTCTGTAAGTCCTCAGATGGTAGTTTTGGCAGGAGCATTGCATGTTGGGGAGGCAAATCCATATTCGGAGTAAGTGTCTATCCTAGTAAGAAGAAAACATTCCTCTTTTCATGATGAAGCGGTCCAATGTAATCAATCTGCCACCAAGTAGCTGGCTGACCATCTTGGAGAAGAGTGCCGTATCAGGGGTTCAGTGTTGACTTCTGGCAGGTTGGGCAGTAGCAGTGGCTATAGCCAGGATGGCCTTGGTGAGTGGAAGTCCATGTTGCTAATGTATAACCTGCCTTTATGGCATTATGGCATTATTCCATTATATGCCATTATACATTATGCCATGTATAACCTGCCATTATGGGCTGGGTGTGGTGGCTCACACCTATAATCCCACCACTTTGGGAGGCTGAGGCAGGAGGATCACTTGAACCCAAGAATTCAAGACCAGCCCGGGCAATATGGTGAGATCTTCTCTCTACAAAAATAAAAAAAAATAAATAGCCAGGTGTGGTGGCACAGGCCTGGGGTTCCAGGTACTCAGGAGACGGAGGCAGGAGGATTGCATGAGCTCAGGAGGTGGAGGCTGTAGTGAGTCATGGTCACACCGCCACACTCCAGCATGGGTGACAGTAAGTAAGTAAGTAAGCTCCAGCTGGGGCAACAACAGCAAAACTCTGTCTCAAAGAAAAAAAAAAAAAAAAAGACAGAAGGCTGGAATCTGCACTGCAAAAGAGGAAACTCAAGTGGCCAGTAAGCGAAGATATGCTCAACCTCATTATTAGGAATAATTAGGAATAAAGAAACAAGACCAGATGTATTTCAGGATACAAAATAAATATATAAAAATCAATTGTATTTCTATATGCCAGCATTAGTTAGAAAATTAAAAACTTTAAAATTGCAATCTACATAGAATTAAAGAAAAATATTACAAAAATATTATTTATAAAATAATCATAATCTTAACTAATAGCAATAGTTTTTTGAAGGGGAATATGAGAAAGAGGATTTTTTACAACCTGAGTTTAAAATGTGTATGGATATGCCAACCAATTGGATAAGCTAGATGAAATGGACACATTCCTAGAAATACACAACTTACTAAAACTCAATCATGAAGAAATTAGAAAATCTGAATACACCTTGTCCTAGTCAGCTTGGGCTACTATAACAAAATGCCACGAACTGTTCTGATTAGCAATCTCTCCCTCTCTCCCTCCCTTCTTTCTTTCCTTTCTTTTCTTTCTTTCCTTCCTTCCTTCCCTTCTCTTTCTTCCTTCCTTCCTTCCTTCCCTTCTCTTCCTTCCTTTCTTTTTCTTGCTTTCTTGCTCTTCCTTTCTTCCTTTCTTTTCCTTTCTCTCTTTTCTCTCCTTTCTCTCTTTCTCTTTTTTTCTTTGTTTCTTTGTCTTTCTTTTTTCAGGGTCTTGCTCTGTCACCCAGGCTGGAGTGCAGTAATACCATAACAGCTCACTGCAGCCATTACCTCCTGGGCTCAGGCAAACCGCCCACCTCAGCCACCTGAGTAGTTGGGACTACAGGTGGGCATCACCACACCCCACTAATTTTTGTATTTTTTTGTAGAGATGGAGTTTTACCATGTTGCCCAGGCTGGTTTTGAACTCCATGGCTCAAGCGATCCACCCACCTTGGCCTCCCAAAGTGCTGGGATTACAGGCGTGAGCCACGGCACCTAGCCAACAATTTCTTTCTTACAGTTCTGCAGATTGGAAGTCAGATTGGGATGCCAGCAGGGTTGGGTTCTTGCTGAGGGTCATTTTTCCAGTTTCAGAGAGCTGACCTCTCCCTGTATCCTTACATGACAGAAAGAGAGCTAGTTCTCTTCCTCTTCTTATAAGAGAACTGATCCCTCATGGGGGCTCCTGAGGACCTAATTACCTGCCAAAGGCTCCCACTGGTTAGTTTTGACATTTTTGAACTTCATAGAAATAAAAAATATATACTTTAATGGAAGAGTCTTCTCTAACTTGTTTCTTTCACTTAACATGCTTGTGAGATTCATTCATATTGATGTGCACATCAGTAGTCATCCATGTTCGCTGCTGTATAGTACTCCATAGTGTGGATGTACCACAATTTATCTATATTACTTTTTCTGTTTTGTTGTTTTGTTTTTGAGACAGAGTCTCACTCTGTCTCCCAGGCTGGAGTTCAGTGGTGTGAATTTAGCTCACTGTAACCTCTGCCTCCCAGGTTCAAGTGATTCTCATGCCTCGGCCTCCTGAGTAGCTGGGATTACAGGTGCATGCCACCACGCCTGGCTAATTTTTGTATTTTTAGTAGAGATGGGGTTTCATCATGTTGGCCACGCTGGTCTTGAACTCCTGACCTCAAGTGATCTGCCCACCTTGGCCTCCCAAAGTGCTGGGGTTACACCCATGAGCCACTGCACCCGGCCTTATCCATTTTACTTTTAATAAAGATTTCAGTTGTTTCTCATTTTGGCTATTGTAAACATCACTGGAACTTTTTTAATTTTTTTTGAGACAAGGTCTCACTCTGTCACCCAGGCTGGAGTGCAGTGGTGTGATTGCAGCTCACTGCAGCCTCAACCTCCTGGGCTCAAACGATCCTTCCACCTCAGCCTCCCAAGCAGTTGGAACCATAGGTGCATGCCACCATGCCCAGCTAATTTTTAAAATTTTTTTGTTGAGATGGGGTCTCACTATGTTGCCCAGGCTGAGTAACATTTTAATATAAGTCTCCTGGTGCACTTGTCCAAGATTTCCTTAAGGGTATATATATCTAGGGGTGCAATTGCTGGGTTTTAGAGTACACACCTGTTCAAATATACATAGTAATGCAGACTGTTTTCCAAAGTAGTTGGACCAGTTCAGACCCTATCTTCGTCTGTTTTGTGTTGCTTTAAAGGAATACCTGAGGCTGGGTTATTTATAAAGAAAAGAGGTTTATTGGGCTCATGGTTCTACCGGCTATACAAGAGGCGTGGCCCCAGCACTTACTTCTGATGAGGGCCTCAGGCTACTTCCTACTCATGGCAGAAGGCAAAGGGACACCAACATGTGCAGAGGTCACAAGGCAAGACAGGAAGCAGGAGAGTCGGCGAGTGCCAGGCTCCTTTTTAACAACCAGCAATCATGAGAACTAATAGAGTGAGAACTGACCCCCTTCCCCAGAGAGGGCAATAATCTATTCATGAGGGACCTGCCCCATGAACCAAACATCTCCCATTAGGCCCTTCTTCCAACCTTGGGGATCACATTTCAACATAAGATTTGGAGGGACAGAGGCCCAAATGATAGCGTACCCCTACCAGGAGCACATGACCGTTTCTCTCCATATTCTCACTGACACTGGGCATTGTCAGACTTGTAAATTTTTTTCCATCTGTCAGGCATGTAGCATGATCCGACTGTATTAGATATTAACTCATGAAGTAGGTATTAACTTGTACTTTCATGATTATTAATGAGGTTGAGCATATTGGCATTTATTGGCCATTTGAGTTTCGTATTTCTTTGAAGTGCAGATTCCAGTTTTTGTCTATTTTTCTATTGGATTGTTTGTCTTTTTCTTGTTGATTTGTCATTGTTGCTGATTTGCTAAGTTCCACCATAAATTCTTTCTCAGTTATTTGTTGTAACATCTGAGAGGGCCTGGAGGCACCGGAGAAGCTTCAAAGAAGGGCTGAGGACAGAGGTCTTGTAGGTGGAGCTGAAGTTCTCCAGGCAGCGAGGTTAGCCCTGCCATCCCACACAGAGGAGCAGCTTGGGCAAAGATTACACTGGCTGAAGGGCCTCCAATCACACGTAACTGGAAAGAGGTAGAAAGGAGAAAGAATTGCTTTCTCCACTCAGCTTTCTCAGGCAAATTCAATGTGTTTCTGGCTTGAACATTCCTGTTTTTGAAGACTGCTTACAATGTGGATAAAATGGATTTGTGTATCTCCAGTTGGGGCTTTAGCTCTGCCTGGAGTCTTTGAAGGCTTATCTCTGAGAAATTACCACAGATCTTTGGGGAGGAGAGTGGGGCAGATTGGAGGACAGCATCCTCTAAATGAAGTCATTTTCATGGTCAAGACTTGCTCCCTTTACCTTTTTTTTTTTTTTTGAGACAGAGTCTCGCTCTGTTGCCCAGGCTGGAGTGCAGTGGCATGATTTCAGCTCACTGCACCCTCAGCCTCTCGAGGTCAAGCGATTCTCTTGCCTCAGCCTCCTGAGAAGGTGCCTGCCACCATGCCCAGCTAATTTTTGTATTTTTAGTAGAGATGGGGTTTCACCATGTTGGCCAGGCTGGTCTCGAACTCCTGACCTCAAGTGATCTGCCTGCCTCAGCCTCCCAAAGTGCTCCTTTAAAATTCTGAAGTATCTTGAATAAGTATTTGGAACCCCAATCTAACAAGATCATTCATCATGAATCTGCCCTTCAAAAGATATAATTTATTTGTATTTCTCTGGGAATCATTTAGGAACAGCAGTTCAAAGCTTGAAATGGGTTTTCTTCTTTTGTTATCTCTCACAGTTGACAGATCTCTCTTGCTAAGCTGCGATTTGGCAGTGCTTGGCTCTTAATCCCAGCTATTTAAAAGTACAGTTAAGGAAAACTGTAATTCTGAGGCAATGCGTGTTTTGAAACCTTATTTGGCCTCTCATTATCTCATTCATTGGGGCGGGAAGCACTCAGGCTGGGGTCACATGCTTGGCCTAGGGAGAGGATGACTATTCTGTCCTCGGACTGACCGGGCCCTGGAGTCGGGCAGGGAAGGCTGAAAATAGTCATTTCTTGGCTGCATTGGTCAGGCAGGAGGGTCTCTGTAACACAGGGTCGCTGACAAGTGAGACGGAGACACAAGGTCCCCGGAGGTCGGCCTCAGCAGGGACAGTGCATGTGTTTGTAGGACAGTTGAGGAAGTCCTAAGCAAAGCTTTACAGAGCTTTAGATTGATTACAGTTGTTTACAATTGTTACAAGAGAAAACTAAAGTGTAGTCTTCTGTTCAAAGTTTGAATTTTCAACTCATTTCTGAGTTAGCATTCCTGGATCTTAGTTCTCATCGAAATCAAGCATCACTTTCCCCCTGTATATTATTATGTTAATTTGGTCAACTGTCTTGTAAAAGTCAGATGCCTGTCTGCTTGTTCTCACTCATTTGACCTATGTGATTAAACAAGTATTATGCACCAGGAACTGTGCCAGGCATAGGGATAAAATATGAATAAGACAAATAAGAAACAAGCTTTTCCTCTGATGAGTCTTTGTTCAAAGCTAATAGCTGGGGCTTGGTTCGGTGGCTCACTCCTGTAATGTCAGCACTTTGGGAGGCCAAGGCGGGCGGATCACATGAGGCCAGGAGTTCGAGACCAGCCTGGTCAACATGGTGAAAACCTGTCTCTACTAAAAATACAAAAATTAGCTGGGTGTGGTGGCACACACCTGTAGCCCCAGATACTCAGGAGACTGAGGCAGGAGAATCGTTTGAACCCAGGAGGCGGAGATTGCAGTGAACTGAGATTGCATCACTGCACTCCAGCCTAAATGAAAGAGCAAGATTCTGCTTAAAAAAAAAAAAAAAAAGTAACAGGAGGGCACAGCGATTCACACCTATCATCCCGGCCCTTTGGGAGGCTGAGGCAGGAGGATCACTCGAGGCCAGGAGTTGGAAGCCAGCCTGGGCACTATAGCAAGACACCATCTTTATTAAAAAAAAAAAAAAAAAAAGGAAAAACTGGTGTTGGGGGTCAGAACGGATGTGACTTTGGGGTACTGTTGATAACTGGAAGGAGCCACAAGGGGCTTTCCAGGGGTGGTCGTGTTTTGCTTCATGATCCTGATGCTGGTTCCATGGCTATGTTCACTTTGTGAAAATTCACTGGGCTGATTATCTATGATGTTGCCCAGGCTGGGTACCATTTTAATATAAGTCTCCTGGTGCACTTGTCCAAGATTTCCTTAAGGGTATATATATCTAGGGGTGCAATTGCTGGGTTTTAGAGTACACACCTGTTCAAATATAAATAGTAATGCAGACTGTTTTCCAAAGTAGTTGAACCAGTTCAGGCCCTATCTTAGTCTGTTTTGTGTTGCTTTAAAGGAATACCTGAGGCTGGGTAATTTGTAAAGAAAAGAGGTTTATTGGGCTCATGGTTCTACAGGCTGTACAAGAGGCAGCTGAGGTGAGAGGGTCACTTGAGCCAGGCATTCGAGGCTGCAATGAGCTGCGGTTGTGCCACTGCACTCCAGCCTGGGTGACAAAGCAAGACACAATCTCTTTTATTTTATTTTATTTTTTTTGAGGTGGAGTCTTGCTCTGTCACCCAGGCTGGAGTGCAGTGGCACGATCTCATCTGACTGCAAGCTCCGCCTCCCAGCTTCACACCATTCTCCTGCCCCAGCCTCCCAAGTAGCTGGGACTACAGGCGCCTGCCACCACGCCCGGCTAATTTTTTTGTATTTTTTTAGTAGAGATGGGGTTTCACCATGTTAGCCAGGATGGTCTCAATCTCCTGACCTTGTGATCTGCCTGCCTCGGCCTCCCAAAGTGCTGGGATTACAGGCGTGAGCCACCGCGCCTGGCCCAACACCATCTCTTAAAACGAAAAAAATCATCACATGATTTGAACTTGGAACTTTCTGACCTCAAAACTGTTTAAAAACCCTAAAAAAAATTCTCAAGCAGGGAAAATGAAAAAACTAAAACAACATAAACATGCTATGGACAGATCAAAGCTGCTACTATCTTTTGACTAATGGAAAAAGCAAGGTGAAATGAGCGTTTCCTGTTTAGAGAGTGTCGAGGGGTCAAGGAGGACCCTGCCTTCATATTCTATTGCACTCTTACAAGTTTTTCCCTAACTTTAAAAAACACAAAAACAAAGTATTTGATTTCTTGAATATTCTGAGGTTTTGCTTTCTAAAGGGTTTTTTGGGGGCAAAGTGATGCCAGGATTTCTGGGAAAAATAGAACATTAGAAAAAAAGATACTTTAATTTAGTTCCAATGTGTTGCAATCTTAAAAGAAACTTTCACTGCACTACTGGGGATTCCAATTTAATAAAGCTGTTTTTAAAATAAATGTCTGTGGGCCAGGAGTGGTGGCATGCACCTATAATCCTAGTTACTTGGGAGGCTGAGGCAGGGGGGATCATTTGAGCTTAGGAATTCAAGGCTGTAAGGAGCTATGATCATGCCACTGCACTCCAGCCTGGGTGACACAGCGAGACCCTGTCTCAATAAATATATTTGTGGATCATAGTTTTCTAATGTAAATATTATCAAAGTATAACATTCTCACCAAAAACCTAAGAGCCTGAGTAGCTGGGACTACAGGCACATGCCACCATGCCTGTCTATGTTGTTTTAGTCTTTTTTTGTTTTTGAGATGGAGTCTCGCTCTGACGCCTAGGCTGGAGTGTGGTGGCGTGATCTCAGCTCACTGTAACCTCCACCTCCTGGGTTCAAGTGATTCTCCCTCCTCAGCCTCCCAAGTAGCAGAGATTACAGGCACCCACCACCAAGCCCGGCTATTTTTTGTATTTTTTAGTAAAGATGGCATTTCACCATCTTGGCCAGGCTGATCTTGAACTCCTGACCTCATGGCGTGTGCCACTGTGCCTTGCTATGTTTTACTCTTTTTAAATAAAAATTGTTCTGGCTGGATGCAGTGGCTCACGCCTGTAATCCCGGCACTTGGGGACGCTGAGGCGGGCAGATCATGAGGTCAGGAGATCGAGACGATCCTGGCTAACATGGTGAAACCCCATCTCTACTAAAAATACAAAAAATTAGCCGGGTGTGGTGGCACATGCCTGTAGTCCCAGCTACTCGGGAGGCTGAGGCAGGAGAATCCCTTGAACTTGGGAGGCGGAGGTTGCCGTGAGCTAAGATTGCGCCACTGCACTCCAGCCTGGGCGACAGAGTGAGACTCCATCTAAAAAGAAAAAATTGTTCTAAGGTGTCAACGTGGCTTAGGTTGTGGACGGCACATGCGCAGAACCTGCTCTGTGATATTTAACTTTGCTATAACCAGTCCAGCACATTTAAATAGACTATAGCACCATGCGTCTGTGTTCTTCTTACTTAGCTCCTGAGGATGAGTTGAGAAGTATGTCTCTGATGATTAACTTTTAAGTAATGAAGTCTGCAAAGATAAAGCCAAGGAAAGCACATGCGAATATCCTGCTTCATCCACAACCAACTAAACCACCAAGTGTCAAGTGTTTATTCAACTTAAAAAACATATATATAAACTTCAAAAGTTACCAAAATCCATAAGGTAATAAGAGAAGAACCTGTCCTGGAAAGAGTGATGACTGACAGTCCAGCTCTGTCTCCCTTCCTGACTTTACTAGTGCATTGATACTTGCTGATGTAGCCTTTATCAAGATTTGTTAAACATCGTGTGGCTTTCAGTTCATTCTGGGTCCTTTAGAATCACCGAATAATTTATTACCCAAAACTAGGCACTTTTGAAGACGAAAAGAGACACTAAAGATAATTAACAGTGTTACCGACCTACAACACAAGCAAACTGAGACTGACCGGGCAAATCAGGACATGTGGTCTCCCTACTTTTCTCTGGGAGAAAACAAACTAGAGTTTTTGGGGTTTTTTTCCCCACTAGACTTTACTGTGTCTTTTTTTCTTTTCTTTCTTTTTTTTTTTTTTTGAGCTAGCCGCCTCCCAGGTTCAAGCAATTCTTGTGCCTCAGCCTCCTGAGTAGCTGGGATTACAGGTGCACCCCACCACACCTGGCTAATTTTTGTATTTTTTAGTAGTGATAGGGTTTCACCATGTTGGTGAGGCTGGTCTTGAATGCCTGACCTCAAATGATCTGCCCACCTCAGCCTCCCAAAGTGCTGGGATTACAGGCGTGAACCACCGCGCCTGGCCCACTGCATCTTTTCACAGTGGCATATCCTGCACCCTTTCCTCAAGTCCACCGCTCCTCAATCTTACCTGGTTCCCTGCCCTCTCTCCCTCCTAGCTACTGCAGGGCCGTGTATCTCGGTCTAGCTAATCTACCAGCCGGCCCTGCCTTTCCTTATTTATTAAAAACATCCAGTGTACAAGGTCACATTAACCCTCTCTTGCAAATCACATTCATTTTGGATATCATGGCTGATTTAAAGCAAAACCAAACCAAACAAGAAAGAGAACACTCAGCTCAAACCCACACCACTCCACAGTCTTTCCTAATTAATGTTCAACTTTTCTGATTGCTTCAAGGTCTATTTCTTCATCATCACCCAGGTACACAGGTTTTCACTATGCTGTCTTCTATTTGTTGATTGTAATTTACAGTGTTCCGAAGTCATTGCATATTTTCATATGTCTGTGTCTTACTCATCCATTAAGATGAGACAGGACTAGAACTGCTTTTCTCTGGCACCCAGATTGCCTGGTACACTGTTCAATATGCAACACGTCCTCAATATTCTTTTTTTGTTTTTAAGACTGAGTCTCACTCTGTCACCCAGGCTGGAGTGCAGTGGCACTATCTCGGGTCACTGCAACCTCCGCCTCCCAGGTTCAAGTGATTCTGCCACCTCAGCCTCCTGAGTAGCTGGGATTACAGGCGCACGTCACTACGCCCAGGTAATTTTTGTATTTTTAGTAGAGACAGGTTTTCACCATGTTGGCCAGGCTGGTCTCGAACTCCTGACCTCAGGTGATCTGCCCGCCTCAGTCTCCCAAAGTGCTGGGATTACAGGCATGAACCACTGCACCCAGCCCTCAATATTCTCACTGAAAAAAGAAATCTTTTGACGGCCAAAAATTCCAAGAACTTTTCTTCACCTCACCCACCCCCACGTGGCATTTACTTATTATTCTGACAGTTGAAATATAATTAATTCTCATTATTCATGGATTCCCTATTTGTGAATTCACTTTCTAAAATTTGTAGCCTCAAGAGTGACATTTATGGCACTTTCATGGTCATTTGTGGATATGCACACAGCGGTGAAAAATGTGTGTTGCCTGATGTGTGTGTTTGCCAGCAACGTACAAGAAAGCCAAACCCTGCCTTCTTGTTTCAGCTCACACTGTAGATAAGTATCCTTTTCATGGTAAATTCAGTACTATATTTTTTGCATTTTTGTGCTTTTTGTTGGTGATTTTGTTATAGTAGTTAGTCAGGCATGAGCAGGGCAGGAGAGAGCTCCCCTGCACGCCCCCCAACACACACCAGGAATGTCAGGCGACCATCAGGTGATGGTTCTGCAGTTGTTAACTGTCTCTCTAAAATAATAATTGGTCTCAGCCAGAGCCAGGGAAGGGCAGGCTCCCAATAGATAGAAAACACCTGAAGGTGGTGATCAGCAGCTTCCGGATAAGATCTCAGGAGCTGGGTGAGTGTGCTTAAGCATGCGCACAAGACAAGATGGCAGAGTTTAACTGGTATATGACCTTCTGTATTAGTAACGTTTCCCTAGAGGGACAGAACTAATAGGATATATATCTATATCTATATCTATATCTATATCTATATCTATCTATCTATCTGTCTGTCTGTCTATGCAGTTGATTAAGTATTAACTTACATGATCACAAGGTCTCACAGTAGGCTGTCTGCAAGCTGAGGAGCAAGGAGAGCCAGTCTGAGTCTCAAAATTGAAGGACTTGGAGTCCGATGTTCGAGGCCAGGAAGCATCCAGGACAGGAGGAAGATGTAGGCTGGGAGGCTGGGCCTGTCTCTCCTTTTCACGTTTTTCAGCGTGCTTTAATTGCCAGCAGCTGATTAGATTGTGCCCACCAGATTAAGGGTGGATCTGCCTTCCCCAGCCCACTGACTCGAATGTTAATCTTGGCCGGGCGCTGTGGTTCACGCCTGTAATCCCAGCACTTTGGGAGGCCGAGGCAGTGGATCATGAGGTCAGGAGATCGAGACCATTCTGGCTAACACGGTGAAACCCCGTCTCTACTAAAAATACAAAAAAATTAGCCGGGCATGGTGGCAGGTGCCTGTAGTCCCAGCTACTCGGAAGGCTGACGCAGGAGAATGGCGTGAACCCGGGAGGCGGAGCTTGCAGTGAGCATAGATTGTGCCACTGCTCTCCAGCTGGGCGACAGAGCGAGACTCTGTCTCAAAAAAAAAAAAAAAGTTAATCTCTTTTGGCAACACCCTCACAGACACACCCAGGATCAATATTTTGCATCCTTCAATCCAATCAAGTTGACACTCAGTGTTAACCATCACAAGTCCACCCCTTGTCAACTTGAACCCATATATATCTCCTGAGATCATACATAATATTCAAATAAAGACAATAATGAGGTCATAATTATGCCTAACATAATACAACTATCCTTCGTACAGATGGAAACGCATCAATTCCCAACCCAAATACTATTACATAAAGTTAACAATACTTAAATGCTGAGATAAAGGCAATAAATCTTATGTCACACGATAAAGGAAAAGGAAATAAAATGAAGATATTTTCTTAGTACAAGTATATACATGCACAAATATGTTTTTAGCAAAAGAAGGAGAAAATACTCATGACAATGACAGTCCCCATTTTTGCAGCTGGTCGCATGGTCATAGCTGGTATTGATGACTACCTTTTTCTACTACCCATCGGTATTCCCTTTGCCGTCAGCAAACACCTCGGCAGGTCATGTTTTCTTTCCTGGTGGAGTGACCCAAACCTTCATTCCTGAGGGGCCTAAGCCATTTGTAGTCCCACCTGGCTTGAGCTGTTGTAGTTTCCCATTGACCTTAATCATAGGGCATGGTAATATTAAGAGAAGCCCTAATGGATCTCCTGTATTCCATGCATACTCTTCCTTACCTCCATTATGGAGTAGGAGAGTGATTTCATCTTTATAGTCCAGGTCAGTCACCCCAGCCAACACTGTAACTCCCTTCTTAGCCTGTTGATTTAAAGGTAGGAGGAGCCCAAAGTGTCTGGGTGGCAATCTTAACTTCCAGTTTAATGGAATCATTGTGTCTCCTGGTGGCAGCGTTCCTTCCTCTGGAACTAAGACCTCTAGGCCAGCAGACTGTAATGTTGCAGGAAAAGGAAGCAAAAATTTTGCTAGTGGATCCCTAGGGGTGATGGTGAGTGGTGCCACTTCTAGCCCTTGATTCCTGGACCTGTGAATCTTGGCTATGGGAGAAACAGTACCATATATTGGATGCTGATTCAGAGCATACACGACCTTCTGGAGAACTTTGCCCCAGCCCTGCCAAGTATTGTCACCTAGTTGACACTGTAATTGTGACTTCAAAAGGCCATTCCACCATTCTATCAATCCAGCTGCTTCAGGATGATGGGAAACATGGTAAGACCAGTGAATTCCATGATCATGAGCCCACTGCCGCACTTCTTTAGCCATAAAGTGAGTGCCTTGGTCAGAGGCAATGCTGTGTGGGATATCATGATGGTGGATAAGGCATTCCGTGAGTCCACAAATGGCAGTCTTGGCAGAAGCATTGCATGCAGGATAGGCAAACCCATATCCAGAGTAAGTATCTATTCCAGTGAGGACAAACCTCTGCCCTTTCCATGATGGAAGAGATCCCATATAATCAACCCACCACCAGGTAGCTGGTTGATCACCCTGAGGAATGGTGCCATATTGAGGGCTCAGTGTTGGTCTCTGCTGTTGGCAAATTGGGCGCTTAGCGGTGGCTGTATTCAGGTCAGCCTTAGTGAGTGGAAGTCTACATTGCTGAGCCCATGCATAACCTCCATCCCTGCCACCATGGCCACATTGTTCATGGGGCCATTGGGAAATGACAGGGGTGGCTGGGGAAAGAGGCTGAGTGGTGTCCACAGAATGGGTCATCCTATCCACTTGATTATTAAAATAATCCTCTGCTTAGGTCACCCATTGGTGAGCACTCACATGGGATACAAATATCTTCACAGTTTTTGACCACTCAGAGAGGTCCATCCACATACCTCTTCCCCGAATTCCTTTGTCACCAGTTTTCCACTCATGCTTCTTGCAAGTCCCTGATCATCCAGCCAAACCATTGGCTACAGCACATGAATCAGTATATAATCACACATCTGGCCATTTCTCCTTCCATGGAAAGGGTACAACCAGGTGCACTACTCAAAGTTCTGCCCACTGGGAAGATTTTCCTTCACTGCTGTCCTTCAGGGATGTCCTAGAAAGGGGCTGTAGTGCTGCAGCTGTCCACTTTCAGGTGGTGCCTGCATATCGTGCAGAACCATCTGTGAACCAGGCCCTAGTCTTCTCTTCCTCTGTCAACTGATCATAGGGAACTCCCCATGAGGCCACTGGTGCAGGATGGGGGAGAAAAAGCAGGGTGGCAGGAGTGGAGACCATGGGCATTTGAGCCACTTCCTCATGTAACTTACTTGTGCCTTCAGGACCTGCTCGAGCCCAATCATGTACATACCACTTCCATTTGATGATGGAATGCTGCTGTGCACAACCCACTTTATGGCTAGATGGGTCAAAAAGCACCCAGTTCATGATAGGCAGTTCAGGTCGCATGGTGACTTGATGACTTATAGTCAAATGTTCAGTTTCCACCAAAGCCAGTAACAGGCCAAGAGCTGTCTCTCAAAAAGAGAGTAGTTATCTGCAGAAGATGGCAGGGCCTTGCTCCAAAATCCTAGAGGCCTCCACTGTGATTCACCTATGGGGGCCTACCAAAGGCTCCAAACAGCATCCCTATCTGCCACTGACACCTCAAGCACCATTGGATCTGCTGGGTCCTATGGCCCAAGTGGCAGAGCAGCTTGTACAGCAGCCTGGACCTGTTGCAGAGCCTTCTCCTGTTCTGGACACCACTCAAAACTAGCAGCCTTTCAGGTTACTCAATAAATGGGTTGGAGTAACACACCCAAGTAAAAAATGTGTTATCTCCAAAACCCAAATAGGCCCACTAGACATTGTGCCTCTTTCTTGGTTGTAGGAGGGACTAAATGCAGCAACTTATCCCTCATCTTAGAAGGAATAGCTTGACAGGCCCCACACCACTGGAACCCTAGAAATTTTACTGAGGTAGAAGGTCCCTGAATTTTAGTTGGATTTATTTCCCATCCTCTGGCACGCAAATGTCTCACGAATAAGTCCAGTGTGTTTGCTACTTCTTGCTCACTGGATCCAATCAGCATAATGTCATCAATGTAATGGACCAGTGTGATATCTAGTGGAAGCGAAAAGCAATCAAGGTCTCTCCGAATAAGATTATGACACAAAGCTGGAGAGTTGATATACCACTGAGGTAGGACAGTAAAGGTATATTGCTGGCCTTGCCAGCTGAAGGCAAATTGCTTCTGCTGGGCCTTATGGACAGGAATGGAGAAAAAGGCATTTGCCAAGTCAATGGCTGCATACCAGGTACCAGGAGATGTGTTAATTTGCTCAAGCAATGAAACCACATCTGATACAGCAGCTGCAATTGGAATCACCACTTGGTTAAGCTTACAATAGTCCACTGTCATTCTCAAGATCCATCTGTCTTCTGCACAAGCCAAATAAGAGGGCTGAATGGGGATGTTGTGGGAATCACCACCCCTGCGTCTTTCAAGTCCTTGATGGTGGCACTAATCTCTGCAGTCCCTCCAGGGATGTGATATTGTTTTTGATTTACTATTTTTCTAGGTAGAGGCAGCTCTAATGGCCTCCACTTGGTCTTTCCCACCACAACAGTCTTCACACTACCAGTCAGGGAGCCAATGGGGGATTCTGCCAGCTGCTAAGTATGTCTATGGCAATTATGCATTCTGGCACCGGGGAAATGACCACAGGATGAGTCCAGGGACCCACTGAACCCACTGTAAGTCAGACCTGAGCTAAAACTCCATTAATTACTTGGCCTCCATAAGCTCCTACTTTAACTGGGGGACCACAATGATGTTTTGGGTCCCCTGGAATCAATGTCAGCTCAGAGCCAGCGTCCAGTGGTCCCCCAAATGTCTGGTCATTTCCCTTTCTGCAATGCACAGTCACACTGGTAAAAGGCTGGAGGTCTCTCTGGGGAAGGATGGGAGAAAGATCCACTGCATAAATTGTTGGTAATGTAGTGGGGTCCTCCCTCAAGGAGACCCGACCTCCCCTTTATTCAAGGGATTCTGGGTCCGTAAACTGGCTCAAGTCTGGAAATTGAGGGGCCGTGATTCTCTGTTTTTATAATTCAAATTAGCCTTTTGTCTATTCGACCTAGAAGTTTTCCACTTGTATAAATTAAGTAGGAATGCAGTAGGCTCCCTATCAATTTCACTTCTAGGAATACCATGATTAATTAGCCAATGCCAGAGCTCTACACCAGACTATTCTGATTGTGACTTTGCCTCTGCTGTCCATTACAGTAGATATTCCCACCTTGCCTTTGATGGTTGAGTGCCACTACTTGGTCCCTGCCACCTCAGGATCCAATTATTCCCATTGTATTTAAATTTTGTAGTTGAGTGACTGCAGTTCCCACCATTAGCTCTGACATACAGAGAAGAGCAATTATAGGGCTCTTCAAAGATGCAGGTGCTGCCCTCACAAATCTATTTCTAAATGCATTGGTCAAGGGTATTTGGACCCTCCCAGCTGGGATGAGTAGGTCTAAAGTGACTAATCCACTCCACCATCCCAATCTCCCTAAGCCTTTGGATCCCTTCCTCTACATTAAACCAAGGGAGATTAGGCATTTCCAGCTCGTTCACAGTGGGCCATCTTTTAATCCATATTTCAGCTAACTAAGCAATTACACTTTTAGAACCTTTTTTAACTCCCCAAGCTGCCATATTAAAAGCAGAGTCCCTACTCAGTGGGCCCAAATCAATAAATTCAGTGTGATCTAACTCTATGTTCCTTCTACCATTATCCCATACCCGTAATATCCACTCCTATGCCTGTTCTCCAGATTTCTGTTTACATAAATTAGAGAACTCAAACAGTTCTTTTCGAGTGTAGCATACCTCCTCATGGGTCACACTCTCAACCTCACCTCTAGGGACCGACTGGGACTTTAGTCTAGTTATAGGTCTAGAAGCAAACAGGTGTTGGGGGTGGCTCCAGAGGAGAATCAACATTACCTTGCCTGGCAACAGCCTCAGGGGAGGCCATCACTGTTGCCTCAGGCAGCGCAGGGTTTATCTCCCCAGACAAAGGTGGAAAGACTGATGGCAGCATGGGTCTGGGAGGGCATGTTGCCACTACTGGGGATGGGGAAGCTGTTCCTTCTCACAAAAAAGTTTCATCAGAGTTTACAAACTCAGTGTCCCCACCTTCATCAGGGTCCTCCCACACATCCCCATTCCAAGTTGCAGGGTCCCATTCTTTTCCAATCAATGACCTCACTTTAACAGTAGACACCTGGCGAGGCTGTGCATGCACCTTTCATTGCAGGTCAGCCACTTGCATGATACGAGCTTGTGTCTGTTTTTCCACAATTTCAGCTCTTTCTCTACAGGAGATAAGACTCTCACTCAGGGCAATCTTAGAATATTTGAGGGTCAGTATCTGCTTCTGAAGCTGGGAGACAGAATCCCTGAGTTCATCATTTTCTTTCATCACTTTGTCCACTGAACTTAGGAGCAAACAACCAGCTTCATTATGTTCCTTGGTTCTCCACACATGATCAAAGGTATTATATATAGAGTCACTAAACTCCTTGCCTCTCAGGAGTGATGAATCAGGAGTGTCAAATGCATTTATTTTGCATAACTCTTTAAGCAGTTCATGCCAAGGACTATCCGTGTTCTCCATACTGTTAGAAGTAGAGTCCTTAGCATTTTGGGGTCTAATCATATTAAGCAGCCAACTCCAGAAACCCCAAAACCAACGAAATAACTCCATTCTTAATATTATGTTCCTCTAGAACCACACCTGGTACCAAAATCTGTATTAGTCAGGGTTCCCTAGAGGGACATAACTAAAGGAGAGTTTATTAAGTATTAACTTACACGATCCACAAGGTCCCACAATAGGCTGTCTGCAAGCTTGAGGAGCAAGGAGAGCCAGTCCGAGTCTCAAAACTGAAGGACTTGGAGTCCAATGTTCAAGGGCAGGAAGCATCTAGCACAGGAGAAAGATGTAGGCTGGGAGGCTAGGCCCATCTCTCCTTTTCACGTTTTTCTGCCTGCTTTAATTGCCAGCAGCTGATTAGATTGTGCCCACCAGATTGAGGGCGGATCTGCCTTCCCCAGCCCACTGACTCAAATGTTAATCTCTTTTGACAACACCCTCACAGACACACCCAGGATCAATACTTTGTATCCTTCAATCCAATCAAGTTAACACTCAGTATTACCCATCACACCTGCCTCTAGAAATGCTAGACTGGTAAGGGAAGAATGTCTCAAATGAGCATGCGTACAATTCCAGTAAACACACTGAGCGTGCGGCCCCTCCCAAATTCTGGCAGGCCACTGCACATGCGGACAGCCCAGCCCAAGGGCAGAATCAGGGGAGAAGGAATGCAAGACCCTCAGAAGTATGCCAGCGTATAAAATCCCAAGTCAGAAGGTCAAACCGAACACTTGATCTCTGAAGTCGCCCGCTTGGCCCTCTTCCAAGTGTACTTCCTTTCATTTCTGCTCTAAATTTTTTATTTTTTATTTTTTTATTTTTTTTTAGACGGAGTCTCTCTCTGTCGCCCAGGCTGGAGTGCAGTGGTGTGATCTCAGCTGGCTGCAACCTCCACCTCCTGGGTTCAGGCGATTCTCATGCCTCAGCCTCCCGAGTAGCTGGGACTACAGGTGCCTGCCACCACACCTGGCTAATTTTTGTATTTTTAGTAGAGACAGGGTTTCGCCATGTTGGCCAGGCTGGTCTCGAACTCCTGACCTCATGTGATCTGCCTGCCTCGGCCCCCTAAAGTGTTGAGATTACAGGCGTGAACCACCATGCCCGGCGTGCTCTAAAACTTGTCTCAGCCTTTCCTTCTGCCTTATGCCCCTTAGTTGAATTCTTCCTTCTGAGGAGGCAAGAATTGAGGTTGCTGCCGAACCCCTGCGGATACAGATTCACTGCTGGTAACAATTTCACTGTTTAAAATGGCTCCCAGGCATAGTGCTGAAGGGCTGTGTAACATTCCTAGCACAAGAAGGCTATGATGTGCCTTATGGAAAAAATATGTGTGTGTGTGTGTGTGAAGCATCATTCCCGCACGAGTTATAGTTGGGTTGGCCATGAGTTCAGTGTTAGTGAATCAAAAAGATATATTAAACTAGGTATCTTTAAATAAAAACACACATAAAACAAAGTTATGTATTGCTTGATTGACAAAAACACTTTTTGACCAGAGGCTTGTAAGAACCTAATGCTGTATTTCCCCTAGAAGCAATTGTTCAATATTTGCCAGTTCAGTGTTCACGGCAACTTTATAAAACGTAAATACTGCAAATAAAGAGAACTGACTATACTTAAATAAACATTGTTAGAATTGCCCAGTCTGAAATACTAGAGACTTAACTTGTTCATGACTAGTCCATACTATTCTGAGTATAGACCATGATTGTGCCAAAATTTAATAATTTATTTCAGAATCACCAAATACATTTTGCCTATTTAGAACATTTTGTTGACTCCAGAACAGTCAACTCACATTCCTTAAATAAATGATGAACTACAACATAGTTTGATGTGGCTCATGTATATGAAGACATTATTGCCTAAGCTATTACAGCTCTCTTGGAAACAAACATGCAAAAAAATTCTAAGAGCCTATTTTTGTCAGTTATTTCTTATGATGAAAAAAATGTGTTCAAAACCATACCATAACTGTGTCAGCGATGACATCTCAAATGTAGTGTATGGTATACTGTTAACTGTAGAAAGTATTCTTAGATCTAAGAAACATCTGAAAAAAATTAAGGGATATGGAAGGAGTAACTAATTTCATCTTTTTGAAGAAGATCTTCACTGTCGAATTGCCTGATGATCTGAATTTATTTACGCAGCATTATCAATCTCTCGAAGAACTCACTGCCTTGTTCTAAAATAAAATCCTTCGCTGTATAGAGGATAAATCTTCTAAACAATAAGCTGAGCTACATGCTTTATCTGGGGAGCAGCAGAAAGAAAACTGGGCTAGAAGTCAGTATTCTTGTTTTTCTAGACAAAGTCTTGTTCTGTCACCCAGGCTGGAGTACAGTGGCACCATCTCGGCTCACTGCAACCTCCACCTCCCAGGTTCAAGTGATTCTCCAGAGTAGCTGGGACTACAGGCACCCACCACCACACCCAGCTAATTTTTTGTATTTTGATTAGAGATGGGGTTTTGCTATGTTGGCCAGGCTGGTCTTGAACTCTTGCCCCCACGTGATCTGCCCACCTCGACCTCTCAAAGTGCTGGGACTACAGGCGTGAGCCCCTAAGAGCACAGTATTCTATTCTGGACAATCGCACTTAGGGCTATTCTGATTGAGTTATACACATGCACTCTTTACACTTCATGTTTGGAAGGAACTGCAGTAGATGGTCAGCTTCCATGTTGACTGGCAAACAAAAGGAATGATAAAGCCCCTGAACCTGACTCCAAATTTGTTATTGTTACTGATGTGGGTATGTCAATAACAATGGTAAATATTCACCCTCCGTTCACTGAGTGCCAGGCACGATGTTAACAGTTTACATCTGGCAATGCAATGAATCCTCCCCACAGCCAGATGAGTGATTCCAATTTTCAGAGAAGAACATGGAACATAGAGGGGTGTATTGTTTGTCCAAGATCATTCAGCTAAGTGGGTGAGGGTGCCATATTTTGAACAGTACACTAACTCTACTGCATGAATTCTGAAAACCCTTTTTTTCCATGTGATTTCAATTTTTCACAGTTTTGAAACTCTCAGGTGATAGTGTAAAACGTATGAAGGTACACACCCCTAATCAATATAGAAACATTTCCTCCCCGTATCTCTCATGAAAGATGATTAAAATAATGGCCATAGTCCTTGAGAGTATCATCTAATCAGTCAGTTGATAAGGTCTGTCTTAGGTTCAAAGGACAAGGAGATTTTTGACTTCTTAGCTTTGTATCGCAAAGGAGATATTTACAAATAAGTAAGTTAAGAAAAACTGAAGAGGGCAAGTGTTCTTTGTTTTGATTTCATTTGTTTGATCAAAGCTTTTGACAAGACAAGAAAGCAGCTGTTATTTATAAATTTTGAAGTCTGGAGACTCACTGAATTTGTTCTGGGTATGGGGGAGGTTACATGGGTTTAATGGTTTTTAAATTTATTTGGGGGGAATAAGGGTTGTCTTTGGGTACACTACAGCGATGGCTATTGAGGAGTATCCTGAGGCATGGGGGTCAGGGGTTGAGGTCTTGGTAAGTGTTTTAGTGGGGTTAGCGATTCTGGTACAGTGGCTTGTGCCTGTAATCCCAGCACTTGGGAGGCCGAAGCAGGTGGATTGCTTGATCTCAGGAGTTCCAGACCAGCCTGAGCAACATGGGGAAACCCTGTCTCTACTGAAAATACAAAAACTAGCTGGGTGTGGTGGTGTGCACCTGTAGTCCCAGCTACTCAGGAGGCTGAGGTGGGAGGATCACCTGAGCCCAGGAGGTCAAGGCTGCAGTGAGCCCTGATTGTACCACCGCACTCCAGCCTGGGTGACAGACCCAGACACTATCTCAAAAAAAAGAAAGAAAAAAAAATTGTTCTGAAGGTCCCTCTCCAACATAATGCCTATTTCAAATGGAGCTAAACAAAATTGTATTGCCCATATCCTGGCATTCCAGAACACAGAACAGGCTAGATGCTGCAGCCAGTTCATTTTTCTTGGGGATGTTTCTCTTTCCCTATTAAACTCATTGTTTTTAAAAGAAAGAAGGGTGTCTTTTATTCAAGATATCTAGTCTTCAAGAACTTTGTTTTTCCATCATTAAATAAGCAGAAAAAGGAAGCAATAAAGACACCTAAAAGTACACCTAGAAATCCAGGGGACAGTTTTTTTGAACTTTTGAATTCCAGAAAGTAAAGAGCTGAGGCGGGAGGGTCGCTTGAGCCACAAGTTCGAGACCAGGCTGACAACATAGTAAGACACCTATCTCTACAAAAAAACTGATAAAAATTAGCCAGATGAGGTGGCACGTGCCTGTAGTCCCAGCTATTCAGGAGGCTGAGGCAGGAGGATTGCTTGAGCCTGAGAGGTGGAGGCTGTAGTGAGCCATGGTAGCACCACTGCCCTTCAGCCTGGGCGACAGAGCAAGATCCTGTATCAAAAAAAAAAAAAAAAAAAAAAAGGGAAGATGAGGGATCAGAAGGGCGGAAAGACAAGGCTAATCTCATGATTCTTGACCACATCCTAGATGCAAATCAGTTCATCTTGATCAAATGTCCCCTGCGCAGATGACGGGGGTGGGGCTAGGGGAAATGTATTTGCCTGCTGCCTCAGTGATAGTCACTTTCCTTTTCCAACAGGCAATGGAGGGGGCACCTGGGTGTGCTGGAGGCCCAAGAGGCTCACTGCTTCCAAGAGAACTGTCCCTAAACACGTACAGAGCCTGATGAACATCTTACGTCATGACCCACAAGTGAATAAGAGAATGGATTGTATGAAGTAGTTCTTCCTTGAATTTTTGCTTTAGGTAAGTTGGTCACACAATCAAGGGTGTGTGTCCCAAGTTACTATGGGACACTTGTTTTTAAAGCAGAAGAAATTCCTTCAGATTGTTATATAAAATATAGTTTTCAAGTGCTCACTTAAGGTACTTGGCAGCATATAAAAAATTCATACTTGCAGCTTTCTGGCAGTCATATCCACGTTATTGTTCATGGCAGGGATCAGAAGTCCTGCCCAATTAGTCTGTTTCTTAGTGTGCTGAAGCTCTCTATCCTCCGGAAGCTTCCCTCTGTCTTGTTTCTTATGCAGGGCTCTCTGGTTCCTGAGTTTGTTGCATCCCTTCCTCCAGCTGGAGTAGAGAAAACAAAGAGGGTCTCTTGGGATCTTGGCCTCAAATCAAGAAATAACCTTGTGGCTGGGCACAGTGGCTAATGCCTGTAATCCCAAGACTTTAGGAGGCGAAGGCAGGAGGATTGCTTGAAACCAGGAGTTCAAGATCAACCTGGGCAACAAAGTTAGACCCCCCCGCCCATCTCTACAAAAAATAAAAAATTAGCTGGGCATGGTGGTGTGTGCCTGTACTCCTAGCTGCTTAGAAGACTGAAGTAGGAGGATCACTTGAGCCCAGGAGTTGGAGGCTATAGTGAGCTGTGATGGTATACAAAAAATCAGCCTGTTATGGTGGTGTGCGCCTGTAGTCCCAGCTATTCAGGAGACTGAGGCAGGAGGATTGCTTGAGCCCAGGGATATCGAGGCTGCAGTGCACCATGATTGCACCACTGTACTGCAGCCTAGATGAGAGAGCAAGACTCCATCTCAAGAGAAAAAAAAAAAACAAAAAAGTAAAAGAATGGAATAATAGGCCGGGCACAGTGGCTCATGCCTGAAATCCCAGCACTTTAAAAAGCCAAGACAGGAGGATGGCTTGAGATTAAGTGTTCAAGACCAGCCTGGGAAACGTGGTGAGATCCCATCACTACCAAAAATTCAAAAAATTAGCTGAGTGTAATGGCACACACCTGTGGTCTCAGCTACTCAGGAGGCTAAGGTAGGAGGATTGCTTGAGCCTGGGAGGTCGAGGCTGCAGTGAGCCATGATCATGCCACTGGACTCCAGCATGGGTGACAGAGTGAGACCCTTTCCCCCAAATAAATAAATAAAAATACAAAAGAGGGAAGTAACCTTCTGAAAGTCAAGAATGTTCTGTCTTCCAGGGGCAGACCCACAATAACATACATGGGCTTATGTCTAGAGAAAGACATGCAATAAACATTAGCTCACTTAGTTGACTGTCCATCAGGAACGCTAACACCCTTCATTGCATGGCAATGCCTGGAAGCTCTCCAAACACAAGCCCCGTGTCAGTTTGGGCTCACTCATGAATCCTCAGTATTTTTGCACAATGCCTAGCTTGTAACAGATGCTCAGAATGAAATTTATTTACCAATAAATGTTATTGATAGCTGATTAAATATAGTATTGTGGTCATCTCAATGACAAGTTGGCCCTTATACTCTTAGACAACTTCCTATTATAACTTTGATTTGACGGAAAAAACAGATTGACTTGATCAGTTCAATGCACTTTCAAGTTTGAGATTTACCTGTACCAGACACACATTGGAGTTGTTCTCTGCTAATTGTAGACACACACAACTTGTGTGTTTCCCCCATTTCCCCCCCTCTTCCTCTTCTTCATTTCTATACTCTGTTTCTACTCTATGAGTCTTTACGGCCAAGATGGTGTTAGGACAGGCAGGATAGGGAAGTCACACAGAAAGATACAGATTGGGTTACGAAAGACAGCTTTTTATCCCTTTCTGTTATTTCCCCCCCACGGTGGCTCTTTTGAAGGCTGGGATGACTTCAGTCCACTATTTGCATGATCTTCCGCTTAAGAGTCCAGGGACAGATGATGTCCTTACATGGTATAATGTTCTGCTTGGCCCTTGTAGTTTCTACTTAGGGACTTCTCTTTCTTTCATCTGCAAATCAAAAGGTCCAACAACACCATCAAAGAATATTAGAAACAAAATAGACCAATGGCTTCATTTAGTAAAGTAGGAACATAGCAAACGTTTTTATTTTTTATTTTTTGCGACAGATTTTCACTCTTTTTGCCCAGGCTGGAGTGCAGTGGTGAGATCCCGGCTCACTGCAACCTCCATCTCTCTGGTTCAAGCGATTCTCCTGCCTCAGCCTCCCAAGTAGCTGGGATTACAGGCATGTGCCACCGTGCCCGGCAAATTTTTTTTTTTTTTTTGTACTTTTAGTAGAGACGGGGTTTCTCCATGTTGGTCAGGCTGGTCTTGAACTCCCGACGTCAGGTGATCCACCCGCCTCGACCTCCCAAAGTGCTGGGATTACAGGCGTGAGCCACCCCGCCTGGCCCATAGCAAAGCTTTATTCACTTAACGAGTCATGGCCAACAGCGTCTGGTTAGCTCACAGAGGCCACAGTTTTATCTGTGGAGTCTGGTAACCACGCCACTCACGACCCTGTACATTGATTAGATGCAGCAGGTCATCTCAAACACACAGCTCTCTCCAACACCCCTTAGAATACAACACTTGGGTGGTGATTTTACTTAACATTCTGGTACTTCATCCCAAAAAGACATCGGTAGAGATTAGTGTAACTCAACAACAGGCAGAAAACATACAAGAAAGTTTAAGACGGATGTCTAGCAGTGCCTGAACTGTTAAGAAGCAAACGTGAGTAAATGCCTTAGTTTCAATAGAAAAAGAAAGTTCACAGTGGGACCTCAGAAGCAGAGGCTGTGAGATCACCTTTCAAGAATTGGAGGAGAATTGCAGTAAGTGATAGAGCCGGACGCTGAGCTGCAGCAGCCTCTGGGAATTGGCGGGGCTGTGGCTTGTCCTGTCCTGCCGCCCCCCGCGTGGCCTCGGAAACTGTCAGATGGTGCCTAAGGCAGAGTTGGGCAAAGAAAGAACCAGCGTTCGTTTCCTCCTGGACTCTCTAGGTCCATGGAGCTGGTGGGGGAACGGCCCTGTCTTGCCCGAGGAGGAAATTCGAGTCGAGCCCCCACTCCTCTCCCCGCGGGACTGATAAACATGTCCCTCATTCGCCCCGGGAGGCTGGCACCCAGGCACGACGCGAGGACGGCCAGACTCGCCGACGGCGGCCGCGTCCCGGGGGGCCGGGAGCGAGCCTGTCGGAAGGTGGGAGGCGGAGTCGCTCGGCATCTGGGAAGAGACCAAAGGAATGAGTCATTGGAAATGCTGTAACGTAGACCCTTATCCCAAACCCTTTCGCCCCTCCACCCCGAGCCCCCTGCCGAGAAGCGAAGGGACTGGAGACGGGGAGACTTGGTGGGGGGAGAGTCACGTTTCGGAGAGGGAAGTGAAATAAAGAGGGCGGCACCCGGGGGGACCTGTGCGTCATTGAGGGACCGGGGAGAAGCGCAGGGCGCACGGGGCTGCAGAAGGAGAAGTAGGAACGAGAAGCCGGAGGGGGCGGCCGCGGAGCACTGGTTGGAGCGCCGCGAAGCGCCCGAGCCTCTTGCCTTCGCGGGCGGCGCCCTGGCCGCCGGCAGCCTTGTGGCCGGTGCCCCGATCCGCCGCGCTCCGGACCCGGGCAGGCGGGGCGCGCCCGCTGCGCGCGGGATGTGGCAGCCCAGACGGCCCTGGCCCCGCGTGCCCTGGCGCTGGGCGCTGGCGCTGCTGGCCCTGGTTGGCGCGGGGCTGTGCCACGCCGGCCCGCAGCCCGGGTATCCCGCGCGGCCCAGCGCCAGGAACAAGTAAGTGCGCGCCCCTTGGCTGGCCCCAAACCGCCTACCCCTCCCCGGCCCCCAGTTGAGCCCCAGAGCTGCCCTGCCAAAGACGACGAGCGGCAGCCGGGGGCCTCCCTTGGACTTCCCCGGGCGGCTCCCTCTGCGGGGGACCGCGCGCTCCGCAGCCGGCGCCTCAGGCAGAGCTGACTCCGGGGGCGTGGGCGCAGAGAGCGTCCCGCAGACCCGGGCGATCCGAAAACGACTCCCAGGAATTCCATGAGCCCCTGGGACCATGGGTGCTTTTCTTTCCCGTCTTGGTCGGGTCCAGGCGCGCGCTCTCCAGAGGCGCACCCGGGCACCCTCCGGCGTCTGCTCGGTGAAGCTCCCGCCTCCGCAGAGGGCGACGGGCCCCCCCGACCCTCGCTCGGTCTGGTGCCGCAGTCCCCTCTCCCCTGGCCTCATTGTTCTCCGGGTTTACCCCGTGCCCCTCTCCCTCTCTCTCCTGCACCCCAGGAACTGGTGCGCCTACATCGTGAACAAGAATGTGAGCTGCTCCGTGCTGGAGGGAAGTGAGAGTTTTATTCAGGCTCAGTACAACTGTGCCTGGAACCAGATGCCCTGTCCGTCGGCGCTGGTGTAAGTCCTGGAGCCGGGGAGCGGGCGGGGCGCGCCCGGGCCGGGGCGGTGGGGGTGGGGTGGGGTTGCTGCGCTGGGCTCCAGTCCCTCCGGTAAATCCCTTCCAGATCCGGTGAAAAGCCCGCAGCGGAAAAGCGCTCCGAGCGCTCGCGGGGCACCGGCCACGCTGGGCTATTTAGGGAGTGGGTGCTGCCCGAGTGAGTGGGGAGGATGCGCGCGCCTCGGGAGTGTGGGGTCGCGGGGGCGTAGGAGAGGATGAACAAAGCTCCCACTCCCACTTCTGTTTTCTCCCTTTCAATGTTTGTTTGTAACATAAGGCAGCTGAATCTAATTGGATCCATATTGTGTGTTCTGGGGCACACAGAAGATTCCAAAATGTATACTGCTAAAGACTATTCCGTATAGGATTCGCTGAGAGGTTTGGCTAAGTAGTGTTCTAAAACGAGTGAGTTCTGTCCGTATGTCCCCATAAAACGGAATCTTCCAGTTTTGTAGATGTCTAAGCTAAAACCTCAGGAACACTTTGCTTAAAAGTGTGGCTCCCCAGCATCCCTCCCCGCAACTTAGATTTGGAGATTCTCTAGAGATTGTGGGAGAGAATGGCCGTTAAAGACAGGGGGAAGAATTAATCATCTTTTTGCTTATAAAGATTTCCCCATCTTAAAAAAAAAAAAAAACAGGAAGCAATGCAATAAAGTACAAATGCCGTTAAATACATGACACTCATTCAATTGTCATCAGGCAAGTCTTTGGGGGTTTTGTATCAGTCTGATACCGGAAGATGGGCCAGTGTGAATAAATGGCTGTTGAGGAACACATGTGATGGCTGAAATTAATTGTTTTCCACTAAGAATAAGTTGTTTGTCTTAGAGCACAGTTGTCATTACAGCAGAGAATAGTCAGTAGGCGGATCTGTCTTTGGCAAAACCAAGGGACAGACTGGAACTTGTACTCCAGGAAACCTTATTCCAGAGAACAGTAGATGAGCCTGTAGTCTTATGGGAAGTGGTCGCTGGGTCCACCCCACGTGGGCTTCTGGAGGAGCTGCCAACAGGGTTCAGCTAATTCCTGCTCGGCAAAAACAAAGTAAAACAAACAGAAACTTAGACGAGGTCCCCATTTCCTAATATACAGTGGAAAACGCTGAAATTGAATGCCCAGCTAGGCTATCTCTTTGAGTTGGATACATTGTCAGAGAGATAAGGTACTGTCATCCAACCTTAATCTCTTAGTAAGATTGAGACCTCATCGTCTATGGCCAGCAGTCAACGACATCAGAACCAAGCAAGGTTTTTACACTGTGGGAGTGATACAAACTAAGTATTCAACTCAGTTTGAATGCATTTGTTTAAAATTAGAATTGAGTTATTAGTCAGGAATATTTTATTCATCTTATACAAGAACTGCATGGTGTGGCTTGCTATAACCTTAAAACTTACTGGTGACAATTCGGAGATAAATGAATTTTTCATTTTGGGAGGTAATGCATTTTTGTTTAAAAGATGGCTTGTTTTTATTTTCTCAAATTATTTTAGCTGCTTGGAAAACCAAAGGATGATTTAATTGTTCTATTTGACCAAAACTCAGTGAAACTTGGCTGTCAGTGGGGAGTGAATCGCCTCCAGATTGGCAGGTCAATGCAAGGCAGTGGGAGTGCATTTTTGCCACCCAGTGAGTAGGACAACAGAATTATTATAAAAAATGACAGATGTTTCTGTTGTTTTATTAAACAAAGCCAAAATAAGTGACCTGGATGTTTTATTTCAATAATAACCATATAAACAATACAAGTGCATTTTTACATTTTAAGTACTGCACTGTAAGTGTGAAGTTTAAGAAACAAAGACTGAGTTGATGAACCTGAAAATCTTGACATTAGCTTCAGCAGTAAATTCAGTCTTGACTTTTTTCAGTTTCTTTAGGGATGGAACAGAATGGTTTATCTTATTTTTCAACTGAGGAATGCTTCCTAAGATTTCTTTTTTGTTTTTTGTTTTTTGTTTGTTTTGTTTTGAGACAGAGTCTTACCATGTCACCCAAGGTGGGGTGCAGTGGCGTGATCTTGGCTCACTGCAACAACTGCCTCCTGGGTTCAAGCAACTCTCATTCCTCAGCCTCCCGAGTAGCTGGGACTACAGGTGTGTGCCACCATGCCCAGCTAATTTTTTTTTTTTTTTTTTTTGTATTTTTAGTAGAGATAGGGTTTCAACATGTTGGTAAGGCTGGTCTCGAACTTGAGCTCAGGCAATCCGCCCGCCTCAGCCTGCCAAAGTGCTAGGATTACAAGCATGAGCCACCATGTCTGGCCCCTAAGTTTTGAGAATTGGTGGATGAATGAAGACAAAGGAAGGAGCCTTCTTTTTATACTTAACAAGGAGGAATGGCTGTTTCACATGGAATTGTTCAGTGTTTTCTGAGGAATCCAGAAGCCTGAGTCACCTGGGACCTGTGGAAGGAAACCTGAGGTTCTTTTTTATTATTATTGTTTTTTAGAGACAGGGTCTCACTGTGTCACCCAGGCTGGGGTGCAGTGGCACCATCATAGTTCACTGCAACCTCTAACTGTTCGGCTCAAGCGATCCTCCTACCTCAGCCTCCTGAGTAGCTGGGATTACAAGCAGAAGTCACTGCATCCTGCTAGTTTTTTATTTTTATTTTTTTAGGGATGGGGTCTCACTATGTTACCCAGGCTGGAAAAAAACGTTCTTCAGAAACTCACTCTAGAGTGACTGAGGGATAATTTGTGAGCAGTGTTGGAAGTACAGGGCTGGAGGTTGGCCGAGATGCTGGAGATAGAAACGCATTTCTGCAGTTGAGAGTGACGGACAGGTTGGCATCACTGAGGCCTTGACATGGTTGAGCAGAGCTGAGTTCTTAGGGACAGTGGAGGGGAAGGAAGAGGAAGAGCTGGGCAAGGAGAGAGAGTGAAGCAAAGATATTGGTGGAGGAAACCCCATCTTAGAGACTCAGGAGAAGTCCTGGAGGCTTCAGGCTCCAGAAAGGCCATGGGTTAGTGAGCAGGAAGCAATTGTTTCTGCAGAAAGAGGCCATTCAGGTCAGTGGGGTGCAGGCATTGTAATTTGTGTGAGATTGAGGGAGTGAGTCATGAAGAAACTTAGTTATACAGAAAATGATATCATGGGAAAAAGGCTCTGATGGAAAAAAAAAAAAAAAGGAGCTGAATAGTAGCCAAGCAGGTAAAGAATTACTTAGAGAGAGATCGGGGCCAGGCAGGATGGCTCTTGCCTGTAATCCCAACATTTTGGGAGGCTGAGGCGGGAGGATCACTTGAGCCCAAGAGTTTGAAATTAGCCTGGGCAACATAGTGTGACCCTATCACTATAAAAAAAAAAAATAGCAGGGCATGGTGGTGCATACCTGTAGTCCCAGCTACTCGGGAGGCTGAGATAGAAGGATTGCTTGAGCCCAGGAGTTCGAGGCTGCAGTGAGCTATGATCACGTCACTGCGCTCCAGCCTGGGTGATAGAGTGAGATCCTGTCTCGAAACACAGAGAGAGAGCATTCTGCCTATCTGGGGACAGAAGTAAAGTAGCCATAGAGAGAGTGCTCCGAGACTGAGGGTGAAACCGCTGGGAAATGGGGTGTGATGGAGGTACTCATTTAAATAACAGGAGGAGGGCTTCTGCGCCCAGCCATGTCACTGGGCCCTGACAGCCTCCTTAGCTGTAGAGACTGACTACAGGCCGCAGGTGCCTTGTCAGAAGGATTAGACGGTGCCCTGTTTACATGTATGAAAAGCCTTAGATTCCAGATTGTGAATTTGAATATTGTTATGTGCAACCAGGAACAGAAGGGGTTTTTATATAAGTGGGCATTTTAAGTAATCACTTTTCTGATACTATAAAGTACCTTCTATGTGCCAGGCCCCATGTTAGGGCTTTCCATTCCATACATTAGTTTATTTAGTTTCTGCAACAGCCCTTCGGGTTGAATAGTATTGTCTCCATTTTACCAAGGAGGAAACTGAGATGAGCCATTCCCTAAGTTGCTTGTGATCACGTGAGGGTAGCCACTGAGCCGCCTGCTAATCCAGGGCTTTGCGGACTGCCCTCTGTCTCTATAGCAATGCAGAATGTGCCTGTTTGTTTGTCTTAGTGTGTGCTTTCGGTAGGTTGCACAGTACTCAACTACTAAGAGCATTTACACCTTCTTTCATAAAAGGCAATTCTCATATAGAAGTGTTGAGAATGCATTTCTGTGTGCATTCGCGCGTGTGCATGCATGTGCCTGCATGTGCCCTTAACCCTCTCTACTGTGGGTCATTTGCCTATGACGCATGAACTATGTCATTTTTCACACTATACAGTTTGTTGGCTTATTTTAATGAAGCACTGGCAGATTGAACGCTTAAAGTTGTTATTAGAGAGGCGAGAGTTATCGGACATACTGCATGGACCAGTGAGCTCGACCGCTTCAGGACTTCCACATGTATGTTCCCGAGCTCAGCTGCCAACATGAAACTTGTCACAGGGGAATGGTGTTAAAAGCAGGCTTCCAGAAAAAGAATTTAAAGCCCATGCCCTAATGGTTGTGATACTAGTTTTGTGTGTAAGTAATTGTGCAAAAATTCGTTTTTTCTTTTTTGAGACAGGGTCTCGCTCTATTGCCCAGGCTGGAGCGCAGCGGCACCATCTCGGCTCACTGCAACCTCCACCTCCTGGGTTCAAGCGATTCTCCTGCCTCAGCCTGCTGAGTAGCTGAGATTACAGGCCTGTACCACCACGCCCAGCTAATTTTTGTATTTTTAGTAGACACAGGGTTTCACCATGTTGGCCAGACTGCTCTCGAACTCCTGACCTCAAGTGACCCGCCTGCCTCGGCCTCCCAAAGTGCTGGGATTATAGGCGTGAGCCATTGCACCTGGCCCGCAATAATAATTCTTAACACCTATAAAGATTCACCATCACTTAGGAATTTAAAATTGGGATGTCTTCTCTCTCTGTGTCTCTCTCTAGTGCACAGGTACTAGATGTGAGGAGGGCTCTGGATCCTCCGGGCACAGGATTGCTTCAACAAAACATGATTTGTCTTCCCTCTGTAAATTCCTAAGGGTGGCTCAATAGAATCTGAGGAAGAGGAGAAGGAAAGGGGCACCATCCCCTGGGAGATAAGGAGAGGACACAGAAGGGACCTGTGGACTCTAAATAACACCTAGCTGCATGCTAGGCATTTACCATTCAGTCCTAGTTCCCAAGGTGGGTCTAAGGGTGGTTTTCCCCTCCTGAGGTAATTGTTTTACTTTATACTTCTACATTAATAAAGCCAAATCTCTTAAAAATTTCATTGTATTGGGGAATTTTCCCAATTAATCCTAAAAACCCTTGGCAGCTTGAACAGTCTGGTAGATCCTGCCACCCCCCCAGCCCTTGGGACATTCCCAGCGATCGCCCGTCAGTGTGGTGGACGCAGCCTCTGAATCTGGACTCTCCGGAGCTGCTGTAAAAGTGCAGAGGTTCTGCCTTGGTCATGGGCTGGTTTTAGGGACAGATATGTGGAGACATGGAATCGGAGTGACTTGGAATTCTTTGAGGCACTGGGCAGGTTGACATCCGTGGGATTGAGGCTGACCGCAGTGGGAATATTTCCTTAAAGTGCATCGTGAGAATGTGACGAGCCCTGCCATGTTCATTGTTTTCCATTCTTATAGCAACCCTCTGGGGTCACTACCCCCATTTTACAGGAGGGCAAGTAGTTAGGAAGCAGCAGAGCCTGCCTTCAAACCCAGGCCTGTTATTTTCAAGCCTCGCACTCCTCCCGCTCCACACCTGGCAGCCCCTGGAGGTCTCAATCCACAGCCGGGCTGAGCACCCTGAGGGTGCATGTGTGATGCCTACCGCAGCGGGTGCTGCATTGCCAGCCTCCCTGTCAGGGTGGAATGGCAGGAGGGAAGGGCCTGACATTTCTTACAGCCTCCAATACCCATTGGTAGTGTTTGGACGTACGGCTGGTAGAAAACAGCACCGTGTTTCTTCTCTTTATTGGACTGGCGTTGTTTTCTTTCATGCTTCCAAATTGTCCCATCACCTCCTGCTCAGCCTGATGGTTTTAGTATTGGGGGCTTTGGGAGGTGTCTGGTCCACAGATAGCCTGCATTGTTGGTGAAGACATCCAAGGACCCCAGAGGTGAGGCAGGATTATTCCCTCTGAGTTCACTTTGCCTCCCAACTCAGGGCTGAGTTTCTGTAGGGCCCAGAGTTTTCTCTTTCTGACACCACACACTGACTTGGGCTTATCAGCATCTGGCCACCTCCCCCCTCAGCCCCTCGAGGCCTGTGTTGTATCTTGGTGGAATTTTTCCTATTAGCTCTTTTTCTAAAAAGATCTTACCAGTCGGGGGAGGGATCTGGGTGGGGCCAACACACAGAGCCTGTGCTGCTGAGATAAGGCCTGCCAGGAATTTGCAGCAGGTGTTGAGTTCCGTGGAGTTCAGGACACCTCTAATCCTCCTCAGGTTCCGAGGGGAGCAGATGGTTGTTCAGTTGGCAGAAAATTTGTCTTATTAGGGAGTAACCTCAGCCAGGAAATGTGGCTTAAAACACACACACACACAGAACATTTGGCTGGGCGTGGTGGCTCATGCTTATAATTCCAGCACTTTGGGAGGCTGAGGCAAGAGGATCGCTTGAACCCAGGAGTTCAAGACCAGCCTGATTAACATAGTGAGACCTTGTCTTTACAAAAAATAGAATAAACTAGCTGGGTATGGTGCTACGTGCCTGTAGTCCCAGCTACTGGAGAGGCTGAGGCGGGAGGATTGCTTGAGCCTGGGAGTTGAAGGCTGCAGTGAGCCATGATTGCAGTACTGCACTGAGGCGTGGATGACAGAGTCAAAAACAAAACAAACAAAAAAACCCAGAACAGAACATGTAAGGCTGCAGGGATCGGGGGAAAGAAAATGAGGGCTTACATCTTCCAGAGCCAGTTTTCTGTTTTCTACATCTCCAGGAACAGAATAACTTTCAGTTCAAAAAGTACCTTTTGTGTATAGCTTTGGGGGAATTTTCTTTCCTTCAGCTTTTAAACAAAAGTTTCGCCATCAATTGGCTGTTAGGAGGCTTGTTCCTTGGCATCGGAGGTAACTTGGAGTCAGCTGAGGAAGACTGAGCTCGTGTCAGAGACTCCTGCACGGGAGGGCTGGAATCCCAGGCGCCCAGCCCTCGAGAGCTGCAGACTGTTGCTATTTTGAGTTTCTTTCTTTGGGTTTCCATTCCTTATGGGCCCCTTGGGGCTGCTCCCTAGAATCTCCAGACCTTCCTTTCAGGTTTCTTATTTCTCTTGTTCCTGTCTCCTTCCTAGGTTCCCAGTGGAGGAGATGCCATGCTTGCAGGGCCCTTCGGCATTTCCAGAACATTTCCACACCATTATTTTATTCTTACCACAAGTTCAGCCAGGAGACTAGGCAGGGCCGAGACTGGGGCCTTGGAAAAAGAACTTCATGCTGAGGGGCTACACTTTCTACCTTCGTCTTACACAACAGTGAATAGCATTCAAATAGGGGTAATGGCCTTACGAAAAGCAGCCTGCTTTTTGTTAGAACTTGTCTTAATTAAGCTCCGTAACTGGTCTTCCTCTGTTGATGTGTTCCACCCACGGTGGCACGTGGTATTTGAGTTAAAATCCTGAGGTAGCCGGAAAAGGGGAGGCAGGTGGGGCCAGGCTGCAGAGAACGGCAAGTGGGTGGGAACTCCATCCAGGTTGGGTGGGTGGCTGACGTGCTTCGGAAGAGGAGACAGAAGAGTTGTCCTACAGCCTGACATCTCCCACCACCAAGCTGTGTGATCACAGGCGAGTCACTTAGCCCGTCTGAGGCACACTTTCCTCACGTCTACATGACAGGGTTGTGGGGAGGAGGCCCCAGTGCGGGAACACAGCTGACAGAACTTTTAAAAATTGCGCTGTCACACTAACGTACTGCATACCCAGCAGGCACGTCTGGTGAACACTCACCGTTTTCATTGTTTGTCGGTTTGGAATGTTATTGCCTCACAGGTGATTTTATCTTTGAGGACTTTGGGTTTGAAGTTAATGCTTACGGACACATTGGAGAAAGGCTAAAATGCTCACGGTTGAAATCGTTAAATTCAGTGAATTAAGATAATAATGATGCTGGCTTGCCTAAGATGAACTTTAAGTGAAGCTCAGCCGGGCACGGTAGTATGTTCCTGTAATTCCAGCTACTCGGGAGGCTGAGGCGGGAGGATCGCTTGAGTCAAGGAGTTTGAATCCAGCCTGGGCAACATAGTGAGACCCCCCTCTCTAAAAAATAAAATAAAATTTAAGTGTAAAAAAATTAAGTGAAATTCTTAGAAATTGCACTGGAAGCCGAGCCAGCAGTGCAGTCTCTTTGGGGAAATGCACATAAGTGATTATGGTCAAAGTCAGTGCTGAAGTAGCCTGTGGGTATTTCTTACTGGTTCTGCAGGTGTCTGTGTGCCTGGAGTAGGTCAGTAAAGAAAGGTTAGCTAGATGGTGGATGTTGCTGTGAGTGGTGGTAAACTAGTGCCAATCCCCAGGTGATCTATCCCACCGCCCCTAATGTGTTCCTTGAATTCTTTTAGAAAAAAATCCTCTTCCTCGTGTGCCTAATATTGTTGTTACTAACATGTGCTGCGTGTACATAATGAAGTAGGTGCCGCATCCAACAGTTACACAGAACTTTACATCCTGTCTTTAAAAATCAAAAGCGGGGAAACCGTACCAGTGGTGAGGTTCCTTCTAGTCTCCCACACAAATGTTCTGATTTATCATTGGCCGCGTGACTTCTTTACTGCTCAGCGTTAACTACTTCCATCCTTGATGAAGTAGTTTTCTGGGCTTAAAAATAACAACAAACCACTTGATAACATGGTACAGCTGAGCATGATTTCTCCTTACAAAGAACCATTTTCCTGGGAGAATCGAGGGAGGAGCCCCTTATTTTTCAACATGACAGCAGTTCACACTGAAGGGAAAATAATGAAATGACTAAAACTAAACATGCCAGTAAGTTTTCTTCTTTCCTTCCTGTTTTAAAATGGTGATGAGGGCTGAAACAAAGTAGGGAGCATTCAAATGAGCCAAATTCCTGGTTCGAAAATGCTGTAAAAGCAAACGTTTCTGGGTGTGTCACTTAGAAGGACCCAGAAGGACTCAGCTGCCCTTTTTTTGTTCCACCTAAGAAAATATTAGAAGATGAGGGAATACGCCTAAGAATTACTCTTTGCAGTGTCAGCCTTTCAGGACAATGTATTTTATTATGTGTTTGGTTAAAGAAAAACTGTGTAGGTGAAGTTTTTTAAGTGGATCATTTCAATGGAAGAATTTGCTGAGACTTTGCAGCTTTTCCCCAACTTTTCCCATCTCTGTGCACCTTTGTGATTGCACAGGTTCTGCCTAATGCATGGCCTTCATTAGGTTATGTTTTACAGAGATTTACTCTCAGTCCATCAGAAGACAAGGCACAAGATGTTTCCCTCTTACTTGAAGTGGTTTCCCTACATCTGCTTGACAGGGATGTTGTGAGAGGATAATGAGGTAAAGACCTAAAAGTGTTTTCTAAACCATAGTGGTGACAATGCTGCTTGTTTTTCTGCTAACTGAAGCTTTTGCACATATCTTGAAACGGAGGAGGAAAGCCGAGGGGGCGATTGCGACAGAACTCAGGGCGTGGGACGAGTTTTGCAATCCAGCCCTTCTTGGGGAGAACCTCTCTCCATTAAAGCGACTCTGGCTTGCCTTTAGCCTTTGAATGAAGGACTGGGGCAGGGAGGCATGGTCAAGCCTTTCTTAATATTTCACACATTCCAGAACCTTGAGTCCGGTCTGTTGTGCTGACGATGCTCTGGCCTGGTTTATGTCAGGCATCTCTGACCTTGGAGATTTTGGGCAGCTTTCAGCAGGAGCAGCAGCCTGCTGGTGCCAGGAAGCAAGGTCAGGGCCCCCACTCCACCACGATGGGCAATGCGCCCTTTCCCATCACAACAAGTTTCATCACCTCCTGGCCACTCTCGAGATTTGCGAGTCATTCTGTTGCATTGCTGCTGAAAATAACTGGCAAGGCAAGGCACAGATCTCCTTCTCACGGCCGGTGCAGGGGGAAAGCAGAAATGCCGCTGTATCTCGTGTCTGGAACCAAAGAGCAAAGCACTTTCTAGAAACTCCTTGTCAGAATCATTACCGGAAAATGAGTAATCCCAATTAGGAAGCACTTTTTGTTGTATTTTCTTTTTTATTTTTTTTTATTTCCATAGGTTTTTGGGGAATGGCTGGTATTTGGTTACATGAGTAAATTCTTTAGTGGTGATTTATGAGATTTTGGTGCACCCATCACTTGAGCAGTATACACGGAACCCAATTTGTAGTTTTTTATTTCTCACCCACTTCCCATCCTTTTCCCCTGAGTCCCCAAAGTCCACTGTGTCATTCTTAGGCCTTTGCATCCTCATAGTTTGGCTCCCACTTATGAGTGAGAACATAATGTTTGGTTTTCCACTCCTGAGTTACTTCATTTAGAATAATAGTCTCCAATTCCATCCAGGTTGCTGCGAATACCATTAATTCATCCCTTTTTATAGCTGAGTAGTATTCCATCATATATATATATATATATATATATATATATATATATATATATATATATGTGTGTGTGTGTGTATATATATATATATATATGTGTATATATATATATGTTCCACAGTTTCTTTTTTCTCTTTCTTTTCTTTCTTCTGATTCTCACTCTGTTGCCCAGGCTCTGGAGTGCAGTGGCGCCATCTCGGCTCACTGCAACCTCTGCCTCCTGAGTTCAAATGATTGTCCCACCTCAGCCTCCCGAGTAGCTGGGATTACAGGTGCCTGCCACCATGCCCGGCTAATTTTTGTATTTTTAGTTGAGACGGGGTTTCACCATGTTGGCCAGGCTGGTCTCGAACTCCTGACCTCAAGTGATCCACCCACCCCAGCCTCCCAAAGTGCTGGGATTACAGGCGTGAGCCACCACACCCGGCCCTATACCACAGTTTCTTTATCCACTTGTTGATTGATGCACATTTGGGTTGGTTCCACATTTTTGCAATCGCGAATTGTGCTGCTGTAAATATTTACGTGTAAGTATCTTTTTCATATAATGACTTCTTTGTCTCTGGGTAGATACCCGGTAGTGGGGTTGCTGGATCAAATGGTAGTTCTACTTTTAGTTCTTTAAGGAACCCCCATGCTGTTTTCCGTAGTGGTTGGGCTAGTTTACGTTCCCATCAGCAGTGTAGAAGTGTTCCCTTTTCACCACATACAAGCCAATATCTATTATTTTTAAATTTTTTTGATTATGGCCATTCTTGCGGGAGTAAGGTGGTATCGCATTGTGGTTTTGATTTTCATTTCCCTGATCATTAGTAATGTTGAGGATTTTTTCATATGTTTTTTGGCCATTTGTACATCTTCTTTTGGGAATTGTCCATTCATGTCCTTAGCCTACTTTTTGATGGGATTGTTTGTTTTCTTCTTGCTAATTTGTTTGAGTTTGCTGTAGATTCTGGATATTAGTCCTTTGTCAGATGTATAGACTGTGAAGATTTTCTCCTACTCTGTGGGTTGTCTGTTTACCCTGCTGACTGTTCCTTTTGCCTTGCAAAAGCTCTTTAGTTTAATTAAGTCCCACCTATTTATCTTTGTTTTTGTTGCATGTGCTTTTGCATTCTTGGTGATGAAGTCTTTACCTAAGCCAATGTCTAGAAGGGCTTTTCCAATGTTATCTTCTAGCATTTTTATAGTTTCAGGTCCTAGATTTAAGTCCTTGATCCATCTTGAGTTGATTTTTGTGTAAGGTGAGAGATGAGGATCCAGTTTCATTCTTCTACATGTGGCTTGCCAGTTATCCCAGAACCATTTGTTAAATAGGGTGTCCTTTCCCCACTTTATGTTTTTGTTTCCTTTATTGACTATCAGTTGGCTGTAAGTATTTGGGTTTATACCTGGGTTCTCTATTCTGTTCCATTGGTCTATGTGCCTATTTTTATACCAGTACCATGCTGTTTTGGTGACTATGGCTTTATAGTATAGTTTGAAGTCAGATAATGTGATGCCTCCAGATTTGTTCTTTTTGCTTAGTTTTGCTTTGGCTATGTGGGCTCTTTTTTGGTTCTATAAGAATTTTAGGATTTTTTTCTAGTTCTGTGAAGAATGATGGTGTTATTTTGATGGGAATTGCATTGAATTTGTAGATTGCTCTTGACAGTATGGTCATTTTCACAATACTGATTCTACCCATCCATGAACATGGTGTGTGTTTCCATTTGTTTATGTCATCTATGATTCCTTTTTTTTAATATACTTTAAGTTTTAGGGTACATGTGCACAATGTGTAGGTTCGTTACATAGGTATACATGTGCCGTGTTGGTGTGCTGCACCCATTAACTTGTCATTTAACATTAGGCATATCTCCTAATGCTATCCCTCCCACTTCCCCCAACCCCACAACAGGCCCCAGTGTGTGATGTTCCCCTTCCTGTGTCCATGTGTTATCATTGTTCAATTCCCACCTGTGAGTGAGAACATGTGGTGTTTGGTTTTTTGTCCTTGTGATAGTTTGCTGAGAATGATGGTTTCCAGCTTCATCCATGTCCCTACAAAGGACATGAACTCATCCTTTTTTATGGCTGTATAGTATTCCATGGTGTATATGTTCCACATTTTCTTAATCCAGTCTATCATTGTTGGACATTTGGCTTGGCTACAAGTCTTTGCTATTGTGAATAGTGCCACAATAAACATACATGTGCATGTGTCTTTATAGCAGCATGATTTATAATCCTCTGGGTACATACCCAGTAATGGGATGGCTGGGTCAAATGGTATTTCTAGTTCTAGATCCCTGAGGAATCGCCACACTGACTTCCACAATGGTTGAACTAGTTTACAGTCCCACCAACAGTGTAAAAGTGTTCCTATTTCTCCACATCCTCTCCAGCACCTGTTGTTTCCTGACTTTTTAATGATTGCCGTTCTAACTGGTGTGAGATGGTATCTCATTGTGGTTTTGATTGCATTTCTCTGATGGCCAGTGATGATGAGCATTTTTTCATGTGTCTTTTGGCTGCATAAATGTCTTCTTTTGAGAAGGGTCTGTTCATATCCTTTGCCACTTTTTGATGGGGTTTTTTGTTTTTTTTCTTGTAAATTTGAGTTCATTGTAGATTCTGGATATTAGCCCTTTGTCAGATGAGTAGATTGCAAAAATGTTCTCCCATTCTGTAGGTTGCCTGTTCACTCTGACGGTAGTTTCTTTTGCTGTGCAGAAGCTCTTTAGTTTAATTAAATCCCATTTGTCAATTTTGGCTTTTGTTGCCATTGCTTTTGGTGTTTTAGACATGAAGTCCTTGCCCATGCCTATGTCCTGAATGGATTGCCTAGGTTTTCTTCTAGGGTTTTTATGGTTTTAGGTCTAACATTTAAGTCTTTAATCCATCTTGAATTAATTTTTGTATAAGGTGTAAGGAAGGGATGCAGTTTCAGCTTTCTCCATATGGCTAGCCAGTTTTCCCAGCACCATTCATTAAATAGGGAATCCTTTCCCCATTGCTTGTTTTTGT
Source organism: Homo sapiens (assembly GCF_000001405.40). Lineage (NCBI taxonomy): Eukaryota > Metazoa > Chordata > Mammalia > Primates > Hominidae > Homo > Homo sapiens. The sequence goes on from NC_000018.10 coordinate 2,861,516, forward strand.
CAGGTTTGTCAAAGATCAGATAGTTGTAGATATGCAGCATTATTTCTGAGGGCTGTGTTCTGTTCCATTGGTCTATATCTCTGTTTTGGTACCAGTACCATGCTGTTTTGGTTACTGTAGCCTTGTAATATAGTTTGAAGTCAGGTAGTGTGATGCCTCCAGCTTTGTTCTTTTGGCTTAGGATTGACTTGGCGATGCAGGCTCTTTTTTGGTTCCATATGAACTTTAAAGTAGTTTTTTCCAATTCTGTGAAGAAAGTCATTGGTAGCTTGATGGGGATGGCATTGAATCTCTAAATTACCTTGGACAGTATGGCCATTTTCATGATATTGATTCTTCCTACCCATGAGCATGGAGTGTTCTTCCATTTGTTTGTATCCTCTTTTATTTCATTGAGCAGTGGTTTGTAGTTCTCCTTGAAGAGGTCCTTCACAATCCTTGTAAGTTGGATTCCTAGGTATTTTATTCTCTTTGAAGCAATTGTGAATGGGAGTTCACTCAAGATCTGGCTCTCTGTTTGTCTGTTATTGGTGTATAAGAATGCTGGTGATTTTTGCACATTGATTTTGTATCCTGAGACTTTGCTGAAGTTGCCTATCAGCTTAAGGAGATTTTGGGCTGAGACAGTGGGGTTTTCTAGATATACAATCATGTCATCTGCAAACAGGGACAATTTGACTTCCTCCTTTCCTAATTGAATACCCTTTATTTCCTTCTCCTGCCTCATTGCCCTGGCCAGAACTTCCAACAGTATGTTGAATAGGAGTGGTGAGAGAGGGCATCCCTGTCTTGTGCCAGTTTTCAAAGGGAATGCTTCCAGTTTTTGCCCATTCAGTATGATATTTGCTGTGGGTTTGTCATAGATAGCTCTTATTATTTTGAGATACGTCCCATCAATACCTAAATCATTGAGAGCTTTTAGCATGAAGGTTGTTGAATTTTGTCAAAGGCCTTTTCTGCATCTATTGAGATAATCATGTGGTTTTTGTCATTGGCTGGATTATGTTTATTGATTTGCATATGTTGAACCAGCCTTGCATCCCAGGGATGAAGCCCACTTGATCATGGTGGATAAGCTTTTTGATGTGCTGCTGGATTCGGTTTGCCAGTATTTTATTGACGATTTTTGCATCGATGTTCATCAGGGATATTGGTCTAAAATTCTCTTTTTTTTGTTGTGTCTCTGCCAGGTTTTGGTATCAGGATGATGCTGGCCTCATAAAATAAGTTAGGGAGGATTGCCTCTTTTTCTATTGATTGGAATAGTTTCAGAAGGAATGGTACCAGCTCCTCCTTGTACCTCTGGTAGAATACAGCTGTGAATCCATCTGGTCCTGGACTTTTTTTGGTTTGAAATCTATTAATTATTGCCTCAATTTCAGAGCCTGTTATTGGTCTATTCAGAGATTCAACTTCTTCCTGGTTTAGTCTTGGGAGGGCATATGTGTCAAGGAATTTATCCATTTCTTCTAGATTTTCTAGTTTATTTGCGTAGAGATGTTTATAGTATTCTCTGATGGTAGTTTGTATTTCTGTGGGATCGGTGGTGATATCCCCTTTATCATTTTCTATTGCATCTATTTGATTCTTCTCTCTTTTCTTTATTAGTCTTGCTAGCGGTCTATCAATTTTGTTGATCCTTTCAAAAAACCAGCTCCTGGATTCATTGATTCTTTTGAAGGGTTTTTTGTGTCTCTATTTCCTTCAGTTCTGCTCTGATCTTAGTTATTTCTTGCCTTCTGCTAGCTTTTGAATGTGTTTGCTCTTGCTTCTCTAGTTCTTTTAATTGTGATGTTAGGGTGTCAATTTTAGATCTTTCCTGCTTTCTCTTGTGGGCATTTAGTGCTATAAATTTCCCTCTACACACTGCTTTAAATGTGTCCCAGAGATTGTGGTACGTTGTGTCTTTGTTCTCGTTGGTTTCACAGAACATCTTTATTTCTGCCTTCATTTCGTTATGTACCCAGTAGTCATTCAGGAGCAGGTTTTTCAGTTTCCATGTAGTTGAGCTGTTTTGAGTGAGTTTCTTAATCCTGAGTTCTAGTTTGATTGCACTGTGGTCTGAGAGACAGTTTGTTATAATTTCTGTTGTTTTACATTTGCTAAGCAGTGCTTTACTTCCAACTATGTGGTCAATTTTGGAATAGGTGTGATGTGGTGCTGAGAAGAATGTATATTCTGTTGATTTGGGGTGGAGAGTTCTGTAGATGTCTATTAGGTCCACTTGGTGCAGAGCTGAGTTCAATTCCTGGATATCCTTCTTAACTTTCTGTCTCGTTGATCTGTCTAATGTTGACAGTGGGGTGTTAAAGTCTCCCATTATTATTGTGTGGGAGTCTAAGTCTCTTTGTAGGTCTCTAAGGACTTGCTTTATGAATCTTGGTGCTCCTGTATTGGGTGCATATATATTTAGGATAGTTAGCTCTTCTTGTTGAATTGATCCCTTTACCATTATGTAATGGCCTTCTTTGTCTCTTTTGATCTTTGTTGGTTTAAAGTCTGTTTTATCAGAGACTAGGATTGCATCCCCTGCCTTTTTTTGTTTTCCATTTGCTTGGTAGATCTTCCTCCATCCCTTTATTTTGAGTCTATGTGTGTCTCTGCACATGAGATGGGTTTCCTGAATACAGCACACTGTTGGGTCTTGACTCTTTATCCAATTTGCCAGTCTGTGTCTTTTAATTGGAGCATTTAGCCCATTTACATTTAAGGTTAATATTGTTATGTGTGAATTTCATCCTGTCATTATGTTGTTAGCTGGTTATTTTGCTCATTAGTTGATGCAGTTTCTTCCTAGCCTTGATGGTCTTTACATTTTGGCATGTTTTTGCAGTGGCTGGTACCGGTTGTTCCTTTCCATATTTAGTGCTTCCTGCAGGAGCTCTTTTAGGGCAGGCCTGGTGGTGACAAAATCTCTCAGCATTTGCTTGTCTGTAAAGTATTTTATTTCTCCTTCACTTATGAAACTTAGTTTGGCTGGATATGAAATTCTGGGTTGAAAATTCTTTTCTTTAAGAATGTTGAATATTGGCCCCCACTCTCTTCTTGTAGAGTTTCTGCTGAGAGATCAGCTATTAGTCTGATGGGCTTCCCTTTGTGGGTAACCTGACCTTTCTCTCTGGCTGCCCTTAACATTTTTTCCTTCATTTCAACTTTGGTGAATCTGACAATTATGTGTCTTGGAGTTGCTCTTCTCAAGGAGTCTCTTTGTGGCATTCTCTGTATTTCCTGAATTTGAATGTTGGCCTGCCTTACTAGATTGGGGAAGTTCTCCTGGATAATATCCTGCAGAGTGTTTTCCAACTTGGTTCCATTCTCCCCGTCACTTTCAGGTACACCAATCAGACGTAGATTTGGTCTTTTCACATAGTCCCATATTTCTTGGAGGCTTTGTTCGTTTCTTTTTATTCTTTTTTCTCTAAACTTCTCTTCTCACTTCATTTCATTCATTTGATCTTCCATCACTGATACCCTTTCTTCCAGTTGATCGCATCAGCTACTGAGGCTTGTGCATTCGTCACGTAGTTCTTGTGCTGTGGTTTTCAGCTCCATCAGGTCCTTTAAGGACTTCTCTGCATTTGTTATTCTAGTTAGCCATTTGTCTAATTTTTTTTCAAGGTTTTTAACTTCTTTGCCATGGGTTTGAACTTCCTCCTTTAGCTCGTAGTAGTTTGATCTTCTGAAGCCTTCTTCTCTCAACTTGTCAAAGTCATTCTGCGTCCAGCTTTGTTCCGCTGCTGGTGAGGAGCTGTGTTCCTTTGGAGGAGGAGAGGCAATCTGATTTTTAGAGTTTCCAGTTTTTCTGCTCTGTTTTTCCCCATCTTTGGTTTTATCTGCCTTTGATCTTTGATGATGGTGACGTACAGTTGGGGTTTTGGTGTGGATGTCCTTTCTGTTAGTTTTCCTTCTAACAGTCAGGATCCTCAGCTGCAGGTCTGTTGGAGTTTGCTGGAGGTCCACTCCAGACCCTGTTTGCCTGGGTATCAGCAGCGGAGGCTGCAGAACAGCGGATATTGGTGAACAGCAAATGTTGCTGGCTGATCGTTCCTCTGGAAGTTTTGTCTCAGAGGAGCACCTGGCCATGTGAGGTGTGAGTCTGCCCCTACTGGGGGGTGCCTCCCAGTTAGGCTACTCAGGGATCAGGGACCCACTTGAGGAGGCAGTCTGTCCGTTCTCAGATCTCCAGCTGTGTGCTGGGAGAACCATTACTCTCTTCAAAGCTGTCAGACTGGGACATTTAAGTCTGCAGAGGTTTCTGCTGCCTTTTGTTTGGCTATGCCCTGCCCCCAGAGGTGCAGTCTACAGAGGCAGGCAGGCCTCCTTGAGCTACGGTGGGCTCCAACCAGTTCAAGCTTCCCAGACGCTTTGTTTACCTACTCAAGCGTCGGCAATGGCAGGTGCCCCTCCCCCAGCCTCACTGCCACCTTGCAGTTTGATCTCAGACTGCTGTGCTAGCAATGAGCGAGGCTTCATGGGTGTAGGACCTTCCGAGCCTGGTGCGGGATATAATCTGGTGTGTGCTGTTTGCTAAGACCATTGGAAAAGTGCAGTATTAGGGTGGGAGTGACCTGATTTTCCAGGTGCTGTCTGTCACCCCTTTCTTTGATTAGGAAAGGGAATTCCCCAACCCCTTGCCCTTCCTGGGTGAGGCAATGCCTCGCCCTGCTTCGGCTCACACTGAGTGTGCTGCACCCACTGTCCGACACTCCCCAGTGAGACGAACCCGATACCTCAGTTGGAAATGCAGAAATCACCTGTCTTCTGCGTCGCTCACGCTGGGAGCTGTAGACTGGAGCTGTTCCTATTTGGCCATCTTGGCTCCTTCCCCTCTATGATTTCTTTCAGCAGTGTTTTGTAGTTTTCCTTGTGGAGGTCTTTTACCTTCTTGGTTAGGTATATTCCTAAGTTTTGTTTTTGTTTTTGTATCTATTGTAAAAGGGGTTGAGTTTGTGATTTGATTCTCAGCTTGGTCACTTTTGGTGTATACGCTTTTGGTGTATATCAGAACTACTGATTTGTGTACATTAATTTTGTATCTTGAAACTTTGCTGAATTCACTTATCAGTTCTAGGAGCTTTTTGGAGGAGTTTTAGGGTTTTCTACGTATATAATCATATCATCAGCAAACAGTGACAGTTTGACTTCCTCTTTACAGATTTGGATGCCCTTTATTTCTTTCTTGTCTGATTGCTCTGGCTAGGACTTCCAGTACTATGTTGAATAGAGAAGTGGTGAGAGTGGGCATCCTTGTCTTATTCCAGTTCTCAGAGGGAAAGCTTTCAACTTTTCTCTGTTCAGTATTATGTTGGCTGTAGGTTTGTCATAGATGGCTTTTATTACATTGAAGTATGTCTCTTGTATGCCGATTTTGCTGAGGATTTTAATCATAAAGCAATGCTGGATTTTATTAAATGCTTTTTCTGCGTCTATTGAGATGATCATGTGATTTTTGTTTTTAATTTGGTTTATGTGGTATATCACATTTATTGACTTGCATATGTGAAACCATCCCTGCATCCCTGGTATGAAACCCACTTGATATGGTGGCTTATCTTTTCGATATGCTGTTGGTTTGGTTAGCTAGTATTTTGTTAAGGATTTTTGCATCTATGTTCATCAGGGATATTGGTCTGTAGTTTTCTTTTTTTGTTAGGTCGTTTCCTGGTTTTGGTATTAGGAGGATACTGGCTTTATAGAATGATTTAGGGAGGATTCTCTCTTTCTCTGTCTTGTGGAATAGTGTCAATAGGATTGGTACCAATTCTTCTTTATTTTATTTTTATTTTTTATTTTTTTAAGACAATAGTAGTTATTTATTTTGTTTGTAGGTCTTTATTTATTTATTTATTTATTTATTGATCATTCTTGGGTGTTTCTCGCAGAGGGGGATTTGGCAGGGTCATAGGACAATAGTGGAGGGAAGGTCAGCAGATAAACAAGTGAACAAAGGTCTCTGGCTTTCCTAGGCAGAGGACCCTGCGGCCTTCCGCAGTGTTTGTGTCCCTGGGTACTTAAGATTAGGGAGTGGTGATGACTCTCAACGAGCATGCTGCCTTCAAGCATCTGTTTAACAAAGCACATCTTGCACCGCCCTTAATCCATTTAACCCTGAGTGGACACAGCACATGTTTCAGAGAGCACAGGGTTGGGGGTAAGGTCACAGATCAACAGGATCCCAAGGCAGAATAACTTTTCTTAGTACAGAACAAAACAAAAAGTCTCCCATGTCTACTTCTTTCTACACAGACACGGCAACCATCCGATTTCTCAGTCTTTTCCCCACCTTTCCCTCCTCTCTATTCCACAAAACCGCCATTGTCATCATGGCCCGTTCTCAATGAGCTGTTGGGTACACCTCCCAGAGTGGGTGGTGGCCGGGCAGAGGGGCTCCTCACTTCCCAGTAGGGGCGGCCGGGCAGAGGCGCCCCTCACCTCCCGGACGGGGCGGCTGGCCGGGCAGGGGGCTGACCCCCCCACCTCCCTCCCGGACGGGGTGGCTGCCGGGCGGAGATGCTCCTCACTTCCCAGACGGGGTGGCTGCTGGACGGGGCTCCTCACTTCTCAGATGGAGCGGCTGCCGGGTGGAGGGACTCCTGACTTCTCAGATGGGGCGGTTGCCAGGCAGAGGGTCTCCTCACTTCTCAGACGGGGTGGCTGGGCAGAGACGCTCCTCACATCCCAGATGGGGCGGCGGGGCAGAGGCGCTCCCCACATCTCAGACGATGGGCGGCCAGGCAGAGACGCTCCTCACTTCCTAGATGGGATGGCGGCGGGGAAGAGGCGCTCCTCACTTTCCAGACTGGGCAGCCAGGCAGAGGGGCTCCTCACATCCCAGACGATGGGCGGCCACGCAGAGACACTCCTCACTTCCCCGACAGGGTGGCGGCTGGGCAGAGACTGCAATCTCGGCTCTTTGGGAGGCCAAGGCAGGCGGCTGGGAGGTGGTTGCAGCCAGCCAAGATCACACCACTGCACTCCAGCCTGGGCACCATTGAGCACTGAGTGAACGAGGCTCCCTCTGCAATCCCGGCACCTCGGGAGGCCGAGGCTGGCGGATCACTCGCGGTTAGGAGCTGGAGACCAGCCCGGCCAACACAGCGAAACCCCGTCTCCACCAAAAAAATACGAAAACCAGTCAGGCGTGGGGGCGCGCGCCTGCAATCGCAGGCACTCGGCAGGCTGAGGCAGGAGAATCAGGCAGGGAGGCTGCAGTGAGCCGAGATGGCAGCAGCACAGTCCAGCTTCGGCTCGGCATCAGACGGAGACCGTGGAAAGAGGAGAGGGAGAGGGAGAGGGAGACCAATTCTTCTTTAAATGTCTGTTAGGATTTAGCTGTGAATCCATCTGGTCCTGGACATTTTTCTTGTTGTATTTTCAAAATGCTAACATACATCTGTGATGTTTTGTGTTATTTTACACAATATGTCAGTTTGAAGGGAGTTTTTTTTTTTTTTAATCCTGTTTGGCTTTCTTCCTTAATCATTGATCCAATACCTTTAAAAGAACAAAAGTAAATATTAGACCTGAGTTCTCTATAGGCAGAAACAATTGGTTATGTGTCTGAAGAGTAATCTGATACATTTTTAAAAAACCAACTCTAGTTAAACCTACATTCTGAAACTTTGACAAAGACTTAATGATGCTGATTTTAGTTTCTATGTAATTGAAATATGTTATTGCATAGTCAAGAAAAGACTTCTCTGGTACTTCCCTTTCACAGATTTGAAGAGATTTAAAAATACCTTAATGCAGAAATTACATAGTTAAAAAAAAAAAAGCTTAATTGAAGTATAATTTACATGAGTAAGCCACATATTTGAAGTTGTACAGTTTAATATTTTGACATATATACCCGTGAAACCAACATCACAATCAACATATCCCTTGCTAATCTCTCCCTCCAGTTTCTCTCCACGTACCCCCTCCCTGGGAACTGCTGATCCACTTTCCCTCACTAGGGATAAGTTTGCATATTTTAAAGTTTTATGTAAATAGAGTCATACAGGTTGTACTCTCTTTTGACTGGCTTCTTTCATTGAACAGAAAGATTTTGAGATTCATTCATGTTGTAGTATGTATCAGTAGCTGATTTTTTTTTTTGAGATGGGATCTCACTATATTGCCCAGACTGGTTTTTGAACTCCTGGGCTTAAGTGATCCTCCCACCTCAGCCTCCTGAGTGGCTAGGACTCCAGGTGTGTGCCACTGCACCTGGCTGTAGTTGATTACTTTTTGTTGTTGGATAGATTCCTCTGTGTGTGTGTGTGTGTTTGTGTGTGTGTGTGTGTGTGTGTGTGTACCATCATTTGTATAGTTGCTGAAGACGTGGTGAAATACAGAGTGGGCAAAATAACTTTTACTGATAGTAAGGATACTTCTCGGAGTTTCTGAAGAACAACTGATATGGGAAATACATTACAGATATAGAACACTAGATAATAATGGACTAGGCATGGTGGCTCACACCTGTAACACGACACTTTGGGAGGCTGAGGCAGGTGGATCACTTGGGCTCAGGTGTTAGAGACCAGCCTGGGCAACATGGCAAAACCCAGTCTCTACCAAAAATACAAAAATTAGCTGGGCGTGGTGGTGCACGCCTGTGGTCCCAGCTACTCAGGAGGCTGAGGTGGGAGGATCGCTTGGGCTGGGGAGGTTGAGGCTACAGTGAACTATGATTGTGCCACTGCACTCCAGCCTACGTGACAGACCCTGTCTCAAAAGAAATAAGTAAATAAAAATAAAAACATAATGAAGTAAAAAACATTTCACATTTATAGCCCTGGAAAATGTTGGATTAAGGATTCATAATTAGCATAAGCCATTTTGAATTGTCAGAAAGCTCAACAGGCTTGAAAGAAGACTTATTATTTGAAGACTATTTGTTTCATTAAACAAATATTTTTGTTCAAAGCCTACATGTGGCCCAGAACTAGTTTCTACAGTGATACAGTAAGGATCTTTCTGTTGGCTTCTGGAAGTGCACATCTAGCAAGTGAATTGAAAGATAAACATAAATAATTACGACATAAAAGGTGGGAATGAGAATTGTAGTAAGAGAAACACAACGTGCTGGGGTGTTCAGAGGTAGAAGAAAGTTATTTCCAGCCAGGAGGAATCCGAGAACTTGTTTGCAAGTGGTGACGTCTTATGGCTTTGAAGGAAGCTTCTAGTTGAATATATGCAGATGTGAGAGAAGGCCAAGGTCAGCGTAAGCCAAGACACACGAGCAGGGACCTGGAGGTGGGTGTCCACAGGGGGTCGTAGATCAAGACATCAGCAGGGTTGGTTCTCCTGAGGGCTTCGAGGGAAGGATCTGTTCCAGGCCTCTCTCCATGGCTTGTAGATGTCCGTCTTCTCCCTGTGTCTCTTCACATAATCTTCCCTTCTGTGTGTGTCTGTCTCTGTCTCCAAATTCCCCCACCACCCTTTTTTTCTTTAGCTACCTGTTAACTAAATTTTCCCTGGTTTCTAAGGACACTAGACCTATTGGATCAGTACCCACTCTAATGACTTTGTTTTAACTTGTTTTAACTTGATCACCTCTGTAAAGACCCTATCTCCAAATAAAGTCACATTTTCCGGTACTGGGGGTTGGGACTCCAAAATATCTTTCTGGGGGGCACACAATTCAGTCCAGAACACTGTGGTTGGGAGTGTGGGCTTTCTTATCCATGCAGAGGAGGGTCATGAATGCTTTCATTGGGGACATCATCAAATTTGGGCTTTTCCCCCCTTTTTGTGGAGGATGGGGTCTTGCTATGTTGCCCAGCCTGGCCTCGAACTCCTGGGCTCAAGTGATCCTCCTGCCTCTGCCTCCCTAAGTATTGTGATTACAGGCGTGAGCCACCACACCTGGCAGGGACATCATCAGAGCTGTGCTTTCAAATGCTACCCAGCTGTGTGTGCAAAACGTACTTGGGTTGGGGGACCATGTGGGGTGAGGGGCACAGGAGGGACTCACTCAGGAGACTGGCAGTCCGTGCCAGAATGGAGGGGGATGCCCAGCTGGCAGTGGAGGGTGTGAGCATTGGGCCTGGGACCGCAGTTCCTCCTGCTCCACAGGTTCTGAGGACGTGGAGATTTGGCACTGAGCGGGGATCTGTGTGCTCCTCTGTTGAGGGTATTGCTAGAAAGGACCACGTGTTGCAAAAGAAGTTGAATTAGTTCATGGCCTGTCATTTGGAGGTTATGGCAGGATTGCTTTTATCTGAGAGACATTCAGGACCTCATTATTCATCACCTGATTGTCGGAAATTAACTATAACCCTTCATGTGGGCAATGGAGTCCATTATTACGGAGGTAATCCAAGTTTTTAGTTTTATTGCAAATGTTTGCCTTATGGTAAATAAATACATTGTATATAATTTTCATTTCTGTAAAGCTTTATTGTTTCAAAGCTTTTTCCTTTTTTATCCTTTCAATGTCTGGGGGGCAAAAGAGGAGCAAATGTTATAAATCTTAGTTGATATTTGAGGTAACTGAGGATTAGAGCAGGGTTGGGTCTTGTCTGATGTAACTGATCTTTGGCCAAGCTGGGACTAGTGCACCTCAGTTGTTATGGATGATAGAGATAAGTTTATTGTTCATATAGTTTCCATATCAGTATAATTGCTTCATATTGAATACTGACGGCTCAAGAAAGGCCGTGGTGCCTGGGTACCACCTGGTAGGCATCCAAAGGATGCTGCTGTTGCTCAATGAATGGATGAAAAAGCATGTGTTTTTAGCTTGTCTTTCCTTCTACTAAGAATCACGTGATCTGGGTTGGGTTTTCAATTTTCAGTCATGGAGACTATAAATTTGAACAACTGTCCATGGCTTGTATTTTTTAAATGGAATTGTGAGAGATATAGTCTTTGAAATTGGTTTTTTTAAAATAAAAAATTCATATGGGGTCCCACCATGTTGCCCAGGCTGGCCTCGAACCCTTATGCTCAAGCGAGCCTCCTGCCTCGGCCTCCCACAGTGCTGGGATTACAGCCATGAGCCACCATGCCTGGACTGAAAATGGTTTTTAATACTCGATGAAAAAGCAGTAGCTTGCAGCTAAAATGATGTGATACAGTAGGTTCTAGTTAAATCAACCAAAGTAATGATGTAAATTGTAATGTAGATTACTTACTTGGCAATCTCAGTGTGACCTTTACATGTTTTTTGCTAAGCTGTAAGTGACTCTCTGATCTATGACACAGCTTTCAAATTGCGAGGGTTCATGTCACGCCACTATAGAGAAGAGTTTGGTGTTACCAAGAGGATACAGTGACCAAAGATATAACTGTTGTTTGAAAAAGGTGAATACTAAACACATAGGGAATTATTTTAATATTAATTGTGTGGCTTCTTTGAGAATACCATGTCTGGTTTTATATTTTATTTGCAAAAATTGATTGAGGCAAAGTGAAGTCTTTTTGAGTCGTGGGCTAGCTTATGCCCATGTTTATTATTAAGAGGACAAGAAACACTGCTTAACCCACAGATCTTAAGTGTTTTATTTAAATAAAACAACAAAATAATGCAGATTATGTGATTTAAAAAAAAAAAACAAAACCAAAAACTTAATTTTAAAGAAATGGGAAGCAAGCCACCTATATTTAACACTTACAGGCCGGGGCCGGGCATGGTGGCTCATGCCTATAATGCTAGCACTTTGGGAGGCCGAGGCAGGTGGATCACCTGAGGTCAGGAGTTCAAGACCAGCCTGGCCAACATGGCGAAACCCCATCTCTACTAAAAATACAAAATTACCCAGACATGGTGGCACATGCCTGTAATCCCGGCTACTCAGGAGGTTGAGGTAGGAGAATCACTTGAACCCAGGAGGCAGAGATTGCAGTGAGCCAAGATTGTACCACTGCACTCCAGCCTGGGTGACAGAGTAAGATTCCGTCTCAACAAAATAAATAAATAGCTGGGCGCGGTAGCTCACGCCTATAATCCCAGCACTTTGGGAGGCCGAGGCGGGTGGATCACGAGGTCAGGAGATCGAGACCATCCTGGCTAACACGGTGAAACCCCATCTCTACTAAAAATACAAAAAATTAGCCGGGCGTGGTGGCGGGCGCCTGTAGTCCCAGCTACTCGGGAGGCTGAGGCAGGAGAATGGCGTGAACCCGGGAGGCGGAGCTTGCAGTGAGCCAAGATCGCGTCACTGCACTCCAGCCTGGGCGACAGAGCAAGACTCCATCTCAAAATAAATAAATAAATAAATAAAAATTTAAAAAATGGAAAAAATCGTGAACAGATGTCAGTTGGGTTCCTCTTCACCCCAAAAGTCTATATATGTGTCTCATTCCTCTTGAAGTACAGGAGTTGTAGCAGCCCCAAATCTTCCCTGTAGACGGGCAATTCCCAAGGCTTAGTGTCCTGCGGCCTCCTAAGTTCTGCGCTAGCTCTCTGAACCACTCTGGGTTGGCCGTGGTATCAAACCTTATACCCTCAAGTTCTCCAATAGAAGTACAGTCCCACAAGCCTGCATAAGCTGTGAGGACTTTACTGATGACTGTCAAAACACAAATGACTTAAAGGACATCATAGTTGTCACCAACCTTAAAAGTCCGTTGGCCACCCTGATTTGTCCTGGAGAAAAGCTCCTCTTTCCTTCTTACCCCCGCATGGCCACCTCCTCCATCACCGCTCCCGTTTAAGAGCAAATAAACACATTCATGTTGTATAATAGTATGTATTAGTAGTTGATTACTTCTTGTTGTTGTTTTTTTTAAGAGACAGTGTCTCATTATATTGCCCAGGCTGGTCTCAAACTCCTGGGCTTAAGTAATCCTTCCTCCTTAGCCTCCTGAGTGGCTAGGACTCCAGGTGTGCACCACTGCACCCAGCTGTAGTTGATTACTTTTTGTTGTTGGATAGATTCCTGTGTGTGTGTGTGTACCATCATTTGCTGAAGACATGCGGTGACATACAGAATGGGGAAAATAACTTTGCATCAGTTCTTCTCTTTATCTCGCTAAGCAGCCCCCTCCCCTCCTTGGTGCTGTCCATCCCTCCAGGCCTGGAGGTGGGTTGGGCTCTGGCACTTTTTTCCAGAAACACCATGCCCCTTCTGAGCAGAGTACAGGCGAATGAAAACATCTGCACCTCACTATGTGAAGTGTGAATTTCAAAAACATAGTAATACTGTGTTAGCCTGGACTATGGAAGAAATTTGAAACTAGGTTATAATGTTTGGGTCCTTTTCCTTCCATATGGTCATAAATTAGAACAGAAATATAAGTGTTCCTGTGTTTTCAAATCTAGATTTTTTAAAAACGAGAAGAAATTTTCCGAAAGGAAGAAACTATGTTTAAATCTGCAAAGAAACTCTTAATGTCTCCAGATTTTCGATGCTTCTGAGTGACTGGCACCGTTTACAGGCGTGGCCTGTTTAAGAGCTTGTCAGCATCTGTGGCCTTCACCCAAAGGTCTGAAATTGATTCCAAGTGGGATGTCACGGCCACTTCTCTTGATGTACAGGATCTAAAAGCAACACTGAGAACAGTGGATGGGCAGCTACATGCTGAAGTGTGGCTGGAGGATGTGGCACCTGGGAAGAGAAAGCACAGGGTGACCAAAGTCCTTGAAGAGGGAGGGGTGCCGGTGCTGCAAACCAGTGAAAGCCCAGGTCAAGGGAAGAGCAGGAGAAAGGATGTCAGTCATTCTTGTGACTTTTGTAGGAGAACTTGGGCCATTAAAAAAGAAAGGAAGTAATCAAAATAGAGTTGTTCAGCAGCTCTGAATAGAAAGGGTTGGATCACAAGTCCACGGAGGGAGGGTCGCTTCATGGTGAGCACCACGCTCATGGCTCAGGCCAGCAGATGTTCTCATGGCCGTGCCGTGGGAACACTCGGGGAGCTGATGAGGGAGGGATCGTGAGACCAGTGTTCTGTGATTCTGCCTCCAGGAATGAGGAAACATGATGTCTGTTTCAGAATGGGATAGTATAGAATGTATTTGGCTGAAACAGCCTGCAGCAGCAATGGCCCTCCCCAAAATAATTCTTTAGGAGGGTGTGTGGGCCTCCATCAAGTCTTCGATGGTTCAGCCATGCCAGTTAGCTAAGGCTCGTGGGATGCCCCACACTCACTCCCCACCTCCCCACGCTTAGGGCAGTGCCTTGAGTTTTGTGATGCGTCTCCCACAGTGGAAGGCATGCATGAGCTATATTTCAAGGGGTTGGGCGCAGCCTGCAGTTGGAGATGATGTCATTTTTAGCCATGTGAGTTTGCTCAGAAGGAAGGTACGGCTCTCCTAGCAAATCTAAGAATAACAACTTCACTGTCTGCTGCAGCCAAGTTGGGACCAAGCCTCGCAGCAGAGCTGCTGTGGTTTTCTTTCATCACCTTTCTTTTGGACTGTAGAATAGTTCTGTCTTTTGGGATATGAGGGGTGATAAATTGTGGGGAAAACTTCTATTCATTACCCTATATGATCAGGGCAAAAATACTGAGAAGTGAAAAGGATTTTAGATTTTTTTTTTTTTTTTTTTTGAGATGGAGTCTCGCTCTGTCACCCAGGCTGGAGTGCAGTGGCGCGATCTTAGCTCACTGCAACCTCTGCCTCCTGGGTTCAAGCGATTCTCCTGCCTCAGCCTCCTGAGAAGCTGAGACAACAGGCGCGTGCCACCACACCCAGCTAATTTTTTGTATTTTTAGTAGAGACGGGGTTTCACAATGTTAGCCAGGATGGTCTCGATCTCTTGACCTCGTGATCCACCCGCCTCGGCCTCCCAAAGTGCTGGGATTACAGACATGAGCCAACGCGCCCGGCCAGGGTTTTAGATTTTAAAAGCTAGCTTGTTACTCTATGTGATAAGGAAATTAATTCAAGAGGAAATGGAAAAATAAGCAGCTTACAATTGTGATTTCTCCAGCAGATATATCTTTTGTACTGGGAAACAGTCTCCTGTAGAATATTTTCATTTTGAACACACTGCATTGGTCTTAGATCTGTTATTTTAAAAATACGTACAAAGCACCAGGCGCGGTGGCTCACGCCTGTAATCCCAGCACTTTGGGAGGCCGAGGTGGGTGGATCACAAGGTCAGGAGATCGAGACCATCCTGGCTAACACGGTGAAACCCCGTCTCTACTAAAAATACAAAAAATTAGCCGGGTGTGGTGGCGGGCGCCTGTAGTCCCAGCTACTCGGGAGGCTGAGGCAGGAGAATGGCGTGAACCCGGGAGGCGGAGCTTGCAGTGAGCCAAGATAGTGCCACTGCACTCCAGCCTGGGAGACAGAGTGAGACTCTGTCTCAAAAAATATATAGATATATGTACAAAGCTACATTGTAATCTGATTTTTATCAGGGCTCTTCAACCTTTTAGATTCACTGGATACATTTTGTGTTTCAGAAATATATTTGCCCGAGCATTCTGGCTTTTAGAATTTAGATGAATTTTCCTAAAAGGCCAAGTGAAATATTTCACATTTCTTTGCTTTCATGTTATTAATTTCTCCATGTAGAGATCTGATTAAAATATGTGATGTAGCAGAAAGAGATAAGATGAAAATTCTGATTTTGGCATTTGATGTGCTTTAAGCTGCAAGAAGGTCCTTTGGTTCCTTGACTTTATCTGGAGTGGGAGACTGTTTCAGACTGTGGAATGTTTGCATTGGAAGGGATCTCCGGGGTCAGAGTGCACCTCCTAACATGCAGAGATTGGCTTTATAGATGCACATGGTTTCAAATGGCCAATTTTTGACTGTCAGTAGGACAAAGTAGATTCAAATGGGAAATGTTTCTTCCACTGGACAGAACTACTTTTCCTTCGACCTAGTTTTGAAATCACTTCCTATTTCAGACTTTATAGCCTCTACTGCCCAACATGTTTAGCAAAGTGTCAATAAATATAAAAAGCCCTCTTTTTTTTTCTCATACCACATCGTCTAAGACAAAAGCTTATTTTTTATTCATTGACTGACAGTTTTTTTTTTTTTTTTTTACAAACAAAACATTTGTCATAAGTAGTTTCTAGAAAATCAGTCTACTGGCTGGGCGCGGTGGCCTGTTATCCCAACACTTTGGGAGGCTGAGGTGGGCGGACCACCTGAGGTCAGTAGTTGAGACCAGCCTGACCAACATGGCAAAACCCCATCTCTACTAAAAATACAAAAAATTAGCCAGGCGTGGTGGCCTGCACCTGTAATCCCAGCTACTCAGGAGGCTGAGGCAGGAGAATCACTTGAACCCAGGAGGTGGAGGTTGCAGTGAGCTGAGATCGCACCTCTGCACTCCTGCCTGGGTGACAGACTGACATTCCATCTCAAAAAAAAAAAAAAAGAAAGAAAACCAGTCCACTGTCTTGCGAATTTCTAAATTAGAACACTGAAGTCAACTTTGTAAAAGTGAATTGCTGTGTAAAAAGGAAGGAAATTCTGACACACTGTGACCTGGATGAGCCTTAAGGACATTACGCTAAGTGAAATAAGCCAGTCGCAAAGAGACAAATACTCTATGATTGCACTCAAATGAGGTATAAGAGTCATCAAATTCATGGAGAATGTACAGTGGTGGTTTCCAGGGACTGGGGGCAGAGGGGAATGGGGAGATGGTGTTTAATGGGAACAGACTTTCAGTTTGGGAAGGTGAAACAGTTCTGGAGGTGGTTAGTGGTGATGATTACATAACAACGTTAAGTGTGCTTAACACCGCACAATTGTATGCTTAAAAGTGGTTAAGATGCTAAATTTCAGGTGGCCGGGTGTGGTGGCTCACACCTGTAATCCCAGCATTTTGGGAGGCGGAGGCCGGCAGACCACCTGAGGTCAGGAGTTCGAGACCAGCTTGGCCAACATGGCAAGACCCTGTCTCTACTAAAAATACAAAATTTAGCCAGGTGTGGTGGCAGGTGCCTGTAATCTTAGCTATTTGCGAGATTGAGGCAGGAGAATCACTTGAACCCTGGAGGTGGAGGTTGCAGTGAGCCGAGATCACGCCACTGCACTCCAGCCTGGGCAACAGAGTGAGACTCTGTCTCAAGGAAGGAAAAAAAAAAAAGAGGCTAAATTTCATGTTATGTGTATTTTACCAAAACTTGAAAAGAATGAATTACTGTGGCTGGAATGAACTGCTCTGTGGAAACTTAGTGCAGTAGCGGATTCCGGGTAACCCAACCCAGTCTGCCCTGTGTGAGAATTGGAGTCTTCTGGCAATGCTCATTTTCCTTCTTTGGGGCAGGCAGTTCTTCCCCCCTGCCTGGCTAGGGTACTTCCTACCATCCCTGGGGAAACACCTCCTTTCTGGTTTCTTCCTCCATCCTCCCGGCTCCGTTCCAGTCAATACTGTGTTCCCACACACATGAATGGAGCAAGAAGAGCTGGCTCCAGGCCTCTGGGGGCAACCAATGACTGGAAGGAGAGGGATTTACTAAAAGTCGGCTCTCCAGAGAAATCCCATTAAGCGAGTGTCCCCAAGGGGGCAACGGGTTTTGGTTCTGTGCAGTTTTAGTAGCCTGTGTCAAAATAAAACCCAGGTCAGTGCTGTAAACACAAGGCAAGGAGCCTTGCCTTGTGGAGCAGCTGGCGAGATGGTCCCCTGGGATGATTCCCTCTGGGACATGTGGGTATTTTCAGGGAAGATTCCATTCGTAGGTCTGGAATGGATGTCGGGGGAGAGAGAAGATGGGTTGATGGGGGTTAGGGATCAAGACGTGAACAGATGCGCGCCTGCTGCTGATTACTCAACAGTCTCATGAATCCCCAGCGCAGCCCTGTCAGGTAGAATATTCTGCGATGATGGAGATGTTCACGCTGCCCAACACTGCAAGTGCGGCCACTGGCATTTGTGCTGTTAAGTCTGTGAAATACACTAGTTTGACTGAGGAACAAAATGTTCAATCTTAATTGGTTTAAATGTTAACAGCCATGCCAGGCGCAGTAGCTCATGCTTGTAATCCCAGCCCTTTGGGAGGCCAAGGCGGGCGGATCACCTGAGGTTGGGAGTTCGAGACCAGCCTGACCAACATGGAGAAACCCGGTCTCTAAGAAAAATACAAAAAAATTAGCCAGGCGTGGTGGCACATGCCTGTAATCCCAGCTACTAGGGAGGCTGAGGCAGGAGAATCGCTTGAGCCCAGGAGGCAGAGGTTGCAGTGAGCCAAGATCGCACCACTGCACTCCAGCCTGAGCGACAGAGAGAGACTCCGTCCTCCCTGCCCCCAACACCCCCCCCAAAAAAAGAAAGTTAAGTATATTAATTTGATTGATTTATTTTTTGAGGTATGGTCTCTGTCGCCCAGGCTGGAGTGCAATGGGTGTGATCATGGCTCACTGCAGTCTCAAATTCAAGGGCTCATATGATCCTCCTGCGTCAGCCTCCCAAGTAGCTGGGATAAGAGGTGTGCATCACCATGCGTGGCTAACTTTTAAAGATTTTTAGTAGAGATGAGGTTTTGCTATGTTGCCCAGGCTGTTCTCGAACTCCTGAGCTCAGCAATCCTCAGTCCTTGGCCTCCCAGAGTGCTAGGATTGCAGGCATGAGCCACTGTGCCCAGCCTAGTATATTAATTTTTAAAAATGGGATGTTATAGTGAACAAAACCAACAGGAATTCTATCCTCATGGGGCTTACAGTCTGGCAGGGAGGACAAACACGGAGTAAGCAAACACAAGTGTGAACTGAGGCGTGTTATGAAGGAGGTCTCAACTTGAGTCAGTAGAAGGAGTCTTTGTGGGGGTGACATCAAGTGGAGGTACTGTCATTTTGTTTTAACAGGGACACTTCCAGTCATATGGTCCCTGGACGCTGACACAACTTTTCCAGGACTTTTTTTTTTGACACCTTCCTTCTCATTAGAATCTCCTGGGCCAGTCTAGTGTCTTGACACGGTTGCTGAACCCATTAAAATGGGAAACCCTTGTTTTCACCTCCGAAAAGGGTTTTAGAGGAAGAGGCGGGCAAAGGAGACTTGGCTGGAATGGGGGAGAGTTCACAGGGGCGAGGCGGCAGGGCGACAGGCCCAGGGTTACAGCCCCAAGGGCCGCCCCCGCCCATACCCAAGGCACCTGTGGACGGGGCTCTCCAGAGGGCTGGGGCACCATCACAGTCACAGCCGAGGCTGGGAAGGGAGCCAGGGCTGCAGCCGAGTCCGCCCCTCCAGCGCTGCGCAGCCCCGCCGCCTTAACTTTTCCTCTGGCTGCGGGTCCCTCGGCTTGGCCACCCCCACACTGCAGTTAGTTGACTGATTCTGTATCGAGTGAGCATCTCCCGTGTGCTCACAGCCCGGGGCCCCTGGGGATGCTTGGGCCGCCTGTCTCTGTTTCATGTCCCCTGCCTGGTCCTCTTAGGAGGGTGGCCGATTCCCTGAAGGGAGGAAGTGGGTCCTGGGTCTGGGGCTTTTCCACTTTGGCTGCACTTGACAACGACTTGGGGACTTTTAGAAAGGTACGAGCACCCTCCACCAATTAAGGTATAATTTTGCTGAAAATTCCTTGGCATTTTCTAAAGCTCACTAGCTATTTTCCTGCAGTGCCTTGGGTGATGAAGAGGGTGACCCAGAATCCTCCTTTGTTGCTCCCCATCCTCTAGGAAAGCTTCTAGCTGGCTACTGTCTTAGTGGGAACCCCTTTCTGCTGGGAAAATCCCAGTAGGGATTTGGGATTGGACAACCCTTTCATCTCCACCTCCCCCTGAGCTCCCAACTGAGCCCGAGGGCTGACTAGCAGGGCCCAAGGCCACCTCTGAGATCCAGCTTTGTCATCGTCATGCGACATCCCTAGGGAGCTTTCTCACCGCAGGAGGTGGCTGCTGATGGATTCCAACTGTTGATGCCAGCCAGGAAGTCCTCTTCCCCATGCTAGACTTGAAAACTTGTCAGGAGCGCCTCAACCTGAACTCCCTTGGCCAGAAACTCAACAGCAGGCAGATTAGACGCGGAGCAGGAGTGGGGAACATGTGTAGAGTGGGAGGGGTGGGGGCTCCAGGCTCCAGGGAACTTTCCTACATTAGGAGCTGGGGAGCTGGCCCCAAAATAAAATTGCCTTGAAAGAAAAGAACAAAGTGTGTTGGCACAGCAAGGCCTTTCTTCCGCTCTGGGGCATGACAGAGGTCACAGCCCGCTGCTGGGCTGGAGTGGGGGCCGTTCCTCTTCAATGGGCACAGGAGTGTGCTCTGCCTGGCCTGGCTCAGCCTCCTCTGAGACAGCTTCATGCAGGCCTGGGCCGTCATCTCCTGGCCGATGAACAAAACCCGAGAGCAAACACATTTCACATTCAGTCTGAATGCTCAGAGGAACCACGTTTTTCTGAGATTACACATTCTTCCAGCATTATGCTCTACTTGAGAACGCAAAACAATCCAGCGCAATGATGCTTTCTTCCCTTTTTACATTTTCAAGGACCACACAGAGGACTCCTGCTAGGTGGTGGTGGGGACCGAGGGCTGGTGTGTACCTGGCCACGGGTGGGATGCTCAGGAATGGGTTGGCCGAAGTGGGGGTTGCCTACCTTCTTACCCAGCCCTTAGGGCCTTCTGGAACATCTCCAGGTGGGGCCGCTTCCTCCAATGTAAGGCATCGCCTGAGAGAACGGCTGTGTGGGGTGCAGGGAGGAGGCTTGGGTTTAACGGCCCTGCCCCTTCCGGGCTGTTTGAACTTGGATAAGTCGCTTAACCCCATGAGCCTCTGTTTTCTCACTTGTGAAAAGGGGAAAATGTATAGTAGGGCCTTGGTGGAGGTGGACAGCAATGAGAGAAGGAAGAGCCTGGAAGGTCTTTCCTCTCCTCATCCTCCCAACTGCCCGAGCAGCCCTTGTTTTTCCATTTTACTACCAGGCTTCCTCTTCAGTTTTCCTTGGAAAAGGCTCTCTGGAGCTTTCTAACATCTGCATGCCTGGCTGCCACCCCAGACCCCTTAAATCAAAACCTCTGAGGGTGAGACCCAGGCGTGGGTATTTTTTCACAGTTTCCTGGGTGATTCTGATGGCTCAGGCTAAGAACCACTGCCCTAAAGATCAAGGCAAACAGGCCGGGTGTGGTGGCTCATGCCTGTAATCCCAGCACTTTGAGGTTGGGGGATCACTTGAGGCCATGGGCTCGAGACCAGCCTGGGCAACATAGTGAGACCCTATCTCTTAAAAAAATTTTTTTAAATTGGCTGGGCACAGTGGCTCACACCTGTAATCCCAGCACTTTGGGGGCTAAAGGGTGGGTAGATCACCTGAGGTCAGGAGTTCAAGACCAGCCCAGCCAACATGGTGAAACTATGTCTCTACTAAAAATACAAAAAATAACCAGGCATGGTGGTGGGTGCCTGTAATCCCAGCTACTTGGGAGGCTGAGGCAGGCGAATCGCTTGAACCCGGGAGGCAGAGGTTGCAGTGAGCCGAGATCGCGCCATTGTACTCCAGCCTGGGCAACGAGAGTGAAACATCATCTCAAAAAAAAAAAAATATGACCCAGGCATGGTGCCTGTAATCTCAGCATTTTGGGAGGCCGAGGTGGAGGATCACTTGAGCCCAGGAGTTTGAGGTTGCAGTGTACCATGATTGTACCACTGCACTCCAGCCTGGGCGACCAAGTGATACTTATCTCTACAAAACAAAAAACACAACAAAAA
The DNA here is from genome assembly GCF_000001405.40 of Homo sapiens. Classification (NCBI taxonomy): domain Eukaryota; kingdom Metazoa; phylum Chordata; class Mammalia; order Primates; family Hominidae; genus Homo; species Homo sapiens. The sequence goes on from NC_000018.10 coordinate 2,883,064, forward strand.
CCAAAGGAAACAGGGACAGTGGAAGGTGCTAGGAGGTCTAATGGGCTTGGCGGGTCCTAGCTGTCGGCAGGGCCCTCTTGGGATTCTGCAGGGTGCCTAGCCAGTCCCAGCGGGGTGGATCCTATACCCAGAGTGTAATTGTCAGTGTGTGACCCTCGGGGAGGATGTCAAAGGTCCAGCACATGATTTGTGCTTTCCTCAGGGAGGTAACTTTGAAGTCCACCTGCCACAGGGCTGGTGCTTGGGAGGGAGTTGCTTTGCTGGGTAACCCCGCTGCTGCTATTGTCCCGCCTCCCCCCATGGGCAGCTCTCAGCAACCCTGAAAAAGTGACACTCAGCCTATTGCTTTCTGGGAATTGGCTCAAGAAGAAGGCCAGCTGCTGGTGCTGGTGTAAGAAATGAAGAGGAGCTGAAGAGCTTCAAGAGAGATGATTTGCAAGGCAGGAAATCACAATTGGGCTGAAGTAGGGAGGCCCCATCCTGTGTGGCTGTGGCTTTTGCCTGTGCTGTGAGCAGGGGCCGCTGCGGGGGCTGAACTCCTGGCTCCTTCCCTGGTGAGCCCGGGACTGCAGGGCTGTCAAAGTCTGTTGTGGGCCCAGGCCCGGCCTTGAGTCTGGAGGACTTTCCAGCTCACTGCAAAGCTCTCTGTGTGATATTCCAGGGCATGAGGGGATGTGCACTGTCAACAGGACTTTTTGAGTGCTTCCAATTCTGCTTCCTGATTTCTGTCATTGACAGTATGAACCAGGGCATCTTTGTAAAAAGTGGACACAAATAGTGTGAGCTGCCATCTGCAAAAGCTGGTGGCTACCTTTGCTAGCATCAGGAAAGGGAGGTGCAGCGGTAAACACACAGACATGATGGAGAGCAGGGTGCCAGGGATGTTTCTTTCTTTCTTTTTATTTTTTTTGAGTTGGAGTCTTGCTCTGTCACCCAGGCTGGAGTGCAGTGGCGCGATCTCGGCTCACTGCAAGCTCCACCTCCCGGGTTCACGCCATTCTCCTGCCTCAGCCTCCCAAGGAGCTGGGACTACAGGCGCACGCCATCACGCCCGGCTAATGTTTTTGTATTTTTAGTAGAGACGGGGTTTCACCGTGTTAGCCAGGATGGTCTCGATCTCCTGACCTCGTGATCCGCCTGCCTCGGCCTCCCAAAGTGCTCAGATTACAGGCGTGAGCCACCGCGCCCAGCCTCTTTTTCTTTTTTTTGAGACAGTCTCGCTGTGTCTCCCAGGCTGGAGTGCAATGGCGTGATCTCAGCTCACTGCAACCTCCGCCTTCTGGATTCAAACAATTCTCGTGCCTCAGCGGTAGCTGGGACTACAGGCATGCGCCACAACACCTGGCTAAGTTTCGTATTTTTTGTAGAGACTAGATTTCACCATGTTAGCCAGGCTAGTCTCGAACTCCTGGCCTCAAGTGATCTGCTGGCCTCAGCCTCCCAAAGTGCTGGGATTACAGGCATGAGCCACTGTGCCCGGCCAGGAATATTTCTTTAAAACACAAAACAAAACAATCTCTAGTGACACCTGAAACAAATCCCCACAAACTGAATTGTAGAACAGAAGTTTGGTGAAACAAAAGCTCAGTTTGGGGGCTGAAAAGTATCCTTCTCAAATGGGAGTCTTGGTGGAGATTTTCTAAGCTGTGTGTTCCCCTTGCTGGGAAACGGGTGCTCAGGGCAGGTGGAGGATTGGGGAGCCCCTGCCTTCCTGAGGCTGATCTGAGTTAGGCTGAACCCCCCAGTCAGATCTGGACTGAGGAGACCAACATCCCCTCTGGGCCAGCCTGGAGAGCAGGCAGGGTCCTGCATGCCCTGAGTCCTCTTTATTTGGGTCTAGCGCCGGAAGTTGCTTGTAACGGCAGCCAGTAAAGAGAGATGCCATCCCTTCTGTCCACAGGTATCGAGTGAACTTCAGACCTAGATATGTCACTAGGTATAAGACAGTGACACAGTTGGAATGGAGGTGCTGTCCTGGCTTTAGAGGGGGAGATTGCCAAGAAGGTCCCAAAGACCCCGTGAAGACCCTCCGCCCCACGCCGGCTCGGCCTCGAAACAGCTTGAAGAAAGCCACAGGTAACTTCTTATTTGTGCTATTATGTATGGCCACCTTTAATATTTCCGGTGCTCCTTCAAACAACAGGATTTGTGCTTTACAATGGTGAGCTTTGAATGGCCTTCGAATAACACACATAGATACCTGCAGTAGCCACATGTGACAAATTTATTCTCAGGAGCAGTAGCAATTGTAAGACAAACTTCCTTGCAAGTAAATTGCTTTGCTAGGGCCAGCTTGTTGTGAAAGCCAATGCCTTAAACATCAGGGTAGGAAATGCCAGTGGGTTCAGACTTGTGTCACCTGGAGGCACAGCTGTGAAGAGATTCAGATGTAATGATGTACTGTTTGTTTTTACTTGGGCCCATACATCTGAATTTAGGGGGGTTAAAATTGTTTTTTATTTTTTATTTTTTTGAGATGGAGTCTCGCTCTGTCGCCCAGGCTGGAGTGCAGTGGCGCAATCTCGGTTCACTGCAACCTCTGCCTACCTGGTTCAAGCAATTCTCCTGCCTTGGCCTCCGAGTAGCTGGGATTACAGGCGCCTGCCACCATGCCCGGCTGATTTTTGTACTTTTGGTAGAGATGGGGTTTCACCATGTTGGCCAGGCTGGTCTCCAACTCCTGACCTCAAGTGATCTGCCCACCTCGGCCTCCCAAAGTGCTGGGATTACAGGCGTGAGCCACTGTGCCTGGCCATCACTTCATCTTTTTAAGTTCAGTCACAATAAATGCAGCCTAGGTTTTCTTATGAAATTAGATGCTTAAATGATTATATTTTGCCATGAGGTGTTCTCAGGTTTGAAACTCGTAGTTCTTCCCAACATTGTCTGTAAAAATAGATTTTAAAATGACTTTTTAACTACAAAAGTAATGCACATCAATTAAAGAATGTTTGAAAAATATTTAAGGATACATAATCTCATGACTAAATGAGAACTACTGTTGACATTTTGTTATAGAACCTTACTCTCTTTCCTATGTCTGTACATTGATTTTGTTAAAGAAAAATTCATTTATCTCACAAATATTTATTGAACTTCTATATCTGTCAGGCTCTATACTGGGTACTTGGAATAAGTGAGAAAAAAGGCAGACAGAGTCCCTGACTTCATGGAAGGCAGACATTAGAGAGTAATTACAATAATTCATGACAGATACTGGGATGGAGGGAACATGACATGGGGGCTGGTGGATTGTAATCATTTATTTTTGTTTTGTTTCATTTTAGTTTTTGTTTGACAGAAGTTTAAGCATATTGTAGTTTAATAAGTTGAATAGCTTTATAAGGACTAATAGGAAAAACAATGACCACCCTGAAACCCTTTTTCTCATTTTCCCTTCCCATGGGTAGTACTTTAAACTCTTCAGATGAATCTTTTGGAATTTACCTCCATATCTATTGGTTTTTCATTATGGAAGGTGAGAATTTAACTCCCTTTCATCCACTCCTCAACACATGGCTCCTATCCCCCCATCCCTTCCATACAGTTAGACCATATTCTTTATTTACTCAGTATTCAGTGTTTACATTGTAGTAACTATGTAGATAATGTTTACAGCTGAGCCATGTGGTGTACTATGAATAGATTTTCTTTCCTACGCAGCTTTTTGATTCCTTACAGTTAAATCATTGTCTTATGTTTTTCCTTTGCTTAGTTTTCTCTCTTTTTATTGCTATTTCAACCCAACTCTTCTCTGGCTCTCTAAATGTCCCCTCCATATGTTCAGACACAGCATTTTCATCTTCTTGAAGAAGTCTCCCTTGAGCCTTCTCACTTGCCCTACCTGGACGGGACATCCTCTTTTCCTGTCTTCACCCGAGGATCTTAACTTGCCCCTCTCCTGTTGAATTCCCTGTTTCCTGTGTCCCCTGCTCCCTCTTTCTTGGCTTAGCCCCTTGCTTTGCTTGAGCATGTCCTTTAGTAGCTTCATGAGACAATTACATGGGAAGCAAACTTTTTACCACTTTATAGTATGAACACTATTTTTTATTCTAGCTTCAGAAATCTAGGTCAGAAATCACTTTCCTTCAGAATTTTGACAATAGTGCTCAGTTTTTCTCTAGCTTCCAATATTGCTGCTAAAAAAACACCAAAACTTTTCTGACTCCCAGTTTTTTGTGTGTGACTTGAGTAGGTTTTTTTGTCTCCCTCCTCCTTTTATTTTGTCCTTTTAGTGGGATTTTAGGAAGGAGTAAAAAGAAATGCTTTTCCTCTGATATAGTTTGAATGTTTGTCCCCTCCAAATCTCATGTTGCAATGTGATCTTCAATGTGGGAGATGGGGTATCATGGGAGGTGTTTGGGTCATGGAGGTTGATCCTTCATGAATGGCTTGGTACCCTCCTTGCGGTAATAAATGAGTTCTTGCTCTGTTAGTACACGAGAGCTGGTTGGTTGGAAGAGCCTGGCACCTTCTCCCTTCCCTCTTGCTCCCTCTCGCTCCCTCTCTTACCATGTGACACACTGGCCCTCTTTTCACCTTCCGTCATGAGTAGAAGCTTCCTGAGGTCCTGACCAGAAGCAGTTGCTGACACCATGTTTCTTGTACAGCCTACAAAACTGTGAGCCAAATAAACCTCTTTTCTTCACAAATTACCCAGTCTCAGATATTCCTTTATTTCAATACAGAATGGACAAACATACCCTGAATTCACTGTCATTATAAAAAAAATACTATTTTTACAACTTTTTCTATTTTAGAGACAGGGTCTTGCTCTGTAACCCAGGCTGGAGTGTAGTGGCATGATTACTGCTCACAACCTTGGACTCCTGGACTCAAGTGATCCTCCCACCTCAGCATCCCAAAGTGCTGGGGTTACAGGCAGAACCACTGCACTCGACCTGGAACTTATTTTTTATTGAATAACCTATAATGGACAACCTTCCATGTCATGAAATATTCTACAATACTACTTAATGGCTTGAGAGAATGTGAGTTATTGAACACCATCCTCTACTGTTGGTCACTTAGGTTGTTTGTAATTTTTCACTATTATAGATAATATATGAATATGCATCTTTTCCTGTTAAATTTTTGCACTCATTTCTGATTATTCACTAGAATAAATTTCTTGAAGTGTAATTGTAGGGTCAAAAGATTCTGAGTATTTTGATACATGTTGCCAAATTATCCTTTGAAAAAAATGCAATTTGCACAGTCACCGTGGTATATGAGCAAAGCATTTCCTTACATCCTCAATCTTCCCCCCTTTGCCGCCCTTTGTTTTTATTTCCTTTGCTTAGAATAGCATTCCACTTGCACATGATTCAGTAACTTGTTTTTTTCTTTAGTGTCTTAAGAGAGAATAACGGCCGGGCGCGGTGGCTCACGTCTGTAATCCCAGCACTTTGGGAGGCCGAGGCGGGTGGATCACAAGGTCAGGAGATGGAGACCATCCTGGCTAACACAGTGAAACCCCATCTCTACCAAAAATACAAAAAATTAGCCGGGCATGGTGGTGGGCACCTGTAGTCCCAGCTACTCGGGAGGCTGAGGCAGGAGAATGGCGTGAACCCAAGAGGCAGAGCTTGCAGTGAGCCGAGATAGCACCACTGCACTCCAGCCTGGGCAACAGAGGGAGATTCTGTCTCAAAAAAAAAAAAAAAAAGAGAGAGAGAGAGAATAAATATTTCAGTAAGGAAAACAAGGTGTTATTTGTAGCTCTCTGCAAAAAGAATGATTCTTGGGGATTTGGATATCTGAATTTCAGATTTGGTTTTACCACTAACTTGATTTTAATAAATAATAGCTGCTATTATGAGCTTGTGCAAAAGTTCAGAGGAGGAAAAAACAATGATCGTTGAATTCAAATATCTACAACATTCTGAATTAATTTCCAATGTTTTCCAGTGTAATATATTAATGCATTTTATTTAATTGCAACCTATGTTGTGTTTGATTTTTTCCACTTTATATGTCTCACTATAGTTGCCAGGTTTGTCAGTGTTAACCTCTTTCAGTATTTCTTTCTTTCTTTTTCTTTTTCTTTCCTTTTCATTTCTTTCTTTTCTTTTTTTTTTTTTTTTTTTTTTGAGACAGGGTCTCTCTCTGTTGCCCAGACTGGAGTACAGCGGCACTATGTCGGCTCACTGCAACCTCCGCCTCCTGGGTTCAAGCGATTTTTCTGTCTCAGCCTCCCTAGTAGCTGGGATTACAGGCACCAGCCACCACACCTGGCTGATTTTTGTATTTTTAGTAGAGATGGGGTTACGCCATGTTGGCCAGGCTGGTCTTGAACTCCTATCCTCAAGCAATCCACCCACCTCAGCCTTCCAAAGTGCTGGGACTACAGGCATGAGCCATCATGGCTGGATGCAGTATTTCTTGTATCCTGCTGTATTCAGGGCATAGTTTGTTTCTTATTGTCCTATTGCTGCAGGTTTCAATAGTCTCCTTTTTATTTACCTCTATGTCTATCAATTTATCTTCATTTTATGACTCATCACTATCATTCCCCCCTTATTAAAAATTAATAATTGTTTCTTTCTTTTGGATTTTTTCCTTGGTGTTTTCTCAAAATAAGATTACCCAAAATTCAATGTTTGCATTCTTCTTCTTTTTTTCTTTTCTTTTTTTTTTTTTTTTTTTTTTAAAGATACAGGGTCTTGCTATATTGCCAAGGATGCCCTTGAACTCCTGGGCTCACGCCATCTTCCTGCCTCCCTAGTAACTGAGACTACAGGCACACACCACCTCCCTGACCAGCTTTCAATATTTGCATTCTTTGACGTAGTGAATCTTACTATATATGGTCAGACGGTGCTGTTGCTAGGAGACACTGATGAATAGTTGCTTTATCTCTGTTGCTTTTTGTCTCCCAAACTGCAAGCAGGGCTAAACAATGTCTGTGAGACTCTTTGAGCACAGAGATGTTAATGAAAGTAAAGGACAAAACATTCAGGCACTGCTTTGAGGATAACATCAGAAAATATGATATCATATGATATCACCATCCAACAGCTAATGGGTGGATCTTGCTAAAGTGGTTTCTTGTGGTTTTACTGTATGCAGTCAACTCTTGGGGTGTGGCTGCAGTTCACTAATATGGGAATGAAGTGTTCATATGATAAAGCGGATAATGAATATTTCCCCTCAGGGTGAAAGAGACCATTGATTATCTAATAGGTGTCATGTACATATTATTTTAACAGCTCTAGAAGCTGTTCTTCTTTATAGATGAGAGGATTATAGTTCACAGAAGTTAGTTAACTTGCTCAAGGACAAACAGTAAATAGCAGAGCCAGAATGCAAGTAGAGGTCTATTTGACTACAAAGCCCATACTCTTTTCTACTGTACCACAGTACTTACCTACAATTGTGTAGTGACCTGTAAGTGAAGATGTACATGTATTTTGTAGGTACCTTGTTTATTGTCTTGGCAGAATCTGGCTAAAGGTAGAAAATGTTCATTCATGTCCAACTTTATCTTTGTAACAGATAATGAACCCAGCCAATTCTCAGAGCCCAGGAAGACTTTGTCCCCAACTGGTACAGCACAACCAAGCTGGGGGGTAGATCCAAAAGAGGGGCCTCAGGAACTTCAGGAAAAGAAGATACAGGTGCTAGAGGAGAAGGTTCTTCGACTCACAAGGACGGTTCTTGACCTCCAGTCTTCCCTTGCTGGAGTGAGTGAAAATCTCAAACATGCCACTCAGGATGATGCCAGTAGAACACGGGCACCAGGGCTCAGCAGCCAGCACCCCAAGCCTGACACCACTGTTAGTGGAGACACAGAAACGGGCCAGAGTCCTGGTGTCTTCAACACTAAGGAATCTGGCATGAAGGACATCAAGTCTGAATTGGCTGAAGTCAAAGATACTCTAAAGAACAAAAGTGACAAGCTGGAAGAGCTGGATGGAAAAGTGAAGGGCTACGAAGGGCAGCTCAGACAGCTCCAGGAAGCAGCTCAGGGCCCGACGGTGACCATGACAACCAACGAACTCTACCAAGCCTATGTGGACAGTAAGATCGACGCCCTGAGAGAGGAGCTCATGGAGGGCATGGACAGAAAGCTGGCTGACCTGAAAAACTCATGTGAGTACAAGCTCACTGGCCTCCAGCAGCAGTGTGATGACTATGGGAGCAGCTACCTGGGAGTGATAGAGCTCATAGGGGAGAAGGAAACAAGCCTGAGAAAAGAAATAAATAACCTCCGAGCCCGGCTACAGGAGCCTTCAGCCCAGGCAAATTGCTGCGACAGTGAAAAGAATGGTGACATTGGTCAACAGATCAAGACATTGGACCAGAAAATCGAGAGAGTTGCTGAAGCCACCAGAATGCTGAATGGAAGACTGGACAATGAGTTTGACCGCCTTATAGTTCCAGAGCCAGATGTGGATTTTGATGCAAAATGGAATGAACTCGATGCAAGGATCAATGTGACGGAGAAGAACGCTGAAGAACATTGCTTTTACATTGAGGAAACCCTTCGGGGCGCCATTAATGGAGAGGTGGGTGACTTGAAGCAGCTTGTTGATCAGAAAATACAGTCTCTGGAAGACCGTCTGGGGAGCGTTCTCCTACAGATGACCAATAACACTGGTGCAGAGCTCAGTCCCCCAGGGGCAGCAGCCCTGCCAGGAGTGTCAGGGTCAGGAGATGAACGGGTCATGATGGAATTAAACCACCTGAAGGACAAAGTTCAAGTTGTTGAAGACATTTGCCTGCTGAACATCCAGGGAAAGCCTCATGGGATGGAAGGTGCCTTGCCAAACAGGGAAGACCGCGCAGTACGCGACAGCCTGCACCTTTTGAAATCTCTCAACGACACGATGCACAGGAAGTTTCAAGAAACCGAACAAACCATCCAGAAACTTCAACAGGATTTTAGTTTTCTTTATTCTCAATTAAACCACACAGAAAATGATGTGACTCATCTTCAAAAGGAAATGAGCAATTGTAGAGCAGGTGAAAACGCTGGCATGGGTAGGTTCACTAAGGTGGGTGAGCAAGAAAGGACAGTGGACACCCTGCCGTCCCCCCAGCACCCCGTGGCTCATTGCTGCAGTCAGCTGGAGGAGAGGTGGCAGAGGTTGCAGAGCCAGGTCATCTCGGAGCTGGATGCTTGTAAGGAATGCACGCAGGGGGTCCAGAGGGAGGTCTCCATGGTGGAGGGCAGGGTGTCTCATATGGAGAAAACTTGCAGCAAGCTGGACTCTATCTCAGGAAATCTTCAGAGGATCAAGGAGGGGCTCAACAAGCATGTCAGCAGCCTGTGGAACTGTGTCAGGCAGATGAACGGAACGCTCAGGTCGCATTCCAGAGACATTTCTGGCCTGAAGAATTCAGTCCAGCAGTTCTACAGCCACGTCTTCCAGATTTCTACTGATTTGCAAGATCTGGTCAAATTTCAGCCATCAGCAAGTAAGTTGAATATTACAATTCTATTTCTTGTATTTCTTTGCAGCACGCAACAACATTTTAAAAATAATTTTTTGTTCATTTTTGATATTGTTGAAACTTCATGAGGTAAAAATGTGACAGTATTATGCTAGATTTTGGACAGTTCACGGAATGAACTAAATGCCATCAGTCCTACCCAAATGTGGTTCATAGATTGGTGCCTGAATTATCTGGTGCTGAGTAGCAATAAGATAAATATATATTCTCAGTGTTAATATTTAGGAACTTCTAAAATAATTTGACAGACTGGTTGCAGTGGCTCATGCCTGTAATCCCAGCACTCTGGGAGTCAAAGGAGGGTGGATCACCTGAGGTCAGGCATTCGAGATCAACCTGGCCAACATGGCGAAAATCCGTCCCTACTAAAAATACAAAAATTAGCTGGGTGTGGTGGCACGCGCCTGTAGTCCCAGCTAGTCGGGAGGCTGAGGTGGGAGAATTGCTTGAACCTGGGAGGCAGAGGTTAAGGTGAGCCGAGATTGCATCACTGCACTCCAGCCTGGGCAACAGAGTGAGGCTCCATCTCAAATAAATAAACAAACAACATTGCAGTATTTAAGCACATGATCTACGTAATTTACAAAAATATCAGTTCACAACACATTGAAAATAAAAAAGGAAAACTGGTTCTTCCCACAGATGGATAGCCAAATATTATCTGTAGAATCAGGCTGGTGAGCTCAGAGTTGGGGTCAGATTTTTGGCATAACAGCTTGGGGCAGTGGGTGTTGTCCTCTCTTCTACCTAGGGAGTCTCCTACGTACCTCTCTTCAAGCATCACTTTTTATCTGTGTCGTTATCATCTTCAGGGCTTAGCTGATGGCAGATAGGATGCTGTCATATTTGTTTCCAGACACAGGACCGTGGATGAGAGCAGTTTAGGGACAGGAAGTATCTAAAGCTCCATAGTGCCTGCATCCAGGAAGCTCAGCAGTAGTGCTGAGAGCAATGCTGGCTACACCTTAGGCACTCAACAAATGTTTGTTGAATGAATGAATGTGAATGAATGAATAATATATGTAATAAGATTTTTTTGTTACTTGTGGGTGCTAAACGCAGCCTTCTCAAAGGACAGAGCTTCTCTTGTACCTGGGTTTGTACTCTGAGACAGCCTCCGACATAAGCTAGCCCTCTCTAGTCGGAGTCTGGGCGTGAAAGGAAGGAAGAGGGAGCTCGCGTTTTTGAACACTTTCTATGTACAGCACTGGCTTGGTCACTTCAGGGGGACTGAATCCTATCATGGCCTCACAGAAAGGCTGTTTTCCAACAGGGAAAATGTGCCCAAAGTCATGTGGCTGTTCAGTGGGGGAGCCAGGATGGAAACCAGGCCAGGCTGCGTCCAAGAATTGTTTTCTTGCAGTCCAGCCATGATGACTGTGTGTCTCCCAGAACTGAGTGCAGACTTACTTGGTCCATGGGGACTTGTTGAGGGGCCTGCTTTGTGCTAGAAGGAACCTATTCCTGACCTCCCCCTCCCTGTTTTCTTTTCTCCCATCCTTGCCTTTGGGACTTTTACCTCCCTGACCTGGTTCCGCTCTGGGTGACACAGGCCCTTGCACAAGGAACTGAGATTTCATGGCCTCTGTGAACCTTGGGATTTTATGATCAAGTCCCAGATGAGACATAAAACCCAAGGCAGCGTAGGCTAGAACGTGGGAAGCAGGCGAGCTCTGGCTTGGTCAGGGAGAGCCAGGGCCAGGTCCTGGCAGCTCAGGAGGGTGGAGAGGGTCCGAGGTAGGTGGGAAAATGCCCTGGATGTCCCCAGAGCACTGTGCTTATCTTGCAGATGACGAGTCACCTAGGCCCAGGAGGACCAGGAATCTGGCCGCCACCCGAGTGTCCAGCCCACTGCACCTCACTATTTATAACCCAGCCCTTCCCCCACTCCAGGGCCACTCAGCTCCTCTATCTCTGGAATGTTGAGTAGAGGTCACAAGACCATGTATGTGTTCATAGAATGATTGTCCCTTGTGGTGACAACGCTGTCTGGTCTGTGTCTTACGATAACAGGTTGAATCAGATATTTCCAGTTGATTTGGAACTCCCTGGTGGCGTGGGAAGCTGTGTTAACATTTTCGCATTTGTCTGTTGCAGTAGGAGTTGGGGGGTGAATTCTTTTAAAAGAGAATGTGCCATACAAAACATTATCCCTTTGGACTGAACTCATTGTGGTGAGTGTAGACTGCATGGAGTTTTGAGAATTTCATTGATTGGAAAAGAGCCAGAAATAAACAAGCAGAGCCTCCTCTGCCCTTGTCTAGCATCCAGGTCTAGGAGACCTGGAACCTGAGTATCAGAGGTGCATGGGAGAATCTGGAGCTAAGGTCACAATGAAAGTGACATGTCAATCAGTTAAAAGTCAACAGAATGTTTATTGAGTGCCTACGATGTGCAAGGCTCTTGGGGGACCTGGAGATAAGTAGGCATAATCCTTATTCTAAAGCATTTGCAATCACAGTGGGAAAGAGACTCACAGGTCTGCAGAGAGATGAATGAGATTGTTTGTGGCATAGCAGTTTATCCCTTTAGTTCATAAGCTCTTACTGAGCCCCTATTATGTGGTAGGTAATGGCTGTGTGGGGGAGTATGTGGATAAAAGTCTGATGGGGAAACAAGCAGACAGATGGTCACAGGAATGGGGTGTGGTGTGCATGAGCCACCTTGAGTGTTCAGAGAAGCACCCACAGTGGAAGTCAGGGAGGGATTCTCAGGAGAGAGCCCTGAGCTGAGCCCTCAGTGTAGGTATTTACCGAGCAGAGTACAGAGGCTGATGGGGTGAGGAATAAGGTGAGATGAGAGAAGCTTCCAGGAGGAGGTGTTACTGGATCTGATTGAGGGATGGGTGGGATTCAGAAAGCAGGAGGGGAGGACATTGTGGATTAGCTATTTATTGCTTTATAACAACCCATTCCAAATCTTGCTGGCTTAAAACAACAAAGATGTATTAGTTTCCATTATTCTGTAGGTCAGGAACCCCGGCAGGGCTTGGCTCAGCGGTTCTTCTGCTCTATGTGGCATCAGCTTGAGTCGCCCACTCAGCTGCATTCAGCTTGCGGTTGACTGGAAGGTCTGTGAAGACTCAGTCATATGTCTGGTGCCTCGGTGCTCCTCCACCTGGCCCCTCTCTCCATGTGGCCAACCTGGGCTTCCTCACAGCATGGCGGTGTCAAGTAGTCAGACTATGGCGACTGTCAAGGGAAAGTGGAAGCTGCTGGGCCTCCCACAGGCTAGCCCAGAGCTGGAGTGGCATCACTGCCACATTCTATTGTCAAAGCAGGTCTGCTCTTGAAGGGTGACGTGGCTGGTATGTTTGGGGAGGGAAGGGGGATTAATGGTGGTCATGATATCTACCACAGTGAGCACAGATCCAGAGGTGAAGATGTGTGATGGTTTTGGACCAGTAAGCAGATCGCCAGACCGGGAACACACACTGTGGTGTTTCTACTCAGCCTGTTGCCCTCTTCACAGATCCTGTTTCCTTTGGAAGCATCACTGAGGTGAGGCTGAATTATCCAAGAAGCAGCCAACAGGGGAGAAGAAGGGCCTTCAGCTGATGCTTAAATAGATCTAAGTCTCTTTTATATCCTTCTGTTAAGGGCATATATATATATAGCATATGTATATATTGCATATATATAATGAATAAATAAATATATATAATTGTTTTTGAGATGGAGTCTCCCTTTGTTGCTGGGGCTGGAGTGCAGTGGCGTGATCTTGGCTCACTGCAACCTCCGCCTCCCGGGTTCAAGCGATTCTCCTGCCTCAGCCTCCCAAGTAGCTGGGATTACAGGTGTCTGCCACCACATCCAGCTAATTTTTGTATTTTTAGTAGAGACAAGGTTTCACCATGTTAGTCAGGCTGGTCTCGAACTCCTGACCTCAGGTGATCCACCCATCTCAGCCTCCCAAAGTGCTGGGATTACAAGCATGAGACATTGCACCCGGTCAGATATATATATATTTGAGACAGGATCTTGCTCTGTCACCCAGGCTAGAGTACAGTGGTGCAATCACAGCTAACTGCAGCCTCAACTTTCCTAGGTTCAGGTGATCCTCCCACCTCAGCCACCCAGGTAGCTAGTACTACTGGCACGTGCCATCGCACCCAGCTAATTTTTTGTTATTTATTTATTTATTTTTTTAGAGATGGGTTTCACCATGTTGCCCAGGCTGGTCTCAAACTCTTGGACTCCAGTGATTCGCCTGCCTCAGCCTGGGATTCAGGCATGTGCTGTAATTACATGTGCTGGGAATTACGGGCATGAGCCAGTGCACCTGGACAATTTTTTTTTTGGAGATGGGGGTCGGGAGACAAAAGGTCCACAAGTCTGGGCACAGTGGCTTACGCCTGTAATCCCAGCACTTTGCGAGGCTCAGACGGGTGTATCGCTTGAGCCCAAGAGTTCGAGACCAGCCTGGGCAACACAGGGAGTCCCTGTCCCTACAAAAAATACAAAAAAATATATACTTTTGAGAAAATGGTCCAGGCAGAGGGAACAGCATTCTCAAAGGCTATGAGGAAGTTCTTTTGAAAAACCCAGAATAGTGGTATGGCCAAGCGTATAAGCAAGGCAGAAGGTCATCAGCAATGAGGTCAAAGCGAGGGTAGGAATGAGATCAGGCAGGCTTTCTAGGCTGTGATAAAGGAGTTGGATTTTAAGTACCGTGAGAAACTATTGAAGGATTTTGAGCTGGGGAGTGATTACTTCCGTTGAAATCCCTGCTCATCCATGCTTGTAAACAGTGGAGGATTAACTAATGTCCTGGACTTAGTAATCACTCAGGAAAATTACCTATTACTTAAACCCTCCATACCCTAGAATGGATGTTTAATCTATTCATGACTGAACTTTTCTCCCTTTCTCTACCTATAAACCCCCAGGCCTCCAGCCTTGGAAGAGAGAGGGCCTGTAAACACAGCAGACACAGGGTGAAGGGCCCTGGTGGCTCCGGTGATGCTGTAGGTGGCCACAGGTTTTTTTGTTTTTCTTGCTTTCCCTTTTTCTTGTTTTTAAAATTAGCGTTCAAATAGACAGTATAAAAAGCCTTAGAAATGGCTGGGCGCGGTGGCTCATGCCTGTAATCCCAACACTTTGGGAGGCCAAGGCAGCAGGATCACTTGAGCACAGGCGTTCAAGACCAGCCTGGGCAACACAGTGAGATCCTGTCTGTACAAATTAAACATTAGCTGGGTGTGGTGATGTGCACCTGTGATTCCACCTACTTGAGAGGCTGAGGCAGGAGGACCCCTTGAGCCCAGGAGTCTGAGGCTGCAGTGAGCTATGATCACACCACTGCACTCCAGCCTGAGCAGTACAGCATAATCCTGTCTCTTTAAAAAAAAAAAAAAAGCCTAGAGATCTCCCTTTTCAGCATTCACAGCTTCATGTATCTCGTGTATCGATAGTTTTTTTGAGCAGAATCTCATCACTTATGAACAAATTAGGTTATAAATGGAAAGGAGGCTCGAGGCCCTTTATTCCCTATGCAGTGTAGCCACGGAGTTGAGCCCTCCTTCCCAGATGGACTCGCTCCCATTTTCACAGGTGCGGGGAGCATCAGGCCTTCACACTCTCTCAGCAGGCATCCTCTTTTGTTCCTTTTTCCCAAGTTGCCCAGCCTTACCCCCACTCGAGTCTGAGTGACCCATGAGTGATTCATAGGGAATTACTCACAGGTATCCCCACAAGTGGGGGTGTGTCCTGGCCACAGGGTCTGCCTCCCAGGCACTGGGTGACCAGCAGAGGCTGACTCCCTGCCTGGGACCCAGGACTAGCCCGGCCTGCAGCCCAGTGGCAGCAGCATGTGGAGAATGGGGCAGCCCGCCCTCCCCAGCTGGCTTTAGCTTCCCCTGGCCCCACACACAGGTTGAGCCTCAGCTGGACCCTGCCTTCCCACTGTTCCTCTCCCGGTAGAGGAAGGAAGGGGTGCTGGTGGCGAGCAGGAAGGGAAGGCAGAGGGACGTAGCTGTGTGCAGGGGACTTCTCTTTCCAGATGTCACGCTTCCAAGTAGAGACAGATGTCTCTTAGATCTCAGCACACTAGAGATAATGGCATCACTTCCTTTTTCTGCTCTCCCACCCCTTTCTGCTCATGTCTCTGAGTAATTTTCATCATAGCGTTTCTTTTAGGAGTGCTGCAGGTTTAAGCGTACTATTTTTATTGAGTTAAGCTATAAGAATGAAAAAGCACAGCCTTGTCAAATAACTATTTAACCAGAAAGCCTGGCCAGGGCACTGCCTGATGCCAACATTCTGACCCCTTTGCCCCAACTCAAAATCAGCTGAGTTTGGGGAGAGTTTAGGCCCAAGGTAGCATGATGGACTTAGAGTTTTATAAACATATAAAGGCTCAATAAATTGCTTATATTCAGGCCATAGGGAACTCCTGACAACTCGCCCCCTTTATCCTGTAGGCACCAGGTTTCTACGATGCCCTTTGGTTCGTGTAAACCGCAGCTGCTCTACTGCATCTTAGCCTTGAACTTAGAGCTGCAGTGTTCGGAGAATGGAGCTTTCCCAGAGCTGCATGCATAAATGCCTCTGGGATCTTTAAAAAAAACAAAAACAAAAAACTCCTCGGCTCACTCAGGAGATCGCTGCTCAGCAGCAGGGATGAGGTGAGGGCCAGGAATTTGTAATTAAATTTATAACTAAAAAAAACCGCTAGCTCTAGTCCTGGAAATTGAAGGCTACCCCAGAGGCAGAGGGATCTACCCACCCCAGGTAAGCTGTGCCCAAAAAGAAAGAGGAGGTGGGGGGGAGGGAGGACACAGAATGAACCACTGACTGACACTGCGCCACCAATAGAAGTCAGCTTTGTGTGAGCCCACTTACGGACTCGATTCTGTTCCAGTTTTTGAGGTCTCTCCTGGTGGCTTACTCATTTAGCTTTATAGTGAGTCTTAAAATCAAGCAGTATAGATCCTCCTATGCGCTTCCATATAAATTTTAGAAACAGCTTGTGAATTTCTTTCTTGCTATTTTATTTTTTTTCAGCGGAGTCTTGCTCTGTCACCCAGGCTGGAGTGCAGTGGCACAATCTCGGCTCACTGCAACCTCTGCCTCCTGGGTTCAAGCAATTCTCCTGCCTCAGCCACCCGAATAGCTGGGATTACAGGCGCCCACCACCACGACCCACTAATTTTGTATTTTTAGTAGAGACAGGGTTTCACCATGTTGGCCAGGCTGGTTTCAAACTCCTGACCTCAGGTGATCCATCCACCTCAGCCTCCCAAAGTGCTGGGATTACAGGCGTGAGCCACCGCGCGCGGCCCAGCTTGTGAATTTCTAAAAAAAATTTAAAAATTCCAAGAGCTGCTGATGCTCAGCTGAGTGAGTGCCTTCTCTGTCGGGGTTCTGTGATAGCAAATTACTTTCCAGCTCAAATGTATTGCCACAGATTTTAGCACACATGACTAAAGCTGTATTTATATTTCAACATCCACGAGTTTGTACTTTGCAGAAATTTAGACGCATTTTCTATATTTAGCCCTATCCCACGAGTTTCACCATTCTTATGTCTGGATTCTTATTATTTTGGTGTCAATATGGTCCCTTCTGCCTTAACAACCAACACAGTGCTCCCTCTTATAAGCTTGAGGGTTTTTTTTTTCATTCAAACCAAATTCAAAAACAGCATTCATTCATTCATTTATTTATTTACTCATTTATTTTTGAGACAGGGTCTTGCTCTGTTGCCCAGGCTGGAGTACAGTGGTGTGATTATATCTCACTACAGCCTTGAACTCCTGGGCTCATGCTATCCTCCTGCGTCAGCCTCCTGAATAGCCAGAACTACAAGCACACATTACCATGCCCAGCTACTTTTTAAAATTTTTTGTCGAGACAGAGTCTGGCTATGTTGAAAGGCTGGTCTTGAACTCTTGGCCTCAAGCAATCCTCCCACTGCAGCCTCCTAATGTACTGGGATTGCAGGCATGAGCCACAGTGCCCAGCTCAAAAGCAGTGTTGAGATGGACATCGACTTGGAGTAGAACTATTCCAGGGAATGCATGTTTGCCTTCTCAGCCCCAGGGATACTTTTACATGCCTACTTGTGAGCCACCTTGGTGGCCTGCCCTCCTGTCCCGCAGGGGAGACCAACTGTTTCTTCGAAAAAGCCCCTTTATCTAAGCTCACCCCGGGCCCATTTAGCACCACAAGCGACAGTTTCTCTGAATTTTCTGATGAGTCCAGCATTTCTCATGCTTCAGTCCGTGATGGTATGGGGTTATTTCCCAGGAACTAGAGCTTTGCCACTCAGCAGAGCAGTCAACTGTGAAAGCATCTTCCATCCATCCGCCTAGCATTCTGTATGTCAGCACTTTGATGCTTTTTTTAAAAAAAAGTCTGAAGTCTTGATCAGCATCTTTAAAATACTTCTCCAGTTTCAGCATTTGGTCAGCAGGTATACCTTCTGGATGGCAGGGAGATCAGATTTCACCTTCACTGGACTTCTGATGAATTACACTTAACATTTGCACAGTGTTTTACAAATAGCGGGGCATTAAAAGGGCACACCCACATCCATTGCTTGGTCTGATTGGCATCAATTTCTGCCTGGATGACAGGAGGGCACTGCAGGTTGAGCCCGTTGCATGGACAAGGTTTCAGTGGCTTTCCCACAGCCGAGTCTCAACCACAGGCTCTAACAGCTAAGGCCAGGCTTTCTCCAACAGCCTCTTCTCTGTGACAAGACACCCCTTAGTTGCCAAGAACAGGGCCAACCCTTTCCCCAGGTCTCCTCCTGCAGCCCAGCTGCTCAGGGCTCTTGCAGAAAGCAGGGCTTCCTGGAGACAGCAGGCAACCCCTGACTCCTGTAATGAGCGAGGGTGTTAGTTCAGGGGGAAGACACTCGTTTTTAGCACATCAGCCCCATGAATTATTGGGGATTTTCTTAGGAAAGTCTTTGTTTTAATAAAAGTTGAAATTGATGTTTGGTTTTGAAATTGACTTTTAATAGGAGCTTTCGAGGAGAGGGAATGGCCTTTAATCCCTACACGTCAGGTTCACCCATGGTGAGGCTGTGACCCTACCCGACCCGTGCGGAGTGTCAGGCAGGCCTGGTGCAGTGTGGCTGGTCTGTCCCTATCATTCCTCAGGAGTTAAAACACATGAGGAGCAACCTTGGCTCTTATGAAGAATTCATTTCAAATGGTCTGTTCTTGAATTAGAAACACATGTTCAGTTCAGAAAGCAGTCGGCTGCTGGAGAGGTCTCTTTCCAGAATGAGCAGAGTGCTATCCAGCCTTTGTTAGGACTTGGTCATAAATGTGTGCGTTCGGCACCCCACGTGATGCTGTGGACTAAGCCAGAGCTAGGAGAGGCCAGGGCTGGGGGCACCCATCCCAGTGAGACGTCGCTTTTTCATGACTGTCTCTGCTATGATGTGGCGGGCTGCTTTGGAGCCTTCAGCCATCCACGGCACTCATGCACGGACTCCCCAAGGAGATCCACTGAGGATATCTGGCTCAAGGAATATCTTAGTTCATTCTTTTTCCTCTGCCTTCCACTAGTGTAACAAGTCTGGGTGTTGAGGGTGTAATGGATATATTAAAATGGATTATAGTAAAAGACAGAATGATCACTGTCCTATAGGTATCAGAACTGCCTTGTTAGGACCCCAGAATGGCAATTATTTTTGGCAAAATTAGGGTTCCCAACTTAATGGCTGGCAGGAATTAGGGTGCATGGCCCATAGCGCCTGTCATAGATAGGTTGAGCCTTCTTTTATTCACCCAATACTTAAATTGTTCAATGTCAGTTACCAGGCCTTGTGCTAGGCCCTGGGGATGGCAGAGAATTAAGATGCTCAAGTACTCATCAGTCAGCCAGAGAGGAAAGGTCTGAACCACAGAAAGAGCCCCCAGAGGTTCATGTTGTTTCCTGGTGCAGAGGCAGGACTGTTCAAGCCTGCTGGGCCAATCCAAGAAGGCTTCATGGAAGAGGTGGTTTTGAACTGCGACTTCAGGAGTGGGTGCCGTTTGTCTCAGTGAGGGTGCTGGAAGAGGCCATTTCAGGGGTGCACATGGTAAAGGCACGAAGCCAGGGAAGTCACATGAGAGCTGGGTACCAGTGAGCATACTGATGGCAGCCAAAGGAGGCGGGGGACTCAGAACGTCAGGCCGGAGAGAGTCAGTTTGATTTTTACGAGAAGTGGAGAACAATGGAAGATTTTTGAGCAAAAAATAATATGATTAGAATGCTTTCTAAGAGCATTCTGGAAAAGGTGTGAATGAAGGATCCAAGCAATATTTCCAAATTAGAATCAGCTGGGCTTAGCAACAAATTTGTGTGTGAAGGAGCAGGAGGGGGAGACCAAAGGAGAAGGAAGAGTGAAACAGGACTCTGTGCCTGGATGAGGGAGAACAAGGGCGGATTTCAGAGGAAAAGGGTGATTTGACGGGTTGGTGAGGACAGGGGAGAAAATAAGGGCCAGTTTGGGTGGCCTGTGCTTTGCCATTTTAAGATGCTTTGCTGACTAACTTATCGAGGGTTGAAGGACAGAGGAAAATTCTGTTTTCCCCTGAGTTTTAGATAGAGAGACATACGCTTGGGCTAAAAGGAAGAAACTAGTGGGGAGGAAGGAAAGAGAGGTTGAGAAGAGAGAGGAGTGATGTCAGATGGAGCTGATCCAAGAAGAGGAGGGAGGGTGGGGCTGGGGCTCAGGCAGAGGCGTGTGCCCTGGGAGGCAGGCCAGCTTCTGAGCCAGGGAGACGGTGTCCAGAGAGGAGGAAAGAAAAGAAAGATGAGGAGTCAACTCAAGTGTGCTTGGATTAGAGGGGAAAGGGCAGAAACAGGCCGTCAGTGTCTTCTACAATTATATTTTATAAAAATAAGTAAAATAACACTAAGAAGCTCATAATGAAAACCAGCTCCCCTGTTCCCTTCCCCATCCTTCTTCCCACGCCCCAGAGGCAGCCACATGTAAATCTTCCAGCTGTTTCTTTTCTTTGGTACTTACCTCCGTATTTCTAAATTGATTTATCAGCTTTAGACATTGTATATTGACCCCCCCTTCCTCCCAATTCCCAACAGAGTTATCCTACAGTCAATATGCAACATCTATGCTATGCTGAGCTCAATAGCTCTCTAAGGTTGTGTTGCTTTCCTTTTTACTTTTCTCTTAATTGGTAGTAGTGTTGCTTATATCCTATGTATCTATTTTGGAGTCTTCCTACCCTTCAACAGCCTCTTAATACAATTTTCTACATCATAAAAAGTATCAGATCATTTGTCAGTTCCATTTTTTTTAAAAATTGACCTCCCTCCTGGAATTCTTGCTCTTTCTGATCTAACCTGGACTGGTTATTTTCTAGACTTTTGCAATAAGGCTTTCAATCTGAGCCTGCCTTCACTACTATCCTAGAAAAGTCTTTAGCCTCTCTCCCCTTTCTTTTACTCTCTGTTGCTTTTTCATGGTTTACTCCCTTGTTTCAGTAGTGCACATTTCCCAATACCTTTTTAAGAAAGGGTGCGTGAGAGATGGCATTTTATAATTTTTTAAATATTGCCTGTCTAAAAATATCTTTATTCTACTCTTGTAATTGATGGGTATTTTTGCTGGGTACAGATTTCAAGGTTGACAATTACATTCTAGCATTGTTTGATGACATTGTTCCCTTCTCTTCTAGTTTCCAATACTGTTGAGAAGCCTGGTGATGCCTTCCTGATTTGCAGTCACTTTTTATATTTTTTCCCTTGAAAGTTTGTAATATCTCCTTTTTATCTTCAGTGTTCTGAATGTGGCTTGGTTTATTCCTCTTATTCAGTAATTGTGCTGGCATCTTTCATTTTCTTCAGTTCTGGGAAGTTGTGTGTTTATTTGATAATTCTCTCCTTACCATCCCATTACCCCTACATACCAGTTTTTCTGATTTCTTTTTTTCTGGAAGGACTTCCTAGGTTGACCCTTTAATTTTCTTATGATTTCCTTCCTATTGATCATCATTTCGTCATCATGTTCTACCTTCTGAAAGATTTCCTTGATTTTTATCTACCAACCCTTTCATGGAAATCTCTGGTTTTGGCAAGTGCCTTTTTAATCAGCAAAGGCTCACCCTTATTCTCTGACTATCCCTTTTGTATAGCAATCAATTCTTGCATCTTGGATGCAGTATCTTCTACTTCTCTGAGGGTAGGATGTGTTTATTTTCTTGCACTGTGTCTGTCTCTTTAGAGTTCCTTTTCTTTAGTTGGTGTGGCTTGCTTTGGTCCCTGTCGTTCACACAGGCGGCTTTCCTCATATGTCAGGTGATTTTGACTTTGGTTCACATTTAATGGGGAGACACTAGATAGAGTTTCACGACTGTGGGCATCATAGGGTCAATTTGAAGAATCCTCCTATATCCAGCTAGAGGTATAAGCAAGTGGCTGGGAGCTTAGCAGAGGATGGGGACTGTGAGCCTCCTTATTCAGGGAGCAGACTTTCGCTTAGTGTTTTTAGACTGGTATCTTACTCCTATCTTCCACTGTAGCTGGTATCTGCATGTTTTTCAATCCCTCTGCCTCAGTTTCTCTGTCTAACCCAGCCTTTCTCAACCAGGGTTCTAAAGAGATGTAAATCCTGATGCCATTCTATTGTATGGCGTGAACTAACTTCTCTGTATCTAGAATGGAATTAGCTCTGTATCATCCTCAGGGAAAACTGAGAGAGTAATCACTCAAATTGTTTTCTCTTGGGCTTCTCTCATGGAACATTGGTCAGGAAAGGCTGTTGGAGAAACTGCCTCTCTCAGGGTGTTCTGGCAACCTGCCTCTGTGGGTGGGGCGGGGGGGGGGCATGTATTTGATCTGCCATATTTATCTTAGTTTTATTTTTTTAATTTTTAGTTGTTATGTGTACAGAGTAGATATATATATATATGGGGTACATGAGGTATTTTGATACAGGCATGCAGTGTATAATAATCGGGGTAATAGGGTATCTATTACCCAAAGCATGTGCCATTTCTTTACAGACATTCCAATTCTACTCTTTTATTTAAAAATGTGCAAAAGATAATTGCTGACTGCAGTCACCCTGTTGTGCTATCAGATACTAGATCTTATTAACTCTGTCTAACTATATTTTTGAACCCATCAACCACCTCCACTGCCCTTCTCCCCAGCTTAGTGAGGCTGGAGTGCAGCGGGCGATCTCGGCTCCCTGCAACCTCCACCTCCTGGGTTCAAGTGATTCTCCTGCCTCAGCCTCCCGAGTAGCTGGGATTACAGGTGCGCTCCACTACCCCGGGCTAATTTTTGTTTTTTTGTTTTTTTTTTTTGGATATTTGGAAGAGATGAGGTTTCGCCATCTTGGTCAGGCTGGTCTCGAATTTGGGGGCTCAAGTGATCCGGCCGCGTCGGCCTCCCAAAGTGCTGGGATTACGGGCGTGAGCCACCGCGCCCGGCCCGCTTAGGGAGTTTTAAAACAAAACTAGACGGCAGGTCGGGAGGCAGCCGCCGATTTTTGTCGGGTCCTAAACAAAAATCAAATGTGTTGCGCTTTGGAACTCTGGGCATCGTGGGCACCAGGCTGACGGGGGCGGCGGGGATGGCGTTTCTTGGCGAGCGGGTCCCTCAGCCAGGCCCGGGTATTGTCAGGCGTCCCGTGGACGGTCGGGAGGGGCTTCCTGGAGGGCTCGTTCCGGGAACGAGTTCAAAGGAGGAAAGGGCGGCAGCTTCCGGCGCCTTCCCCAGAGGGCCGGGAGACGCACGCCAGGAGCTTCCTCCGTTGGAAGTCCCTTCCGCTGGCGACGTGGGCGCTGTGGCCGCGGCCCTCGTGGAGCCTGAGCCCTCCTCACGGCCTCCGCGCAGCCCTGGGGCCCCCCGGCAGGGTCCCTCGGCAGCCCGCGGGAGAGGCCGTGGGGCCCCGGCAGGAGTGTGGTTCAGAGACGGTGCGGGGGTCGGTGGCCTCAGGTCCCTTTCAGTCACTTGCGACGCACCCGCGGTTTCCGCGTGCTGTGAAATCGGGAATTGTTGATGCCGGAGCCAAGAGTGAGGCCGGTTTGGAAAGTGCAGCCGTCTGCGCCGGAGAGGCTGGAAACGCCCCGGCCCCGGGCAGGGGTCCCCGGCGGCGTCCGGGTGGCCCGCGGCGTCCTCGGAAGATGCGGGCGGACGCCCGTGTGTCCCGCTGGCCTGACGTCGCAGGGGTGGCCGCAGAGTCCTCACGGGGACCCCGCTCGCCGGGACTCATGGAGGGGACCCTGACGGGGCAGTCAGGGCTGAGGTTTCCTAATCCCGTGTGTTTCTTTCTCCCCGACGCCCGGCAGAGGCGCCCTCGCCCCCGCCGCCCGCAGAGGCCCCGAAGGAGCCGCTGCAGCCCGAGCCCGCCCCGCCGAGGCCCAGCGGCCCCGCAACCGCAGAGGACCCTGGGCGACGGCCCGTCCTGCCCCAGCGGCCCCCCGAGGAGAGGCCGCCCCAGCCGCCAGGCTCCACCGGGGTCATCGCGGAGACGGGCCAGGCCGGGCCCCCCGCAGGCGCAGGCGTGTCTGGGCGGGGTCTGCCGCGGGGCGTGGACGGCCAGACCGGGAGCGGCACCGTCCCCGGCGCAGAAGGCTTCGCGGGCGCACCAGGTGAGGCCCGGGGCTGCGCGGGGAGGAGCGCGGGGCTCTCCCGGAACTTCCGCCTGAGCCTCGGGGTCTGCTGAGGGGCGTGGCGGTTCGGGGTCCAGCCTTCGGGGGGGCAAGTTCCGAAATGCAGCTTTGGAAGGATGCCGAGGCCCGAGGGACCGCTCATGCTAGTCCAGCACACGGAGGCCGGGGCACCTCAGGGACAGTGCAGTCGTCTGTACTTAGACATACTGAGTGGCCCCGCCGGTTGGAGTACGAGTGCCACACGGGCAGCTCATTGATTCCCAGCAGGAAGGATCTTGGAAGCCAGAAGGGTATTGGGAGCTTGGGTAGCAGCAAAGCAGGTGGCACAGCAGCGTGGCTAGGCAGGAGGGCTGTCTACCACGGGCTTCGGGACTTGGGGCAGCTTCCTGAGCTCTCTGAGCTGCAGTTCCTTCAACCACAAAATGAGGAGAGTGCAGGACCTCAGAGGCTTACTGTGAGGATGGAGAAAAGCCCAGTTCAGTGCCCCACTGGGAAGTGCTCCCCATGAGTTGTGAATGTCTGCACCATTACTGTCGTGGTGACAGTGGGGGTGGTGTCAGAGTAGAGACAGGAGAAGGAAGTGAGCATTTGTGGGATACCCACCACGTGCCAGGGACTGAACCCTATCTGGATCTCCTGCAGCCCTCCCAATGGCACTGTGAAGCCAGTGTTGTTTTACAGATGAGGAAACTGAGATTTGTGGCTATAACAGATAAACAGATGACCCTGAATGGGGCAGGTCATGTCATCTGCCATAGATACATGCATAGAACAATGCAAACCAGTCAGTCCCCTCTGAGTCAGACCAGGCTGACCATCAGGGACATGCAGACACTGGCAGGGCTGGGGTTGTTCCCCATCGGTGATAGCCTGGTGCCCCCATGGCCCCTGATGCCCACGGCTGTCTGGAAGGCTGGGTCACTGCTGAGAAGACAAGGAGACATTTTCTCTCACCAGCTTTCTTTTTTCTATTCCTTCTTAGACACCTGAGCTGCGGTGATCACAGCTCTTAAGCAGATGTCCTGCATTTTCTAAGATAACACTTATCTTCTGTTAGTTCCATGTATCATGGATGCTTAGGCTCTCTTGGGCTATTTGTTCCCTCATTTGTCCATCCACGCACCCTTCCGTGCATGCAGCACTCACCCATGCATCTATCCGTGTATCCCTTCCATCCACCCTTCCATCCAGCCACCCACCCACACATGTATCCGTGTATCCACCCATCGATACATCCATCCACCCACATATGCATCCTCATATGCAGAGGCTGGGGCACCCCAGGGACCCACCCACCCATGTATCCATGCACATATCTGTCCACCCACCTATGCATGTGCACATCCTTCCACACATCAAGCCGTGCACTCTTCCCTGTGTGCATCCACTCATCCATCTATTTGTCCCTCCACTTCTGCACCCACCCATCCATGCCTCCATTTAATAAGTACTGCATTCAGTCTAGTTGAAGGTAGAGCTCTTGAACAGATAACACTGCTAGAGGGCAAATGTTAGTTGGCTTGTGTGACTCTCTCAGTCACAGAGAAGTCTCCAAGGCTCCAGTGCCCATCTCTTTCTTTCCTGCAGCCAGCTTGCCCTCAGTGCCCTCTTCCCCGCCAGGGATAAATGGGCTAGTGAGGAAGCAGGGACGGGCTGGTACAAATGTGCCTCTGCTTGAAGGAGGGCAGTGACAGTGGGTGCCCTTGTTCTATGTCTGTTTCTATAGTAGTGAAGACTCGATTTGAACTTGTGAGGAGCAGAGGAAAAAGGGGGCTCAGAACAAGGAGCTGGTGCTTAGGGTCTTGTTTGACATGCCATTTCCTTTCTGTTTTTCAGGATACCCGAAGTCACCTCCTGTAGCTTCCCCAGGTATGTCTGCTGAGAGACCAGGAGCAGGAGGAGCGGTCTCCTTGGTGGCCTCTGCCCCTCCTCTGCATCTCCTGCCTCCTCCCTCCAGGCTATTAGCACAAATCAAGCCTGGGCCCAGCCCTTCCCCACCCACCAGCACTGGGACAGCCCTCTGCTGACTATAGTGGACCAAATTCCCCAAGGTTTGCTCCCCAGAGAGGGTCAGAGTCAGGCCCAAGACAAGGAATCTTCCCTCCTCCATCATCCCAGCTCATTGAGTTTCCCAAGGGGATCACTGGGTGGGCCTCTGCCCTTGTGTGGTCCTGATGAGCTTCCTGGGGCTCCAGGTTTTACTGATTTATTAGTAAGGAAGCAGCTCCCTAGATGATGATGCACCCACTGCCTGGCCTGGCCTCCTAATATGTGTGCTCACAAGTGTGTGCACACACTCACACGCACATACACATGCTCATCTCATATGCTTACATGCCCAGCCTCACACACACCCTCCTAACAAGAGTCTGTCCGGTTTCTCAGATTCCTCAGCTGTCCTGCCTGCTGATCCTCAGACAGGGAACCCTCTGGCTGTTGGGCATGAGGAGTTTGCTTCACCACTTTGGGTGAAATAAAATGGGCCTGGCACCTGGGCCTGGCACGTAGGCCTCAGTTTTCCAGGCCCTCCCCCTGGAGGACAGAAGCACCCGGGTCAATCCATTCCATCCTTTCTCTGCTCCAGGAGCTCCGGTGCCTTCTCTGGTGTCTTTTTCTGCGGGGCTCACCCAGAAGCCTTTCCCCAGTGATGGGGGCGTTGTCCTCTTTAACAAAGTGCTGGTGAACGACGGGGATGTTTACAACCCCAGCACCGGTGAGTGTTTGAACGGAACTGGTACTGTGTCCTCCTCCTACCCCAACGCAGGTGGGACCCCTCCCACCATGGCTGGCTGGTTCCCAGCGTCCCGTGGGCTCAGGGAGGACGCCACCCTGGAGCAGATGCCCGAGTGGGCCTGCACTCCTCTGCCCGACTCTGTGGGCTTTCACGTAGAACGTGTCCCAGCTCGAGGGCTGCAGGCTGCATGGGTGTGTAACATTTTCTAGTCGTGAGGTCAACACGCTAGTCCTCAGCATTCACCACTGGGGTTGCTATTCATTTTTTACAGCAGTTATGAGGGCTGTGCCGGCACAGCCCGCCATGCCCTGGCCACCTCTGATAGCCACCATTGCACCCCTCTCTCAGGCTCCGACAGTCATCCTGACAACCTGGGCCAGGACAAGCGGGAGGCTCCCTCAGGGTCTCCTAGTTTATGATGAACAGAGCCACAAGAGGGACTGCGCTCCCCAGAGGGCCTCATGCTCTGCAACAGAATCCCTTCAGCTGGGAGCCTGAGTCTTTCTGCAGCGCCTGGCGTGTCCCCCTGCCCCGGGTTGTTGCTGGAGGTCCCAAGGATCATGGGTGTGGAGTTTACCTCCGAGTTCCCTGTGTCCCATCAGTGTCCACCTGGGCTGGGCTGCTCTGCCCGGACGGAGGGCAGCTCCAAGGAAACAGGGTCCAGGGGTGCCTGGGCCCATCAGGACAGAGCTCCCAGGCAGGTGTGGGGAGGTCCCCACAGCCCGGGGTCTTTCCTGACGTCTCTCTCTGCCCTCAGCAGTCACTGTTCTGCTCACGCACTGTGAACAGGGCCTCCTGGAGGGGGGTGGGGCAGTGGATTTCAGGGAGGCCTTGCCACCCATAAGCCACTGGGAGGGAGGGGGACTTGGTTTCCTTCTTGGTAGTTTTTAGCCACCCCCAGCCTCACGTTTGCCCTGTCTAGTCACTGTCTGGCTAAATCCCATCTGTCCTTAGTCAGTGGCTCTTAACTGTTATGTTAGCAAGCCTAAGTTACCTGCAGAACTCAGAGAAATGAATTCTCAGTGCCCCAGGCTGATTAAGCTGGAGCTTGGCATCTAAGGTCAGGGCGAGAGGGAACGCCACTTACTTTCCACCGCCATGTAGCTTCCTCCTGGGCCCCACAGACCTCCAGGCCTCTGCTCAGAGTGGCAGTGGCCTTTGGGGTCAGTACATCAGGGAAGGGGAATCCATACAGGCCTCAATGCTTGCCTCCTCAGAAGAAAGAATTTGACCAAGGGGCATGAGGCAGAGTGAGACTGAGGCAAGTTTTAGAGCAGGAAGGAAAGTACACTCGGAAGACGGCCAAGTGGGCGACTTGAGAGATTCAAGTGCGGTCTGACAGGTGACTTGGGGTCTTATACATTGGCATGCTTCCAGGGTTGCGTCCCTTTCCTGATTCTTCCCTTGGGGGGCCGTCCGCATGCACAGGGGCCTACCAGTGCCTAAGAGGGGGGCGTGCGCAGTGTTTCCTGGAGTTGTGCATGTGCCCACGTGAGGTGTTCTTCCTGTACCAGTCAAGTGTTCCCAGGAGGTCACACACCAGTTAAACACCATTTGAAACATCATTTTTGCCTCTTAATGCACATGCATGAGCTTCATCGCCCAACTCCGGAGATCTTATCTGGAAGCAGCTGATCATCAGCTTCAGGTTTTGTCTGACTATTGGGCGACTGCCTTTCTGTGGTGCTGGCTGCAACCAATCATTAATTTAGAGAGACAGTTAACAACTGCAGGACCATCATCTGATGGTTGCCTGACATTCCTAGTTGGGGTAGGGGCTCTCCTGCCCTGCTCCCATCTGCCTGACTGTAACAAGGCCATGCTCCCCAGGTCACTCTGCACTGCCTTGGCCATAGGGATGGTTCGTCTGCTTGGACAGGTTGGGTGGTGCTTGCAGGCAGGGACTGTGACCTATAGTCTCGCATTCCCAGAGCTATCTCTTGTCTTGCATGGAGCAGGTGCAGAAAGAAAATTCTGGGTGAACTGAGTGAGGCTTCACCACAGGCGACTCTGAACAAAGGTGAAGGCCACACTCAAAACGCCAGGGCTGGTGCTGGCCTCAGGGCCAGGTACCTTAGGAAGCATCTGGAAAGCCCTCAGTTACTTGCTGTTCAAAGTTGGGAAGGGGACTGGGTAGCCAGACCTCTTCTGTTTTCCAGAGCAGATTGAAGGCTTGGGCTCCTGACAACCACTTTTTTTTTTTTTTTTTTTTTTTTCTGAGACAGTCTTGTTCTGTCACCCAGGCTGGAGTGCAGTGGTGTCATCTCTGCTCACTGCAACCTCCGCCACATGGGTTTAAGGGATTCTCGTGCCTCAGCCTCCTGAGTAGTTGCGACTACAGGTGCACGCCACCACGCCCATCTAATTTTTTTTGTATTTTTAGTAGAGATGGGGTTATCCGTGTTGGCCAGGCTGGTCTCAAACTCCTGACCTCAGGTGATCTGCCCACCTTGGCCTCCCAAAGTGCTGGGATTACAGGCGTGAGCCACCACGCATGGCCAGGACCACCCTTTTTAGCTCCTGGGCCCTCCGCTTTATGTCCACTCTTGGCTTGTTGTCAGCGGCAAGGTCCGATGTCTGCTGCGGAGCCCGTGAGTGATGGCCATTCCTGCCGGCATTTGGTGTTGGCACTGACTCTCCTAGCTGTGGGGCCACCTACAGCTGCTTCTGCTTAGCGAATTGTGACATGTACAGATCTTTCCACCTTCCTCACCTTTGGCCACCACTTCCTTTCCCACCCTGGGCCCAGAACGTGTGGGTCATGGGCTGAGTATCAGTGCTCACTTCTGGCCATTGCCCAGCATGGGGAGAATGGGCCTCTTCCACGAGGAGCCTGGCATGGCCCCTGGGGTTACAAGGTGCCATGTCTGCCTCTCCCTGGGTTGGTGGCAAGCTTCGTTTTTATTGGCCCTGCCTCCCGGGTATTCTGCCCAGCAGCCAAGCTTTGAGGCTGACTTTAGCCTTTAGGTGCTTCCAATAAGGAATGCCTCCAAGAGGCATTCTTAGGCCCATGGCAAAAAGTGGTATGGGCTAAGGTGGCCTCTGCATCACGGGTAGGCTGTAGGGGATGAGCATAAAAAGCAGCTGAGGCAGGCAGCCAGCTACCATGGGAAGACAGAGATGGCTGGTCTCCCAGGCCCAGGTTAATCACTGGGGGGCCACTTACTACCATGGCAAGGGCTGTGACGACAGCAGGTGAGCACAGGGTTTGCCTTTCTCCCCGCAGGGGTCTTCACGGCTCCTTATGATGGGCGCTACCTGATCACGGCCACCCTCACCCCCGAGAGAGACGCCTACGTGGAAGCAGTGCTGTCGGTCTCCAACGCCAGCGTGGCCCAGCTGCATACCGCTGGGTACAGGAGAGAGTTCCTGGAATACCACCGCCCTCCAGGAGCTTTGCATACCTGCGGGGGCCCGGGGGCATTCCACCTCATCGTGCACCTGAAGGCGGGAGATGCAGTCAACGTCGTGGTGACTGGGGGCAAGCTGGCTCACACAGACTTTGATGAAATGTACTCCACATTTAGTGGGGTTTTCTTATATCCTTTCCTTTCCCACCTCTAAGGTGGCTGGGGAGATGTCAGGGGAAAGATAGATAGTTGTAAAAACTCTAAAGCTTTAATATATTCGGTTTGTATGTAATGGAAGCACGGGGCTAGAGTTTCCACATAGGCCCCAACATAAAGGCCTTCCCTCGCTGTTGAGGCCACCATGCCTTACTGCATCCAGCCAGGCTGCAGGGAGTGAGGCACACGGTGAACATGGCCACTGACTTTTCTGCCACTCTAACTGGACAACTGGAAGACTTGGAAAGGCCTCCACCTGTATCTACACTCTGAGGGCCCTGGACTGGGCCTGAGCTTGCCACAGAGGCTCCGTCTGACTGTGGGCTGGGAGGAGGGAGGCAGGGGAGAGCCGGTCACGGTGGCTGGTCTTTACTGCAGGGCAGCACTGTGGCCAGCTGTCTGTCTTTACACTGCATGCAGAAGTTTAAACACTGAAGTGCCGAAGTGGCCCGTGCCGCCGCACAGAGACCCCGACTTTAGTTTGGGCTGTTCCACGCTTGGCTCACCATTGCCGCCTGGGACTTAACCTGCTCAGGCGGGCCTTCGCCCAGCTGCAAATAGGGATGCGTTAGAGACTGTTCCCAAAGCTTGTTGGGCTCCTTAAATGGCATGTACAATTTAAGTGCAAAGACAGGGAGTGTCAATAAAGATGGAAAGCCATTTCCAGTTAACTTTTGTTAATTTAAGTGTGGTCCCTTACAGATCGGGAGTTGTTGCTAAAAAGCAAACTGAAGAAATGTTTTGTTTCAAAAAGGGCTACAGAAAGTAACCTTGAGTAAAATTAATCTCAGCTACAAAACTGTTACCCCTCCGCATCCAAGCTATACACTTGGGTTTTGTTTCTGGCTTGTGAAGACGGACCAGATGTGCACGGAGGTCAAGGCCCCATGTCATCTGCAGCTGGAGCGGCTCCTCTGGGGATGCTGCACTCAGATCCCACAGCAGCTGCCCAGGCTAACTTGATCCCTGCTGCTTCACTGCACCAATCTCCAGCAGACACAGCTCGCCGAGCTCTTGGGTTTCTAAGCAGCAGGAAGCTCAACCTAACGCTGGCCACACGCTGACAGCTGAGCCCATCTGAGAACACGGCATCTTCACACAGCGAGACGCCTCCACTGAGGGGAGGCCCGGGAGTATCAATCTGTCACCAGTGGCCACGGAGACCTCTCAGCACCCTTAGTTCAAGGTAGTCTCTGTGGATCAGGTTGGTAACACCTACTGGTTAATCAAGTCCCACTGGGGAAAGGTTTGGACGGTAGAATCAAGAGCTGCAGTTTCCTTGGCCCACAAGATGCTCTTATGCTGTAAAAAAAATGCTTTAAGAATTGTTTGCAAATGAATTTACAGGGTGGCCACTGGACACTTCAGAGTTCCTTATTTACTCCCCCCGCCACAGCTAGGAAGACCAGCAAGAACTAAAGGTTTGCCGTTTTACTATTTAAAATGTGGACCTCTTTGTCCAGGAGCGGGAGGGAGAATGGCATCTCACCCCATTACAACAGCTGGGGAACTGGCTAAAGAGAGCTGTCAGAGAGTATCCTTGGCTGTCCTAGGAATGACTCATGGAAAGCGCCCCAGTGCAGCAGTGTTTTCAGGAAAACCCAGTGGGCACGCGCCATCGCCCTCTCCTCTCCTCTCACGCTCCTTTTGAAAAGACCGCACTCGGCGCCCAAGGGGACGTGCTCAAGAGCTGCAGGGGCAGGGCCCAGGCAAAAGGTGGGTGATGACTACCTGCTGCTTTCCCTACTCCGTAGATGGGTCTGGAACATCGGGTAAAACCCAGTCCTCCTCTCAGTGCATCTCTACTCACCAACAATGGTGAATCTCAGCTCTGTGTATTCAAGACAGGCAAAACAGAATATGCCTCATTATGGCTGGAGCGTGCCTCTACTTTGAGATAAAGCTGGATGACAGGTGGATCCTGGCCCACTTAGGAGACATCTTTAGAAAGGGAAAGGCTGTCTTTTTGTACAGGTAGTAGAACAACAAGGTCAGCTGAGCTTAAGGCTGTGGGGTTCGAAGCAGCCCTTCAAGAAGTCATCACCCCTGAAGTAGTGCCTGCGAGTCAGTCAGAGGCATACCAAACCCTGAGACAGAATCAGGCACAAGTTCACAACTTTTTTTTTTTTTTGGGGGGAGACAGTCCTACTCTGTCGCCCAGGCTGGAGTGCAGTAGCGCGATCTCAGCTCACTGCAACCTCCGCCTCCCGGGTTCAAGCAATTCTCCTACCTCAGCCTCCCGAGTAGCGGGGACTACAGGTGCATGCCGCCACGCCCGGTTAATTTTTTGTATTTTAGTAGAGATGGGGTTTCACCGTGTTGCCCAGGCTGGTCGCGAACTCCTGAGCTCAGCCAATCCGCCCACCTCGGCCTCCCAAAGTGCTGGGATTACAGGTATGAGCCACCACGCCCAGCCAAGTTCACAACTTCTGATATCAAGTTGTTGCTGAGAAAAGGTCAGGACACTTCTTAAGTAGAGAAGGACTGTGACATCCCCTCCAAACCTCCATGTAACACTAACAAATGGCCTCATTTACACGATTAAAAACAAAATGGTATCGTCAATAAATGCAAACCTTAAACTGCATTTGAAATTACTTCCTGGTTGGCATGTTAATCTAGCTTTCCCAGGTGACTAATTTTCTCACAGTTTATGTATTTGCAGCTTGACAGGGAGTATTTGTGATTGGAGTCACTTCGTTCATGCCTGTAAGCTTGGAAACCCAGCTTTGCACATATCCAATCCACACCACAGCCCCTTTCTAAAGATAAATGTGTATTTTCCTTATGCCATCCTATAAACGGGAAAGAAAATGGAAGGACACATGCCAACTCCAATGGGTGCGGGGCAAAACAGAGAGAAGCCACACGCAGGCACGTCCTCAGAGCTCAGGTATGCAAAGTTCACTGCTCCCCTGAAGCCCTCAAAGCTGCTCTGGGTAAAGACCATTTCCTTTGTAACCAATTTCCCTGAGCTCTTCTTTTGCATTCCCAAAGACCCATGGTTGCCATCACGTCATGCAAACAAACATTTCCATCCTGAACACACGCTCCTGTGGAGGGCCTTTGGGATGCAGGGTTCAGCATATGCTGCATCTGGTAAGGGCCCAGCAATCTGAGAGGACAAAACATCACCATGTAAGTAATATATGCGATGTGGTTTTGATCAAAGGTCACTCTGACTCTGTGATGAAAACATCAGGATTGACTGCTAAATCATACCCACCCTAAGGAAGGGTTTAAGGAAAGGTGGGGTGTCCAGGGGCTCTGGACAGGACTCCCAGGGAATTCAAGTGCTTAGGGAGAGGAGGTAAACACAGCCTCCTGGACAGCCGTGAGACCACAGCAGAAGTCACATATGGATGGGTCATTTCCTGGCAGAAGGTACAAAGCAAGAGGTTAGTTCCTGGGGGTGTAGCTGCACTTCTGAAGCCAGGTTTTAAGAATAAGCAACAAAAAGGAGCTCCTGCTGTAGACAAATTTAAGTGTCAGCAAAGATCAAGATGCTAATTTATGGAAATTACCAATTTCTGGCAAGAATCTAGAAAGATGGTTTCAATGTCCCCTGAAGAAAAGAGCCAAATGCATTCAGTTTATGTTATGTTCGTTTATTGTTGTAACATTTTGTTTTGAACATCAAACACTGCACCAAAATATTAGCCATTCATCTTGCAACAATTGCTTTACTGTAACTAAGAGTACTGTACTGATGATGTTTACAATTAACTTTGGACAACTTAAAACTTATTAGTGACATTGCTGTCTAATAATCAAATACTTCATCATAGGCTGAACATAATTATTAAAAGAGCAAAGTTTCCCCTCCCTTTCTTACTTTCAAACAAAACCAAAAGAGTAGTTTTCATCTGGAAAGAGCACTTACTTCAGGGAAAGACTCAATTTTTAACCAGTTTTATTAAACCCTGGAAGCTCTACAACACGGGAAAACATCGAAATTCCCCGGAAGTCTGTTTTTGCCAACTTGTAAAAAGTGAAAGAGCTGACTTCCTTGTTTATTCTTTAAAGGGTTGGCCTGCACCTGCAGTGCCAACTGTGGAAGGGCTGTGTGCAGGCCCCACAGTTGCAGGGGCTGTTCCGGGCCAGCGCTTCCCAGTCATCCAATCTCCTTTGTCCCTCGGTTGTTCTGTGACTTTGAGCAGCTTTCATTTTAGGACATCCCATTTTTAAGTTTTTTCTTTTTCCAGTTGAAAACTATGCAGATGTTTTTAGACAGAGCAAAACACAACACAGTACCCAAAAACGGAGGCAGCCTGCATGCTCCAGGTCTACACGAGCACCTCACAGCCTGACAAGGGGCAGACAGCAACTCACACGGGACGAGCTTCAGCACACAGACAGCAAAGCAAATACGAGACTTAGACTGAACTGCAAAGAGGGAAAGGGCCATTTCACCAATGGAGTAACTGAGAGAATAATGACTTAGAGCCCAATCTGCCTGCCATCTCCCTGAGCCGTCACCCGTCACTGAAGATAGCGCGAGGGTGATGCTTCAACTCACCATCCTAAGGGTTTGTGTACAAACACACTCGAGGGCATCTCTTTCACAGAAAGAACAAATGTCATTTGTACCAAATGGCAATGGATTTTCAGCACAAACTTAATACTTTCCTAACACTACAGCAATAGTAATCATCTACTTTCAGCAAGAGGGACTCCTTTAAACAAGGAAAAAGACTCACATTAATTAGCCTATGTACCCACTGGATCAATCTGCAGCAACAAAGTCTAGTGCTAGCAGACACAGGGACAGAGGGACCAGCTACCCTCAACACAGGGCCAGGAGAGCCGGGTCCTAGACTGAACCCTCTAAGAAGGCCCATGTGTCCAAAGAGAAGAGCTGTCAAGAAAAAGAAACTAGTCAAAAACTCTTTAAAGGACAACCTAAAAAGGATTAAAGATGTATATTAAGATTTTTCAGTACCATACATATGCAAAGAAGTCCTACTATAAGCTCAGTTAAACACACAAAGCTCTCATTCTTCCTCTAAATAGAAGGTAGTCAAGAGGACACACAGATGGCATCTATGAAATAAGGTGGCTGCATGGCTGCTGTACTAGAATTCACAAACTGGGAAGAACTTCATATAAACAGAACCCAGGATCCCTAACCTACTGTAGATAAATAAACTCATTAAACAATTAGTCCTTATCAACTATTTAAGCTGGGGGAAGCTTTGCATGGGAGAAGGCTCATGTGGTCCCTTCTCTGGGAACATGAGCCTTCCTAGGTTTTGCCACTGAGAACTGTGTTTAGGGGATTTCAACATTGTCTCTGCATCCGACAAGCACTAGGAAAATGGCTGAAATCAGTCAGGGACTTTCAACTCTCCAATCTGGAAAAATAACCACCCCTATTTCTCTATCTCTAGATCAGCATTATTTTAGGTGAAGCAAACTAAAACATGTAGAGGTTCCACTACAACGGCAGGGGCATGAAGAGTTGGCCACGAGACCACCCCGAGCGCCAAGCCTGTATCTGCAGATCCCTCTCTGCTCAGGAACCACCACGTCCTGTGTTCTCGCCAATGGAGACCAAGACCTGGGGTTGGTTCTGGGCTCCTGACAGTTCTCTTGATGTTAAGAGTGCAGCTCTGTCAACACTCAGCATACCAAAAGCTCTGGAGCAGCTTATGGCACACCTTTCCCTGGTGCCATCTCTTCAGACACGATGTGAGCTCATTACAACCGCATCAGTAAATGGAGCTACCATGTATATTTTAGTGAAAATACATAGGCACCCGTGTCCCCATGGGGTCTCACAGGGCTAGGCTGGGGACACTGCTCGGGGGGCAGTCTGCTCCATAGGAGCTCCAAGACCCCTCTTTGACGCTGCTTCCACGGGCCCGATTACAGGGTGTGATCCCAAAAGCCAAAGTCACACACTGCTGGCCAGTGCCTTTAAGCAAGCTTCACTGTGCTTCCCTGACAAATCTGAATCACAGAATTTTAGAAATCCTGTCCCAAGGCAAGATGCTTTCCAAAGGCCCACACCAGGCAGCAAGCAGAGGGATTCAGCGCTCTTCCCAGGACCCCACTCAACCGCCTATCTGCATTTCGGAGGCCTCCCTAAAAGCAGAGTTGTTGGGGGCGGGGCGGGGTTTGGTCTGTTTTAAGACCCACCTTCCCACTTTTATTACAGACATCAAATATATACTTGTGAGACCTGTTCTTCTGGTGAGGACTAAGAAATTAAGGGCTCGTGGAGTTGTCACAGATGAGAGGAGGATGCTCTGTGGGGATCTTTCCCCAAAGAGGGCCAGGTTTATGGGACTGGGCTCAGTGGCTCTGGTGCATGGGCCCTGCAGGGGCGGGGGTCCTGCCCAACTTGGCCCACTGGAGCAGCTGACCCCTTCAGTGTAGCAGGAAATGAGGCGACCAGAGAAGAAACGTGCACAGGCAGCTTCAGCCAGCATCACTGACTGGGCCCGCAGCAGTTCAGGGACCCTGACATCTGAAGACAGCCCTGGTTACAGAAGCCACCTCAACTGCCCAGTGGAAACTGGAACACTTCACTGTGTGCAGTGTTTTGGTCCACTCTTTTTTAGCTGCTTTTTTCTTCCTTTAAAATGATGCAATGGAAGGAGGCCCCAGCTCACAGCAGGAAACATGTGTGCGACCCACAAAGGAGGGATCCCAGGCCTCCAGCCCCAGGCCCAGTTCCTCCCTTCTCCTTCCAGGAGCTGAGCTGCAGACCTGCCGAGCCTGAGCAGCTGGCCTGGGAAGGCAAAGGAGGATGGCGGGACCAGCTCCAGAAGCACCCGTCCCCGCTGGGGAAGGCTGGTATCTGAGGTCAGCAGAAGAGCCAGCTGCCTTCCCTTGCTGTGGGGAGGGGGACCAAGCCCTGCCCACCCACTGAGGTGCCGCCTCAAGACAGGTCATCCAGGTCCACTTCAGGGATCGGGTCTCGCCAGTAGCAGAAGGAGCTGAACTCCGGGCAGGGAAAAGCGGAATTCTGCTCCTTACTGAGAAGGGGGAACACATGCTCCACGAGCTCACTCAGCCTGTGATACCTAAGAGAAAGGTTGGGGAAGAGGCACAGGCTATTACTTCAAGATCGGTCAAAGGCACAAGATGGGGGGCTGTGAAGCTGTCACTCAGATTGCTCAGGTGGGCAGGTTCAGAGGCAGGCCTCAGTCCCATCACAGGGCTCAAACTCCCTCTTACAAGTCTAGGATAACCAGAGACCCCTCAAACAGATATTGTGAAAGAGAGATACCCACAGAGGAGATGTAGCTGATCCTTTGATCAGGGCCTGATCTCAAGGATCAGGGGGAAAAGGACAGGGTCTGTCTGTCCCCAACTGTACCCCTGGCTGCAGGGCGCCGGGCTGAGAGCTGAGAATGTACTTACGATGACTTGTTTCCTTTGGTTCTTTCTTGTATTAATTCACCCTTGGGGTTCACGGTGAATATTCTACAGTCTGGAACTCCAACTTGTGTGTAGGCATAGACATCCTGCAGAAGAAAATAGCAAGCGGGTGATTCCAGGGAGGAGAATTCAGGAGATACTTCTCAGGCTCCTTGTGAGCCAGAAGCACTGCACAGACAGACTCGACAGAAAACATGCGGAGGCGGCACAGTGCAGTTGCCACCAAAACTGAGCTTTAGAC
Organism: Homo sapiens; assembly: GCF_000001405.40. Lineage (NCBI taxonomy): Eukaryota > Metazoa > Chordata > Mammalia > Primates > Hominidae > Homo > Homo sapiens. The sequence goes on from NC_000018.10 coordinate 2,921,037, forward strand.
AAACCTAAACTACAGAGTGGTGCTTGGAGAGTCAGAAAACTTGGGCAGCCACCAAGGGGAAGCCAGGGTCCCTGGCGCAGAAGAGGCCAGAGAGGCCACATCTTCTGCACACCTGAGGCCCGATGGCCCTGCAGAAGGGAGGCAGGTTGGGAAGTGCTAGCGAAGGGCCAGCACTGACCCTGGCTCTGGGGTGATCCAAGGACGCAGCTCAGAACTGCTTAGAAGAGGAGCCGGAGCTGCCTGAGGAAATGGAATGGCAGCCACAGAAACGATGGAAAAGCGTCCTTCGTATAAATTCTGGGGCAGATCTGCACCTGCAGGACCTCCCCAGTTGCTATAGATATTTGGAATAGATCAAGTGAAAACCGAACAAGCAGAACAGATGCCTCATTTTGCTTACAAAACTGCTTTGAGAATTGGGACGTGGCTACACCCCACGAAGTACATCCCTCTGAATTTCACCCACATCAGAACCCAGAGCCCAGGAGATACTCACATTTGGACGGTTTCCAAAGGCAGCATAGAAGGGCTGCTTAGACGGGGCAAACAGATTCTTGATATCATTTAGACACTCAATTTTGAACTTCTCTGGTTTCTTTTCTATCACTTCTCTAAGAAAAAAATACAAATACAATCACCAATCTCAAAATGGTCGTTTTCCCCAGTGAGTGGTCCTAAAATTTTAGTGCTCACAACCACCCAATTTCTTCAACCCTTTGTAACTGGAATCTTTCCTTCTCCTTCTTTGCCAGTCTGATAACTAAGAAAATTTGAGTGATGAAGTTTAGGGAAGGAGAAAACTTGACGGTTCCTAGAACCTGCCTTTCTTCACCAGGCCCGCCACATGGCAAGTGAGCAGTATGTGGTAGGACACCACCAGGGACCAAAGAACTGGGAGAGGCGTGGCGGCTCCAACATCTGACTTCTGTTCCCACACATCCCCCCACCTTGGGCCCAGCCCCGCCCACATGCTGGGGCGGTGGGCAGAGGGCTGCCTGCCGGAGAGGTACCTGTGGAAGGCGGAGAACAAGCTGCTGGGGGACAGCATCAGGGGGCCCCGGGGCAAGATTGTGCCCTTGTCATTGACCCAGTGCAGGTAGCCACGGGTCATGTCGGCCATGCCGATGGCACGAGCCGAGCAGTACAGAAACTTGTAGCCATTCCTGAAAGAAAACACACCCTGTTAGCCCACATGTTCTGGCTAAGGGAAAAGAAAACAAAAAACAAAAAAAAAACCCCACACTTTTCTTTCTTTTTTTTTTGAGTCTCACTCTGTTACCCAGGCTGGAGTGCTGTGGCGCCATCTCGGCTCACTGCAACCTCCACCTCCTGGATTCAAGCAATTCTCCTGCCTCAGCCTCCCAAGTAGCTAGGATTACAGGCATGGGACACCATGCCCGGCTTAATTTTTATATTTTTTAGTAGAGACAGGGTTTCACCATGTTGGCTAGATTGGTCTTAAGCTCCTAACCTCAGGCAACCTGCCCACCTCAGCCTCCCAAAGTGCTGGGATTACAGGTGTGAGCCACCATGCTCAACCCATACTTTTCTTTTAAAAGATCCAAATAAACTTCCTCTCATTTACTGTGAAAACCAAATTCTCAAATTTAGCAGGAAACTGCTTAGGATTATAGAGGTTTCACCTTCCATGGAAAACGTGGGAAAAAAATGGAGGTACAGGCAACTAAGGATTATGTTAAGTTTGTAAGTACTGATATAAAATGTTCAGCATCTAGTCCATGAAAGCCAGATTAGAGGACAGAAAAAACCTTGGACTATCTTTAAATTACCCACTGTGAAGAAAAAATATAGGGGATATTATTTATAAAGGCAATGTGCAAGATGCAAACCACTCCATCAGACAAGAAGCAAAATTATACCCAGGTAACTGACATATTCGTAATTTTCATATTATGGTATTCTCAACTAATGCTGAAGACACTGAGATTCTTCAGATCAATGTAATATATGTATTAGGAACCCACAAACGCCATGGCACGGCTATCTTCCCCTCAAAGGGTGCCCCAAGAGAGAGCAGCCCATGCAAGAACTATTTCCCTCATGCATGCGTGCACTATCTACTCAAAGAAATACAATTTTAAGGCTGGGCGCAATAGCTCATGCCTGTAATCCCAGCACTTTGGGAGGCCGAGGCGGGGAGATCACCTGAGGTTCGGAGTTCAAGACCAGCCTGACCAACATGATGAAACCCCATCTGTACTAAAAATACAAAATTAGCTGGGCATGGTGGCATGTGCCGGTAATCCCAGCTACTCGGGAGACTGAGGCAGAAGAATCACTTGAACCCGGGAGGCGGAGACTGCAGTGAGCCAAGGTCGCGCCATTGCACTTCAGCCTGGGCGACAAGAGCAAAACTCCATCTCAAAAAAAAAAAAAAAAAAAAAAAAAAAAATTTAAAATACCCAGAAAATAAACCAAAAATGAAAATCAGCTATCTTATTAAATTCTAGCTAAAAAAATAACTGTCATTCTAGTTATAGATGTAGGTAGTGCCTGAAACACAGCACTGTGAGGATTAACTGAGATGACACAGGTTCGATGCCAATGCCAGGTGCACACGGCTCCCACACCATCAACAGGAAAGGAGTGAGGAAGAGCGGGAATGCTTCAGCATAAACACATGACTCATGTGGACTGAAGACTTACACCATTGTTCTATAGTTCTTAAAGCAAGCTTCCAGCTCACCAGAGCGAGTTAACGTGGGGAGGGTACCTACTCATTGATGGAATGGTAGAGCTTTGCTATACCCTGGTGGGTCCAGTCTTTGCCCAGCTGTGGGAGAATCTGTCCCAAAGCATCCGACCTAAGAAGACGGTAGAAACAGGAAAAGCTATCAGGAATCAAACACATACAGCGTTTTCCTATTTGGTTGACTATCAGCTGCCAATAACTAATTGGTGGCGGGACACTCTTGAAAGGGGATTTAATCACAGCTTCAAGCAACTGCAAGGCCATCCCATGCAAACGCACCCACTGAGGTGCTTCTGAAAGCGGAGTCTCACGAGCGCCAGATGTGTGTGTTCGGAGGTAACTGACTGCCACACTTTCTCTTTTCCTCCGCCCCAATGTCAAGGGGCTTGTTTTCATATCAGAATTGAAACCAAATAACTAATCTTTCCAAAAGTGATTTTTGACATTTGTTATGCACCCTCACCATCTCCTCCATGCAAAAAAATGACCCCATGTGGACTGTACTGGGGACGCCTCAGAGCATATGGCTTATAAAATGCCTTGGCTGAGGGCTTCGAGCCCCAGGTGAGGAACTCCCCACCACACACTGCCTGCCCCTCCCTGAGCACGGGGCTGTTCCTTGCCACCCACCTGAAGGATTGAGCTTACTTGGTTATTGTCCCATCAATATCAGAAATGATGATCTTGTCATTCCAGTTCCACAGGTAAATGGTCCCTGCACAGCGACAGGTGCCTTGATACTGGGTTGTAATACTAAACACAACATCATTTGGGCCATCGTGGAGCTTCAGTTTTGCCTTTTAAAAAAGCATAAGAATAAAGAAAATCAGCTGAAAACATAGTTTGAAACGATTTAAAAATTTACAGAACAACTGGTGTCTCGGAATCCCAACAAGAGGCAGGATGGTTTCCGGGGTCTTAGACACAGCCCACCCTGTGCCCAGCGCAGCTGACAATGCTGAGGGAGCCACTGCCTGAACAGTATTTTGGGGTTCCAGGGACTTCTCTGAACACCCACAAAGCAAAAGGTCTACTACTCTTACTCCACACCTGAGAATTACTGCTTTAGCCACAGCCTGCTCTGGTCCCAGCAAGACCTTTTCATACCGAAAATGGGTCAAAGGCAGGGTGTAAAATAAGAGGAGAAATTGTGTCTAAAATGTCATTTCTCTATTGCTGTGGCTCCTAAGAGACAGTACCTGGCTCAGCGCTGGGTTAGCTGTGTACGACTGACTCTCAAGAGATGGAGGAAGGAGGTCTGGGGTGGGTGGCAGGACCCAAGCCACAGGTTCCCCAGGTGGGCCTGATAGCTCTTGGGGGCGGCGGTCGTGGTTCCACTGTGGATAGGCATTGACACGACCATGCCGTGTGGCGTGTATGCAGCTGGGGACGTGTGGACAGAAGAGGATGTGCATCAAATTAAACCATTACTAAAATAAGTCCTACTGGACAACACAGATCATGCAAGACTCACGATCTGGTCTGAGGAGAGGCGGAGAGACTTCTTATATGAAGTTGTGCTGCCGTGGCTCAGGGGCTCTGTGGGGATGGGGTCCACTGTGATGGATTCTTCGAGCTCCTGTGATCCCTCGTCACTCGAGGAGTCATTCTCGGCCGGCCTGTTCAACATTAGCCCAGTTACGGAAGAGGCAGCAGGGCATTTTATTGATGAGAGCTTTTCATTTAGGATCAAGAAAATAAAGATATCCTAAATCTTTTCTAGGAATGGGTAGAGTTATCCCTTCTGCCATTCTCCCATATCCACAGCTCTGTACGCCTGAAATATTCATATTGTTAACTGATAAGGCCACTTTCATAACTGGCAAGCACTTACTTTCTGACTATGACCTGCTATTTTCTGCTATGCCCAGTGAATGCTAGAAGGTCTACTGACTCTTGTTGAAGAGGGTATGTATGTTTCACAAGGCACAAATCAAAGAAAACATAATCGCTTACAATGATTTAACAAACTCCGGCTGGGTGCGGTGCCTCACACCTGTAATCCCAACACTTTGGGAGGCCGAGTTAGGAGGACACCTTGAGCCCAGGAGTTTGAGACCAGCCTGGGCAACATAGGGAGACCCAGTTTCTACGGAACATTTAAAAATTAGCCAGGGGTAGTGACACTTGTCTGTGGTCCTAACTACTTGGGAGGCTGAGGCAGGAGGACTGCTTGAGCCCAGGAGTTTGAGACCAGCCTGGGCAACACAGCAAGACCCTGTCTCTACAAAATACAAATTTAAAAATTAGCCAGGCATGGTGTCCCACACCTGTAGTCCCAGCTACTTAGGAGGCCGAGGCAGGATTGTATGAGCCGAGGAGCTATGATTATGCCATTGCACCCCAGCCTGAGTGACACAGTGAGACTCTAGAAAAAAACAAAAACTAGTAAGAAAAATTTTAGACACCCCTTAAAAGATATAGGATGGGGGGCGGTAAGGGGCAAGAAAATAAACCCTCAGCCTTAGACACTAAATGAGACAGCCAAGGGCTGGGAGAAGCAAGCATGCACTGGCCGGGGGAGGTGGACAGGCAGAAGCAGGAACACGGCGTATCGCGAGCAACTCCTCTCAGGGCTGCTCACCCTAACTGTCCAAAGAATGCTGTTTCTTCCAGGAAAGGAAACCCACCCAAGCCAACCTGGAGATTATTTTGTATGTCTCCCTTTGGCTCCGGATGGGATGCAGGGGGAGCAGAGGCACCTGGGCCAACATGGCTGAAGCGTTCCTCACGGCCCCTTCCCATACGCTGGCGCCACGGCTCCACAAGGAGGCAGGGTATTTATTTTTCTAAGCTGGTGATGTTTTTTAGAAAAGCAGTTGTCATCTGCTGAGTGGCACAAATATATCACAGCATGTAGTATCTGCAGAAGATACTCCCAAGAACTAAACAAGCTGCCAAAATCAACTTAGAAGTAATGGCCCTGCTAGAGGGCCTGAGTGCTATGAGCCGGGCAGAGGACAGGGCACCCACCTGGCACCGGCCGGCTCCTTGGAGCTGGATGGCAGGTCACTGGCTGGCGGTGCCTCAGATTTTCCCTCCTTGGATTCTGGCAGCTGTAACAGCAAGATGATAATGGCAACATGCAATTTTTTCCCTACAGATAAGCCAAGTTCATCAGCAGCCCTCTCTAGGAAAGAACACAACTGCCTTCTGAACCCACAACTTAAAAATGCTCAAAAACCAGACTTTCTCTATTCTGAGCCAAAGAATTAGAAACCTAAGACAGAAGTCATGTGCTTCTATGCAAATCACTGTCCCTACAGACCCAGAAGGAAAACATTTTAAGAGCACCATTTCAAGTCACAAAACATAATACAAGCGACCCAAACTTGTTAGGTCCCCAGCTTCCTTCTCCTCCTGGGAGTAACTCACCACGTGCAGAAGGGACTGAAAGGCAGCCCCCTTGCTGACGTGGACATGAACTTGGTTCAGGCAAGACTTCCCTTCTGACATTTGAAAAACAGGTGAGAACTCCCTGAACCCTCTTTTTCAGAAGGTGTTGGGGAAAAAAAGACTTGCTCTGCTGCTTGTTTAGTATGGTTCTCTGGATGAATTTCTATGGAGACCTGGTGGAACAGATTCTGGTTATTTGCATCTGGAACTATGCAGGCAGACGATAACCTTCTGCTCCTATCTGATAGGTAATACAGTGAAGCAGAAAGAGCACAGGCTCTGGAGTCAGACTCAAGGTCTTGCCCCAGCTCCGTCTCTCACCAGTTATGTGACTTCGTGAAGCACCCAAGTTTCCTTACCTGTGAAATGGCAACTCGAACATCTCTAGTGCTGAGCTACAGTAAAGGACCACTTGGGACAACACCTGCACGTCCTAAGTGCTCAAAAATGGAAACTGCTATATGGTAAAATAGCCCTATACAGTCCAAATTCCTGTGCCTGACAAAAAGGTTTTTTGAATAAATGAAAGATTCATTTCTTTCAGCCCACGGAAACAATGACCTCTAGGTCTGTTACCTGTTTGGTCATGCTTTCTCTCTTTCGCCAAAACCACCAGCGACCAGATTTCTTTGGCATCTTGTCTTTCACCCAGGACTCAACTGTGGCCTGAAAACAACCAACCTGGGTTAGTCTGGGCAATCTACTGGCCACACAGCACCTACCTTCTATGCTAGCCTGAAGGACGGGGCCTTACTATGGAATGTGAGAACGTGACCGATGCTCTCTTCACACCTCCCAGATTCCTCTAGCGTTTTTAACACCTCTGAGAGACAGACCCCGTCCTGCTTTCATGGCAGCACAGCTCTGTGGCATGAGACCAGGCGGTCTGCTATGTAGGACCTTAGGGGCTGACAGGTGGGCAAATCTCATTTATCTATCTTTGGAAAATGTGGTTCTCATGAGTTAAGAGGACCAACTAGGCTGATGATGTCTTCTTGGGGGACAGATTAAAAACCAATTGTGAGTTTGTATATAACAGGTATGTTAGCCACCATCTGCCCTAACCACACTGATGTCAAGCTTCTCTTGGCTACATCACCTTCTTCTTGCTGCTTCTTCCCATATTAATGGGAGAAAAAGTTTTTTTCATTCATTCCATATTTAACTTATGATTAGTAAAATCTCTCAACTTTTACAGACCATCAGAAACTAGTATTTATGTCTAATAAAAATGAAATAAAGAAGTGGCAGCCCTGCTAATTTCCCAGAGTTTGGGCATGAGATATTTTTAGTGGGTACATATGACTTTGATCTTTTATATTAAATATTAAGCTCAAGTAAAACTTTGAATAGTACCCAGTTCAGAAATATGCACATATGGATTTGTGTAAGTACTAGACACTGCGGATGCTTTCGGAAAGGCAGCAGATGGTGGATCGCCTCACCTTAGGCAAGCTCTTCTGGAATACTTGCAAGCTAAGGATCATGGGAGCTGCCAAAGCCCAGTTATAGTAACTGTGAGAAACAAAAATTGTGCAAAACCATTACACAGTGAAAGTGAGCAAGAGAGAGGGGAGGGAATCAGGGAGGGAGGGAGGAGGGAAGTGACATATAAAATTGCTTATTCTTTTCAATAAAGATGATCAGCTGAATTTTTTGTCACATGAATAACCTTCGCTTCAAGCACAACTTCTCTGAACAGAGAAGCCGTAAAATCTATCAAACAGAGTAACATTTCAATGCTTCTTTTAAAAATAAAATTGAAGCTTTACTTTCACTTCAAAGTCATTGCCCACTGGCTAATTTATATGAGATGACAAGTTTTATAAGAAGGAACACTTTTATAAGTAACAGTTAAAAATGGCACTTGTAAAAAAACTGCAAGAGTATTTAACAATTATAAAAGCAGGAGTATTTACCGATTATATATCCTTATTACAAGGTTAGGATTGTCTATAAGTCCAGGGTTTTCTGCAAATTCGTGATAAGTAATGATATGCTCCATGAATTTTTCTGCAATGTAAAATAATAATCAATTTGGTTAGAGATTACATAAATCCCTATATGAGATTATAATACTCTCTGCATTGCAGAAATTGAAGGCTAAAATCATCTGTCTAAAAAAACTAATTTTTGAATATTCATCAAAAGCAAAATGTCAGACGCTTTTTTTCCCCAGGACAAGAAAGAACACTTCTTTTCTATTCTCCTTTTCCACTGTCTCCCAGTGAAAACAAACAAACTAGTAAAAAGGGACATGACAGAGACTTTCAAAAAAAATACATACAGATGTGGCTAGAGAGGGACGGAAGACAGACACAGAAAGACAGACAGACACACACACACGAAAACTGTCGAAGTTCTATTCTCAGAGGAAGAAACTTTACTGACAGGCAACGGCATAACTGGGGAATATTCATAGGGGTCTTACAGCTTTAGCAAGCTACATTATATCAAAACATATCTTAAAATTGTTTGGGCCAGGCACAGTGGCTCACACCTATAATTCCAACACTCTGGGAGGCCGATGTGGGCCGATCACTTGAGGTCAGGAGTTAGGGACTAGCCTGGCCAATACGGTGAAAACCCATCTCTACTAAAAATACAAAAATAAGGCGGGTATGGTGGTGCCAACCTGTAATTCCAGCTACTTGGGAGGCTGAGGCAGGCGTGACAATCACTTGAACCCAGGAGATGGAGGTTGCAGTGAGCTGAGATGGTGCCACTGCACTCCAGCCTGGGTGACAGAGCAAGGCTCTGTCTTAAATAATAAAAACAACAACAAAAATTACATGTTACAATTGCTTGGAGAATTAAAAAAACAAAACAAGGCAAAACAAAAAAACCTAGAATTTGGCTCAAGGTCTGTGAAATAAATCCCAAGTTCTTGCAGAGTGAATGAGGGCTTCCCATGAATTTTTGTACCCTGTTCCTAAACCTGTATTCTCCTAGATCTAGGCTAACAGAGAAACTGCTCACTTGGATTGTTTCTCCAGGTAATGTGTGTATTACTTACATTTACTTGTCATTTCTGCCTCTTCCAATAAACTCTACTAGACTAAGTCACCAATATTTAAAACAAAGGTGTAACTTTTATATTTTACCTACATTTTGTATTTCGCATTCCCTCGCATATAATTTTTTAAACTGAACATTTAAGAGGATTACAGAAAGAATGTGACCTATTTAACTTAGTCCCTAGAATGAACCATTGGCCATAACACACTTTAAATTTCTTGCAAAATATAAAGCAAACAAACAATGAAGAGACAGGGAAGAGGCATAATGAGCTTCCTGTGACCCTGGAAAGGAAAGACTTCAGGAACACATGGTCCTGAGCCTCTGGCCATGCAGTCTGCCACATCACACCTTCAGTTCCTCTAAGGGAGAGGGAAGACAAAAGATGACACTAGTCACGGAAAGAAAATTTTCCCTTAGAAGAAAATCATACAGGGGCCACAGGCCAAACTGAGAAATACTAAGAGTTCAGTTTTAAAAGGAAGGTTAAAAAAAAATGCTGATGAATTGAGGACGGATGCACATGGCACTCAGCCCAGCCTATAGGCATCCTGACATGTCTGCTAAACTCCCTCCTGATTCCTGAGCAAGCTTTACTCTCGTAGGCCAACCCTCCAGCCTTATACAGAAAGTAATCCTCCTAATTTTTGCCAGAAAGACCACGTACTCAGTGGACAATCAATTTTCTACAACTTCAGGGCCCTATATTCATGTCTAAGGCCCAGTGCTTTCCAGAAGGGCAGCTGGGCCCCAGTTCCACAAATGTTTCTGTAACTTTACAGATGAGAAAACTGGTGCAGTGTGATGATCGCACCCTGGCAGCTCAGAAAACAGGGCGGCCTGATAACTCCCAACCTCTTAATTTGAAATTAGAGCCTTTAAGGGCACACTACCTCAAAGCCACTCCATAAAGAGGTGTCAATTAAGACCTTAAGTGAGGGTATAAGGGTCTGACATTACAGAACATACCTGTTACCTGCACAAGATCCCTAAAGAATGTAAATATCCTGAAATGGCTACACGGTAAGTTTTAACCAAGTGATGACCAGATTGCTCTCTGAAATGAAGATGGGGCACAAACACCCAACGTACCTTTTGAAATTTCTCCATTTTCACTGAGGCCCCCGCAAAGGGAGAGGGTAACGTCAGGCAAGTCCATGGCAGAATCTGAGAGGCACTCGGTGCCGCTATCTGCAGCTGCGCTTCCCACGGACTGTGGGGACTGGGAGCCAGAGAGTGTGTCAGACTCGGGCCACTGCCTGGAACCGGGCTCCGATTCACTGTGGACAGGGGATGGGGAAAAGATGTGCTTTATTACAACTCCTTGAATTCCTAGTTTACTGCATGGTTCTCTGGGGGCTCAAACCAAATAACACATCCGCTAAAAAGAACGGATGGACCTACAATCAGGCATAACTTTTCTTAGATAGGGTTTAGAATCATATCATAAATGACATGAAAGATAACCTAATATAGTACCAGTGAGAAATTAACTGTGAATATAGTAAATACGTCACAAAATCACCACGGTCATTCACAATAATGCAAACATTTCAACTGTGGCCTTTCTGATTTTTAATTAAAGGAGTAAAATAGTTATAAGTATTTATTTACATTTCCATGATGAAAATGACAGGGTAATTAAGAAAATCTGCTGTTTGGAAACCTTTGATCCTAACGTCCTAGAAAAAGCTGTGGCACTTTATACATCCTGTAGAAAATTACTGTAGTCCAAGGCTATATTCTTTAAAACCAAATCTTTTCTAAGTTCGCCTATTACCTCACAAAGAAGGAAGGAGAAATTAAACGAGCAAATTCTCTAGAGGCAAGACCCACCTAGAAAAAGAAATGTATTCAGAAATAAACTGGATGTAACTGTTATTCCAGGAGCTAAAGATGAGGTTACTGAATATTTTCATTTTTCAAGATAAGGCACAGAAGCCAGGTTTCAGAAGGTGATCAAGGGAAACCTTATGCAATGAAGTGTAAATTTGAGAAAGAATAATCATGAATGGCACAGCACCTTAAGTCTCACAGTCCCCAATGCTTACTACTCTATACCCTTTGAATAGGTATTTAATGTCACATTTGAGATATTGAGAATTTTCAAATTCACTTATTTTATTCAAAAAGCCAGTATTTTTATGTGAATTAAAAAAACAGTGACCCAGAGGTTTACTGGCTCTTTCAAACAAATCTCATCTTTGAGCAGTAGGTGGCAGCAGACTACAGATTATGTTTTAACTAGGTAACAGTTTCAAAACCTGTTTCCCATTTGAATCAACAAAAAAATTCAGGTTTTTGGATATTTTTTCCTCTTAATAGCCATGCACACTCATACCCACAAAATTGAGATTAACTGGACTGACAGAATGTTCTCACTGGAAACACAAAGTCAGCAGAACTGTTGTTATACTGGGAGTGAGGGGCAAGGCCAACCCTTCTGTGTTCACCACACCTGTCTCCTCTTTCTCCGGGGCACACGGCGAGGCCCCCTTGCAGTCAGGTGGGGCCACGTGAGCACATGACTGAGCCGTGAATATGGACGGAAGGCATACATGGTGCCCCTCCCCAGGGGCCCTCTCCTATGCGATGCTCATTCCTTTCTCTGCTGCCAGTAAACTCTGGACTCTGAGACCCTATGGGGATGGGAGAGCCTCAAGGTGAAAGGAGCCTGTGTTCCTGAATCCCTGTGGGCAAGGCCTCCCCCTAAACACCAACACAGAGCATTCTTCACAGGGGCAAGAAACAAAATTCCATCGTGGTAGGCCAACGAGATCAGGAGTTCCACCTCTACAGCAGCTAGTGTTACCCCAACCAGTAACAACAACATCTACACACATGGGGATGCCGTCTGACTCAGGATGCCACCAAATACAAAAGTGTGTGATTTATATTAAAGTTTAGTGATAATTACAAATACTGTAAATTTGGTAATGAAGATGCTAAGGATCATGACATGACTAATGCTTACATGGATTACAAGAGTCTCACTCACTATCTTTAAATATTTATGAAATGTTTCAAGAAATAGTTAATGAGGTAAGAAGCTTACTTAGTGCATGGACAGTGACTGTGAACAGTTAAATTACAGTAGAGTGGAGTAAGGTATCATCACCTTAGTTACTCTCCTCACTTTTTAAAAGAGAAACTAAGACATATACCGAAGGAATACCAATATAAATAAATGATTAAGGCCTGGGAAATGTGGGGGGAAAAGTGGTAATTCTATGACAGCTTATATTTGAACTTTCCTACTGTTAAAATAAAGCCGTTTCAGTTTTTTCACCTTAAAAAAATCCAACTATTACTTCAAATGAAGTAGATATGTTGAGATAAATTTAGGACAGAGCTAGAAAGGAGTTTTAAGAACTTTCCCAAAATACCTGTAAAAAATTTAAATAGCTTTATATCAATCCCATCTTTCTATTCCAAATAAAAAACAAAATATACTTTTCAGTAATTCATTTACAAGTGTTTAATTATGTGTGCCTATGGCTCAGTATATTCAAGTCATACTTTCCGTGGAGAAAAGTTGTTTTTTTCTAACCACAGAGTAGCAGTTTAACAGAATTCCCCTAAGAGTAGAAATGAACTTGGGAAGGCAGTCCAAGTGTATCATATTTGAGGCCCATATTTGAAGTAATTCAAAGGGAAAATGGTGCGGGACAGTGAGGGAGGCTGGGTGGCAGCTGTGGAGCTGCAGGGGATGTGGGGACACGGGGCGCGGGGGCAGTGCCCCACCAGACCCAGACCCGGTTCAGAAAAGGCTCAGGATCTCAGACTCCCAAGAAGTGAACACATTCTTTGGAAAACATTTTCAAATAAAGATGTGTTTCTTTTAAAACACATAATAAAATAAATGCTAAAAAATTTTCCCAAGCATGTTGAGTTTGTATTAACCACTACAGGAAATGCTAATCAGAAGTCATATACCCTTATGTAGGTTTAACTAGTATATCTCTCCTCATTGTATTGAAAATGTCTTCGTAAGTAATTATTAATTTCAAGTCACTATATTGAAATAAGACACGCGCTATTTCTAAATTTTCCAAAACCTGAAGCCATCATCAGATTTAGCTAAAGGACACCATCATCTTGTTCCTTTTTCCTGAGATGAAATGTTTTACTCTAGAAATAACTAGACTATTTCAGAGCTGTCCTTCAATAAATAAGGACCACTCTACCTTTTAGGGAAATAAAGAGCTGCAACTTCAGGTTCTAGACCCTTTAAGTCATCAAGGTAAATATCATCAGGTCCCTGGTGTTGGCTTCTTTTGTGAACACCTGTTTAAAAAAAAAATCAGAGGTAAGAATTTAGTTATTCTTCATTTACAGCTCTGCAAAACACACGCACGTTTGCAAACAGTAAGAGTGACAAGCAGGATTTGAATAGGGTTTTAATTTTAAAGGTGTCAACCAGCCTTTTTACTTAGGTTGGTTCCCAGCCATCCATGCCAATAGAAGAGAAGTTCAGTGCTCCATACATATACTTTGATTTTACTCATTCTCTCATTTGCTGTTAATTGAGTAATACTAGCCCCTAAATAATTTATATTTTAATGGTGAAGTCTTTTTTGTATTTATAGGTCTAAGAACAAGCATGACCAAACTTAAGGCAACCACCTGCATTGGGAACGAGGGCATTACTCTAAAACCATGAAGGCAAGGTTGTCTGGGCACAGGATATTCACATGGTGCCCAAGTATCCACCCTGCATTACCTTCTAACTACAAAAGGACAAAAAATACTTCACAATGGATAGATGTGGCAGATAACATCTTAAACAATAATCACGTTCAGCATTACTATTAGTGGTCATCATGAGATACAATATGAGTACCCAATACATGCAATAAACTAATCTTCAATTCAAACAATAACTCTAAGCCTCTAGACCTGTACTGCCCACTCTAGTGACCACCAGCCACATGTGGCTACTGAGCATTTAAACTGTTGCTAAAGTGAGGTACACAAAATGTTAAAAATGCGTAAAACACACTAAGATACTTCCTTAATAATTTTATATTGATTACATATTAAAATTATATTTTGGATTTATTGGCTTAGATGAAATATATCACTAAACTTAATTTCACCTTATTTTACTTCCTTAAAAGTGGCAATGAGATGATTCAAAATTACACATGTGATTCATATTCCATTTCTAGTGGACAGTAAGTTCTAGAGCTAACTCCCAGTTAAGAAAATATAGGAATGTCACCTTCAAAAAAACAATCAGACAAATCCAGAACGTGAGAGAGCCTAGAAGACACTGGCTGAGCTCTTTAAAAGGTTACTATCACGGGTGTAGAGAGGGCATGAGGGTGTGGATGGGTGTAGGAGAGAGAGTTCTAAAATAAAAAAGATTACAAGAAACATAAAAATCAAATGCAACATGTGAAACCTGATGCAATTTTGGCTTGGGAAACAGGCCAGCTAAAAAAATATTCTTGGTACAATTAGGGAAATGTAAACATGAATTCTTCAAGATGACAATAGTACTGGGGCTATGCAGAGAATGTTCACATTCTTAGAAGGTATATCCTGGCATATCTAAGAGTGAAATGTCATGCCTGCAATTTGTTTTCAAATGTTTTATTAATAAAACACTGTATGTGGATGAATGGAGAGATGTAGGGAGAGAGGGGTTGAGGAGAGAGGGAGGGCAAAAATGTATAATAAAAAGTAGAGGGGAAAAAGAATGAGGCCAAAAGAATAGTAAAAACCACTCAGGGTTCCTGTCTCTAGTCAGATCCTGCACTGTGTGCTAAGAACAGGAGTCATTAGTTCCAAAAACAAAGCATTCATCCTAAAAGAACTGGATTTCCCCCCTTAACATTTCTTAGAGCATAACAAGTGGCTACAGGCCTTTGGTGGAAGAGCAGGTGCCAAGTTAAGCCACCATTCGCTAGATGGTTTTATCTGACCACCAACACCTTCGACAGTCACATTCTTTCATTTTAGATAAATTATTTCTGAGTGAACTTGAAGGTCCATACCTAATATATATTAAGTTGGTTTATAATTACCTAATCTTTGGTGCTAGAATTTTTTTTTAATTGAAATAGGTAATTGGCTATATATGATGTTGGGTAATTTTAGAGAAGGTTTCACACTTTCCTAAAAATAGGATCCAAGGCCAGAGTTCAGAATATGTATGTTCTGACCCACTGTACCAAGTATCGATGGTTGGCTTTTTATTTTCAAATAGTAAGGATGTTCTGATTTATTAAACTTGTGTTCCAAAAGTGAGGAAGAACTGTTGAACCAAGAGTTGGATGTTTTCTCTACTTATTTTGAGACAGGGTCTCACTCTGTCACATGGGTTAGAGTGCAGTGGTGCAATCACAGCTCACTGCAGTCGTGACCTCCCTGGGCTCAGGTGATTAGAATAACTTCTTAAGGTAATTTTTATTTTTTCTTATTATTTTTGAGACAGGGTCTCACTCTATCACCCAGGCTGGAATGGAGTGGCTTCATCTTGGCTCATTGCAACCTCTGCCCCAGGGCTCAAGCGATCTTCCCACCTCAGCCTCCCAAGTAGCTGGGACCACAGATGAACGCCACCATGCCAGGCTCAGTTTTTTATGTTTGATAGAGACAGGGTTTCACTATGTTGCCCAGGCTGATCTCGAAATCCTGAGCTCAAGTGATCTGTCCACCTCAGCTTCCTAAGTACTGGGATTACAGGTGTGAGCCACTGCACCTAGCCTTCTACCTATTTTAGAGGGAAATAATCAGCAAAAGAAAGCACATACTCATAATCATAATTAGTATGCATTGATTTTTATCTGATATTACTGCTAAAAAACCTACCTAATTTAGCCTCAGCTAAGATGTTTCAAGTGAAAACATTTTTTCTCTATTCTAATTTTTTAAGATTCTACTTCACTTTACTGACATACCTTATCAATAAAGTGGTTAATTTTACTCATCAATTGATTACAACTCATTATTTGTTTTCTCAGTAAATGCTTCTCAAGAACCCACTGAGTAGCAACAGTCAAGAGACAGCAGTGTGCAAGTCAGGCCCTGCTCCAACTGGACTTTCCAGGGGGACGCCATGGAAAGCAATTGTAAGAAAGTGAGTGACGGGCCTGGGCACGGTGGCTCACACCTGTAATCCCAGCACTTTGGGAGGCCGAGGTGGGCAGATCACCTGAGGTCAGGAGTTTGAGACCAGCCTGGCCAACATGGTGAAATGCCATCTCTATTAAAAATACAAAAAATCAGCCGGGGATGGTGGTGTGTGCCTGTAACCCCAGCTACTCAGAAGGCTGAGGCAGGAGAATTGCTTGAACCCGGGAGGCGGAAGTTGCAGTTAGCCGAGATCACACAATTGCACTCCAGCCTGGGTAACAAGAGCGAAACTCCAGCTAAAAAAAAAAAAAAAAAAAAAAAAAAAGTGCGACGGGTTTCGACTGGTGAATACAAATACAGAGGCAGCCATCACGTTATGTGGAACACTGAAATAATTTACCATCTAATTTGAGAGTACCTGGAGCCAAATTAAACAAACGATTACCTTTCTTCTTTGACGGCGAGTCTACTTTAGCTGCCGGTTTGGATTCTGAGGGCGCCTCCGCTAAGGCTGCGTTGGGAAGGTGGTCAGCATCTAACATAGATGAAATCTGAGTACTCTCAAGAGGAGGTTCGAGAAGCTCTGCCACAGATGTTGGGTCGCTCATCTGTGTACCCAGGGCTCTGGGTTTGGGCTTCACTATGGTACAGACAGTGTCTTCCATGGAAGCATCCTTCTCAACTTCACTGATGAGGTTGTCCTCACTGGGAATTACCCGAAAATGAGTATTTTCTGATGGTGTAATTGTAGCTGTCCTAGGATGATGGTCAGATCGTTCTCTTTTGCTGACCTAAAAAAGTTAAATTGTTTAAAAATTAAACTACTTTCAGAGTATTTGTTATAATCTATTTCCTAAGCTGGCAATGTGTTCATTCTATTTTTAACTTAACACATTCATTAAGTATCTTAGTTTGTACATGTAAAAATTCCATAATAAAGTGAGAAAAACTAATAATTGCCTTTTGTTCAATATCATGATACTTATAAATGTTCTGGCCGGGCACAGTGGCTCACGCCTATAATCCCAGCACTTTGGGAGGCCAAGGTGGGCAGATCACTTGAGGTCAGGAGTTCGAGATTAGCCTGGCCAACAGGATGAAACCCTGTCTCTACTAAAAATACAAAAATTAGCCGGGCATGGTGGCAGGCGCCTGTAATCTCAGCTACTCGGGAGGCTGAGGCAAGATAATTTCTTGAACCCAGGAGATGGAGGTTGCAGTGAGCCGAGATGGCACCACTGCATTCCAGCCTAGGTGACAGAGCAAGACTTTATCTCAAAAAAAAAGGTGTACGTTAAATGTTCTACTGTGAAGTTATACTGGAGAAGACTGAGGAAACTGACAATTTTCAGTTACTAAGAAGTAGAAAATACTCATTTTGGGGGAGAAAACTAAATGAAAATTTCACCCTCCTTGGACCACATCAAGGCTCTGTTAAAACAGTGTAAAAGTGGCAAGTCTAAATTCGATCACAAATATATGCAAAATGTATATTTTAAAAACCTAAATTCAACAGAAGATCTAAACATTTTCTCTCTCAAGAAATTTATCTTCTCAGTTCTTTCTTCTTTCATTATGAGCTGGAAAAAAAGGTTTAACAATTTCTTGTTTAAAATTTCAGTGTTGGCTGGGGATGGCAGCTCACGCCTGTAATCCCAGCACTCTGGGAGGCCAAGGCAGGAGGATCTCTTGAGCCCAGGAGTTTGCGATCAGGCCAAGCTGATATAGCGAGACCTTGTCTCTACAAAAAATAAAAACTAAAAAATTAACTGGGTGTGGTAGCACACACCTGCAGTCTCAGCTACTTGAAAGTCTGGTGTGGGAGAATTACCTGAGCACAGGAGGTTAAGGCTGCAGTGAGTTGTGGCTGCACCACTGCTCTCCAGCATGGGTGACAGAGCAAGAACTCTGTCTCCAAAAAATAAAAAATAAAAATTCAGTGTGAAAATTTCAGTTTAAGATGCCTTTTAAAATGTCCTTATAATAATTAACAATCATTATTATTCAGTAAATAGAAATATACACAAAATACTACTGAAATCCTTCGGTTGCAAATATATAGTCCAAATGTTACAAAAAATGTTAACTTTGAATTTACTTTTATGACATGAGGGCACTATCATTTACATTCATGAGAGCTCAGTCAGAAATTGCCTCCTTTACTTATGGGCAGAGGAATTCGTCACTTGTTTAATCATTAACACACTTTCCACAGGCAAGTAAACCCTAGTACCTTGGTGGACTCTGGGAATCCGCCCCACGTCCACTCCATGTGAGACTCTGATCTGAGCAGGCTCTCCGCAGGTTTCACCTCCAGCTCTGAATCACTCTTAGGACACGCTGTCTGGGGATAGGTGCTGCAAAGAGAACAAAGACACACGATGACTTGAAAGTCGGGAAACCTTCAGTCTTGCTGAGCCTGACAGATTAAAAGAAACAAATCTGAATATCTTGACTTTATCCTGCATATATAAAAACTCTATGGAAGGGAGCATCAATTATTTCTTCCACTTGAGTTCTTTAATAATAATAATAAAAATGACACCAACTAGTATTTAAGAGGACTTACCAGGTCCTTTGTAAACAAACACTGTAGATTCATAATCTCATTTGCTTTTCACAAGAAATCAATGAGAAAGAAGATAATTTTGTAGGAAAGGAAAAGCAGGCAAATTAACATAACACCTGAGAATCTGATTGCAGAATAAACAGTTATGACTATACTTTTTTTCACTATATTATTCATTTACAGCCAACAGTTGACACTAAAAGATGAGAATTTTTAAGAATTGCAGATGAGTGGGCACAATGTCTCATGTCTGTAATCCCAGTGCTTTGGGAGGCCAAGGCGAGAGGATCACCTGAGGCCAGGAGTTCAAGAATAGCCTGGGCAAAATAGCGAGACTCTGTCTCTACAAAAAAATTTAAAACTTAGCTGAGCACAGTGGTGCGTGCCTGTAGTCCCAGTCACTCAGGAGGCTGAGGTGGGAGGATCACTCGAGCCCAGGGGTTTAAGGCTGCAGTGAGCTATGAGTGTGCCACTGCACTCCAGGCTGGGAAAACAGAGCGAGACCTTGTCTCTACTAAAAAGAAAAAGAAAAAAAATAACTGTAGATGGCTAAATTCCATGCTGATTATACAGATCTACAACTGGCCAACACTGTTAGAGTAAGTCAGATCAAATTTAGAAACAAAATAATTATTGAGAGAAAAGATTCATATTTATGTTACAAGTAAACATTCAGTTCCTTGGCTGTGTGAGAGAAATGGGAAATATCATTACTACAGATTAACAGAAAAGCTAATTAATACATCTCCTTCCTCTTTCAAGAAACCAAGAAATTTCAAAGATACTTACGTCTCTAAAGGGGACCAATCTCCATCAGATAAGGGGTAATGATCCCCAGAATGGAAGAGCAAAGGCTCTTTACATTCTTCTTCTTTCAAGGAAGCATTTGAAGATCCTCTGTGAAGGAGAAACCAAAGAAAGGCAGGAACGATGACATTCTTGTCAGCTTTAAAATATCCCCCAAACCTACTGATACTACAAACAATCAAAATGAAGAGGGGCAAATGATTACTAACTCTCTCTAAAATATATGAAGGAGAAGGGGGGATACACCAATGCCACCCACTATAAAACACCACAATCACTATTCACATATGGAATAAATAGGGGGAGGACAAAAGAGAAATGTGATTTCTCTTTTTTCCATCCCTTAAGGGTGATTCAAAGGCTAAAAGAAAACTAAGGCTTTATGTCTATTTCATTCAATCCTTACAAAATGAGGTAATATTTCATTGTAGATTTTAAGTAATCAAGGATCCAGAGAAATTTAGTAACTTGCTCAAAGTCAAAAAGATAGGAAGTAGTTGGATTCAAAACAAGTAAGCCCTTATTCTTTCCACTGCTCTCCCCTTTCTACTGAATACATTTGAAAATGTATATTAGCTGAAGACAAACAAGATCTATGGCTCAAAATTTTAACAATACCCTAACCTCTTAAAACCTTGGGACTAATTTTCTTCTTTGTTTGGCCCAAGGATTATCTGAGAAGGTTTCCTTTACTTGGAATCTACAAGATGTGGAGATGTGAAGATGATACCAAAAATGACAAATGCTTTTAAGATTCATAAAAGGACCTTGGGTAGGGGGTTACACTACTGCTGATAAGATTTTAATCAATTTACTTGTTGGTTTCTCAGATTTTCAGTTACTATAACTACCTTGCCATATAACCTTGAAAACATCCCTCAGAAGCACTGTGGGCCCCCGTTTTCATCTTTACTTGGAAATTTATCATTTGTCCTGTCTACTTCAGAGTCAATGTGAGAGTTACATGGTGTAGCATGTTGAAATCTCTGAAAAGTAAAAAGAAAAGCACAAAGAAAGACTCTGGCCAGGTACAGTGGCTCATGCCTGTCATCCCAGCACTTCGGAAGGCCGAGGCGGGTGGATCACGAGGTCAGGGGTTCAAGACCAGCCTGGCCAAGATGGTGAAACCCTGTCTCTACTAAAAATACAAAAATTAGCCGGGTGTGGTGGCGGGCACCTGTAATCCCAGCTACTTGGGAGGCTAAGGCAGAGAACTGCTTGAACCCAGGAGGCAGAGGTTGCAGTGAGCGGAGATCGCACCACTGCACTCCAGCCTAGGTGACAGAGAGAGACTCCATCCCAAAAACAAACAAAACTCTGCAAAGCATAAAGCGCCATATTATACAAGTTTAAAGGCTTCTTATAGAAAATTCAATGTTCTAATAGGACAGATAATAAATGTAAATGAGAATATCCACATCACTTAGTTTGCTGGACTAAACACAGGGATAGAAAACCAGGTTCTTTTTTAATATTACTCTTCTTCCTTTATATCTTAACTTAACATACTCTTATTTACCACTAACTCTGACATGTAATAGTTTTTCCACATAGCTTAATCTTTTAATTTAAGGTTTTCCTAACTCTGGTCTTCTTTCTCTAGGGCCTTACTCTGGCATACCACTCATTGAAGGGGAGAAAACATATACCTGAGAAAGACATCTAGGAAAAAGTACTCTATTTCTCAATAAAGGAATATCAAAAGGCAAATTTTCCCCTGAGAAAGGGAAAATCAGGTTTGTGAATGGTCTTTATTTGCCCACTCTGAAAGGACACATCAGCTTGACCCATCACTATCCATACGTGAAAGTGGTCTGAAAAGAACAATGTAAAAGTCACACAAATTTCTAACCGGAATTTTTATATTACAAATATTTTACTTTTGGGACATATTTCACTGCAGTATAAAAGGTAAGCCAAGAAGAATTCAGCAAAGCAAACAGGATTTAGTAAAATATTGAAAAAGCGATCAGGTACCACCTGAATTCACAGCCCCAGGAAGACAAGAGGTGGCCTTTTTTGGTCATATCCTGACAAAAATACAGCCCATTAGTCTAGGCCCACTACAGTGACAGAAAAGATTTATGCTGAGATCCCTTTCAGTCCTAAGATTCCTTTATTAAAATAGAAATTCCAGAAACCTTTTAGGAACTTTCAAAATGGCAGGTATGCCTTAGAACAGGGACCTGCAAGGCAAACCATGACAGAGTAACAAACTAAGCACGTGACGTGAGGCTATAGTGGAGCGTACACAGTAGAATGTGAAGAAAACAGCACAAGCACTGATTCTGTTTTGCTAATACATCAGAACTGAGCAAAAGATGTAAACGGTGACTTTCAGTCAGGGCTGGGGGCTCGGAGGCTGAGGTTCACAGCCAGTGTGAACAGGGCACTCCAGCCCTCACAGATGTGCTACAACATCACATCTTTCAAATTCCGCATCATTTTCTAAGCCTAACATTTTTCCAATTCAAAAGCTAACGGAGGTTACATGGATGTATATGACTGCCAAAATGCACTGAACTGCACACTTACGGTCTGTGAATATTGCTGTATGTAAATTATACCTCAGTTTTTTTTCTGTTTTGTTTTTTAGAGAAACAAATCAATAAGCATTTTTTATTAACTTTTTTGACAAACCGATAGTAAAACATATGCTACCTAACGGTAACTGTGTCCCTTTATGTATGAGTCTAAGATAAATATTATTCAGATTTTTATCTGGACAAGAAATTCAAAGGCTCCTTAAGAAGTAAGAAAGGAAATACCATGGTCACTAATGTAACCAGACTAAATATAAAAGCTGCGTGTGTGTGTGTGTGTGTGTGTGTGTGTGTATAAATCAATGTTTTGATCAATGTAACTAATCTGAGGTTACAATAACTCACTGCTTCAAATAATATTTCAATTACATTTAACAGATTAAGATACTGTTTAGGGGAAGACAGCCTCAGAAAGAAGTATTAACAAAAAGGCATATTAATCATTACCTTTAATCAAACTAAGTATCAACCTTTCCCCCAACCCATAAAGACTTCATGTCTCTAAATGGTTCCTAAATCATGGAATATAACTTGAAAAATTTTAAATACATCTCCCAGTATCAGATGTTTATGTACTCCATGTGGGTCCAACTTTCACTGCCCAGAGTTTCTTGTCATGGTAGTGTAACATCATGAGTCTGGTTGCCAGATCTTTTTGTTTTTATTTGTAACAGAGCTAAACCTTTTAACAATTATATTAACTACAACTAAGTTATTTGCTAATGGTAGTAGAATGATATATATGCTTTATTAACGAAAATAGTACTTCTGTAAATTTTTCTTTGTAAGAATTCCGCAAATGCCAAGGAAAAGAAAAGACTCAAGGGGTTTGGGAAATAAACCCCTTTTAATTTTAAATCTATGTAAGTTTAATTTATTCCCAAACTTTCTAAGTTCTTCCAGAGTTCTGGCCTTCAGAATATTTCCTAATTTTTCTTCTTAAGCTCTGCACTGCATCAAAACCTATCCAAACGATCTAATTCTGTGTTACCTATATTTAAAATAAATAAAGCACAATATATAATCAACACTGTATCACTAGAATTGTGAAGCTCTTCATGACTTTAAAAAAAAAAACTCCAAAACAAGCTATTTTATTTAACATGTAATAGTCATAAAGCAACTCCATATATTTAGTTTTCTGATATCCTAATGTATTTCCACAAACTTTTTTTTTTTTTTTTTTTTTTTTTTTTTTTTTTTTGAGTCGGAGTCTGGCTCTGTCGCCCAGGCTGGAGTGCAGTGGCGCAATCTCAGCTCACTGCCAGCTCCGCCTCTTAGGTTCACGCCATTCTCCTGCCTCAGCCTCCTGAGTAGCTGGGACTACAGGCACCCACCACTACGCCCAGCTAATTTTTGTATTTCTAGTAGAGACGGGGTTTCACCGTGTTAGCCAGGATGGTCTCGATCTCCTGACCTCGTGATCTGCCCGCCTCGGCCTCCCAAAGTGCTGGGATTACAGGCATGAGCCACCGCGCCCGGCCTCCACAAACCTTTTAAGTCTACAATTTTACATAGTTTTCCATCAGGGAGGCAAGATATATATAATTTCTTTTTATATTTAACTAAAGGTTTTAAGAGGGCTTAGTCTGTAAATCAGTAACAATTAGTCATAACACCATACAAACACATTTAAATATTCAGGAAAGAGGTTTTTAAGATTATTGCTTAGTCTTATAAAATGGTGAATTTTAATCAAATTGATACCTCTGTATTCTTATTTATGTTTCCTATACTCTTACATCATACTGCTTGGCAAGTAATGTAAGTTTTGACATAATTTAAAAATTCAAGTAGTTGTAAACAAATCCTAATTTGTTAACAATTCATATATTCCCCTTTACTTACTATACTACCTCAGAATTAATCCTCCTTAAAAAAGCAATCATCCCACATAGAAAAAACTGCAGAGCTTCATCTCTTCCTTAAATATTTTCAAGTACCGTAAGAACACAAATCCATGAAAAAAACTGATTAAAATTGGACATTTCATTAAAATTGGACATTCACAATTAGCTTTACTAATTATGGAATAATACAAAGACATAAAAAAAGTTCCTTAATATTTCTTTGCTTAACAGAGAAATACAAAGAAATACTGCAATTATGGTTATGGGCTATTTTTCAGCCTCTTCAAGTACAGGACACAACTATGGTTCCTACCAGTAGGGAGAAACGAATAATCAATCTTACATAACACGAAAGAAAGATGAGAGGCACAAAAAGATAAACTGACTTTGGCTTTTAAGAACCTAATGTTAACCCTGAAATGCCACATTCAGTAACACAACAACAAAACAAAAGATGACAGCAGCAAGCCACCACTTCACACAGTATTAAAAATTCTGAAATACGTAATAGCCTTCCTCCCATCTCCCACTCAATCTGCTGTGTCGTCTTTTTGTTTTTCCTGCTTTTTAGCTGCAGGCAGTTCAAGGCTTGCCCACTGCATCGGTTCAGCTTTTCTCATAGTGATTTCAATCTTTGTTGCAGTCATAGTTAATAACTTCGCTTTACATCAATCACACCCCATAATTTCACATTTTGATCAAATTCCTTCTCTCCTTCAAATACAATATGCGCATCTAACAATGTGCTATTTGCTTCTACTCGACTAAGTTCTGGAAGTGAATTTTTAGCCTATACTGAAATGGTAACTTCACCTCCAGTCTGATGCCAGTCATGTCTACATGGAACAACTTTTTTCCCAGCATCTTTTTTAGTCCACATGTTTCTCTTTTGTACAGCCCTCTTGGTCTAAGAATGTATTAAAATCAGAAGTTTTTCTTCTACAACAGCTCCAGTATTTCGTCCCCTCATGGAAAATAGGTACTCCAGAATGATATACACAGACTTCTTCTAGACTCTCTAGACCCCGATATGTCTTTGAACACCCTCCATTCTTACATGAGGTCCCAATCTTAATTTCATCATTGTCTTCTTTTCTTATTTTCTTCATTCCCTGATGACAGTTTAAGTTTATCAAGTGCTTGTTTTAGGGAGGCAGATATTTTTAATTCCAAATTTGTCATTGGTTCATCTGGGCTTGGTCTTTTTATCGCGTCTACTGTCTTAGGGGCTTGAATGTGTTCCTGAAATTTTGGTTTTAATTCAGATAGTTCCTTCTCCTCAGTAGTCTTGACCTCAGGTTTGACTGGCTCAGGTGGCTTCTCACTATTATGTCTACCTTTTGTACAGCCTACAATGCTTAAGAAATCAGAAAAATCAGTTGTTCTTCTCTTACAGCAAGACCAACCCTTTAATGCATCGTGAAAGACTGGAACGCCTGGGTGATATGTGCAAGCATCGTCGGAATTGGTCTCAGGATCGAAGCGCTGACCGCAGCTCCGGTTGTAGCACAGCAAGGCCATTTTTTTTCCCACTGTCACAGGCAAGGCCCAAACACCGGGAACAGCAAGAGGATGCGTTAGCCAATCCCGTGTTGCTAGCACCAGTCTCCATACCTCAGTTTTTTAAAGTGAGAAAAAAATCAATTGAATGCCAAAATAAATAGCCTGAATTATTTATGTGGGATAAATTATAGGTGCAACATGAATTTTAAACTATTCACTGGTAGTATGGAACAGATAAGTGGGGCTGCTAACCACCATAACCAAAGACCACTAACTCTGTTAACAACGTCTAGCAGCAACCTTAGCACAGTACGAGTCAACGAATTTCAGCGTGGCTAATGATCTCAGCTGGCATTTGGATACAGAGCATTTCCCGTAAGACATATGGAGCCCTGCAATACTTCTCTCTGTGTTCTGTGTCAGAAACGAAGGAGAGAAAAGGCAGGGAGCATCTGTAAGATCCATGTCACCCTGAGTGTCTACACTCACCCCAGAAGAACATGGAGGGTTCTCTAGAAGCCAATTACCGATCAGGAGATGAAGTATGCAGATCATCAGAGCAGTAGGTGCTATCTGTGAAAAGTCTTAGGCTCCCTGGATTTAGCTCCCAGATATCACTTTTAAGTAAGTCTGCTTTAGTGGATTAAAAGTTGAGACTCCTTTCTGATGGTGTGATATTGAGCCTCCATTTTTGCTATTGCTGGGTATTTGAAATATTTCCATCGGTGGCATGTTTCATATATTTGCACTCAAGATTATGCTAGAACACCATCCAATATGCAGAGTCTCTTCCCTCCAAAAGGCTACATATGCCTAGGTGCAATGTTTTTAATCTCTCTCTCACACAAAGACATCCATCCATCCTCTAGAAGGACAAACAAGGCTTCTATGTTATATTTAAGCCCAACGCCCATCTTTAGGAAGGGAGGGAGACTTACTAGGTACAGTTTTTTAAAGCCGTGTATAGTTTAAAGCTCTCCGATTTCCAGAAATGAGTTTCTTCCAGCTGTGCTATAGCAATCTGCTTTAAAGAATGATTCCCTCTTCCATCTGCCTCCTTCAAGGAGCCTCAATTAACCTTAATTCTATTATCAACAAAATTCTTGAAAAGTAAAGAATTTAAACGAAATGCCATTTGTCAAAACAAAACAGAAACCTATTTTATGCATTTATCTTCTCTGGAAAAATAATTTCTTTTCTAAGTGGTAGGAGCTGAGGAGAATATGCTATAGGAAAGCTGCAAATTCCGCAACGCCACGTAATTCCTAGTCCTCACAACTGCAAAAGCAATTGATTTCCTTTTCTTTTTCTCTTAGATTTTGAACACGTTGTTTCATATGCTGTTAATGACCGTAAATAGCTTCCCTCAAATAATGTCAGAGTCTAGGTGCTGAGCTGAAAGGGGCCTTTTAAAGGCCCCTTCGACCCTCTCACTTTATAGATTAAGAAACCAACGCCCTGAGCGATGAAGAGGCTACTGTTCTACAATCTATAATGGGCCCAGTCTGTCTACCTTTTAGCTCAGTGCTTATTTCAGAAAACAACCTGAATTTTCACAGATGTTTACATTTTGTTTTCTTTTTTTAAAGTCCTAATTTCTGTTGGCTATATTATTTAAGCAGATTCTATTTTAAGGAAATTTCATGGAAGAGCTCCTCCAGGTGGCAGCATCAATTATTCCATGGTAACCTAAAGAAAAAGCAAAACACCAACCTCCTGAAAACGACTGCAAGGCCCTAGCTTACGTGTGTTGTGACATGCCTGCTTACCAAGCCAGCAAGCTGCTGGCTTAGAGATAGGCTGGCAGCCATTCATACCTGTCAAACACATCAGTACACAGTGGATACAGCCTTTCACACCATCAGGAAAAACAAGGTATGTACTAATATTTCTGCAATTGGCTTACAACATTCGTTTGCAAATTCCTTTAGAATAATGATTCTTGTACAATTTAGTAGGGAACTTGGCATATGTTTTAGAAATTGTTTTAATTTCCCAAGCTGTAGGTTGTTCAGGAATTCTAAATGTTGCTCTATTATGTCTGACAAAGGACACAGGTCAACAAAATTCTAAGACAAAAGCATTACTTCAGTGCTCTTTTTGGTAGATCTTGGAAGAATTTTAGTTGGTAAAAATATTTTCAGGAACGAAGCACTTCTGGGAGCATTACAAGGCTGATCCTAATAAAACTTAAGATGTGTAAGCATTTCAAGTTTTTCTCAAAAGAATACGTTTCTTGCCCACCTACACATTTTAGTATGCATAAGACAAAACTTTTAAAGGAAATTGTTTATAATTTTTTTTTTTTTTTTAAAGACAGAGTCTTGCTCTGTCACCTGGGCTGGAGGGCAGTGGTGTGATCTTGGCTCACTGTAACCTCCGCCTCCCAGGTTCAAGTGATTCTCCTGCCTCAGCCTCCTGAGTAATTAGCCTGCCACCACACCCAGCTAATTTCTGTATTTTTAGTAGAGATGGAGTTTCACCATGTTGGCCAGGCTGGTCTCCAACTCCTGACCTCAGGTGATCCTCCCGCCTTGGCCTCCCAAAGTGCTGGGATTACAGGCATGGGCTACCGTGCCCGGCCTTTTAATAATGTTTTTAATATTCCTGAAGTCAAGCAGTAGAAAAGTAAAAAATCTCATACTTTATTCTCCTAGTGAAGAGAAGGACAAATAACCTTTAAAAGACTGAATGAAGGAAGGAAAAGGACAGGAAGAGTCTCTTTTTAAGAAATTCTGGTACTTTTTATCAGCTTAAATTTCTTTGGGAATCAATGATATTTAAAAGTAGAGTTCAGAACATTTATGATGAAACTCTTCTCAGCTAGTATTTTGACACTGACAAAAAAAATTACCTAAATTTATTGATTCATTCAGGATTTTAAAATTTTGTAAATATAGTGTACTCTGGTTTGTAGAGCTTAACATACTTTTCCACTATTGCTTTCCATCTTTTGTTGTTTAGTTCTATTGGAGAAATTCTGCATTCTATCAGAACTGAAATCAAAGTGTTACATATTCAGCGTGGGAGGAGTAAGACAGAACACCACAGACATGACAGCTAGTGAGCAATAAAACAAGAGGAGTAGAAAAAAATTTCATGTATTAAAAATGGCTATGTTACTTATAATATCGAATTGTAAAAAATTACTATCAAATATAGATGTTTAATTCTAAGATTTAAAATCTAGATTTCAAAATTTTGGAAAATGAATTGTTTTACAAAAAAGGATTATACTATGTTATTCATTAATGCAGTATAATTATAATATACTAATACTACATTAATTAACACTTTTTGCTGGGCTCAGTGGTTCATGCCTGTAATCTTAGCACTTTGGGAGGCTGAGGCGGGAGAGTTGCTTGAGGCCAGGAATTTGAGACCAGCCTGGGCAACATAGCAAGACCTCAACTCTACAGAAAATTTTTAAAAACTAGCTGGGTGTAGGGGTAAGCACATACAGTCCTAGCTACTTGGGAGGCTGAGGTGGGAGGACTGCTTGAGTTCGGGAGTTCAATGTTACAGTGAGCTATGATTGCACCACTGCACTCCAGCCTGGGCAACACAGGGAGAACCTGTCTCAATTAAAAAACAAAACAAAACAAAGCATATTTTTTTCCTGGTTTGACCATTTAAAACAAAAGATTGGCAAATAAAACACATACCAGATTGAGCTAGGGTTTACTCTTGATATATATTTGGTTTCCATAGCTAGTGAAAGAAATTATTTCCCTCTATTCTAGGATGAAAAACACTTGAACATCACTGTTTTCCAGGAAGTAGGGTGTGACCTCTTTTCGACAGATGGGGTGAAAACACACAAGTGGACCAGCAGCTCCCGCCACAAATAAAGAGTCTGGAAATGCAGGGCCACTCATGGGCAGCAGCTTCTTGTCCAGTCGTCACCAATAAAGAGAATCCCCACCACGGTCCTAGTGCCAAGGTGGCCACTGAGTGCAACAGGTGGAAGAAAACGGAATCTTGAATAAGAAAACGTGTTCTACTCCCAACTGCTACCTTTCAACCCCAAGCGGTGCTGACATGAAAAATGGCATATAATGAGCTCTTCTACAGAGCAGGTAAATAAGCAGCGATCAAGACTGCTCATGTAAAAAAATAAAAATCATTCCTTTTCAATTCCAATAAAACAAAACTCAACTCCTCAGGAAAAACATACCAAGCCTAAGGCCACTGGGTAGGGAAATCCCAGAGATGACATGGTGTCCAACTGGATCTGCTCACCGAGGGGCAAATCACTAATTCAGATCTTTTGACTTAGAACTTATTTGGCTCCTGGAAACTTCTTTATGAAAAGAAACACAACCAGTCTGCTACAAATGACATTTCAGTAGCATATTTATAGAATAGTTGAAAGGAACAAAGAAACTGCCTTTGCTGCTTGATTCCACAATAAACTGTAAAGGGGGAAAACAAGCCCAAACCTCACACTGTGTATCCATAAAAAAACTGGCAGCTCCTGGCTTCACATGAACTCTAGGTACCCGCACAAGACCCTTCCCAGGCTGAGAGTCCTACCGTGCTGCCTGGGCCCCCTTGTCATCATCGGAGCTCACGCCTACATCACATGTGTCTTCTGCAGCAGCAGATGCGGCCTGCTCTTCCTTCTTACTGTCCTGTTTGTATTTCTTTCTCCTTCGTTTTTTCTTTTTCACAGAACTTGGAGTAAAAATTGTCTCTGTTTCCAAGACGTGTGAGATGTCTGAACTCTGAGATGGTGTTTCATCTCCACCCGATTTCACCAAAGGGGTGTCAATATCTTTAAAGAACTGATCTTCAGTAGGAATTGGTGAGGTGGCAAGGTAAGCAGGAAGCTTTTCCTTGAGGAGAATGGAGAAAGAAAAGTTATCCATGACAAACTCGACAGTGAATTAAAGCAGTAATATTTTGAATATATAAATTTTCACCATGGTAAAAAAAAAAAAAATACATATTCCCTAAAGGCAAGAAAGTCCCACTGAACTAAGGCACTGCCTACTATACTCTGACGAGGTCTTTCCCCTGTGAGGCAGCTAAGTACCAGCCCACTTGGGTACATGTAACTGAGTCCATCTGAAGGAACTGACATGCCAAGTCAGCATGGAACACCCCAAAGCCATAATTAAAGCTAAGCCTATTAAATTCTTCACAAAGCAAAGATCAAAGCAGCAACAAAAATCTCAGGAGGTGTTACAAAGGACTCTCTCAAGAACTCACACAGAACATTCAGAACAGGAAAAAGCAGAAGGCAGAGATTAAGGACACTACATCAGACAAAGGGCAGCAGGACAGGTGAGTGACGCGAGGATGCAGTGATACAGAGCGGCCAATGCTTATGTTTTGCCAAATTAATTGGAGAAAGGCAATTAGAGACAATACCGTGTAACAAATGACATTAGTAAATTTTTAAACCATAAAGCATTTATGTTTAAAAATAAGAAATATTCCTTCCTGTAGGAATTCAAAAGAAGAAAATAAGGCCCAATATTTAGAAGCAGTCAAACTCCTAATACTAAATAAACGATCAAGTCTGGTGTTCAGTAAATTCATGTCTTAGCCATTTGTTTCATTCCTTTTTGTATCATCAGAGGAAATGGAAGGTACATAATAGAGATAAAAATTAACTTCAGGCAGAACGTGGTGGCTCACGCCTGCAATCCCAGCACTTTGGGAGGCAGAGGCAGGCGGATCACCTGAGGTCAGGAGTTTGAGACCAGCCTGGCTAACATGGTGAAACCCTGTCTCTACTAAAAATACAAAATTAGCTGGGCCTGGTGATGCATGCCTGTAATCCCAGCTACTCAGGAGGCTGAGGCAGAAGAATTGCTTGGACCTGAGGGGGAGGTTGTAGTGAGCCGAGATCATGCCACTGCACTCCAGCCTGGGCAACAGAGCGAGACTCCATCTCAAAACAAACAACAAAAAAATTAACCTCATATAATTTAAAATACTCAAGCTTTTAAACAATAGTTCTGAAAATGTATAGGTTTCTGTAATTATTTTTTTATTAAGCTTTTGAACTTAGCTTTGATAAACATATTACCCTGAAGCTAAAGTTTGATTTAGCTAGGAGAAATCTGTGTTCACCAGAAACACACACTTACAGAGAAATTGTAATAAGATATTCTGAATGTCCAAAAGAAACCCAGATGAGAGGTCGTGGTCTCTGACTTTGAGGATTTTTAATTCAATGATCTTTATTTTACTTACTGAAAGCTCTTTTTGTTTCTGGTGGTATTTCTTAGTTCTATTATAGCAATGTTTGTAGGATGAAGATAACCTGAACGCCTACCAGCAAGAAAATGGTTAAACAAACTATGGTATGTCCATACTATGGAATACTGTGCAGCTATTAAAAGCACAGAGTTAGGTTTAGAACTAGACTTGAAAAGAATGTTGATGACATATAATTAAATGAGAAAAATCTGAGAGAAAAAAATCAAATAAATGGCAACAAACTGGGTTTTTGGTCATCTTTATCCTACTCTAAATGACGAACCCCTAGAGGAACAGAGGCATGTTGTATTCATAGCATGTGGCATAGAGTAGTAATTCCAACATTTGTTGGATAAATTAACAATTTTTTATTTTAAGGAGAAGCATACTACACAAGATAAACTCTGGTCAATGTAGTCATATGTGGAATAGGGAGAAAAAGGCTGGAAAGTTGACATTTTCCAAGTTGTCCTTGCTGAGCATAATTTTTAGCGGAACTGTCAGAATAAGCCATGAAAACGAGGTTAACATCAATAACCCAGTCCTCTCGCTTACGGTGCCTGCTGATCTAGAAGTTCAGTGTTATGAATTATAAATAATTTTAAGAAACATACAAAAAGTGGTTTTTTTTTTTGACAGATGTCATTTATTATGTTTCATTCTGCTCTTTGCCTCTGTCTCTGATAAGGAAAAATGTTGCTTAGGCCAAGTAAATGCAAACAAGGTATTACAAAGATAAGTAATGAAGAAACTAGAAAAAGCACCAGTCTGATCAAGCTTCCCCTTCATAAATCATAGTGTTTCAATGCTGCTTTACCTACTGGTACCTAAGTTGTTGGTTTCTCAATCAAAAAATGATAAACAATCTCATTTTGCTATCGTATTTTTTGGTAATAATTTTCTTTGTAAATTTATTGTATCAAACTGTAAGTTCATCTTCAAAGCCAAAAAAGTAGTCCTGTATCCTTAATAACTTGATGCTTATCAGTTTTGCTATTTGAGACTTTATTCTTTATGAAGAATGATGTACTGATGCCTTTGAAAGAATTTTTAAAAAGATGCACATTACGTGATCTGAGTTCTTTAGTGAGAATGTAAAATCTATTATTAATAAATAAATAAATAAAAAGATCCACATTGAATCCATCAAGAATCCGTCGTTAACTAGCGTTCAAATCAGTACATACAGAATGTGTGTGCTGGGGAGGGGGGATTTTAACAAATCATGCTCGTTTGCTAGAAGAAGTCAAACATGTAATCACTTATAAAAGGATATAGGCCAATTAATTTAACTCTCTTGAGATCATAATAAATTAATTCACCTGACTACTCAAGGTGAGGGATGTAATATCCCAACCAAAATGGTAAACATGAGTCCCAGTCCAAAGGGCACATGTGGATAAACACATAGCCAGAAGAGAAATGCCCTACTCAGGCAGAACTGAATGTATTCAAGTCAATATGTGAACCAGAAGCAACACTAAGTAAGAAAGCTCATTAAAGCTAGAAAGTGATGTGCCTTCCCTTAGAAAAAGTGCAAGTATGTGCATTCAGCATGCTCCCTGCACCCTGAAACTTTGTATGGAGAAAAATTCCTCATCCCTTCAGTTCCTTTTTGACAGCTTAGTTCTTCAACATGAAACTAAAGCTTGTCTTGCCAACAACAGTCCTCTGTACAATCAACCATAAAAAACTGCTAAACGGTCCGTCTGGGCCACGTACCAGAGGCCTGAGCACACTGTGTAAGGAGGGTGTAACCCATGCAAACTTACATATTCTTCTTCAGTCTCCTCAACAAAGAAAGCTTCTCCGTTATCACCCAACTTCATGTGAAGATCCACTGCACTGCCGTTGATTTCTATATCAATCTATGGGAGAAACAAAGTATGACTTAATGTTCAAGGAGTCTTTCCTTCAAGTTAAACTAAACCAGAACTCTGAGTTCTCAAGTCAAACTTAGCATAGTTTTGAGGTTCCTAGAACTACAGCCTCTGAGAAACACTGCTACTTGCCCCTACCCAACCCCTAAGAAGCCAAATGGAGCTGGCAGAGGGAGAGATGGACAACCAGGAATTGAAAGAAAGTGTTTCACCATCTATTTTTACAACATATAAAAATTTTAAAATTATTTTTCAAATTTAAAATGGGGGAAATATTATTGTCAAACATTTGCACACTTTCCAAGTTATGGCACAGGCAGGCCTCACCTCACACGGTTCAGATACACACAAGTTTCAGGAACCTCAGTATGTGAGCTGTGAGCAACTGCATCAAGTACAACTTCACCGACAGCTCTTCTGCCCACAGATCACTACGTAAGTAACAGGTGACAATCAGTGCTGTGATTGGTCACTGATGATGGCGGTTCCATTTTCCCAAGAACCAGGTGAAACGATGGGATAAGTAATATCATGTCAAAAAAAAATTCAGGTAGACATATGCGTTGGGCCATTTTTGTGTTTGCTATAAAGAAATACACAAGGCTGGGCAATTTATAAAGAAAAGAGGTTTAACTGGCTCATGGTTCTGCAGGCTGTACAAGCACGGCGTTGGCATCTGCTTGGTTTCTGGGGAGGACTCAGGAAACCTTTACTCACGGTGAAAGGCGAAGTGGGGGCAGACACGTCACATAGTGAGAGCAGGTGCAAGAGACTGGGGGTGCCACACAAAGGTGCCACACACTTTTAAAACAATTGGATCTTGTCAACTCAGCAAAAACTCATTCATCCCCAAGTGGATGGTGCTAAGCCATCCATGAGGGATCTGCCCCCATGATCCAAACACCTCCCACCAGGCTCACCTCTAACACTGGAGTTCACATTTCAACATGAGACTTGGAGGGGACATCCAAACCTTATCAACATATTTTGTCAAAATGCTTGTTATAAAACTCCTATGTATGGGCCGGGTGCAGTGGCTCATGCTTGTAATCCCAGTACTTTGGGAGACCAAGGTGGGCAGGTCACCTGAGGTCAAGAGTTCGAGACCAACCTGACCAACATGGTGAAACCCCGCCTCTACCAAAAATACAAAATCGGCTGGGCATGGTGGCGCCCGCCTGTAATCCCAGCTACTCGGGAGGCTGAGGCAGGAGAATCGCTTGAACCCAGGAGGCGGAGGCTGCAGTGAGCCGAGATCACGCCATTGCACTCCAGCCTGGGCAACAAAAGCGAAACTCTCTCAAAAAGAAAAACAAACAAAACAAAACAAAAACAAACAAAAAAACCTCCTATGTATGAATAACATAACCACACTGAAGTGAGGAAGAATGGAACTAACCTTACCTTGGAAACAGTATTTTGACTTGTATTATAAGTCTAAAGACATATTTGATATGTTACTCCAAACAAACATTGTGCAGTAGTTAATACATTCACAGAGATTTGAGTTAGCAATTCTGAAACTATTTTGTGTTTCCTAGGATTGAGTAACTAAGCAGATATACTGACGATAATCAGAACCATGTTTCCTGTTGAAAGAGAAAAAAATTATAAATAAGGAGGGGGAAAGAAGCCTGCGATGGTGGATGGGAATTGGAGGAACCCGTGTGCCCTCATGATTTTCATATATAGATGCAGGGGTGTGTGTGTGTGTGTGTGTGTGTGTGTGTGTGTACACGTGCACACATCCACCCATTTCCTGGCTCTGCCAGCTTGGGCTGCCTAGAAGCAATGATACCTCAGGAGTTACGAGCACGCCTAATAAGCAGATCTTTGTTCGTAAATACTATTCTTCAATAAAAGGAACTGGCGTAAAATAATTAATGCCAGAGCTGAGGCAGGGAAAGTAGCTTCTTCTGGAACACCTTCTGGTACCAGGAAGGAAGGGTTCAAAAACTGATGGGAGCATTTCAAAGGAACTCAACTTGAAGGACATACACTAACAGTCAAACTGGGACAATCTGAGCAACTAATTTCATTTTTGGAGGCTATCCATTTAAACAGTGTAGCTGGGAAAATAGAAGAATGCTTCTTTAACATGCAAATTCAGACTCTAAACTATTCATACACTATCTCAGAAAAATTAACACTTCACAGCCCTTACTTTTAGAGATCAAGTATGACATTTCTCAATGTGACTACTTATCATCTTTGTGTGACTTTAAATGGAGTTTGGTCTTTCCAAAAATTAAACCTAACATCAAATTATGCTAATATTGGCAATACTTAAAAGAATATGCTGTGAACTCTTCAGGCAACAACAACACAAAGGTTTTAAAAATATTTTGAGAGAACACCAAGTTGGAACAAATTCTTCCCACCAACGTGATTATTTTAAAAAGGACACTAATTTGATGTATGAAATTCTAGTAAAACAGTTTTAAAAATAACCCCTCATTTCCATATAGTCTTACTTCTTACACTGTGGCTTAATTGTGCTGAACATAATATAGGACTAAGATGCTGAAATGAAACTGGTATCTCTGAGAAACAGTCGATGTACTAGACTTTTGAACTAGCTTACCACTCTTTGGGTAAGAATATCTCAAATGTCTTTTGGGAGTCTATTCATCCTGTTTCAAATCATATACAAGCTGAGTGTCTCAAATCCAAAAATCTGAAATCTAAAAATGCTCAAAAATCTGAAACTTCTTGAGCATTTACATGACACTCAAAGATAATGCTCACTGGAGCACTTCAGACGTCAGATTTTCAGATTTGGGATGCTCAACCAGTAAGTATAGTGTAAATATTCCAAAAAATGAAAAAAATGAAATCCAAAATGCTCTGGTCCCAAGCATTTCAGATAAGGGATACTCAACCTGTATTTCTGGTGTGGCTTTAGGGAGTAGAGGTGGGCTGTTGTCCAAGCCAATAAATATATCTCTTTCCCAGCTACAGAAACTGGTCCCAGAGATATGTCCGTTCCTTTGACAGGGAGACTAAATACTGATACTTCTGTAGGAAGCTCTCTCTCCACTGGGATTGATGAGTTAACAGATTGTGAGCCTGGAGGTATTGGTGGCCATTTTACATTAGAGAGAAAACAGAAGTGGAAGCAGAGAGCAGAGGTGGGGAAAGAAAAAGGGAATTCTGACAGCAAGCTTTTTTGCCTAAGCTAGTAGAGGGTAAATTTCTGTTATCAGCAATGAAAATAGTTTTAATACACTGGGTTATTTAACTTTGATAAATAATCTGACCAGGCGTGGTGGCTCACACCTGTAATCCCAGCACTTTGGGAGGCCAAGGCGGGTGGATTACCTGAGATCAGGTAATCCTAGCCAACATGGAGAAACCCCATCTCTACTAAAAACACAAAAAGCAGCCAGGCGTGGTAGCACGCGCCTATAATCCCAGCTACTCGGGAGGCTGAGGCAGGAGAAACGCTTGAATCAGGGAGGCGGAAGTTGCAGTGAGCAGAGATCGCCCCACTGCACTCCAGCTTGGGCGACAAAGCGAGACTCCATCTCAAAAAAAAAAAAAAAACAACAAAAAAAAAAAACAGAAAAAAGAAAAAAAAACTTTTATAAATAATCAAGTAATCAGCTTTTTCTGATATCAATAAATTTTAAAATATCAAGTACACATTTACCTTCTAAAAGTAAACTCCTAAGTTACTAAATTTACTGGGAGTACTGCTGTTCTACCAAACAATTACGTATCAATGGCAGTGGGAAAATTATTATACTACATCTCTCTAAACAGTGGTTTTAAGGTGGTCATGATTTCAAATTCACTTCATAGGTACACCCGTATTTGAAAATTTGGGGTCTTACTTTCACATCAATGGCCAGCTTTCCCTAACCCAAACTGACTTAAAATAAGACAAATAGTTAATGCAAATTGCCAGTGTATCTCAAAGTAGGCATGATTTCAGTTTTACTCTCACAGTTTTTCAGTTTTCTCACAGGAAAGCTGTTTTGGTAAATCAAATGGCCAAATTTCCTCCCAAACATATTCTTTGGGTTTCTGAGATACTAAGGGAGTAGGAGGAAAAAAATTCTCTTTTCCTGTGTCTCATGAGTACATTCCTATTAAAAATGCAACGTTTTGACAAGATAGTAACACAACGATTGTGTAGCTTTTGCACAGGAATTGTATTATTTCCTAAATTAGAGGCACACAGCAAGCAGGAAAAGGTGTTTTATCTACTTGGTCACCATTTACAGATGCATACATGCTTATAAATACATCTGCCTTCAGGTTCCATTTTGAAAGGCCAGACACTGATCCAATGTGATAAAAAACAATCTCAGCAAAAAAAAAAAATAATGATGATGATACCTTATCAGCAGTTTTACAATAGATCCATACACAACTAATGGGAAATTTCAGTTTGTTGCCAATTCCCCCAGAACAGGTCCAGTCTGAAAGTACTATTGGTGTTACCACAAAGAAAGAAAAAATTTCAGAGAACCTAAACTATGGCTAAATAACACTGTTTTGCAATGGAAAGTTTCTAAGTCCCTAAGTAAACTGCAACTGCTTTTGCTTTCTAAAGGGTGACTCTGAACAGAGGCCAGACCACACAAGCCCTGCTACCCTGAAATGTGGTTCTCCAGTGGAAACTGATTTTGTAATACCTAGAAATGAGATGTTTTTCCTGGAGGAAAAAAAGAAAAAGAATATCTAGTTTTGTGAAATCCATTTTCTTTCACTCTCAAAATAACATTTAAGTTTAATTAAATAGAGGGAAATTTCTATTTAAAGCTCAGCTATATAAAATAGCAAAAAGCTGAAAATAAATGTTTTCGACTTACACCAGTGGTCCTCTACCACATACTTTTAGGTCTGTGCCAGAAAATGGTGAGGCTCTTTTGTTGTGCTTTAAAATGTTGACAAAGCCTTTCTATGTTATTTAAGTAGATACTGCGAGGCAAGAATAGAAAGAGAAATCTGTGTACCTGCCAAGTGTTATTACTAGCTCTGTTTTCTAATTTGATTGACATCAGATATACTAGCAAAACTTCCAGCTGCTCCATAACCTGAAGAGGATAAGAAAAACCTACACAAATATCTTCTTCCTGAATGAATCTTCCCTAAAACAAACAAAAGTCAACCAGCCTATGGTCTGTTGGTTAGCATTTCAGTCAAATATGGGGACAAGTCCTGGTATCAACAACAGAATTTAGATTACAAAAGTTTTTACAGCTTTGTCAAAACAAACAAAATGTGGCATTAATTAATTTCCTTTAAAAAAAAAAATATGGCCAGGTGCGGTGGCTCTACACCTGTAATCCCAGAACTTTGGGAGGCCGAGGCCGAAGCCGGTGGATCACTTGAGGTCAGGAGTTCGAGACCAGCCTAGCCAACAAGGTGAAACCCCGTCTCTACTAAAAATACAAAAAATTAGGGGGGCATGGTTGCACGTGCCTGTAATCCCAGGCACTTGGGAGGCTGAGGCAGGAGAATCGCTTGAACCTGGGAGGCGGAGGTTGCAGTGAGCCAAGATCACACCGCTGTACTCCAGCCTGGACAGCAAAGCGAGACTCCGACTCAAAAATGTGTGTGTGTGTGTGTGTGTGTGTGTGTGTGTGTGTGTGTGTGTTCTTGATTATACCCACCTATTCCATTTACAATTAGTATGAAGGTATTAGCCTAAGTATTTAAAAATACTATATAAGGTAAAGGAAATTTTTCTTTTTCTAAATATGTCTAAGTTCCCCCATCTAGTTTCTGTTTTGCTTTTCTGAGTTGCAACATGTAAGATTATTATAATAATTTTCAGTTTCCCTTTCCCTTGAAGAGACTTCTGCAGTCGAGCTTTGTGGTTTTCAAAGTAACTTCAAAAGCAATACATAAAGGTTGACTTCTCGTAACATTGTCTCAACATCATTCAGGTTAAAAAAAAAAAAAGGCCTAGAAAACTCACAATAGCGATTTATTCATAGAGGATGACTTTTCTACTCCTTGAGGACACTCACTCACTTTCTCTTTGAATCTCAGGATGACTTTTCCTCTCCTTGAGGACACTCACCACTTTCTCTTTGGATCTCAGGACTCCCAGCTTTCCAAACCGAACGTGAAAAGGTGAACACTGATAGCTGCCATCCTGCTGCTGTACCACGATGACATCAATGCACCCAGAGAGGGTGGCCTGGTTAATGCCCTTGTAGAGTTCCTTCACAGTGACAATCACCTGCCCAGCCAGCTGTCCCACATAATTCATGGTTTGAGACTACAAGAAACAAAAATTAGATGAGATGTTAACACTAAATTTGTGATCTATTGACAAAGAAATAACAGTCGTAACAAAAATGACACTACTCACTTGTATGCCAGATTTCATATCATTAGCCTTATTAATTTTCAACCTAACAGTCTCATGCTACCATTGTTTCTACGCATTTCCACACACGGACCTCCCGAGACTATTCTCCTTTGTATCTGAGAGGCTGCTCCAGCCAGGGCCTGAGGCATTCCCTTTCCTTTCTCAGCAACCTGGATAGTACTGACTGCCATTAGGGACTTTTTCCCCAAAGTTCAGGATCAGCACAGAATCACCAAAGAACCCTGACCTCCTGCCCAAGACCCTTTGGAACCTGCGGCTACTGCATCCACTTTGGCCATAGCAGCCAAACAGAAAAAACAAACATCATCCCCGGGAGAAACCAGAGATTCATCTTCCAACAGAACCAATGTAATAAATTAGTGAGAGCTACATTTTGTAAGGAACTATTATTACCAGAATAGTATGGTTCGGACACATGCTAGATTAAATAAACTCTGGCAAGTCTGCCTGAGCCTAGCCCATTTATAACATTACTTCTACGGAAAAATCCCTTCAATGACTCAATATAACTAACTGGAACATGCAATCAAGTTCTACAAAGTTCAAAGCACAGAAAAGGGTTTTACTCTTGTTCCTCAACCTCAATTCACTATTCAAATCACAATCAAAAGGTCTGCAAGGAGTTCTCCAGAAAGGC
Source organism: Homo sapiens (assembly GCF_000001405.40). Lineage (NCBI taxonomy): Eukaryota > Metazoa > Chordata > Mammalia > Primates > Hominidae > Homo > Homo sapiens. Next base: position 2,961,601 of record NC_000018.10, read on the forward strand.
TCAAAGGAGAGGAAGTACAGCTAAAGCCAGGGGTGGCTTTATTGCCTTGGCCCCATCCCCAACTTTTCCACTAATAAAAACCAAATCCCCCCCTTCAGTCCTAATGTCAGATTTTACTTCCAGCTACTGAATACACCCCCACATTTTATTCATTAGATGCTGACACCCCTAATATTATGCCAAAGCACAATTCAGTGAAAGCCATTCTGGGGACTGGAATGACAGAGAGTAACCAAGAGCCCCTCCAATGCTCCAGCTAATTCAGAGGCCAACTTTCACCCAACCACAGGACTGACTGACTGCTCTCCAGGCTGTCTGCCATAAGCAGCTCGTGGTTTCTCTACACCCAGCTTGGAGGCTGCCTTGAGCTTAAAGGTCCATGCTCTGAAAAGTTTCAGAGATCATGTTCTGTGTTGCCAAGTGAGTCCAAAACTGAACTGGGAGAAAGAATGCTGTCTTCTTGGGAAAACTCAGGGGCCTCCAGGATATCTGCCTGCACAGAAATTCACTCTGCTCTTCACAGATGAGTGGCCACGGCAGAGCCCTGATTCTAAATTGTTTCCTGTTCCTACACGCGGATGAATGTGTAATCAAGGCCCATCAGTTCTACACCATGAAGCATCGCCATGATAATTTTACCCTGGAAGAAATTTTTAAAATATTTTAAAACTAATGTTACCAAGGCCCTTAAATGCACCCATAGAAAAGCTGGAAAACGCTTGTGCTGCAAAACTTACTCCTAAATAACAAAATAAGATGACATCCTTTATGTGATATCAAACAATTATAATCTGGTGATGGTTTTGGAATAATTGATTTGACCTCAATAGCTAAACCAAATTAAGCATGTATCAAGTGCTCAATAATCATTTATTGAATGAATGAACAAATGAACTAGTAATAAATGAGACTAAAAAAATAAGAAACATAAAAAAAAAGTGTGGGGAGGAAATAGTGTTTCATCAAAATATTCATATAACATCCCATTATGTTTTTAATAATTAAATTCCTATTTTGAGGTCACTGTAGATTCACATGTGGTTCTAAAAAATAACACAGCTAGATCTCATGCATCCTTTTCATATTCTGTAGGTAATGCATATTCACAACATGCTTTTTACCTACATGGCACACACATGAATTAAACAGCATCCAAGCAGTCAATCTTGGTATTACTGCTTGAATGGTGGTGGCAATGTTAAAATGAATTTTATTACAAGAAAAAAAAAACATGTTAGACCTTTTCTTAAAATAAACAAAAAAATGCTAACTTTTAAGCATTGACATTCAGCCACAAACAAGTCTTATAAACATAAATGTGTAACAAGCTTCCATCAACTACAGCATAAAATTCATAATTAAGTGTAACCGTACCTATTCAAGATTATTTTAACTACCATGGTTAAGGGATGTGCTGTTATATGGGAAAACCTAATGTGTAAATGCCAGTTGCTAAATGTAGAAAAATACAGGTTGTCAAATAACTGGTTTTCTCTTGACAGATAATGAAACAATGACATTTATATTGTGAAGGCTGGTAAAACAAAAGTAAAGGGAGGCCTGTAGCTTAACATGCTACACCCTGGGTATGATGAGCAGCTGTCTGCTAGAAGGGTCACCCCAACAGAGCTGGGGAAAGAGGCTTCCTCACCGTTAGTTACGTCTGGAGGAAATGCAGTTGTTCGTCATAGGCATGAGGGATATGTTAAACAGCCTGCTCTTGAAGCAGAATCTAGTGCCATATACCTTATTCCTACATGCTAGCCCAGCATAGCTACACAATAAGAACCAAGTCAGACCTGTCCTGGTCAACACCTGGGAAAGCCACACTCTGAACCAGCAGCAGAAAAGATACACAATGATGTAACCCAAATGTTTAAAAAATATAGCAAAATAACACACTATAAACTATTCCTCCTATTTTATCATGAATGATGAGGGAAAATGTGGGAGGACAAAATAAATAATGGAGAGTGACAGAGACCAAAGGAGAGCCATGCAGAAAGAAACAAACAAGAAGTCACAGAGAAAAAAGAGCAAAAGCAAAGACAGAATATTTAACCAGAAAGGCAGGCTCATTTGGAGATGCCCACACAAAAAGCAAAATGTGGAAATGAAAAATGGTCACAGAGCAGCATCCCTATCTTGAGGCTTACGGGCATAAATAAAAATATTAAAGTGCACTTGCTGATTCTTGGAACAAGAAGAATACATCCAGCCCATTCTTTTAACAAATACCAAAAATGCTTCTAACACATCTCTGAAATACTCTAACAATAATCACACTGGAAACAACTCTTTTTTTGAAAGCTCGTAACATCCCAAATTCTTAAACTTATACATTATTATCTCAGAACTACTTTAGAGGTGGTATTATTTCTATTTTTAAAGACAATTAAGGCTGGGTGTAGTGGCTCACGCCTGTAATCCCAGCACTCTGAGAGGCTGAGGCAAGCAGATCACTTGAAGTCAGGAGTTCAAGACCAGCCTGGCCAACACGGTGAAGGCCCGTCTTTACTAAAAATACAAAAAATTAGCCGGGCGTGATGGCGTGCGCCTGTAGTCCCAGCTACTTGGGAGGCTGAGGCAGGAGAATCACTTGAACCTGGGAAGCGGAGGGTGCAGTGAGCCGAGATCACACCACTGCACTCAAGCCTGGGTGACAGAGCAAGACTCCGTCTCAAAAAAAAAAAAAAAAAAAAAAAGAAATGAGGGTTAGAAAAGTTAAGTAATATCTATGACCTCCCTCTGTCCCCCACCACCACCAAATTCATATATTGAAGCCCTGACGCCCAATGTGATGGTATTTGGAGACAGGGCCTTTGGGAAGTAATTAGGTTTAGATGAGGTCACATGGGTGGAGCCTCCATGTGATGGATTAGTGTCCTTCTAAGAGGAGAAAGAGACCCAGACCACGCTCTCTTTCCTTTCCTCGTGAGAATACAGCAAGAAGTCTGCAAACCAGGAAGAGAGCCCAATCGGCTGGCACTTTGATCTGTGAGAATGGTAAGAAATAAATGTCTGTTGTTTAAGCCAAATACCATCTATGGTATTCTGCTGCAGTACCCCAAGCTGACTAAGACAAGTCTCTTCTTAAACATCGCATGCTATGCTGCATTTCAGTTTTGGGATCGTTACAGTTGACAGAGACTCACTACTTTACCAAGAAGTCCATAAAAATGTCAGAGAACTATTATGTCCACTAGAAATCACACTGAATATTACCACGCTCTTCCAAATGAAACCACAACACACCAAAGAATTTATCAGAGTCTCTTCTATTCTAGGCTAAGCATTCTTGTTCCTTAAAATATGTGAACTGATTGGGTCTACTCTGACTCTTATGACAATTATTTATGTCCATCTTTAAAAACGATATTTAAAGACAGCTAGACACAATGGCTCAGATGTGGCCTGACTGCTACACAGTGTATGTAATATACAGTGTGCTGTTTAGGCCTAGGTACCTTCCCATGGGCTAGATTAAGTATTGGGAGCTCCGAAGGAAAAGAAGTACTTATTGATTACTCAAATAAAAAAGTGAAGAAAAAAAAAAGCAGTAGAAAATAAGCAACTACAATACTTATTAGAGACCAAATGGCCCTTCGCATATAAAATTCAATACGCCAAATTAGTCCTTCATGCATAAAATTTGACAGTGCCCACTATCATATTTTTCTTATCAAATATTTTAAGGTATAAAAGGACACACACTGGAATGAATGGTAGCTTTCAAGATTTCGTTATTCACCAAAAGTTTGAAGATCAGCTTAGCATCTTTTGCTGAGCATCAAAGAAACTAAAATGAATAATCACTATATGGAGTATGGATTTATAAATAAAATGGGCCAGGCGCGGTGGCTCACGCCTGTAATCCCAGCACTTTGGGAGGCCGAGGCAGGTAGATCACTTGAGGTCAGGAGTTCAAGACCAGCCTGGCCAATATGGTGAAACCCCATCTCTACTAAAAATACAAAAAAATTGGCCTGTATCGTGACACATGCCTGTAGCCCCAGCTACTCGGGAGGCTGAGGCAGGAGAATCGCTTGAACCCGGGAGGCAGAGGTTGCAGTGAGCTGAGATCGTGCCACTGCACTCCAGCCTGGGTGACAGAGTGAGACTCCCAATCTCAAAAAAAAAAAAAAAAAAGCATCAGTAAATAGGTTCAAATACCAATCCCCCTCCTACAAAAACTGCTTAAAATTATTTCAATTATTTGATGTGTTCAATCAAAAATAACTTTTGTTAAGGAAAAGAGTAATCAGAGATAAAAGGTAGTTTAAAAACAATAAAAAAAATTCATAAATTATCAGCACAAAATGGACACATTCTATTTACTTTTATTTTCATTTTGAGACAGGGTTTCACTGTGTTGCCCAGGCTGGACTGCAATGGTGCGATCTCTGCTCACTGTAACCTCAGCCTCCTGGGCTCAAGCGATGCTCCCACCTTGGCCTCCGGAGAAGCTGGGACTACAGGAATGTGCTACCATGCCCAGCTAATTCTTGTATTTTTTTGTAGAGACGGGGTTTTGCCATGTTGCCCAGGTTGGTCTTGAACTCCTGGGCTCAAGCAATCCACCTGCCTTGGCTTCCCGAAATGTTGAGATTACAAGTGTGAGCCACCACGACTGGCCTCAAAATGGATACATTCTAAACCACTATTTTAAGTGTTTCAAAATCTGTTTCTTAAGTTTATCTCCAAATATCTAATCGGTACTAGTATTGTTAGTACTACTACCAACGAACACACAACTAAACTTGTTACACGTCTCTCATGTGTCAAGTGCTATGTTAACCTGTATGTTATCTCATGTAGTCTTCACAGATACCCATGGATTTGGTATTCCCATTTATATGTGGAAACTCGGGTTCAGAAATATCCAAGGTCAGCACACTATTAAGTGGCAGAGTTAATATTCAAACTCAAGTATGAGCCTAGAACCTAAGCCCTTAATTGCATCTCTAAGTAACAGAAATGCTCTAAGTAAACATGATAAAAGCCTTCATGAAGCCTCCAGATTTCTTACTGCAAGTGGGCTGCTTTCAGCAATCTGAGTATCATTTTTACTTAATGCGACTTGACTACTTAAAGATGAAATGATTACAGGGAATCCAAAGAAGCCATACTTACCCTCCAAGTCTCCTCACACCACTACTATTAACCCTCCCGCTGGACCATGGTCCAGTGTTACAAAGCAGACTCCTGGGAGCGCCACATGTCATGAGGCTTACGGACAGAGGTTAAAACAGCTTTTACCAAAGAACATGCCATTGCAGCTAACTTTCTGCTCATGGACATGAGGAGTATGCTAGGAGGGAAGAGAGACACCAGATGCTTCAGGAAATAGACAACAGGACACTGTTACCTAGGATGTAGGTAAACATTCCAGCTTGCCCCTGTGCTCCTGGACCAAACTCCTTCAGGACACCCATGATTACGGTTTGCATTTGATTAGCATGTAATATTTTTCAAGAACTTCCTCAAACATACCTCATTTGATTTTCAAAAAGAGAATGTGGGTTATGCTAGCAGGCATTATTAATTTCATTTTAAATTTGAGATTGAGATAAGAGGTGTCTACTATTCACTAGAACCCAGTTCTACCTATACTCAGGGTCCCAACTTTCTCCACTACCTCTGACCCATGGCTTAAATCATTGGGTCTCAAGGTCATGTGGTGTCCCTGAGGGCAAAAAAAATCTGAGGGCTGAACTCAGGTTATACTAAATCCCTATGGTTTTCTCAAAGAATCCCAGAGTAACCTAGAGGTGGCCAATATGAATCTGGGGGGGATTCTGGATGGTAAAAACTTCCCCCCAAAAGTAAGTGATGAAACGCAAAGGTACCCACGCAGCAGCTGCCGCAAGCTTCTCCCCGGTCAGGGAGGGCAGGGGGTGACAGTCCCCCAGGGGCTTGCCCACATCGTGTAGGTGCTTAACTGAGTCAACATTTTACAAAACATTTACAGTGTGCCCACCAGATGCTAAGGGATTACAAAGAACGAAAGGAGGTTACAACTTAGCTAGACAGAAGAAAGGAAGAGTATACAACACAGCGCAGTCTAGGGTAAGTTGAAAGCAGGGCCACAGACTCCCGACGCCAAGCCCTGACGGGGAATCCAGCCTTTCCGAGGGAAGCTGTTCTCAGACATTTAAATTCAAGCAAATGCCTTACTTTGTACTTCCTGGTTATTTCTTTTCCCCGTCATAGTAGAATGCCAATTTGTTTCTTTAGTTTTGTATTATTTTATATTAGCTATCTTTAAATTCTCACTTTATAAAACAAGAAATAGAAAATAGCAGCCGCACAAGAACAACCTGGCCTACCCCCCAGGAGCACAAAACAGATGGTTCATTAAAGCCCATGCGGTCTTCCTGAAGCTAAGATGGCCCATGAGAAGTGCTGACAGCTGAGCCTCTAACACTCACCGCTCCTAGACCTTCAGTGGAGAAAGAGCCCCAAATGTCTCCTCAAGAACACAGCGGGTCTCCTGCTGCCCCAGCAGTGTAGGGCGACTGGTCAAAGTGTTCTCCTTCATTTCTAGGACGATTTAGTCCCTGTACAGACTCTGTAAACGAAAACCCAGTGCCTCCCAGCAAACTTCCTGAATACACCGAGTATCCAGACAGCTTTTTCATCACAATGAAAAAGGAAATCTGGAAGAAGCCTTACCCGGGAAAGGCCTCTCGATGTAATCCTCCTACAGGTTTAACTCAGAAACAATCACAAAAAAAGATGCCCATTATACTGGCCTGTTTCTGGTACAGTTCAGTTTTCACACAGTCAAAATTAAGCACCTATTTCATGCCAGTCACTACAGTAAGTCCTTATGAAGATAAACAAAATTCTGCCCTCATCCTCTCTCAGAGGACCTTGGTTCTTGAAAGAGATATAACAAATACTGTCTTATATAATCCCTTATGATAATGCTATTTGGGAGACTGTTAGGAAGACTAGAGAACAAAAAGAGAAAAAATCTACTTGGGAGAGTTAGGTAAGGCTTCAAGCAGCAGAAAATATTTGTTCTAGAAGTGCAAGTATGTGTAAAGGGCTGAACAGATTAAGGAAGGAAGGTTCCCAGTGGGCAGTCCCAGGCAGAGAGAACAGCTTATGGGAAAGTGTGCTAAGTTTGAGGGACAAGAGTGAGATGCCACAAGGCCTTTGACCCTGTGCAAGTTTATCATGTGGGCAATGGGTGCAATCAGTGCTTCTTCTGTTCAGGGAAGCGACAGGATTAGGTCACAGGGGGAGGATGAACTAGAGAAGAGGTAGCTAAAGGCAGAGAGACTACTCCAGAAGTCACCACAACAAATTCAGGCAAGAGACTGCACAGCTCTATGGTAGAAGAGACACACACAGGGAGCTGAGAATCAGTTAGTCTTGATGACTGTTGCATGAACCAACTTAGAGATATGGAAATAAAAAGAGTAGACCTGGTGGGGAACTTCCTATCAAGGTTGAACTTAAAGAACACTACTTACTACCACACTGCTTCAAAAGTTTGTGTACATGAAAATCATTCTGGGTGGTTTTAAAAAATGCAAATTTCTGACTGTTTTAAAGCTTAAGAACTAATTATGAAGATGAGCCAGGTTAGGGAAGCATAGTTCCATGTAAAAGTAAGAGCTCTTGCTACTTTGTGCTACTTCCAAAATCAGTTCAACAGAAAACTGACTACACAAAGGCTCTGAGCCTTGGGAATTGTCCTGTCCTTTGTCTTTTACAGAGAAAAAGTACAGGGGAGTTTTTGAATCGTTCTGAGCTGGTGTTGGGCCTCAGAGGACTCCCTCCTGAGAGAATGAGATTTAGCCAGGATGAGGTGTGCTTTGGAGGATCTGAGGTTCTAGTCAATTCCCCGTAGATCACAAACTCTGTCTTTCTAAATCAGAGCAACCCCATCACCTCCACTGTTTGAAGTCGCAGTCAGGGAGGTTTTTATATCTAACTTCTTTTTCCCCACTAAATGAGGAAAACTGGCAAGGAGCACACTCTAGGTCAGTATTTCTCAAAGAGTGGTCCTTGGACTGCCTGCAATAGAAGCAAGTTTTGGTGCTTAAGAATGTAGGTTCATTCATGAAAAATACGGGAAAGGGGGATAAAAACAAATACACGCTCATGAACCCCAACCCAGACCTACTACATAAAAAGCTGGAAATGAGGTCTTAAAAATCTGTTACCCACGATTCTGACAGACACCCAAGTTTGGGAACTAACTCTAGGCTCTGTTGCAAGAACTTTCTCCTCTTAAGCCTGATTAAGTTTGTTATGAAGACTAAGTTGTTATGGGCTCAAGTTCACATCCTGTCGTATAAAGATGTCAAGGTCTGATAAGTGTGGATCAGAAGTGGAAGCAATAGATAGTAATAGAATTTTAGACATTTTAATGACAGCTGACCTGACTGTTTTATGATACTTAAATTCTAGAACTGGCAGTGCTTCTGTGAAAAAACTCAGAAATTCTGGCCTGGGAAGACTGCTTGCCTAAGGACCCCTTCCACAATTACAACCAAATATTACTCAATATCAACCTTTGGGATACGTAAGAAGAGGGGATTTTCTGATTCAATATTTCTGTTTGGGAATTTAAACAGACACATAATGCAATGGCTAGATCTGAAGGTAAAAACAGGGCTCCCTGGATTTCAATGATTTCAGTGCTCAGAGAGGCACCGAAACACAAGGGTGGGCCCCCAGTAGCCATGTCTATAATACGGGACCCAGGTCTTGGTATCTGCTGGCTGACAGGGGTGGGAAACATCTGGCCCAAACAGATATTCATGAAACGTATATGGAGAGCCAAGGCCACCCAAGACTGGGAGGGCTGGGCTACCTGAGATGGGATGCAGAAGGCCCACCAGCTTGGAACACTGACACCCCAGGTGGCCCTGGCTCTTGCCCTCTTGGCATCTCTCTGAACGATGAGCCAGTCATAAGTTTCTTTGCGTGGTTGTTCAGAGTCCATTTCCAATGTTGCCAACAGAGGACTTAAATCAGACAGGCTAGATCCTGACTGGATAAAGCCACCTGGAGCCCTAAAACACCCTCCTGCAAATATCAGCCTGGCAAAACTAGCAAGAACATGCTTCAAACATAACCCAGATAACACTTTATGCTACTTAACAACTTAATCTGTTGAGAAAAAAATTTTTAATTTTTTAAAAATGAGAAAATATGAAGCTGGCCTTAAGCTTAGTTCTCAGGGCTGATAAGTTTTAAATTAGGATTTTTGGATCTGTCACCATGTTATTTCCTTTGAGGGAATCTGAAAGCTCAGACTTCTGCTCACTGAGTTCACTTCACTATGATGATTTCAACACACTCACTTTCTATAAACAGATGAACTGCTTTGTTGGACTGAGTAGGGCTCAGAAAAGGGAAGACGCTTTCCCAGTATAGCAATGCACCCTCTCTCCGAGTGGCGGCCCAGACCTTTACTCAACGACAGTGTCTACTTCAGCTTTTCAGCAGGTATAACTTAAGGAAGGACCATAAACATCACCTATTTCATCTTCAAAAATTACCAGCCCCCATCTTCTACCCACCCCAGTCATCAGCCCAATAATTTTCTGGACAATTCTTCAAAAGCCAATACCAGTTTTCATCTTAATCTGGTATTTCGTAAGAGGAGCAAGGATGTTTCAGGTTCCCTGGGTAAGGAGGAAGTGGGATCAAAAAGGAACGTACATCCACAACAGATTGTGAATCCCCAGAGCACAAAGGCAAAGATCAAAAAGATGATAGGGGAGGATGTGTGGGCTCAGCGGCTGAGAAGAAAGCAGAGGTCACAAGATGGGATCTGTTGCTGTGAGTGCCCAAGGCCCCCTGCCCTCTCCCTACCACAGCACCCACCACGCGGCATGAACATTTAGGCTACCTTCAAACTCTTGAGTTCCGGTAAGGAAGAGAAAAGTCCCGCAAGCTTCACTGCTTCCTGAAAGCTTGGCACAGTGCCTAGCAATAGTAGGTTCTTAATAAGTGGTTTTGGATCAATGAATGGACCAATGAATAAATGAATGAATGAATGCAAGACCTAGTGAACAGAATCAGCAAGGAGAGGGAGAAATATACACAGTGTTGCGTTTTATCTCACTGACTTAGAGTAAAATTCAAGAGGTAAGTGAAGATACATATAACCATGCACTGGAAAAAAAAAAAAAAAACAGGCTGGGTGCGGTGGCTCACGACTGTAATCCCAGCACTTTGGGAGGCCGAGGCGGGGGGTGGATCACCTGAGGTCAGGGGTTTGAGACCAGCCTGGCCAACATGGTGAAACTCTCTACTAAAAACACAAAAATTAGCCAGGCATGGTGGTGGGCACCTGTAATCCCAGCTACTCAGGAGGCCGAGACACGAGAATCGCTTGAACCCAGGAGGTGGAGGTTGCAGTGAGCCAAGATCGCGCCACTGCATTACAGCCTGGGCGACAGAGTGAAACTCCATATCAAAAACAAAACAAAACAAAAAAACAAAAACAAAGAAAAGAAATCCATGGTGGAAGTTAACCCAAAGTCCCAAAAGCAATGCCCATGTGTTCAGACCAATACTTTCCTCCAGAAGCTGCTGAAGACCTCACAGAGAAAAACTTGCATAAATCTAGTCTATGTCAGTGACAAAAATGACACCGCCTCAGGATGGGTAAATCTAAAAATATCCCCGTGAGAACAAATGACAGCCAAGTAGATCATTCTGGAGAATACTGAGCAGCGCAGCAGCAACTCGCGGCAGAGACTGCTGGTCATCAGAGGAAGTCAGTGTGAAGTCAGCCGAGGCAGGGGCAAGGGTGCCGTAACTGCATTATTACAGAAAACAAAGTGAAACACAACCACAAAGTTATCCATCTTCTACTAGTCAGCTGACTTTTACGAAAATGCCCAATATAATTATGCTACAGAGCACAGCCTTTAAGGAAAATGGCTGGAAACAATAGTTTAATTTTCCTGTGCTCAATAATGTACCAGAACATTAATTTTCTTCAGAAATAGAACCTGGTACAGAGCAAGAAAAACTAGTGTTCAATTTTATCGTTAAATTTCAAAATAACATGTGTGGCTTAAGGAGATCCTAAAACGGTAAGCAGCACCCTCAAAAGGGGGCCCCAACTCCCTTCCTCAGCCCCGACAACATTCACATGGCCAAACTTGTTTCAAACTATCATAGCTCTGTAAAACTAAATGGTTCCTGTTCCCACATTTCTCTTTAATGCTTCTCCCTTCATTTCCCAAAATGAAAATAAAACCTTGTCATGAAACTTTCTGATAATTTAATTCTTGTCTGTTCCCATCAAGGCTAAAATATGCCCAGTTTTGACCTCTGTACATGAGGTGACAGATGCTGTTACAGGGAACATTTAACCTGACTGGCAAATAGAGAGAAATGCAATAAGTAAAATCATTAAGAACTGTAATCAGTTCAACATTCTGTTTATAATTAATAATGAAAGATATTAAACTATTACTTAAGTTAACCTTTGTGTAATGGTTATACCTATCAGCACAGAAAAAATTCCAGCTAAATGTTCATGCCAATTTAGCTATGAAGTTTTAAGATTACAAATAGCTGTACCTTGAACTATTCAAAATAGATTTTTCTTAAAACAAAAAAAAAAGCATACACTTTACAGGCAGGAAAATTAACCCTTTTGTAGTGTACAGTTGTTAGCTGTGACCACACATTGCTGTAGCCACCACTATAATCAAGATACAGATCAATCAGACTGCTCTCCAAAATGCCCAAACCCATCTGGAGTCAATCCCTCTTCCCCACCCATGCCAATCACTGATCTGCTTTCTGTCCCTAGTCTTGCCATCTCTGGAATATCATATAAATAGAACCATACAGTATGTACCTTTGGATTCTGGCTTCTTTAGCTTAGCACAGTCCACGTGACATTAATCAATACTGCTGCATGTATCAGTAGTCTGTTCCCTGTTAAGTAGTACCCCACTGCATGGATGTATCAAATGTTTATCCATTCACTAGCTAGAAGATATCTGGGTTGTTTCCAGGTTTCGGCAATTACAAATAAAACTACAGGTTGAGTATCCCCCTTATCCAAAATGCTCAGGACCAGAAATGTTTTGAATTTTGGATATTTTCAGATTTTGGAATATTTGCATATACATAATGACCCAAGTCCAAACATAAAATTCATTTATGTTTCATATACACCTTAAACACATAGGCTGAAGGTAATTATAGAAAATATTTTCAATTAATTTTGCACACGAAACAAAGCTTTAACTGCATCTTGGCTGGGACCTATCACCAGGGCAAGTGTGGAATTTTCCACTTGTGGCATCAGAGAGTTTTGGATTTTAGAGCATTTTGGATTTCAGATTTTTGGATTAGGGATGCTCATTCTGTACTATAAACATTTGTGTACAGGCATTTGTGTGAACATAATTTCATTTTATTTGGATATTTTAAAACGGGATTGCTAAGATATCTTTTTACAAAGTTGATTTTACTGGTATTGTTTAGTTGTTGTTGTTGTTTTGTTTTGTTTTTTTGAGATGCAGTCTTGCTCTGTGGCCCAGGCTGGAGTGCAGTGGTGCAATCTGCCTCCCAGGTTCACACCATTCTCCTTCCTCAGCCTCCTCAGTAGCTGGGATTACGGGCGCCTGCCACCACGCCCAGCTAATTTTTTTGTATTTTTTAGTAGAGATGGGGTTTCACCGTGTTAGCCAGGATGGTCTCGATCTCCTGACCTCGCGATCCGCCCGCCTCAGACTCCCAAAGTGCTGGGATTAACAGGCGTGAGCCACCGCGCCTGGGCTTCTACTGGTATTGTTTTTAAGGAATCTTCAGTGTCCTTGGGGGAGCCTGTTATTAGAGAAATCCTTCCTTTGTAAAATAACGTAACTGTTTTTTAAGTTTGGATTTTCACATGTGGGATTTGCTTAAAATGTAAATTCACCTCTATACTGGTGAAAATTCAAATTCATTTTCTCATGGTCTTAACTTTTTAAACATTGTATATCCTCAACAAATTACATAAGCTGTAATTCAGATGTTTTACTCATTATTCTTCCTAATGTTAGTTACAGGGAGATGATGGGGGAAAAAGTGGAGAGGGCACTAACTTACCCCTTCCAATTGCCATTTTAGGCTGCGTGCGTTGGCTCACACTTGTAATCCCAGCACTCTGGGAGGCCAAGGCAGAAGAATTAGTTGAGCCCAGAAGGTGGAGAGCAGCCTGGGCAATGTAAGGAGACTCCATCTCTACAGAGAATTTTTTTAAAAAGTAGTTGGGTGTGGTGGCGCATGCCTGTAGTCCCAGCTACTCCGGAGGCTGAGGTGGGAGGGAATGCCTGAGCCAGGGTAGTGAAGGCTGTAGTGTGAGCCATGTTTGTGCCACTGCACTCCAGCCTAGGCAACAGAGCAAGATCCTGACTCAAACAAACAAACAAAAATTGTTTAAACCCCAAATGCCATTTTACGTACCTCATCTGATTTAATCCTCACAACTAGGTGAGGTAAATGTTATATTCATTGTACTAATAAGAAAACTGAGGCCCAGAGAAGCAACTTATCTATAGTCTAGCAGTTACCCAGAGACATGACCAGACAAAAGCCCTGGTATGTCCATCTTAAATACCCATTCTTGTTTCACTGAAACCTAAAACAGCTCCTAAAAATTTATGGAATTTTCAGGCTATGTGTGGGTAGGAATTTCATAAAGGCTTTTAGAAGGCTATGATGATTCTTCCATATGCTACCATACATGAAAAATCTTAAGCCTTTTTTTTGAGATGGAGTTTTACTCTTGCTGCCCAGGCTGGAGTGCAATGGTGCAATCTCAGCTCACTGCAACTTCTGCCTCCCGGGTTCAAGTGATTCTCCTGCCTCAGCCTCTCGAGTAGCCGGGACTACAGGCGCGTGCCACCATGCCCAGCTAATTTTGTATTTTTAGTAGCGACGGGGTTTCTCCATGTTGGTCAAGCTGGTCTCGAACTCCTCACCTCAGGTGATCCACCCACCTCTGCCTCCCAAAGTGCTGGGATTCCACGCCTAGCCAAGCCTTTTATTATGAGTAGTCTTACAGATACGATTACGTTATGAACATAAAAGTGTGTTTTAAGGGGTATGTCCTTATCCTAAACCTTCTAAAAGAATTGTGTAGTAAACCTATTTTGGTGGCGACTATTGATAACCATAAGCAACTCTAAAATAAGCCAGGAAATCTGATTATTTGGCTTAATTCCACATACAAAAGGCACACAATTTCAGCAGGTTGCTATAGAAGCCATGTGCAGTATTTTCAGGGTTGACTATCACTGACATTGGTGGGATACAATTTTTTTGAATTTTATCCAAAATTCAAACACTCCAACTTTGAAACACTCCAACTCTATCGGAAGTTTTTTCTATTTACACACTGACCTAGAAGTCAGGAATTTGTACGATTCTTCCACTATCCAAATTACAGCCCCAGACTGGAAACAAAGTAATATATTACTATAGGTTCTATGTCTAGGGAAGGACATGTTAAACTTTGCTCATCCCCCTTATTTCCCATCTCATCCTCTCTCACCCATTAAAGAACTTTAGTTAATATCACAGTTAACATTAACACAATTAGGGAAGTTTAAAATGTCAAGTAATTACGTGTCCTAATTGTGTTAATGCCCTGGGGTGAAGGTCTCTCAACCTGTACCATATTGTATCCTAGTAAATGAGGGTAAGAACCAGCCAGATGGACTACCATTGCAACTCCTGTAGCTAAGGTGGCAGCTACTAAATTAACAAGCACATGCAGGCCCAAAGTTCACAGTCAGTACTCTCAGTAACTGGGGTTGAAGGGTTTCTTATCAAGAAGTCTGATAGAGCACCTGCTTTAGAAAGCAAGCTACACGTGGAAAAAAGAATGTAGGCTGCCTTATCAAAAAGAAGATAACTCAAGGACTAAAATAAATTTGGTTTTAGTGGAATCGTAAGCCTGTCATTTGTCTGCGTGGATTGTTTACATGTTTTTTAAAATGTTTAACAGCTTCCCTGGGCATTCAACCCACTAAACATTTCCTGAGGTGTGCTCAATTTCTCTGACAAATGTTTATAAGCATACTGGCCATGAAACTGTACCACTTCCCACGCAAAACAGGGGACTTACTTTACTAATGAGAGCTAGCTAGGAGTGACATAAAAATTCTTTTTAGTATAAGAAGAAATGATGATTAACCCAGTTATGGAAAATGATACTTCACCATGGAACAGACTGTTCATTAACAAAGAGTACTTAACTAAGCCGTAAGAGCCTTTGGATCCACAGATATACATCCAAAAGTCATCGTTCCCCAAGACTAATTAATCACAAACAGCTGGGGCTGGGTGTGGTGGCTCATGTCTGTATTCCCAGCACTTTGGGAGGCCAAGGTGGGCAGATCACTTGAGCCCAGGAGTTCAAGACCAGCCTGGGCAACATGGAGAAACACAGTCTCCACAAAAAAATACAAAAATTAGCCAGGTGTGGTGGCACGTACCTGAGGTCCTAGCTCCTTAGAAGGCTGAGGCGAAAGGACTGCTTGAGCCTGGGAGGCAGAGGTTGCCTCCTACACTGCACTCCAGACTGGGTGGCAGTGAGACCTTGTCAAAAAAAAAAAAAAAATCATAAACACCTGGGAAAGCTTCTAAAAATAAAACTTCCTAGAGAGGAAGCTAAAATGAACCCTGTGGTGCTGGACTGGAATTGGAGGTCTCGGTATGAACCCATGGTTTTAAAGTACATACACAGGTAACTAGATGCACAAGCACTGATGTGTTTATACCTGAGCTAGAAAACACACTCAAATATCCTAACTCTCTGTTAAGAGGACCTAGAATCAAGGATACTCTCAAAACAATGTGCATATCTATGGCTCAGATCTTGCTTTCTGAATATCATTCTCCAATAAAAGGAACCAGGGTTCCTTGGAAAAGTGGTTGATTCATTCCATGGCTGTGGGCAGGAAAATACAAGATAATGCTGGAGCATCTCGTGGAGTCAGAGACTGGGAAATGCTCAAAATCAAAAGAGCAAACGTATGTCAGAGAAAAAACAGGAGTATACTCCCAAGAGCTAAACACAGGACAATCTGAGCAACAAAACAGGATTACTAGATTACA
Organism: Homo sapiens; assembly: GCF_000001405.40. Lineage (NCBI taxonomy): Eukaryota > Metazoa > Chordata > Mammalia > Primates > Hominidae > Homo > Homo sapiens. The sequence continues at coordinate 2,977,705 of NC_000018.10, forward strand.
ATTAGCTGAATAAAATATTCTTGAGTCCTCACTGATAGAATAAATTAATATATAAGTGAGAAATGACAGCTCTTACAGATGAATTATAATTAATGAAGAAAAAATGAAGAAACTAGAAACTCACTATTGGAATATATCACAGTATTATTTATGGAAGGCAAGATCCATCAATGGATGTTAAAAACAGAAGACAAAGTTTGAGGAGAGGCCGGGCTCGGTGGTTTACACCTGTAATCCCAGCACTTTGGGAGGCCAAGGAAGGTGGATCACCTGAGGTCAAGAGTTCAAGACCAGCCTGATCAACATGATGAAACCATCTCTACTAAAAACACAAAAAGAAGCCGGGAGTGGTGGCACCTGTAGTCCCAGCTACTCAGGAGGCTGAGGCAGGAGAACTGCTTGAAGTCAGGAGGCGGAGGCTGAAGTGAGCCAAGACTGCGCCACTGCACTCCAGCCTGGGCGACAGAGCAAGACTCTGTCTTTTAAAAAATAAAAAATAAAAAAAAAAGTTGAAGGAGAAACAAGATAAACAAGATGTCTGGATATTCTCAAAGTATTTTCCCCAAGATACACATTCATTACAAAAGGAAAAAATTTTAACTCTATAGTAGAGAAACCTGGAAGACACCACCATAATCAAGTGATCGGGAAAACTTAAGACACACTGACCTCAGGGACTCCTGGTATGACTCACTGAAAAGGACTTTTGAGGTATTTTGACCAAAAACACACAACCTCAATCTAATTATGAGACAACATCAGACAAACCGAAGTAGAGACAAATTCAACAAAATATCTGACCAGTGCTCATCAAAACATCAAGGTCATGAGAAGCAAAGACTAAAGAACTGTCACGATTGGAAGAGACTAAGGAGACAGGACAATTCAAGGTAAGGTTGGGCTCTGGAACAGAAAAAGGACATTAGTAAGAAGAATCTGAATAAAGTCTGTAGTTTCATTTTCAAAACAAAACAAAACAGTTATTCTTGGCCTCCACTACTGCCTTCAATTCTGCTTCAGTCTGTCTGGGAAATCTGTATTTTCTTTTGAAAGCTCCACAGGGATTCACTCAGTGATGAGTCAGATGTGGGCATCATCGTCCTTGGGGCTCACTTCTCACCCCCGGTGCACGTTGCAGTCACTGAGGTGCTTGGGGAATCCTCATGATCAGGCCACCCCATCTGCAGATTCTACTGCAAGTACTTTTGAAAGCCTCCAAATGATCCCAGAATGTAGCACATCTCAAGCTGTGCCTCAGGACCACAGGTAGGTGGAATGACTCCCAAACCCTCTTGTTTTCTTGACAGTGAACAGAGCTGAAGAAGGGTGGTGTAGTAGTTCCTGTTCCTTTCCTGCCTCACTTCCTGGCCTCAAGTGATCTACCTGCCTGGGCCTCCCAAAGTGCAGGATTACAGGTGTGAGCCACCATGCCCAACTGAGATTTTTATTTAGATCCTTTCAGAGTTGTGTCCATCTCCTCTAGGCCAGGCCAGCAGCCTCACTTTTTGGGACACCTAAAGGCACAGTGATGTAACTAAGGTGTGTTTTCCCAATGCACGAAGACTACACCTGGATCACATCTACAAAACAGGGCTCACCAGGCACTCTAACGCACTGAGTATGCTGAGTATGTAATCAGGACCAAGTATCCAGGCAAACTCAACATGGTAGCATTCATACAGCCATTTGCTGGATATCTGCCCAGCTGTGTTATTCATAAACCCAGAGCAGCAAAAAATTCCGACATATTAGTGGAGGCAAACAAAAAAAAATTGATTTACATGCATCTACTGGACTCAGTTGTAGTACAATAAATATTTGCTAAATGAAGACAATTTTGTTTCCTCTACATTAATAGGCTTAGCTATGCAATATACAGTGTGTGTGGAGGCAGTCTGTGTGCATGTATGTTTTAATTGTAAACTACTTCTAAATCCTTCCTTACTGAAAACAGATGGGGGCACAAATATAAAAATGAATAATAAATAATTTTCAAATAGCCGAAACATATTCATGTCCACAGTCCCAAAACTACTCCCCCCCAAATTCCTGAGTTCATCTGTGGCGAGCATGCTTTGAAAACAAAGACTTTCAGAGAATTTACTCCCCCAAACTGCCTAACCAGTAATCTTGTATGGTCCCTCAATATATCCTCTTAGCAGGCCTCAGAGTTTTCATTTCAGTGCACACTGTCACTTGGCTAGTGAGCCTACCAAAGCACACCTGTAGGTTTACTAGAATCCTCTTCCTCCAATGCAGCTACTTCTGCTGCGCTTAAGGAACCATCACCCATTCACAGCTCAGTGGCAAGAGCACAAACACTCCTAAAACTTAGGGGAGTTAGGAGGGAGGAAAGGTATCATTTTCAAGCCCAAAGTTACTAGCTATGGAGAGTGGGAGCTAAAACATGGCTTGAAAATGGAACTCAGAAAATGTTTGTCTCAAAAATTTTAGCGAAACTTGGCCCTTATCCAGAAAGAAAGAGGAAATTCTTGCATTAGCCCTTCTTCCCCCTTGTTCTAGGACTCAGAACTCTGGTTGAGTTCTCTGGCTAATTATGAGACAGGCATAGCAACATTATTTCTATGAGGAAATAAAATTCCACTCAATTAAATAATTACTTTTTTGAACACTGGCCATGCTAGACTGGAGGAACACAGTTAGTTTTAGACTTGTTCACCTCCAGTTGTTCTAGGAATCTGGGCAGCAATCAGTAATGACAACGTGTTATGGTTCCCCACCACCAACCTCAGCCCCACCCCAAATCCTGGGTGGACTAAGGTTTCCTAACTTAGCATGATGCACGCTGCCTCGTATCATGTGCCCCACCTACAGGGTGACTTGCCACCTCTGACCACTGTTTGTGTTATTAAATCTGGTTGAGCTTTTTGGCATCAACCAGAGGTGCCCATGTCCTTTGATAAATAGCTCACAGAGATGAGAATTGAGGGACACTGCCCTCAGGGCTTCCTGGAGTCCCCTGAAGCTGGTGAGGATGTGAAGACTCAAGATCAAGTCTCGCTTCCGCTGGAGAAGAGGTCTGGGCTCTGTGCCGGGGGTTCTCTCTAACAAGAATGGTCAGGTGACCTCTAGAGTCCCCCCCCAGCTCTAAACTGCAGAAAAGCTCCAATTCTATAAGCATTTCTGAGGATTACAAGTTTGGCTAAGAACTCCTGTAGTATATTCTGCCCTAAATGGGGTGAAAATATGGCCAGTAGATTATTCTGGGACTTCAGGTTATTTGAATATAAAATAATTTAGCTTTTTCCTTAGCAAATAAAGGTATTGTCTTCACTTGTTTCAAAAAATATGAAAACATGGTCTTTGAAATTTCCCAATTTCTAACAAAGCACAGAAATCTTCTCATGGTTTTCCAAATCATGATATGATACATTTATATTCCCAAATCACAAAACCATGAGGAAAGACTCTTTCAAAACTGAAACTGTCACCTTACAAAAGGGGTGCCCAGAAAGGATGTGATTTGTAAGGAGTGTTCAGGTCACAGAAGGCCTGGACCCTGAAAACCAGGGTTCTCCCTCTAACCACACACACCCAGGTTATAAAGTCAAACTCCTATATAATCATTACAGGCTACTAAGCAGATATCAGATCCTTATCCCAAACGTTAGCATTAAGAAAACTCATGCTTCTCATGGGACAGGGAGGTGACTCATTAGACTTCAATGTTCTAACGGCAACATAAAATGGGACCGTTAATAAAATGCAGCCTAAGCAAACACCTCTTGACCTCTTTCTGGAAAACACCAGCAGACACAAGTCTTAAGAACTTCCTGTGAGGGAGAGTTTATGTGTGTTAGTGCTACTTAATATATGAATGTTTAAAGTATTTCGTAAAAAGTCAGCAAGGTTCTCTATTCTCCCTTCTGACCTTTACAACAAATGTGAGTGAGCCAATATGTGTATACATTCTATAATATTACAATGTTGATTTCAAAAGCAAACTGCCTCCCCCGTGGTAGCACCTGACTCTTCCATTCATATTCAAACCACGTCTTTCCATTAGTTCCTGAGAACTCTGAGTAAGTACACTTTCACTAACAGATCCAAAAGCAAAAAGCAGAGTGTGATAACATTTTTAAAGATAATAAACATTTGTATAACCTTAAAACTAAAATCAAGTTATGAGCCACAGATTTTAGAAACTAATTTTTGTCTCACTGATTTTATGCTTGTTTTCATAAAAATATCCATCCTTAATTTTAAAAAATAACCTTGAAAATAGTGTTTCCTTCCTATTATTTTTAAAGGAAAGCTTCCACAGGTAGAGTTACACTGTCCTCAAGTCACTTGATTTTGTTTCTTTAATGCAGATTTCTGGGACTTACACTAAGCTTACATAACTTGTTCTAAGTTATATTTTGTAACAAGAGAGAAAACTCTGGATTAAAGAAGTTCATACAATTTATATTTTCCCCACATACTTCAAGCTTACAAAAATTCTTGTTTATGATCACAGAAGAAAGCAACTGCAGCCACTCTCATATATCCAAATACAACGTCAGCTTCAAAATATTAGTTTACCATTCCAAAAATTATGACTAGGCCAACAAAAACTGTAACACTTTTATATGATTTTTACTACTACACTTAAATGCAAAGAGAATGTGAAACCAAATATATTATTTTTGAAACATAATTTTTAAAAATTCTCAGTTTAAAACAGCAACTTCATTTTTTTCCTAGGAAAAAAAAGTCTTTTGTTAAATAACAACGAATAGAGATAGCAGAAAGATGGCATAGTAAATGCAGGAGGGCAGGTAGCCAAAGATTTCTGTTCAACATAACACTTAGAAGTTAATAAAATTCACTACAACATTACATTTTCCTAAGAAAGGGCATTAGTCTTTTTCTTTTGGTGGATGCCATCCCCTTGTCTCTCAGTAGTGTCCAGATTGAGCAAGCAGCGAAGGGAGCAGGGACATTGGGAGATGTAACTCACCAAGATACCAGGAGGGGACTTGTCATGGTAAACATCTTGAGTTTTACTTAATGAGCCTTTACAAACCACCTCATCTTCCTTGTCATCTTCTAAGTAAAACATCTTGAAATTTAACTAGCATGTCTTTTTTCAGAGATGAAGGTATATAATCAAAACAGAAAGCTGCTCTCTTGACAAACTGAGTACAAACTGCTTGCAGACACAGTTATATGGCTAAAACTGAAAGGAAATGGTTCTTAAAAAAAAAAAAAGCAATGCATACACAAGTTTACCAATGAGATTTGCTCAAAATACCTCAACCCCTTCTCCCCAAAGGAGATAAGCAGGGGCATGGGACAGGTTGTGCCATGTGTTTACACTGATAGGCACCAAGACCTGCCCAATCACATGATGGCCACTGCAGCTTCCATCACACAGGACAGGGATTGAGTTAATGATTCTCTAAACCAATCACATCCTCATTTTTTAGAAATAAAAACAGCTACTACACATATGGAGAGTGATCTTACATAAGCTAATCATGTAAGGGAAGTAATTTACAGACATTTTCCGAGCAGCAGGGAGCTTCCCAAAGTCAGCCAGATTACATGCCTCCAAGAGCCCAACTACTGAACACTTTTCCTTTGTCAGACTGGTGTGACCCAAGGTATTTTCACAATTCTGGGAGATATCCTGCTCAGTACTGTATATAACAAGCAGAATTTATTAATTTCAAGAATATGATAATGCAACACTGTAAAATTAAAACATTCCTGGTATTTCCTTGGCAGCTCTCAGTAAGTCAAAACATAGTAATTTTAACTGAATTTTTCTAAAAACCGCAAACACACAACTCACATGGACAAACATATTAGATTTCTGAATTAAGATACACTGTTTTTTTCATACCATTGTCTAGGATTGTGCTGTTCATCACAAACAGCCATTAGCCACGTGTGGCTACTGAGCAATGGCAATCAGGCCAGTACCAACTGCAATGTGCTCCAAGTGTAAAATACACACTGGATTTCCATGACTAAGAATGAAAAGAGAATAAAAAAACTCATAATTTCTAATATATACTACATGTTTAAAGGATATTTTGGATATACTGAGTTAAATAAGAAATTACATTTACTTTTACCTAGTTTTTTTTTTCCCACTTTTTAAAATGTGATTACTAGAAAATTTGAAATTACACATGTGGCTCACATTATATTTCTATTGGACAATGCTGCTCTAAGGCCCCGAGACAATCTTGAGAACAAGGTGGGGAAAAGGCCATTCAGGCAAGTTATAGGTAAGGAAGAACTGAGGACAACTGGATTGTTCATCATTCCTTTAAAGTATTTAGTTAATTCATCAACAATATACTAGCTGATCCACATCCATTTAACCTTCACATTAAACCCTTTTCTCTGCATCTAAACTTCACAAAAGACAAAATTTTCAAATGTTTGACCAAGTAATAGGTGTCTGGTGATGCTTAATACAGTAACATATCACCAAGGTTCATATAATAAAAACATTAAGTGGCAGAATTAAAAACCAATTTCACCAAAATTAGAAATGGCAAAACTTATCTTGCATGCAGCATGTTTTCCTGCTTGCCTTCTAGCCCAGCATAGTATCGTGGACCTGCAGTACACCAAAGTGCCCAGTCACTTGCGATCTAATTCAACACACATCATGTACACAAACTCCTACTTCCAGAAGAGAATTGTTTAGGTTTTTCTGGCCTAAATTTTATGCAATGAATAAAAATTTAAATCTCTTCATCCATGATCTACTGCAGTTCAGGATCCTTGGCATCAGATGGTAGTGATAAAAACCGGATATTGGGGTGCTGCCGGTGGAGAAAAATGGAAGAAGCCAGAGGTCAGCAAGAAGGGGAGGCTAGTAGGAGAAAGAGAGATTAAAGAGAAACCTAAGAAGGTGAAAAAAAGAAAAGTTAGAGGGGCAGAGGAAATAAAATGTAGAAGAGATGAGAAAATATTCAACTGGATAGCAGGAGAAGGGGAAAACTGTAAGGAGGGTGGAAAGAAGAAAGACAAAAACCATATCCACTTTAAATGTGAGGAAACTGAGGCCCAGAAAGAGGTCAGGCAATTAGCCCAATGTCACTCAACTGGTCAGCAAAGGTGCCAGGGAGAAGAAGCCCCCCAGTTTCTGGTTCAGTGCTTTTTTGTGTTATGCCAAGCAGAGACCAAGAAAGAACATGCTGGGGATCAGCAGGAGGAGGCTGACAAGAGGTAGGAGCAAAGGCTTAGCAAGTGAGGCGTGGTGGAGATCCAGCAGGGCAGAGGTCAGCGGGTAGAATTCTGTTCAGCAACTCTTGCCTACAATGCAGCTTACACAACAGGTGGGGCACCCAAGCCAGTCATTTGGGGGTTTCCTGATAGTGTTTGTATTGTTTCCTTGTTTTAGCTGATGACTCCCAGAATGTCCTGACTGCAAGGAACATGTACTATGGACCCATCAGAAGTGAGCTCATTTTCTAAACATCTGTGTTGCCAACAGGCACACACCTAAAGTTTCCTCCTATGGCCACCTGTGGATCACCCTGACCTTCAAAGCTGGTAGCCAAAGTTCTGCTTCCACCCCCACCATCTGCAAGGTGGCACTTTTCAGTCTTGATGGATAAATGTTAAAAATCACAACCAACAATTCTTAATCATCCCTATGATTTTCAAAGGAAAACGCTACTGTATTGTCAAACTTTTTCTCTACAGGCTAAAATAAAAATAAATGACTACTGAAAAAAGCTACTTTTTACTTTTGTATAACATCTTCAATGATCTTTTTTTTAAAAAGTGCATAGAATTTGGAAGTCTTTTTCCCAAGACTTAACTCTTTCAAAAAAAAATAGTCTAACTTAGGGAAACAAAGCTAAAATGCTAGTTAGGAAAAACAGAATCCTGTTCAGATTCCACAGCTTTAATGATGCTAAGTAAAATATATACCTTCTTTGTTTTTGTTTTTTCTACTACTAATCCCATAAGTATGTAAGACTAGGTATACAGGGCTTTTTAAGAGGGTATAACGATTTATTTAAAACTTTCTAGCTAGAATTTGCTTATCTGAAGCTGTACTAAGCTGGTTCAACAGAAATACCTTTACACCACAAGCATGTTATTTTACCATAAAACATGAAAATAATTGTACTCCCCCCCAGTGGCCATACTATGGAAACACAACACCTTGCTCCTGGATTACCAATGAAGATGTGACAAAACTAAGTTTTGATTATTAAAAAATCATGAAAATATTTTATAACCTCAATTACAAAGAATTTCATAATACCCACCGGAATTCCTCTATAGTGAAGAACCTAAGTGCATTTCTGCATTTTCAAGACTCCTCATGACAAAGGGAACATGTAAAGGACCATGGCTCACCTGAAACAAATGTTTTCATTTAGAGCCAAATGGCTCTCACCATCTACACCAAAGCATATGAAGTGTTTCTTCTCCTAAATGGAATCACTTATAATTCACTGTTTATGAAAACAACCCCAAAGGGACTGACGTTTTATTCAAAACCAAGATAAAATTCCTCTTGCTACCACTCTTGGGTTTTTCAAACATTTGTAGTTTAACTGCTCATTGGGTAATGGTTATATAGTTTACTCAAGTTCCAGTGTTTCATAATATCCTCATATAATCTCAAAATTCTAAACAAGATAGCTAGTGGCTGGCAATTTCACTGAACTGTGAGTGAATAACCAAATGCAAACAGATCTTTCCAGGAACAGAAGAGAAAAAACAAGGGAGGGTCTCCTGAGGTCAGACGCCCAGCTTAAAGTGACTCTCCCAAAGATAAACTTCTTTGAAGACTTGTCATTTATCTTTAAAATTCACACATTTTGTAGTCTATTGTGATAAGTCTATTTTTTTAATGTAAAAAAAAAAAAAAAAGAAAGACTAACTGGCCAAAGCTTTCTTCTTCCAAGTTCAAAGGTTAATGCAACACATTTACTGTAAGAATTAGAGGATGCTCAGTGTACACATCGCAGTTTAAGGAGCTTAGGACCAAACAACCTCTGCGGTCTAACCCTTCCAACACAAATGTTTGAGGTCAAGCTTTTACCCACTATTTGGAGACAAGAGAGACAATACTGAGAGTTGCCTGGCTGTAGCAGTCAAGTGCATCTGAACATTAAGAGAGTAAAGCTGAACAGCCTAATTTAGGATCAGAGTAATTATGGCCTGACTTGTGTCACAACTTTTGGACAACATTTTCAACAAAATAAAGCCAAAAGAAATGGAAAACCCTCTGTTCTGCTCAGGCAGGACTCCTGAGGCCTCAGTTGCTTGACAGGGGTGGAGGTCGGGGGTGAAGAGGGGGCCTGTTAATTGCCTAATTGTTTCTGTTTAAATGTCTTTTTCTTCTCCCATTTCACCTCTGAATAGCAGTTTGCACAGTGATGACACCCTTAGGTATACGATTTTCTGTTCTGGGGTTATATCACCCCCATTTCATTCAAACTCAAAAAATCCTGTTGAAATGCAAGTCTTACTATCATCAAATTTTAAAACACTAAATAATTTTCAAAGTGTAGTGCTTTAATCTTTTCAGAAACAAATTACTTGTTATAGACTCACAATAACAGGGGTGGCTCAGTGCATCACAACACTGAGGCCAAGTGAAGGTGCTGGAAGAAGCCAGTGCTGGGTTCCTATACTCCAGATCAAAAAGTGAGATAGCTTAAAGCTTGTCCCCCAAAAACAGCAACAAACAACAAATAAGGTGAGCAAGAGTTGATTATATCATTAAGACAATCCAAAGAAAATATAAGTGAAAATTATCACAAAATGTATCGGCATCATGTAGGAACCCCTCATCCTCACATTCCTTGACTTATTTTTTTCCACGTGGACATTTCAGGTCCATCTTTGACTCCAATTTTCTCTTCCATAGCTGGTTCCTCACAACAGTTCTAATTCAAGATTTTCTCGACCACCTGAAAAACTGGTGATGGTTGTTTAAATTATTCTGTTGCTGTGATCTCTTTCAATTACTTAAAAATTTTTTATTTAAAAGATATTTGTAATCAGCTTTACTTAGTAAATTACTCTTAGTAATTACTCTTCTTCCTGCCACCTTCTTCCATCTATAGAAACGAACGGCTGCTGTAATTTTAAGTGTACTTAGAATCCAGGAGGGTGGATCACTTGAGGTCAGGAGTTCAAGACCAGCCTGGCCAACACAGTGAAACCTCATCTCTACTAAAAATACAAGAATTAGCTGAGTGTGGTGGCTCACGCCTGTAATCCCAGCTACTCAGGAGGCTGAGGCGGAGGTTGCAGTGAGCCAAGATCATACCACTGTTCTCCAGCCTGGGCGACAGAGTGAGAGACTGTCTCAAAAAAAAAAAAAAAAAAAAAAAAAAGAATCATCATGAGTGCTGCCAGCAGGCCAGATGGGTAACAGTATAAATTACTTATCTGTAGCCTTAAATGGGTCCCCAACAGAATCTGGCAACCCTCCTTTGTTTCTGTGGTCAGCTCTCTCTCCAAATTTCTGGTTCTTTTTCAAACTTCCATGCTCCTCAACCTGACTATATTCTGCCACTCTATTTCCCCATCAGAATGTACAACATTCCATATTCTTGAATGCAGGCTCATTTATGCTCTTCAGGAGAAACGGCAAAAATGACTAATATACTTTGCTATGAGAATAAAGAATTTAGTTTCACAATGTTTAGAAATTCTAATGCTATACTTAAGTGTTATGAAGAATTTTATTTAATTGGTGAAATTTAAATTAAAATGAAAGTAACTGAATTCTTAAATTATTACACTCAGTGAATCTGCCTACTTCAATCTAAAGCTTGACTGAGATGTGTAAGAAAAAGAGAAAACCTGAAACACTGATACTCAGCTTTATATGTAAGTTATATTCTACACATACAGATGAATCCAATTCCAGATGGTGACGGTAATTGCAATCTCCAGTGAGGGTAAAGCCTCAATGCACTAAGTAGTAAAAGAAAAGGGGAAAAGTTAGTCAGCTTTGCTACTCTTTCAAGTTAAATGCTGGTAATGTCTAAGATTTAACCTTGTAATGTCAAGACACAGATAGGATTCAAAAAGCAAAGAGGCATCTGAAAGTTGCAACATGAGAAGAAATGCTCCCTCTTCTAAGGATAAAGCACCATTGAAACAGAACAAGTGTGACATTTCATTTTATTTTTCTTCCAGACTCAACATACTTTAATATAAAAAAGCTCTCTCAGGAACAGGGCATTTAGTTTGTGTAAAAATCTTCAGCCTTTGCAACAAATTAATTGTATTCAATTTGAAAAAGTATACTTCAAGTACAACATAGGTATTTATATTGAAATCATAGAAGAAAACACAATCCTGGCAGCCAAGCACTATTTATTTAGTATTTACTCTAAGCCATACCCTGGAATTAATCCTTTGCATATATTATCTCTGATCTACACAATTCTCATGAAAGACAGATTTGCTTTATCCCTATATTTTACAGATGAAGAAATGGAGGTTTAGAGAGAGGTTATGTTAAATATCCAAGGACAAACCAGCTAGAGCTCAAGATGTCTTCCACAGTACCTTCTTAGACTCATTATTTAAGCTGAAATTCAGATTTACTATGCTAAGTATTTCTAAAATCTCAAACATTATGCAATGCATCTAAAAGAAAAAAAATGCCTAGGAATAAATTTAACCAAGGAGGTGAAAGCTTGTACAAATAAAATTGCAAAAATCACTGAAAAAAAAAATTAAAGATAACCTCAGTAAATAGAAAGACATCCGTGTTCGTGAATAGGAAGACTCAATATTGTTAAGATGCCAATATTACCTAAAGCGATCTTCAAATTCAAGGCAATCCCTATCAAAATTCCAAAAGCCTCAAATTCATATGGAGTTACAAGGGGCCCTGACTAGCCAAAATAATACTGAAAAAGAGCTAAGTTGGAAGACTTCCATTTCTTGATTTCAAAACTTTCAAAGTTACAGTAATCAGGCTGGGTGCAGTAGCTGACGCCTGTAATCCCATCACTTTGGGAGGCCAATGCGGGCAGAACACTTGAGGTCAGGAGTTCGAGACCAGCTTGGCCAACACAGTGAAACCCCGCCTCTACAAAAAATACAGAAATTAGGCAGGTGTGTGGCAGGCTCCTGTGGTCCCAGCCACTCGGGAGGCTGAGGCAGGAGAATCACTTGAACCCAGGAGGTGGAAGCTGCAGTGAGCTGAGATTGCACCACTGCACTCCAGCCTGGGTGACAGAGTGAGACTCTGTCTCAAAAAAAAAAAAAAAAATTACAGTAATCAAAACATTGTAGTACTGGCATAAAACAGACATACAGACCAATGGAATAGACTTGAGAGTCCAGAAATAAACCCAAACATTTATGGCCAATTGATATTTGACAAGAGTACCAAATCCACTGCATGGCGGAAGGAATAGTCTCAACGGATGGTGCTGACACAACTAAGTTTCTATATGCAAAAGAATGAAGTTGGAACCCTACTTTACACCATATTAAAAAATTAACTCAAAATGGATTAATGACCTAAAACCATAAAACTCTTAGAAGAAAACATAGGGTAAATCTTCATGATCTTGGATTTGGCAAATGATTCTCAGATATAACACCAAAAGCATGAGTAACAAAAACTAGATAAATTGGATTTCACTAAAAGTACTTTTTTTTGTATCAAAGGACATGATCAAGAAAAAGAATCATACAGAATGTAAGAAAATATTTGCAAATTGGGGAGTTTAACTCTAGAATATATTTAAAAATTCCTACAACAACTAAAAGACAAATGATTCAATTAAAATATGGGCAAAGGATCTAGATAAACCCTTCTTCAAAGAAGATATACAAAATGGCAAATAAATACTTGAAAAGATGCTCAACATCATTAACCATCCGGGAAAGGCAAATCAAAACCACAATGAGATACCAATTCATACCCACTACGATGGCTATAGTTTCTGTTAAAAAGGAAGAGAGTGGCCAATGGCCGTGACTACTGCAACACACACCTCATCCATGACTCTCCATTTATGAGAAAGACATATTGCAGTGGTAGGAAACAGAGACAGAATGTCAAAGATTACTATTAGAAATGGATGGAAGAACAGGCTCAGAGCCTGACTGACAAAATAAGGGTTGCACTTCAACAAGGAAAGATACTTCCTACTTCAATCTCTGTTCCCCGCCGGCAGGGACAATGATACTACCTCCCTCCAGTCTTCTGGGTCCTCCTCATCCTGGTATGATGCCAGCACCCCACACGGGGCCCTCCTCCTGGGATGATGCCAGTGGGACCTGCTCCTGGAATGAGGCTGCCCATGGGAGGCCACATGCCAATGATGCCTGGGCCCCCAATGATGAGACCTCTTGCTTGTCCCATGATGGTGCCCACTTGGCCCAGAATGACTCGAGCAGACAGAAAGGATAGAGGGGAGGCCTCCCTATATCAGTTTTATATTGCTTGCTCTGCTTCACCAGGAGATCACAATGCTGTGACTCTGGGTGTTTTCTTATCAGTCTGATACAGAAAAGGTGCTCCCCCTTCCTATTAAAGAAAGAATCATTTTGGAGTGGAGAAGTGGGACAAAAAAAGTGCAGTTTTTATCTATATTGTGAAATATGAAAATAAAATTGTCAACTTTTTTTAAAAAAGGAAAATATATGTTAGAAAGAAAACTGGAGAAACTGAAACACTTGTGCACTGTTGGTGAGAATGTCAAATGGTGTAACCACTGTAGAAAACAAGTTTGGTCGTTTCTCAAAAGCTAAATATGGAATTACCAGGCTCGGCACAGTGGCTCACACTGGGGCGGACTAAGGTGGGAGGATCATGTGAGCCCAGGAGTTAGAGACCAGTGTAGGCAACATAGTGAGACCCTGTTTCTACAAAACATAAACAAAATGAGCCAGGTGTGGTGTTGTACACCTATAATCACAGCTCCTGAGAAGGCTGAGGTGGGAGGACTGCTTGAGCCTAAGAGGTCGAGGCTGCAGTGAGCCGAGACCATGTCACTACACTCCAACCTGAGCACCAGAATGAGGGCCTGTCTCAAAAAATAATAATAATAAGGCCGGGCACAGTGGCTCACGCCTATAATCTCAGCACTTTGGGAGGGGGAGGTGGGTGGATCATGAGGTCAGGAATTCAAGATCAGCCTGGCCAAGATGGCGAAACCCCATCTCTACTAAAAATACAAAAATTAGCTGGGCGTGGTGGCGTGCACCTGTAATCCCAGCTACTTGGGAGGCTGAGGTAGAGAACTGCCGAACACAGGAGGCAGAGGTTGCAGTGAGCTGAGATAGCGCCACTGCACTCTAGCCTGGGCGACAGAGTGAGACTCCATCTCAAAAAAAAAAAAAAGTATAATACAATAAAAAATAAATATAGAATTGCCATATAATCCAGCAATTTCACTCCCAGGTACATACACAAAAGAACTGAAAACAGACATTTGTATACCAGTGTTCACGGCAGCATTATTCACAACAGCCAAAATGTGGAAACAACACAACTGTCCATCAACAGATGGAGAAACAAAATGTGTTATATTCATACAATGGAATATCATTCAGTCATGAAAACAAGTGAAGTTCTGATACATGCCACAACATGGACGAACCCTGAAAACATGCTAAAGGAAATAAGCCTGACACAAAAGGACAAATGTCATATGATTCCAATTATGTGAAATATCTAGAATAGGCAAATTCATAAATAAAAGGTAGATTAGAGGTTACCAGGTGGAGGAAATGGAGAGTTATTGCTTAATGGTTACAGAGTTTAGAGTCATGAAAAATTTTGGAAATAGCAGTGATGGTTGTACAACATAGTAAATGGTAGTTAATACCATGAAATCATACATTCAAAAATGGTTGAATCTTACTACAATTAGAAAATTATGCAATGGGGCCAGGCACAGTGGCTCACACCTGTAATCCCAACACTTTGGGAGGCCAAGGTGGGCAGATCTTGAGTTCCAGGAGTTCAAGACCAGCCTGGGCAATACAGTAGTGAGATCTCATCTCTATAAAAAATCTTTAGGCCGGGTGCGGTGGCTCATGCCTGTAATCCCAGCACTTTGGGAGGTCGAGGCGGGCAGATCATGAGGTCAGGAGATGGAGACCGTCCTGGCTAACACAGTGAAACCATGTCTCTACTAAAAATACAAAAAAAAATTAGCCAGGCCTGGTGGCGGGCGCCTGTAGTCCCAGCTACTCGGGAGGCTGAGGCAGGAGAATGGCGTGAACCTGGAAGGCGGAGCTTGCAGTGAGCTGAGATAGCACCACTGCACTCCAGCCAGTGAGACCCGTCTCAAAAAAAAAAAAAAAAAAAAATTTAAATATTAGCCAGGTGTGGTGGTGTACATCTGTAGTACTCAGAGGCTGAGGTGGGAGGATGGCTTGAGCTCAGGAGCTTGAGTGTGCAGTAAGCCATGATTGCACCACTGCGCTCCAGCCTGGGAAACAGAGCGAGACCCTGACGGAGGAAGAAAAAAGAAAGAAGAAAGGAAGAAGGAAAAAAGAAGAAAGGAGAAAGGAACAAAGAAGAAAGAAGAAGAAAGAAGAAAGAAAAAAGGTAGGAGAAGAAAAATAGGAATTAAAATTATGCAATAAAACTCTAATTGAAATGTAAAGCAATGTCAATACAGTCCATAGTTTAAAATGAGAATATATTTGTTCTTGGCTATAAATATCATCTTCTATTCCTATACTGTTACAAACTTCCTAGGTTATTTGAACAACTCACTGAATATCATTAACCCTCAATTTCCTCACCCAAAAAGTGAATTTCTAGATAATTTCTATGTATCCTTCTAGGTAAAACAATCTGACATTTCGAAAACTATGGCTTTCTGAGCATTCAACTCTACTAAGTAGAAAGCAAAGTATTTCCCACAACTTAGTTTTTACCACGAGCTTGGTGATTCCACAGCAATAACTTCAACAAAAAGTTAACGTGTAACTTTCATTTTATGTATACCTACACACAACAGAGAGCTTCTTCCTTCAGTCAAAAATTACACTGGACCACAACAAATCCACTTCTGATCTCAACACAAATTCCTAATCTTAGCTTCTAAACATCTAGAAGTAACCCTAGAGAATATATATAGCCCATGAGTAGTTTGTGCCATTCTCATTTCTGAGAACCCAACTAAGCTTTGCAATATACCCTCTTTACAGAAAACATGCAAACCAGCAGCATACATGTATACCGACACAACCATACACAGATTTGTGCTCTGAGGATCCGATGGAACCCCTCTATGGTTAGTCTGCAGACCCCAAGTAAAAAACCTCTGGTTCTAAACCACACTGCTATTTGAAAGATGAGAGCATACAGGTATTGAAAAAGTCAATTACTTCCCAGCCAAAGTAGTTAAAACATGCTCAATCTAGCCTTACACCACACAGTAACAGCCCTTAAAATGAAGCAGTACAGACTGTACATAAATGTACGCCTATCATTCAAGAACTTGCCCAGTGCCTGTAATATCTCAGGTACCAATACTGCCTTTAGTCCTGGGTCCTGCACTTTAGAAGGCTCTGTGTATCATAAACCCAAAATACAAAGGCAGTAAGTGTTTTTCTTCTTCATTTCAGACCTCTAGGAAAGTTTTTTGAAGACAATTTAGCTAAAGGAACAGGTGGTTATCACAAGCCAAGCTGCCCCAGACCTGTGCCCTGGTCAGTGTAGATGTGTGCAGCAGACCTATGGTCAGGCTCCCTAGGGCAGCTGGCAAAGGACAAGGCTTCTGCAGGGCCACTGGTGGCCATGGAGGCCGGGCCATGGGGGTGGTGACTGGATTTATAGCTTTAAAAAAATTTTTTAATGATATATCATAGTTGGGGAGGACATATAATAATATTTTATACATGTATACAATGTGTAATGCTCAAATCAGGGTAAATGGGATATCCATCCCCTCGAACATTTATCTTTTCTTTGGATTTACAGCTTTTAATAGTTTAGATACAGGTTTTCTCAGCCTATTGACATTTTTGGTCAGATAATTCTTTGCTTGGGAGGTGAGGAGTGTAGCAGCCCTGGCCTCCAACCACCAGATGCCAGTAGCACCCTCCCCAGTGGTGACAGCCAAAAAAATGTCTCCGGTTATTTCTGAATGTCCCCGGCGGCGGGTGGGGGCGGTGTGTGGGCAAAATTGTCTGCAGCTGAGAACCACTGGTTTAAACAGATGGTATATGGCCCTGTATTGATAAGCCTGTTCTGACTGGGTCCCCACAAACATGTTAGGGGTGGGCCGGCAAGCACATGACTTGGCTGAATTTAGACAGGGAGTTTTATACCACAGCTCTCCCACTTGATACAGACCTCCAGGATGGAACCTTCTTCAGTTTCAGGTCAACCTAAGCTTCACAGGCCCCCTTCATATAGCAGGGTTCAGAGCACCTGTCAGGTAGGACTGCTGTGAGGATCCCATGAGGTGGTGCCTGGAAACCACCAGCTGCTTAATAAATGCTAGTTTTCTTTTTTCTTCTCATTAAAAAAGAACTATGAACTGAATAGTTCCAAGACCTATGCCACAGTAAGTGCTTAGCAGATGACTGTTAGGATAGGATTCTAGCCATCAAGGAGCTATTTAATAATGAGGGACACTGGAAAGGAAAACAAATGACTTTCTAAATCTAAATGCTTCAATCATCAGCTCTTTGCATGTTTTAACTTCCCAAACCATTTCCCTATGCCTTAAGACTCATCCAACTGAACCCCACTCTTCAGCCTATTTGTCCCCAGTGTCTTCTCTTCTTCCAAGTTTTGGTGTAAAACTGTTTAGTCACATCTACACTCTAGTATGAATATTGTCTTTTAAATCAATCACCTCTGAAGGCTACAATAAATTAATTCCACTGATACACCACTGTGTAACATGACATGAGGGCTCCCCTTTCTTCCTGAAAGAACTATCTTTAAATTTAATTTAGGTGCCACACAGGATAAAAATGAGTGTCAATACCACATAGTCACAGAACTCTTATACTCCAAAAGTAAATATGATTCATCTGACATGCGTGGTTCATCAGATGTTGCTTTGAATGGCTTCTGGCTATTTCCAAAAACCTAATCTACCTTGAAGGGTAAAGATTTTCCACCGCTGGGGATAAAAGGATACACTGTGAGACTCTGAAAGCAATTTAAAAAGGAAGGGGTGTTTCAAAATGTTTTCCAGAATGACAGCATAGATGAAATGTATATGCTGTCCCTAAAGTGCAAAGTACATTTCATTGTGTAAGTTTCTGGTCATATTCCTTCACAGTCACATTTTTTAAGCAGGGTACCAAGCTTCCTTATTACATGTGTATAACGGAGGACAAAACTGAAGAATTAGAGGTAATTAGCTCTATGGACAAACTTAAGACTTATTAATAAAATGTTACGGCCGGGCGCTGTGGCTCACACCTATAATCCCAGCATTTTGGGAGGCCGAGGCGGGCGGATCATGAGGTCAGGAGATTGAGACCATCGTGGTCAACACAGTGAAACCCCATCTCTACTAACAATACAAAAAATTAGCTGAGCGTGGTGGTGCATGCCTGTAATCCCAGCTACTCGGGAGGCTGAGGCAGGAGAATAGCTTGAACCCGGGAGTGGGAGGTTGCAGTGAGCCGAGATCGCACCACTGCAGTCCAGCCTGGTGACAGTGCAAGACTTCATCCCAAAAATAAAAGTGTTACATTGGTTCTTTTATAATGTCCATCAATTACATCATCCAACCTCTCCATTTCAACAGGCATGGTGACGTTGCAGAAAAGATATGACTACATGCTTACCTCCCAGGAAAATATCTTTTTTTTTTTTTTTTTTTTTTTTTTTTGAGACAGAGTCTCTCTCTGTCACCCAGGCTGGAGTGCAGTGGCGCCATCTCAGCTCACTGCAAGCTCCGGCTCCCAGGTTCATGCCATTCTCCTGCCTCAGCCTCCCGAGTAGCTGGGACTACAGGTGCCCACCATCACGCCTGGCTAATTTTTTGTATTTTTAGTAGAGACGGGGTTTCACCGTGTTAGCCAGGATGGTCTCGATCTCCTGACGTCATGATCCACCCACCTCGGCCTTCCAAAGTGCTGGGATTACAGGCGTGAGCCACCACGCTCGACCAATATCTTTATCTATCTATTGAGTATCATATATATCCCAGAATAACAGACCCACATCCCACCATCTCCAAATAAAGCATCATTTGGTTCTACAAAGGCCTTGCCAATGGCACCAAGTTTGCTATATTTGCTAATGGTAAACTTCTGCATAAGAGGTGCCAGAATCAACACATCATAAATATGTACATTTCATTTTTGGAGGCTTGTATTTTTCTTTTTCTTTTGAGACAGAGTCTCACTCCCTCACCCAGGCTGGAGTGCGGTGGCGTGATCTCGGCTCATTGCAACCTCCACCTCCCGGATTCAAGCAATTCTCCTGCTTCAGCCTCCCGAGTAGCTAGGATTACAGGTACCCACCCCCACGCCTGGCTAATTTTTGTATTTTTAGTAGAAACGGGGTTTTGCCATGTTGGCTAGGCTGGTCTCAAACTCCTGACCTCAGGTGATCCGCCGGCCTTGGTGTCCCAAAGTACTGGGATTACAGGCTTGAGCCACTGTGCCTGGACTCATTTTTGTTTTTTGTTTTTTTTTAGTAGAGATGGGGTTTTACTCTGTTGGCCAGGCTGGTCTTGAACTCCTGACCTCATGTGATCCACCCTCCTCAGCCTCCCAAAGTGCTGGGATTACAAGCATGAGCCACTGCACCTGGCAGAGGCTTGTATTTTTCTAAACATAACAAATTCAAAGGAACATTAATGAAGTCAAAGCTATAGCAGTCACTTTCAAGACATCATCAGAGTACCAGGCCACTATGCCTATAACTCTGCAGTGTGCCACAATGAAACCAAGACAGTGCCCCAATTCTGATCAAAAGGTGACTTCTGCTGCATAAACAATTCACAAACCTTACATATGGCATCAATCATTGTTTAATGACTCCTGTGGGGGGAGAGCAGGCTCTTCCATAATTACTAAAAGCAGTATAACTCAAAAAGAAACAAAAAGTCACCAATTCATCAGCTTACTTAGCTGATGTCACAGAAGTAGCAGGAGGATTCCTTACCCCCCATGCCACAGACTTAGTTTTTCAAACATCTCCAATTTCTTGCTTTTAGCTCTCAAGGATGCAGTCCCCCAGCTTCCCAGAGGGAAGTCTGCTAGATCGGTAAGCATGAATTCACTACTTCCCTACTGTTTCCTTTGGAAGTGCCTGAAGTGTCTCCTTGTCTCAGTTAAACAGAACATGGTGACCGTGAGGCAGAGTTTCCAGTGCCAGGCAGCTCCAGGCACCCTGTGCCTGTGTTCTGCAGAGGAGTCTTTCCCAATGTCAATCAAAACACAGCTCAAGTTTCATGCCCTGCTTTATTAAATTCTGCATGGTGCCCACTGGGACCACAATGGAATCTTCAGAAACGTAAGGAGAGGTACCTCCCTTTCCTGGCTCTGGGAGGACACTTGGGTAAAGGGAAAGGCTGTGGCCATACCAACAGCACTGCTGCAATCAATGCCACCAATCACTCAGATTTAGGCTATTTTTAAGTAGTTTTGCAAAACAAATGCCAAGTAAGGCTGCACCAGTGTGTTATCACAAGCTGACTTGCATACTAAGCTACTTCAACAAGAGAGAAGGACTTCCAAGAGCAACAGCAAGTCAGCGAAACAGCACTTGAAAGTCAGAAAACAAGGCCTCTTTCACTCACTGATCTGCTCAACAGCAGTGTCTATTCTATTCTGAGAGCTGGGGATCAAGCAGTGAACTTGGCTGACAAGGTACCTGCCCTTGTAGTGGTTATATTCTAATGTGGGGAGGGAGAAAACAACAACAACAACATATGTTAGGCTGGGACAACTATTATAAAGGAAATAAAAGAGGGTGCTGCTCCCTGAAGAGAGGGAGGAAGAGCAGGAAGAGCCACTTTTAAGGAAAGAAAAGCGTTGTAGAGCCCAGAACAGGAAAATACATGACAGATTTTTTTTTAAGCAACAAAGCTCCAAGAAGGCTCATATCTGAAAAAAGAAATAGAGTATAACATGGAGGGACAGAGCATGATGAGAACCTGGCTAACATGTTCACGAAACTATGCCAGGATATAGATACGGTTTACTTTCTCATAAGACACTACTGCTGTTCTTTCTTTAGTCATTTTGCCAACCTTCAAATGACTTTAGAAACAAACCAAGAGTGAAAATGAGACAACTCAGATACTGTCATTAAACATTCAGGAACATGCAGAAATTTTGGCAGTCACAAGTCTGAACAAAAATCTCCAGTTGTAATCTAAAAATTACTTCCTAAGAGTTTCTTTCTGATCATTAGTGAAGATAGGTGTAACTAAAAGCATCTTTAAAAATATTGCTCTAACTAGACATCCTGTTAAACCCAGAGGATGTCACATGTGTTATCCCCACTCTCAAAACCCACTGTTTGGGTTGAAGTATATCCTCCAAAAAAGAAACGCTGAACTCCTAACCTCTGGTAGCTCAGAATGTGACCTTATTTGGAAAGGGGATCTTTACAGAGGTATTCAAGTTAAAACGAGGTCATTAAGGCTGGCCCTAATCCAGTAGGACTGATGTCCTTATAAAAAGAGGAAATCTGGTCCAGGCGCCGTGGCCCACGCCTGTAATCCCAGCACTCTGGGAGGCCAAAGCGGGCGGATCACGAGGTCAGGAGATCGAGACCATTCTGGCTAACATGGTGAAACCCCGTCTCTACTAAAAATACAAAAAAAAAAAAAAATTAGCCGGGCGCGGTTGCAGGCGCCTGTAGTCCCAGCTACTCAGGAGGCTGAGGCAGGAGAATGGCATGGCCCGGGAGGCGGAGCTTGCAGTGAGCCAAGATCACGCCACTGCACTCCAGCCTGGGTGACAGAGAGAAACTCCGTCTCAAAAAGAAAAAAAAAAAAGAGGAAATCTGGACAGAGAGACAGACATGCACACAGAAGAACGCCATGTGAATATAAAGGCAGAGATTGGGGTGATGCATCTGCAAGCCAAGGAACGCCAAAGGCTGCCAGCAACCCACCAGCAGCTAGGAGAGGACGCTAATAAAAATAAACATCCAAGAATGAGAAAGCGCTCTTGGAAATTAACACACAATTGTAAAATTAAGACATTCTATAGAAGGGTTGGAGAATAAATACCAGCCTGGGAAACACAGCAAGACCCTGTCTCTACAAAAATTAAAAAATAGCCAGGCACGGTGGGTCTCACCTGTAATCCCAGCACTTCAGGAGGCTGAGGTGGGAGGATCACTTAAGGCTGGAAGTTCAAGACCAACTTGGGCAACATTAGTGAGACCCTATCTCTGTTTTGTTTTTTTTTTTCTTTTAAAAAGAAGAAGAGGAGGAGGAGGAGGAAGAGGAGAAGGAGGAAGAGGGGAAAGAGGGGAAGGAGGGGAAGAAGGAGGAGGAGGAGGAGGAGGAGAAGGAGAAAATGTAGAAAGCAGATCTCCCAGTAAATCCAACAAGGATAAAGGAATGGGCAAAAGGAGGAAAAAGATGAATATCAGAGCATCAATCCAAAATGGCCCCAATATCTGACTTGTAGACTTTTTAAAGTACAGAAACAGGAGAGGAAAAAAAGGTAGGGAAAGGCAGGAGTTGGATATTATCAAATAAATCATACAAGAAATTTCCTGGCGTCAGAAACATGATTTTCCAAATTGAAAGTTCCCACCAGGTGCCCAGCTCAAAGGATAAAGAAACACCTGCACTGTTGTGGGCTCCACCTATGGCAGTCACGACAGAAACATGCTAATAATAGACAACGTTAAAGGCTACACAAAGGATTCCAAAATCACCATATGGGCACGACTACACAAAGCAGGATACACACCATGCCCTCCATCAGATGTACGGCACGTAGTGCCAGCTACTTCCCCAACATCATGAGTGTACACAGCTACAGATGATTCTACCTGTGGGGAGAGGCCTCACCAGGATTGATAAATACCCACTACAGTCTCTGGGTGTTTTTATGCCCTCTGGCCTGCGGAGACTCTGGTGACATAGGGCCTGCTAGCCAGGTCTAAGTAACGAAACAAGGCCAGGGGTAAGGATTCACTGTGAAGCCAGGTAAGGTGGGTACTTCCCGTGTTCCCTCCTAAGAGACTGTGTCTCGTCCAAAAACTGAGATGGCAAATCCCAAACCAAGGTGCTTCATCAAGAGATGGTAATGAGATACTTTAAAAAGAAACAAAGAAAGGTGCTAAAAAAAATGGGTAGGGGGGAAAGGATAGGAAAATGGGGAAAAAGAGGGGGGAGAGGGAGGGAGAGAGAGAGAAATTAAAAAGACTTGAGACTTCTCAAAAAAAGGTAACTTCTCAAAAGTAACAATTCTAAAGGAAAACTATTTCCATTCTAGCATTCTATAGCTAGCCTATCAGTTGGGTAGGAGGCTCAAATAAAGACATTTTCAGACACGTAAGCTCTCAAAGAATTTCCTCCCTGTAAACCCTTTCTCAAAAAGCTGCTAGAGGATGTGCTCCATCAAAATGAGGAGGCATGCCAAGAGAGAAGACAATGTGTAATCCAGGACTCAGAATCCAACACAGAAAATTACTGGGATTCAGGATGAGTGAGGTGTTGACTGCAGAGTTCTGTAGTCCTATCAGAAACTGGGGGCCTGAATTTGTGACTGGTACTAAGAAATGTAAACCAATAAAATAATTGTTGACTCCAGAGAAAAGAAAAATTTGAACTGGCAAAGAAATAAAAATCACTGCATATGCTCAGCTGTAAGCAATATTTAGCCATGAAAATATAAACAATGAATATTAAGAAAATTAGAAAATGGTATTGAGAGCTTAGTATAAAGAATTGTGCGTGTGAGAGGAGGGTTATATAAGAGATGAACCTTCATCTTGCAGCGTAGGAAATCAATAGAGAAGGTCTAAAATGAAAAAAACAAGCTACAGTAGTGTATGCATACAAGCATGGAATCAAATCCCACAAGCACAGAAAAGAAATGAAAGGGGCTTTTGCTAGGGAGCAGTAATCAGCTGTGAGAAAGAGAACTGGGGTTTTTCATAATAAACCTCACAGTACTATGTACTTAAATGTTTAAATTACATATAAAAATAAATACTTAAGATTTTAAAAGATAAATAGAACTATTATGTGATATAGCCTAATGAATAAGAATCACATTTACAGAAATGAAAACTACTTAAGGGAAGGAAAATAGGAACACCAAGCAAATATAAGCATTGTAAGGCTTTTTTTGTTTTGCTTTTAATTAGGAAAAGTTCCTTTCCAACTCTCAGGATCAGCACCTATGGTCCATCTGACCTGTAGGTATGTCTCATTAGTAAGACAAAACAAACAAACCAGGAAATTTAAATACAACAAAGTTATCTAGTTAATTCACTTGGGACAGGGAGATGTCCTAAAACAAAAGTCCTATTTCTTGACTGTCATGAAGATACCACACTTACAGGGGGAAGGTCCATTTCCATTTGATGACAAGGATAGCACTGAAAGATTCAGCCAGCATTTAAAAGGATGACCTTCAAAAGACCAAAAAAAAAAAAAAAAAAAAAACCCACCATAACAACATAGGTATACCAGTACCTACGTTTTTCAACTGGCAGAGAATAACATTTCATGTAGTTTTATAAGCTAAGAAAATTAGTGTCCATTCTAATGAAAATCAATTATTCAAGCTTATAGAAAAACATTAGAGGCCTTATGAACTAATCAGCAGATTTTTAAATTTTAGTCAAACGCTCACCTGCAATACACTAGGTATAGACAACTGTGCTTTCTAGACGTCCCATTCTAAACACAAAGATAAGGTCCCTCCTACAGGCCCACACATTAACAAAATTCATGCAGCCATAGATGAAATGATGGAAAAATCTTAAGGATTACATTTATAAACACATGTTGTGCATAACATTTGTATACAAGATTTCTAACTTTGGCACTATGAGAATAAAGAAATTTCTTTCTGGGTCAAGAAAGAAATTCTAAGCAAACACATTAAACAATGTTTTTCTTTGAGATAAAAACAAGCTTTTAACTAAACAGTAAATTCTCACATTAAAAATATAAGCCCAGAGCTAACTCCAAGACAGTTCCTCAGACTTTCCCACAATCGCTCAAGCAGTACTCCCTTCTAAGTCCCTCCCTGTCCCTGATTCATAAAACCCTGCTTTACGCAGAAGCAGACCTACTTGATTCCTCTATGACACTATCAGCTACTTCGGGACAAGAGGAATGTTCATTCATTCACCTTTCGCCCTTTGTCCTATGACTCTCTCAACACTGGCTTCTCTGGCCTAGTAAGACCTAGAGGTGGATGCGGGCTCCAGTTTAACATATGACCTCATTTAATCCTCAGAACCAGCCTGTCAAGTAGGTATTGTTATCTCCCTATTACAAAAGAGACAACTGAGTAAATGATACATCAAAAGTATATTCATGAATTTGGGAATTCCCAAAGGTCTATGAGTATATTTCTATTTAATGAAAGGTTCTTCATCAGAGCTGATGTATCATTCATTTATTCAATTACACTAAGTAAAGCACCACTAAAACTCCATTAGCGGGGAGCTCATCTGCAGATGTAGTTACCAAGTGAGTCAAATGATACAGTGAAGAAAGCACTAGTTCAAAAGACAGATCTGCTCAAAAAGAATTCAGATACTCACTTGTATTAGGGGTTTCCACTGGCTACCAACAATGTGATGGGACCTGGATTTCTGAACTGTTGCAGGAAGTCAGGGACCCTAAACAGAGGGACCAGCAGGAGCCGAGGCAGAAGAACATAAATTGTGAAGATTTCATGGACATTTATCAGTTCCCAAAATTAATACCTTTATAACTTCTTAAGCCTGTCTTTACTGCAGTCTCTGAACATAAATTGTGAAGATTTCATGGACTTTTGTCACTTCCCTAATAATCATCTTATAATTTCTTATGTCTGTTTTTACTTTAATCTCTTAATCACGTTATCTTCATAAGCTGAGAATGTACGTCACCTCAGGACCACTACTGTACAAACTGATTGTAAAACGTGTGTTTGAACAATATGAAATCACTGTACCCTGAAAAGAACAGAATAACAGCAATTTTCAGGGAACAATGGAAGATAACCATAAGGTCTGACTGCCTGCGGGGTCGGGCAGAATACAGCCATATTTTTCTTCTTGCAGAGAGCCTATAAATGAACGTGTAAGTAGGAGAGATATCGCTGAATTCTTTTCCCAGCAAGGAATATTAATAATTGATACCGTGTGGAAGGAATGCATTCCTGGGGGGAGGTCTATTAACGGCCGCTCTGGGATTGTCTTATGCAGTTGAGATAAGGACTGAAATACGCCCTGGTCTCCTACAGTACCCTCAGGCTTACTAGGATTGGGAAATTCCAGCCTGGTAAATTCTAGTCAGACTGGTTCTCTGCTCTTGAACCCTGTTTCCTGTTAAGATGTTTATCAAGACAATATGTGCACAGCAGGACATAGACCCTCATCAGTAATTCTAATTTTGCCTTTGCCTTGTGATCTTATTGCCCTTTGAAGCATGGGATCCTTGTGACCTACTCCCTGTTCATACACCCCCTCCCCTTTTAAAATCCCTAATAAAAACTTGCTGGTTTGGGGCTCGGGGTCATCATTACGGTCCTACCAATATGTGATGTCACCCCCAGAGGCCCAGCTGTGAAATTCCTCTCTTTGTACTCTGTCTATTTCTCAGACCGGCCAACACTTAGGGAAAACAGAAAGAACCTATATTAAAATATTGGGGGCTGGTTCCCCCGATACTGAACAGAATAAAAGACTGGAAGCTCTATTCAGCTCTGAAACTGTTTAACTTAAGGATCCTTCTACTCACAGTCCAGTGCCATGTAACCCAGGAGTCACAGTGTACACTTACTCAAATCAGGAACCGTCAAAATTACGAGGGAAAATCCTTGAAGAAGGCACCATGTTGGATACTGACATACCACGTCTCACATAGTCCCACTGAGCCCATTTCCTCCTCCCCAACACCTTTAGTCACCTTCCTATCAGGATGAGCCCGAGAGCAATATTTAGGTTGTTTTAGGGATCATGTTGTATGAGAAATACAGCTTAGACATTCCATCCAGTCTCAGCCCAGCGATATGCTCATGCTGTGAAACACAGGCCAAAGAACATCAGGTTTACCTTGTCCAACTCATTCCAAAGTGCACCAAGTAGGCATGGTAGGGCCACATCACCTCCCCATCTTCCCGGCTGGTATTTCTCTCCTTGACACAATTGCCTTTGAAAACATAAATAACCCAGAGAAACCCACACTCCTATAAAGTAGGTGCTATCTCTCTGTTACCAATTTATAGATGCTGACATCTATAAAGAAAAGCTTCAGCCAGGTGCGGTGGCTCATACTTGTAATCCCAGCACTTTGGGAGGCCAAGGTCGGTGGATCACTTGAGGTCAGGAGTTTGAGACCAGCCTGGCCAACATGGTGAAACCCTGTCTCTACTAAAAATACAAAAATTAGCAGCGTTTGGTGGCAGGTGCCTGTAATCCCAGCTACTAGGGAAGCCAAGGCAGGAGAATCGTTTAAACCCAGGAGGTAGAGGCTGCAGCGAGCCAAGATCGTGCATCACTGCACTCCTGCCTGGGTGACAGAGCAAGACTCCGTCTCAAAAAAAAAAAAGAAAAAGAAAAAGAAAAGAAAAGTGTCTCGGCAGGGCACAGTGGCTCATGCCTGTAACCCCCTCAGCACTTTGGGAGGCTGAGGTGGGAGGATCGCTTGAGCCCAGAAGTTTCAGATCTTCCTCAGCTGATATAGCAAGACCCTTATGTCTATTAAAACCAAAATTAACCGGGGATGGTGGCACATGCCTGTGGTCCCAGCTACTCAGGAGGCACAGGCAAGAGGATTGCTTGATCCCAGCAGGTCCAGGCTGCAGTGAGCTGAAATCGTGCCACTGTACTCCAGCCTGGACAACAGAGCAAGACACTATCTTACACACACACACACACACACACACACACACAGCTTATCCAGTTCTACCTAATAAACGTAACAACAACGGCCAGGTGTGGTGGCCCAACTCAGCAATCCCAGCACTTTGGGAGGTAGAAACGGGAAGACTGCTTGGGCCCAGAAGTTTGAGACCAACCTGGGCAACACAGCAAGACCTCATCGCTATAAATAACAATGAACAACAATAATCATAATGAAGTAAAAACAAAACGCTAAAATTGACTTAGGGATGATAAAGCAATGCACAGGAACTGTCAGAGTCCTTGGGCAGTGGGGCAGCATAGGAACAAGGCAATGTGGGGAGGCAGGTCATCGCTACCACATGGCTGTGGCCTCTGGCAAATCTCTTTCAGCTTCAGGGTTCTCACCTAGAAAACAGCATTATTATCTGTACTTTGTACAGTGGTTGTGACTTAAGAGAGATACTTTACGTAAAAAACTTAGCAAAATGCCTAAAGAAGTTGTTCAATAAGATAACTGTAATAATGATAATCTTTTACAAATATTAAACACCTCCTCGAAATACCTAGTGTTCCTAAGTAGAAGGCATCAGCACCACTTTACAACAGACTAAGAATGTCAGTGGATAGACTAGATATTAAAGACCCCAAAATGCCAAATTTCTATATTTCAAATAATGCTACCTAGGTAAGTTATTTTTAACAGCTAAGCCAGTTAGAAAATCCTGCAACAGAAGATCAGTCCTTTCTTACAAAGCATTTGTTGACCGGGCACAGTGGCTCACACCTGTAATCCCAGGACAGCTGGCAGATCACTTGAGCCCAGGAGTTCGAGACCAGCCTGGGCAACATAGTGAAGCCTGGTCTCTACAAAAAAATACAAAAATTAGCCAAGCATGGGCCGGGCGCAGCGGCTCAAGCCTGTAATCCCAACACTTTGGGAGGCCGAGGCAGGGAGGTCACAAGATCAGGAGATCGAGACCACCCTGGCTAACACGGTGAAACCCCGTCTCTACTAAAAATACAAAAAATTAGCCAGGCGTGGTGGCGGGAGCCTGTAGTCCCAGCTACTCAGGAGGCTGAGGCAGGAGAATGGCATGAACCCGGGAGGCGGAGCTTGCAGTGAGCAGAGATCGCGCCGCTGCACTCCAGCCTGGGCGACAGAACGAGACTCTGTCTCAAAAAAAAAAAAAAGTAGCCAAGCATGGTGGCGCAGGCCTGTAGTCCCAGCTACTGGGGAGGCTGAGGTAGGAGGATTGCTTGGGCTGGGGAGGTCAAGGCTGCAGTGAGCTGAGATAGCCCCACTGCACTCCAGCCTCAGTGACAAAGTGAGACCTTGTCTCTTTAAAAAAAAAAAAACAGCATTTGTTTAACATTTTAAATAACAAAAACAAAGCTTTATCTCTCTCTCAAGTAGTATTTCTCTAAATAACTCTTATTCTCGAATAGTTCATATGTAAATTGACATTACAGCTATGTCAAATAGGTACCTATTATATTTAGTTAGTTATTTATTTTTATTTATCTTTTTTGAGATGGAGTCTTGCTCTGTCGCCCAGGGCTGTAGTGCAGTGGTGCTATCTTGGCTCACTGCAAGCTCCGCCTCCCAGGTTCATGCCATTCCCCTGCCTCAGCCTCCAGAGTAGCTGGGACTACAGGTGCCCCCCACCACGTCTGGCTAATTTTTTGTATTTTTAGTAGAGACGGGGTTTCACTGTGTTAGCCAGGATGGTCTCGATCTCCTGACCTCGTGATCCGCCCGCCTGGGCCTCCCAAAGTGCTGGGATTACAGGCGTAAGCCACCACACCTATCCAGGTACCTATTATTAATTTTAAAAAATACTGTTAAAAGAGTTTAAAGAAATGTAATATGTGGACAGACGTCTCTCAGTGTTTACAAAGAAAAAAATAACACAGCCTCCTAAAACAAACAAAAGATATATTATATCCCCTATAATGCTTCAACTAAGCCCAAACATTCCTTAACTTATGTTGGCTCATAAGAAAAGCACATTGTTTTACAAACACCACAAGTTTATAGACTCAACTGTGAGGAAAAATATCCATAACAATTCAAGCAGCTCCAAATCAGAGCTTCTAATTCATATTAACGATCTGATGGTTTTGCTGGCACATACCGGAGGGCAATTCAAAACATATAATCAAATGATCAGATGACCTTATATTGAATAAATTATTTCCAAATACTTTTTAAGAGCTGTTTGCATTCTGGACACCTCCCTTTCCGAATAAGTTTAAAGCCATGTCTCCAGTGCAGCTGAACATACCTATCTTGCCAGGAACCATAAATGTCATATCATAATGCACTGAATAGATGAGGACGATCTTGGTCAGCATACAATTCTACTGTTTAGTCAGGGGTATATAAAACGTCTTCTAGGCAAACTGCAATCCCATACTAACCAATGAACTTTTTGTTTATAATTATGATTCCTTTTATAAAAAGAGACCATCTTATTTTAAATTTAAAAACGGATGCTTAGGCTGGGCACAGTGGCTCACACCTGTAATCCCAACACTTTCGGAGGCCAAGGTGGGTGGATCACTTGAGTCCAGGAGTTCGAGACCAGCCTGGGCAACATGATGATACCTTGTCCTACAGAAAAGTACAAAAATTAGCTGGGCACGGTGGCACCTCCCTGTGGTCCCAGCTACTCGGGAGTCCGAGGTGGGAGGATCGCTTGAGCCCTAGAAGCGGAGGCTGCAGTGAGCCGAGATTGCACCACTGCACTCCAGCCTGGGTGACCAAGTGAGACCTTGTCTCAAATAAAATAGAAGTTTAAATCAATATTCTAAGGTCATTTATCCCTTTCATTTTATTTCAGAAATAGGTAAATGCAGAAATTCAATCTGTCACTAACAAAGTTACTTTGTACCATATATTTTTTGCGGAGTAAAATTACCAGTTCCAACTTTAAAGTTTCCGAAGGATGCTTTCCCCATCTTTAGCTCCTCCCTTCATCTAATACAGCTTAGTCATAACCACCAAAGCCAAATAATTTTTAAACCTAGATCCTTCCTTCCTTCCCTCCTTCCCACTTACTCATGTATTTATTTATTCAGACTCAGGGTTCTACTGTGTCATCCAGCAGTGGCGTGAACATGGCTCACTGCAGCCTCAACTCCTTGGCTGAAGCCATCCTCTGACCTTAGCCTCCTGAGCAGCTGGGATCACACAGGTGCCCGCACTACCACAGCTGTGTTTTTTTTTTTTTTTTTTTGGAGAGACAGGGTCTTGCCATGTTGTCCAGGCTGGTCTCAAACTCCAGGGCTCAGGCCTCATACCCACTTTAAAATCAACACATCTGTCCGGGTGCGGTGGCTCACGCCTGTAATCCCAGCACTTTAGGAGGCGAAAGCAGGAGGCTCACTTGACCCCAGGAGTCTGAGACCAGCCTGCGCAACACAGGGAGACTTCTCTCTTTCAAAAGAATTGTTTCGGCCAGGCGCGGTGGCTCACGTCTGTAATCCCAGCACTTTGGGAGGCCAAGGCAGGAGGATCACGAGGTCAGGAGATCAACACTATTCTGGCTAACACAGTGAAACCCTGTCTCTCCTAAAAATACAAAAAATTAGCCAGGTGTGGTGGCACGTGCCTGTAGTCCCAGCTACTCAGGAGGCTGAGGCAGGAGAATTGCTTGAACCTGGGAGGCGGAGGTTGCAGTCAGCCGAGATCATGACACTGCACTCCAGCCTGGGTTACAAACAAAAAAACACTAGTAAAATTCTAAATTCAAAGATTATAAAAATAAGTACCATTTTTTGTTTGTTTGTTTTTTGAGACAGAGTCTCGCTCTGTCACCCAGGCTGGAGTGCAGTGACACAATCTCGGCTCACTGCAACTTCTGCCTCCCAGGTTCAAATGATTCTCCTGCCTCAGCCTCCAGAGTAGCTGGGTCTACAGGCATGCATAACCACACCTGGCTAATTCTTTTGTATTTTTAGTAGAGACAGGGTTTCACCACGTTGGCCAGGCTGGTCTCGAATTCCTGACCTCAGGTGATCCGCCCGCCTCGGCCTCCCAAAGTGCTGGGATTACAGGCGTGAACCACCGCACCCAGCCTTCTTCCTCATTTCTTGTTAACAATTTTAACATAAACTGACAAACCTGATCACCGAAATACAACATTCAAAGGCTTTAGCAGAAAAAGACTGAATTGCAGTCAGTGAATCAAATTAGTAAAAATGTTTACTTTATCATCATTTTAATCCTGAAAGTGACATTAAGAGTTTTATCTTGTATTAAAACACAGTTTACCTCCCAACAGATTTTTTTTTCTTCTCCTTCCTTTCTGACTGAGAAGTTGAGCAGAGACAGATGCCCAACCCCAGCTTCCACCAGCTTCCTGCTGAAAATCAAGAGCAAGGCAGCCCACCAAGTGGCCCCGGCAGGATTCTGGCCATTCCCCACTACACATGGGTTGCCACTGACTGCTTCATTTGGACCCCAGGGTGAGCAACTCCCTCACGCTTGTCTTGAAACACACATGTAATAAGCGTTTAGTGTTAGTAATAGTGTGTTACTAAAATGAAGATTCAAGCTGACAGCAGGGGAGGTGGATTCCAAAAATCACAGTTAATTACCAAAGCCGCTAAGCCAAGTTATTCAAATGTCTTATTACCAAGGTATAGCCATAAAACTTACTGCTCCAGGCTATAATACCTTCAAACTCTTCAAGTTTTAAAGACACATTATACATAGGATTCTGCCAACTGGAGGCTATCTACCAACTTGTGAGTTGTTTCATCATGAAGGAGGCAAATGGTAGGTCACGAGACTCTGGGTCTCATTGAGAAGTATAAAAACTTACCAAGCAGTGAAGGGTATTGGAGAGAGAAAAACAGGATTTTAAAATGAAGATTCCAAACCACTGCCTACCAATCTGGCACGGCAAGTCGGGCAAATACACACTCAACGACAGTCACTGGGGTCGGAGTAAAAAGAAATGGATTTAAATTAAAGATGGAAAGACTTAAATCAGACTTAAAGAAAAGCCTCTTGATGTAAATTGCTAAGCACCTACGGGAGATAACCAAATCTACCTGTTACCACTAATCTATCAACTAACAAGACAAAGCCTCCAGCTAGGCGTTACTGTGCTGATATATATTAGGAAATAAGTACCCAAGGCATAGAAAAATCGCTGACACAGAGAACCAAGCCATAATGTAATATTAATAAAAGTAAACATTTGACCCTTTACCACCTCTAACACGTGGCACCACCAGGAATATTCATCCATGCC
The DNA here is from genome assembly GCF_000001405.40 of Homo sapiens. Classification (NCBI taxonomy): domain Eukaryota; kingdom Metazoa; phylum Chordata; class Mammalia; order Primates; family Hominidae; genus Homo; species Homo sapiens. The sequence goes on from NC_000018.10 coordinate 3,010,924, forward strand.
TCACCATTCAGGGAAGGTAAGTGAGCTCACTCAGGAAGTGCCACCGTCTTCCAGGTCACTGGTAAGGACAAACTGCCTGCTGCGTCTACCTTCATTCAACAGACCTCGACCGAATCGCATCCCAAAGCCGGCTATGTGCTTGGAACTTACTGAGCAGCTATGGAGTTTGGCTTTCAGGAACTCTGGGTCCAGTCCTTAAAACCAAAAGTGCAATACAGGGCGATGAGAACTTCTATTGCTACATTCTCCTAGCAATAAAGAAGACAAAGCCCCAGCTGACTCTATTATTTGCTTCTTAACAGTGCTTTACTATAGTATTAAAGGGTTTTCAAACACTTCATTTCCAGCTTCTCTTAAGCATAATGCGTGCCTATTGACTCTCGACTGTGCCATCAAACGTTAAAACAGAACCTGTCGTTTCATTTCTAGCTTTCTATGGCTACCTCTATCAAAAGTTGGGCATGGAGATACCTTAAGTCTGGCTGGGGCGGTTGCTCACGCCTGTAATCCCAGCTCTTTGGGAGGCCGAGGGGGGCGGATCACCTGAGGTCGGCAGTTCGAGACCAGCCTGGCCAACATGGTGAAACCCCCGGTCTCTAATAAAAATACAAAAATTAGCTGAGTGTGGTGGCTCATGCCTGTAATCCCAGCTACTCGGGAGGCTGGGGCACAAGAATCGCTTTAACAGAGGAGGCAGAGATTGCAGTGATCGGAGATCGCGCAACTACACTCCAGCCTGGGCGACAGAGTGAGACTCTGTCTCGAAATAAAAGAGATACTTCAGTCTGACATACCACAATCAACTACAATGTAATTGGAGGGAAGAGCCGATGTTGGACGGCTATCACACGTGGCTTCACACTGTTCTTTTTCTTCTCTGGCTGGGTACGGCCTGAGGATGACTGCCCTCCAACAACTGAGGATGCTGCAGGAGGACCAGCCCAGCACCTGTCTCCATCCCCTGCACTGTGTGGCCGGCTCTGCCGCTTCTCCCCCGCTTCAGCATCACCTGCCACTTCTTCTCAATCTGAAGCCACTAAGAACGATCAACACCAGACCGTTAAAACATAAACCAGTATGGGCCACTAAATAATTCGTAAATATTTCAAAATGTATTTCAAAACCGACTTTGTATTGTCAAAACATTATAATCTAGCCAGGCCAAGTTTTAATAAACAGTAACACCCATCATCACTACTGGGTAAAGAACTTCATTCAACAGGACCTACCTTGACACCAAGTCTAGAGCCTCGTTTTCAATTAAAAAAAAAATGGGTAAGCCCCAAATGTGCATTAAAAATTAGTTTGGCCATTTACTAAGTAGTCCTTCAAAGCATTTCCAAGTATTCAGAGTTCCAGTACTTTTCGGAAAGGAAGGGTGATCTTTCTGGTACTGGTTTGCATAATTATGCCTAAAAAATGTCATCTTGAATTTTCAATGAAAAGAGTCTTAAAATGTTCAGGCGAGTGGAGAAAATGGTGATCCGCTGGCGTTAGAAGTGGACAGAGAGGCTCTCAGTACAAACTGTATCTGAACGTGTTCCTCACAAATTAAGATCTGCACCGGGGGCTGGGGGGCTTTGAGAAAACTAACCACATTTGAATCCGGTCCACACAGCTTGAAGGCGGAGGTACGGGGCAAAGCGCGGCGGGGAAGAAACACCAGCAACTCGGCGGCCCCCGCCTCGCCGCAGATCACGTGCCCGGCGCCCCCTCCCGCAGGGCCGGGGGCGGGATGGAGACGCGGCCTCCCGCGCGCCTTCCGCACTCCCCTCCGCGCCCCAAACCCAGGGGTAGGGGTGGTCTCGGGTAACCATCCCCAGGGCGGCGGCGAGGGAACTGCGCGGGTTCAGAGTCCTCAGCAGCCACCACTGACGCCCCGACGCCCCCGGCTCCCCGCGCACCCCGCCGGTCCGTCCTGCGGCGGCGGCGGTAGGGGCCGCGTCTACGTGGCGCGGTCGCGGCGAGGCGGGGACTGGGACGCGAGGACCGGGAAGCGGGGACCGCGGCGCGAGGAGGGGCGGCTCAACCCGCGCCGCCCCGGAGGGTCCCGGCCTCCGGCAGGACAGCCCCGGGCCCGCGCCAAGGGAAGCCCCCAGGCGCAGACACTCACCGCCAGCCCCGGAGGGACGCCTGCGAGGAGCCCGGCCCGCGCCCACTTACCCACAGGGGCTCCGCTCCCGGCCAGCGGGCGGCTGAGGGCAGGCGGCGGCTGGACTGCGACGGCTAGGACCCGCCGGGGAGGGAAGCCGAGGGGGCGGGGCCGGTCGGGGGCGCGCGCGGGGTCGGAGCGCCCGCAGCCGCCGCTGCCTTGGAAGCCGCCTGGGCCGCAGCTGAGTCGGGCGGCCCTCATGAATGGGACGCCGCGGCTGCGGCGGCCGAGCCGGCAGCTGGCGGGCGGGCAGCGCGCAGGCCCCGCCCCAGCCACGTGACGCGCGCTCCCGGCCGCGCGCCGCGCCCCCGCCGCCGAGCGCCAGGCGTGCGGCTTCTCACCGCTCCCAGTCCCTGGGCTGCGCGCCCGGGCCCCTGGCCAAGTGAGGGCGGGGCCTCGATTTTCTAGTGCCTCGGGCGACAGGAGCCTTACTTTGTTTTAAAAAAAAAAAGTTTCTTCCGGTCCCCATGGCAACCCTGCGGCAGGTCACGTGGGACTGAGAGCCCAATTGCCAAAAAGGAATGTTAAAGTGCAAAAAAAGTCTAGGGAATGAATGTTTTATAATCCCCTTTTGATCACTAGTAGCACATCTCCTTTGCTTACTTACATCTCCACCGAAAAAAAAAAAATCCTATTACACAACTCATTTTTAAAAATATGCCGGGGTTCTGTTGTTTTTTGTTTATTCTTTTTATCGCTCTGTTACCCCGGCTGGTCTCCAACTCCTGGGCTCAAGCATCCCCGCACCTCGGCCTCCCAAAGTACTGGAATTACAGGCATGAGCCACCGTCCCCAGCATTAAAATATACTTTTTAAGAAATGGGTGGCTCACGCCTGTAATCCTAGCACTTTGGAAGGCCGAGGCAGGCGGATCACTTGAGGTCAGGAGTTCAAGACCAGCCTGGCCAACATGGTGAAACCCCCGTCTCTACTAAAAATACAAAAAACCAGCCGGGCGTGGTGGCGCGTGCCTGTAATCCCAGCTTCTCAGGAGGCTGAGGCAGGAGAATCAGTTGAACCCGGGAGGCGGAGATTGCAGTGAGCCGAGATGGCGCTATTGCACTCCAGCCTGGCGACAGAGAGACTCCGTCTCAGAAAGAAAAGAAATGGGGCCCGGCGCGGTGGCTCACGCCGGTAATCCCAGCACTTTGGGAGGCCAAGGCGGGTCGATCGCCTGAGGTCAGGAGTTGGAGACTAGCCTGGCCAACGTGGCAAAACCCCGCCTCTACTAAAAATACAAAAATTAGCCGGGCATGTTGGCTGCAATCCCAGCTACTTAGGAGGCAGAGGCGGTAGAATCACTTGAACCCGGGGGGCGGAGGTTGCAGTGAGCAGAGATTGCGCCACTTCACTCCAGCCTGGGAGCGAAACTCTGTCTCAAAAAAAAAAAAAACAAAAAAAACTGGATTGCTGGTGCTATATACTATTGGTGCACACTGGTTTTTAATTTGCAGCCTATTCTATTACTATTCTATGATTGAAAGTAATGAACAGAAGCCTATGTTACTTCTATATAAATGGCAGTTAATTTATGAGGTGCATCTTGTGTGTGATCATTTATACAGTTCTAAGGGTACTGAAATAGGCATTTGCATACACAAAGCTGCTCCTTGAAGGATCCAGCTGCAGCCCAGTTTCTTCCCACCAGTGCCTGGTGTAGCTGGGCAGTGCTTGGATTCAGGGAGCAGGCGACCACTTCTTCACTGAAGTTCCTTCTGCTTTTCTGTGAAACTCGATCAAGTTTTGCCCCATCTGTAATCAAGGCCCTACAGAAACATAGGTAGTTTCACTGGCACAAGACCACTAGGAATTTTCCTCATTTCACTGCTTCTCACTTGGCTTCACAAGTAAAATAAAAATTGAAGAGGACTAAAATATCCCCCTCCGTATTCAATGGATTTTATAAATATGGAGAAGAAAAATTAAAGCTAGAGAAAGAATTTAATCCTCAGTTTCTACGTCAGTAAAATAAAGATAGTAGTGTCTTTCTTACAGAATTGTTTTGTGGATTCCCCGTGATAACCTATAAAGTGCCTACGTTAGTGTCTGCAACCTGGAACAGGCTGTTAGCGTTTATTTTCTTTCCTTTCTTCCATTTCTCCCACTTAGACTTTTCCTGTTTCTCTCAGGCTATTTTCTCTATCTCTGCCTTGGGAGGGAAATATTCTGCCAAGCTCCCTTCCTTCCTTTCATCATTCAGGAAGCCCTAGAGCTCCCCTCCCTTCCTCCAAACAACCTTGCGTTTGAGACCTCACTCAGAACGATTGGTTCATATTGCTAATATTTTCCTCATTTTCCCGTGTCCACCAGCTTACACTACCACTTAAGTGGTGACTCATTAAATGTTTGTTGCATGATAAATCCCTTCACCTCCTGCCCTAGGAAGTGTGGAGGGGCCACCCCAGGTCCACCTACTCCACTGGAGTGTCAGAGGAAGAAAGCGCTTCCTTCAACTGGCCTCTGACCCACCACCTTCCAGCTCCAAGGTGAGGAACCTCACTCCACTAATTGTCCCCTCTTCCTCAATTCTGGCTTCATTCCTGCACTTGAAAAAGAAGCTTTTGTGGCCCCTCCGTTCCCCCTCAGGCTGTCGACTTATCACACAGCTTCTCTTCCCACCCAAGCTACCTGAAAGAGTTTCAGGTTTTCTCCCATCTTCACAGGGTTGCTCCTCCTCTAACCCTGAAACTGCTCAGGCTAAAGTCACTATGACCTTCTGGTTGCCGAAGAAAACAGACCCCTTTCCTGTCCCATGCCTCATGATCTCTGCAGGGCAAGATGCTGTTGATCATTATTTCCTTCTTGAAACTCTCTCCTCCCCTCATTAGTGGGAACTCCTCTGAATTCTACATGCCTGTGCTCAGTGGCTTTCAACGTCTCAACCAGCAAGGTCCACAGTGATGTCAGATTCAAACCCATTATTTGTGCTTCTTCAAACCTGCTCCACCTGAATCTCCTATCCTGGCTGATGGCGCTGTCATCTGTTTAGACATACTTGCCAGAAACCTAGGAGGGAGTCTCATTTCCCTCTACTCCCATGCTGTTTCCATCACTCCTCCTCATTATTCCTCCTCATGATTCCTACTCTTGGTCCTCTGTCGCACCACTCACCCCTGCTTGTGATTAGGCCCTCGCCATTTCTCTTGTGGTCCATTGTAGGAATATGCCAGCTGGTCTCCCTACCCTCTAGTCCTGCCCAATTCTAAGCATCCTCTACTCTGAATTGCAGACCTGGCCATGGCACAGGTGGTTGGCAACCCATTGTCTTGACGAAGCAAGCCAAGTTCCCTAGCGTGGCATCCAGTGTGCTCCTTTTCTCTCTAATTTTCTCTCCTGCTCCTTCTAGTCTGTATGCTTCAGCCATTCCATCATCCCTTTTGCAACAGGATTTTTTTTTTTTTTTTGGAGACAGGGTCTCACTCTGTTGTTCAGGCCAAAGTGAAGTGGTGTGATCACGGTTCACTGCAACCTCAAACTCCTGGGCTCAATCGAGCCTCCCACCTTAGCCACCCAAAGTACTGGAATTACAGGCTTGAGCCACAGTAGCTGGTAAGAATAATTTTTCATATATTAACTTCTGTGTTTTTCCTTAGAGTTCTCTCTTTCTTCTTCTCCTTATAAGAATGCACCCAGGCATTCTGCTTGTCTCAGGAGGTTGTTGGCAGAGTGGAAAGCAGAAGTTGTCTGCAAGACATTTCCTTCCTGTCTTTTATTTCCAAAACACTATGCTCAGTGAGGAACCTGTCTCAGTCAAGGGGGAGAGGGCCAGGGAGAAGGCATATCTTTGAGGGAATCTGGAAAGCAGAGAAGGATTTTCTCTAGAATAAGAATCAAGTATCCCCGACCTGGAGTTGGAAGGAGGTGGTCCTATGCCCTCCTGTCTGGCAGCTCCCAGGGGAGGTGATTCAACCTTAGAAAAATAGCTTTGTTATTCCCAGCTTCTGCATCTCTTTCTCTGTGAGGACAGAGAATAGCTAGCATTTTCTGTACCATCACTGTGTGCCCAGCTCTTCTAGTAATTCAACTTCTATCATTAACACCAGTTTACAGAGGAAGGAACTACGGCACAGAGATGTTGGGTAACTTGCCTCAGATCTCACAACTCGTCAGCAGTGTTGATAGAATTTGCCTCCAGCCCTCCTTGACTCCTAAACCCATATTTTTTTCTTCTCTTTCTAAAAAAGTTATTATTTAGCCATCAAATGAATGAACCAAAACTATTTTTTTTAATTTATTTTTAGTAGAGATGGGGTTTTGCCATGTTGCCCAGGCTGGTCTCGAAATACTGGCCTCAAATGATCCGCCCACCTCAGCCTCCCAAAGTGCTGGGATTACAGGCATGAGCCACCAGGCCCAGCATAAACCTGTATTTTTAACTACCTCCCACCACCTTCCCTCAATTGCCCTACTGCCCTACCCCAGTCGATGTATTTTTTCTTATGCCTCTAGTCCACCTTGCACAGATCACAATTATAGTACTTATTATACACATAGTAGGTGCTGAGTAAATACGTGATGAAAAATAAGTGAAGATTTCTATTTCATCTGATAGGCTCAGCTGGGTGTCTAGACCAACTTTCCCTCACTGAAAACAAAAACAAAAATACTGGGCAAAATAATAAAAATATATTCTGGAAGGCATCTATAAACTGGCAAGAAATTAAGAAATTGCCCCAGGACAGGGTGAAGGTCAGAACCCAGAGAGGTAAGCCGAGCCCAAAGTCAGCATATGCCTGGAGGATTTTTGCTGAATCTAGTGAGTTTGAACGTTGATTTTTGAAGCCTTGGGAGTTTTGTGCAGCAGAAGTAAAGGTTAGCATGTACTTTAAGTAGGGAGATTAATAGAAGACCCAATAAATACAGAATTGCAAAAGCAAAATAGTAGAATAAGAAAAAAAATTACTTCTCAAGCCGACCCAGAAACCTCACTAAAGCTGGTAACATATGAACATATAAAACACATATAGGCCGGGTGCAGTGGCTCACACCTGTAATCCCAGCACTTTGGGAGGCCGAGACAGGCCGATCACTTGAGGTCAGGAGTTCGAGGCTAGCCTGGCCAACATGGTGAAACCCGTCTCTACTAAAAACACAAAAATTAGCCAGGTGTGGTGGCGCACAACTGTAGTCCCAGCTACTCAGGAGGCTGAGGTAGGAGAATCACTTGAACCCAAGACACAGAGGCAGTGAGCCAAGATGGGGCCACTGCACTCCAGCCTGAGCAACAGAGCTAGACTTCATCTCAAAAACTAAATAAATAAATAAATAAAATAAATAAAGCAAGTCTTAACAAATCTGAAAATTTTGAATGCATTGGCCAGACGCAGTGGCTCACAACTGTAATCCCAGCACTTCAGGAAACCAAATCAGGAAGATAGCTTGAGCTTGGGAGGATTGCTTGAGCTCAGGAGTTTGAGACCAGCCTGAGCAACATAGAGAGACCTCATCTCTACTAAAAATGTAATAAATTAGCTGGCTGTGGTAGCGTGTGCCTGTAGTCCCAGCTACTCGGGAAGATGAGGTGGGAGGATTGATTGAGCCTAAGAGGTCAAGGTCGCAGTGAGCCCAGATTGTACCACTGCACTCCAGCCTGGGCAATAGAGCACGACCCTGTCTCAAGAAGAATGAAAGAGAGAGAGAAAAGAAAGAAAGGAAAATGTTTATCATACAGACTATATCCTCTGAACACAATGCAATTAAGACAAGAATCGGCCGGGCCCAGTGGCTCACGCCTGTAATCCCAGCACTTTGGGAGGCCGAGGCGGGCAGATCACGAGGTCAGGAGATCGAGACTATCCTGGCTAACACGGTGAAATCTCGTCTCTACTAAAAATACCAAAAAAAAAAAAAATTAGCCGGGCATGGTGGCAGGCGCCTGTAGTCCCGCTACTTGGGAGGCTGAGGCAGAAGAATGGTGTGAACCCAGGAGGCAGAGCTTGCAGTGAGCCGAGATTGCGCCACTGCACTTCAGCCTGGGCAACAGAGCGAGACTCCGTCTTAAAAAAAAAAAAAAAAAAAAGACAAGAATCAATTTTTTTAAGAAGTAACTAGAAAAACCTATTTGTTTGGAAATTCATGAGCCAATGAACAGCACTATGGGAATGTGACAACATTTAAATGCTATATATCAAATATTTGATACTATGTATGAAAATATGAGGGATAAAACTGAGCAAGTTGTTAAGGGGAAACTTATAGACTAAAAGCTTATATTACAAGAGAAAATTGTTTGAAATGTAAAGAGCTAAAAAGTTAAAAAAGAACAGGAAATTAAAGTCATATAGAAGAAAGGAAATAATAAAGATAAAATTTTAAAAATAATAAAATTGAAAGCAAACATGCAATAGAAAGAACCAACTAAGCCAAACACTGCATTCAAACTTCTGGTGAAAAATGATCAGGGAAAAAGGAGAAGGCACAACACACAATGTGAAGCATAAAGGGAAAGCTATAATCACACATGATGTGGAACTTAACAAAGGTAAAAGAACTTTGTGAAATTCCAAGAAGCGTAAATTAATAAAACTGAAACTCGTAACTGTCCAAGAACTTGAATCTGTTGTTAAATATTTTCTGCAAAGAAAAATCTAGCTAAAACAGTTTGCCAGTGATTTCTACCGAACATTCCAGTAATAAGTAATTCCAATCTCACACTCTAAAGTATGGAAAAGGAGAGATTATCCCTCAACTCGCTTTATGAAGCTGGCATTGCCTTATACCAAAATCTGATCAGGAGAGTGTCAGAAACAAAAATCCCAGGCCAAAACACTCTTACATATATAGACATGAAAAGTCCTGAGCTGAATTTCAACAATGTGAATCCAGCAAGGTAATACATTATAACCAAACGGGCTTATCCAAGAATGCAAGGTTAGTTTAAAATGAGAAAATCAATTAATGTAATTCACCACATTAAAAGATTAAAGGAAAAAAAAATCCTATGATGATCTCAGCAGGTTCAGAAAAAGCCTTTGATCAAATGGAGTATCCAACCAGATAAAATTCATAGGAAACTAGGAATATTTTCCTTGAAAAAAAGGGGAGATTTACAAAAGTGTATAGCAAATATCATAAGTAATCATTGCTTTAAAAAAAAAAATGAGGGGTCGGGTGCAGTAGCTCACGCCTGTAATCCCAGCACTTTGGGAGGCTGAGGCAGGCAGATCGCTTGCCCAAGAGTTTGAGATCAGCCTGGGCAACATGGCGAAACCCCATCTCTACAAAAAAAAAATTAGCCAGGCATGGTAGAGCATGCCTGTGGTCCCAGCTACTTGGGAGGCTGAGGCAGGAGGATCATTGCAGCCTGGAAGGCAGAGGTTGCAGTGATTCAAGATTACACCATTGCACTTCAGCCTGGGTGGCAGAGTGAGACTGTGTCTCAAAAAAAAAAACAAATATTAAAAATAAAATAAAATTTTAAAATGAGGAACATAAGTGTGCAGCCATCTCCACTTCTATTCAGTATAGTACTAGAGGTTCTAATAGTGGAATAAGGTAAGACAAAGAAATCAAATATGTATGTATTGGAAAGAAAGAAATCACAATGACATGGTCGTATGTGTACAAAATTCAAAAGAATGTATACATAACCTATTGAAATGAATGTGAGAGTTTAGTAATGTTGCTGGATGCTAAAATCAACATGCAAAATTGTTAGCATTTGTATATACCAGTAATAAACAGTTTGGAATGAAATTTTTTTAAAGATACATTTAGAATAATATCAAAAAATAAGCGACTGAGGAATAAATCTAACAAAATATGAGCAAGACCTTTAATTTTTTAATTCTTTTTTTTTTTTTTTTTTGAGACAGGGTCTCACTCTGTCACCTAGGCTGGAGTACAGTGGCACGAACACAGCTCACTACAGCCTCAACTTCTGGGCTCAAGGGATCCTCCCACCTCAGCCTCCCAAGTAGCTGGGACCACAGGCTTGCAGCACCACATTAAAAAAATTTTTTCTAACTTGTTTAAAAATTTTTGTGGTGACAGGCTGGGCGCGGTATCACGCCTGTAATCCCAGCACTTTGTGAGGCCAAGGCAGGTGGGTCATTTGAGGTCAGGAGTTTGAGACCAGCCTGGCCAATATGGTGAGACCCCCCCCCCCCCGCGCCCCGCCTGTCTCTACTAAAAATACAAAAATTAGCTGGGAGTGGTGGCAAACACCTGTGGTCTCAGCTACTTGGGAGGCTGAGGCAGGGGAATCGCTTGAACCTGGAAGATGGAGGCTGCAGTGAACCAAGATCGCACCACTGCACTCCAGCCTGGGCGACAGAGTGAGACTCCATCTCAAAAAGAAAAAAAAAAAATCTGTGGAGACAAGGGTCTCACTGTGTTACCCAGGCTGGTCTTGAACTATTGGGCTTAAGTGACCCTCCTGCCTCAGCCTCCCAAAGTGCTGGGATTACAAGCATGAGCCACCATGCCCAGCAAGACCTCCATAAAGAGAATTAAGAAGCTTCAGTGAAAAACTATGAAGAAGACCTAGTTAGAAAAATACCATATTTGGAGATAGATCCAATCTCATAAAAATATTAATTCTCAATAAATTGATCTATGAATTCAATGCAATTTCATTCAAAATAGAGGTTACTTCTTCAAAAGACTCTTGAAGAAAAACAGAGAGGGAGGAATTACCTTTCTATATATCAAAACTGTAGGATGAAAGGCAGGGTCATATTAGTTCAGGGGCCAGTTAGACAAATAGGCCAATCAAATGCAATAGAAATTCTCACCACACACACACAAAAAAGTATGTGAGGTAATGAATATGTTAATCCGTTTGATTTAGCTATTCCACAATGTATGCATGTATCAACACATCATGTTGTACACCGTAAATATACGTAACTTTTGTCAGTTTAATAATTAGGCCAGGTACAGTGGCTCACACCTGTAATCCCAGCACTTTGGGAAGCCAAGGTGGGAGGATTGCTTGAGGCCAGGAGTTCAACGCTAGCCTAGACAATGTGGGAAGACCCCATCTCTATTTTAAAAAATAAAAATAAATAAATAAGAAAATATGAAAAGTAATTATATTTTTTATTTTTTAATAAAGTGATTTTAAAAAAAAAGACAGGGTCTCACTATGTTGCCCAGGCTGGTCTCGAACTTCTGGACTCAAGTGATCTTCCTCCCTCGACCTCCCAAAGTGCTGGGATTACAGGTGTGAGCCACCACACCTAGCCATTTTTTTTAAATGTAAGAAAAAGCTCAGAAATAGGTTCAACACATACAGACACTTGATGTATGGCAGAGGGGGCAATTCAGAATATTGGGGAAAAGATGGATTTTTCAATAAATGGTTAGGAGGCAGTTGATTATTGTATTCATTTTCATTGCTATAACAAAATACCACACTGGGTAATTTATAAAGAAAATAAGTTTCTCTGGCTCACAATTCTGCAGGCTGGAAGTCCAAGGTGGATGGGCCGGATCTGGTGAAGGCCTTCGTGCTGTAACCTAGCAGGGGGCTTCTGGTGGCAAGAGGGCAAGGGATGCTAATTCAAGTCCCTCTTCCTCTTCTTATAAAGCCACCAGTCCTAGCATGGGGACTCCTGATGACCTTATCTAATCTCAGTTACCTCCCAAAGGCCCCACCTCCAGGTACCATCAACATATGAATTTGAGGATTACATTTCCGACACATGAAGTTTGGGGAATACTTCAAACCATAGTGATTATCTATATGGCAAAATTAAATTTAGACTCAACAACATATCCCAAAATCAGCTTTAGTTGGATTAAAGACCTAAATGAGAAATCAAAATTGTGCTCCTGTCATCATTTCAAGGATATACTTTCTTTTCCACATTTTACCATTTCTGAAATTGTGATTGATTTTTTTATAATAAATGTCAACTTAGACTCCGTGATTCGTGATATAAAATTTTTAGGAGACAATACAGGAGAATACGCTATCAAATTCTGAGTGAAAGGATTTATTAAACAAGACACAAGAAGCACTAACTATAAAGGAAAAGACTGATACATTTATCTACATTGAAGTTAGGACTTCTTTAAAAGAGACCATAAAAAAAGTAAAACAAAACAAAACAAAAATAAGCACCATTCCAGGAGAATATATTTGCAACATATATAATCAACCCAAGATTAGAATCCAGAATATATGAAGAACTCCTATGAATCAGTAAGTAAAAATTTTGCAATCAGTAGAAAAATTAGCAAAAAAAATGAAGATGAATTTCACAAAAAATAAGCACAAATGCCCATAAACTTATGAAAAGATGTTTAATTTCATTAGTAATGTCACACGCGTCCATGTGAAGAGATCACCAAACAGGCTTTGTGTGAGCAACAAGGCTGTTTATCTCACCTGGGTGCAGATGGGCTGAGTCCGAAAAAGGAGTCTGCAAAGGGTGGTGGGATTATCATGACTTCTTATAGGTTTGGGATAGGTGTACAAGGTACATTCTTAAGGGCGGGGGGAGAATATTACAAAGTACCTTCTTAAGGGCAGGGAGAATATTACAAAGTACCTTCTTAGGTAGGGAGTGGGGAGAATATATCGTATCAGGGTGGAGCAGAAACAAATAACAATGGTGGAATGTCATCAGTTAAGGCTATTTTCACTTCTTTTGTGGATCTTCAGTTGCTTCAGGCCATCTGGATTGTATACGTGCAGGTGGCAGGGGATATGATGGCTTAGCTTGGGCTCAGAGGCCTGACAAGTAATCAGGAGAAAGTAAGTTATTCACAATAGCAAAGACTTGGAACCAACCCAAATGTCCATCAATGATAGACTGGATGAAGAAAATGTGGCACATATACACCATGGAATACTATGCAGCCATAAAAAAGGATGAGTTCATGTCCTTTGCAGGGACATGGATGAAGCTGGAAACCATCATTCGCAGCAAACTATCGCAAGAACAAAAAACCAAACACCGCATATTCTCACTCATAGGTGGGAACTGAACAATGAGAACACTTGGACACAGGAAGGGGAACATCACACACTGGGGCCTGTTGTGGGGTGGGAGGGGGGGAGGGATAGCATTAGGAGATATACCTAATGTAAATGATGAGTTAATGGGTGCAGCACACCAACACGGCACATGTATACATATGTAACAAACCTGCATGTTGTGCACATGTACCCTAGAACTTAAAGTATTAAAAGAAAGATAATTCATTAAGCTATCATTTAATGTGGTTTTCTGTATCTGCATCTTATTTTAAATAACATGGTTAAACTGTTTTATGTGTAATACCAAATTATACGTACAACAGCTTATCTACTGTTAAATTTTTTTAAATTTTTATCAGCTGTATTTATTGTATAGCATTTGTGCATTAGATCATGTTTTCAAATCTCTGTGACAGTTAGGTTATCTGAAATGCCAGAAGTTAATCTTACCAGATTTGGGGAGAAATAAAAAAGGTTTTTGGTTTCTGTTTTGTTATTGTGGAATCTCTCAAATAAATTAATTGTTAGAAAAAAAACTGCAATGAGATACCACCACACACCCATCAGAACGACTGAATTTTTTTTAATTAATTAATTTTTTTTTTTCAGACAGTCTTGCTCTGTCACCCAGGCTGGAGTGCAGTGGCGTGATCTTGACTCACTGCAATCTCCACCTCCCGGTTTCAAGCAATTCTCGTGCCTCAGCCTCCCAAGAAGCTGGGATTACGGGCCTGGCTAATTTTTGTATTTTTAGTAGAAACTGGGTTTTGCCATGTTGGCCAGGTTGGTCTGGAACTCCTGACCTCATGTGATCCGCCTGCCTCGGCCTCCCAAAGTGCTGGGATTACAGGTGTGAGCCACCATGCCTGGCCAGAATGGTTAACAATTTTAAAGTTGTTCAATGCCAAGTGTTGGAGGTGTTACTAATGCTAAGGTCATGCAGTGATCAACCAGCATTCAGGCACATCACTGGTTCAAATCCAAATCGTACAACTTTTTTTTTGGACAGAAAGTAGAATTTATTGGTGAGTATTAAGAGGGGGCAGCACAGTGGAAGCCCTCATGAGTGCAGGGCCCACCACTTATCCAGAGGGCCACGAATGGGGATGTACTTGACCCCACAGCCATCTGGGATGAGCCGCTTCTCAGCCACCATGTCTTCAAATTCATCAGCATTCAACTTGGTGAAGCCCTACTTCTTTGAGATGTGGATCTTCTGGTGACCAGAGAACTTGAACTTGGCCCTGCACAGGGCCTCAATCACATGCTCCTTGTTCTGCAGCTTGGTGCGGATGGACATGATAACTTGGCCAATGTTAACCCTGGCCACAGTGCCCTGGGGCTTTCTTTCCAAAGGCACCTCACATGCCTGTTTGGAGCCTACATTGGGGTAGTGCAAGGTCAGAGACATGAACCCCCATCTGAAAGGCCTGTCTCCAAGGTCCCTTAGAGCAACCCATACAAGAAACAGGCTGCACACACTGCCAAGGAAGCTGCTGTTTGCAGCCATTGCACATGTACAACTTCTTAAAAAAAAAATCTTTTTATTTAAGAGATGGGATCTCCCTATGTTGCCCAGACAGGACTTGAACTCCTGGCCTCTAGCAATCCTCTTGCCTCCGCCTCCCAAGTAGCTGGGACTATGGGTACCCAGAGTCAAACTGTAACAACTTTAGAAAACAGTTTGATATTATCTAGAAAGTTCAACGTGCACACACACAGGGACCAGTAATTCCAATGTTAGGTACATGCCCTCTAGAAGTTCTTGCCCAAGTGCCCTCAAAGACACATACAAAAATAGAACAGCATTGCTCATAATTGCAAAGAAACAACATGAATGGCCACTAAAGGTGGAATGGATACTTAGATTGTGGTGTAATCATATAATGAAATCCTACTGATTTACATCAACATGGATGAATTTCAAAAATAAAATCTTAAGCAAAGAAACATCACAAGATCAAAGTATGACTCTACTTATTCTATTCCAAAAATGATATACTGTTTCAAGATAAAAGCATAGGTGATAACAACTATAAAGAAAAATAAGGAAATGACAGAAATTGCAGGAAAGAGAGAGACAGTGCAATCCGAGTTAGGTGTAAGTCTGGAGCAGGGCAATGTGCTGTTTCTTGGCCTGTGTGATGGATACATAGGTGTTTGTGTGTATTATTATTTCACAATAAAAACTAAAATAAATGAAGGATAAAGGAGAATGAATTAATACATACACACATCTGTATTTTTTAAAACGTTATTGTGCTCCTATAAGCTCTGTAAATTTCCGTTCACACTTAGAAGACAAACTCAGTGTTCTTTAGAACTTTCCTATCGCACTGCAAGGAATGGTTTTTCAACAAGGCACTGCAGTTTGTTTTGTAATAAATCTTTGTAAAAGGTGAGGAAGAATAAGTTACACAAAATGGGTCAGAAGTGCAAAGAAAAACTAGTAGAAACATGAGGACTCTTCTAATAAGTCACTCACATATACATAGCCCCAAATCACTCCATTTAGGTTTGTTTGCTTTTTTATTCATTTATTTATTTTGAGACAGAGTCTCCCTCTGTCGCCCAGGCTGGAGTGCAGTGGCACGATCTCAGCTCACTGCCACCTCCCAGGTTCAAGTGATTCTCATGCCTCAGCCTCCAGAGTAGCTGGAATTACAGACCTGCACCACCATGCCTGGCTAATTTCTGTATCTTTAGTAGAGATGGGGCTTTGCCACGTTGGCCAGGCTGGCCTCGAAATCCTGGCCTTACGTGTTCCGCCTGCCTCCCAAAGCGTTGGGATTGCAAGCGTGAGCCACTGCACCCAACCTGTTTGCTTTCTTTGAACTGGATGGTTATCATTCTTAGTCCTGGGCACAAAGATTCTTCCAGTTGGTCGATGGACTTTCTTATTTTCACCGGTCATGTGCTGCCAGGTCATAAAACCAGGGATCTTGAAGGCCAAGGTACGGAACCGCAGCTGCGGCAGAAATCCCCTCTGGAATCTTGTCCTGTCTGAATCCCTCGGGTCATGGGCAGTTCTTGTCAGGGACAATTCATTCCGCGATTAGACAGGGCTGTTGTTTTACTCAGCAGGCCGACCTATCTAAGGAGACCTGCTTATAGACTCACTCTGAAAATCATGATCCTGTTGGAGAACACACTGCCTTCCATGGTTTAAAACCGGGCCGTTTAGAGAAAATGTGTTCTGTAAATTTTGTGTGAGAAGGATTTAATTTATTAGCACTTGGTGATTTCACTGATCCTTTGTAACACTAAGCCTTCATCATCCCACATTTTACATTATAACTAAACAAATAATGATAGTAACATTTTAGAAGCTATAGAGGGGAGGAGAGATTTTTTAAAAGCACTCACCGAGAAAGAAATCGGCTGGCCAGAGTGTTTGAAAGCTGCTGTACAGCGAGGACCCTGAGGCCAGCCCGGAAAATTTCCTGGCGCTTCCAGGTTGCTCAGTTCAACAGCCATTGTCTTAAATTATTTTCAGAATAGCCACAAATTTGAATGGAATGTTGGAACTATTGCGAACTGTCCTTAAGAAGATGTTCCCAGGGTACGTCTGGTCTCCTTAAACCTTTCAAAAAAGCACGTTTAAACCCCTCCTTTCTTTCTCCTCAGTTTTTGGGTGTGTGCTCTGCACAATGATCCCTGATAAGGGATGCTCCTTAAACATTAGCGTCAAAAGACACATTTTCAACAAATGTAGTTTAAAGATCTCAATTGCCCTTGCTGTGATGAGAATCGGGCAGCACTTCATTCCATAAAATAGAGTTAAGTGTTCCGGAGCTGAGCAGAAGGGGTTGTCTTTATAGACAGGGAAGGGCTGAAGACAGCAGAAGCCAAGAACAAAGGCCAGCATTAGTTTCAAAGCTATTTTTCTTGTAAGGGGGAGACAGGGAGACAGAACAATACAAAAATAACTGATTAGTTAATATTAGGTCAGTCTGCTTCTTTTTTACATAAGAATTACAGCAGGGGGAACGCCGTTATCCTGCAGACTGAAGATTTACACTGGCCTGTTTGGGAAATTGGCTGTTATCTCTCTCGTGATTGCTTGGAAGGTCAAATAACAATTTAGTTTGGGTTTGGTGATGTGAAACTGTAGCATGGATGACTCCATTTTAATTTTTAGTCTGGTCTATTGGGGCCTAGTGCAGGAGCTTAGTCTGAAACAACGACCTCCCATGATTTTTTTTTCTTTTTTCTTTTTTTTTTTTTTTTTGAGACAGGGTCTTGCTCTGTCACCCAGGCTGGAGTGCAGTGGCACAATCATGGCTCACCGCAGCCTCCACTTCCCGGGCTCAAGTGATCCTCCCACCTCAGCCTCCCTAATAGCTGAGACTATAGGGATACACCACCACACCTGAACATAATTTTTATTTAACATCAGGAAAGTGAAATCTTGTTAGGGAAGTGACTCTATTTCAGCAAAAAAGAGTGGTTGTCTCTCACACTTCACTCTTCTTTTTCCTCTTCCAATTTTCTCCTACATGAAAGTTCTTCTAATTCAATAAATTTTTGTTGACAGCACAAAGTTTTTTGTTTTCTTTCTCCTTATTTATCTAAATGGCTTATTAATGTTAGACAAATTTTTCCCAATGTTAGAAAAATTAAGGGGAAGGTGTATGGCTTTGCAGACTATTTTCTACTCTGGTAGAAACAGAATTTCAGTGTTCTCACTAGGAGATTCTTCCGTCATTAAGTAAAAATCCCCAGAAGTGATGAAATAAATGCTCAGTAATTTTAAGCACTATGTAGTTATTAAAATTAGCTAATCTAGCCAGGCGTGGTGGCTCACACCTGTAATCCCAGCACTCTGGGAGGGCGATGCGGGCCGACTGCTTTAGCCCAGGAATTCGAGACCAACCTGGGCAAGGTGGTGAGACCTCGTCTCTACAAAAATACAAAAATTAACTAGGTGTGGTGGCTCATGCCTGTAGTTCCAGCTACTCAGGAGGCTGAGGTGGGAGGATTGCTTGAGCCTGGGAGGCAGAGGTTGCAGTGAGCCCAGATTGCACCACTGCACTCTAGTCTGGGTGACAGACCCTTCCTCAAAACAAAACAAAAAAACTTTTATAAGGAGACTACTTTTGAACCCAGGGATGGCCTAGTTTGTGACCACTAACTTCTAGGAGGACAAGAAAGCATCATCACATGTCTCAAAGAATACAGGAAGAAAGAACAAGGACAGATTTTCCAATGTTTCCTCGTTGGAATTTCTGCCGTCCCCAACCCTCCCTCACCCTCAGATAACACATCCCACTCCGGCTCCAACCTCCCCTCAAAACACAACACACACAGTACTGAGACCTTCTGTGTCAGCCCAGGAGGGAAGCGATAAAAGAAAGGCACAAACAGGGGAGTGGCAAGGAGGAGGCTGACAAGGAGGAACCCCAGGCATCTGCATGCAATCGGCAATCAGCCATCAGCTTTAGTAACCCACTGCTCTGTGGACAAGAAACAAGAGCAGTGTGGGGGCGAAGGTAGGGCACTGTGAAGAAAACCTTCCTCATAGCTGATGCTGTCACAGTCAAATAATGACCTTCCTTTCCAAGTTGCACGGGTTCTCAACTTTTGAGAAGTTTTCTGTAATCTTCCTGTGTTCCTGTACCCCAAAACACAGCTCTGTGTGTCTACCGTCTGGAAGCAGATGCAGCCTGGGATGGGAGTTTTTGAAATGACTCCACAAGATTCTAAAGGAAATTCAAACCGGGAAAGTGGAATTTACAATGGAAACAAACAGTCTGTCTCCTGCTTTCAGATTGGAGTCTAAATTTAGATCACCATATAGAAGAGCATGCCGGGGCCTGGAAAGCTTTTCCTGCAGAGCTGACATCTCTTTACCTCTTCCCTTTTTAGCCTCCTAGAGGACATGTTGTTTTGTTTTTATTATTGTTTTGGAGATAGAAGCCTCCTGAAAAGCCAGCCCCCCGGCGTCAGAGAGTCTTATCAACTCATTTCTGAGTGGCACTCAAAAACCTCCTAATAATGTTCAATAAAACTTTCTTTCATATCACTGTTGGAAAGTGGGATCAGGGACGAGGCGCGGTGGCTCATGCCTGTAATCCCAGCACTTTGGGAGGCCAAAGCAGGAGGATCACTTGAAGCCAGGAGTTCAAGACTAGCCTGGGCAACAAAGTGAGACCCTATCTCTACAAAAAGTAAAAATAAAAAAGAGGCCGGGCACGGTGGCTCACGCCTGTAATCCCAGCACTTTGGGAGGCCGAGGCGGGCGGATCACAATGTCAGGAGATCGAGACCATCCTGGCCAACATGGTGAAATTCTGTCTCCACTAAAAATACGAAAAATTAGCCGGGTGTGGTGGCGGGCACCTGTAGTCCCAGCTACTCGGGAGGCTGAGGCAGGAGAATGGCATGAACCCGAGAGGCGGAGCTTGCAGTGAGTCAAGATCGTGCCACTGCACTCCAGCCTGGATGACAGAGTGAGACTCCGTCTCAAAAAAAAGATAAATAAAATTTAAAAAAAATTTAAAAATTAAAAATAAAAATAAAAACAATAAAAAAGAGGCCGGGCGCGGTTGCTCATACCTGTAATCCCAGCACTTTGGGAGGCTGAGGTGGGCGAATCACCTGAGGTCAGGAGTTCGAAACCAACCTGGCCAGTATGGTGAAACCCTGTCTCTACTAAAAATACAAAAATTAGCTGGGCATGGTGGCGCATGCCTGTAATCTCGGCTACTTGGGAGGCTGAGGCAGGAGAATCGCTTGAACCTGGGAGGCGGAGGTTGCAGTGAGCCAAGATCACGCCACTGCCCTCCAGCCTGGGAGACAGAGCAAGACTCTGTCTCAAAAACAAATAAATAAATAAGAAAGCGGGACCTGAAGGATGTTTGCTTGGTGTAACTGACACAATTGTTAGGAGCCAACTATTTCCAATTTAAAAAATAGCCTTTGGGCCAGGTGTGGTGGCTCACACCTGTAATCCCAGCACTTTGGGAGGCCAAGGCAGGCAGATCGTTTGAGCCCAGAAGTTTGAGACCAGCCTGGGCAGGATGGCAAAACCCCGTCTCTCAAAAAACAAAAATAAAAATTAACTGTGCCTATAGTCTCAGCTACTCAGGAGGCTGAAGAGGGAGGATAGCTTGAGCCTGGGAGGTTGAGGCTGCCATGAGCCTTGATCACACCATTGCACTCCAGACTGGGAGACACAGCGAGCCTTTGAATGCCTGGACCAGTTATATGAGGAAAACCGAGCAACCTGGAGATATTCACAATGGCAGTGCCACCCTATAGTTCCTCTTCAGCCAATGAGCCCCCAAAGGGATTGGTTTGGTGACATGCACCACTCACTCTGATCCTCTCTATTGCCTTCACGCGTCCTCCAATCCTGTCTGTTAACTAGACGCGCTCCCTGCCCCTCACCCAACTTTGCTGAAGTTGCTCCCTCCTGCAGTGTTGCCCTGCTCCTTGATTCCACCAATTCTTCCAGGTTCTGTGCAAGTGCTGCCTCTCCTGAAAAGTTTTCCTTCATCTCACCAACTAGACATCATTTTTCCTTTCATTTTATTGAATGGCAAGGCAGCTTGTTTGTATCTGAAATAGATCACATGTGTACCTTGTATACAGGCCCTGCATATGATTATTTAGGTGTAAATCCAATCTCCCTTTCCAGATTATTAGATACTTGCCTGCCTGATGCATGGCTAATTTGTGTCATTTCCTCAAGAGTATTCAGCCCTGTGTCTTACACTGCAGAACCTCTATAAGCACATGATGCACACATGGATGAATGTGGCCTTACCAGCAAAGACAGATCTACTCAGTGGGTGGACAGCGTCCTACAGCTATGTCCAATGGCAAGAAAGTTGCGTGACAGTGAGCAGTGTCCTGGCCCTGTTTCCAGACAGCTAGAGTCCACGGCGTTTACCTCCACCAACTTCCAACCTTGCTTTCCCTTTCTTCTCTCTCTGTTCCAGCCAAACCCATCTCCTCATTACTGTGGGAAAACATCATACTCATTCCCAGGTCTACAGCTTTTATTATGACATTCGGCCGACTTGAAACACTCTACTTCTCTGCTTCTGATTGTCTAATTCTTGCCCTGCCTTCAAGGCTCCGCTTAAAGTCCATCTCCACCAGGAAGCCTTCCTTGAATAGTTTAGTCCTTGATAGCAGTGTGCCATGAAGAAAAGGAATGGATTAAAATACTCTATCTCTGGGTCCTAGTTTCTGCTTAGCTGCTTGACCTCTGATTCCTCATTCATAAAATGAGTTCTTGAATTACCTGATCTCCAAAGCCCTCAGTGGTTAATATAGTCTGTAATGCTAATCTCTCCATGCTTGGAACTTCTAGCGCTTATATTGTTGCAACCATTCGCTTGGTACCAAACCTATGCTTATCTGCTTACGTGCATTGTTGTTTATCTTTTCTTTTTTTTTTTTTTTTTGAGACAGAGTCTTGCTCTGTCGCCCAGGCTGGAGTGCAATGGTGCCATCCCGGCTCACTGCAACCTCCACCTCCCAGGTTCAAGTGATTCTCCCTGCCTCAGCCTCCCGAGTAGCTGGGATTACAGGCACCTGCCACCACGCCCAGCTAATTTTTGTATTTTTAGTAGAGATGAGGTTTCACCATATTGGTCAGGCTGGTCTCCAACTGCCGTCCTCAGGTGATCTGCCCACCTCAGCCTCCCAAAGTGCTGGGATTACAGGCATGAGCCACTACGTGTCTGGTTCATCCAACTAACTTGTAACTCCCTCAAGGACTAAAAATGTCCTTTAATTATTTGCAGCCCTGTCATTTAGGATAGAAGTTTTGGTAATAAATGTTTTTGGTAATGATGACTATGACTGATAATTATGAATGCTTGTGCCACTTTTCCTAATGCTGCTTTGAGGATGTTGTTGCTGCCACAAACATCCTTTGTATTTCTGGAACGCTGTAAGTAATGGAAGGGTTGTCTGCTGACATAGGCAGTGGTTAAAACCATGGAATCCATCCCTTGTTTGCTTGTGACTTTGTGTCTTAGTGTAACTCCTTTAAAACTCAGTTTATAAAGGCTGGGAACGGTGGCTTATGCCTGTAATCCCAGCACTTTGGGAGGCCAAGGTGGGTGGATCACATGAGATCAGGAGTTCGAGACCAGCCTGGCCAACGTGGCAAAACCCCATCTCTACTACAAATACAAAAAATTAGCCAGACGTGGTTGTGCATGCCTGTAGTCCCAGCTGCTGGGGAGGCTGAGGCAGGAGAATTGCTTGAGCCTGGGAGGTGGAGGTTTGCAGTGAGCTGAGATTGTGCCACTGCACTCCAGCCTGGGCGACAGAGGAAGACTCCATCTCAAAAAAAAAAAAAAGAAACAACAACAGCAACAACAAAACCCTCAGTTTTTTCTTTGTTTGTTTGAGATGGAGTCTTGCAGTGTCGGCCAGGCTGGAGTGCAATGGCGCGATCTCAGCTCACTGCGATCTCTGCCTTCCACCTGGTTTCATGCTATTCTCCTACCTCAGCCTCCCAAGTAGCTGGGATTACAGGCGTACACCACCACACCTGGCTAATTTTTTGTATTTTTAGTAGAGACGGAGTTTCACTATGTTAGCCAGACTGGTCTTGAACTCCTGACCTCATGATCTGCCCGCCTCGGCCTCCCAAAGTGCTGGGATTACAGGCGTGAGCCACCGCACCTGGTCAAAAACCTCAGTTTTTAAATTTGATTCTTACATGGAAAGATATCCCAATGTTGGCAGGTACTACTGACTGGCAAACCTGATCTTCAGTCTAACTCCCTCCTCCCTTATCTACCTCTACCTTATGGGCTATAAAAAGTAGAATGTGGCCAGGTGCAGTGGCTCACACCTGCAATCCCAGCACTTTGGGAGGCCGAGGCAGGCGGATCATGAGGTCAGGAGTTCAAGACCATCCTGGCCAACATGGTGAAACCCCATCTCTACTAAAGATACAAAAATTAGCAGGGCATGGTGGCGTGCGCCTGTAGTCCCAGCTATTCGGGAGGCTGAGGCAGGAGAATCACTTGAACTTGGGAGGCAGAGGTTGCAGTGAGCCGAGATCGCACCACTGCACCCCAGCCTGGGCAACACAGTGAGACTCCATCTCAGGAAAAAAAAAAAAAAAAGGAGAATGTGTGTTCCAGCTTCTCTTGCAGACAGAATTGGCAGTGGTTCAGTTATCACCAGTAAGACATAAATGAAGTCTGAGGTATTGTTCCTTCTCCTCTGTGTATTCTTTTATTCTGCCTGTAACACACATGCAATGGCTAGAGCTGTAGCAGCTATCTTGTAACTGTAAGGGGATAAGCAGAAAACAAAAACCAACATTTTAAGGCTGGAGGGGCAGAAATATGGAGGGATCCTGAGTCCATGACAGCATCCTTGAGCAGCTCTTCTAGCCTTGGACTGTATACCTTGGAAGTCCTTGCTATATGAGAAAAAATCCTCCCATTTACCATCGATTTAAGCTACTGTCATTGAGGTCTTCTATTACTTGCAGCTGAGTGCATCTCTAATGAGTACCTCATTTCATAGTCTGGTTATGAGGGTAAATGAGATTAATGTAAATCTCTTAGAATCTCCCAGAGTAAGTCCTCAACAGAAGGTTACTGTTATTATTGAAAGAATGCCTCCACTGGCCAGGTGCAGTGGCTCACGCCTGTAATCCCAACACTTTGGGAGGCCGAGGCGGGCAGATCACAAGGTCAGGAGATCGAGACCATCCTGGCTAACATGGTGAAACCCCGTCTCTACTAAAAATACAAAAAAAAATTAGCCGGGCGTGGTGGCGGGCGCCTGTAGTCCCAGCTACTCGGGAGGCTGAGGCAGGAGAATGGTGTGAACCCGGGAGGCGGAGCTTGCAGTGAGCAGAGATCGCGCCACTGCACTCCAGCCTGGGCAACACAGCAAGACTCCGTCTCAAAAAAAAAAAAAAAAAAAAGTATGCCTCCATTACCATCTATTTTCCCCCAGCCCTGGTCCTGTGGCATCTGAGCTTTAAAAGGGAAGAAACACAGGTGCTTACCTGTTTTTTTCATCAACCTATGCATTCCTGAGGAAATACTATCATATTTCAAAGATGCCATCATAGGCAACATCTTTCAAAAAAGCAAGAGAACTAGAGCACTGAGCCAAGGTATTGGTCTCTCCTATCTCCAGTCTTCTCCTCTATGTATACTGGATAAACACAACTCCAACAAAAAGCCTTCCCTGGGGCCCTTCTTTGCCCCTGCACTCATGAAGTTTCCCCCAAGTTAATACCTGAATGCCCTTCCTTGGCTCTTCACAAGCTGCTTTTCTCTCCGTCTTCAAGCCTCAGCTCCCAAGACCCCTCCTCATAGAGACCTTCCCTGGTGACCTTTTCTTTTCTTTTCTTTTCTTTTTTAGACAGAGTCTCCCTCTCTCGCCCAGGCTGGAGTGCAGTGGCGCGATGTCGACTCACTGCAAGCTCCGCCTCCGGGGTTCAAGCGATTCTCCTGCCTCAGCCTCCAGAGTAGCTGGGACTACAGGCACCTGCCACCGCGCCAGGCTAATTTTTTGTATTTTTAGTAGAGCGGGGTTTTCACCGTGTTAGATAGTCTCAAACTCCTGATCTCATGATCCACTGGCTTCGGCCTCGCAAAGTGCTGGGATTACAGGCATGAGCCACTGCGCCCAGCCCCTGGTGATCTTTTCTAAGGCTGCTTTCTCCACTATTCTCCATTTCCTTTTATTTTTAAATTTTTCTGTAGAGATGAGGTCTCCCTTTGTTCCCCAGGCTGGAGTGCTGTGGTGCAATCATAGTTCACTGAAGACTCAAACTCCTAGGCACAAGCAATCCCCACCTCAACCCCCGAGTAGCTGGGACTACAGGTACACACCGTCACGCATGGCTAATTTTTAAATTTTTTTGTAGAGACGGGGTCTTGCCATGTTTATCAGGCTGGTTTTGGACTCCTGGCCTCTAGCAATAAGACTGCCTCAGCCTCCCAAAATGCTGGGATGACAGGTGTGAGCCATTGCACCCAGCCTACTCTCCCATCTTACCGTCCTGCTTATTTTCTCTTGTAATTATCTCATTTATTTGTTTGTTTGTTGCTTGTCTTGCCTTTAAGGCTGCACACTTCATTTGAGCAGGATCTTATCTGTTTTGTTCACCAATGCACCTGGGCACATAGCATAGTGCCTGACACTTAGTAGATGCTCAATTAATATTTGTAAATTCTTTTTTTTTTTTTTCCTTGAGACAGTCTCACTCCGTCACCCAACCTGGAGCACAGTGATGCAATGTTGGCTCACCGCAACCTCTACCTCCTGGGATCAAGGGATCCTCCCACCTCAGCCTGTGGAGTAGCTGAGACTACAGGCACGTAGTCCCACACCTGGCTAATTGTCGTATTTTTTGCAGAGATGGGGTTTTACCATGTTGCCCAGGCTTGTCTCAAACTCCTGAACTCAAGTGATCTGCCCACCTTGCCCTCCCTAAATGCTGGGATTACAGGTATGAGCACCATCATGCCTAGCCAATATTTGTTAATTCGTTAACCAAACCTCTAAAAGCTCAATGAAGTTTTAGTTCTAGCCTAAAATCTATGCTGGTAAAACAGGATAAATTGGTGGCTTATTGCTCACATGTCAGAAGGCTCCTTTGTTTTATAAAAAGATTCAAGGCAGATTTCAAAA
Organism: Homo sapiens; assembly: GCF_000001405.40. NCBI lineage: Eukaryota > Metazoa > Chordata > Mammalia > Primates > Hominidae > Homo > Homo sapiens. The sequence continues at coordinate 3,036,642 of NC_000018.10, forward strand.
AGAATTAAGCTTCACTTTCAAAAATTCCTTTTATGTTCAGATTTTCAGGAACATGGAAACGGTATTACAGGAAGTGATCTACATCTTATCGCTCCCACATGTGCAGCATTTAATATGTAAAGATTGCTAAAGATGCTATGTCTCCCAAACTGTGTGTACTTCTCATTAAATGTTTTTCTGTCTCCTTTCATTGGGAAAAGCCATAAAATGGCAAGGCAGGTGAATAAACAGCAGTGACAATTCTTTTTTTTTTTTTTTTTTGAGACGGAGTCTCGCTCTGTCGCCCAGGCTAGATAGAGTGCAGTGGTGCGATCTCGGCTCATTGCAAGCTCCGCCTTCCGGGTTCATGCCATTCTCCTGCCTCCGAGTAGCTGGGACTACAGGTGCCCGCCACCACGCCAGGCTAATTTTTTGTATTTTTAGTAGGGACGGGGTTTCACCGTGTTAGCCAGGATGGTCTCGATCTCCTGACCTCGTGATCCGCCCGCCTCGGCCTCCCAAAGTGCTGCGATTACAGGCATGAGCTACCACGCCTGGCCTGTTTTATTTTATAATTGTATGAAGAATAAAGTAAATTAATGTTTATAATAACATATGGTATAGAAATTCCTAGGAGCTGAACTAAAGCAAACTAAAAAACAAACAAACAAACAAACAAACAAACAAAAAACTTATAATGAGTATTTGTGAGTTAGGCATATTTTATCTTTTAGTATAAAATACAAATATAATTTTGTATGGATATCTCTAGTTAATTTTCATTCATTGATTACTCCTTACATCACTTAAGTCAGCAGGTTCATTTCCTTTTGAAATATGCTGATGCAGAAAATAGCAACTAACTGAGCCAGTTTTGTGACCAAAGATAGCTAGTCACAGTGGAGCTAGTTGGGAACAGAGCACAAAGCCCTGACTCACCGTGTAGCCTTTCCTCGTTGTGAAACCTTTCTCCTTCCTGTTTACATTTTCACTTCAGCCAACATATATTGCGTACCTAGAAGGGGGCTAAACATAGCACAAGGTAGAAACCAATAAGGCCTGGGCTGTTTGGCTTTCCCTCCCAGGACTCATATAGTAGGATCTTCCCTCTAACACAATAAAGGAATTTGGATTTTGTGCAGCTGCGAAAGGACAAATGCCCACTGCAGGGCTAAAACTCCAAGCAGAAGTTATCAAGTGGAGGCAAACATTTTGCTTCTTGGAAGTTGCTCTTTATTAGACTTTGGTGGTAAAGATATGTTAGTTCCAACTACAGATTAAGATGTTTATGGTCTCTTACAACCATATTGTTTAGCATTTCGTGTTTGGACTTTTTGCAAGTAACTTACAAAAGAAATTGATTTTTTTACACAATAGCAAAGAGGATTTGTTCGTTTATTTATTGAGATGGAATCATTCTGTCGTCCAGGCTGGAGTACAGTGGAGTGATCCCGCCTCACTGCAACCTCTGCCTCCTCAGTTCAAGCGATTCTCCTGCCTCAGCCTCCCAAGCAGCTGGAATTACGGGCACCCGCCACCACACTCGGCTAATTTTTGTATTTTTAGTAGAGACGAGGTTTCACCATGTTGGCCAGGCTGGTCTCAAACTCCTGACCTCAGGTGATCCGCCCGCCTCGGCCTCCTGAAGTGCTGGGATTACAGGCGTGAGCCAGTGTGCCCCGCCTGTTTATTTATTTATTTTTTGAGATAGGATCTCTTCGGCTGGGCGCGGGCTCACGCCTGTAATCCCAGCACTTTGGGGGGCCGAGGCGGGTGGATCACGAGGTCAGGAGATCGAGACCATCCTGGCTAACAGGGTGAAACCCCGTCTCTGCTAAAAATACAAAAAATTAGCCGGGCATCATGGCGGGCGCCTGTAGTCCCAGATGCTCGGGAGGCTGACGCAGGAGAATGACGTGAACCCGGGAGGCGGAGCTTGCAGTGAGCCGAGATCGCGTCACCGCACTCCAGCCTGGGCGACAGAGCGAGACTCCGTGTCAAAAAATAAAAAAGAGAGATAGGATCTCGCTCTGTCACCCAGGCTAGAGTGCACTGGGGTGATAATGGCTCTCTGCAGTCTTGACCTCCCAGGCTCAAGCGATCCTCCACCTCAGCCCGCCTCAGCCTCCTGAATAGTTGGGACTACAGGCGTACGCCACCATGCTTGGCTAATTTTTAATTTTTTTGTAGAGATGGAGGTCTCACTTTGTTGCCTAAGCTGGTCTCAAACTCCTGGGCTTAAGGGATCCTTTTGCCTTGGCCTCGCAAAGTGCTGGGATTACAGATGTGAGCCACTGCACTCGTCCAAGAGCATTTAAACATACATTAAATCATACTGCTACCCAAAAGATTTCTTCTAAGTATTCAAATTTTCCTAACCTCTAATCTCTGTGGCTTCTCTGAGTGTGGCTGTAATTCACTGGATAATAACAACAAACACATAGGCTTAATAAGTGCTTTACATGTATATTAACTCAATCCTCCCAACGACTGTAAGTGTTAGAGTTTATTATTATCTCCATGTTACAGATGAAAAACTAATGCCCTTGAGATCAACTACTTTGCTTAAGGCCACGCAGCTCAGAATGGCAATTGGACCCCAGTAGGCCCCAGAGCCTGTATCATCAGCCACCACAATATACAAGCCTAATTAGCTCACATGAGAAACTTTGCATAATGCCTTTGAAAAATTTAGTTTTTCCCTTACATTGTTTTCTGTTCTGATCTATTCACATGTTTAAGCCAGAAAAACAACGTTATCTCAATCATTAGGAATACAGAACTAGGAAACATTTAATATCTATTATGCAGTATAACCAAAAGAAATCTTGAAAAAAAACACAAGAGAGGTATCTTTTTTAGGCCTCAGAAGGACTTAGGGAAAGGGAAAATGTCCTTTCCCTTTCAATTATAAAGGTGATGTTTAATTTCTTGGGAGAGGGTAGTCTTGTCATTTTTTTTAGTCATTTTTTTAAATGCAGCTTCTCACCTTTTTTTTTTTTTCAGACGGAGTTTCACTCTTGTTGCCCAGGTTGGAGTGCAATGGCGTGACCTCGGCTCACTGCAACCTCCACCTCCCAGATTCAAGTGATTCTCCTGCCTCAGCCTCCCTAACAGCTGGGATTACAGGCATGCGCCACCACCCCTGGCTAATTTTCTATTTTTAGTAGAGACGGGGTTTCTCCATGTAGGTCAGGCTGGTCTCGAACTCCCGACCTCAGGTGATCCACCTGCCTCAGCCTCCCAAAGTGCTGGGATTACAGGCGTGAGCCACTGCGCCCGGCCCTTCTCATCTGTTTTTTACAGCTCACAATACTATAAAGAAACAAACTGACATTAAAAAATGAACATGAAAGGATCCACCCAATCTGAATTTAAAAGAAGACAAAAAACATAGGGTTTTTCAAAGGTAAACAGTAACCACATCACTCCTGAGCTTTTATTCCTGCATTATGTAAATCAGAAACTCTAGACAGTCTAATCAAGTCAAATTATGCTCATCACACCCGAAAGCAACCATTCTGAAGTATCTCATTTTTTCTTCTTGCTCTCAATTCTACCTGACATTCATTGTCTGGTGTTTCCTTCCATGTCTGTAAACTCTATTTCTGCACCTTTCCGTATAGTCTCCTTTTATTGCTTGTCATTACAGATGTTTTTCTTACTCTTAATCTTTCACTTAATTTCCCCCCAGGCCTTTGCTACTCAGTTCTTGCTTTATTGAATTTTAGTCATTCATGATGTATTGCATTTTCCCCTGGAGATTCTAGTTTGAGTCATTTGGAAAGATGCTCTTTCTTTAAAACTACCTATTGGGTACCATACTAGCTACTTGGGTGATGGAGTCATTTATACTCCAAACCGCAGCATCACAAAATATACCTCTATAACAAACCTACACAATCCTGCAGTAAAATTTGAAAAAAAGAAAAAAAAAAGTAGGATAGTCTGGAAAATTATCACTGATGAGCTGATTCTTGAATAGAAATATGAAATCATTCAAAATGTTTTAAATGTATCATTTAAAAAATAATTTTGGCTGGGCACAGTGGCTTGTACCTGTAATCCCAGCACTTTGGGAGGCTGAAGTGGGAGGATCGCTTGAGCCCAGGAGTTTGAGACCAGCTTGAGCAATATAGGTAGACCCTGTCTTTACAAAAAAATTAAAAATTAGCCAGGTGTGGTGGTGAACGTCTGTAGTCTCAACTACTTGGGAGGCTGAGGCAGGAGGATTGCTTGAGCCTGGGAGGTCGAGGCTGTAATGAGCCATGACTGTGCCACTGCACTCCAGCCTAAGCAACTGAGTGAAACCCCATCTCAATAATAATAATAATTGGCAGGCGTGGTGGCTCATGCCTGTAAGCCCAACATTTTGGGAGGCCGAGATGGGTGGCCCACTTGAGGTCAGGAGTTCCAGACCAGCCTGGCCAACATGGTGAGACCGCCCCGCAATGTCTACTAAAAAAATACGAAAATTAGCCAGGTGTGATGGCACATACCCGTAATCCCAGCTACTCAGGAGGCTGGGGCAGTAGAATCACTTGAATGCAGGAGGCAGAGGTTGCAGACAGCCAATATCGCACCACTGCACACTCCAGCCTAGGCCACAGAGTGAGACCCCGTCTCCAAAAATAATAATAATAATCCTGACAATCATATTTTTATTAAAATGAGTAAGTGGATTAGATGGGGAGAAAAGGTGCTCTTTCTTGATAACTGGCAGACCGAGGTGACCTCTATGTCAGGAGACGATTGTGGCATTGTCCTCACCACTGTTCGCCAGCCATCTTTGTCTCTGCAGGGGCGGCACAGCTGGAATTCTGAAAGAACCTGCTCCTCTAAAACATAGATCCCAGATCTGAGCTTTAAGGGCCTTTGTTAAAATAAAATGTGTTTTTCCAAAGGGATTAGCATTTTACACTAGTAATCCTCTCACTCAGCTTGGAGGGCACAGAGGAAATGCAGCACAAACATGAACATCTTGAGGAGGCTCGTTCTTGGGATGGGTGGGTTGTCATGGGAGGCATATCTAGAACAGGTATCAGAACCCGAGGGGCTGGAGATTTGATCAACCAGGAACCAGTATCAGGTGAGTAGGCTCCAGGCAGAATGCACAAAAGGAAAGTGTGGAGTACAAACAAGAAGAATGAAGCTGGACCAACTGCTCTGGGGCTCACTTATTAGTTACATATATTGGGAGCTGTTTCTGTGGGAGAAATGGATCCTAACATTCCCCAGCTGTCCCGCCACCTCCGTCAAACCTCAGGAAAGCAGCGTAAAACCTGCTTTGTAGAAAGAAAATTTCTTCCATAAAGTGAGGCATCCCGTTGCTTTAATTATCCCAATACTCAGAGTGAAAATATGATCTTATATGTTTATTTGCCTAAAACTTAACTCCAGTTGTCACAACAAAGCAAAGTGAAGGAGGAAGTAAGACCCAAAAACATATTTTATAGACAGCTGCCATCTGTCTTGATGAAACTATTAAAGCCTCCTCAAGAACAAGCCTCTTGTCCTGATTCTTATCTTCTGTTTTATCCTCTCCCACTTTTCATCTGTCCCTCGGCTCAAATGACAGTGATTACAGCCATAGTAGTAAACTCTGAGGAGAAAGAGACTAATGGGAATTTCCTTTTTCCAAGGCAGCACAATAGAGGAAATCCTTAGGTTTTTTGGGGAGCAGCTGTCATTTCCACCAGCCAACCTAGTCAAGGACATGTGTTCTCTGAATACTCTAGCAGCAGGTCACAGATTCATTGAACAAAGGTGGGTTCCCACCTGTGGGCTCCTGGGCTGTGGGAAAGAAAATAACAATGGTGGAAGTGTTGAGAGACTTGGTTTCATTCTTCCCTCCCTTACATATCACTTGACCCTGATGGCTTGATTGACTTCACCTCCCTTAACATTAGTTTGCTTATCTATAAAATGAGGTCAGTAACCTGAGCACAAACTGCCTCACTGGGGTGACGTATTACTTGACGCACATGAAAGTACTTAGAAACATATTTCATACACAAAATAGTTTCAGTAAATTTTGTAAGGCAACCCCAGTAAGAAAATCCCACAAATAGGAATTCCTGATTTTGTATACTGCAGTGATTTCTGTATTCCAGAGGGGAACAGAGGCCTTTCTTATTTCTTTTTTTTTGAGATGGAGTCTCGCTCTGTCGCCCAGGCTGGAGTGCAGTGGTGCGATCTCGGCTCACTGCAAGCTCCGCCTCCCGGGTTCACACCATTCTCCTGCCTCAGCCTCCCGAGTAGCTGGGACCACAGGCGCCCACCACCACGCCCGGCTAATTTTTTTGTATTTTTAGTAGAGACGGGGTTTCACCGTGTTAGCCAGGATGGTCTCGATCTCCTGACCTTGTGATCCGCCCGCCTCGGCCTCCCAAAGTGCTGGGATTACACGTGTGAGCCACTACGTCTGGCCTCTCATTTCGATAATATGGTTTTTTTGCCCTTTGGAAAATTACCCTTGGAAAAATGAGGCAGGAAGCACAGGGAGGGGGAAAGCCCCTTCCTGAAGGCCTACTATGTGCCACGTGCTCTCCTAGGCACTGTTAAAAATGAATAAACCCCTTTAATCCTGGCAAAATCTCCATGTGGGAGACAGTGTAGTGTCCTTATCCCCACTTTAGAGGAGGACTTGTGGGGAGGGGGTCTAACTTTCCCACAGTGAGAAAGGGGTGGAGGTGAAGCCAATCTGCCTAACCCCAGGATTCTGCCGCTGGACTGTGCTTAACTTGCTTGCTGATCTACTGGGGAAAGGTGATAGCAGAGTTACCAGCGGAGCAAAAGTTACACACAAAGCACCTATTTATTTTTCCCCAAGTGGCCTTTAATTAGTCATGCTTTTAGCACAAGATAACCTTTGATTGTGCGTAGCAAGGTTCATTTTGAATAGGTTCAGCTTAATAACGTCAATACTGCTCCACCTTCATTGAAATATTTAACAAAATATAATCTGAGGCTGGGTGCGGTGGCTCATACCTGAAACCCTAGCCCTTTGGGAGGCCAATGTGGGAGGATCACTTGGGCCCAGGAGTTCAAGACCAGCCTGGGCAACATAGTGGGATCCCTGTCTCTATAAAAAAATTTTAAAAATTAGCTGGTGTGGGCCTACATTCCTGTAGTCCCAGCTACTTGGGAGGCTGAGGTGGGAGAATCATTTGAGCCCAGGAGGTCAAGGCTGCAGTGAGCCATGTTTTCTCCATTGCACTTTAGCCTGGGCAACAGAGAAAGACACTGTCTCAGAAAAAATGAAAAGATATAATCTGATGTGAGAAATCCTATAGGTGACCTTCTGTTAACAGTTGGGAGCTGTGGGTTCAGATTTTTGGTCCTGCCTCATGTCTACTCTATACATTATTTTCTATGCTTATTTTCGTCATTGGCAAGAGCTGGCATTCTTAGGAAATAAAAAGAAGTTATGGCACTATTCACCCTTCTTGGAGAGTTTTTAAATACAGTCAACCCTCCATATCTGTGGGTTCCACATCGGAGGATTCAACCAACCTCGGATTGAAAATATGCAGAAAAAAATATGGATAGTTGCATCCGTACCGAAAAGGTACAGGCTTTTTTCTTGTCATTATTCCTTCAACAATATAATATAACAACAATTTACACAGCATTTACATTGCATAAGGAATTATAAGTAATCTAGAGAGGATTTAAAATATACAGAAGCACGGCTCACGCCTGTAATCCCAGCAATTTGGGAGGCCGAGGCAGGTGGATCACCTGAGGTCAGGAGTTTGAGATCAGCTTGGCCAACATGGTGAAACCCCATCTCTACTAAAAATACAAAAATTCGCTGGGTGTGGTGTTGCACACCTGTAATCCCAGCTACTTGGGAGGCTGTGGCAGGAGAGTCACTTGAAACTGGGAGGCGGAGGTTGCAGTGAGCCAAGATCGAGCCACTGCACTCCAGCCTGGACAACAGAGTAAGACTCTGTCTCAAAAATAAATTAATTAAATCAATCAATAAATAATATATACGGAAGGATGTGCATAGGTTATCTGAAAATACTATGCCCTTTTATATAAGGGACTTGACCATCTGTAGATTTTGGTATCTTTGGGGCAGTCTTGGAAACAATTCCCTGTGGATATGGAGGGACGACTGTATATCTATATCGCAGAGGCAATGGCTTCTGTCCTGCCTTCCCTTACACGGCTGCCATAGCTCTAGTAACTTCCCCTAGATTTTCTCATGCCCCCAAACTAGCCTCTTAGAAAGACTTCATTGTGGGAAAATAGTCAGTGAATTCCAGAATTATAGATTTAAATGGTTTGAGGATAAGCAACAAGTCTGGTCTAGTTTCTGCTTGCTGAAAAGGGTAAACTGTGCAGATGGGCCACCCACAGATGGCCCAGATTTGGATTCAGCAGGGAGAAGTATTTACTCAAGATCGTCTGAGCAAGAACTGTATCTGGTGGAATGTAGCCAAGACGTAGGAAAGCTGCACTGAGCACCCTGAGAGGGTGCCCGGAGTAGGCAGGGGATCCATCTGTGAGGACACGGTGGGAAATGCCATGCCAGATTAGGCTGGGCAGCCCCCATGCTGAATACTCTTAGGGGTGCTTATCTCAAGGCCAGCTGAGGGTGGAAGGAATGGAGGCTTGCAGGGGACTGTACTGAGGCTGCGCAGGTAGTTGTAAAATGAACAAGATAGATTGCATAGTGAAATCAAGGGAGGGTGGCAGGAAACAAAAGCAGCAAAAGCAGCAATTCCTATATGCAGCAGGCTTTACGCTCACCATTCATCAACAATCAAGCAAACAAAAACGCCCCCAAATACCAATCACGGCACGGTTTGCATTAAGTTCTGTGAGTGTGCATTGAGTGTTTACCCTGTGCAAGACACTGTGCTAGATGCAAAAACAAGTTTAAAAAATCTAATAAAGTAAGCAAATAAAGGGCAGAAAGGCTAACAGCCCCACTGCGGGCAACAAGCCAAGAGGAAGTTTCTGTGCATAGCATTCCCTCAACTGACCTGACTGCCTGGGCCAGAGATGCCCTGTCTTTGTCCTGCGTCTGTCTGGGTTACTCAGTAGGCACTTTCTTCGTGTTTTGCATCTTATACTCAGCTCATTAGTGTATAATAAAATACTTACCGAGAAGCTCCTATGTGACAGGGAGTTGGAAGATATAATGAGGTAAGTGTGTATTGAAACATATCTAGGCATAGAAAAAGTACAGTAAGTCTGGGCATGGTGGCTCATGCTTGTAATCCCAGCACTTTGTAAAGCCTAGGCGGACGGATCTTTTGAGGTCAGGAGCTCAAGACCAGCGTGGCCAACATGGTGAAACCCTGTCTCTACTAAAAACACAAAAATTAGCCGGGCGTGGTGGTGCGTGCCTGTAATCCCAGCTACTCGGGAGGCTGAGGCAGGAGAATTGCTTGAACCCAGGAGGCAGAGGGTGCAGTGAGCCAAGATTGCACCACTAAACTCCAGCCTGGGTGACAGAGTGAGACTCAGTCTCAATTAACAACAACAACAACAAAAAGATACAGTAAAAAATACGCTATTATAATTTTACGGGACTGCTGTCATATATGTGGTCCATTGTTGACCAAAAGGTCATTATGCAGCACACGACTGTATTTTGTTGTGGATCTGCATCAGTACAGGATGTTTCAGGTCCTGGGCCCTCCCTTTCTACCTTGATCACAGACTACAGGGATGGTCTCAAGATTAGCAGGAGGAAGGTTTGTTTGTCTCATAGACTGTCCAGTCTGAAGAATGTGTGAGGCCTAGGCCCACCAGGGGCCCACAGCTGCTCTGGTGCAGGAGGGCCCGGGACAATGCCTGGTGTCTGCAGGAGGAGGGCAGAGGGGCAGAAAAGGCCCCTGGAAACATAAAGGAAGAAAAGTGGGAGGGAGACCAGAAGTCGATGGAACTTATAGTAAGCATCTGAATGGAAAGAGTTCTGTGTGATCTGTGTGAGTGGCAGGGGGGTTGGATGTGAAAATTAAGACTCATTTCTGTCCTCTCTAGACATAGGGTGTGTTTAAGCTGGGTTACCACTAAGACTGTGTGTTCTCTCAGGTGATTAAGTGATACCCACACAGCCTCCAGATACTGCCAAGCAAAACGTATGGGTAACATGCTTATTTTGCTCCATTGAGACAATTGAGCTTCTCATGTGTGGGGTCCATGTTTCATTCATGATTTCACCCTATACATGTTACCTAGTTTATAGTTCATAGAGATGCTAAATAGATGTTTGTTATTCTTGTTGTATTAGTGTGAGGAACCCACAAGACCTACCTTACAAACTGAATAGAAAATGCCCACAAATAAAGAATAATGTTATTCTAACATGTAAGTCTAGTGCTCATTATTAATGAAATTGGAGTTCAATGAAATACCCACATGGCTTAGAAGAAATAGTTAAAGATGACTCTGTGGAACAGATAAGCAGCAGAGAATAATCAGAATTTGGCTAGGCAACATGGAGGAAAAAGTGATTCCAGGGGCTGGAAAATCATGAGCCAAGTTTATTAAGCATGTTCGTGAGCCAAGGTCACAAAGTTTTGTGTAGAGGAATAACAAAAAATATATTCTACTCACGTCTGCAATCCCAGCACTTTGGGAGGTTGAGATGGGAAGCTCGCTTGAACCCAGAAGTTCAAGATCCACCCTGGCAACATGGAAAGACCCCATCTCTACAAAAAAATTATTTTAATTAATTAATTTATTTATTTTTAGTATTTATTTATTTATTTTGAGACGAAGTTTTGCTCTTGTTGCCCAGGCTGGAGTGCAATGGCGCAATCTCAGCTCACCGCAACCTTCGCCTCCCTGGTTCAAGCGATTCTCCTGCCTCAGCCTCCTGAGTAGCTGGGATTACAGGCATGCGCCACCACACCCAGATAATTTTGTATTTTTAGTAGAGACGGGGTTTCTCCATGTTGATCAGGCTGGTCTTGAACTCCCGACCTGAGGTGATCCGCCCATCTCGGCCTCCCAAAGTGCTGAGATTATAGGCATGAGCCACCGCGCTCAGCCCAATTAATTTATTTTTATATAGACGGGGTCTTGCTTTGTTGCCCAGGCTGGTCTCAAACTCCTGTCTTCCAGTGATCCTCCTGCCTTGGCCTCCCAAAGTGTTGAGATTACAGGCATGAGCCACCGTGCTCAACCCAAAACATTTAAACAGTAGGCAGCTGGGTGATGCTTACCTGTAGTCCCAGCTATTCGGAGGCTGAGGTAGGAGCATTGCTTGAGTTCCGGAGTTGAAGGCTACAATGAGCCATCGTGGTGCCACTGCACTGCAGCCTGGGCAACAAACTGAGTCTCTGTCTTTAAAAAAAGTACATCTAGAAGACTGGTCTATTGTGTTCACCTGGATGGAAAGATGGTTTTCTTTCCTGTCATAACCTAGGGTCTGGGCTATTGTGGGAGCCTGGTTTGTGTTTGTTGAGAGAATGAATGAATATATGATTGTCTTATTGAATAATAAATGTATCACCCGTCCTCTTTCATTCCAAAGAACAAGTGACATGGGTCTCTCTCTTCTGCCCCTCTGTCTTTCCTTTTTAAATCTTCTCTGCTTTTCCATCTTTGGATTCATTGCCCTCCGTCCTCTCCCTCCCGTCCCTCTTGCTCTGTTTGGAGTCTAAAGTAGAAGCATAGGAAGTGGGCTAGAAGGCAGCACATCCCAGGGCCGTCTGCGACTTCTCTGCATGCAGAGACAGATGGCAGTCTCTGCAATTACTCCCCATCATTTCCTCCAGCGATGCTCCCAGTCAGACTCCAGGAAGATGCCAGAACTGTTTTTGCCTTACAATACTGCCGGTCTCCAGGCTCAAGCTACTGCACTAACTACATTTTCCAAAGTAGGATAATTTTGTTATCAGAAAAAAATATATATTAGAAAAAGAATGCTGTACCTTCTTGTCTGTTCATGGGCATCATTATTTTCTGGCAAGAATTTCTTTTATATTTTCAAGTAATTTAGTTTGAATCAACTGTTTTTTTTTGTGATGGATGCTATTAGAATAAGTATTGCCCATGAAAAGCTTTATTTGTTAGAGTTAATTAAGTCTTATGGCAGAATTTTGAGGCTGGTTGATGAATACATTTTGTACAGCTAGAGAATAAAATCAAATTGGATGTTTTTCTTCATGATTAAATACACTTACATTTAGTTGGCTTTTCCACAAAAACAGTAAAGCACAAAAAAATCCCAAAATAAACTAAAAATCCCACATAATCTCACCCTACAGCCATAACAATTTGATTTATGCCCCTTTCATCTTTCTTCCTCCACATTTATTTATGTGTTTTGTTTTTTTTTTTTAATGTTTTGAGACAGAGTCTTGCTCTATTGCCCAGGCTGGAGTGCAGTGATGCAATCTCTGCTCACCACAACCTCTACCTCCTAGGTTCAAGTGATTCTCCTTCCTTAGCCTCCCGAGTAGCCGAGATTACAGGTGTGCAACACCATGCCTGGCTAATTTTTTGTATTTTTAGTAGAGACAGGGTTTTGCTATATTGGCCAGGCTGGTCTCAAATTCTCGGCCTCAGTGATCCTCCCTCTCTGGCCTCCCAAAGTTCTGGGATTGCAGGCATGAGCCACTGTGCCTGGCCCATTTGTGTGATTTTAAGTTGAAGAAAAGAAAATAAACTTTCTTTACCAGTTAAGCAATATATCAATTAACATTTTGTCAGCTACATAGCATTTCCTCTGTGGATTACCACAGGTTTTTTGTTTTTTTTTAAATCTCCTATTTTTTAGGATTAACTTTTTAAAAAATAGAGATGAGGTCTCATTCTTTAGCGTTGAAATGCTTTGAGTGTGATTTGATGTGTAAATAATATTGTGGTGAACATTCTTATTCAAACATCTTAGTCCATTATCTATTTTCTTATGGTAAAATTATTTAATGCAGAATTTCTGTGTCTAAGGATATATAATTTTAAGATTTTTGTTACATATTTCTGCTTTTTAGTCCCTTTTATAAAACTTGCAGTTTTGCTCTACCTTTAGAAAAACAATGCCAGCACAAAGCAAATTGTGAAGGCCCAAACCTTCTCTGCTCTTTATTTTGTATTATTTACTTATTTTTAACAGACAGGATTTAGCTCTGTTGCCCAGGATGGAGTGCAGTGATGCGATCATAGCTCACTATAACCTCAAAATCCGGGGCTCTCCTGGAGGTGGGGGGCATCCCCTGCCCGGCCAGCCACCCTGTCCGGGAGGTGGGGGGCGCCTCTGCCTGGCCACCCCGTCTGGGAAGTGAGGAGCCCCTCTGCCCGGCCACCACCCCGTCTGGGAGGTGTACCCAACAGCTCATTGAGAACGGGCCATGATGACGATGGTGGTTTTGTCGAATAGAAAAGGGGGAAATGTGGGGAAAAGAAAGAGAGATCAGATTGTTACTGTGTCTGTGTAGAAAGAAGTAGACATAGGAGACTCCATTTTGTTCTGTACTAAGAAAAATTCTTCTGCCTTGGGATGCTGTTAATCTATAGCCTTACCCCCAACCCCCTGCTCTCTGAAACATGTGCTGTGTCCACTCAGGGTTAAATGGATTAAGGGCGGTGCAAGATGTGCTTTGTTAAACAGATGCTTGAAGGCAGCATGCTGGTTAAGAGTCATCACCACTCCCTAATCTCAAGTACCCAGGGACACAAACACTGCGGAAGGCCGCAGGGTCCTCTGCCTAGGAAAACCAGAGACCTTTGTTCACATGTTTATCTGCTGACCTTCCCTCCACTATTGTCCCATGACCCTGCCAAATCCCCCTCTCCGAGAAACACCCAAGAATGATCAATAAATACTAAAAAAATTTAAAAAAAGAGAGAGAAAGAAAGAAATTTTTAAAATATATATGTATTAGGCCCTGGAAACTGCAAATACTTTCCTGGTCCCATTCATGAAAGGGCTCCACTTTGAAGTCAGTAATGTAATCAAGAAACGAACTAAGTATCTAACAAGATTAGTCTCCAAAATACAACTTTCTAGCACTTAGCGGGCTACTTTGAAACTCTATGTAAAATAAATTTACTTCTATAAAGGAAATCTCCATTTGTAAGGACATCCCCCTATACCAAAGCAGCTAGAAATCTTTACAATGGGAAAGACACTGGCTTAAAGTTTACGTAACAAACCTTACCTATGTTTAAAGATACTTTTCCTGGCAATCTTATCTTGACTGATTCTTTTTGTTTCAGCAAATAATGGTATATAGATATACGTTCTATGCCTCTGGGGGTATCAATTTTCACCTAAGAGTAATGTTTGCAATTTAGGGTTACCTAGCTAAACAACTGTTTAGGGCAATGAAATAAGTAATCAAGGAACTGGTAGTCTAAACAGGGAGAGATTATCTGCAAACTGGCAAATGAAGAATCTTATAAAGCTATAAGATCTGTTTCTGTCAAAAAAAAAAAAAAATCCGGGGCTCAAGTGATCCTCCTGCCTCAGCCTCCAGGGTAGCTGGGGCCACAGGTGCATGCCAACATGCCCAGCTAATTTTAAAATTTTTTGTAGAGATAAGGTCTTGTTTTGTTGTCAGTGCTGGTCTCTTGAACTCCTGGGGTCAAGCAGTCCTCCCGACTTGACCTCCCCAGGTGCTGGGATTACAGGTGCCTTCTCTTCTCTTTATCACATAAAAACTCATTCTCTGGAAGTAATCTGATAAATTAATTCTCACAGAAACGTGAAGCAGGGAAGATGCTCACTGCGTGAAGTTGGGAGCAGCATCGGTCCTGCCCAGTGCTGTGCATGGGTGACTTGATCGCATGAGACTTTGGGCCGAGAGGGGCTTTATTCATACTCGCTAGCAGAAGGAGTAGATGCAGTGCCCTGTTGGCATAAGTCATAGGAAGTAACTTGATGAAGGGCGAATGGCTTTCTTATTATGCAATTTCAGCCCACTGAGAGGAAATAAGGGGATATATATTTTGGGTGAGGTGAGGACAATGCACCTTTTTTTTCTATTTCTGGAATCTCATTTCATGGATTATTAACTACTCTGCCTACTAATAAAGAGAGGTTAGTGGGGAAAATAGTCTTTGAAATCTCAAACTTAAGCATTCCACTGTCTGACCATAATATCCTCTGGCCTGCTTACCCAAAAGCTTAAATTCCAAATATTCCTCTCTCATCGGGACTACCAGTTTATTGAGCATCATTTATCAAATGTTCTTCTGATTCTTCTTACCCAGCCTTAGACTCCAAGGTCCAACACTATAATCACTTCCTTGAGAACCACCCTTGGCCAGACACAGTGACTCATACCTATAATCCCAGCACTTCGGGAGGCCGAGGTGGGCAGATCACTTGAGATCAGGAGTTTAAGACCAGCCTGGCCAACAGGCGAAACCCCATGTCTTCTAAAAAAATACAAAGATTAGCTGGTTTTGGTGACGTGTGCCTGTAGTCCAGCTACTTGGGAGGTTGAGGCACAAGAATTGCTTGAACCCCGGAGGTGGAGGTTGCAATGAGCCAAGATCCTGCCACTGCACTCCAGCCTGGGTGACAGGGCAAGACTCTGTATCAAAAAAAAAAAAAAAACCACCCCGACTTTGTTCCTTTGTTCTCTCTCCATTTGTTTACCTACCTGACACAGCCCCGTCCTTCAGCATAACCACACTTGTGCAAATGAATGTTGCAGATAATTGCACAATGGTGCCACTAATGTGAAACATAGATTTCAAATGGACTCTGGCACTTCCTGGAAACCTCTCACATCCCCCTGCTCTCTAAGATATTTATATCATGCCTTTTCCTCTCTCCACTTACCTCATTTTCCATCTTCCTCTTAATTATTCACTCTCAACTGATGACGTGGCCTCATAATTCCTTAAGAATATGGAAACAGAAAGGAACGTCCTCATCATCTCACCATTAACCACCTGTATCTGTGCTCATGTTCTTGCCTCCTGTCCTATGAAGGTAGAGGGTAAGTGTCCTCACCCAAGCACAGATGAACCCCACCTGTCCTCTGAATGTCACCCTTTCTTGTCTCCTGAGATCTGTCTGCATTGTCCCCTCCTCCCTCTTCCTCAGTCAGTCTCATCAGCATCTTCTAATCTATCACCTGTCATCCTAAAGTCCCCCACCCTACACTGAGTTCCCTTCAGCTACCATCTCATTTCTTTACTCCCCAGTCAAAAAAAAACTACTGGAAATCATTATCTGTGCTCTGTGTCCCATTTTTCCTTTCTTTCTTTTTTTTCTTTTTTTTTTTTTTGAGATGGAGTTTTGCTCTTGTTGCCCAGGCTGGAGTGCAATGGTGCGACCTTGGCTCACTGAAACCTCTGTGTCCCGGGTTCAAGTGATTCTCCTGCCTCAGCCTCCCAAGTAGCTGGGGTTACAGGCGCTCACCACCACAGCCGGCTAATTTTTGTATTTTTAGTAGAGACGGGGTTTGGCCATGTTGGCCAGACTAGGTTGTGAACTTCTGACCTCAGGCGACCCACTTGCCTCGGCCTCCCAAAGTGCTGAGATTACAGGCGTGAGCCACGACGCCCAGCCTTGTGTCCCATTTTTTTCAACCTCCATTTTCTTTCAAATTCACTCCAAGGCTTCTGTCACAAAAACTAAACTCTATGACAACTTCATCCTTACTGGACACAGCTGACCATTCTATCTGGGGGACACATGCTCTTCTCTTTCACCTCCCTGACACTCCCTGGTCCTTCTTCTGCCTCCCAAGTTTCTTCTTCTTAGTTGTCTTTGCTGGTTCCTGTCCTCTTCTAGAACTCTAAATGTTGGCGTGCACCAGGGCTCTCTTTTCCTTCCTTCCCTCTTTCCAGAAGTGGTCCTGTCTTGGAAACCCATGGATTTCAGGAGCATCTGTAGTCCAGTGACTCTTAAATCTCCATCTCTCCCATGATCTCTCCCCTGAATCACAGACTTACTTATCCAGCTTCTTCCTTGTCATATCCATTTGTAGGTCTAACAGGTGTCTCAAAATTAACATGCCCAATATGGGAGGCTTGATTTTCCTCCAAAACTCTTTCTCCGCATTTTTTCATATCTCAAGTAGTGGTGCCCAGCCCCTTCCAGCCGATAGGCTAAAAGTCTCCAGGTTATCTGTGGCTCTTCCTTCTCTTCCTCATTCCCTATATCCAGGGCATCAACAGAACTTTACCCTGAAGTTATACCTCGAATCTGTCAGCCTCTCTGCATCTCTACTGCTAGCTTTAGTCTAAGCTGTCCTCAATTTTATTCTGAACAGTGGAAGAGCAACTTGACCGTTTCCCCTTTCATTTTTGTCCTTCTTCAATCCATTCTCCAACTAAGCACCCAGAGTGATCCTTTCTTTTTTTTTTTTTTTTGAGACAGAATCTCACTGTCTCCCAGGCTGGAGTGCAGTGGCGCGATCTCGGCTCACTGCAAGCTCTGCCTCCCGGGTTCAAACCATTCTCCGGCCTCAGCCTCCCGAGTAGCTGGGACTACAGGCGCCCGCCACCGCGCCCGGCTAATTTTTTGTATTTTTAGTAGAGACGGGGTTTCACCTTGTTAGCCAGGATGGTCTCGATCTCCTGACCTCGTGATCCACCCGCCTCAGCCTCCCAAAATGCTGGGATTACAGGCATGAGCCACCACGCCCGGCCCAGAGTGATCTTTTAAAAAAGTTATTGAACCCATGTTCCTCGCTTAAAACCCTCCAGTGGATTCCCACTGGATTTAGAATAAAGTCGAAATTCCTTACCTCACTCTACGTGGCCCCACAAGATCTGACCCCTGCTTCCCTTTCTGACCTTGTGCCTACATTCCAGGCATACTGACCAACTTGCTGTTATTCAAACATGTGAAGGGCAGATATGCCCCTGGGCCTTTGCACTTGCTGTGCCCTCTGCCTGGATCATCCTATGTAAACCAGTTCAAGCCTACCATTCATCATCTGTACCATTCATCATCTATACCATTCATCGTCTCTACCACTCATTGTCGGGTCACGTCTTCACAGCTCTTCACTCTAACATATTCAACACAGTATCCTACTCTCAGTAGGCACTCAAAGAAAATTTTTTTTTTGAGACAAGGTTTCCCTCTGTCACCCAGGCTGGAGTGCAGTGGCACGATCTTGGCTCATTGCAACCTCTGCCTCCTGGATTCAAGTGATTCTCCTGCCTCAGCTTCCCAAGTAGCTGGGACTATAGGCACATGCCACCACGTCTGGCTAATTTTTTTTTTTTTTTGTATTTTTAGTAGAGACGAGGTTTCATCATGTTGTCCAGGCTGGTCTTGAACTCCTGAACTCAGGTGATCCACCCATCTCCAGCCTCCCAAAGTGCTAGGATTACAAGTGTGAGCCACCTCGCCCAGCCAATAAATATTTTTTGAAGAAATAAGTGATGCTGTGCAATGAAGACTGTTTGTTGGTTGACTCATGATTTAATTATTTTCCAGTAAAGAATATGTTTGGCTCAGGTATGCTGGCTCACACCTATAATCTCAGCACTTTGAGAAGGCAAGGTGGGAGGATTGCTTGAGGCCAGGAGTGCAAGACCAGCTTGGGGAACATAGCGAGACCCTGTCTTTACAAAAATAAGAAAAGAAAATATTACCTGGACATGGAGGTGCATGCTTGTAGTCCCAGCTACTCTGGAGGCTAAGGCAGGAGGATTTCTCAAGCCCAGGAGTTTGAGGCTGCAGTGAGCTATGATTACACCACTGCACTCCAGCCTGGGTGACAGAGAAAAACCCTGACTTATTTTTATTTTTTCTCGAAGTCAGGGAATAAAAACCCTGTCTCAATAAATAAATAAATAAAAGCATATTCTTGGGCATCTATCCAAAACTGAAGCAGGATTAAAGTTGAGAGGAACAGCAATAGAGTTACAAATAGTATGTTGACATCATTTCATAGCCAGCTGTTTTAAATGCTCCTTTTGAGATAGTTCCTGACACTGTAATAAAATGATAATCTAGCCACCATCCCCTAATCTATCCACCTCCCACGGTTGACAGGGTAGACCTCTGATACCCCTGCCAAAGTGGCACTCTTCTGGCCCATTGAAGTCCAACTTTGTGAAGAGTGGGCAAGAATGAAGGGCAGATTGCTCCCGTACCATCCATTAAATTAAAAAAAATTAATTCATATATTTTTCAGTGTAGGATTTCTATACGTTATTTTCCAGTCATTTAGCTTTTTTCCCCTAATAATATACTGTTCCCGCCCTATAGGTTATATTTTTTCCTTCAATATTTTAAACACGATTATTTTTGGGAGCTAAGCTATGAGGACGCAAAGGCATAAGAATGACATAATGGACTTTGGGGACTCCGGAGGAGTCCATGAGTTAACGGATCATTCCCATTCATTAACTCTAGTTCTTGGATGGGAATGATCTCTTTTGTGATTCTTCCTTGTGCTACTTCCTTTCCCAGATGGTTTTAAATTTTTACCTATGAGCTCATCTGTAGTAGGTATTTTCCACCAATTTTCTCTCAGGAGCCACATTCCTCGGGTTGTATAGTTACAAGAAGTTACAGGAGGAGCTGGTCAGCTGGCTGAGGCTTCTCAGGACTGCTTGTCCAGTTAGAATGTTCTGGTCTCAGTTTCACAGATAGGACAATTCCTTGGCTTTATACAGGGAACTCTCCTCACACAGGTTTGTGGCTTCATCTTTTTTTTCTTTTTTTCTTTTTTTTTTTTGAGATGGAGTCTCACTCTGTCGCCCAGGCTGGGGTGCAGTGGTGCTGTCTCGGCTCACTGCAAGCTCCGCCTCCTGGGTTCACGCCATTTTCCTGCCTCAGCCTCCTGAGCAGCTGGGACTACAGGTGCCAGGTACCACACCCGGCTAATTTTTTTTTTGTTGTTGTTTTTTTTTAAATAGAGACAGGATTCCACCGTGTTAGCCAGGATGGTCTTGATCTCCTGACCTTGTGATCCGCCTGCCTTGGCTCCCCAAAGTGCTGGAATTACAGACTTGAGCCACCGCGCCCGGCCAGCTTCATCTTTTGACATGAGTGAACACTATGTATTTGATCTATGATCATTTGATGTATGAACAAGACCCCAGCTCCACACTCCTGAAGTTTGAGTTCCAACACCCTCTTTATCCATTCACTTTTACACTTGCACACTACTTGCGCACTATTTTGTTCATTTCTACCCCCAATTTTTTTCATTCAATAGATATTTATCAAATGCTTACTAATGTGCCAGGCATGATTCTAAGCCCTAGACCATCAGCAGTGAAGTAAATAATGTCTTTTCCCTGAACAATTGTGCATTCAAGAGGTTTCTCTTTCTCCTTCCATGCTCTAAATGTACTAAAGACAGTCCTGTTATATTTGATCTTGCATGGTTGTGTGTTTGGAGCGTGTGGGTTTGTGGAGGTCCTATGACGGAGGTAGCTCAACCTGCAGTAATACCCAGAGGTCACCCCTCCCTTACATGTGACCCTGCGAAGTATGCTCCTGGCATATCTTAAAGACTGTGAAAATATTTCTATCCAGAGGCAGCTGGGTATAACTAACTGTTAAGAAAATGAAGTCTGGAGCCGAAATGCCGAGGCTCAAATCCCAGACCACTTACTAGCTGTGTGGTCTTGGACAAAAGGAACCCTCTTGGTTCCTTAGATTCCTCATGTGGAAAAGCAGCCCAATAATAGTATCTCCCCTACATGCTTATAGAAAGGATTCAGTGAGTAAACGGCTTAGGACAGGAGCTGGCACATTATAAGTACTTATGAATAGAGGCAGCGTAAACATCAATGACCCAGTGCCAATCACAAGGCTCTAGGACTAGTAGGTGTTGGAGAGGTGTTTCTTGTTGCCTTATTTGTTGTATTTGGTTTCTGCTACCTGCACACCTTGTGGGTCAGGACCTGCTGGTGAGATGGCCCATCACAGCAGTCCACCAGCCTTGCTGGGCTGAGTTGTAAGCTGGAGCAAGGTGGGGGGCCCGGAAACCAAACCAAGTTCAAACCAGGAGAATGTCTGAAGCCTCCATGGGGACTGTGTTAGTTTGCTGGTGCTGCCACATAACGAAGGATCACAGACTATGTGGCTTAAGCAACAGACATGTATTACCGTCTGAGATCAAGATGTTTGTGGGGTTGGCTTCTCCCAGGGCCTCCCTCCTCGGCTTGCACATGGCCACATTTTCCCTGCTTCTCCACGTGGTCTTCCCTTTGAGTCTGTGTCCTAAACTTCTCACAAGGACAGCAGTCATTTTGGGTTAGAGCTCACTACAGTGACCTCATTGTAACTCAATTACCTCTTTAAAGACATAACCTCCAAATACAGTCACATATTAAGGTACTGGGGGTTGGGGCTTCAACATATGAATTTTGAAGGACACAATTCAGCCTGTAATAAAGACAGAATGAGTTTGGCCAATGCCTTTTTTGTCTGGGAGTAGATATTGAAGCTCACACCTGTGTATACCTGTCTGCTCTGGGGATGCCTTCGTGGTACCGAGGGATTTTTTTTTTTTTTTGGAGATGGAGTTTTGCTCTTATCTCCCAGGCTGGAGTGCAGTGGTGCGATCTCGGCTCACTGCAACCTCTGCCTCCCAGGTTCAAGCGAGTCTCCTGCCTCAGTCTCTCAAATAACTGGGACTACAGTTGTGTGCACCACGCCTGGCTAATTTTTGTATTTTTAGTAGAGATGTGGTTTCACCATGTTGGCCAGGCTGGTCTGGAACTCCTGACCTCAAGTGATCTGCCTACCTTGGCCTCCCAAAGTGCTGGGATTAACAGGTGTGAGCCACTGCGCCCAGCCAGCCGAGGGATTTCTTTAACATAAATACTCTTCCCTTCAGTCTTGAAACTGGCTAAAACCCTCCTGCTCATCAAAACACAGAGTAAATGCTTCTGTGTCCACAAAACCTTTTCTGATTCCTGTAATCCACCTTCCCCTGTACCCTAACCTCACTGCACAGCAAGCATCGCACTCTCCTTGAACTCAGAGGATAGCATGCTGTCTGTCTCTTCCCTATGAACACGTTGCTTATACTGTGGTTGTTCACATTCTGGTACTGCTAACACATCAGTTAGCAGTAAACATCCTGAGGGCGAATCTCCATCTGATTCATCTTTGTTTTCTCACAGACATTGCTCAGTAAACATTTGTTGAAGGAATAAGTGAATGATAACAATAGCAACAAAACTGGCATATATTTTACACCTAAAGTCAAGTATCGAGAAGTTCCCCAAATCCATGATCAATACTTGACTAATTTTAAGACATAATGTGCTTAGCAGAATTTTTTCAGCTCCCCAGAGTAAATGCTTCAAGGCCAGGCACACCTGTAATCTCAGCACTTTCAAGGCCAAGGCAGGTGAATCACCTGAGCCCAGGAGTTCGAGATTAGTCTGGGCAACACAGCAAAACCCTATCTCTACAAAAAATACAAAAATTAGACAGGTGTGGTGGCCTGCACCTGTAGTTCCAGCTACTTGGGAGGCTGAGTTGGGAGGATCAATTGAGCCCAGGAGTTCAAGGCTGCAGTGAGCCACTGCACTCCAGCCTGGGTGACACAGGGAGACCTTGTCTCAAAACAACAACAACAACACCCCCACCCCACAAAAGAGAAAAACAACAAAAATGTTAATGCTTCAAAAGCCTGCCTTGTGGGGCAGAGGAGGCACGTAACTAATGCATACCTTTATACAGGCCAATGAATACCTCCGGCAAAAGAAAATATCATGCTCTAAGGGTGTGTAATTTTCAAGGACTCATGCAAGCGGTCCATAGAAGAAGTGAATTGAATTAGAATTTATTTATTTATTTATTTTGCAGTGACTAGCCTAATCTCTACAAAAAGTACTTTAAAGGCTATAAAAGTAAATTCTTTCTGATTTTTTTTCCCTTTTCATTTTAAAGGGAGTTCCCAGAATTTGACTCTTGTTTTGAATGATGTCTTTGTAACAAACTTCCTGTGTTGACAAAGGACACGCTGAATTTCTGTTACTGTGGCTACCACAGAAATGAGAGCAGTTCCAATCGTCTCACTGAATTAAGGCCTTTATACAATTTCTTTCAAGTTTTCTAATTTTTATTATGTTTGTAGCTCTATAATATACAACCATAAAACAAGATAATATTACTATAACAATAATAAACAACTGTATCTCTATATATCTCTATATAATACACAAATAACACAGTAACAATACTTTACAACAATAACTCTACAGCATACCACTATAATAAACATTTGAAGTGACATGTGGGTTTTTTTTTTTTTAACTTCCCCTAGTCTTTGGACTTATTTTGCTTTAAATTATTTATCAACAAAGGTCTGAACACTTAATAACCTCTGCCTTATGGTGATACATTTCCTCATTATTTTAGTTTTGTATTATCAAAATAGAGTGAAAATGAGACAAATTGTCTCTGAACCTTAGCTATGCAGGAGATCAATCTGCTTCTACTTCATAAAAGTTGTTCAAATGTCACTGACAGGTTCTAGTAGAACCAGGGACATCAAAGTGTCTATTTAAAAGCTAAAGTGATTTTAGCATGACCATATTTTAAAATGCAAATGAATTTTTTCTATTACTCTAGCTAAAATGGCTTCTCATTATCATTATGTTTTTATATTTTTATGTTTTCTTTGAGAAGGAATCTCGCTCTGTTGCCCAGGCTGGAGTGCAGTGGCGCAATCTCAGCTCACTGCAACCTCTACCTCCTGGATTCAGATGATTCTCCTGCCTCAGCCTCCCAAGTAGCTGGGATTACAGGCGTGCACCACCACGCCCAGACGATTTTTGTATTTTTAGTAGAGATAAAGTTTCCCCATGTTAGCCAGGCTGGTCTCAAACTCCTGACCTCAGGTGATCCACCCACCTCGGCTTCCCAAAGTGCTGGGATTATAGGCGTGAGCCACGGTGCCTGGCCTATATTTTTACTTACAGCTTTTCTTTTTCTTTGCTGCCTTGTATTTAAAGGCAACAATCTTTTTTTACACAGCGTTAGAAATGCTCAACCACTTTTTGAAATGTTAACCACCATAATGCAGCCCAGATAAGAAACAAAATTAAGAGCCTCAAGAAATACAAAATTGAGAAACATTCCAACTAAAAACGTTTAAACAAAATAGTCTCATTCTTTATAGATACGAAGTTTATGTGTAGAAGCCAATACACATTTCCTGCCTCTTCCCCCTCACTTCCTGGCCGCCGGTGCTACAGAGCAACTGTCCTGCCACACTTGAGTGAGATGGAAAAAACCAATTCTTCACCCCAGTTCACTTCCATGACTTCCGGCAGTGTCTGTTCAGAGGTCAAAGCTGTTGGTGATTTTCCACTTGTGCTGGACATAAACCTGGCAAAAAGGCAGGAATTTTAGGGACAGAGGGCTTTCTACCATGGCAGGTCAGAAGGGCCTGGGGGAACAGGGCCTGACCCACACCAAGTAAATATTTGTTGAATGAATGAATGAATGGAAGAAATGGTATCTTATGGTTTGTCTTTTTTGGAGACAGAGTCTTGCTGTTGCCCTGCCTGGAGAGTGGTGGCACGATCATGGCTCTCTGCAGCCTCGAGCTCCTGGGCTCAAGCATCCACCCATCTCAGCCTCCCAAGTAGCTAGGACTACAGTCATGTGCCACCATGCTCAGCTAATTTATTTTTATTTTTTGTTTTTGGTAGAGACGGGGACTCTCTGTGTTGCCCAGGCTGGTCTCAAATTCCTGGCCTCCTGAAGTGCTGGGATTATAGGTGTGAGCCACCGTGCCCAGGCAATGCCCCGTGTTTTTAATAGAATGACGTAGAGGTAATTGTTTTTTCTTTCTGTTTTGAGATGAAAACAAGGAATTGGTTTCATTTTCATTATTTTTTCATCTGTACTTCAGTGCTGCTGAAACTTTCACCTGAGAGGAGGATTTCAGATTTCTCGATTCTGCCCCCGCAACGAGTTGCTTCTCTTCTTTCTCTGCACAGTCTTCACTTTCATGAAGCCAAATGCCTCCTTGCAATTCAGCTCCTGGTTTTGAGTGTGTAAGGAAGACACACGCTTCTCGTGAAATTCTGGAGAATGTCTCCGGACTGCGTGGGAAGCTTATGAACCAGAGGTGCCTGTACTGACAGAAGCCTGTGAGCAAAGAGGGTTCCGAGAACTGGTTAGCTCTTTCTAGCCGGGAATATTAAGCTGTAAAGAACAAGGAAATGGAGGGAGCATTCACATATGTACTGCAGTTGGCATGGGGGTCTCCTTGGAGAGGCTTCCTGTGGGCAACTATGGGTGCATTCAGTAGGGACATTTAGATAACTAAGATGAGCCCTGGAACAACCAAAATAGAGTCAATGTAATAAAACACTCTCTGATTCTGGGACACGTCCCCCTCGTCTCTGAAAGGAAACACTTGGCTTCAGTTTGGCTCAGCAATGTAACACCTTTTCTCCCGGCTTAGAACCAGCTCTTAGCAAGCAGAGTGGGTGGCTTTTGTGTGATACCATGGGCACTAGTAACGCCTCAGGCTGAAGTCCCGGCCTGATAGGTTATGCCCTTAACCTTCTAAAACCAGAAACGAGAGGAAAGAAACCACAGAAGGAAACTGTAGAAACTCAACCCCAGGGGAGGCGAGCATTACCTTCATAATTTATTGCAAACAGTGCCTATTTTGTTTCCAAAGTGTTTTAAATTAAACTTAGTTGTGTATCATTTGGAATGTAAATATTCATCCTCAAAAGTGAGTAGCAGGGAGTATGGACTGTCTGAGTAACCACAGTGTGTGTGTCTGAGCTTTGTGACAAGTCTACTATGCCTTCTTGATGCTGGGCTACAATTAAAGCATGTTCTAAAAAAAGTAAAAAATGCACTTAGATGTTAGTAAGTATGAGCTAAGTAATTTTGGAAACTTTGGTGTGCATTTTAGAGATTGAGATTTTCATTTACATATATCAGTTGATTCTTCAGAAGCAATTTAAATAACTTAAGACTGTTTTTTAAACATAATCTTATCTCTAAAGCCCAAGGTAGAGGTCAAAATGCAAATATTTGAGGCTGTGATGTGATGGTCACTATGTATCCAGTTTGTAATCCTCCATATAACTGATGTATTAGTATTTTATCTAAACATCTTGCTGTGGGTATGTGAAGCAGGCCCACAGAACAGAACTAATGAACACCTGAGACCGTGCCAGTGTGTTCATTTAAAATGCGCTGCACCTTGTTCTGACACTCGATTTGTTGTAGATATTTGATCCTCTTGAGGCTTGCTTTTAAGCTCTGTTAGGGTGGGGCCAGAGGAGTTTTTAATCCAGGATTAATTTCTCACCTTAGTAGTGCCCCACTATGGAGGAGAAACTTCTGAGGACTCTACCCGAGGCCCACGTATTACAAAGTCTTTTCATTCCGGCTGGTGGACACGGACTCTGTTTCCAGCCCGCGTGAGCTCCAAGAATTGCTTGGCCTGAGGCTTTCCAGATTTCTTTCTCCCGTGCATTTGCTGAATAGTACTCAGCCAAAGAGCATGTGCAGCCTCCAGCACCCTGTCTTCGTGCAACTCTCCTCTCTCTCTTATTCTTTCTCATACATTTTAGACGACCCCGCCTCATTGAACCTCAGTCTCTGTCCCCTCAATTCAATGAGACTGACAGGCTCCCCCTGCTGGGCTGCAGCCTGAGCACTCTGTCTAGGCAAGAAGAAGCTGGAGCAATCACAGGTGTCTCATCACTTTCCCCTTCTCTCAGGCATCTTGGGCCTGCACATCTGCTGGCCAATGCCCTAAACGGTTATTTTTCCATATGTTTTGATATTTTGCCTGTTTTTCTAGTTGTTCATGGTGGGAGGACAATTTCCATAACAGTAATCCTTTGTGGGCAGACAGAGAATCCCGTCTAGCGTAGTTTTGCATTTGCTTCCCTGAGGCCCCGGACCTCGACCATTTTTATGGGAATTCTTGGCTTGAGATTGTTACCATGTGGTGCTGTAAATTTGCACCCCACAAACATGCAGTACTAGTTTGAGGAATCCATTAAATTTTCTTCCATCCAGAACCGCCCCCAGGCAGATGGAAAGCTTCTGTATAGCTTCTCTATGTCAGTTGGTGATATTTTTACTATTCCCATTTTTGTTTTGACTAAGCCACTCTTTGTGCATCTCAGATTTGTGCAGGCATCTTGGGTACCAACTCACTACCTTGAACAATCCAGGTCTACATCTCTCATTCTGGCATGTGTATTAAAACTCCAGTCCCAGATCTTAGAGGCTATATCTAGGCAAAAATTAGTATTTCTGCATTATGTAGGCTGTGCATATTTGATTTTCATGTACTTGAAATGTCTTAGCCTAGTGACTAAGTCCAATTTTTTTTTTTTTTTTTTGACAGAGTATCACTCTGTCTTCCAGGCTGGAGTGCAGTGGTGCAATCACAGCTCACTGCAGCCTTGACCTCCCAGGCTCAAGCGATCCTCCTGCTTCAGCCTCCCGAGTAGCTGGAACTACAGGCTCGTGCCACCACCCCCAGCTAATTTTGGATTTTTTGTAGAGATGGGCTTTCACCATGTTCTCCAGGCTAGTCTCAAACTCCTGGGCTCGAGTGATCCTCCTGCCTGGGCTTCCCAAAGTGCTGGGATTACAGGTGTAAGCCACTGCACCCAGCCTCCAGCTTTGTGATTCCAATGTAAAATGTTTAATTGACTGTGATTTTATGTTCATCTTACTAGGTTTATATACAATATGAGAATATTTATGAAAACTCCAAATTTTCTGTATTTATATACTTAGTTTAGTAGATAAAGTTATTTAAGTTCTTGAGACAGTTTTGTTTAAGTCAGACAATAGTAGTCCTTAAAGTGGAGAGAAAATATATTAATTTATAAATAAAGCTTAACAAATTAAAGGGAATTAAGTTATGCTATAAAAAGCAGCCTTAAACTTAATGTTCTTCAATAGTCAGATTTTTAAATGGAAAAATAATGTTTTAAAGTTGAACTTCAAGAATTTAGGAAGATCTAGGTTTTAAAATGTGTCACTTGACTATTATATATATATATATATATTAATTTTTTTATTTTTTTAATTTTTTTGTGATGGAGTTTCGCTCTTGTTGCCCAGGCTGGAGTGCAATGGTGAGATCTCGGCTCGCCACAACCTCCGCCTCCTGGGTTCAAGCAATTCTCCTGCCTCAGCCTCCTGAGTAGCTGGGATTACAGGCATGTGCCACCACGCCCGGCTAGTTTTGTATTTTTAGTAGAGATGGAGTTTCTCCATGCTGGCCAGGCTGGTCTCAAACTCCCGACCTCAGGTGATCCGCCCGCCTCGGCCTCCCGAAGTGCTGGGATTACAGGCGTGAGCCACTGCACCCCAGCCTATATATTAATTTTATAAAACTGAAGTAAACTCTGAATGGTCTTTTCTGTGTTCCAAGTTGATCCTTTAAGTACCACTACTTCACATTTACCAGGTCACAGATTCATAAATTTTTATGTGTTACAAAGTATCTTCGGCACCATTAAAGTGATGGATCTATAGTTTCAGTTCTATTTTCCCCTGTAGAAATAGCAGCTTTTTACCTAAGCTATTAAATCTTGAGGTCACTGGTTTAGTTTGGTCATAATAATGGCTGAAATAATTCTTATAGCTGTTTTGTTGAGCAATCTCAGCGTATGGAGCTCCGAACACAAAAGCCATCTCCCCAACTCACTGCTGCTGTGTCCCAGCAAACCCCTCTGCTGGGCGCAGGGGTCTTAGGGCACACTTTGATTTCATACATTTTTGCACAATTTCAGAATTTGGAATACACTGTTTTAAAATTTTGTTTCCACCTGATTCAACACCCGTCTTGCTTTCTCCCCAGTCTGGGATCCAGCAGGTGGAAATTAGGGAAGGGGTGGGAGGTGCTGCTTGCAGAAACCTCACCTCTCTGACACTGGGAGCTCTGTTGCTGGCTTTTTGAGGGGTGTGGTGGGGGCTTTTCGGAGAGTCTTAGGGGCCTCTCGCTTGCACAGCCCTTGGCCCTTGGCATGGGAGGTCTGCCGCCGCTTGAACCTTTCCCACCCCCACCCCCACCCCGCCACCCTCCCATCTTTAGCTCCCCAGCAGGTGTCCACCCACTGGCAGTTTCCTTCCGGGTCAGCTTGTTCAGATGTAGCCCTCTTACTGAGGCAGGCAGAACCGCAGACTGCTCATGGCCAGCCACCTTCCATGGGGTCCGCTTGACCCTTGGGAAGCTCATCTCCTTGCCATATCTGGGAGTGAGAACACAGCATCTGGCTCCTGCCTGGTGTTCAGTGTCATAGCAGCAGCATCCAGCACTTGTTTGGACAAGTGGATTGGCCACAGTCAGATGAGAAGCAATTTCCAGCCTTAAACTTGTAAAGGAGAGGGTGTGTAGGAGCCCCTGCCAACTGTATAAGGAAATTTCTTGTCTCATCCGCTACCTTTGGCAGGAGAAAGAAGGGGAAAAAATTGTTTTTATGAGATGGTCTTGTTCTGTTGCCCAGGCTGGAGTGCAGTGGCGCCATCATGGCTCATTGCAGGCTTGACCTCCCAGGCTCAAATGATCCTCCCACCTCAGCTTCCCAAGTAGCTGTGACTATAGGTGGGCACCACCACACCCAGCTGATTTTTAAAATTTGTTGTAGAGAGGGGTCTCGCTGTGTTGCCCAGGCTGGTCTTGAACTCCTAGACTCAAGCAATCCTCCCGCCTCAGCCTTCCAAAGTGCTGGGATTACAGGTGTGAGATACTGCACCCAACAGAAAAAAACACCATGACGATTTTCCTAGAATGGTGTGTGTTATGTGTGTGTGTGTGTGTGTGTGTGTGTGTGTGTGTGTGTGTGGTGCTGGGGTTGGGGAGGACAAAACTTTCTACAACAGCTGCTGCTGGGATGCTGACCCTCAGCAAACCCCTCAGGGAGTGGCAATTTCCACAGCTGGCAGTTCTCTGAGCTCAGAATGAGGCTTCTTATGTACCTTTTATTCTTAGCTGTGGGCCCTTAGTCTCCAGTTCTGGCAGGAGGCGCCTCACACCATCTTATCACATGTAATTGTCACATTACATTCAATTGCCTTGTGTATCTTATTAATGGAATTGGCTTGATTGTGTGGTAAGCCACCAGATGTGCAGTGGCCGTGTAATTTCACACCCCTGAACCTCGTTGAGCTCAAACGACTTATCTGATCATGTTGCAAGGTACTGCTTTCACCAAAAGGAATTTAAATCAGAAGATGTGGCACAAGACGCGTTGAGAAAGAAGCACCAAGAAGCCACCCAACCTAGCAGCAAAACAGCAGGAATTTGAGAAACAGTGTCGGGGAAGAGGACAGACGTGAAAACTGTTTATTCATACAGAGGAGGTTCCAAGCCACGAGGCGCCCGTCGAAAAGCACATCACCTCTGTAACAACACACGAGACACGGCCATGGCTTCACAGCTGCAGCAAATCCCAATTCGCCCCACGACACATTCGTCTGCCCTCTGACCATCATTCAATGTCCCTCCAACTTCATTCAAGTCTTCTCCTTAAAACTGTTTCCTAATCTTCATGCTATGAATGGTATTTTCTTAACACATAATTTTGTAGATAAAGAAAAACAATTAAAGTGTCATTAGTTGGTGCTTTTTTATATGAGTGAAAGACCTGACATTATTTTCCCCTCAAGCCAGAAAATAATAGGGAGGAGAAAGCATGAAGACGTCTCATCCTTAACCCAAACCATTCACACCCAAGTCACACAGGCCGGCTGGCTCTCCTCGCACCTCCGGTCACTTGGCCTTCTTGCCACCTTTCAGGGACTCCAAGGCGGCCATCCTCGCCTCCTCCTCTGGGATGAACACGCTGACGGTGAAGTCGCTGGTCTCCGAGCCATACTTGTTCTTCACAACCAGCCCGTATTTGCCCGAGTCAGCGGTGCTCACGCCGTTGATGGTGAAGTACGCGGTCCTCCCAGCCTCGAACTTGAGGTTGCAGTGGTCGTCTGAGGCCAGGGCCTTCTCGTTCTTCAACCACGACACCTCCGGAGGCGGGTCTCCCCACACGTTGCAAGTGAGATTAAGGGCCTGCAAGACAGGTTTTATGGGAGAGAAGAAGATAAATTAGATGTAATAGACACACTGTCAACAATCTTGCCGGCTGGTGGCTTGGCATGACCAAAGGGAGGATAAGTAAAAGCCTCCCGGACCAGGGTTTAAAGTAGTTCTGTGTATGCACCTGTGTGAGTTACAGTTTGAAATAACATGTGAGGGGATCTCCTCAAGGCCTTTTAATGCTCCTCAAGGCCTTTATATGCTTTCTGGCTTCTGGAATGCTTATTATCAAAAACACACGAAAGAGTTTATGTCTATTCCCCATTTTCACTTTCTCTTTCATAAACATATAGATGCCTTTTGCTCTATTGTGGCATTTTGGGTTCTGTCTCGGTACAGGAATCTCATTGCTGTAATTGCCACCTGCTCACTTTTGCCTTTCATTTGCATCAAAGAGCCGGGCAGCAGAATCACGGCAGCTGCTTCAGATAATGTTACTGATTTTCAAATTCCACCACCCTTATTTTACTTCTCTCCTCAAAGCCCATCCAATCTGCTGCAGTTGCAGTGGTCCCCTACCAAAACGTATTCCTAAAGAAAATATTCCCATCTGTGCTGAAACCTTATTCTAAAAGATCGATATTCTAGATATGTATGTAGACACAAGGTCTACAGTTTTATTTTACCTTACTTTTTTTAATTGAAAAGGATTTAGATAATTGTAAATTCACATGCAGTTGTAAGAAATAATAAAGAAATCCATAAGAAATAATAAAGAGATCTGGTATGCTGTCTACCCAGCTTCCCAGTGGTAACATTTTACAAAACTATAGTAGAATGTCATAACCAGTATATTGACATTGATGCAATCCACCGACCTTATTTAGATTTCTCTAATTTTACTGGTGCTTATTTGTGTTTGTGTGTGTTTCATTCTATTCAATTTACAGAATATTTTCATCACCACAAGAACCCCTTGCGTTGTCCTTTTATACCCACACCCACCTCTCCTCCAACTTCCAAACTCTGTTCCTAATCTCTGGCAACCACTCATCTGTTTTCCATTTCTAAAATTTTGTCAGGTCAAAGATATTATATAAATAGAATCATGCACTGTATAACCTTTCAGAATAACCTTTGTAACTCAGCATAATTACATCCAGATTCATCCAAGATGCTGCATGTATCGATAGTTTATCCCTTGTTCTTGCTGACTAGAATGTCATACTATGTTTATGCCCGTAAGGGTCATCTGAGCTTTTTCCAGTTTTAACTATGATGCACTAAGTTGCTATGAACATTTGTGTACAGGTTTTTATGTGAGCATAAGCTGTCATTTCTCTGGGATAAATGCCCAGGGATACAATTGCTGGAATGTATGATAAATGCATGTTTCATTTTTTCTTTATTTTTTTTAATTAAAAAAATAGAGAATAGAGATGGGGTCTCATTATGTTGACCAGGCTGGTCTTGAACTCCTGGTCTCAAGCAATCTTCCCATCGTGGCCTCCCAAAGTGCTGAGATTACAGGCATGGGCCACCACACCCAGCCCATGTTTTCTTTTTTTTTCCCAGAAATTGCCAAACGGTTTTTCTGAGCGGCTATACAATTTTGGCTTACATTCCCACCAGAATATACAAGTGATTCGGTTTCTCCACAGCCTCCCCACCATTTGTTGTTGTACACCAGCCCACCCAGCTACTATTCTTTATTACAGCAATTCTGATAGGTGTGGTGTGATATTTCATTGTGGTTTTAATGTTCACTTGCCTGGTGGTTAATGATGTTGAATTTACTTCACATTTTAAAATTCCATTCTTGTATTTTTCTCTTACTAAAATCCAGATGTGATAAGGAAAGAACTAGGGCTCACAATGTACAGAGAAAGAACACCCATCTACATAGCTTTCTAAAGGGTCTTACATGATTATTTGTTACCCCTTTTGCAGGTATATCATTTAAAATTGGATAGATTAAGAAATCTGTTTTTCTCCCATCACTAATTAATATTTCTTACTGAATTATCCTACAAATACATTTCAGTCAAAAAAAGAGGAGTCCAATTATTATCCTTAAACTTAATGAGCAGATTAGGTATATGCTTTTGGAAACTGTGATTACTTGTAGTTAAAACTTTTAACAAAATGAAACAAAGTCCCAAACACCCCCTGACAGTCTAGTGGTTAGGAAAAAAAAATGTGAAAAAGAAAAAACAAAACTCCCAAACACCTTAGGCATCATGGAAAACTCTTATCCACACTTCAGATTTGGGTTCTGCATTACAAAGTACTTTCATATACATTCTCTTTCTTAATTCTCAGTACGACCTAGAGAGTTGTATATTTTTAACCTTATTAGGTGAGGAAAATGGAAAAGACAGTTGAGGAACAAAAGAACCCCTGCAGTGGCTGAGCTTAAAATCAACCGTGATCATATTTTCCAACCATGAGGAAATGCAGTTGAATGAAACCTACCTCTTGCTAAAGCATTTCCACATGCCTTGCTTTGTTACCCGAATTCCAGTCACCCACTGTATGTCTTCACTGCCCTTTGAAGTGGAAAATTTGTTCCACTACAAATATCTCTACCCCTAGGACTGGTATGTTAAACTTGTTTTAATTTATTTTCCATTTATTTTTTGTAGACAGTGTCTCACTGTGTTGTCCAGGCTGAAGTGAAGTGGTATGGTGTCATGACTCACTGCAGCTTTGACCTCCTGGGCTCAGGCGATCCTCCCATCTCAGCCTCCAGAGTAGCTAAGACTACAGGTGTGCACCACCATACCCAGCTGACTTTTAAAAATTGTTTTTGTAGAGTCGGGGTCTCATTATGTTGCCCAGGCTAGTTTGAACTCCTGGGTGTAAGCAATCCTCCTGCCTTGGCCTCCCAAAGTGCTGGTTTACAGGCATGAGCCACTGCACCCAGTGGCTGTAAACTTTTTAATGAAACATAAAGATAAAAAAAGCGAATCCAGATTAGAAATTATGTTGGTTCGCTCAGACTGTATCTAGTTAAATGAAAGTAAGGAAGGCCTTATTTGGCATCTTATCTTACAGGGGCTCTTCGGAAAATGCACAGTACTTGTTGGGGACAAGTTTCAGTGATTTACCTGATGCCAAATTTACAACGTTGTAATCTCTTGGAGAGATTATTACAGAAACAGGTTACATCAGTTTAAAACCAAATGGAAAGAAACCAGAGGTGCATGTTCTTTGTGTGTGTGTGTGTGTGTGTGTGTGTGTGTGTGTGTGCACGTGTGTGTGTTTGTATGACAGGGTGTCTGTCGCCCGGGCTGGAGTGATCTTGGCTCACTGCAAACTCCGCCTCCTGGGCTCAAGCGGTCCTCCCACTCAGACTCCCGAGTAGCTGGGACTACAGGTGTGCACCACTACATTTGGCTAAATTTTGTATTTTTTGTAGAGATGGGGTTTCGTCGTGTTGCCCAGGCTGGTCTCAAACTCCTGGGCTCAAGTGATCTGCGTGCCTTGGCCTCCCAAAGTGTTGAGATTACAGGCGTGAGCCACTGTGCCCGGCCTAGGGGCACATGCTCTCAGGAGCCCCTGGAGTTCTGTCACAGGGGAAAAAAATTATTAAAAAAAGAAAGAAAGAAGCCTGTTTTCAACAGAACTAGAGCCTATAGAAATTTTCATATTCCACTCTGTTGGAGGTAATTTCTTTCTTCAATTTTATTTGTCATAGAGTTAACACAGAACATGTTCATTTTCTCATAATTTTAAAGGGTGACTCTTCAAAGATACTAAGTGGTCTACATATGTCTATTAGAGACAAACTTTTATGCCGATGCTTGACCTATGAAACGTTAAGATGATTGGAAAACCGACTGATTTTTTTTGAGATGGAGTCTCACTCTGTTGCCTGGGCTGGAGTGCAGTGGCATGATCTTGGCTCACTGTAACCTCCACCTCCCAGGTTCAAGCAACTCTCCTGCCTCAGCCTACCAAATAGCTGGGATTACAGGCACCAGCCACCACACCCAGCTAATTTTTGTATTTTTAATAGAGACGGGGTTTCACCATGTTGGCCAGGCTGGTCTTGAACTGCTGACCTCAGGTGATCCGCCCGCCTCAGCCTCCCAGTGTTGGGATTACAGGCGTGAGCCATCGTGCCTGGCCAGAAAACTGACTGATTTTTAACCTTGTGTTTGGTTACTCTGGTCAAGTATAAGCAGCTATGGAGTACGATGAAGGTGGTGGGCTGTTAAGTGTGCCTTAAAAGAAGGAACAAAATCTGGGGTGCTGGAACCTGTTCATAGTGCAGAAGGAGCAGGCACAGGCAGGCTTCATGCTTACCTTCCCCTCCTGGATGGTGACCACGTCTGGGAGACCTCCCAACACCCGGGCACGATCTGCAAGCATAGGCATTTTGGGTTAATCACTGCAGTGGCAAGGCCAGCGGTCATACTCACAAAACCACCCAGGAAGCTACATTTCCAATTTAGTTTCCTTCTCCTGATAGTTCTTTTATACAGTTTTCAACATGCAAAAAAAGAAAATGATCCAGGGATTCAGGATTTTTTTTTTTTTTGAGACAGAGTCTCACTCTGTCACCCAGGCTGGAGTGCAATGGCGGGATCTCGGCTCACTGCAACCTCTGCCCACTAGGTTCAAGCGGTTCTCCTGCCTCAGCCTCCCGAGTAGCTGGGATTATAGGCACCTGCCACCGTGCCCAGCTAATTTTTGTATTTTTAGTAGAGATGGGGTTTTGCCATCTTGGCCAGGCTGGTCTTGAACTCCTGACCTCGTGATCCATCCACTTCAGCCTCTGAAAATGCTGGGATTACAGCAGGCGTGAGCCACCGCACCCGGCTTTTTTTTTTTTTTTTTTTTTGAGGCAGAGTCTCGCTCTGTCACCCAGGGTGGAATGCAGTGGCGCAATCTCAGCTCACTGCGACCTCCGCCTCCCAGGTTCAAGTGATTCTCCTGCCTCAG
The DNA here is from genome assembly GCF_000001405.40 of Homo sapiens. NCBI lineage: Eukaryota > Metazoa > Chordata > Mammalia > Primates > Hominidae > Homo > Homo sapiens. The sequence continues at coordinate 3,072,473 of NC_000018.10, forward strand.
CCTCCTGAGTATCTGGAATTACAGGCCTGTACCACCACGCCTGGCTAATTTTTGTATTCTTAGTAGAGACAGGATTTCACCATGTTGGCCAGGTTGGTCTTGAGCTCCGGACCTCAAGTGATCTGCCCGCCTCTGCCTCCCAAATTGCTGGGATTACAGGTGTGAGCCACCATGCCTGGCTGGATTCAGGATTTTAATCCTTCTTCACCGTCATATTGTGTGTGTGTGGGGGGCGGTGGGGGAGTGCCTGTATCTGTATCTAAAATACCAGTGTGTGATAGCTTTGCCATATCAAGACCCGCTCTATCATTTTCATGGCTGTTTTTGGCCCTGACCCTTCTGCAGCTTAGTAGGGCTAAGCTCAAGGAAGTAGAACAGATCTCTATGGACAGCCTCCAAGCGTAGCTTGGCCTCTTTTATGGGTTTCCATATGATGAGAAAAGGTTGCATAATGGAAGGGCTACATGCTAGGGAGATTGGAGGCTCATGCAGATGTAAGCATTTTTTTTTTTTTTTTTTTTTTTTAAGAGACAGGGTCTTATGTTACCCAGGCTGGTCTTGAACTCCTGGGCTCCAGCCATCATCCTGCCTTGGCTTCCCAAAGTGTTAGGATTACAGGCACAAGCCACCAGGCCTGGCCATAAGCTTTCCTTGAAGCCTTCTCTAGAGAGTGTCCCTTTCTTGTCTCCCGGTAGTTCTTGGTAGTGCTGTGCAGGCCACTGTCTATGGCTAGGAGTATAAAGGCCTGCAGGTGAGGGGACGAGGCACAGGATGGGTGCTGGGATCCTGGGTGCCCTCAGCCAAGCTATATGCCCTGGGCATGACTGCCTCAGTCCCTGGAAAGGGCACCTTCCTGTCATTCATTCAAAGGTGTTCTCTCTGGCATGAACACAGCAGCCACCTCCCTCTCATTTTTCGGCCTGCTTCAATTAATGTGTGACTCTTGACTTCCCTGTCTACAATTCCCTTCTCCATTAAGTGAGGCTAAAGCTTTGCTTTTGGTGAAACATGACAGCATTCTACTGCTAATTCCATCATGCCACCTGTAAGCCTAACCCTTCTTCTGGTTTCCTGTGTGACATGCTGTGTGATACTGGGCCAGTCACTTCACTGTGTTGGCCTCAGTCTCCTAATTTGTAGAATGGGGGACAAGGGTTGCATTAGACCTGGGGATACTATGATTATTTCTGAATAATGCCTTTTAACCAATCGAATGTTGCCTTTTCCGATGCTACCTATGGCTTGCCTGGGCATGCCCACATGTGCATTGGGGGAATGGGGGGATCCACCAGGAATTTGCACCTTATGCAGGGGAGGGGCCTGGCCTCTTCAGCTCATCCACGGTAGACCTGGTATTCAACTGTGAGAGGGAAACCTGCTTGGAGAAACCCTCTCTTTGCCGAGAGTTTTCCTTTCGCTTAATAAATTCTGCCTGCCTCACCCTTCAATGTGTCCGCATGTCTAATTTTTCCTGGTTGTGAGACAAGAACCTGGATTTAGCTGAACTAAGGAGCAAAAATCCTGCATCAATTTGAAGTAAGTGTTCCATAGCTTACAAAAGTTTACAAACATGGAGCTAGAAAAGCTCTAAGGTTGCTTCCAGTTCTAAAGAGTTCATGAACTCCTTGCCCACAGAAGAGTTCAAGAATCTGGAAAGACAGAAAACTGCTTGTGGATGTAGGCTTTGCTCAGTACCAAACAAGAACAGCTCTCTCTTGCTCAACACCCCACTTCCCCCTTGACCTCTGGTGCCCCAGTACCAGCCTCTGTCCCTTACCCCCAGCTGCAGTCCACATACACAGGGCCTGAGCAGGAGGGGGAAAGTGGAGAAGGGAGTGGAGGGGAGCAGTGCAAGTTTCAGGTTCAAAGTTCAAAGTTGCACCCAGAGGCACATGGAGCCCTGTGGGGAAGGATGACTTCCCTTCTTGCTCCTTCTCCCTGTCCCCTTCACATCCAGCTCAGGTGGACTCTACCATTTTAGCCTGTAACAATTTTAAAATTCTGGCTCCCACTCGGACAAAGAAGCTGAATTAGTATTATGGATTAGTCAGTGACTCCTAAGATCCTGTAAGACTGAGTTCTTCTAAAAATCTGTGTGTGTGAAACAAACAGCTCACAGAAATACTGCAGTGTGTGTGTTTCTGGGTACACATGCAGACTTGACAGATTGGTGTTGCTTTGCTTGGACTGTGTCTAGTTATATGAAAGTAAGGAAGGCCTTATTTGGTAGCTTTTATCTCGCAGGGGCTCCCAGGAAAATGTACAGTATTTGTTGGGGCCAAGTTACAGTGAATTACTTGATATCAAATTTACAGTTTTCTATTTTCTTTTGTTGTTGTTGTTTTGTTTTGTTTTTGAGACGGAGTCTTGCTCTGTTGCCCAGGCTGGAGTGCAGTGGCGTGATCTTGGCTCACGGGTTCAAGTGATTCTCCTGCCTCAGCCTCCCAAGTAGCTGGGATTACAGGCACCCGCCACTACACCCGGCTAATTTTTGTATTTTTTAGTAGAGACGGGGTTTTGCCATGTTGGCCAGACTGGTCTTGAACTCCTGACCTCAGGTGATCCGCCCACCTCGGCCTCCCAAAGTGCTAGGATTGCAGGCGTGAGCCACCATGCCTGGCCCTTACAATGTTTCTTGTTGCTTCTTTTCTCCAATATATACATATTTTTATGAAACACTGTACCTGCAAGTCACTAACAACCTACTGTATGATTTGCAGCCAAGAGGTTTCTCAGGATGTCTGGGTTGTAGCTCAAGTCAAGGGTAGGGTGACATTCTTTACAATGTAACCTGAGACCTTCTTTTCCTAGATATTCTTACTCAAAAGACTAAAATGAAAACATATGTAGAACACCTAAGATTTAAAAAAGAAAAAAACCACTTCCATTCTCCTCCATCTGTAGTTATAATAGCAAAATAAAATTATCTTTTGAATCTATCCCAGGAGTACTTGTGAAAAGTAAAAAAAAAGTTTACTTACTTTTCTCGGCAATGGCAGCTTGTCTGTGGTTGAGAGAAACGAACAAACAGACGAAGAATTTTGTGTTAGTGTTACTTCAAAGTAGCTAAACTTGACGACATTTTCCTTGCCTCAGAGACATTTTGCTGTTCAATATAACAATGGGAAGTGCTGCTTCTACTGTACTTTCTGAAATAAAAGGCTCTTTCTAACACTCAGAGGGGCGAGCAGCATGCAAGCTTCCCGGGAAATTAGTGCATGCAAGTGGCATTTGCTAGGACCAGGGACTTACTTCAACCTCTGGAATTCAGCATAGGCCTCATCGTATGCTTTAAAAGAAAAAAGAAAAGTTAGAATTTTCTCACCCAGAATTGATGACACACAGGGGCGATTAAAATTCACAACTGGAGATTGCTGTGATCGGTCCAGACATGACTAAACCGACTTTGATTAAGACTGTGCTTATGTGTTCACTCCACAGCTTAATGTACTTAACAAGGCCAGGAAATACATTGTAGGCACAAAATATGAAATAGTAGATTTTAGAAGCTTTCAACTCAGCAAGAGGGCTTCAGCCCCTCAAACGGAAAGGCAAAGATTAACTCCAACAAAGAAAAAATGGGAATAAAAGTCTGTTTCTTTTCTTTTTTTGAGACGGAGTCTTGCTGTGCCCAGGCTGGAGTGCAGTGGTGCAATCTCGGCTCACTGCAACCTCCACCTCCCAGGTACAAACGATTCTCCTGCCTCAGCCTCTCAAGTAGCTGGGGCCACTCAAGTAGCATGCGCCATCACACCCAGTTAATTTTTGTGTTTTTAGTAGATACGGGGTTTCACCATTTTGGGCAGGGTGGTCTCAAACTCCTGACCTTAAGTGATTTGCCCGTCTCGGCCTCCCAAAGTGCTGGGATTACAGGCATGAGCCACTGCGCCCAGCCATAAAAGTCTGTTTCAAAGAAAAGCTGGTTGTTGAGTAAACATCCTGAGTGTCAAACAAAAAGGAAAACAAAAACTTTGTCTTATTAAATTATCCCAGACATCAGAGCCTCCTAGATAGGCAGTTAACTCTCTTTCTGTTATGCTGTCTGGTCTGTTTGGGCAAAAAAGCACAATGAGTTACTGTAATCACAGAGGGTGCTGGTGCTTGCCTGAAGCAATGTTTCTTATGCCATGATGGAGAGGGGATGAAAGGCAAGTGGGACAAGAAAATGAGATCTATATAGTTCTCAAATAATTTTTTTCTGTGCCTGCCGAGTAAGCCACTTTGATTAAAGATTCAAGCAAAATGGCAGCTTTTTTTTTTTTTTTGAGACGGAGTTCTGTCACCAGGCTGGAGTGCAGTGGCGAGATCTCGGCTCACTGCAACCTCCACCTCCCCAGTTCAAGTGATTCTTCTGCCTCAGCCTCCTGAGTAGCTGGGACTTCAGGCACCCACCACCATGACCAGCTAATTTTTGTATTTTTTGTAGAGACGGGGTTTCACCACATTGGCCAGGATGGTCTCGATCTCCCGACCTCGTGATCCACCCGCTTTGGCCTCCCAAACTGCTGGGATTACAGGCGTGAGCCACAGCTCCCAGCCTTGTTTTTTTTTTTTTTTCAAGAGACAGGGTCTTGCCGTTGCCCAGGCTGGAGTGCAGTAGTGCAATCATAGCTTGAGGTAGCCTCGAACTCCTGGGCTCACATGATCCTCTTACCTCTGCTTCTCGAGTAGCTGGGACTATAGGTGTGTGCCACCACACCTAGCTATTTTTACATTTTTTTTATTTTGTAGAGACAGGGTCTTGCGATGTTGTCCAGGCTGGTCTTGAACTCCTGGGCTCAATCGATCCCCCTGCCTCAGTCTCTCAAAATGTTGGGATGACAGCTGTGAGCCACCATGTCTGGCAGGTCGCTTCATTTTGAAATCCCTCTCACCTCATTTTTAATCTCCTCAGTGGTCTAGGAATCATATTTTAAGTCTAGAGAATGCTTAGATAATACTAGTTTATTCCCTCATGTTACAGATGGGAAAAATAAGTATAAAGCTAGGCTTACAGTTGCTAGTCCTGATTTTTTCTCATCTGTAAAATGAAGGGTAGACCAGTTAGGCGGACCCAGGCTGAGGTTAGTGCTTCCTCTTGTCCCCGCACCACTCTGACAGAGAGGTGGGAATGGCCGAGCCAATCTGTGCTTGGTGGCAGTGGCAATGCTGGTAGGACAATCTACAGCCTTTTCCTTAAAAGGGATTTCAGAGTGGTGTAGTTAAATAAGCTTTGGTGAACCAGAGAGTAAAAATAAAATTTAAAAAAATTAAACATTTTCCACCCACTGACTGCCTCCCTTTTTCCATTGTGTTTCACATTGTCAGATGGAGTGTGGAATGAATCCCCTGTCACTGTGCACTTGTGATGCAGGCAAAGTGTGTCCTAGAAAGTCCGCGTCCCTCTGGAGCAGCTGCTCCCATTACTGAAAGGTCCTGCAGCGAGTCTTTCTAGTCGCCGTGAATGGGTGAGGTGAAGACAAGGGGATTCAGCACCAAAAACACTCACAGCAGGGCTGAAGGGCGACGCTCTAAGTGATGAATCTGCTCTCTGAGGTTGAGAAAACCTGAGTTACTGCATATTGAGGTTGTATTTTTTTTTTTTTTTGAGACAGAGTCTCGCTCTGTAGCCCAGGCTGGAGTACAGTGGCGTGATCTCAAATCACTGCAACCTCCGCCACATGGGTTCAAATGATTCTCCTGCCTCAGCCTCCCAAGTAGCTGGGATTACAGGCATGTGCCACCACAGCCAGCTAATTTTTGTATTTTTAGTAGAGACGCGGTTTCACCATGTTGGCCAGGCTGGTGTCGAACTCCTGACCTCAGGTGATCCACCCGCCTCAGCCTCCCAAAGCGCTAGGATTACAGGCATGAGCCACCATGCCCACCTGAGATTGTATTTTAAAATGAAGTGGAGGAAAAGTTAGTCCACAGTTGTCTTTATTAACTTTAATACAGTATAGACTATTTTATTTTATTTATTTTTTATTTTTTTAGAGACAGAATCTTGCTCTGTTGCCCAGGCTGGAGTGCAGTAGTGTGATCTTGGCTCACAGCAGCCTCAACCTCCAGGGCCCAAGTGATCATCCTAGCTCAGCCTCCTGAGTAGTAGGGATTATAGGCATATGCTACCACACTTGGCTAATTTCTTAAAATTTTATATTTGAAGAGCTGGGGCCTCACTATGTTGCCCAGACTGGTCTTAAATTCCTGGCCTCAAGTGATCCTCCCACCTTGGCCTCCCAAAGTGCTAGGATTAAAGGCCACCATGCCGGCAGACTATTTTATTTTTGTAAGAAAGAATAAGATGAAGAGTATAGTTCTGGGAAAGGGATAAATGGTCCAGTATTTTTTTTGACTTTTTGCTTATAAGTGAGCATTTTTAATATTTATTTATTTTTATAGAGATGGGGTTTCACTATGTTGCTACAGGCTGGCTGGTCTTGAACTCCTGGGCTCAACTGATTCTCCTGCCTCCCACAGTAACTGGGACTACAGGTGTGTGCCACTTTACCCAGCTACTTTTTTTTTTTTTTTTTTTTTTAGAGATGAGATTTTACTCTGTTGCCCAGGCTGGTCTTGAACTCCTGACTTCAAGTCATCCTCCTGCCTTGGCCTCTCAAGGTGTTGGGATTACAGGCATAAGCCACCATGCCCAACTCCCTTCATTCCTTTTAAAAGGCTCATTCATCTAGAGTAAATTTGAATCTGCAAAATATCTGTTTACCTTGTCCAGAGAGATCCACTGTCTTCTGATGTCCAGTTTTGCCATCAAAGAGCTCCATGACATACTTCCCTTTGTCATTCGGGGTGGGCTCGTTGATTTGTAGCCAGATCTGCTCTCCAGTGACCCCGGTCTTAACTCTGTCTGAGTACCTAATGGCGGACCCACTGTGAAAATCGAAGAAAACTTCCTTAGCATTTGCTTCCATCCAGGGCTGATCTTTACTTTGTCTCTCATTGAAGCTCTTGCCATAAAGTTTTGTAGGCTTTCAAAAAACGAGGGATCTGCATATGTTATTCTTCTGCTTCAGAAAAATTATGGGCCATGACACACAGAACCGGGATTCCAGGGCCCAAGGTGTGACAGTCTGAACATTTATTTGTTAATAACTCCTCATAGCAGTCTGAGGCCCAGTGCAAATCACAATACTAATACTTCTCGGTGGCATTAATTATCTTTGTTTTTGTTTGGGTTTATTTGTAGGACTAGGGTAATCTATAAAGCTAAAAGGCCAAACTACATACTATTTTACTGCATATTTCATCTAGATAATCTATGGCTATAAATCAGATTCTACAAGCTAGTCCAAAAACACACTTATGGAGGCTCATCTGTGCCTGACATCTATTGACATATGTTGTTAGAAAGCTATTTAAAACAGATAAATATGCACTTGGTAGTAGAGCCAAGAGTGAATGAAAAGCAGAGTTGCCGCCAACACGAATGAGGCATGTTCTCTGTCCCGGGATGTGAGTTTCTCAGAATTCTACAGTAGGTCATGAGCAGACCCATGCAATATATTCTCTGCAAGAGAATATTAGGAAATACAACCCTTTTTTGTGTGATCTTGGTGTAGAAATACTACAGATATAGACGAACTAAGAGAAAGCTAGGTAGATGTACTTTTAATTATGTTAAAAGAAACTTTATGAAGAAGTTATTAAAACTGAGGAAATGTTTAAAAAGTGGCATACAAAATGACGTTAAAAAGTGGTATATAAAATGACGTTATTATAGTAACCATCATGCATAGAAAAAAGGCTAGCAGGAAGTACCCTAAAATGTTCATATTATGGCTGGTAAAACTATGGATACTATTATATTATAGTTTTTTCTAATTTATATTATTATAAATGTATTTTCTGAAACAAGCATGTCTTACGTCTGTTGTAATAAACAAAATGAACTTTGGAAAACATAGAAAAACAAATTTTCTGGCTGGTCACGGTGGCTCACACCTGTAATCCCAGCACTTTGGGAAGCGGAGGCAGGCGGATCACCTGAGGTCAGGAGTTCCAGACCAGCCTGGCCAACATGGTGAAACCCTGTCTCTACTAAAAACACAAATACTAGCTGGGCATGGTGGCATGTGCCTGTAGTCCCAGCTACTCAGGAGGCTGAGGCAGGAGAATCGCTTGAACCCGGGAGGCGGAGGTTGCAATGAACCGAGATCACGCCATTGCACTCCAGCCTGGGTGACAAAGTGAGGCTCCATCTCAAAAAAAAAAAAATTTCCTACCTAAAAGCTTTTAGCTTTCTAATATTTAGCATTTTTAATAATATTACATTTTTTAAATAACATTATTTATCTAAAAAGATATTAAAAATAAAGATGCCATAAAATGTAAAGACAGATTTTGGCATGAGCAATAGATGTGTCTTAGAGAGTTAAACAGGGCCGGGCGTGGTGGCTCACGCCTGTAATCCCAGTACTTTGGGAGGCCGAGGCAGGTGGATCACGAAGTCAGGAGTTTGAAACCAGCCTGGCCAGCATGGTGAAACCTCGTCTTTACTAAAAATACAAAAATTAGCCAGGCATGGTGGCACACGCTTGTAATCCCAGCTATTTGGGAAGCTGAGGCAGGAGAATTGCTTGACCCTGGAGGCAGAGGTTGCAGTGAGCCGGGATCACGCCACTGCACTCCAGCCTGGGTGACAGAGTGAGACTCCGTCTCAAAAAAAAAAAAAAAGAGAGAGAGTTAAACAGAAAGATTGTCCTCTGCTTTGCTATAATAAATCTGTTTTAAATCTTTAATCTCTGGGTAACATGAATAAGGGTACCTTACATCTGTAATGTGCTTCCGATGGAATAGGTACTATTGGTCCTATTTTATATAAGAGAAAACTGAGATTCAGAAAATTAAATGACCTGTCTAAGATCATAAGGCAAGATAGGAACAAAGTGAAGACTAAAATCCGTTTCAAGGGTTTTTTTCCCCTCTATGCCACATACAGACAGCAAAGACCATCCTTATCCCTGAATGTCATAGGTACACGGAAACACAAGAGACATAATTGATTGACTAGACCAAATAATTAAGATACTTATGCTTTGCTGGCCTAATAGCAATTTCCTCAAAACATACTTTCAGTGTTCTCATTTTTGAACAAGTTAATTCTTTTAGAGAAGATATAAAGCTTTTTGATTGATGATTCAATGAATTTTACTTCTCTCATTCTTCAGACTGATATATTAGAATGTCCTAGATGCCACAGAGGAATTTCCTGGAATTTGATCTATTTTAGCTAATAATTACTTTCCTAAAATGTATTCTGAAAGAAACAGAACAAAGGAATAAGCCCCAAGCATTCTACATTGGAATTTTACTAATTCTCATTTTTATGACTCAGGAAATAATAAATCATAATACTAACGAAAACACTGTTTTATATAACAGTAAAGTCATCTTAAAGAAAACACAAATGGCTGCTTTGTGGGGCCTGGCTCTGGCTAACTGTTCAATCTAGCCCAGTGGTCCCCAACCTTTTTGGCACCAGGGACCGGTTTCATGGAAGACGATTTTTCCACAGACCAGGTCGGGGGTGGGTTTGGGGATGACTCAAGCACATAACATTTATCATCAGATTCTTATAAGGAGCGCACAACCTAGATCCCTCGCATGCGCAGTTCACAATAGGGTTCGCGCTCCTATGAGAATCTAATGCCGCAGCTGATCTGACAGGAGGCGGAGCTCAGGTGGTCATGCTCGCTCCCTCGCCCACCACTCACCTCCTGTTACACGGCCCAGCTCCTAGTAGGCCACGGACTGGTACCGGTCCATGGCCTGGGGTTTGGGGATCTCTAATCTAGACTTCACACGGCTGGAATCCAGTGGCAGGTAGTACCATGATGAACCGGGCTCTGGAGCCAGGCTGCCTAGGCTCAGCCTTGACCTACCTCTTAGCTGTGTGACCTTAGGCCGGTCACCTCCCCGAGCCCTAGCTCCCTCATCCCTCAAGTGAGGAGCACCTACCATGTAGAATGGTGAATGTGAAATGAATTCACATATGTAAAGGGCTTTGAGCAGTGCCCCCCATATTGTCAATGCCACTGAGGGTACAGTGTAAGGAAACTTATTATCTGCACCCTCCTGGGGATGCCATGTGACCTTCTTCTCAGTGGGGCTCCTAGGAACATTTGCAGTTTGGAACATTTGCATCCTGAAGTTGGACTGAATGTGGCTACATTCCATTGGATTATCTTTGCCAGGCCTCCGTTCTCTTTCAGCTCAGGATATTTCAAGGAAACACAGAGGTTAAGGACACTGTCAAGAGTGTAAATGGGAGGCCTGGTTTGATTTGGAAACTGATTTCAGCTCTTGGAATCCCAGAAGTGAACTTGAATAGAGTCCCTGTATAACTGCACAGAGGTTCAAACTCACCTTCCCCAAAGTCAACTTGAGATCTCCAAAGCCTTCTGAGAGTGGACCAGAAACATGCTAATGTCTCACTCTGCCAGATGCTATAACAACAACAATAATCTTGGGCACTCGTTGGATTAGGCTTCTTTGGTGAATGCCCATTCATTCATATCATGGGAAATTTGGTGCCTCCTGGTGCACACTGCTTCATTTCTGTTCCAGACCACAGATGTGTTAACCGTGTGTATAGAAAGAAAGGTAAGAATGTGGCTCCAGATGCCTGGCACAGCAGAGAGAGCCCAAGCATGACTGTCTGGAGGTGGAGGCTGCATTATAGAGATGTCTATGAATTATGGTACTTCTTAAATCACAAAGAAAGATGTACTGTAACTATGACTGGCCTCAGCATGTACATGTTGAGGGAAAGAGCTAACCTCACAGTAACAGAATGCCTTGGATGTTTATCTCCTGGGCTCACCAATGTCAGACTTGAGAATTAAGAAGACTCCTTACTTGAGAAGAACAGAAAAATTTTTTCCCTATCCTCCCCTCTTCCAGTGGGGAAAGAATTTCTTTTTCTTTCTTTCTTTTCTTTTTTCTTTTTCTTTTTCTTTTTTTTTTTTTTTTTTTGAGACAGTGTCTCACTCTGACACCCAGGCTGAAGTACAGTGGTGCAATCTCGGCTCACTGCAACATCCGCCTCCTGGGTTCAAGCAATTCTCATGCCTCAGCCTCCCCAGTAGCTCAGATTACAGGTGTCTGCCACTGCGCCCAGCTCATTTTTTTTTTTTTTTTTTTTTTGTATTTTTAGTATAGACAGGGTTTCACCATGTTGGCCAGGCTGGTCTCGAACTCCTGACCTCAAATGATCCACCTGCCTCGGCCTCCCAAAGTGCTGGGATTACAGGTGTGAGCTGCCGCGCCTGGCAGGGAAAGAATTTCTACACAGCAAGTAAGTTCTCATTTACTTACTTGTGGGACCAGTTAACTTTCAAATCCTCCACATAGTAAGTTACAAAAGAGTACAGTTGGATGCCCTCGGCTGTGCTCTGGATTTTCAGGTCTGTAGCAGACAAAGCTGAAAGAAGAAAATAGCATATTTCATACATCTGCATGCCCCTCCTGGCAGGAGGATCATAAAGCATTGTTGTGGTGCGAAATGTTTGACTCACCTATTTTTTTGCATACTTCCATCATCAGTTCCTTAAAGGCTGTGGAGAGAGATTCAGAGCCAAAACTTTAGCATAAAAATTCTCAATGTAAGGTTAAATCTCAAATTCTTAGCTCTCAAAAATTCCCTTTCTGGTTGAAAGGAAATGGAAACAAGGTGAATTTGTCGACCCACTGATAATGAGTATTCTTTGAGGAAATAGTTCAATTTTATCAGGTTTTAAAAGATCCCTGCTTATTTTGATTTTTTTTCCCTTGAATTCTTTGTCACAATCGCCATATTTACATTCTAGAGAAAGGGCCACAAGAGATTTCTAGGAAGGTTCTTGGCTTTGGGATTCTCTTTCTTCTTAATTCCCAGGAAGCCTTAGTTTACATTAGAGGACATTTTCTTAGCCGTGTCATCGATTCATAATGAATTAACCATGTAGGTCTCCTGGCCTTCATCAGCCTGATAATGCTTTTTGCCAATAAACACATTTAGCCCCACTTCCACCCAAAGTAGGAAGGTGAAATTAGTCAGACTTCTGCTGTTTGTTAGCAATATTGTTTTAAAAATCTTGTTCAGGAACAAAATTGTAAGTTTGGAGTTCCCATGTAGATTTTCATCATCATGATATATTTGTCCTTAGTAGTCTCTGAAAAATGGAATTTGCTTTCTTGCTGTGCTAAAAACTGCAAGGCTTCACATTTCATATATAAATCTTGCTTGCTACCTTTAGAGTGGACTATTTTTTGTCATGCTTCTCACAGAAGTTTTTGAGCCTGGAACATTTTTATAGAGTTGAAACAAAAATGATTTAAATTGAAAACAGATCCCTTGTGGACTCTGGACTATAAATTCTCTAAGGATCAAAAATACACTTCTGATTTCGAAGATGACTAGAAGTGAGGTATTTTTGAATAAAACAGTTCACTCTGTTGGAATTTCAATTAAGCCAAAATCTGTGGACAAAAAAAATCAGCATGATTTCAATCGTCAGCTCGGCCTCAATCATCATTCTGGTAAGCTGTATGCAGAAACACACAAGACAGACCCCAGCAGTTGGTGGACTGACCTTCATCCACAAGCTTCAGTCTGCTCTTATCTTTTCCTCGGTCATCTTTCAGGATAACTTCATAAATCCCAGCATCTTTCTTGGAAAACTAAGGGGGAATAGATATACCACATTGCACCTTTCGTAGCCCCAGGGCACGGTATCTGTGATTTTTTTTTTTCTTCTGCTTCTTCTGCTGCTGCTGCTTTTTTTTTTTTTTTTTTTTTTTTTTTTTTTTTTTTTTTTTTTGAGACAAGGGTCTCACTCTATCAGCCAGGCTGGAGTGCAGATGTGTGATTATAGCTCACTGTATCCTTGAACGCCTGGCCTCAAGCCTTGACCTACCAAAAGCACTGGGATTACAGGTGTGAGCCACTGCACCTCACCTGCTATCTGCATTTTTAAAGGCCCTTGATTTACAGAATTGCCATCAAAACACTCTTTGAACAAGCATCTAACTTGTGAGTGGTGAACCGTTCACAGATGCAGAGATGCACCTCTCCATAATAATTTGACCAGCGAGCTAGCAGTCCTGACTTTTTACCTTCCAAGGCTGTAATTGATATGAGGCTTAATGTCCTTACTTTTTACTCTGCCTTCATTTATTAAAAACTAGTGATCACTAGTTTTATAGTGATATATTTAAATGCTGTGCTCTTTTAGACAAGAAGTAGATAAAAATCTATCCTTAAATGAATACCATGTCTGATGTCTCTGTACTTTTAGGACCACGAGGCTTAAGCACAAATGAAGAATGATCCACTTCACTGCCCATATATGGATAAAAGCAACTCAGAAAAGCAAGAGTTGTGGCATTCAGCTCATACTGGTTTGCTACCTAACAAATCCACACACATCACAAGGTTAGAGAAGCTTTTGTGTTCCTACAGCAGTTGGAAGTAAGCTAATATAAATCCCCTGGTCATGAAAGGAATACAGAATCTAGTTACTGTTTTGGGGTAAGATAGAGGGTAGAGAGCTAATATATTACATTTTACATTTATAATCGCCTACCTCTGTTATAAGCAGGGTACATATACCATCCTTAAAGTCATGCTTTTCATCCACTGATATCTCCCTCTCATCTTTGTACCACACAATATGAGTCTCCTTCTTAATATTTGCCACCTAGGAGAAAAACCATAATTACTTTTCTTAAAATAAGAAAGTGTACTCTTGTGAAGTTGAATAGTTCTTAATGCAGCAAGATATAAAAGAAAAAGCACTGAACGTGGAGTGAGAAGACACAGATTTCTAAAGGAATGAATTGAAAACTATTTTAATTGAGAAAAGAGTTTAGAATCAAGTGGACACCAATGAATAAACCTAAATCAATAGCATCTCTATTTCCAGCAGTGAAAATTGACTCTAAAATCATGTGGTAGGAAAGAAAAGAGAGAATAGATACATTCATACTGACATACAAACTTAAATGAAAATAGAAGTCACAAAACCAAAGGGAGAAAAATCCCATCAGATTAAAATACAGGCTGTGTTACAAAAACAAATGGCTTTATTAAAGGAACAGAATGAGTAAGCGCCAATCTATATCTAAAAGTTTAATGAAAGATAAATGAAGCATTGCAAATATATGTGGAGGGGAGGTATGCTAAGTAAATTAATTACTTAGCAATTTCGAGGAGACTCACTTAGATACACTAATCTTCTCATCATATCATCTATTTCAAATGGACTAAACAACTGCATATGGTTAAAGGGATCTTGAGTTTCATCTACAATGCTTGAATTTTTTTTACAAAGGAGAATATACTCATGTATTTCTTGTATAATTCAAATTGTATGAAAAAGTAAAGACTTCCTACAAATCAAGAAAACCGTCTCAAAGACCCCACTGAATAATGGGTGAAAACTACATACCATTCCCCAAAGAGAAAATACAACCATAAAACCAACAGACAAAGACAATGTTGTCTCATTATACGTGACAATATACAGGTTTTAAAATGTGAAACAATTTCAGCTAATAAATAAACATAGGAACCACCCTGGCAACTGTAGTGAAACCACTACACACAATCATTCTTTATGACCCTGGAAACTGGTTCCTGAATTGTAGAAAGTGTGTTACCAGCTGACATTGCTTACGATAAAAATGACCTCGATTGGAAAGCTGTGTCTGGACCCAGAGGACTAGAAATGCACTCCGCAGCTTTGGGCTTTGCTGAGTACATTGCTCATGAAATTTGGACACATCCCTTGTGTGGATCCCAGAAGCTCTGTTTAGGCAGTTGTTAGAAAAGATACTAGTTCCTCAGGGCATGAAGTTTTTTTGGGCTTTTTTTTTTTTTAAAGCCGTGGTGACTTCCTGCACCTGCCCAAAGTGGATCTTGTCTCCTTGCATCTGAGCTTTCTGTTGTCCGGGATGGCAAAGGTCATAGCTCCACATGTGGACTCCTGAGGGAGAGGAAGGTCCCAGTGTGCAAGCTAGGGTTCCTCCTACGTTCTTTTTTTTTTTTTTTTTTTGAGACAGAGTCTCACTCTATCACCCAGGCTGGAGTGCAGTGGCATGATCTCGGCTCACTGCAACCTCAGCCTCCCGGGTTCAAGTGATTCTCCTGCCTCAGCCTGCCAACTAGCTGGAACCACAGGTGCCTGCCACCATGCCCAGCTAATTTTTGTATTTTTAGTAGAGACGGGGTTTCACCATGTTGGCCAGGCTGGTCTTGAAGTCCTGACCTCAAGTGATCTGCCTGCTTTGGCCTCCCAAAGTGCTGGGATTACAGGCATGAGCCACCGCTCCCTGCCCCTCCTACTTTTTATTTATTTATTTTTTTTTTTGAGTAGACTAGCGCCAAGCAAGACCCACGATACTCCAGTGAGTCTGAATGATTCGCTGCGCATACTCCATGAACTGTAATGCGACACGTGAGTGGCTAAATTTACAGGAATTGCCACAGTAACGGAACAAAGAGCTATGCGAAGACAGAGGAAGCGGGAGGCCTTCTAGAGATGACTGAGCTGGGCCTGGGAAAGGATTTTGTCAGAGAAGCTGAAAGAACGTCATTCCAGGCATTGGAACGACAGCATAACAGAACTGTGTGAATATTCACAATCCATTTCCAGACTGCCCTTGGTTGCTCAGAATCTGGGTATGGGGCTGATTGTCCTGAGGAAGGCCATCACAGGACACCAGAGCTCCTCTGGTGCAGAGGGAAACAGCAAGCGCAGAAGGCGAGGGATGTGTGGGCTTTTGAAAAAGGATAGCTTATAGGGAGGGGCCACGCAAATGAAGAAGTGAGTGGGACAGCAAGACGGAGCAGCTGGGATGAGAGAGAAGGTGAGGGCTTCAGCTGCTGCCAGAGAAAGAGTTTTTCAAGCAGCGTTGCCATTTCCTGTGAGGCTAAAACCTAGAACTGATTTTCCTTATATGTATTTCTGATAGACTGCTGTTTCTTTGAGTTTATCACATCTAGTAGACACTGGGGCACTTGGGTTCTGGCTTTTATCATGACAATTGTGAAATCCAGACCAAATGCCACACCTATGCTTCCACCTGTCCTTGTCAGCCAGCAGGACCTTCACGCTCCAACCTCACCCACCGGTTCCTTACCCAAAACATTTCTGATGACTCAGCTACACACCACATGCTAAAGTACAAACTTGTTTAGAATGCTGTATAGAATTTTTTTTTCCTGAATCTTTCCAAAGTCCTAATAAGACAATTGGTTGTGAGCTGCCAACTCTTTTCCACATGTCTCCCTTGGAGTCAGTGGCACAGCTGGGGAATACCCAGGGGTATTGTTGCACCAGCCTCACAATTTACATGGCAAGGTCCACGAAACATTGCAGCTGGAGTGATTCTGGAATAGGTCTATGACTTAGAATACAGATTTGGCTTAAAACAAAAACGTGAGAGTCTTTGGAGATTACTAATTAGATAAAAGTCTAGGGTGTTACTAACTAGATCATGAGTAGTGACTAGGAATGATCACCTTGCCTTGTCATATTTTATGTCATTTTATTTTAAATCTTTCTTATCAACAAATGGTTACAGTAACATTGAACAGTAAATATGTGTCCCACTTATCATTTTGGCTCAGATGGAAGAGATGAAAAATTGAGCTTCCTCTTCTCTACATTCTATTTTATTTCCCTTGAATCAAATATTAAAAATTTATCTACCTCTTACCTTGCATTTCAATAGTACATTACATTCACCAGTCACTTCCCAGCTCAAATACTCAACAAAGTGAGGACCTATAAAATTTTAATGACATTAGCAATTACTCTATTAATCACAAATGCAAAATCAAAGCTCACACTTAAGTCCTAAGGTGATTTACATCTGAAGTCAGATTTTTAAAATTCTAGATTTAGCTTTTAAATATTTTAATGTCTACATATTTAACAGTAAATATTTTTAATTATTTTAATTTACTAGGCATTATTAACATAATCAATAATATTCATTTTAATTTGTTATGGAAATAACCTTGGAATCTTTTGTACAAAAAAATTAAAAATTTTCTCTTTATCCACGGCCTATTTTTACCTTGTTTCCTGATCCATTCTTGCCGCTGGAATTCAGCTTCTTTCTGGAGCTTTTTGAAAACTACAAATTGAAAAACAAGGAAGTGTGAAATTGAGTTGGGTGGTATAAATGCACATGTCAGCCACTGCACTAAGTGATTTATATTCATTATTGTAACACTCATACATTGTGACAACCCTGCTCATTTTTTATCTTTATAGATGAAGAAATAGGCTTAGGAAGGTTAAATAAATTGTACAAGGTCATAAAGCTAGGAAACAGTGACATAATATTGGATGTTGCAAATACAGAGATCTGGCCGGCCTTTCCATTGCCTTCGTAACTGCCACATTTTAAATCTGGGTGGTAGTAAGTGAGCAGCTGATTTACTACAATCCAGTTACAATGTATGATTAGTAGATTCGGCAGGCACTACTTTTGCATATTTTTCTTCTCAATTTTAGTAATTTACAGTAAGTACACGTGGCAAAACAGTCTCATGGTTTGTTTCTGAGACACATACAGTCTTTGTTGTATTGCAATCTCCCTCACTGGAGAATTTTAGCAATAAACATTTGTTTATATATGAAAGTATTTAAACGCAGTCTTGCCTGTGAGCTAGGAATAAATTTGGTGTTCCTTTAAATTCACTTTCATTTCCATGAAATAAAATACCATGTAAAGTATTAACTGAAAACTGTATTTTTTTTTTTTTTTTTTTTGAGACAGGGTCTCACTCTGTCCCCCAGGCTGGAGTGCAGTGGTGCGATCTTGGCTCACTGCAATCTCTGCTTCCCGGGTTCAAATGATTCTCATGCCTCAGCCTCCCAAGTAGCTGGGACTACAGGTGCACACCACCATGCCTGGCTAATTTTTGTATTTTTAATAGAGGCGGGGTTTCACCATGTTGGCCAGGCTGGTCTTAAACTCTTGACCTTAGGTGATCCACCCGCCTCGGCCTCTCAAAGTGCTGGGATTATAGGCATGAGCCACCGCGCCCAGCTGAAAATTGTATTTTGAACATTAGAAGTCAATTAAGAAAAAATTCCTACTACCTTTCAAATAACAACTTTTGTGCCATGGGGTACTTAGATTGAAGGGAGTAGCAAAGCCTGCTGGTTAATGTTCCACGGAATTCTTACCATCTCCAACGAGAACAACAGTAGAATGGTTAGTTGCTTTTCCATCTTGAAGCTGGAAAGTGTACGTTCCCTCATCCTCATCCTGTAGCTTTTCCATGAACATTTCGATGATGCCAGTGTTTCGGTCAATATGCATTTTATATTTCTTCAGTGTGAAAAGAAAATGACAGAGAAATCACTGAGGCATATATTTTACTTGGAATGACAACAAGCTTGATGAAATAAAAATAAACCCCAAAGGCTAGATGCAGTGCCTGTTCATGCCTGTAATCCCAGTACTTTGGGAGGTCGAGGTGGGAGGATTACTTGAGGCCAGAAGTTTGAGAACAGCCTGAGCAGCAAAGCGAGACCTTGTCTATATAAAAATAGAAAAATAGGCTAGGCACAGTGGCTCACGCCTGTAATCCCAGCACTTTGGGAGGCTGAGGTGGGCAGATCACCTGAGGTCAGGAGTTCGAGACCAGCCTGACCAATATGATGAAACCCCGTCTCTACTAAAAACACAAAAATTAGCCTGGTGTGGTGGGATGCGCCTGTAATCCCAGCTACCTGGGAGGCTGAGCCAGGAGAATTGCTTGAACCTAGGAGGCAGAGGTTGCAGTGAGCCGAGATCGCACCATTGCACTCCAGCCTGGGCAACAAGAGCAAAACTCTGTCTAAAAAAAAAAAAACATTGAAAAATTGGTTGGGCATGGTGGTGTGCACCTTTAATCCCAGCCACTCAGATGGGAGGATCTCTTGAACCCAGGAGGTCAAGGCTACAGTGAGCCATGATTGTGCCACTGCACTCCAGCCTGAGCAACAGAAGGAGACCATGTCTAAAAAAAAAAAATTAAACATTAAAAATTAGAATAATAATTTAAATAAAATCTCTTCATAACTGAACAAGTGCTTTATATTCTTATACCCAGGTAAAGGGAAATATTATGTGGAGTTTATGACCTAGACCAGAATAGATTACTAAAAAGTCTGAAATTTAGTTTCTTAAATCTAAATAAAGTTTTGTTACCCCAAGTCACAAAATGTCAAAAAGTTGTCTTTAGACTCTCACATTACCTTCCAGATTACATTATTTATTTATTTATTTATTTAGAGACGGATTCTTGTTCTGTCGCCCAGGCTGGAGTGCAGTGGTGCAATCTTGGCTAATTGCAACCTCGGCCTCCCAGGTTCAAGTGATTCTGCTGCCTCAGCCTCCTGAGTAGCTGGGACTACAGGCGTGTGCCACCATACCCAGCTGATTTTTGTATTTTTAGTAGAGACAGAGTTTTACCATGATGGCCAGGCTGGTCTTGAAGTCCTGACCTCAAGTGATCTGCCCACCTCGGCCTCCCAAAGTGCTGGGATTACAGGCATAAGCCACTGCTCCCGGCCTACATTATTTTTAATGAGTAGAATAATGTAAAACTATAGGCAGCAGAGGCAGGTATCTTGCTCATTCATCGCTATCTCCTTGGCATCTTGCACATACATGGTATATAGTAGTCAATTAATAAATATCTGCTGAACTAATACATGAAAAAAAATGCTTCTAAATGTGTTTACTCTCTCTTTTTAGAGATAGGGTCTCGCTCTGATGCCCAGGCTGGAGTGCAGTGGTGCAATCATAGCTCACTGCAGCCTCGAACTCCTGGACTGAAGCCTCAGGCCTCAGGATCTTGAGGCTAGGACTACAGGCACACACCACTATGCCTCACCAATTTTTAAAAATTTTTTGTAGAGATGAGGTTTCACTATGTTGCCCAAGCTGGTTTCAAACTCTGAGCCTCAAGTAATTCCCCTGCCTTGGCCTCCCAAAGTGCTGGGATTACACGTGTGAGCCACCATGACTGGCCCTATTTGCTCTTAATGAATGGAAATAGCCCTATTAGACTATACTTATTTTATCATATTGTTTAGACAACTTTTTTTTTTCCCAGAATGTAAAGATAAGTTTTAGTTGCTAGGCATGCAAGCACAAATACCATGATGGATTTGAATTGGTTAACTTTTGCTATATATAAAATGTCACAGAATGAAGGCTCAGGTCTGGGATGAACTCTGTGATGCAATTCATGCTCCCGAGCCTCACCTGCAGGAAGTCAGTCTCCAACTGAGACCACATTTTTGCTTAGCATCCCCCCATCCTATCCTGCTCCCCAACAATAAATCACTTGAACGAGAAACTACTTCAGACTCTCTTTCTAAGAAACTTAAGAGAGCAGCTGCATACCCTCAAGGCAACATGTATGCACGCTTGAACACGTGAAGGGGAGTACGTCTATATGCACATATGCATGAATGTTCACTCAATGGCTGTGGGGTGATGAGTGAGGCCAACAACACTTTTCCTTCCTCTCCCCTGACCAGGTGGTGATCACAGCAGTCGAGGGAACATTTTGAAAGTGGAGAGGAGACGGGTCGCAGTGGACACAGGAGTCAGGAGTGACTTGTTCTGGCCCCACAGCAAGTCACTCTATGCACTGGAAAGGACTATACTGCATACTCTCCTAATATTCATGGTACTCGTTTCCCTCTCACTAACAAGTCCTCAAATGTTTTAAAAATACATCTCAGTGAAAAGGGAAAGGGTTGCTACTAATGGCCACAAACCACACCTCCTCTGCCCTTTCAGTTTCCCATTTACACCCATGATAGCACAGGTCAGTGCCCCTGAACCCCCAGTTCTTCAGTACTGCTGGGCACTGGCCTGATCTTGACTTGACTGACATCTGTGGGGAGGACAAATAAAACTTAGATGTTGTAACTCTATCTACAAAAACTATGTTTATGTTAAAAGGAAAGGAAAGAGTATTTTATATATATACAAAATCACCTACGTAAATATGACTCAAACAGACGTACACACAGAGAAGCATAGAAAAAAGTCTAAAAAAGTATATACCAATATGTACATCAAAAAGCCATAAGAAGTGTTACAGCTCTTTTAGAATTTGTCTAGCAGGCTTTCCGGTTTTTGCTGGAAAGACTCCCCACCACCACCACCAAATTAAGAAAAGCCGTAAGAATGTGTGATTAGTCCTTTCTGAGTCTTTAATGCTTTTTACAATAAGGATGTATCGTGTTTTTAACCAGAAAAGCAATGAAAGGTATTTTTATTGCATTTTTCAGAGCCATTGGGACAAGAGGCCTATTCTTCATATAATGAATCAAGTCCGTGCTGGGGTGTCCAGTGTGAGTAAGATGTGAATTCAGGGTAGGGTATGGGCTCCTCTGCCTCCCAGGAGAGCCTCTCTATTTTCATGGGGATCATACATCTCGGTTTGCCTGAGACCGTTTTGGTTTATGACTATTTATGACTGTTGTCCTTTCATTCTCAAAGCGTCCCAGTTTGCATAATATGTTATAGTCAATCTGTATTTTCATTTCACAGTTTTCACTTGTGAGAAGGATTTAAACTCTCCCACTCCACCACCCAGCGGTTTTTATAACAACATATCCACATCCACATAAGGCTTCCTCAGTGTATTCTACAATGATACATTAAAAAGTCTAAACAGTGTAAAACCTACCGGGCCTTCAAAAATTTCCTTCTCGTTAAATATGTAGTTGACTTTGGCATTGCCAGACAGTTTCTCAGCCTGCATCCAAAACCGGACCTGGCCTTTCTCCAAAATTTCAACTGCCAACTCTGATTTAACTGGGACAGCTATGAAAAGTAAAAATAAACACAGTAATTATATTGGTAACCAATTATATTGGTACTCATTTTCCATCAAGTGAAAAAAAAAAAAAAACCACACAATGGAAATGACAATGTAGCACCTGCTTCTTGCAAAGCCCAGAGGCAGTGAGAGTTGCAGGGAAAGCCTTAGATTAAAGACAGAGGGACTCAGCTCTGATGCTGGGACTGTCACTTGGAGCAAGTTGTTCATTCTCTTTGAATCATAGTTGTCTCAACTGTAAAAATGAGGAAGATGAACTTACCTCTAGGGGCATAGGGGCACTTGTAGCTAATATCTGTAACTTTCTACTGTGGCTTTTGGTTGGTGTTTTTTCTTTTTCTTTTTCTTTTTTTTTTTGCAATAGGTTCTCACTCTGTTGCCCAGGCTGGAGTGCAGTGGCATGATCTCGGCTCACTGCAACCTCTGCCTCCTGGGTTCAGGCGATCCTCTCACCTCCGCCTCCTGAGTAGCTCACACAACAGTCACGCACCACCACATTCGGCTAGTTTTTTATTTTTCTTTTATTAGAAAGAGACTCACTATGTTGCCCAGGTGGTCTTGAACTCCTAACCTCAAGTGATCCTCCTTGGCCTCCCAAGGTGTTGGGATTACAGGTGTGAGCCACCTCATCTAGTTGGCATGTGCTGTATTTTAAATTAGAAGCTTCCTAAACTTATGTCAAATGTAAATTAATATTTCTTTGTATTTATTTTAAAACTACCCTTTTCAAGTTTCAAGGGATGATTTTCTTTGCATTATTCCATATTCACTACCAAGTTCAGTGTGATACATTCATTCCAATGCAGGACTGAGAGGGGGCTCAGATGTCATCTATTGAGGGGGTTTCAAGGTGGAGAGAAGGTGGGCTTTGGAGTCCCACCAAGATCTGGACCAGTTACTCTCCTCCTTTAGACCTCGTGTCCCTCACCTGCTAACATGGATGTGCTATGAAGAGTAAATATAAGGCCGGGCATGGTGGCTCACGCCTGTAATCCTAATACTTGGGGAGGCCGAGGGGGGCAAATCCCTTGAGGTCAGAAGTTCGAGACCAGCCTGGCCAACATGGTGAAACCCCATCTCTACTAAAATTACAAAAATTAGCCAGGCGTGGTGGTGGGCGCCTATATCCCAGCTACTCAAGAGGCTGAGGCAGGAGAACTGCTTGAACCTGGGAGGCGGAGGTTGCAGTGAGCCGAGATCGCGCCACTGCACTCCAGCCTGGGCAACAAAGTGAGACTCTGTCTCAAATAAATAAACAAACAAACAAATGTAAATATAGTAAGAGAACACATTAAGGTACTGTGAATAGTGGTCTGTGTTCAAGAAGGTTGGTTATCTTCCTCCCCTCACTTTACTGGTCTCTTTACAAAATCTCAACTGCACCCCAGGAGACAGTGGTAACACGTCTGGGTGGTGGAGCTGAGAGCAGGGTCACTCCCTCTCTTCTGTATTCCTCTTGGTCCTCGTTGTCCACACGGTGGTTTTCCAGTGTGAGCAGGATGTCTGAGTGCACCAGGGCAGCAAGGGCAGAGGCTAAGCTTCTCCCTTACAGGATGCTCATGCTTGCTACAACTAAGTCTTGAGGAGAGTAGAAAGCACAATTTCTTCTAAAAATATCTGGAGACCTCATTCTAGGAAACTTACTATGTGAGTGAGGAGGTTACCTAAGAGGCCCAGAGTGATGAGGGAGGAGGAGGAACAGGCCCTCCTGGAAGTCTCCAGCTCCCTTAATGTTCACTGTCCTCCCTGAGTCCTGAGAACATCGTCTGGGGAATGCTGGCCGCCTTGAATGTCCACAGTGGGCACGGAGCAAATGTGGCCGTGCCTACATAGAGATAGCCCACATCACAGTCAGGGGAGCAGGCTCCAGAGGCAGACCACCTGGGTTTAACCAGCTGTTTGCAAATGATCTAGTTACTTAACCTCTCTGGGCCTCATGTTCTTCCCCTCTAAAATCAAATCGCCACAATACCAACCCTTTTAAGGTCATTGTGGAATTCAAATAATATATACTGCTTAAATACTCTATAAAGAGCCTGGCATATAATAAATGCTCTATTAATGTTGGCTGTTAATATTTTGTTATCTCTCTCCTCCTCTAGTTGCTTCTACAACACCCTAGAAACACCATTTTTTTTTTTTTTGAGATGGAGTCTCACTCTGTCACCTAGGCAATGGCATGATCTCGGCTCACTGCAACCTCCACCTCCCAGGTTCAAGAGATTCTTGTACCTTAGCCTCCAGAGTAGCTGGGATTACAGGCGAGAGCCACCACACCTGGTTAAATTTTACAACCACTAATTTTAGAATATAATATGTTGACACCTAAGAGGACACACCAACATATCTGTATTTATGTATACGTGCTTGTGCTTGCCTCCCCACATATAGTGCATGTATACAAGAGGGGTAAAAACCGGTGTCTGCAAATGAAGGGCTATTATGCAGCATGCTGATAATACCAAAGTGTACCCTCCACCCACCCCCTCAAAATACCTTGAATTCTTGGTGTATGGATATATATTCAAATAAGCTATCTTTCCACACTGCAATTTAGTATCAATACTGGCAAGATAGACTAAGTCGATTTCTATTTTTAGCTTTGTGCATTTCTATTTTTTCTATTTACTCAGCTCCAAATTTCCTTAGGCTCTTTTCTCTGGCAGTTAATGTGCCTCAGCGAAATATGTTATTTGTAGGTTTAAGGCACGTGTTTAGTGGTTTTCAAAATAATTTTGAAAACAGCTTAAAATAGGAGAATTTACTGTGCCAAAGGATAAAGGAATACTATACTCTTTATTACATTCTCTAAGAAATAAGACAGTTTAAAACTTTACAAAATCTCAAGAAAACGACTTCATCAACATGCCAGCATTTACCAACAGGAAGTGGGTATGAATCAAGAAATTGCATGTGCTACTTTGATCCTACCACCAGACCTCTGAAGATATTCACCTTGTGACCTCATTGGTCTGATAGTGGTAGGGGAAAGAAAAGAGCTGGAGTTTTAGTATTGAAAAATGTTGCTTCCTTGGGTTAACCAAAACACCCTTGGGTTGGGGGCTCTGATACTTGCATGTCAGAGTTTGTTATTTTGTGATTTTTATACTCATTTTTTTGTGACAGATTCTCACTCTGTCACCCAGGCTGAAGTGCAGTGGCATGATCACGGCTCACTGCAGCCTCCAACTGCTGGGCTCAAGTGATCCTCCCGCCTCAGTCTCTCGAGGAGCTGCGGCCACACCTGGCTAATTTTTGTATTTTTGTAGAGATAGGGTTTCACCATGTTGACCAGGCTGGTCTTGAACTCCTGGGCTCAAGTGATCCTCCCGCCTTGGCTTTCCTAAGTGCTGGGATTACAGGCATGAGCCACCTTGCCCAGCCGAATGTCAGAGTTTTAAT
Organism: Homo sapiens; assembly: GCF_000001405.40. Lineage (NCBI taxonomy): Eukaryota > Metazoa > Chordata > Mammalia > Primates > Hominidae > Homo > Homo sapiens. Next base: position 3,097,725 of record NC_000018.10, read on the forward strand.
CACATTCTCAGGGTCTCTCTACCAAAATGCGACACTGGGTCTCTAATAAAAGGATAACTGAGTTTGCTGCTACCCTCTCTCGTAGCACCAATAATCAGAGTTCTTGGGCTTATGCAAGATAAAATATCTCAGCATAAATGATAATGACATCAGGCAATGCCTACTGCCCGGACTAATTCTCTCTCCAAGTCCATATGAACACTAAACTCCAGGGAGGCCTGGGCATCTTGAGCTCAAAAGTGACACCCCATCTTCTCTCATCTCCAACCTTTAAGCTGAATGTAAATGTTGTTTGGACTAGTTGTTGTCTAGACACTTAATCAATGTTTATTATCTGACTAGATTAGTAGGTGCTGCTGTTTCTCCCCATTTCTGTCAATGTTCGAGAGTAGAAAGTACAACCATCTTATGTAGCTTGGAGACTTCTGCGTTGGGCAGCAGGTTCAGGGATCACTGGTCTGTTTCAATTAATGTTCATATTTTTCCTGAATAGTTCATGGATTCATCAATACCATATTTATTATCTCTTACAGCATTTATTTTATTTTATTTTTATTTATTTTTATTTTTTGAGATGGAGTCTTGCTCTGTCACCCAGGCTGGAGTGCAGTGGCACGATCTCGGCTCACTGCAACCTTCGCCTCCCGGGTTCAAGCAATTATCCTGCTTCAGCCTCCTGAGTAGCTGGGATTACAGGCGCCCACCACCACACCCAGCTAATTTTTTGTATTTTTAGTAGAGATGGGGTTTCACTATGTTGGTCAGGCTGGTCTTGAACTCCTGACCTCATGATCCACCCACCTTGGCCTCCCAAGGTGCTGGGATTACAGGTGTGAGCCACCACACCCCACCCTCTTACAGCATTTCTATATGGGAGGTGCTATAAACCACTGTGATAGCCATTCCTGGAAAAGAAACCAAGGCACAGAGAAATAAAAGTGAGCTGCCCAGGCGCACAGCTTGAGTCAAAAGTCCAGAACAAAGAGAGTCCAGTCCAAACACTTTGCAATACACTTTAGTACTTTCCATAAACTTTTTCAAAATTAACATTTGAAACCTCACTCATGATATTACTTTTCCAGTTTTATGGTGAATAAGCATACAGATGAGAAATGGCTTGCCTAATGCCACATGGTGGCATAGAGGGTTCTTCCCTAGAATTTAGAAGTCTGCGCCCTACAGTCGTGTCTCATGGGCCCTCCACTCTGCTACTTTGCTGAACAAAGTTGGGTTAGTTTTTGTTTTTAGAGATACGGACTCGCTCTGTTGCCCAGGGTGGAGTGCAGTAGCGTGATCATGGCTCACTGCAGCCTTGAACTCCTGGCCTCAAGTGATCCTCTCGCTCCGGCCTCCCAAAGTGCTGGGAGTACAGGTGTGAACCGCTGTGCCCAGCCAAAGTTGGTTTTGAGAACATTACAGCTGAGGCCAATATCACCAGCACTCAGCCTCACTATCAAACAAGTCACTCCTTGCAGATGTAAGAGAAGGTCCGCAATTCATTCTAGAGCAGTGGTGTGTGTTTTTAAATTACAGTCTCCATTGGGGAATTTACTAAAAGTGAAGGATACTCTTCCTAGAAAAATGCACATATATCAATATACAAAGGCTGTTTGTCCATAGTCTGGAATAGGAATATAGTTTTCTGGGTTCCTGAAACTCCTTTATTAGTGGAGGATTTATATTTTAAGTATTAAAATTTCTGATTTAAAAAGAATGGGTGTATACTATCACTTTCTACTTGTTTTCTCAAACTCCAGGGTGCAACTTTCTGGATGCTTCACTACCTTGGCCAGTGGGTACTAATGGCAAGAGATCCCCCCATCTGGCCAGTGGAACCTTCCAAGGGTCATTTCTGACTTCCTTCTCTTCTCTTAGTGTCAAGTGTGGAATTTAATCTTTTATGTAGAAGGTGCTTTATTGAAGGGTTGTACATTGTTCAGAGGGATTCTTTTTCTGACGAAGGCATGTTTGCCCAATTTTCCAGGAGTTGAAAATGGTAGGCACTGTCTTTATATTGTCTTTATTTAGAGGTATGATTCTGCTTTTAAGTGCCAATCTTACTTAGGAAAAGATTAGTTTGCATAAAGACATATAAGTGAATATATCCAGAAAATATATATGTGATTCCAACATATGTGGGCAAAAAGTGAAGAACTTAATTACTCAGATGTTACACCTGTGTAGCCTGACACTTCGCCATGTAATGGAGCATGGGATATATTTTCTATGTTAGTATCCTTGGTATCTCTGGAGAACAACCGCAAAGGAAAAGGCATCACTTCTAGAAAGCACATCTGTAGCTACTGATGTGTGTTCCATTATATGTTCTCAAGAGTCTCTCTCTTAATCCCATCAGAGCTGTCATCTGATCTATTCCAGAAGTTGCTGCCTAGTAAGACTGCTAAAAACCTGTGAATGTATTGTGGATACTTACTTGGGAACTTGTGTTCATGGCTGAGAGCAAGTAAACGTTTCAATTCTGTAGGGGGAAAAAGAAGGCAGTTAAACCTTAAACTACTAAAATAAAAGTCACTTAAGAATAACTGAGAATTCAAAGCAACATTCGATGTGTGAATGCACTGATTTTAAACTTACCTTCCTCATCTATTAAGTAGCTTGATGCTATTCCATCAGTGTCTGTTACATCGCAAGAGTAAATACCCAAGTCATCCATCCCAAGGTCTTTGAAGGTCATTTTCGTCCTTCGGAACAAAATATTTTTCTTAGAAATGAGGCTGTGTGGGATCTGTGGGCCTGTGTTTCCCCTGAATCTGGGCATTTGTGTATACTACTCCTTTCATCTGGACACCTCCTCTCATCTTGCTGAGCTACAGCCTACATGTTCTTGGTGTCTCAGATTCAATGTCATTTACTCTGGGAGGACTTTCCTTACCTCCTTCCAGGGGGTGATGGTGACGGGAGAGTGGAACTGGCACAAATTCCACATGCCCAAGCTATGTTGCTTATCAGTGCATATCCTGCAGAAAAATACCCAGCTGATCAGTCCCTGCTGGGAGCCAGACACTTCCCCCGCCAAGGGCAGAACCTGCTGTTGGTAACTCTGGGTGCCTCTCCTATGCCATCTCCTGCTCTTCCCTTTTCTGAACTTATTATAAGCATCTTGAGCTCAAAGCATCTGTATTCTCCTCACTGTGTAATCCCTGTGCCTTCAGAGACAGGAACTGCTTTGTTTACTGTGTCACCCCCAGCACCCTGTACCTTGTCTGGCACATAGTATGTGTAATAAGTAAATGAATGGCTCAGTGGCCAAGTTCACTGGGTTTTCTAACTTTGGTAAGCTATATTGCTAGGCAGTGTCTAAGATCAACCAAACATTGAAATGTTAAGTGTATAAACTGGGAGAAAAAATTATCGTTCAATTATCTTTTCTTGGGGCAAATGTGTTTTATGTCAAGAAATTTACAGCATGGTGGCAGAAAAACATCCTTTAATTATATTTGGTATTTCCTTGTCATTCTACAGCAAAATTGCTAGTTTTTTCTTTGATTTCTGAGACACACTGGGCTTCATTGTAATAGAAAAAAGTACTTAGAAATACTGTGCTTTATCAAATATTTGCTTTATCATATCAATCCAATGTGGTTGACACTATGAAAATACAAAGCTTGGTAAGCTTTTGCTATAAAGCAAAGTAAAAAGAATACTCAAAATCTTGGCGTTGAAAGGCAATGATAGATCATACAATTCCTCCATTCTCCCCATGCTCATTTTATAGAAAAAGAAATCCGAGGTTTATGGAAGTTAAATAGCTGCCCAAGGTTATATAGCCAGCTCCTGGTAGAGATGGGCCTAGAGCTCGTTCATCTTATACTTCCACATAGAGCTTTCTTCCCATGTACTATTGTGTCACGCATGAGTGATGATCAAAAAAGCAGAAAAGATTATCCTCAATCCATTTAATTTACCATAACTTGAACCAGCGAGTTCTTCCTAGCCCCCTATAAGTATCCTTATTGTTACTTTAAGATTTCAAAATTTCATAGATAATGAGAATCATTATTAAAGCTGATCTTTATGTCAATTGAATGTTTCTAATAGCATAAATGAGATAATAAATAAGAAAGCACTTTAAATGGAATAATGTAAAAAGTATTTCATAAGAGTTGTTAGTATTTATTTTATTAGAGTCAGGGACTCACTATGTTGCCCAGGCTGGTCTTGAACCCCTAGGCTCAAGTGATCTTTCTGCCTCAGCCTCCTGAGTTGCTAGGATTTCAGGTGTGAGCCAATGAGTCAGTCTGGGATTTTTTTTTTTTTTTTTTTTTTTTTTTTTTGAGACAGAGTCTGGCTCTGTTGCCCAGGCTGGAGTGCAGTGGCGCGATCTCGGCTCACTGCAAGCTCCGCCTTCCGGGTTCACGCCATTCTCCTGCCTCAGCCTCCCGAGTAGCTGGGACTACAGGCACCCACCACCACACCCGGCTAATTTTTTTTTGTATTTTTAGCAGAGACGGGGTTTCACCATGTTAGCCAGGATGGTTTCGATCTCCTGACCTCGTGATCCACCTGCCTTGGCCTCCCAAAGTGCTGGGATTAGAGGTGTGAGCCACCGCGCTCGGCCTAGGATGATTATTTTTAAGGTTTAAGTTGGTTATTATTTTCTACAATACCAGATATAAAATATAAGTGACTTCATCCTCTTATTCCAAGCAATTTAAGTGGAAATCAGAGCTCACCTCATTCTCCTACAGTGAAAAGGAAACCCATGATTGTGATTGACATAGTCCTTACTTGTTGCCCTTGCTTTCGACTTCCAATCGTGGAGAGTCCTCAGTGGATACATAATCTTTGGACCAGGAGAACTCGGACTTTGGAGTCATCTTATCACACTCGAAGTTCAATGAAATGACTCCATCATCATCCACATTTACAACAACCTCTTTGGTTCCTACAAGATCAAAAAGAAGGCACTGATACTTCGTGGAGGAAAGCAACCAAGTAAGAATTTGTTACCTTGAGATTCTTTACTTTAACCCTAAAGTAGGGCCCTGATCCTAGGTCAGGGAAAAGCTTCACTACTCATGCAGGTGGACAGTCCTACTCCACAATTCAACTTTTATGCCATAACATGAAATTAGATGGTTGCACCACATTTCTTAGGTAGAGTCAACACCATGGACAGTATTGTTTGTGATGTGACTGATGGTACAGTTATGGGAGTGGATTGATTGCAATGAGGAAACAAGGCAGCTTTGGGAAAAGGGAAAGTCAATTGATCTTTATCAGACCCTCATTCATGACTTTTGTTTCAACAATATCCACATGCAATCAGTCATCAGGGAAGGATAGAGATGAAGAACCCAAAAGGAAATTGAATGGGAGAAAGTCCGCATGCAATCAGTCATCAGGGAAGGATAGAGATGAAGAACCCAAAAGGAAATTGAATGGGAGAAAGTAGAGAGACTAAGAATAGCCTATATTCACATATTCAAAGTCTTTAAGTCATTTAAGAGTGGAGAAATATATGGATGCCTGCTCTGTGGATCACAGAACCATAAATCAATTTAAAGATGCCCCTCTAGATTAGAGTGATAGCAACTGAGAAATGACTATTATTGAACTGCATGGAAATTTAAATGGAAATGAGTTTCAAGAGATTCAGCTCTTTCAGGAAGATTGGTTTTTGGATTAAAAAAAATTCAGTTAGTGTTTTGAGTTATTCTATTTTTGAGAGTTATAATAAATTGCACCTGCACCTAATAGAGAATTCAAGGAGAATTTGTACAGCATATGAAACATTCACATCTATGCCTAAATCCAGTTGAAAGGAGTAAAATGCTCTACTCAGATTTATACTCATTCAATTGCCAGTCTAAACTTGGTTTGTTTCAGTACATTAGGAAAAATATATATAAAATATATTACATTTAATCCCAGAAAAGTACAGCTGTATTTTTTTAAAAAGCATAAAAAAACCTTCCAAAAGAATTGAATATTTTCTGTCTGGATTGTATTACAAGAGGCCAACATCCTGGCCTACTGTCCAATAAAACTTGTTAGTGGAAAAAAAATTGCAAACGTTTTCCCAAGGGAAGGCCAAGAGGAAACCAGTGCCCAAATTGTGCCTGGCAGGATGATCTTGGTTCCTGAGCCTGATAGTTGATCTAACTTGTGTCCGTACAGATGGCAGTGTATGCTTCAACTATAAACTTCCAAAAAGTGATTGTTAGCACATGCAAAGCTTAGAGAAGACTGGTTCTAGAAAATTTTTTAAAATTCCTTTTTCTTAAACAAAGGGCTACTTTCATATTTGGTTACATAAAGTGAAATAACAATCAATTAAAGGCTTAAGTATTCCTTAATTGTCCACCATATGTTACTTTTAAAGGGCTATATGTATTCCATTGTAAGTTGCAGCCCACATTTTATTTCTATTCCTGATAACACGTGACTAATCTTCACACTCTATTTTCGTATAATAAATGTTGAACAAATGCTTTTATTAAAACTTAAGAAAAGGCTAACACTGAAGAGTGTTGAGGTTTAGACTGTATTATAATATACAGTTTGTGTGACTGAGTCACAGAAAGAATGTAAACAGAAATTTTTGTATATCTGTATTGTTACAGAGAGAAAAGAAGTGAGGTAATCTTGCTTTTTGCATAATCTCTATTTTGGAAGCATGACAGATTGCTTATATTAATCATTCATTGTTCTATCTGTGATCCCTTTTTAAAAGGAAGTGAATCATCCATATGCTTGTTGTTTATTACATTAGAGGTATGACAAGTGTACAACAAAAATATTGGTTAGCTTAAGAATCTTGATTGTGAAAGATTTGACTTTTCTGAAAACAAAATAGCCACAAAACAGAAAGAATACGAACAATTTAATCAGCCTCGCCATTCTCTAAATGCTGTAGATAACTTTTGTAGTGTAACACCTCACCCATTTGGAAAACTGCCCAAAACCAAGAAATAAGGAAAATAAGCCTCTAATACCAGTTCTGATGTGACAAAGTCCACACACTAGTATGCTGCACACTCACCAGGGAATTGGAATCTTTTTTTTTTTTTTTTTTTTTTTTTGAGACAGGGTCTCACTCTGTCACCCAGGCTGGAGTACAGTGGTGTGATCTTGCCTCGCTGTGGCCTTGGCCTCCCAGGTCATCCTCCCACCTCTGCCTCCCAAGTAGCTGGGATCACAGGTGCATGGCACCACATCCGGCCAATTTTTTTGCATTTTTTGTAGGGACAGGCTTTTGCCATGTTGGCCAGGCTGGTCTCAAACTCCTGAGCTCAAGTGATCCACCCGCCTTGGCCGCCCAAAGTGCTGGGATTACAGACATGAGCCACTGTGCCCAGCCTTGGAGTCTTTTTATACTTTGCTTGAGACAATTCTAACAAGCCTACTTGGTTGGTTTCTCTCAGTAGATTAAAAAAAGACAGGGAGGTAAGAAGCTACTATGAGCAGGAGCATTGAGAATAAAGAAAATGACAGCAAGAAAGGAGGGAGAAAAACTAAAAAGCAGGCACAAAAACATTATTTGCTATAGGGGCAGATAGCTTCTCCACCCCATAACAACATTGCTGTATCACAACACTGTGTATTAAATAAAGGTGATACTTACGGCTCTGAGTCACAGAAAAAGGTAAATAAGATTCAGTATACTGCATCCAAGAAGGATGAAAAGCTCTTATTGAATTGCATACTTTATTTTAAAACGATTTTCATCAGAAAGTCTTAAATGAAATTTTAAAGTATTAATGCTTTAGCGGTAAACCCTCAGGCAAATGGAACAAATGGTCATCTAAAACAATAATTTGTTCAGGTTTTTGAATGGCCAAATTTGGTCCCAAACCCATGAAACTTGGAGAATAAGAAAATCCTGGCCAGGCATGGTGGCTCATGCCTGTAATCACAGCACTTTAGGAGGCCGTGGCAGGGGGATCACTTGAGGCCAGGAGTTCAAAACCAGCCTGGCCAACAAGGTGAAACCCTGTCTCTATTAAAAATATAAAAATTAGCCAGGCGTGGTGGCGCATGTCTGTAATCCCAGCTACTTGAGAGGCTGAGGCACAAGAATCGCTTGGACCTGAGAGACGGAGGTTGCAGTGAGCTGAGATCACACCACTGCAGTCCAGCCTGGGCAACAGAGCAAGACTCTGTCTCAAAAAAAAGAAAGAAAATCCCGTTTAGTTTTTGTCTCAATTGCCTCAGTTACTGAGCAAAGAATATAGAGCTGAATCACTGAAGTACATTGGTCCTTCATATCTATGGGTTCTGCAACCGTGGATTCAACCAACTGTGGATTGAAAATACTTGGGGAAAAAACAATAAAAGTAACAACACATCAATAAAAACAATGCAAATTAAAAAACAATACAGTATCCCAACTCTTTACATAGCGTTTACATCATATTAGGTATTGTAAGTAAGCTAGAGATGATTTAAAGTATAAAGGAGGATGTCTGTAGGCTATGTGCATATGCTATGCCATTTTATGAAGGGTCTTGAGTGTTCCTGGATTTTGGTATCCACAGGGGGTCCTGGAACTGATCCCCCAGGATAAAGAGGGATAACTGTATTCTGAAAAATAAACTTTGTAAAGCATTTCGAGATCTTTTGTGAAAATATGAAATGAAACAAAAGATGTTGCTTATTTGCCTTTTTAAATAAAAGATGTTATTTTTAGGTTCTAAGCCACATCTGTGTTTCAACTTCAACCTATGAGTCGTACATCATTACCTTATAGTTGAGTTGTAACATAAGAAATGGGATCATGCATACTTTTTAGAAAAGAATGTGGAAATTTTTTCAAAGTCTTACATTAAAAATTGTAATTTAAAATTAGGTAATTGGCTGGGCTCACTGGCTCACACCTGTAATCCCAGCACTTTGGGAGGCCAAAGTAGGATTGCTTGAGCCCAGGAGTTTGAGACCAGCCTGGGCAACAAAATGAGACTCTGTATCTACAAAAAAAATTTTTAATTAGTGGGATGTGGTGGCTGACACCTGTAGCACCAGCTACTAGGGAAGCTGAGGTAGGAGGATCACTTGAGCCTGGGAGATGGAGGCTGTGGTGAGCAATGATCATGCCACTGCACTCCAGCCTGGGTGACAAAATCAGATCCTGTCGCAAAACAAAAACAAACAAACTTAAGTAATTGCTAGGAGAGAGCCAAAGAGGTAAGGATTAGCTGTAATATCAATCAGTATCTAAGAGTTTCCCTTATCTGTGAAGCTTTTCTTGATTAATTATGTCAAATCAGTATATCATAAGCAATATCTGTAGTGGGTAGAAAAGAGAGGCATGAACATTTCTTCAATTTATGCACACATAATTGTGGGTGCTACTGGTGGATTTATTAAATAAATGAACAATAAAGGAAACAAATAAAAACTATTAAAACTATATTTGGCACTTAAGGTTTAAAAATTTCTTTTTTTTTTGAGACGGAGTCTCACTCTGTTGCCCAGGCTGGAGTGCAGTGGCACGATCTCGGCTCACTGCAACCTCTGTCTCCTGGGTTCAAGTGATTCTCCTGCCTCAGCCTCCCGAGTGGGTGGGACTACAGGCATGTGCCACCACGCTGGGCTAATTTTTTGTATTTTTAGTAGAGAGGGGGTTTCACCATGTTAGCCAAGATGGTCTCAATCTCCTGATCTCATGATCCACCCACCTTGGCCTCCCAAAGTGCTGGGATTACAGGCGTGAGCCACCGCACCCGGCCAGGTTTAAAAATTAAAACTGGCTAAGAGGATTATTTGATTGGATATTCATTTTTCAAAAAGTTGCACTGGTTGTTTAGTTTATTGAGAATAGGGTTAAATTCCACAAATGTCTTATATTTCCCCTACCTATTTACACATGCAGGACTGGATTGAGATTTAAAAAAACCATCTTTAAAAGATAAATGCCAGTTTAAGATTATGACATTTATTTTATTGGAAACTGTCTTGTTAAAGCTAAAGTATAACACCAATATTTTGATAAAGAGGTGAGAGGAAACAAAATTACCAATGAAACCGCCTTTGCAAAATTATGACATAGTTGACTTCATCTTGTTTCTGACCTCCAAGCTGCCCTTGGTCATTCCTGAGCACAGGCTAAGCTAACTTTGGGAGAAGGTTAGTTTATAGTTTAACTTGAAAGCAAGAATGATAATAGTCCTCTCTGTTCAGGGGCTGAAACCACTAATGGGAGGTTACAAGACAGGTGTAGTTTCTATTATCCCTTACTGCTTAGATGTTATGTGGCCAGAGGTCACAAGATCTGTGAGCTTCCCAGTTGCTCCTATAGATAACATCAGTATTGTAGAACCTAAGATTGTTTTCTTTTAGATGTTTTTAAGACTGACCCCACCCAGACTCCTGACTTGTGACTCAATTTACTTTCCCCATTGTAGGCATCTTGGTCTTCTAAGTCACTCTTAAAAAAATGCCCTTACTCAAAGAACCTCTGAGCCTTCAGGGAGACTGATTTGACTGATAACTCTAGGTCTCTCGCTTCAGCTGGCCTCAGGTCAATTAAATTCTCAACTGCAATGCTGCAGTCGCAGTGGATTGATTTTGTCTATGCAGTGGGAAGGGAGAACCTAATGGGCGATTACACTAACAAAGAAAATATTCTAGTGGCAGTGGGTTTCCTACTTAATTTTATACTCAGAATTTGAAGCTGGATCTCCTCCTTGATAAATTTGATGAGGAATTAAATAATTATTTAAATAAGGGTCCTGTACATAGTAGACAAAAAATTCTATTGCAATTTAACAAAAGGTACATGATACTCAAATGGATGATTCTTTCTATAGATGCCCTAGCAAAACCAAAGCCCATATATTAGCCTATAAAGCAATGACAGCATTTTTTTTTTTTCGAGATGGAGTCTTGCTCTGTCACCCAGGCTGGAGTGCAGTGGCGTGATCTCAGCTCACTGCAACCTCCACCTCCTGGGTCCAAGCAATTCTGCCTCAGTCTCCCAAGTAGCTGGGATTACAGGTGCGGACCACCACACCCAGCTAATTTTTGTATTTTCAGTAGAAACAGGGTTTCACCATGTTGGCCAGGCTGATCTCGAACTCCTGACCTTGTGATCCGCCTGTCTTGGCCTCCCAAAGTGCTGGGATAATAGGCGTGAGGCACCGTGTCCGGCCAATGACAGCATTTCAGAATTTCTAACATGCCCCAGGCTAACCCACCAGGTAGTGCCTTGTGGAGATTAACTTGGTACAATATCACAGAAAAAGCCTGACAGAAAAGTCTACCTATAACATCCTCCTCAAATTTTCCTTTTTCTTTTTCCTTTTTTTTTTTGAGATGGAGTCTTGCTCTGTTGCCCAGGCTGGAGTGCAGTGATGTGATCTTGGCTCACTGTGACCTCTGCCTCCCAGGTTCAAGTGATTCTCCTGCCTTATCCTCCTGAGAAGCTGGGATTACAGATGCCCGCCACACGCCCAGCTAATTTTTTTTGTATTTTTAGTAGAGATGGGGTTTCACCATGTTGGCCAGGCTAGTCTCGAACCCCTGACCTCAGGTAATCCGCCCGCCTTGGCCTCCCAAAGTGCTGGGATTACAGGCGTGAATCACCGTACCTAGCCAAATTTTCTCTTTAGAATATCCCACAACTTAGCTGAGGTTTTCCAGAGCTGAGCTCCTATCAATTAATTATGGTTGAACTCTGAGAAATGCCTAAAGAGGCATATTCTCTCAAGTTGATTGAGGGATGTGGTTCTGATAATTAATGGGCAGGAAGCAAGTTTGATGTTCTGCTATCAAAGTAAAGTGGTCTTTGTGGTATTCTTATCCAGATGAGAGGCCATCCCACTTTCCCACAAAGTTGGGCTGGAAAAGTGGACCAAAATTTGGCATAACTTAGATTTTCTCAGAAACAACCTCTTAACCTGCTCATGAATGTGAAGAACTTAACTAAGATCTCAGGAGGTTTATGTATAGAACATGAGAGAGTTGTTGTCGTTGTTGCCTAAAAAGGATTTAAGAAGAGTTGTCACTAGTCAACTCCTCAACCTAAGCGAATCCTTAATACAGACACAGAGATAACTGATTTTAACAGATCTCATTTTACATTACTATTATTATTATTTTTTCTTTCCTATTCTTTTCTAATAGAGACAGGTCCCACTATGTTGCTCAGGGTGGTCTCCAACTCCTGGGCTCAAGTGATCCTCCTATCTGGACTCCCAAAGTGTTGGGATTACAGGGCCAAGACAGCATTCCAATGATCCCTCCAAGGCTTGCCCAGAACTCCTGGTATCCTAATGGGTTCAAGTGTGGCTCAGGACTAAAATGAACTATTTGGAAATTAACTCATTTCATCCCACTTTTCTTTCTCTTCCCCACAAAAAATGATAATAAAGGATAAAATTTAAAAGCTTAAATAAAATCACAGTAAACTGTTCACGTTCCTATACATTTTGTAATCTGATATGATAATTCTTTCTCATATAAAGTGTTTTACATGAGCATGAATATATCACTTTTATAAGCTTTAATTATTTGTTCTCCATGCTGTGGGTGTGCGTGGGGGTGTGCGTGTGTGTGTGGTGATGTTTAAAAAACTGAAGCATGGGACAGAATAGAAGCAGAGGAAAGTGAGTTAATGTAATGGGTCACGTGTAGTACTGAGCTGCCCTGGGTTTCAGACGAGGACTGGCGGCTGACCATTCAGCCTCATGCCCACCTTGGAGCCTCCACCAGACATTTCTTCCCCAGCTCACCCATCATAACCAGGGCAGGCAGTACAAGACGACTGGGGTGAAGTGCACACACTGAGGCTTCAAGACAGTGTCACACTCACTGGCAAACATGCTAGTCATTCATTATTTTTTCATTTAATAAATTAGCTATTATATACCTGGTACTATGTTAGACTCTCAGCACATGTACAGAAAAGACACAGTTCCTATTTTGAGGAGCTATGGTCTAAAGTACAGTTCACAAGCCTGTTTTCACACTGGAATTACCCAAATTGCTAAGTAAACAAACAAACAGCAATAAGCCTATGTTCAGGTACCCAGCCTAAGAGATTCTTTTTTTTCTTTTTTTTTTTTTTTAGAATATCTGATCTTCTGTCATCATCCCATCAGCCCTAAAGATCCTGATTTAATTGGTCTGGAGTTGAGTCCAGATAGCAGTATTTTCAAAACAGTCCTCGTATGATTCTAATGTACAGGCAAGATTGAAAACTACGGTTCTAGCAGATGAAAGAGATCAGTTAGCAAGCAAATACAAGTGCAGTTTTCTTTTTTAAATTTTCTTTCTTTTTTTGGGATGGAGTCTCTCACTGTCGCCTGGGATGGAGTGCAATGGCACAATCTCAGCTCACTGCAACCTCTGCCTCCTGGGTTCACGCGATTTTCCTGCCTCAGCCTCCCGAGCAGCTAGGATTACAGGCACTCACCACCACATCCAGCTAATTTAAAAATTTGGTAGAGGTGGGGTTCTGCCAAGTTGCCCAGGCTGCTCTCGAATTCCTAGGTTCCTCCAGCCTCAGCTGCCCAAAGTGTTGGGATTACAGACATGAGCCACAGTGCCTGGCCTCCGGTGCTTTCCTTTATGTAACTTTAATGAACTGAAATATATGATAACGTTGAAAAATAATACAGGTTAAATGATAAAAGAAATTATTATGTAATGATCTGAAACTCGTTGGACAATGAACACAGTAAACTCTGTTCTCATAAGAAACGGCAAGTCTGTCTTCTCTAGTAATCACGGCATCTTTGAAACTGGGAAATGAGGGCTGCCTCGAATCTATAAACCATTCAGTTGGGACCACTGTTAGTTTAGCCCAGGGGTCAGCAAACTATGGCCTGTGGGCTAAATCTGGCCCATTACCTCTTTTTGCAAGGGCTGCAAGCTAAGAATGGTTTTTATATTTTTAAATAGTTGAAAAAATTGAAAGAAGATTACTATTTCAAAACACAGGAAAATTATACAAGATTGAAATTTTATAATGCATATAACGCATCACATTATATAATACATATAATGTGCATGATAAAGTTTTATTAGAACACAGCCATGCTCATTAGTTTATGTATCCTCAATGGCTTCTTTTGTGTCATGGCAGAGTTAAGAAGTTGTGACAGAGACCACAGGGCTGTTGAGTGATAAATATTATCTGGCCCTCCACAGAAAAAGTTTGCTGACCTCTGGTTTAAACATAATAGCTACAATTACATAAATCCTACTTTCGTTTAAGGATTGTGCCCACTAGCTGGGCTGTTCTAGCTTCCCCTATGATTGGGAAAATATTCTTATGAGACTTAATGGCCAGGGTGTAATAGGAATAACATTCCAGGAATGAATGCTTGGAACAGTTGGTCCGGGAAGCTTAACTTGATCAAGAACTTCCGGGTTTTTAGGTATGCATCAGAACAGCCCCTAGACCACGTCAAACCTGGCTCAACCCTGTCCTGAGGTGCCTGTGATGGGACCAATGACTGTCATGTTCTAAGATCATTACTTATCAATTATATTCAGATAGCACACATTGATTGTTTTGAAAATTAGAGGAAAGCACAGAAAGGCCGAACCTTAGTTCAGTATCTTACACAGATAGGATTAGTTTTAATGAAAAGGTGAAAGCCCACCTGGACGGGTCTCTGCCACAACAGGGCCAGCAAGGTCAGATGGCTTCCCAACTCCCGCCTGGTTTATGGCTCGAACACGGAACACGTAGCTGACGCCCTCCTTGAGGCCTCGAACCTGGTAGAAGCAGGTGTAGAAGCAATGGGTGTTTGATGAAGCAGTGGCTGTTTTATGTCATTTAAACAGACGGGGCTCTTCCTCTGTAGTAATGATTTAGTGACCTAGCACCAGGGATACAAGACTTGTGGTCTAGATTTGATTCTGTCAAACACTACGCAGGTGACTTTAGCTGTAGATGGTCTTCTCTCTAGACCATCTGTAGATAGAGAGGAGTTTCCAATATCCATTCTCACTTTGATGTTTCTCCTTTTTAGTTAATTTAGTGGCCACCAACATCAGAAACAGAGACTAGTGTACGTAGGTGTCACATGCGTTAGCCACTGTATTCTTTGGTCAAAAGGACAAAATACAAAGTGCTCATTATAGCATATATGTCGCTTTTCCCCCCAATCCTTTTGAGACATTCCATGAATAATTTCAGATGGAATTCTTGGCAAAAGAGGAGAATTAAAAGCATGAATCATGAACACTTTCCATTTGTTTAAAAGCATGTTAAACTACTAAAACCAAAACAAACAATAATTGTTCCTGTAAATTTAATATAGCTATTTCTTACTAAATAGACATGAAATTAACACAATTGTGAGTTTGAATAATTTGTGAATAACCAAAGTGTATTAAAATTCTAAATCCTCAAGTTTTTAATGATCAAGATGTGTGCTGAGAATCCACTACATATGTGCCACTAAACTAGAATTACTAAGAGCTGTAAAAAAAAAGCATTTATAATTTATTTTTGTATGACAGTCCCACTTCATGTATATATACACACACATACATATATACACACATGTATATATATATACACACATGTATATATATATACACACACATCTATGTGTGTATATGTGTATGTATATATATGTGTGTATGTGTTTGTGTCTATATATATATATATATATATATATATATATATATATGTATGTATTTCTGAGACAGAGTTTCACTCTGTTGCTCAGGCGGAGTACAGTGGCACAATCTCAGCTCACTGTAGCCTGGACCTCCTGGGATCAAGCAATCCTCCTGCCTCAGCCTCTTGAATAGTTGGGACCACAGACATGTGCCAGCACACCAGGCTACCTAAAAACAATTTTTTTTATAGATACGGGATTTCTCCATGTTGCCCAGGCTGGTCTCAAACTCCTGGGCTCAAGCAATTTTCCCACCTCAGCCTCCCACAGTGTTGGGATTACAGGAGTGAGCCACCATGCCTGGTTTCCTACTTAATTTTTTGTAACTTTCTTTGGGTTTTGAATAATCTCATTACTATTACCAATACTGTTAATGTTTTATCAACATTTTTATTTTAAAAACATGTGACTTTTAAAAGCTATGTTATAAGAAGGAATTTATTACACAGAGGGCATAATTTTTCCCCAAGATGTGATAGAGACCAATATCCAAAATGTGATTTAAATCAAACAATGTTGGAATAAAGTTATTCAATTATGTGAAGTGTTTGTGACCATGTATTTAAATGAGGTACGTATTAAATTGTTAGGTTTTTAATCTAACTAATTGTATTTGTTTACAGCAGAATGTCACTATTTATGTAGTAATAGCCCTCACTGGCACTAACGGATTTTTGAAATGGATTTTATTCTGTAAATGAACTTTAACTTAGTTATAGGTTAAATGTATAGAGCCTGACATATTTAAATTCTATGTTTAGAAATAATGCCAGGAAACTGTGGATTTCCAGAAGAACACAGAAACATTTCCGTGTAATAAAAATAGAGTAATCGCCAGGTACCTGACACATCTGCACCTGCCACCTAGGTGATGATGTATGGCTGTGAGTCAGATTTCTGCAACATGTACAGGAAGTCTGTTCATATTCCAGTGTCTGGTCCCTGGGGTGACAGGGGCACTCTCTGCTCTTCCATCACCACAGGGGCAATGACCACTGGCCTCAACAGTACCACAAATACGTAATCGAGATCATCGATGCAGATCTATTTTCCCTTTTTTTTTTTTTTCGAGACAGAGTCTCGTTCTGTTGCCCGGGCTGGAGTGCAGTGGTGCAATCACAGCTCACTGCAGCTTCCGCCTCCCTGGTTCAAGCAATCCTCCCATCTCAGCCTCCTGAGTAGCTGGGAATACAGGCACATGCCACCATGGTCAGCTAATTTTTTTTTTTTTTTTTTTTTTTTTAGAGACAGGGTTTTGCCATGTTTCCCATGGTCTTGAACTCCTGGGCTCAAGTGATTTGCCTGCCTTGGCCTCCCAAAGCCCTGGGATTATAGGCATGAGTCACCGTGCCTGGCCTACTTTCTTCTTTGTGCTTCTTATGTTTGAATTTTTCATTTAAATTGTTAGTTTTATAATCAGAAAAATAAAAAAAGATTATTTTCACTTTATAAAAACTGTTGATAAAATGTAAGAACTCTCCTTACGGAAGTTCACTTCCAGGTTTGTTAGGTATACTTAACCTCAGTCTCTCTTTCTCTCTCTGTCTCTCTGTTAAAATTCCCGTTATTCTTTTTCTTTTTAAAAATGAGTGACATTAACCATTCTTTCACACATTTAAACTCTACTTTTTTTTTTCTTTTTGTTTGCTTCTTCACCTTTGTTTCGCTTCACCCTAGTCAGTTCAAACCTCAGGCCCTTGGCATCCTCTACAGTGGCAGACTGAAGACTTGGAAATCTTCATCCCAGCCATATACACCCACCACCATCATCTAGGATGTTCCTGACCTTTATTTTACACTGTACTTTGGGGGTTTCTCGGAATCCAGGGACCTCTGGACTCATCTTGACAGCAAACAACATCATAGGCTTCAGTCCTTCCTTGAACTTTTCTCTTCCTCATGAAAAGATGACCTGTCTTATTTCTTCAGAGTTTTGCAAGAAGCTGGAGAGCTGATTGGCATATGCTAAGTTGAGTTAATGGCAAGTTGGGTATAATGGTTTATGGGCTGTATCTCCTGGAGGATATATTTACATAGTTTAGAGTGGCTGGAAATACCCTAACCCTGGAGAGTGGCTGATAGATGGAAGGGACTTAGTTCATGAGGCAGGTCAGGGAGAGATCTTTTTGGCCAGGTATACTTTGAGTATCTTCCAAAGCCCACCTTATAGGCAATGACCTCTTCTGCCAAAAGATAGGACTGTGCAAACGCAGTGTGTAACTTCCTGAGTGACTGTGGTGAAGTCAGTCACATTTCATTCTAAGTAGTAAGTAATGCAATCATATTCCCTACAGTTTCTGAGGCCCCGCTGGGGCATCAGGGTCTCCAGGTGCCACTGCTAACACTAGCGGAAAATATTCTTTCGAAATTTCCTTTTGCTACAAATGAGAGATTTGGTGGCTATGGCAGAACAGTCTTTGGCCAACAGAGTTAGGAAATGGTTCAATGAGCACACTCTAGAGGAACCTGAAAGGCAGTGACATGGATAAGGGGGTTGAGTGAACCTGTTCCACTAATCTCTGAGAGCTCATGTGAGAACCGGCCTGAGGGAGGAGGTAACGTGAGACAGGAGTGACTCGAGAGGATCAGTAGTCACAGGCTTCCTGGTGTGAACTTTATAAAAACAGCACCCTCAAATCAACCATCCCCCTAGAAAAAAGAGGAATGAAAAAATCACCTTTTGGGGATGGTAAGCAGTAAGGTTTTAAGACTATGAGTAACAAAAATGTGTAGTGGGTAAGTTGAGGCAAGGAGAGAAAGGAGAGAGGAAGGAGCTGCTGGGTGCATTTCAAAGCTATGCTAAGGAATTCAGGTTAAATATAACCAAACTCTTTCAAGCATCAGAAACTTCTCCCAGCCCCAACCTCTGCCAGTGGAATCTTACCAGGAGCCCAATATATGAAACAGATCAAAGCGGAGATATTCTGTTTTATCTTGCTAACTTTAAAGTTCGTATTAGTAGAGCAGTTAGTAGAGGAAGCTCTAGAACTGAGCAGCCTCTTACCTTCAGGTATACGTTTTTAATAGCCGCCTCATTGAGCCCTCGCCACTGGTCTTCTTTGGCCTTGGCCTCCTTCAAGTCCACGAAGTAACCAGTGACCGGAGTCCGCCCGGAGTGGACTGGCGGCTTCCACTGGAGAACCAGTGAGTCTTTCCTGACTTCACTACACTTGAGACTGTGCGGTGGTCCTGAGAGAGAGAGAAGCCAATGAGTAGAAATCATAACAGAGAAAACTCGTCTCCACACGTTTAGAACCACTTGTAAGTCTTCAAGCTAATCTAACACTGGTGTTCTTTTTTCAAAATCTAGCTTTCCCATGAAAAATAAGTATTCTGTGGTCATTTCACAACGTTTTCGTACTGCTCTACATTAGCCCACTGAGTCCCTTTAAGGGTGGCAGGTAGGTAAGGCCACTCTGAGGTGCCTCTCAAAGGGTGGACCCAAAACTTCCCTTCAGGCCATTCTCTGGCCTGCATTAGTCTCAAAGACCTTTTATTGGAACAGTCTGATTTAGCTGCAGATTCATATTTTTTGATTTTTATTTTTAGACACAGGGTTTTGCCCTGTTACCCAGGCTGGAGTGCAGTGGTGTGATGGTAGCTCACTGTAACCTCGAGCTCCTGGGCTCAAGGGATCCTCTCACCTTAGCCTTCTGAGCAGCTGGACCTACAAGTGTGCACCACCACACCCGGCTAATTTTTTAAGTTTTTATAGAGATAGGGTCTTGCTGTGTTGACCAGGCTGGTCTTGAACTCTTGGGTTCAAGTGGTTCTTCTGCCTCAGCCTCCCAAAGTGTTGGGATTACAGGTGGGAGCCACCATATCTGGCACCCAGTTTCAGATAATTTTTGAGTGACAGCCTAAAATTTCCCCTTAATCTCAAATAGTATAAAGAAAGCAGCTCTATTTGATGGCATATGAATATAGAGAGTAATAGCTCTTTCAAAGGAAAAAGCATCACTCCCAATTGGAGGAAAATCTTCCCCGTAAAGAGTATGCGCAGCCCACAAATGGGTAAAAACAAACGATAGGTTATGGTTTACAAAATCCTTTTACCAAATTAAATATAATCAATCCTATGGGCCCTGCATCTGCACTAAATACTGCCAGGTACCTTACATTCATTTATCTCCCTCTTCCTTAAGACAATTAACAGAAAGAAAGCTCAGAGAAGCCAAGACACTTCATAACCCTCTGCAGGGAGAAAGCCAAAATGTGGCCTGTATGAATGCTATTCACATTCTTGGCAAAGTCCAAACTACTAAGTGATTGCCTGTATCTTTGCATGACCACCAGCTGCTACGCAGGTGAAAAAATTTATTTTTTCCTTTCCTTTTTTTTTTTTTAAATAACAACTGACATCTAGCCAACCAATCAAAATCACCTGAAGTGACTCACAGTAGCCTGAAAGCCAACTTGTAGAAGGACATACTCTGTTATGCCATGCTTTGGTGTTGTGTAATTGATAGTTCAATATTTGTTTGGCCCTTTACCTTGGCTTCATGGCTACAAATATGCGTCATGCTTGCCTTCCGATGTTTTGTATAAAGCTATATTTAAATATTAATACCAAATACCTCACACGAATGTGGCATGTTCTGTTTTGCAAAGGGCTTTTATAACCATGATCTTGTGTCATCCTGAGAACCCAGGGAGGCATCTAGATTGGGAGCAGTATCCCTGCCCTACAGATGAGGAACTATGCTCTGCTGTTTCCTAGCAGCTCTAGTCTAGGGAAAAGCAGACCTAGTTTCCTACCCTAATTATGCTACTTGTTACCTCTGTGACCCTCTGGGCATCATTTAACCTGAGTGTCAATTTTTTCATCTGTAAAACAGGATGACAAAACATTCTTATTGCTTTCTTCCATAAGGGATTTCTTGAAGTGAGACTTGCTTTACACTACTCAGTAAGTCAAGGATGGGACTGAGAAGCCAGGGTGTCAGGAGGGTGGAGGGCTGCCCCCTCCATTTCTTCTCTAAGTTGACAGCGCTCACCTGCAACCTTTCTTTGTCAACTGCATCACTTTTTTTTAAAGACAGACAGAGCCTCACTCTTATCCAGGCTGGAGCACAGTGGTGTGATCACAGCTCACTGCAGCCTTGACCTCGTGAGCTCAAGCAATCCTCCTGAGTAGCTGGGACTACAGGCATGCACCATCATGCCCAGCTAATTAAAAAACATTTTTTAAGAGATGAGGCCTCACCACGTTGCCCAGCCTGGTCTTGAACCCCTGGGCTCAGGCAATCCCCCTGCCTCAGCCTCCCAAAGCACTGGGATTACAGGAATGAGCCACCGCACCCAGCCAACGACATCACTTTTGATCAAAAAAAATTTCTACAGGCCTGCTCGGAATTTCTTAGTCTCTAGTCGATTGCATTTCACTTTACTCAGGAATTGCAAGAATTTGAAAATAGACCCACTTTTATGCAGGTGGCAGAAAGGACTTAAGAAATACCAACTGGCCTCAAGGAACTGCAAGGAAAGAGCAATGTGTTTGTCTCTCTCTATTTGCTGAAGTCGAGAGAGCACCTGAACTGCTCTTGAGTTTCTCTTGGAATCTTGTTATTCACACCTGACAGAGAAGTTCAGCAAAGGCAACGTGATGGTCTTCAAGGGCAAAGGGTTTCAAACAGAGGAAGCAAGAGGCACCAGGGACATAAAATCACCCCCCGCATACCTTACTATTGCTAGTTTAAATCTTAACGGCTTAGTAAATTTGCATTCAATTTTTATTTTATTTTATTTTGTCTTTATAACTCTGTAAGAGTTACAAGCAAGGTAAGTTTCCCCCAGCCCCATCCTCGCCCCACTTCCCACTTTCTTCCCTGCCCACCCAACCACTCCCTATGATGACCTCTGAAGAACAGTATTTGCCAGGTTCCAGGAAATTTCTTTTGGCTCAGAGTTTGGAAAATGCTTAGAGAGAAAGGGCTGGAAAAGTCAGTGCAGAGAGGCAAGCGGAGAGAGGTCAGCCTTAAACCCTAGACAGGTGCACGAAATCCATCCATGTGATATGATGAAGAGCTGGGAGGAGGGAGAAGGAGAGCCTAAGAAGCCACATAGCTTGGGTATGGAGGGAGAGATTTTGGGGGGCTAATAAATGAGAACCTTCCCAGCAGCATAACAATATATGAGAACAAAGAAGTGCAGGGAGAAGTGTTTGAGAAATTTTGCTGTGGGATATAAATTGGATAACCTTTAAGTGGCCTTTCAGAAGCAAAAACAAAGATTGGAATTCCTTTTAAACATTCATTTGCACTCAAGCCGGCTGCCTGTGCTAATCCTACTCCTCGCACAGGCTGAGCGATGAGGGCTCTAGGATTTACTGGGAACACAAGCATAAGGAATTTATACTCAGTTTTACATTGCTACCTATTATTTAATATTATCATTAAAATATTTTAGGTAAACACAAGGGGCCAAGAGAATTCTTTTCCCTTAAATATTGACCATATAGTACTTTGAATTTCATTCCAGGTTGTAGGTTCTCTTGGAGGAAATTCCGAGGTGCGGTGTGGAGGCAGGTGTCTGTGGTTTACCTGGGACGGCGATGGTCCACTCTTCACATTTGAAGCATTCGCTTACTGCGGAGGGCGCGCCCAGCCCAGCCATGTTCATGGCTGCCACTTGGAACTGATACACCATGTTTTCCTTCAAGTTGCTAATCTGCAACATTGACAACATCACAGATACTGAATGTTCCAGGTTTGTTTTTTTTTTTCTACTTGTTGAGCATTTTATTTATTTACCTTCCATGTCAGACACACCCTAGGGTGACCCTCAATGAGTCACACCCCTTTTGTAATCTCCTGGGTGTGGATGAAACCGTGACCTCCTTGTAGCCTACAATAGAATGTGGCAAAGGGATTGGGAGATCAAGTCCTGTGATTGTGTCACCCCATATGGCAAAGGAGAAAAGATATTATAGATTAGGGTCCCTAGTCAGCTGATTTGAGGTTAATTAAAAGGGAAATTATCCTGGATGGGCCTGATGTTATCAGGTAAGAACTCTTACAATGGGGTTCGGGCCCCTCCTAAAGAAAAACATGGTGCCAATGGCCTTGAGGAGGTAAATGTCACACTGAGAGCTGCCTACCCACTCACATTTGGAGAAAGGCAACATCTAGGAGTGGAAGCCTCAGCCCTACAGCTGCAAGGAACTGAATTCTGCCAACAACCTGAGCGGGCTTGGAAGAGGAACTCAACATGAATGTGGCCCAGCTGATAACCGGATTGCAGCCCTGTGAGATCCTGAACAGACGACCCTGCAACGCCGTGCGCAGACCCCTGACTCAAGGACACCGTGATACAACAAATGTGCATTGTTTTCAGCCACCGAGTCTGTGGTAATTTGCTATGTAGCAATAGAAAGCTAGGGCATGTACAGGTGAAATTTAAACGAGTTCTAAGCTAGGAATCAAAATGCTCAAGTTCTCATAATGTTTCTGCTCTTTACTGAGTGACCTAATATTTTCCGTATCACTCAGTAGGAACTGGGTTGTTGTGAGGGTAAATATACATGACAAAATAATAAATGTTAAAACATTTGCAAAATAGAAGTGATGGAATATATTAGTGTGAAAAACATTTGTAGGAAGCAGCAAACTATAAAATATGTAAAATGTGACCGACAAGAGATGGAAAATACAGTAAGAAAAAAATAACAGACATTTTCAACAGAGTATCAGATGCAAAAGAAGAGAGAGTTTGTAAACTGACAGAAAGTCAGAAGAAATTACACAGAACATGATGTGGAAAGACTCAAAAATGGGAAAGAGAGAAAAGTTGATTAATAGACATGGAAGATAGAATGAGAACATCAAACATATGTTTAATTAGTTTTGGGAGAAGTGCAGAGAGAGAGAAAATGAGGGAGAAACAATATTTTAGGAGATACAGAATTTTCTAGAAAGATCTTCTGAAAAATCCAACCCACAGATGAAAAATCCTCTGCCCCCTAAAATCCCGGGTAGATACATCTTTTTTAAAAACCCACATCTAGACCTATAGTATTTTAAGTATAGCACACCAAAGATAAAGTGAACATATCAAAAGCTGTCCAAGAAAAAAGGCAAATTACCCTCAAACAAGCAAGCAGACCAAGAGTTGAATGTCAGCGGCAACAATGGGCCAGAAGATGGTGCAATTACATCTTCAAAGCACTTAATTAAAAGCAAATAAAATGGTAAATATATTGGTAAGTTGAATCTATAAAACAATAATCACATTGCTGTTTGGATTTTAAAAAGAATTAAAACACAGACACATACATACACAATAGCATACAAGTTGGGAAAAAGGTAAAGGGGTAAAGTTTTTAAGGCCCTTCTGTTTCTGAGACAAGAGTAAAACAAATGAAATAACTTCAGACTTTAAGTTGCACAGTCACCAAAACGAAAGAAACTCGGAATCTATAACTTTTAAGGTAGAATAGAAGGAAAAATTGAACAACTTTTAAAAACGATTCAAAAATAGTCAAAAAAGGACAGAAAATGAAACACAGAACAGGCCAGGTGTGGTGTCTGACGCCTGTAATCCCAGCACTTTGGGAGGCCGAGGCGGGCGGATCACTTGAGGTCAGGAGTTTGAGACCAGCCTGGCCAACATGGTGAAACCCTGTTTCTTCTAAAAATACAAAAATTAGCCAGGCGTGGTGGCACATGCCTGTAATTCCAGCTACTTGGGAGGCTGAGGCACGGGAATTGTTTGAACCCAGGAGGCGGAGGTTGCAGTGAGTCAAGATCATGCCACTGTACTCCAGCCTCAGGGACAGAGTGAGACTTTGTCTCAAAAAAAGAGAAAGAAACACAGAACAGAAAGGACAAATAGAAAGTACAAAATAAGATATTAGTTTTTTTTTTTTTTTAAGTAATCAGTAATAGCAAACAAATGACAAAGACTGTCAGGGAGGAAAAACACAAAATTTAACTCCGTGCTATTTTTAAGAGACACATGTAAAGCAGAAAGTTTCAGAAAGATAGAAAGTTAAAGGATGAAAAGCTACATACCATGCAAAAGTCACCCCACCCCAAAACCCTAGTGTATCTATGGTAATAACAGGCAATATAGACTTTAAGGTAAAATGTATTCATAATGGTAAAGAGTCACTTTGTATCCATTTAAAAATATCACTTCAAAATTCATAAGGCAACATTTTAAATGAGTGAACTTTATGATGTGTGAATTATATCTTAATAAAGGGAGACTATCCTGCATTTTTTTCCTTCCTGTACTATCCTTGTCAGATATTAGTATTAAATTAATTCTAGTCTCAGAATAATCTCACTCATGAACATAGAAGCAAAAATCCTAAACGATAATTGGCAAACAAAATCCAGGTGATATAAACAGAGTATATATAGTATCCAAGTTGAATTTATTCCAGGAATGCAAGGTAGTTTTAACATTAGACAATTACTAGAATATACCAAATTATAATAAAAGGGAAAAAAATCATATAATCTTCTCAATAGACCCCAAAAATGTTTTTGATAATTTTAATTAACTGTTGGCAAACGGGGAATAGAAGGAAACTTCCTTTAACCGATAATAGATGTCTACAAAACACCTGTAACACACAATACAGTATTTAATGGTGAAATGTTGTAAAATTTCCCTTTAAGATAACTATCAAGCCTAGAATGACCAACATCACCACTTTAAAAAAAAAGAAGAAAATCTGAGACGGTGTCGTGCTGTGTTGCCCAGGCTGGTCTTGAACTCCCGGGTTGAAGCAATCCACCGCCTCAGGCTCCCAAAGTGCTGGGATTACAGGTGTGAGCCACCATGCCCCCAGCACCACCACTTTTATTCAATATAGTGCTAAAGTCACTATGCAGAAAGTAAGGTAAGAAAATGAAGTAAAAGTTATAAAATTTGGAAATGAAGTAAATTGCCACTATTTGCAGATGATATGAATATACATAGACTCCAAAAGAACTTCAAGGTAACATTCAAATTATTTAAAAAATTTAACAAAAGACTACATATAATAATTATATGTGAAATCAATATATAAAAGTTATATTTCTCTTTACTAGCAATAAAAACTGATATAAAAATATACTGAAAATATATCGTCTCTATTAATAAATAACAAATGATATACAAACCTCTGTAGAGAATCGTAAAACTTTAATAAGAGGCTTTAAAAAGACCAAAACGAATGAAGAAAAATAACATGTTCATGGATTAGAAGGTTCAATATTTTTTAAATGTCAATTATTCCTTAATTTTTTTACAGATTCAATGCATCCTCAATCAGAATTCTAATGGGTTTAGTTGGGTTGAATGTAAGTTTTTTTATTGTTGTTTTCTTTTGTTTTGTCTTACTTATTATTATTACTATTTTTTTTTTTTTGGTAGAACTTGGGACCCTAATACTTAAATTTATATCAAGTGCAAAGGGCTAAGAGTAGCTCTGGAAAAAGAATAAACCAGGAGAAGCTGATCTATCAGTCATCAACTTTACTATAAAGCTATAATTTATTTTTATTTATTTATTTTTTTTGAGACAGGATCTCGCTCTGTCACCAAGCCTGGAGTGCAGTGGTGTGATCTCAGCTCACTGCAACCTCCACCTCCCGGGTTCAAGTGATTCTCATGCCTCAGCCTCCTGAGTAAAAGGTATAAAAGTAGCTGGGATTACACATGAGAGCCACCACTCCTGGCTAATTTTTGTATTTTTAGTAGAGACAGGGTTTCACCATGTTGGCCAGGCTGGTCTCAAACTCCTGGCCTCAAGTGATCCCCCCACCTCGGCCTCCCAAAGTGCTGAGACTACAGGTGCGAGCCACCATGCCCGGCCTATAAAGCTATAATATTTAAATCAGTGTGGTAGTCACCCACTGTTACACAAACAGACCAGTGGAACAGCATGGGAAGCACGAACACAGACTCACGCATATAAGGAAACGATATATGATACAGATACCCCTGCAGAATAGCAGGCAGACGACAAACTTTTCTTTTTTCTTTTTTTTTTTTTTTGAGATGGAGTCTCACTCTGTCGCCCAGGCTGGAGTGCAGTGGCGTGCGATCTTGGCTCACTGCAAGCTCCGCCTCCCAGGTTCACGCCATTCTCCTGCCTCAGCCTCCTGAGGAGCTGGGACTCCACCACTCCTGGGACTCCCGAGGAGCTGAGTGCCCGCCACCACGCCCGGCTAATTTTTTTGTATTTTTAGTAGAGACAGGGTTTCACCGTGTTAGCCAGGATAGTCTCGATCTCCTGACCTCATGATCCACCTGCCTCGGCCTCCCAAAGTGCTGGGATTACAGGCGTGAGCCACCGCGCCCGGCCCCAAACTTTTCAATAGATAATGCTGGGACAACTATGTCTCTGTGGGGGGGGGTTAATTTTGATGCTTAACTCACAGCATATAAAAATATAAAGGTGAATTAATGACAGAAATGTAAGTGGCAAAATAGTATAGCTTTTAGAATGTAATCAACTACAGTACCTCCATGATCTTGGAATAGAGAAGGCATTTCACCACAAAGGCACAAAAATCACTAAGGACAAAGCATATGTTAGTAAATATGACTACAATGAATTTGACATTAAAATTAAAGTCAGAGAAGATGTATGCGACTTACAGACCTGCAAAGGATTTCTACTCATAACATGTAAAGAACTTTGCAAGTCAACAAGAATGCATTAGAAAAATGGGCAAAAACCTTGAACAGGCATAAAAGAGGATATCAAAATGGACTGTGTACATAGGAAAGGATGTTCAAACTCATTTGACACTCAGATTGTCAAAGCTGAAAATGTGTGAATAGACCAAGTGTTGGCAAGGATGCAGAGTGATGGGAATTCTCACACACTCTTCAGAAGACAGTATGGAATTATCTAGTAAAGTGGAAGATAAACAGACCCCCTGACCCAGCCATTCTACATTTAGGTGATCACCCAGAGAAACTGGTGCACATATGTAGCAGCAGATAGATGTATACAAAATTGTTCATAGCTACTTTGCTTGATGTAGCTAAAAATGCAAAAATACCCAAATAGCAATAAGAATTGAATGAAAGAATATATTGTGATATGACCACATAATGGAATACCATACCATATAGCAATGAAAAAGAATGAGTTATAGCCACATGCACTAACAGGGAAGAATCTTAAAAATACAATTTTGTATAGGCGCAGTGGCTCACGCTTGTAATCCCAGCACTTTGGGAGGCTGAGGTGGGCAGATCACTTGAGGCCAGGAGCGAAACTCCATCTCAAAAAAAAAAAAAAAGCAACTTTGTTTTACGCATTCTCAGCATGTGTGTGATATTTCATAAATTTCAAATGTTAAATTAAAAGAGCATGGTGTTGAGTTGGGGCAGCTGTCATCCCTGGCCTCACCCTGCTCTGAACCCTCATGGCAGAGGATTCTGTGAGTGTTAAGAGGTGGTAGCTTGGATGTAGCTGATGAAGCTCTAGAGAAGAAAGTCATCAGCTAAGGCAACAGTGAGACTGTTCTGGTTCTCTTATGTGACCTGAGCAGTGGAGGCCCCCATGTAGAGGAGAACACATGTGAGGCCACCCTTTGTGGCCATCAAGCGACTATAACAAGCACCACTTCACAGCTGGTGAGCTGAGTCTAGCCATCAAGCCCATGTCCCTTCATCCGCTGTAATTTGGACACTGAAAGTTAAAAACCCAGCCGGCCGCGGTGGCTCATGCCTATAATCCCAGCACTTTGGGAGGCTGAGGTGAGCGGATCACTTGAGGCCAGGAGTTTGAGACCAGCCTGGCCAACATGGTGAAACCCTCTACTAAAAATAGAAAATTTAGCTGAGCATGGTGGCTTTCACTTGCAATCCCAGCTACTCAGGAGGCTGAGGCAGGAGAATCACTTTAACCTGGGAGGTGGAGTTTGCAGTGAGTTGAGATCACACTCCTGCATTCCAGCCTGGGGGACAGAGCAAGACTTCATCTCAAAAAAAAAAAAAAAAAAAGAAAGTTAAAAATCCAGAGTGTCATTAAATCCTGGGAATCTTTTTTTTTTTTCCCCCTCAACTTGAGGGCTGCAGAAGGATCCTGGGACTCTTGAGGCTAGTGGCATATTAATTGTAGATATTTTGTAAGTTTTGAAAAAAAAATTAGTTTGTACAGTAAGCGCACATTTCATAGTAAATATTCTAGGAATTTATTATGCTTATGTGTATGGATCAGAAAATATAAATCCTGCCTGGTTAGCCAAACTACTTGTATTCACCACAGTATATTTTTCACAAGACTCATGCCACTGCAGACAATGGACTCTGGAGAAATGACGTGACTCTCTTACAAGGTGCTGGGTGTGTGCCTGCCTGGGCGTGCAAGCATAGCGTCATACATAGGACACGCCACACTACAGAAAGTCACGTGCTTACCTTGTATGCCTCCTCACTGACAGCCTTGACATTGGCTTCTCTCCATTTTCCTGGTACCCCATCAATGACCTCGCGATAGTTCACATAATAGCCAGTAATTTCTGCCCCTCCAATCTTATCTGGTTGCTTCCATCCAAGAACCATTGAGTCACGAAAACTTTCAAGACAGGTGATATCACAGGGTGGAGATGGTGGTGCTGTAGCAATATGAATAGCTTGTGAGTAGGCAGAAATGCATTTATGATTCTATATATAAACATTTCCATGGGTGCCACATATGAGGGCACTAGATCTTGCAGTATAAAACTAAAATTCGAGGCTGATGAACTTGGCATTGAACTTGGTGAATGCAATGGACACAGTAAAAAGTACACTACAATTATTATTCCAAAGATAAAATGAACCTGTCCTAGCAAAATGGTACAATACCCTGAAAGAAAATGATTCTTTTCCCCATAAGAAGAAATATTTTTCCCAAGGTATAATTTTTGTTTCTTTATGTGGTTTAGTTTTCATTTGTTCCCTGATGAAAATGGAATGTGTATATCAATTTCTGCTGCAATTTGCTTATTCAGAATTTCCATATATATATATATATATATATATTTTTTTTTTTTTTTTTTTTGAGCTGGGGTTTTGCTCTTGTCACCCAGGCTTGAGTGCAATGGCACCATCTTGGCTCAATGCAACTTCCGTCTTCTGGGTTCAAGCAATTCTCCTGCCTCAGCCTCCCAAGTAGTTGGGATTATAGGTGTGCACCACCATGCCCGGCTAATTTTTGTATTATTAGGAGAGACAGGGTTTCACCATGTTGGCTAGGCTGGTCTCGAACTCCTGACCTTAGGTGATCCACCCACCTCAGCCTCCCAAAGTGCTGGGATTACAGGTGTGAATCACCACACCTGGCCCAGAATTTCCATATATTTCTCAAATGGTTAGCCTTTCACCATTCAGGCACACTTACCCTTGTGAGACCTTACAACTACACAACTCTGTCTGCACACAAGAAAAAAATTTACTCTAGAGCTCAGCTAAATGACAGCTTTAGAAAACATTTTTAAAAAACAGACACAATCTGCTATGTGACTTTCTCTTAGTGTATAATACTTTTATCACATTATTTTTAATCTGATGTTGGAATATTTTTCATGTGGTACAATACTATACAGCTGTCACCATGTTTATCAGTGCTTAGCTAGAAAAATATCTGGAGGATATTTCAAAAGTCCTCCTTCATTTATGTGGCTTTGCTGATCAGCTTTTCACTCAACTACTGAAATTACAGTTTTCAATGAAGAGAGGGGGTGAAGTGGTGGAAAGAAATACATCTAGATATGCAATAACATCGAAGAGAATTTTCTGAATGTTTATTTGGATTATAGGAGATAAAGAAACTATCTCATTCTTACCCAAAAAGAGTATCAGAAGAATGAAGGCTTTTAAAATAAAATACATTTATCTCTTCTCCACTTACCAACCTCCTTTATTCCTCACATTTTAAAAAAGCTTTCTCTCTCTCCCTCTATTTCAGAGCATTGTTGAATATGTGCTCTCAAATGAATATCTCCTCTCGAGTTGAGGGACAAAGAAAGGTGTCATAAAACAGAGGAGGTTATAGAAGTTGGGGTGGGGTTAGAAAAAAGAACTGGATGAGAGGCATTTAAAAATTTATCAGCACATGTGCTTCAGTTCATTGTTGTTTGATAGGAAAAACAATGTCTCCTAGGATATATTAGCCACAGGTACCAAATATCCTAATCAGATCATTCTTAGCCTACTGATAAATCATCTTAAATAAATCACTTCTGGGAATGAGGATCATATATCATACAATATAGCTATATGTGATTATAATTTTAACTTTTAAACTTTTCATGGTAACTCAAAGATATATTTATAGCTGTTTTTTTCTTTTCTTTTTTCATTTCAAAAAGTAGTAGGTAAGTAGCTATTTAGATTATTATTATTTTAGAAATTTTTAATCTTTTTATATACTTTTTTCACTTAAAGTATTTAATTTTCCAGTGTTGATTTTTCTTGCAAACTATTTAAATTAAATGTGAATAATCGCTTAATAATCTGAGGATGAGCAAGAAGGTAACAACTATGACCCTGGTACGATGTCACCTTCTTTGTGAGATCTTTCTCCTCTACATGTTCCAAACATGACTATTTCAAAGGACCTCACACAGGCTAGCAGTACCAAGTCCTGCTCTCACATCGAATTCTCTTAGCAAAATCAGGCCAGAGGTGTATCTGCCTGACAAACCAAGAAAGGCTCTATAACCAAATTACTTGAAACATTCTAGCATCATTAAGCACCCAAAATGATGTGTACAAGCCAAACCCATAGACAATTACTTTTCCAAGTCATCAGATGAAAGTACACATTTCAGATGGCTAGCTGAAAACACATACAATAAGAATGGACATTGATGAAAGCAAACATGGATGAAGGATGTGATGTAGACGATGAGAGGTGAGGACAGTGATGGAGACGGATGGAACAGCTTCCCTTTCTCAACTCTCACCTCTGTCTGTCTTCTTTTTCAGGGGGTCAGACTTACTTTTCCCCTGAGGAGCCGCTTTCTGTGGTGGCGGGGTAAGCTCTTCCTGAACTGTTTCACTTACTTTACTCACTTCTGTTTGGCCCAGGTTTTGAGAGCTACTGGGTAGTGAAGGTTTGTTAGGTTTGCTGCCAAGCAAAGCATCTTTCTGGAAGGTTGGCGGGGAGGCTTCATGCACGCGCCCCCTGGAGGCGGTTAGTCCACCAGGCTCATCGCTCAGTGCGGGACACACATCTGGAGACACTCCTCCCCCTACAGTTGCCAGACAACAACAGAAACGCATTGAGCCCGGACAGAGTATCAGCTGCTCTTATAGGATAGAACAAAGAGAAAAACATTAGGACCACAAGCAGAACAAAAACAGTCTTGGCTTAAAGAAAATCGCTCACATTTGCAAGAAATATGGAAAGACTACATTTCACACAATATACGCCAAGGAACATTTCACCTTCCCCGTATTCTGGAAAAAGAAGAAATGAGAACAAAGAAGCCAAAGATAGAATAGGAACCATTTCGATTTGCAGAACCCAAAGGGCTTTTAGTATATATAAGGAAAAGCAAATCTTAGACACAAATATTGAGAGATGTAAGCCCTATTATTCAACAGAATGAAAAAAGGACTATAAAGTGCACAAGAGACATCATATTAAAGATCCTAATTTTATAACACCTCGAATTATGTGCAGTACTACAATAGTAATGGTCTGTACCTCTCAACCTCAAAGAGACATGTTTAGAATGGTTCACATTATAAGGAATCTTCCTTCCTTCGTTTTCTTTCTTCTTTTTTTTTTTTTTGGAGTCTCACTCTGTCCCCCAGGCTGGAGTGCACTGGCGCAATCTCGGCTCACTGCAACCTCCACCTTCTGGGTTCAAACAATTCTCGTGCCTCAGCCTCCTAAGTAGCTGGGATTATAGGCATGCACCACCATACCCGGCTAATTTTTGTATTTTCAGTAGAGACAGGGTTTAGCCATGTAGGCCAGGTTGATCTCAAACTCCTGACCTCAAGTGATCCACCCGCCTTAGCCTCCCAAAGTGCTGGGATTACAGGCGTGAGCCACTGTGCCCGATCCCTATGTTATAAGGAATATGAAAAAGCTATATGAGATGCTAACTGAAGACAATCAATATTAAATCAGCTTTTTAAAAAACATGCGTTACTATATAATAAATTTTATTTTATTTATTTATTTATTTCAGACACAGGATCTTGCTTTGTTGTCCAGGGTGGAGTGCAGTGGTGAGATCATAGTTCACTGCAGCCTTGAACTCTTGGACTCAAGTGATCCACGTGCCTCAGCCTTCTGAATAGCTGGGACTACAGACATGCACCACCATGCCTGGCTAATTTTTTTTATTGTTATTTTTAGAAATGGGATTTCACTATGTTGCCCAAGTTGGTCTCAAACTCCTGGACTCAAGCAATCTGCCTGCCTCTCCCTCCCAAAGTGCTGGGATTACAGGTGTAAGCCCCCGTGCTCAGCCCACAAATATTATTTGTATTGTTTCTAACCACCTGGGTCCCTTTTCTACTTTATCCAAGATTGGGAGGTACATCACATACACACATATAATTACTTTATTACTGGTTTTATTCTGTTGGTTACTTTGCAAGCAAAGATGAAACATATGATTAAGCAATTACATGTGCCTTGCATGAATTTTAGAGGGGTTTATAAGAAGCATGTTAATGTTCTGTTAGCAAAAACAAGCCAGGCTCTGGCATAGACCAAATGGCTTTTAGGGACAAGATGATCTGTGTTATGGGTGATATACCACTTCATGGAATCGGAATGGCCCTTCACAGTCCCAGGATGAGCATGAAGTTAGAATGGAGTTTCACACAATGTGAAATATCTGAGGAAACTTGGGTTCGTGAAGATGAAAAGGCTATGGATGCACAGAATCTGGATAAGTGATGAAGGTCTGTAAAATGGCAGCTATGGAAGGTTAGACATCACCTAGAGTCAGAGAAAATGATCATCTAAGGATGCAATCATCCAGCAATATTGGAAGCTAAATAATTTCTGGAGAGGATGGTATCTTCCTTTCTAACATAGAAAAATCCATTTTTCCCCCATACAGTTATGCATAAGGAACTTACCAATAGCAGCTTTGACTTCAATAGCTTCTGAATCCTGGGAATATTCACTAAGTCCAGCTGCATTGACTGCTCTGACCCGGAAAATATAACTCTGACCAGTCACTAATCCATGACAAGTGAATCTAAAAGGAAAACAAGTTTTAAAAAATTTTCCTAGGAGGAAGATTAAGGAAGATGATTGTTAGCTTAATGGAGTGGATCTGGCTTTATGAAAACAATTCTTTTTTTTTTATTGTGATTTATTTTGAACAGAAATGGGGTCTTGCTGTGTTTCCCAGGCTAGTCTTGAACTCCTGGCCTCGAGCCATCCTCTCTCCCACCTCAGCCTCCTAAAGTGCTGGGATTACAGTTGTAAGCAGCATGCCCAGCTAATAATTCATTTTTTAAAGGAAGAAAAAGATGTAGAAAGATTCAGGTAATATATATACTTTAGACAAGAAGGTAACTAAGGCACTTTTCTAAACCCACTCTGTCAAAAAATGAGGAGCCCTGGTCTTCCCCAAATGCTCACCAGTAAAATAGGGATAATGATGCTTACATGATAATTTTCATGTAGAGGTTAGTTATAAAGTATATAAAGTACCTATATAGGGCCTGGCATATATGAGGTACTTAATAAATAATAATTAGTATTAAAATTATTAGTATTAATATTATTATATATATGTATATATAATAATAATATATACATATATAATAATATATATGAGTTATACTCTAAAATTATTATTATATATGTGTGTGTATATATATATATATATGAGTTATACTCTAAAATATATATATATATATTTTGAGACGGAGTCTCGCTCTGTTGCCCAGGCTGGAGTGCAGTAGTGCAATCTCAGCTCACTGCAACCTCCAACTCCCAGGTTCAAGCAATTCTCTGCCTCAGCCTCCTGAGTAGCTGGGACTACAGGCACCCACCACCACGCCTGGCTAATTTTTTTGTATTTTTACTAGAGATGGAGTTTCACCATCTTGGCCAGGCTGGTCTTGAACTCCGACCTCGTGATCCACCCACCTCGGCCTCCCAAAGTTCTGGGATTACAGGCAAGAGCCACCAAGCCCAGCCAACTCATATATATTTTTTAACTTTTATTTTAGGCTCAGGGATACATGGGAAGGTTTGTTATATTGGTAAACTCGTGTCACAGGGGTTTGTTGACGGATTATTTCATCACCCAGGTATTAAGCCTAATACCCAATTAATAATATGATCAATGACTATTTTAGGTATATAACTATGGCTGTAAGGCATTGGTGGCTCCTTGTCATAGAGGCCTAGTCACTGTCTCGCTGCATGCCAAGGAAGGTACTTACTTGGGAAATTACTATAGAATCTGAAGATAAGGTGAACAATGGATTCTAGAATTACCATTTAGATATGAAGATTCAATAATGAGGTGTGAATCCATGGGAAGTTTCATCCATAAAAACAACCTAACTCTTTTCATAGCTATTATGGCTATAAATAGCTGTTTCATGAATCACTGTAACATTTGAATCCATCCTAAGGACTGCAGCCAGAGGAAATAACAGGTCTGCTAACGAATCTATGACTATTCGCATGTTCAAGTATTTAACAAAGGAGCCATAATCTAGGCCAGCCCTTCAGTCCTTAGAGTCAGCTTTGCTTCAGCAAAGATTTATTGGGGTCTCGGTGTTCCAGACACTGAGTTAGGTACTGTGGACAAAAGATGAACAAAAAATGGTGCCTGCCCTCTAGCAGCTCCTGCCTACGCACCACCAGCATTTCTGAATAGTCCCAGGAAAATGCTGGGTAACTCCAAGGAAAAATGAAATACACCAACAGGCTAAATGAATCTCTTGCAAAACATATTGCCTTCCCTAATTAATCATTTATCTCTACTCTCTCACGTTCCGCAAAACCAACTCATTCTGTTGGGGTCCTCGGACTGAGAAGTGATCCAAGCCAGAAGCTGCCGAACGAGTCTATTTGACAATTTCTGGGAGGGCAGCATCCCCCTCTCATACTGGTCTCTGGTCTGGGTGCAGATCAGAATTCACCATCAATGTGCAAAGCTGATTGATAAAATAGTTGAAAGCAAGGAAGAAACCAACCCTCTCCCCATTAGAAACAAATACAAAGAGGCAGCAAATTATTCTGAATGTCTTTGTTTTGGTGTAACTATGTCTGCTTAGCACTGGGTTTAATCATGTTGATGTCCAGAATTTGTAAAATTTCGATACTTTTTTCTCTTCATTTAAAATTCCTGGGTAATTTATGTTAAGTAGAGTGTATTATATCCTCAGAATCTAATATCACGTTGCATATTAGATATAAAATCAGAGGGGTAAAAAAGGAAGAAGCAGCAAAAGCACTATGAAATGAACTCTTACAATAGTTGGCATTATGTGTTGCTAAGTGTTTAACATCATAAGTGAACCTTTTAAAAAAAGATGTATTGCATCTAATGTGTTCAATTTTAAATTCATTTAAATATCTAAAGTGTAATTGTTTTGTTTTGCTTGTTTGTTTTTTGAGACAGGGTCTTGCTCTGTTGCCCAGGCCAGAGTACAGTGTTGTGATCATAGCTCACTGCAGCCTTGATCTCCCAGGCTCAAGGAATTCTCCCACTTCAACCTCTTGAGTAGCTGGGACTACAGCACACCACCATGCTGGGCTGATTTTTGTATTTTTTGTAGAGGCAGGTTTTCGCCAGGTTGCCCAGGCTGGTCTCAAACTCCTGGGCTCAAGCAGGTCTCAAACTCCTGGGCTCAAGCAATCCGCCCACCTTGGCCTCCCAAAGTGTTGAGATTACAGGCATGAGCCACCACACCCAGCCTTGTTCTGTTTTGTTTTTTAGAGATGGGGTCTCCCTATGCTGTCCAGGCTGGCAGTGGCTATTTACAGGCCTGGTCATTGTATCCTACAACTTCAAACTCAAGCTGTAGTTGAACTCAAGTTGAACTCAAGCTCAAGGGATCCTCCCTCCTCAGCCTCCTGAGTAGCTAGGACTACAGGCCTGCCACTGCCTTGGCTTATTTAAAGTATAATGTTTTCTTGTTTTTTTTTTCAGTTTGTAAAGATAGGGTCTCACTGTGTTGGCCAGGTTGGTCTTGAAATCCTGGCTTCAAGCAATCTTCCCACCTCAGCCTCCGAAAGTGCTAGGATTACAGGTGTAAGCCACCACATCCAGCCAAAAAGTAAAATTTTTTAAAAAAATCTCCTCCATTGGATGTCTGTGTGCCGTATGTGTCTATGGCAGCTCCAGAGGCCATTGCCCGCCCTGCACACCCGACTGAGTTACCGTGAGCCCTTCACGGGGTTGTTGTTACAGGGCTCCCACTTGCCAGAGCCAGCAACGCTCGCCTCTATGTAGTACCCGACCAGCTCTTTGGCATCTTTGGACTCCTCCCACGAAACTACCACTGAGGTGTCTGTGTTTCTGCTTGGGATGATTTTGCCAGGAGCCTTGGGGATATCTGAGAAAGAGGAAAATGGTGATCAAACTCAAGTGGTTTTAAAAATTCATCCTTATCATCTATGCACAAACACACACCTAGGTATTTTACACACTTCGTCATGTCAAAAGAACAGCTGCTTTATTTTACGATTTTTTTTTTTGAGACTGAGTCTCGCTCTGTCACCCAGGCTGGAGAGCAGTGGCGGGATCTCGGCTCACTGCAGCCCCCACCTCCTGGGTTCAGGCAATTTTCCCACCTCAGCCTCCTGAGTAGCTGGAATTACCAGGCATGTGCCACAACGCCTGGCTAATTTTTGTGTTTTCAGTAGAGATGGGGTTTCACCATGTTGGCCAGGCTGGTCTCAAACTCTTGGACTCAGGTGATCTGCCTGCCTCGGCCTCCCAAAGTGCTCAGATTACAGACATGAGCCACCGCGCCTGGCCTACATTGTATTTTTTAAAGCAAAAAATTTTAAAACAGTTAGGGAGCATGGATAAACTAAATGTCCATGAACTTCAGAAAAAACACATTATCAATATTGTTGAAACTCCCAAAGAAGTTTACTTTTCATAAACAAAAATAATGAATTTTTGTTTAATGTATAGGTTAAGTACAGCCATCGAGTAAATTTATAATATGAAAGAAGGATGTCACCATTTTTACTCCTGGCCAAATATACATATACTAGATCCTTGCTTTGAAATTTTCTCTTGAAGTAAAAGAAGTTTACAGTTGCTTACCAAGTTTGTCCCCTACCACAGTCACCTCCGTTGCCTCTGAGGGCTCACCAACTCCTGCAGAATTAGAACAGCGGACACGGAAACAGTAGGATTTCCCCTCGGCCAAGTCAAACAGAGCAAAGCGGGGAGACTTCACAGGGAGCTCCGTGTTCACTCGCTGCCAGTTTTCTGTTCCTGCCTCACACTGCAGCAAGAACAGGGAAACCCATTGAAAGCACAGCAAACACAAGCGAGAATCCAGGCCAGGCAACTCCAAGTTTCATTCATCTGCAACAAACCACTCCCTGTAATGCAAGCTGGACTGGAGGAGAGATGAGGAGGAAATAGGGGATGAGGCATCTGAAGTTCGTAGGATTCTCTAAATCAAACTTGGCTTTTGATACGGTTTGGCTGTGTCCCTGCCCAAATCTCATCTACAATTGTAGCTCCCATAATTCCCATGTGTGTGGGAGGGACCTGGTGGGAGATAATTGAATCATGGGGGCGGTTTCCCCCATACTGTTCTCGTGGTAGTGAGTAAGTCTCATGAGAGCTGATGGTTTTATAAGGAGAAACCTCTTTCACTTGGCTCTCCTTCTGTCTTGCCTGCCACCGTGTAAGACGTGCCTTTCGCCTTCCACCATGATTGTGAGGCCTCCCCAGCCACATGGAACTGTGAGTCCATTAAACCTCTTTTTCTTTATAAATTACCCAGTCTCTGGTATGTCGATCAACAACATGAAAATGGACTAATACAGCGTTGTATTGTTTGAAAAATATGCTACTTTAATATTTCTCTTCCTTTGTTAACTAAATACAATAATCTGCTTACAAAAGTCTTATTTTGAGGATCGTTTGGGGTCAGGTAATTTTCTAATTTTAATTAAATTAAATTAAATTTTATTTTATTTTATTTTTGAGACAGGGTCTTACCCTGTCACCTGGGCTGGAGTACAGTGGCACAATCACGGCTCACTGCAGCCTTGACTTCTTTGGGTTCAAGTGATCCTCCCACCTCAGCCTCCCAAGTAGTTGGGACTACAGGCACATGCCACCACACCTGGCTAATTTTTGTATTTTTTTGGTAGAGACAAGGTTTCCCCATGTTGCCTAGGCTGGTCTCGAACTCCTGGGCTCAAGCGATTCACCCACTTCAGCCTCCCACAGGCATGAGCCACTGCACCTGGCCTGCCCATTACCTATTTAAAAGAATTCTTGGTCCTTTTCTTATCACTCTCTGTTTCTTAGCCTGCTTTATTCTTCTTCAATCATGTATCACTATTTGAAATTAAGTTATTTGTTGTCTCCTCCACTGAAGAGCAAATCACATAAGCTCAAGGAGCTTTGTTCACTGCTTTATGACAGAGCATAGAATTCCATCTGGCAAATAGTACATAATCAACTACAGTATTTTTTTTCTTTCTTTTTTCTTTTTTTTTTTTTGAGACGGAGTCTCGCTGGGTCGCCCAGGCTGGAGTGCAGTGGCACAATCTCGGCTCACTGCAAGCTCCGCCTCCTGGGTTCACGCCATTCTCCTGCCTCAGCCTCCCGAGTAGCTGGGACTACAGGCGCCCCCCACCACACCTGGCTAATTTTTTGTATTTTTAGTAGAGGGGGGTTTCACCGTGTTAGCCAGGATGGTCTCGATCTCCTGACCTCGTGATCCGCCCACCTCAGCCTCCCAAAGTGCTGGGATTACAGGCGTGAGCCACCATGCCCGGCCCAGTGTTTTTTTTCTAAATGACTGAAAGATGAAGATGTTTTTCTACTATATGATCCAGCAATCCCACTGCTGGGTATCTATCCAAAAGAAAGAAAATCAGTATGTCAAGGAGATATCTGTACTCCCATGTTTATTGCTGCACTCACAAAAGCCAAAATATGGAATCAACCCAAGTGCCCATCAGTGGATGAATGGATAAAGAAAATGTGGTAAATATGCACAATGTAATGTTATTCAGCCACAAAAAAGAATGAAGTACTGTCATTTGCAGCAATATGAATATAATTGGAGGTCGCTAAGTGAAATAAGTCAGGCACATAAAGACAAATATCTCATGTTCTCATTCATATATGGGAGCTAAAAAATTTGATCTCATGGAGGTAGAGAGTGGAATGGTGGTTACCAGAGGCTGGGAAGGGTTGGGGGTGGTGGTGAAGAGAGGTTTGTTAGTGGGCACAAAAATACAATTAGAAGAAATAAGTTCTAGTGTTCAATAGCACAGTAGGGTGACTATAGTTATCAGTAATTTATTATATATTTCAAAATACCTAAAAGATAAGATTTGGAATTTTCTCCACAAAAATGACAAATGTTTGAGGTGATGGGTACCCCAATTACTCTGATTTGATCATTACACATTGCAAAGATGTATCAAAATATTCAGTGTACCCTGTAAATATGTGCAATGATTGTGTATCAATAAAAACCAGATTAAAAAAAGATGTTCTCTTTTTTTGCCCAAGTCTTAGAATAATTAATGGGAAAATTAATTTTTAATGAGACTCTATTCTTAAAATTAAAATGATTTAGAGTGACTTGGAAATCCTCGAATGAAGGACGTGGTGTATATTTGAGCTCTGGTAGAAGATACAGTAACAAAACTGTCAGAAGTCTTTGGTAATCCTTATTCCCTCCTATTTTAATTTCCAACTTTGCCCATGGTTGGTAAGAGAAGAAATTTAGAAACTCTTGCCTGATTTCACTACAGAATTTTGTAACGTTTTCAAAAGACTTTTCTGAAGTCCAGATCTCGTGACAGGTTGACCAGCTGTCAGGATGGTACATTTTTGGGACTTTAAGTTTATCAGTCCACCACACAGGATGATCTTCGTTGACTTGACAGACAGGCAACATGGCATGGCATAGAGGAGACAAAGGGATGGGATCTGGTCCCTTTGTGTTAATAACAAGCCACGTGACCTTGGAAAGCCACACGCATGCTCTTGGCCTTGGTTTCGTCTTCTATGAAACGAGCAAATTTGACAAGGTAACCTCTAAAGTTCCTTGCAGTGTTTTTTATGATAACATTATCTTTTGTGTGTCTGCTGTCTCCTGAGGGACGAAACTCTCTCAGACCTTTAATCTTTTCATTTATGGCTTTGATTTCTTTTAACATATTCCACCCTGGCAAATTCTTAAGCTGTTATCAGTTGTTTATACTCTCATAAAAAAATAGCTGCCTTTCACTGTGCCGAAAACTTTATAAGCCATTATTACTCTTTACTCCTCTCAACTATGCCATGGAGTAGGTATTGTGGAGGTAGTATTGTATGATTGTCAACGTTTTCCAGAGGAGAAGACAAGCCTGGGAAGATTGAAAGGTGGCCCAGTGTAATAGTTGGATTTACGCACCTGAACCAGACTGCTGGGGTTCAAATCTCAGTTCTGTGTTTTACCAGCTCTGTGACCTCGGGCAAATT
This sequence comes from Homo sapiens, assembly GCF_000001405.40. NCBI lineage: Eukaryota > Metazoa > Chordata > Mammalia > Primates > Hominidae > Homo > Homo sapiens. The sequence goes on from NC_000018.10 coordinate 3,138,949, forward strand.
ATATACCTTTCTATGCCTCAGTTTCCTCATCTACAAAATAGGCATGATCTGCCAGGCACAGTGGCTCACAACTATAATCCCAGCACTTTAGGAGGCTAACAGGGGAGGATAGCTTGAGCCCAGGAGTTCGAGATCAGCCTGGGCAACATAGGGAGACCCCATCTCTACAAAACACTTAAAAATATACAGGCATGATGAAAACAAAGATATTTACCTCATAGGACTACTCTAAGAATTAAGTGGGTTAACTCATGTAAGGTGCTTAGAACAGTGCAAATCTTGGCTATGTTCGTTCCTGCTGTTAACGAGTGATACAGTCCTTGTCTCTGACACGACCAGATTTTTGATAGGGGAGTGAGAAAAAGAGCTCAAGACGTAAGACACCTGAGGAAAAAGTTTGGGTGTAAAAAGAACACAGTAGGATGGGGAGGCTGGAAGTGCCAAGGACTGATTTATCTGAGTCCCTTGCTATAAACCCTTCAATTTCACCCATTCCAGGGATCAAGGACATGCCGTGAAGAAGAACAAGCACAGCGGTGGCCCAAGAGGCAGCATGCTGGGTGCAGGGCATCCTGGAACAGACGCAGCAGGGACAGGAGCACACAGACCTTTTCCCTTTAGAAAGGTTAGCATATCAGAACAGCTACATCAGAAATAATTTTAGCCTCAGCTCAGAACAGTTTGACATTTGGATGGTTCTGCAAATGTACCCCAGGTCCCTGGACGTGCTCTGTGTCCTCAATACCCAACATCCTGGGTGTTCTATGCCCTGTGCAGGCCTCCCTACATAGTACTGTGTTCATAAACGTCCCCTTCTGTTCCATGCCAATAGGTGTGCTGGGGGAAGAATATTTAAATTTTTAATTACAAACTCACAGGTATTTAGGTCGAGGGAAGTTATAGACTTCCACAGAGAAATTAGAGTTTATATGACCAGAGGAAAAGTTCAACAGAAGCCAAAGTTGACTCATCTGCAGAAAACGCCTCCAAATAGTTGTTATGTGCCCTTATTATAGGAAAGATGGTAACTACTGTCACAGAGGTTATTCAGAACCTTCTTCCTGTGGAGTGTTTCAAAGAGATTCAGTGGGGGTGTGTATTAAACACACTAGGAAATGAACATTGATCCACCACTCTATTTTTGCCATCTATTTTCTTTTAAAAAGCTTAGAATGCAGCCGGGCGTGGTGGGTCATGCCTGTAATCCCAGCACTTTGGGAGGCTGAGGCAGGAGGATTACTTGAGGTCAGGAGTTCGAGATCACCCTGGCTAACATGGTGAAACCCTGTCTCTACTAAAAATACAAAATTTAGCCAGGCGTGGTGGCTCACGCCTGTAATCCCAGCTACTAGGGAGGCTGAGGCAGGAGAATTGCTTAAACCAGGGAGGCGGAGGTTGCAGTGAGCTGAGATTGTGCCATTGCACTCCAGCCTGGGCAACAGAGTGAGGCTGTCTCAAAAAAAAAAAAAGGCTTAGAATGCTACTCAAGTTATATTATATTTGAAGCTGATATCTGGAAAGCATATAAAAATTAAATATTGTCTTTGTAAAACAAGACTCTCTTGGAAGATATCCATATTGCATGTAGAGGAGATAAGGCATTCATTGTTACTGATTTGCTAGGAATAAAAAGGAAGTAAAGAATGCAGCTCAAAGATATTTGCATATTGTCTTTATGTTGTTACCTAATTTTCAGAAGTTTGCATACACCTACATACCTATGAAATGTATTCTCTTGCAATAATTATCAGGGAAGGTGACCTAATAGGTGTTACAAAATTGAATGATCAAAACAGTATTAAGGATAAAAGAGAAAGACCTTTAGGAAAATTAACTGAACACCATATTTTTATAAAAAAAAATTCTACGATTTTGCTATGAAACTAAAATGTAAAGTAAATGATACCTTTTCATGCTATCACACAATTTTATAAAAATAAAATTTAAAAGTACAAACACTTGTTTCATTTATTGTTCTAAAAAATGGTGCATCACTACCAATAAATGTTCTTACATATGGGATAAAATAAACTTATTTTCTTTCATTTTCTCAATTATATCCTAATCAGAACCTTTTTAACAAATGGATTTTGAACCTCATTTTAAGCAAATTCTCTTTAAATGTCGTTTTCCAGTAGCAATGATCCTGTTAGCCAAGGACTTCTTACCCCCACTAAGACCTGTGCCTTGCGTGGCCGGCTCTCCTATTTCTACACTTGTGGCTGAGTCAGTTCTGCCGAAATAATGTTCTGTACAGGTCTTGGCTCTTCTCCATTTGTTGGGCATAAATCCTTATCAGAACTACCCTCAAATACGGATATGTGTTTGATTCACATACCGTTCTCCTTCATTCCACCCATTCTGGGCCTTCATTGCATGCTGTCCTCTCTAATGTTCTAATTCCTGACATAATTGTAAGATATCTGGGAAAGAACTTGCCAATATTTATTGTTTTGTGATCCCTGACCTCATTCCGCTACCTGTACTCAGAGTGGAGCTAGCCAAGTGCAGTGGCATGAGGTTGCTGTCTTCCACACTCCCGGCCATTTGAGAGTATTGCCCCTTCTCCGTTACCCCCTCCCTTCTAGCCTCACGATGTTCATGTCCTACTACAGAAGGAGGAGTGGTAGAGAGATGAAAAGCCATTACCAAAGCAAGGGAGACAGGAAGGTCTCTAGAAAACATTGTCATACAGGCAATCTACCATTTCAGGAACATTTCTCTTCTTGTAGGTGCTATGATGTTGGGTCTGGATCTCTTAGGAGTCTATGGGTGAGTCTTGGGGATCCATAAACCCCTTGATTTTCAGGCACAGTTCTGTGTGATATACTTTGTTCTATGGAGACAGTTCACAGTTGATAACAATCTAGTGAGATCAGGACATGCTCCCTCCTCCTCCCTCACTCCATTGTCCCTGGGAATTTAGCCTCCACTTTTCTAAAGAAATCCTTAGGAGGTAGTATGAGGTCATGTTGATTCTAGAGTCTTACCTTTTCCACAAAGTACATAATGCCCTCATGACCACGCTGGCCAGGGGGCTTCCAGCTGAGCACCACATAGCTCCGGGTGGCCTCAGTGACAGAGAGGTCTGTCGGGGGGCCAGGCACAATACCCTCTGAAAAACAACAAGGAAAAATGAGAAGCACACATTCTGGGTAGCCCAGGATACTCAGAGAGCCAAAGACGCTGCTCTCCTCCTGAGGAAGAGTTAATTATGTCTCCACAGTTTAAAGAAGTACCTTCTCTCTAAAATTCCCCCAAAACATCATTCATTCATTCATTCTTCAAATGCCATTGAGCAGTTGCTGTTGTTTTGGTTTTTTTTGGAGGGGGGGAAGGGTTTCACTCTATCACCCACGCTGGCATGCAGTGGTGCAATTATGGCTCACTGCAGCCCTGACCTTCTGGGCCCAAGTGATCCTCCCACCTCAGCCTTCCAAACAGCTGGGACCACAGGTGCACACCACCACACCTACATAATTCAAAAAAAAATATTTTTTTTTGTAGAGTTGAGGACTCCCTATGTTGCCCAGGCTGGTCTTGAACTCCTGAGCTGAAGTGATCCTCCTGCCTTGGCCTCCCAAATTGCTGGGATTACAGGTGTGAGCCACTGCAGCCAGCCCCATTGCTCATTTAGAATATAGAGCTAAGAATCTAGGATACTCTTCTTATCTTTAAATAGTTCTGAGGCCAGGTCAGGAGTGTTCGGGTGAAAGCAAGGACAAACTTCCAGAAGCACCCAGATCCCAGAAGTCCCAGAGCATCTAGAGTTTAGAGCCACATGAACCCTCCACAAGCAGGATTTACCCTGGCTCAGATATGAAAATAAGCAGGGCACAGAATCCTATAAGCAGATAGGCAGGAGCCAAGGTCCCAGTGGAGTTGAGTTTATAGTTTTAGTAAAGTTTAGGACAGTTTTAGTTTACAGTTACAGTAAAGTTGGTCTTATCAGGCAGGGAGGGAGGAGACTGGAAATACATAGACTCCAGAGGTCAAGAAAAATAATGGGGTACAGAAGAAATATTTAAAGAAATAATGATGAAAAATTTCCAAATCTGATGAAAACTACGAACTCACAGATTAGAGAAACTTGCAAACCCTATAAGCACAAGATATATGAAGAAAGCTACACAATGCATATCATAATCAAATGCTGAAAAAACAGTGATAAAGAGAATATATTAAAAGCAGATAGAGAAGACACATTATATATTGAGGAACAAAAATAAGAATAAAAGCAATCATTCTTGTAGTGTAGATCTGCACTATGCTGGACAAAGCTCTTAAAGTACTGAGAGAAAAAACTGTCAACCTAGAATTCTATACTCAGTGAAGATATATTTCAAGAATGAAGGTAAAATAGAGGATTTTTTTTACATAACAAAAGATAAAATACCTGCACTACGAGAAATGTTCAAGGAAGTGCTTCAGGTGAAAAGAAAATCATATCAGATGGAAATCTGGATTTAAACAAATAAATGAAAAGCAATGGAAATGATAAAAATGTGAGTCAATAAAGCCTTTTTCTTACATTTTGTATCTCTGAAAGATAATTGACCACAGTCAAAATAATAATATCGTATTGTGTAGTTTACCATAAATATGCAAATAAAATGTATGACAATAACAGCACCAAGGCTAAGAGTGGGAAATGGAATAATACTGTTGCAGGACAGGCACGATGGCTCATGCCTGTAATCCAGACACTTTGAGAGGCCAAGGCAGGTGAATCGCTTGAGCTCAGGAGTTTGAGATGAGCCTGGGCAACATGGTGAAAACCCATCTCTACAAAAAATACAAAAATTAGCCAGGTATGGTGGTGTGTACCTATAGCCCCAGCTACTTGGGAGGCTGAGGTGAGAGAATTGCTTGAGCCCAAGAGGTCGAGGCTGCAGTGAGCCATGATCATGCCACTGCACTCCAGCTTGGGCAACAGAGTGAGACCCTGTCTCAAAAAAAAAAAAAAAAAAAAAAAAGGCCAGGCACGGTGGCTCACACCTGTAATCCCAGCACTTTGGGAGGCCGAGGAGGGTGGATCACAAGGTCAGGAGATCAAGACCATCCTGACTAACACAGTGAAACCCCATCTCTACTAAAAATACAAAAAATTAGCCGGGCATTGTGGCGGGCATCTGTAGTCCCAGCTACTCAGGAGCCTGAGGCAGGAGAATGGCATGAACCTGGGAGGCGGAGCTTGCAGTGAGCCGAGACTGCAGCACTACACTCCAGACTGGGCGACAGAGCAAGACTCCATCTCAAAAAACAAACAAAAAAAGGCACTGTTGTAAATTCTTACACTACATGTGAAGTAATATAATATTACTGGAAGGTAGACTGTGAAAAGATGTATATTATAAATTCTAAACTACTAAAAAGCAAAATAAAAAATCATAGCCAACAAGAGAATACAGATAAAATGGAATAATAAAAAATACTCAATCCAAAAAAAGTAGAAAAAGAGAAAAAATGAAACAAATAAATGGAATAGATGGAAACCAAATAGCAAGATGATTGATTTAAATCCAACCATATCAACGATCAGATGAAATGTAAATGGTTAAAACACCCCAATTAAAAGGCAAAGATTACCAATTTAGATTTTTAAAAAGCAAGACCCAAATATATGCTGCCTATGAGAAACACATTGTATTAATATAAAGGCACACATAGGCTAAGTGTAAAAGGATGGAAATAATATACCATGCTAACACTAATCAAAAGAAAGCTGGAATAGCTATATTAAAAGTAGATTTCCAAGCAAAAAAACATTACCATGGGTAAAAGAAGTCATGTTATAACAATAAAGTGGTCAATTCATAAGAGGATATAATAATAAAAATGTTAATACATCTAATAACATCCCAAAATACATGAAGAAACTGGTAGAACTGCAAGAAGAAATAGATAAATGCACCATTTGGTTGGCTATTTCATCACTACTCTCTCAATAATTGATAGAACATGTAGATATTAGCAATAGTAAATAATTATGGATCTAAAAGACTTGAGCAATGCTATCAACTAACTTGACCTAATTAATATTTATAAAACTCAACAATAGCAGAATACTATGCTTTTTGGCTGGGTGTGTGGCTAACGCCTGTAATCCCAGCACTTTGGGAGGCTGAGGCAGGCAGGTAACCTGAGGTCAGGAGTTCGAGACCAGCCTGGCCAACATGGTGAAACCCCATCTCTACTAAAAATACAAAAATTAGCCTGGCATGGTGGTATGTGCCTATAATCCCAGCTACTCATGGGGGCTGAAGCAGGAGAATCACTTGAACCTGGGAGACGGAGGTTGCAGTGAGCCAACATTGAGCTGCTGCACTCCAGCCTGGGAAACAGAGTGAGACTCCATCTCAAAAAAAAAAAAAAATACAATGCTTTTCAAGCGCACACTAAATATTCACCAAGATAGATCTTTTTCTGGACCATAAAACAAGTTCAAGAAAATCTACAAGGATTCAAATAACACAAAATATGTTCTATTTAATTTTCATAATAGAATTAAATTAAAAACAAATAAGAGAAATATACTTGGGAAATCTGCAAATATTTAGTAACTAAATAACATACTCCAAATAATCCATGTATCAAAGAAGGTATCAAAAAATTGGAAAGTATTTTGCACAAAATAAAAATGAAAACACAACAGATCAAAATGTGTGAAATACAGCTAAAGGAGTACTTAGAAAAAAATATTTAGCACTAAATGCATGCGTTATAAAAGAATACTTCAAATTAAGGACCTCAGCTTCTACCTTAAGAAACAAGAAAAAAACCCAGCAAATTAAACTCAAATAAGCAGAAAAAAGGAAATAATAAAGATAAGAACAGAAATAAATAAAACTGGAAACAGAAGAAAAATATAGAAAATCAATGAAACCAAAAGCTGTTTCTTTGGGAACATCAATAAAGTTGATAAACTTCTAGTCAGGTCAGGACAAAGGAAGTAAAACACGAATATTAGGAATGAGAGAGGTGACACCACTACAGATTCTGCAGGTATTAAAAGGATAATAAGAAAATATGAACAACTTTATGAATGAAAAAGTTTCTTGAAAGATGAAAACTATTAAATTTTACTCAAGAAAAAGTAAATAACCTGAATAGTCCTAAATTTATTTTAAAAATTGAATTTGCAGTATAAAAGCTTCCCACAACAAAACAAAACAAACAAACCAAAAAACAAACCTCCAGGCCTAGATGGCTCTGCTGGTAAATTATACTGAATGTTTAATTAAAAAAAATAATAAAAGTTAACACAAGCTCTTTCAAAAAATTAAAATAATGGTAATACTTTCCACTCAGTACCCCAATACCAAAACCAAACCAAGACTTTACTGGGAAAAACCACAGACCAATATCTTTTATGAATATAGACACAAAAATTCCTTTAAAAATTTTTAGCAAATAAACTCCAGCAATGTATAAAAAGGATAACACAGCATAACATAGTGACATTCAACCCAGGACTGTGAGGTTTAGTTTGCGTTATTTATTTTATTTCGGTTTAATAATCTAAAATTAATCAATGTAATTCAACATGTTAATGGAAAAATAAAAATCATACGATCGTCTCAATAGATACAGGAAAAGCATTTGACAAAATCCAACACTTTTTCCTAATATAAACTCTCAGAAAACCAGGAGTAGAAGAAATTTTCCTCAACTTGATAAAGGATAGCTATACAAAACCTACACTTAATGTTAGACTTAATGGTGAAAGACTGAATGCTTTCCCCCTGACATCAGGAAAAGGCAAAGATGACCAGTCTACCACTTCTATTCAACATTGTACTAAAGGTTCTAGATGGAGCAATAAGGAAAGAAAAAGAAATAAAAGGTATCCAGATTGAAAAGGAAGAAGTTAATTTATCTTTACTTATAGATGGCATAATCCTGTAATAGAAAATCCATAATAAATTTCATAAAAAACCCTAATGTTTGTGAGAATTAATAAATTAGTTCAGCAAGGATGCAGGACACAAAATCAATATACAAAAATCAATTGTGTTTCTTTATACTAGCATAAAAACAAATTAAAATAAAAAACAATACCATTTACAGCATCATCAGAAATATTATATATAAATATTATATATTATATATAAATATATATCTTATATATAAATATTATACATTATAGATAAATATATATATTTATATATAAATATTATATATTATAGATAAATATATATATTATATAGAAATATATATATATAAAAAGTCAGATACTCTAACTTTTTGTCAGAGTTTGTGCAAAAACAGAAAGGCAGTAAAGAAGGTAACTTATTTTCAATTCAAACAAATCTTATTTTGATTGGAATTGATAAAAGAGGAGCAAACGAATGTATGAGATTATATCTATAAAAATGTGCAGGACCTGCTCACTAAAACTACTACTAAGGTGAGAGAAATGAAAACAAAGCTAAATGAATGGAGATACAGGCTATGTTCATAAATCAAAGGACTCAATGCTGTTCGGCTGAAATCCCAGCATGTTTTTTGTAGAAGTTGATAAGCTGATTTTAAAATTTTTATAGAAATGTAAAGACAGAATAGCTGAAACAACTTTGGGGGGGAAAAACCCAACACAAGATTAGAAGACTTATACTGATTTGAAGATGCTAAAATTTATATATGAAAAAATGAAGCTCAGAAAAGCTATAGTAATAAAGACAGTATGGTATTGATGGAAGGGGAAAAAAATTGACCAATAGAGATTCCAGAAATTGATCCACACATATGTAATCAATTGAATTTGACAATGGTGCCAATACAAATTCGTTGGGTAAAGAACAATCTTTTCAATAGATATTGCTGAAATAATTTAATAGCCATATGCAAGTATGAACGATAGTAATAATTGAGGCCCTTACTTCTTGTAATGTAGAAAAAATTAATTTTAAATGCATCACAGAGTGAAAAGTAAAAACTAATGCTATAACATTTCCAGGGGGAAAAAAACAGGAAAAATACCTGGATTTGACAAAGATGCCCAATGTCACAAAAACTGGCAAATAAACACATGAAAAGATGCTCGACATTATGAGTAAAATGCAAATCAAAGCCACAAAGAAATACCACTATGAACCCACTAGAATGGCTAAAATTGAAAAGACTGGCCACACTAAGTGCTAGTGACAATGCGGGAGCAAGTGGAACTCTCACGTAGGGCTGGAGGGGAAGGGAACGTGGTACAATCATTTCAGAAAACAGCTGGCAGTTCCTTTAAAAATTAAGCATACACCTACCACAGAACACATCCATTCAACTCCTAGGTATTTACACAAGACATAAATGAAAGCATATGTCCACAGAAACAGTTAAGAATGTTCATAGAAGCTTTCAACAGTGAATGGATAAATACTTTGGAACGAATTGATACACACACCAACGTAGATAAGTCTCAAAATAATTATGCTGAGTAAAGAAAAACAGACAAAAATGAACATGATTCAACTGATCTACAATTGTGGACAATGTAAACTACAGTGGCAGAAAGCAGATCAGTGATGGCTGGAGATGGGGAAACATGAAAAGGAGGAATTACGAATGGGCAGGGGAAATTTAGGGGTGACAAATACGTTCATTATTTTGAAAATGGTGATGGTGGCCGGGCGCGGTGGCTCACGTCTGTCATCCCAGCACTTTGGGAGGCCGAGACGGGCGGATCACGAGGTCAGGAGATCGAGACCATCCTGGCTAACACGGTGAAATCCCGTCTCTACTAAAAATACAAAAATTAGCCAGGCGTAGTGGCGGGCGCCTGTAGTCCCAGCTGCTCGGGAGGCTGAGGCAGGAGAATGGCGTGAACCCGGGAGGCGGAGCTTGTAGTGAGCCGAGATCGCACCATTGCACTCCACCCTGGGCGACAGAGCGAGACTCCATCCAAAAAAAAAAAAAAAAAAAAAAAAAAAAGAAAATGGTGATGGTTTCATGGGTATATACATGTGTAAAATTTATCAAATTGTACATGTTACATATTTGCAGTATACCGTATGACAATTACACCTCAAGAAAGCTTTAAAAATAAAATGGGATTCTCTGACATAAGTTATTTACAATCTCCAGATATTTTAGAATGTTCTTACCAAAACATCTTAAGCAATACACACTGCACCCTCCACAACAAAAGGCAAACTGCTTAGCAAAACATCAGCAATAGTATCTGGGGCAACCAGACTTCTTACCTGAAGGTTCCTCTTCAGTAACAATGATCTGTCCAGTCCAGGGTGCTGAGGGGCGACCTGAATAAAGACAAATATAAGAATCACAAACGTTTACAAGTGTGCAATTTATCAGCTGCACTGATGAATTGGGAAAGTGGCCAGATTAGTCACAACTGGGTTTGTTACTAATAGACTTATGTGTTTTCCCATGAATGGTATCAATCATGTAGAGGGCACTGTGGGAAGCACAGCCCCGGTCCTCAAGGGACTCATAATCTGCTGGAGCCTAGAATCTGCCTGGACTGGCTGAGTAGATGTTTCTGGAACTGTACTTGCACAAGCTAGGTAAGTAACCTGTGTTCATGTAACTGTTCAATATGAATCTCCTGGAACAGGTAGGCTTGCTCATCCCCTCTGAAGGATAGCATGCGTTTGGGAGAAACATTTCCAGAACAATTGTAAGCCCAGTAGTTATTTATTGTCATAATAAGATGAAAGAGGAGAGGGGGTGCCGATCCTGCGGTAAAGCTCAGCAAAGCAAATTTTTCCCATTATATTTTGAAAAATATTATCTCCAAAGGAAATCAGTTGAGATCCTGAGCAAGGAAAATGAATGATACGGGTACAAAGTTAAAGAGGAAATTCACTTGTATGATCCCATAAACATCAGAAAGACAGAGTAGTTCTACTCTTGCATTAACCAGGGGACTTTTTGTCAGGGTTTGTGAAAAACAGAAAGGCAGTAAAGAAGGTAACTTATTTTTAGTTCAAACAAATCTTATTTTGATTGGAATTGATAAAAGAGGAGCAAACGAAAGTATGAGATGGAATTTGCAAGTTTAGAAAGGAGGGCAGGAAGTTGGAGGGTTGGTGAAGAGTGACTGAAGAGCAATCAAGGAGCCTGATGAGACACGGTTGCCGGGGAAATGGTAACATTATTATTATTATTATTTTCAGATGGAGTCTCGCTCTGTCGCCTAGGCTGGAGTGCAGTGGCGCGATCTCAGCTCACTGCAACCTCCGCCTCCCGGGTTCAAATGATTCTCCTGCCTCAGCCTCCCGAGTAGCTGGGATTACAGGCGCCCGCCACCACGCCTGGCTAATTTTTTGTAATTTTTAGTAGAGACGGGGTTTCGCCATGTTGGCCCGGCTGGTCACGAACTCCTGACCTCAGGTGATCCACCCGCCTCGACCTCCCAGAGTGCTGGGATTACAGGTGTGAGCCACCATGCCCAGCCAGTGACATTATTTTATTTAGACTTTTACGATGCCACTACACGTACTGAAGGTAAAGAATAACATTGTGAATGTAGCACAGACCAGCAGTCCTCTACAAAGGTGGTTTTGCCCTTTAGGTGACATTTGGTAGTGTCTCCATGACACTGCTGGCATCTAGTGGGTAGAGACAAGGGATGTTGCTCAGCCTCCTGCAATGAACAGAACACCCCTAGCCACCTCCCACAACAACAAAGAATTACTGGCCTAAAGTGCCAGTAGGGCCAAGGTTGAGAAGCCTGGCATAAGCCTGAAATGTTACTATCCAACTCTTCTCATAATGTCATTTTACGTTCCCTATTGTTGGAGATGCCATATGGGTTTCCATGAAACAAATACAAGGCATGATTACAGGGCATGATTCATGTACCATGGTTTTGACATTAAGACTTGGAGACTACATATATTAAAAGATTATTATTATTGTTATTATTGAGACAGGGTCTTGCTCTGTTGCCCAGGCTAGAGTGCAATGGTGTAATCACAGCTCACTGCAGCCTTGACCTCCTGGGCTCTAGCGATCCTCCCACCTCAGCCTCCTGAGTAGCTGGGACTTACAGCTGTGTGCTACCATGCCTGGCTTTTTTTTTTTTTTTTTTTTTCATTTTTTTCATTTTTTTTTTTTAAAAGATGGGGTCTCTCTATGTTGCCCAGGTTGGTCTCAGAACTCCTAGGCTCAAGCCATCCTCCCACCTTAGCCTCTCCAAGTGCTGGGATTACAGGTGTGAGCCACCACGCCAGGCCTGAAAAAATGATTTTTGACAGTCTAATATGAGAACTCAGACATAGATTAGATATAACGTTGTCTATCTGTTTTTCCTTTGATATAGAGAGACGCACTGTGCTGAGATATTAATGCTCTAAGGGTGGACTCCAAGGTAAAGAAATAGACCTTGAGCCAGAAAGAAAATTATTTTTATTATTTTTGGAATGTATAATAACAGGAATAAAAATGCTCTCCAGCCTCTTTGCTTTTATACTTCATTCCACACACAATGCCTGGAACTCAGTTTAACAACATAAATGTTTCTGAATAAAATAAAATAAAATATAAAATAATAAAATAAAATAAAATAAATAAAATAAAATAAAATAAAATAAAATAAAACCCTTAAGAGAATGGCTAAGGCAATGTTTGCGAAGGATTCTCCCCCTCGGATTTTCTGATGAAAAAAGGATTTCTTGTTCTTGTCTCCCTCTAGTGGAAGGGAGAGAAACAACCTTGCAATGAAGCTGATTCTTGCAGTCATTTTAAAAAGGTTTAGGGAAGGTCCTGAAAAATGAAAAGTGCTTACTTTTAAGTCTAGCTTTCTCAGCCGGATCCAGAGCAGCCACGGGCTCGGAAACTCGAGATGGGAAACCTATTCCCATTTTATTCACAGCTCGAACTCGGAAGATATAGGAACGACCTTCGATCAATCCAGTGACAGGAAAACGAGCAAACTTCACAGGTGTGTCATTGCACTGCGACCAGCTATCTGTGCCCACCTCACACCTAAAGGAATGAGCGTGATTGACAAAAATATTAAAAGAAGTATGGCTTAATGAATATCTCCAGAGCTGCAGAATCACCCAGTTGTTTCAGATCTTCTCCCTATAAAATATCCAAGTCAGGCGTGGCTCGCTACCTGGTGAACTGCATGCAGGCACTCCGTTTCACTCAAATGCACTGTGTCTTCTTTACCAAGAGGAAAGAAGCCTCAGGTCCTTCCTGAACTCGTAAAAAGCAGGCATCTGAGGGGCCTTGTGTAGAAAGCAGAGGGGTTTGGGGGTTGCTGGGATAAGCAGATAAATATCTCCAATCTTAGCATTGGAGAAGATCCCCAAACATCTCCCCGGCTGATGCCTTCAATTCTACCATTAGTGACTTCTTTGTCTTCTTTAGGTATTTTCTTTGAAAAACAGAGGTATTATTGAGAAAATTGGCGTCTTAAAACCTAACTATTTGCACTGTAGTTTGGAAAAGAGTTCACCATATTTCCTCACTTCATGGTCATTCCATCCTGTGTAGAGGGTAAGAAGGTTATTGTGAAGATGTTTGTTTCTTTAACAGAAGAGACTGATGACAGGTGGGGAGATGCCCAGTCCTGGCAGGGGCAGATTGAGTGGGTACTTGGAAACACTGATTTCTAATTGAGTGCTTTTACAGCAGTTGGTACCTGGGGATGGAGTGGGTCATTCCCAGCAGACAAATATGACAGCTCATATCATGCTGTTGGCCTGATCAACAAAGCTTTAGGGGTTCAACATGTGATTAAATTTTACAGATTAGGATTAAGCAGCTCTTACTTTTTTTATGAGCAGAGTGCTGTACTTTTAGCTCATATCATTTCCCCAACATGGGCTCTATGTCCAAAATGTGTAATTCCCAAATGATTCTCAGGGGCGTGGGGGTTGCCAGTGGCAGGACAGAGGTGGCTGGTGTGGGGGGTGTATCTCCCCTCCTCACAATCACCTTCCTCTCTTTGATATGGACAATAGACAATTTCCTTATGTAAAGTGGAATAGACAACTTCCTCACTTTCCTTATGTAAAGTGCTGTCAAATGTGGCTTCAATCCCTGCCTTCCATCATTTCCCCTAATCCTCCTTGGTAGAAATTCTGGAGCTGCTAGGGGTTTGGGGAGGTGGGGCTGTGGCAGAAGCTGATAGGGCCAGGACAATTCTTCAATCTACACCTGTCTCCAGAGATTCTGCCAGGACTCAGCCTCTTCTCTGTGCAGATACTGCTATGGTGACCCAGTGACACTAGAGCATCCTTCCTAACCTCATGTGGGCAGAAAGAAAGGTGGAACTCACTGCTCCTGACACTTTCCGCAGCACGTTGGAGCAGAAAGAACACAAACCTACAGCCAGGCTCACATCTGAATTCTAGTTCTGCTACTTATTACCCGCGTGATCTTAGGTGAGTTAGTGCTTCCTCACTGATATGTGGTCTCGGGCCTCATTTCCTACTTGAAATAATAGCAACGACCTTAAAGGGCGGTTATGGGTTAGTGGTTAATATATGCGAAGTGTTTAGAACAGTGCCATGCACACAGTAAATGCTTAATAAATAATAGCCACAAGGTGGGTATTTTCACTATGACTAAGGCCAGAGGAGAACAAAATGTACTTATTGTCCCTGGCCTTTCACTGGTCAAAGTTTAAAAATCCCCTGGAAATGTGCCAAAGACAATAAAGCACAAAAAAGAATATATCTAAACCTTCACAATTCATCACTACTAAATGATGAAATGTTGTGGAAGCATTAGTTCACATGGATGGTTAAATAGTATATAATTTATTAGAAATATTTCTTACAAATAGTTCTGAGCACAATTGCATGTATTTATGTACTGCGAAGTTCAACACACCCTTGGTGCAAACCCATTGTGCTAATATGACACAGATTATCCATCTCTAGTGATTTCTACAATGAGATTTCATTACTCAAAAATGAAAAGAGAATTGGAACAACGATCTGAATAGAAACCAAGTCAGAGAACAATGTTATTTAGGCCAAATCTAAATTTGCTGTCTGTATCGTCCAAACTCATGTCATAATTAATGTGTAAAGCCCAGTTACTATAAATATCAGAGCCTCTAAGTTTTGGAGAATATAGACAAGAACTTATAGATAGTGAATAATTTGCTTCTATTGATTTTTTGTTGTTACTTCTTTGTATAACTTGAAAACACATCCTGAGGTAGAAATAAGACTTTGGTAGTATTACCAAAGTAAATATTCTTAAATTATTGACATATTAGGAATATGGACATTATGCTGAATTCCAATGATTTCATTTCCAAGGTGGCCTCTATGAGGTCTACAAATTCATAGCATTCTTGCCAAATTAGTGACATAAGCTGGTAGCCAAATTTAAAAAAATTCATCTTTGGAATTTAGGTAAATATTTAATTCATTTTTGGAACTTTTACCTAAATTCCAAAAAAGAATTTTTTGAATTTGACTACCAGCTCATGTTACTAATTTGGCAAGAATGCTATGAATTCGTAGACCTAATAGAGACCTAACAGAGGCCATCTTGGAAATGAAATATATATATATGTATATATATCTACCTACCTATTTACCTAAGTTCCAAAGATGAATTTTGTGACACTATGATATGAGCTGTCACATTTGTCTGCTGGGGAGTGACCCACTCCATCTGCAGGTACTAACTGCTGTAAAAGCACTCAATTAGAAATCAGCGTTTCTAAGTACCTACTCAATACACACACACACACACACACACACACACACACACATTTATAATGGGTATATATACCCATTTTATATATATATGTAGGTACCATTATATGTATGTGTATATATGTATGTATGTATATGTTTGTGTAGATATATACATACAGAGAGAAAGAGAGAGCGAGAGACTGAGACAGAGACAAATAGAGAAAAAGAAAGATGAAGAGAGATACAGAAATAGAAAGAGGAGGAGAGGAAAGCCAGAAAAGAAAATATTTCCACTAGAAATGATGGGAGAAATCAAGCACGCATCTCTATGACCAAATAACTGTAATTGATGTTAGCCTAAGCACTAACTTATCAATAAAATATCCGAGAATAGGACTCCCTCCATCGACAGCTGGCTGTTTCCAGGAGATGATGATATAATCTTTGTTGGCCTCCAAGCACTTCACATCCAAGGGAGCAGCTGGGGCTCCTTCAATCTCTGCATCAGCATCTGTGGAGACAGAGAAGGATCCCATTAACCCTCTCAGACATGCTGTCAGTCGGCAGGCAGGTCTCAGCGCACACGCTTCTTACCACATCATCACAGTGGCTCAATCTTTGGCCCCAACGCAGCAAGCATCAAATCTTGCTATTTTTTTTTTGAGACGGAGTCTCGCTCTGTCACCCAGGCTGGAGGGCAGAGGTGGGATCTCAGCTCACTGCAAGCTCCACCTCCCGGGTTCACGCCATTCTCCTGCCTCAGCCTCCTGAGTAGCTGGGACTACAGGCACCCGCCACCACGCCCAGCTAATTTCTTTTTGTATTTTTGGTAGAGATGGGGTTTCACCGTGTTAGCCAGGATGGTCTTGATCTCCTGACCTTGTGATCCGCCCGCCTCGGCCTCCCAAAGTGCTGGGATTACAGGCGTGAGCCATCACACCCGGCCAAATCTTGCTATTTGTTGACCAACATAACAATGTGTGTTTTTCACCTTCAGCAGGAAGAACATTGTGTCAGAAAATAGAAAGTGCTCTGAAAAGAACCCATGACCTTTGCCTCATGGTCCCTGTGGCCCAAAATGTTCCAAAAGAAAATTAATATAGAGATGCTGAAGATTGCATTCAGACAAGTCAGTTGTGCCAGAAAGTCTGTTCTCATGACATTGATTGTGCAACGTTGCTAAGAAAAACTAAGAAAGGCTCCCAAGGGAGACAAATACCCCTTCTGGAGGCATCCACAAGAAAATACGAGTCATAGAGCTTTGCCAGTCCCTAGGCAAGACACTACCATTTTGAAAGAGAAAACATTCGTTTTAATCAAATGATTGTTACCAAACTGAACACTTAGGAAAAGAACTCCAATGCAATACTCACATCTGAGCTCAGTTTATCTGAGTTTAGTAAAAGTCCGGGATAATACAGGAAACACTACAATCCCTTTTTATGAAATGGGATCCCCTGACCACACGGCCCCTCAGGCACAGCTGAATTAGTGAATCAGGGCTGTTTATAGGAGGGAGAGAAGGGGGAATGAAAATATTCAGTTAGTAACCTTTTAAGTGAGAATAATTAAGACAAGAGGCAGGGTCCCTGGGGGTGGAGGCCCACATTTGCCAATTCCTCCTGGCATTTGACCAACGCTTTCATAAACGGAGTTAGTAGAAGAGGCTGAGACATGCAGGAGCCACTCACTCAAGGGAAAGCACCCATGTCGACCAAACAAACACTTTCTTTCCCTATGATCTACATTCTGTAACTCTTATGAGTTACAAGGACATTTGATAACATAGCAGAAATATCTGTCTACTTCTGCATTTAATAGATTTGCATTATCTGTGAAGAGCTCAAGCCACTTGGGTTTTGAACATTCTGTTTCTTGTTCTGTGAACCAGCAGGAAAGCATCTAGGCAAATATCTCCTGCAGAAGTGCTATAGGAGAATGTAACTAACTCATTGTGCCTAAAACTTAATGCAGAATCTCTGCGTGCCACTCAGTGGGAAATGAGCATTTTGATGAGGAGACACTTCTTTCTTTTTTTTTTTTTTTGAGACAGAGTCTTGCTCTGTCACCCAGGCTGGAGGGCAGAGGTGGGATCTCAGCTCACTGCAAGCTCCACCTCCCGGGTTCACGCCATTCTCCTGCCTCAAGCCTCCTGAGTAGCTGGGACTACAGGCGTGCACCACCTATGCCCGGCTAATTTTTTTTGTATTTTTAGTAGAGATGGGGATTCACCGTATTAGCCAGGATGGTCTCGAACTCCTGACCTTGTGATCCGCCCGCCTCGGCCTCCCAAAGTGCTGGGATTACAGGCGTGAGCCACCGCGCCCGGCGAGACACTTCTTTCCTTCCAGGCTTTCAGAGCACTGGATGGCGGAGAGTGGGGCTGCTGATGGCAAAGGCAGAGCAGAGCTGCAGAGGAGGTGGGGATGCTGAGGCTGACATGCTTGGGCTGCAAAAGAGGCACTGCTAGAAAGCCATCAGCTACAAGAGGGACAGCTGGCAACCTCTAGCCATGTCCTTTTGCTAACGGCCTATACCACAACAACCAGGAGCCCCTGCATTGATAGAGCAGAGCTCAGTGAGCTGGGCATCCATGGCATAGATGCACGATGGCAGGAATACGCTGTAATGGAGCCTGGCAGACAGCGGGCATTCAGGGAGCCATTGTTCAACATTTGTATAGCATTGCTTGGAACTGAGGTGGGCTTGACAATCTTCCAAGTTACTCAGGCATTCATTCTCTCATTCATTCTCTCATTCATTCATTCTCTCATTCATTCATTCAGTACTCTTCTAGGTGTTAACTGCAAAAGTTAAAAAATAAGGATCCTAGCTGGGTGCAGTGGGTCACGCCTGTAATCCTAGCACTTTGGGTAGATCACTTGAGCCTAGGAATTCAAGAGCAGCCTGGGCAACATGGTGAGACTCTGTCTCTATGCATTTTAAAAAAATAGCCAGGTGTGGTAGTGCGGGCCTATGTTTCCAGTAACTTGAGAGGCTGAGGGAAGAGGATTGCTTGAGCCTGGGAGGTAGAGGCTGCAGTAAGCTATGATTGCACCACTACACTCCAGCCTGGGTGACAGAGCAAGACCTTGTCTCCAAAAATAATAATAATAATAATAATAATAATAATAATAATAATAATAATCCTTCTTTTTCTCAAGAAGCTACGATATAGTGTGAGAAACAAAACATACTTGGGATGACAAGAGGCAGCTGTGAAGCAAGGAAACACAGTATTTGGCTTCTAGCAGCTGCTACACAGTGTGGGGCCCACAGCACCCTTCAGACAACATTAATCCTCTTCTACGCCTCTGCCCTTCCCTCTCCCAGCCCTCCAAATAGCCAAACTTTTTATAAGTTTGATTATTAGATCAAAGATTAGCCTACTACTCTTTATATTTTGACCTCTGACACAGACTATTAATAACTTTTTGCAAAATGTAAGTAATTCTATTGTCTTTATTGTAAAAGTGTTACATATATTTTATATGAACTATATGATAATCAAAAAATATGTTAAAATCCCTTTTTTACAACCCAGAGATAACTACTATTACCATATTGGCCTAAATCTTTCTAGACTTTTATTCTATATTTATAAACTCAGAAATGATTATTTTTGAAACAAAGTGATTGTACTATATAGTTTCATGTAAGCTGTTTTTTCTTGATATATTTCCATATCAATACATGTGGGTAGACATTGGTTTTCATTGCTGTGTGGTATGTCATCGTTTCATGGAGCATCTATTATACTTTACTCTACAACTTGCATATTGGTGAATATCTATATTTCTTCCAATTTTCCCCCAAACATTTTTTTCACCTCTGTCCCCTCAGTTCTTAGAACTAGAATTGTTGGAAATGTGTGTTTTTGATATTTAGTGGCAAAGAGCCTGAGAAAAGTTGAACAAATTTATACTCACCAGCCACTGCAGCAGTGCCTGTTCCTCCATTCCTTTACCCCAGTGGATTTCAAAAAACTTTACATCTTTTCAATATGATAGGAAAAACAATCTCATTTCAATTTTCTTTTTTTCTTTCTTTTTTTGAGATAGGGTCTCACTCTGTGGCCCAGGCTGGAGTGCAGTGAGGCAATCATAGTTCCCGGTGGCTTTGACCTCCCAGGCTCAAGCTCTCCTCCCTCTTCAGCCTCCCAAGTAGCTAGGATTATAGGTATACTCCACTATGCCCAGCTAATTTTTTTATTTTTTGTAGAGACAGGGTCTCACTGTGTTGCCCAGGCTGGTCTTGAACTCCTGGGCTCAAGTGATCCTCCCACCTGGGCCTCCCAAAGTGCTGGGATTACCGGCATGAGCCACTGTGCCCAGCCTCATTTCAATTTTCATTGTTTTGATTGCTAATGAAAATTTTTTCATACACTTATTTGCCATTTTCAATTCTTCTTTCATGACATTTTAATGACATCCTTTATCACTTTATTATTTCTCTGTCTCCTCTCTGCATGAGAGAGAGCAAGAGAAACAGAGTGTGAAAAAAAAAGAAAAGAGAAAGAGAAGGAAAGAATACATCAAAGCCTCAAGGAATATGTAATAAAATGATAACACTGGATACCTGTGGGTGGCAGACTTACGGATGGCTTTACTTTTTATTTGTTAAATTTATATTATCTATTTTTTTCACAATGAACACATATTATCTATGTAATAAAATCTTGGCCAAATGTGTACAGCTCTTTACAATGTGTTTCTGCAGACATATGGTGCTTTATACACTGATCGTTCTGGTGTGGAAGCTGTTTTCTAAGCTGTAAGAATATCAGAGCTCCAAAACAATGCCCTGAAGTGACCTCGTGCAGCTCAATGAATACAAAGTTTTTTTAAAAATAAAATATTATTTAAGCAATGGCAGTTTCTTACAAAGTTAAACACAAATTTACCATATGACCTAGCAATTCCACTTGTAGGTAGATACCCAAGAGAAATGAAGATATAGGCCTATAAATATGAACACACATGTTTATAATAACCAAAGAGTGAAAACAATCGCACTGTCCATCAGCGGGTGAACGTATAGGCAAAAGGATGCATATCCATGTATTGGAATGCAATTTAATAAGAAAAAGGAACAATATGTCTTACAACATGAATGAACCTCAAAACATGTAAAGCCAAAGAAGGCCGACATAAAAAACCATAGAGATCCAGAAATGTCCAGAAAGACAAATCTACAGAGATAGAAAGTGAATTAGTAGTTGCGGGAGACTAGACTGGTTATGGGAGAGGGAAATAGGGAGGAGAAATCTTTTTGGGGTGATGTAAATTTTCTTTCTTTTCCTTCCTTCCTTCCTTCCTTCCTTCCTTCCTTCCTTCCTTCCTTCCTTCCTTCCTTCCTTCTCTCCTTCCCTCCTTCCTTCCCTGCCTGCCTTCCTTCTCTCTCTCCCTCTCTTATTCTCTTTTCTTCTTCTCCTACTTCTTCTTCTCCTTCTCCTCTTCCTCCTCCTTCTCCTCCTCCTCCTCCTTCTTCTTCTTCTCTTCCTCCTCCTCCTTCTTCTCCTCCTCCTTCTTCTTCTTCTCTTCCTCCTCCTCCTCCTCCTTCCTTTCCCTTCCCTTCCCTTCCTTTCCTTTTCTTCTTCTCTCTCTCTTTTTTTTCTTTCTTTTTTTTGAGACAGGGTCTCGTTCTGTCACCCAAGCTGGAGTGCAGTGTTGCAATCACCAGTCATTGCAGCCTCGACCTCTTGGGCTCAAGCAATCCTCCCATCTCAGCCTCCTGAGTAGCTGGGACTACAGGCATGCATCACACCCAGCTAATTGTTTTCAGTTTTTGTAGAGATGGGGTCTTGCTATGTGGCCCAGGCTGGTCTCACACTCCTGGGCTCAAGAGATCCTCCTATCTTGGCCTCCCAAAGTGCTGGGATTACAGGCGTGAGCCATTGTACCTGGTCAACATTTTCTAAAAGTGGAGTGTGGGTAATGGTTGCCCAACTCTGTAAATATACTAAAAAGCACCAAATTGTATACTTAACATGAGTGAACTTTATGGTATACAAATTATATCTCAAAAATATGCTTTAAAAAACCTAATATATATCATTTAAAATACATTTATAAGTGAAATCTTTTTCTAAAGATTGTAAAATTCACAATGCAATTGCTGAAATTTACCTTTCCAATTTTGCCTTTTCTATTTATCTTTTCAATGCTCTCACATCAACCTCTGATAAACTGAGAATCTTTCCATTTCCTTAATTTGTGGATTTGAAAGCTGGCTTAAGTATAAATTTTAAATTGGAACACCTTCGCCCCATCCATAGTTAGTAACGTGGAGTCTGGCCTAAACCTGGCAAAGAGGCACCATTCTGGGTGTGGGCGCTGAGAAATGTTGAGGAACCCTAGACTGGGTCAGGGTTCCTAGAAAAAGTTCATGAAGGAAGGACCATAGCATGACAAAGGTTTTTGGAATAGCCAGCGATGTTCTCTGGCTCTAGTAAAACAGTGGAAAGTGGAAGCAAAGACTTAGCTTAGTTCATCCTCATCTAGCCAGGTTGATCCTGGTGATTTGGCTAAATGAACGCACTTGCTAATTGCAGTGTGTTGGTTCTCACTGCAATTTTCCCAGAAGGCCAGCTCCTGTCTTCCCTGATGATATAGACTTTTTCATGATGCCTTTGTGGTGGAGAAAGCCTTATATGCTTTTCAGATGTTTAGATATTCAGGTATCTATACCAGTTGCCGGTCTGGGACAGAATTCAGTGGTCATTTTTACTGTTCAATGCCGATGTGGTGTGGCCTGCTAACTGTCCCCAGCAATCATTCTTCCTGCTTCCTTTTAGTACTAGGACCCCTGAGCGTTAGCAGGAAACATGGCTGGCTAACAAGAGACAGTACCTGCTAGCTCCCCTCACTGTGAAGTGTCTGCATGTGCTAAGTGTGCACTAAGCAGAAGTGATGAGGGCACTAAGCAGAAGTGATGAGGGCAATTCGGCCTCTGCCCCTCCACTCCCTTTCTTTCTCCTCCCCATAGGCTGGGATGAGAACCTGGGACAGTACCCCAGGGCACAGTGCAATAACAACATAGAGGGGACCTAGGAAGAGGCATCTGGATCATACCCAACTTTCACATACAGGAGAGAAACAAATCTTTTGTTATTTCATTTCAGCAGCTTAGTCTAGATCCTAATTAAAATCCTGGGTTAGCCACTGGAAGACCTATAAGCTAGTTCCACTTCTGCTTCTAATTAACTGAAGTTTTTGGTAAATTACCGTACTTTTTTGAACCTCAGTTTCTGCATCATAAAATTAAGGGGTTGTACTAGGATGAGAATTCTAACATTTTTTGAGCCATCGACCCCTTTGACAAGCCGGTAAAGCCTAGAGGTCCTTCTGAGAGTAATGCATTTACACACATAAAATAAAACTCATGTGATTACCAGAAAACCTAAATATATTGAAATACAGTTCTAATCATAGACCTTTTGGAAGTCTGTGGATCCCAGTTGAGTACTCAAAATGTTTATGAGTTTATGACTCTATTTAGTGTAAGAGAGATAAAAATGAGCTAGTCTACCTGCATTGTTTATATTTTAAATTTTCTCTATATTATGATGCTTTAACATCTTAGACACCATTCTGGCTAAGGAGGGCCTGCCTTCCTGAGGCGAGCCAATTCTTAGGGCCCAGAGGGGAGCATGACTGATATGCAAACTAGCCACTTCAGCCACACCTCCTTTATCTGGCCTGTAGAACCCAGGAAACAATATGGTTCTGCCTTAATCATCCCCGGGGCCAGATAC
This sequence comes from Homo sapiens, assembly GCF_000001405.40. Taxonomy (NCBI): domain Eukaryota; kingdom Metazoa; phylum Chordata; class Mammalia; order Primates; family Hominidae; genus Homo; species Homo sapiens. Next base: position 3,162,334 of record NC_000018.10, read on the forward strand.
CAGGCAAGTAGGGACCACACCTGTAACTTACAGCCTACTGAAATTATTTGAACTAGCCAATCCTAACTTGTTTACTTGCCCTGCTTTCCCTACCCAAGGAAACTCCAATAAAGGGCTTGGTCTAGGCACTCCTTTGCTCCTCCTGCCCCTTCTGACTCATGACTGACACTGGCACTTTCCCACGTGTCCCAGCTGTTCCTGTTCTAGGACCTGTGAGTATTATAAACATTGTTTTCTTGTGCCTCTACTAGATCTCTTCTTATGACTGCACCTGACTAATCATGCCATAAAAAAACACAGAACACTACCCTGGTAGCCTAAAAGTGCTAATGGTCTTCCCAAGTGCTAGGATCCCGTGGAGGAATAATATTCCACATGTGCATATCCAATCCATTTAAGACACCACTGAAAAGGCCGGGCGTGGGCTCACGCCTGTAATCCCAGCACTTTGGGAGACCGAGACCGGTGGATCACGAGGTCAGGAGATCGAGACCATCCTGGCTAACACGGTGAAACCCCATCTCTACTAAAAATACAAAAAAATTAGCCGGGCATGGTGGTGGGCGCCTGTAGTCCCAGCTACTCGGGAGGCTGACGCAAGAGAATGGTGTGAACCCAGGAGGCGGAGCTTGCAGTGAGCCGAGATCAAGCCACTGCACTGCACTCCAGCCTGGGTGACTGAGACTCCCACTCAAAAAAACAAAAAAAAACAAAAAACCACACACCACTGAAAAAAAGAAAGACTCCTAAAGTCAACAATTTTGGTTTGTCTCAAGAATTAAGCTGAAACCCCTTGCTTCCTAGTTCATCAAAACAGAGGCTATAAAGTTCAGTTATGGGCCAAGGGACCTGAAATGAAATAATAAATTTACTCTCTGAAATACACATTAAAGACTTACACCCAAAATAACAGATCCCTCTTTTGCAGCAGCTTCCTTAAACTGAGATGGCTGGTATCATTAGGATTTAGCATCTCCACCGGAACAGTCATAGGGAACTGTACTAGCAGCTCCCTGAAGACGAAGAAAGTCCTGATATTAATGATGGAAACATGGTCTGGAAAATGGTGACTTTTGAGTTGGTGCCCTCAGGGCTCACCTTTTACACTAGGTCTACTTTTTTTTTTGTTTTTCTTTTGAGACAGGGTCTCACTCTGTCACCCAGGCTGGAGTGCAGTGGCATAATCTCAGCCAACTTGAACTTCTGCCTGCCAGGCCCAAGCCATCCTCCCACTCCAGCCTCCCAAGTAGCTGAGACTACAAGCGCGCACCACCATGCCCGGCTAATTTTTTGTATTTTTTGTAGAGATGAGATTTTACCATGTTGCCCAGGCTGGTCTTGAACTCCTGAGCTCAAGTGATCCACACATCTCAGCTTCCTAAAGTGCTGGGATTACAGGCATGAGCCACCGGGCCTAGGTCTATTTTATTGGAAACGAACATATTCTTATTCAATGTAATCTGCAAGAATTTCCTTTTTCTTTTCTTTCTTTTTTTTTTGGTTTTGTTTTGTTTTGTTTCATTTTGTTTTGTTTTTTGAGACGGGGTCTTGTTCTATCACCCAGGCTGGAGTGCAGTGGTGCAATCACAGCTCACTGCAGCCTTGACTTCTCGGGCTTGAGTGATCCTCCCTCTTCAGCCTCCCAAGTAGCTGGGACCACAGGTGCATGCCGCCATGCCCAGCTAATCAAAAAAATTTTTTTTTGTAGAAATGGGTTCTTGCCTATGTTACTGGGCTGGTCTTGAATCCCTGGGTTCAAGAGATCCTCCCACCTTGGCCTCCCAAAGTGCTGGGATTACAGGCGTGAGACATTGCACCCTGCCAGAATTTTGAAATGACTCTTCCATCATTATGAAACATGTTTGAACTGTTTTGTAATCAAAAACTGCTTTGGCTTCAGTGTACTAAATATTGTTAGGTGTTTTGTTTTTTGCTAGGACTTACCTCGAACAAAGACATAAGCACTATATTGTTCATAATATTCTCCCATCCGTACACGGATTGTATAGAGGCCTTCATCTTCTTTGTTGAGATGGGAAAATGTCAGCGTTGCCCGCTCTCCACTCCAAAGTGTTTGCACCCATTTTGATGGAGAAAGAGGTACTCCTAGAAATATTTTAAAAGTAAGCAAATTAACTTATTTTTGTTTTATAACTTCCTTCTTGTCTCCCCTCCATTCCTCTCCTTAGCCTTTTCTATAATGAAAGTAATTTAACTACTAGAGGAAGTCTCTAGGACTTTGAGCCATCCTGATATGTTTACATTGGTAAAAATACTGGACCAAAAGTAAGGGGATAAGGGGCAGACACATAATCCGCAGGGGCCTCGTGTAAAATTACATTACAAGGCCCCTTGTTCAAAAAGCAGAGAAAAAGTGCAATTAAAGGTGCTAAAATATGTCTTCTTCCTTTAAAAATATTTTATTACTTATAGTAATGTAATAGGGGTAATACAAGTTGCAAAAAATCGTATTTTGGTGCCATAATTGTATATGCAATCAATAATAATACGTTACTAGTAGGAGACCTTGATTGATAATAAGATATTGCTGTCTGCTTTTCTGCAAATTCATTTATTAGTCATCAAAATTTATACTTTTAGCAACTTCATTTTAAATCAATATAATCAAAAGCAACATCAGTAACTATTTATAAATGCAAGCTCATGAATTAATTCCCATAATTTTTTTAGAAGGACCTTTCTGCTGATGTAACTGTTACTGGAGCTGTTAAAAAAGTTATATAGGCTATGACAACATTGGGTTAACTTTCTGAGAAACTATTTCAAAATATAAATTTTAGCAATCTAGAACTGATGACTCCAGATTCTAGAACCTAGAATAAAGGGACAATCTAGAATCTAGAATAAAGGGACAATTATTCTAAAAAGATTTAACTCTTCATACAAATCAGTTTCATGTAAATCTCTATTTAATTTTAAGTGTGAATTTATACAGTTTCATTTTAATGCTTTGTCCAATATGGCTTTAACCTGTGGAGGTGACACTACAAGCCGAACATGATTTCATGATTTGTATAAAATTCAGGATGCCTGTTTATGTATTCTATTACTGTATCTTCAATTATAAGTGGTAATTTTAAAACTGTCTTCCTTGTTAATAATAGGCTTATCCAAAGTTTCATATGAAAATGTTCTTTTCCATCAAATGCTACAATCTTTAAATGTAACTTCTAATTCTAAGCCTCAAAACCAGAGATTCAAACCTCCTTGAAGAATTCTAATAACTGCCTTATGTGCTTTATTGCAGTGTCTACATGTACACTTTTATTTTATAATATTTTAGTGACAAAATTTACTGTCCTATTGCCAGCAGTTCCTGTCCCCATGCTCAGGCCAGGAGTTAATATTTGTGCAGATCCCACAGAGCTGAGTTCTGGGGAAGGCCAGGCAATCTGTCCCCACACTGTGTGTCCCTATGCTGCCTCCATGCCGAGCCCCTTCTCTCCTCTGCAGCCATGGGACCCATCACCACTGCTACTGCTGCTGGTGCCACCACCATTGCTAATTCCAGTCTGGCCTTAGGTCCTGGTCTCTTTCATCACCTTGGAATGCCATGGTGCCACAGACTGCCCCAAGTGCTCATGTGCACAACTGAAGACCACACCTGCAGCTTGGTGCTCACACTGCCTACTACCCACTGCCCACTGTGCCCAGGAGCCTGCACCTACATTTGTCTGCACTGCCATTCCCGTATTTCCTCCGATCATGTGCATGTGCCATAGTCCCACTGGACTCCATGTATAAAACACAAGATCAAAGATAAAGTGATTATGAACTTCAAGGGGTGACAGCAGAGCATTAAATGAAGCCCAGATCTCTTGGTCCTGTAAAATGGCACCATTCACAGGCCCAAAAAGTCAGCTCTGGAGAGGAGCTATATTTCAGTCTGATCTCTTTCTATCTCAAGTCTTTTTTTTTTTTTTTTTTTTTATTTGAGGCGGCGTCTCAGTCTGTCATCCAGGCTAGAGTGCAGCGGTGTGATCTCAGCTCATTGCAACCTCCGCCTCCCGGGTTCAAGCGATTATAGTGCCTCAGCCTCCTGAGTAGCTGGGATTACAGGCATGCACCACCACGCCTGGCTAATTCTTTTTTTGTTTTGTTTTGTTTTTTTAGTAGATATGGGGTTTTACCAGGTTGGCCAGGCTGGTCTCAAACTCCAGACCTCAAGTGATCTGCCCACCTCAGCCTCCCAAAGTGCTGGGATCACAGGCCTGAGCCACCGTGCCCAGCTCAGTCTGATCTCTTTCACTAACTAATTATGTAACTTTCAGGGAAATTACTTAACCTCTCCGTGCCTTTGTTTTTTTACCTGAACAAAATGGAGTTTGAATAATAAATAGTCATACAAATAATAGTAATAAAGGACCTTATAGGACAATACCGCAAGGCATTATCATTTACTACTTTTTCTTTCATTTTTCTGTATTTTTCCAAAATTTATTTTCTAAAACAATTAAACAGAAAAATTATATGGTAATCTTACTAGTACACTACTAAATATGTCTGGAATTTTAAAGTTTTTAAGAGCTTTAAAACATAATCGTCTCTATAAATAAACCTAGAGAAAACTTTAAGATAAATTAAAAGGGATGATGAAAGTCCCTAGGCCTTATTCATTGCTCTCTCCATGACACATCTTCTGTTAGCTAGGAGCTAGCATGGGCCTCGCAGATATGTATGTACGGGCAAATTCAATTTCTTAAATTTCAATGCTTTTTTCAATACCTAGGCATAAAGGGAGGCAGACAAGTCAGAGAAAGTACAAGTTTTCTCAGGAGGCTTTTTGTCTGTGTTAGACCTAATACAGACAATATAAAAGGAGGCACATGGTAGTGAAAAGATGTCCAGGCTTAGAGTAAACACCAGCAGGTCTGGAGGTCTCCCGTGGCAAGGATTTGACTGTGTGATTTGGGGCAATCCCTTATTCTCTTCAGACAGTTTCTATATCTTGGTCTATTCTATGAGATACTCTAGTATAGAAACTTAGTGTATTTGGACCTGAGATTTATTGTTATTTTATTTTATGTTTTTTGTTTTGTTTTGTTTTGAGATGGAGTCCCGCTCTATAGCCCAGGCTGGAGTGCAATGGCGCAATCTTGGTTCACTGCAACTTCTGCCTTCTGAGTTCAAGCGATTCCCCTGCCTCAGCCACGCAAGTAGCTGGGACTACAGGTGTGCGCCACCACGCCCGGCTAATTTTTGTATTTTTTGGTAGAGACAGGGTTTCACCATGTTGGCCAGGCTGGTCTCAAACTCCTGACCTCAGGTGATCTGCCCACTTCAGCCTCCCAAAGTGCTGGGATTACAGGTGTGAGCCGCTGTGCCCGGCCTATTGTTATTTTAGAAATAGCATTATTTTTCAAGTCCAGTGCTTCAACTCATCAACTTGTTTTGATAGCTTCTTCATCTTGTTTTGCTTTGACTGGGTTTTATCTGGAGTGTTACTTTAAATATACTTTAACCCAAATGGAGTTTAAAAAGGGGAAATTAAATCCTTATTTCTTTCTCACACCAAACTATCATGGCTCTAGGCCCTTTTGAAGCAAAGTGAGATTGAATTGTGATTTAAAGCCAGAGTCAGAGGAACTGACAATGGAAGGATTTTCTTTCTGTTCTACCAGCCTGTTATAATATGATGTAAAACAAAAGGATCATTTTATCTATTTTTGTGTCCTTCAGGGACATCAGTAGAACTTGGATATATTGCATGCAGAATACACTTATCAAAAATTTCAAAATTATAAAAAGCCTTTAATACGTTAAAACAAAAGTGCCAGAGTCTGAAATTCTTCTGAATGTACTCTTCTGGTTAATTAATAATAATATCAGGATTTTATTGTTTCATAAGGTTATGTTTTTTAAAGTTACATACCATTTTTATGGTATAAATAAGTCTATGAGGATGGGTATTTTACCAAATGGATTAACTTACAAAATGAATATACTTTTTTTTTTTTGAGACAGTCTCTCCGTCGCCCAGGCGGAGTGCAATGGCGCCATCTCCACTCACTGCAACCTCTGCCTCCTGGGTTCAAGTGATTCTCCTGCTTCAGCCTCCTGAGTAGCTGGGATTACAGGTGCACACCACCACGCCTGGCTAATTTTCGTATTTTTAGTAGAGACAGGGTTTCGTCATGTTGGCCAGTCTGGTCTCAAACTCCTGACCTCAGGTTATCTGCCCATCTCAGCCTCCCAAAGTGCTGAGATTACAGGCATGAGCCACCACGCCCAGCAGAATATACATTCTTTATGATTCTTTCCACATCTTACTTGTTAAAAGGAAAATATCATCTCCACAAATATGAAAGTGTTGCTACTTTGCTACACATGTGAAAACCTTTTAATCGTGTAAAGGTAGTCCCTTCTAACTTCCAGATTCCACCAGCTCCGATAAACAGATCTGCAATCTGGTCTACAACCTTCGAATAAGAACCTAAGTGAGCATTCATTGTAAAGACTCACCGTTTCTGTACCACTGGATCTCTGGCTGGAAATGTTTAATTTCAGGAGTGATGACAACACGACAGCCTAGACTCATTGTCTCTCCCTCTCTCCCAAAAGACACATCAAATTTGTCATCAAAGTGGATCTCAAACCGGGATGCATAACCATATGGGGTCACACCAACTGGGTACAAAAATAACAAATATCAGTAATTTTTTTCTTCATCAAAGAGACACAAGCATTTTAATAAGCACAGGCAGAAAGCAGTCACAGCAAAAAAAAAATGAACAAATGAGCAAATGATTTAACTGGGTCAAAATGAAACCGTACATAAGAAGTATTTAGAACATATGCATATATCATTTGTATGGAAATTCTTACTTCATTGGTTATATAAGCTAAATGCTTATTTTTATTATTGTAATGAATAGAATTTAAAGGGTCAGGTTTAATGTCTTCAATGCAAATTAATACCACATTTAGCCTAGATTTAAATCTTTAGCTGCAACATATGCACTTTGTAATTTTAGATGTTGAGTTAAACTCTACTGCTTGTACTCTTGGGACAAAATAGCCATATCCATTATTCATAAAAATGGCGTTTTTCATCTGACAAGGGATTAATAACCAGAATTTATAAGAAGCTCAAAGTACTCAATAGCAAAAAATTCAAGTAATCCAATTTAAAAATGAGCAAAAGATCTGAATAGACGTTTCTAAAAAGACATACAAATGGCCAACCGGTATACGGAAAAATGCTCAACATCACTAATCATTGAGAGAAATGCAAATCAAAATGACAATGAGATATCATTTCACCCCAATTAAAATGTATCCAAAAGACAGGCAATAACGCTGACAAAGATGTGGAGACAAGGAAACCCTCTTACGCTGTTGGTGGGAACGTAAATTAGTACAACCACTATGGAGAACAGTATGGAGGTTCCTCAAAAAAATAAAAAATTTCCATATAATCCAGCAATCCCATTGCTGGGTTTATATCTTAAAGAAAGGAAAACAATATATAGCAGAGACATCTGCACTCCGATGTTTATTGCAGCCCTTTTCACAATAGGCCAGGATGTGAAATTAACCTAAGTGTTCAACCATGGCAGAATGAATAAAGAAAACGTGGTACATATACTCAATGGAATGTTATTCAGCAAAAAAAAAGATTGAAATCCTGTCATTTGCAACAACATAGATGGAACTAGAGGACATTATGTTAAGGGAAGTAAGCCAGGCACAGAAGAACCGATATCATGTGTTCTCACTCAAATGTGAGAGCTAAAAAGAATTGAACCCATGGAGATAGAGAGTAGAATGATGGTTACCAGAGGCTGGGAACTGTAGTGCAAGGGGAAATAAAGAAGGGTTAGTTAATGGGTACAAAAATACAATTAGATGCAAGGAATAAGATCTAGTCTACAGTTAATAATTTATTGCATATTTTCAAACAATGAGAAGAGTGGAATTGGAACGTCCCTAATACAAAGAAATAAGACATGTTTGAGATGATGGATGCTCCAATTACCCTGATTTGATCATTACACATTGTATGCTTGTATCTAAATATCGCATGTACCCCATCAATATGTACAACTACTATGTATCCATAAAAATAAAAATAATTTTAAATTAAATAATTTTAATGGAGTTTTAAAATAAGTTGCTTCAGTTTCTTTAATGATCTGAGTGATAAATATTATAAGAAATGTCCACAGGAGAAAATGGAAAAGTTTAAAATATTCTAACTTTTAAAAATATTATTCTCAGAAATATCTTATTTACAGATTGAGTAAATGCAGCCTGCGTAATCAACTCTCCTAGGCTTTATTTCCTCTTTTCACCAAAGAAAGGACTTGGGAAAGAAACGACTGTTTATTGATGGGTTATTACATGCCAGACACTTTCACATTTGACATATCATCAATCCCTTGCAACAAATCTATGCCGTAGATACTATTTTCTTCCTCTCTTTCAGGTGGGTATATGGAAGTTCACAAAAGTAACACACACCTAATGCCAGAATTTCACAGGTAGCATGTGTGAAATTGAAATTCACACTCATAACTTCTCGACCCCAAAACTTAGGCCCTTTCTCACATCTTTTGTCCCTCTTCCTAAGACTTCTTTCATTACACTTGAAAATGCAAGCTGACATTTATTGAGTTCAACTTTGACCAAGTATTGGTCCAAGCATTTAATACCCCATATTAACAGAAATCCCATAATAATGCTATTAGGTAAGTACCACTAATATCTGCATTTTATAGAAGAAGAAACTGATGCATAGGAAGGCAAAATAACTGACCACATTCCCCTGCAGAGCCAGATTTGCACCGGCTGGCCGTTTCTGTGCTCTTGGCCAATACATTGTACTGTCTTGATTTCGTGTGTTCCCAGGTAACCCTAATCAACAGTGAAGTAACCTCTTTGGAAGCACATCTCCCATCTGCCTCACTTTTTTTTATGTGTTGATGTTCACTGAGACCAGAGAGAGAAACAACTTGACAGATCTTGCACAGCGCTGGGAGGCTGGGCTGGTTCCAGAGCTGCCTTAGGGGGTAGAGGTGAGGGCTACCGCCAGATGTTCCAGACTCAGCTGGAAAGGCAAGTAGGTCCCCTAGAAACGGACCTAACTTCTAGGTTCTCTTCTGTATCTGAGATTGGACTGCACTGTCTGCGATAACTTTGGGGTTCAGTAGGAGGCACCCCAGTTTAACAACCAGAAGACAACACATCATTTCGTTGTCACGTCCTCAATCTTTTATCACATGTACTTACTATCCTGAGAAAAATGGTTTAGGGCAGGGGTTGGCAAGTCTGTGGGGCAAATCTAGGATGTCTCTTGTTTAGACCATTAAGAATGGTTTTTGCATGTTTTAGTGGTTGAAAAAAATAAAAAGAAGTACAGTATTTTGCGATGTGAAAAGTCACAGGAAATTTAAATTTCAACGTTCATAAAGGTTTTATTGGAACACAGCCATGCTCATTCATTCTCCTACTGTTACGGCTGCTTTTGTGTTACAGAGGCAGAGTTGAGTGGCTGTGACAGAGACCATATGGCCCACAAAGTCTACAATATTTACAGTCTAGTCCTTTACAGAAAATGTTTGGTGACTCCTTGTTTGAAATAATGGTTTAGAATTAAAAAGACCAGGTTACACATCCCTATTCTACCACTCTGTGTTCTTCTCTAAACTGTTTCCTCATTGGCATAGCGCAGATAGAAATGCAACTACTTCATAAGCTTCTGGGAAACATTAAATGAATCAATGTGTATAAAAAAGTCTTAGTACATTGTCTGGCAGAACTGATCAATAAATGTTAACTATTAGAAAAAAAGAGCAGAGAGCTTTGTCTGTGATATTTACCAACATTCCAAGCACCTAAACCCCTACCTAGCACATAACAGGTGCTTAGTAAATATTAACCAAATATGTGAATATAAGCACTCTGTTTTCTGTTAGGAACAACTGCATTCAATTCGGGGGTCATCAGAGAGGAGGCTCTGTAAGATTTAGCAATAAGAGAAGTGAGAGTGAGTTGGGCTTTCAGTCCCCGCCTTGACAGAGAAGAGAGGAAAGGGAGAAACATGGATGATGATACAGTTGTGGAGATGGGCAAGCTACATTCAGAGGATTGTGACGTGATCAATAGGCCACTCCTGGGGACACTGGGAGACAAGTCATAGGTTCAGAATTTCCAACTATTCTTTTTTTTTTTGAGATGGAGTCTCACTCTGTTGCCCAGGCTGGAATGCAGTGGCGTGATCTCGGCTTACTGCAACCTCTGCCTCCCCAGTTCAAGCGATTCTCCTGCCTCAGCCTCCTGAGTAGCTGGGATTACAGATGCCCACCACCATGCCTGGCTAATTTTTGTATTTTTAGTAGAGATAGGGTTTCATGATGTTGCACCAGGCTGGTCTCGAACTCCTGACCTCAGGTGATCCACCCACCTCCGCCTCGCAAAGTGTTGGGATTACAGGCGTGAGCCACCGTGCCTGGCCCCAACTATTCTATCTCAACATAAATCAAGAGATGGGAGAAGAACATGATTCGGGATGTGCTTCTCTGTTGCTCTACCAGTCATCCCTTCTCACCCATGGGGCTGATGCCAGTGATCACAACTTGGGATATTAAACGAGAAGCCATTCCATGAAATCAGTGGAGCAGGTCAGCCACAGACATCAAGCTAACCAGCCAGGTGAAAAACTGCTATCAGCCATTTTCAAAACTACCACTAATTTTTTAATGTTTGAAAACCAAATTAGGGCTTGACTACCTTTTTTAGTCTGACCACTGTAAGTATATAATTATTTCAACAACCATAAAGATTTTACTTTTATTGCTTCTCATAAATAGAAGTTCTGATGTAAATGAAATGACTGACATTCACAAATTTGTAAATTACTACTGACCAGAATATTTTTAATAGGTTTTTATTTAATCATATTTAGACTTCATTTTAGATTGTACTTTATAACTTAATGCATTTATTTATTCATTTCATTATTGAATACCCACTCTGTGGCAGGCCCAACCTTGCCTTCAAGTGGCTCATGGACCAGTGAGAGAGACTGACACACAACAGGTAACAGTGTACAGCCTCACTGACGCTCCGATGAGGTGCCATGGCCTCACCCAGGACACCTAACCCTGACTGGGTAGGGTGTAGGGGCGGCAGTGGGGGTCAGACCTGCTTTCTCAAGGAAGTGATGCCCATCTGGATATTTAAGGGTGAGAAAGAGCGCTTTGATATAGTCCAGACTCGTGTGTGTGTGTGTGTGTGTGTGTGTGTGTGTGTGTGTGTGTGTGTTTGGTTAAGTCGTTCTGCCCAGGTTTGCATAATGATCTTTCGCAGTTTAACCCAGAAAGATGTAAAAACATTTGCTATTTTTAGCCCATCATATCTGGGCTTTCATAAAACCAGCACAAAGCAATTCGATTCAGAAAGAGAACAGTAACCAAAAAATCTAAAAAAATAAGTAAATAAAATAACCACAGGTACCTACTACATCCAACCTAGCATATACTATGTTATATATAGTATGCATTTATTTCAGCATTATGGGCTAACTTATTATGCCATATTTTACATAGAGGTGACACTTAGTAAATGTGTTTTTAAACTTACAGCTGAGGGGCATGGTGGAAGCCCCAGCGTGGAAGCGAGTCTCATCAAACTCTCCCTTATACCCTAGAGAAGAAAACAGAAACGCATGTGAACTGCTTTGTGATCGATTTATTTTAAAACCATGGGAAGAAATTTTTAAAAACACACACACACTTTGAAGAAAACAAATCTAGCAAACCTACTTTTTACCACAACTGAAGCATATGCCGAAAGCTCTCCTTTAACATTCATCGCCGAGGCCCGGTACTGAGCTGTATCTTCAAAATCACATCTGAAAGAACAGACGGAAATGAATATCCATCGTAGTGACAATCCTTGTAATTACTAGCTGTTCTATCAAGGAACTCTTTGCTATCACAGCCCCCTGCAAATCAGTGGCTAACACATGGCTCTTTGGTTCTCCTGGTACAGCTATTTGTCTCTGATCTAGCTACCTGTGGGATATTACCTAGTCCAAGTGATCTACTGCAGTTTCATGCCAGCAGCATAGACTGGGGAGAGAACACCTATAGTTCACTGTGACCCTAGCCTGGGTTCATTTAAAATGTCAAAAAAAAAAGTCAACCAAGTGCTAGGCACATAAATTATAGAGTGAACAGCATTGTGATCCGCTTACTTGTCTAAAGTTGCATTGGGAGGAGAAAATGTGCAGGCGTGTACCTTTGTAGCAAGTAACTACCCAGAGGCACACTGGAGGGCGTGGCTTTCCTGCTGTCCTGCCCTTGTGGTGGGTTTCAGTCTGGGGGCAACCAGGAAATAGGGAAGAGAAAGAAGCAGTCCCTCCGTGTAGATTCCCACAACCTCCCTGAGCCACGTTGGTCTATGTGTTCTAGCTTCAAAGCTCATCTAAGTTATTTACACTTCATTTCCACTAAGGTTCAGGCCATACTTGGAATTTCAGCTCACAGCACACAAGAAGCGCCATTTGGATGTTCTTCTAAGTTATAATACAGAAACTGGAATTCTTATAAAAATGGACCATTAGGGAGAGAATGGTTTCATGGAGAGATGAAGAGGCTAAGGTTTCAAAGCAGGTTGTTTTATGTCTTATCATTACCAGTTTCTCGTGTTCTTCATTGTTTCTCGGGGTTTAGTTTCATTTGTGTAAATTTTTTTTCTTGCTGAAATTTTACAGACATCAATAGAACCCCAGCAAGGCAAACACAGTTGCCCTTCTCATAACTACTTAATTTTGAAAGTAACCACATAGCTCACTGTTGCTTTAGCAGAACCACCCACTGGCAGAACTGACCTGACTTTGGGTCAGGGTCAGTGCCTGGCAAATGGCACAGGGTCCTAGCATCATTTGGCCAACTCCTCTGATCTGAGGAGAAGGCTATAAGTCTCCTGAGAATGAATGGTATAAATTTCACCTTGACACTTAGGCACATCATGGTTTTATCTAAACTGAAAATTCTGGGAACTTGTTTAGCTTTTCATTGACCTAATTAGGTTTGAATTTCAAAATCATCTTGGGAGGCAAAATAAACATTTGGGAACTTAGGAATTTTGATGTAGGTTTCGTTTTCAAATTTTGCTTTGGATTTTACTTTAAGCTCAAACATCTCAATGTCTAGCCTGCTTCACATACACAGATTGACAGAGTGCATACTTTCCCATGGTTCCTGGCAAGCTGAAGGAAAGAACATTATCTCCAAGTTTAGCCCACATTCAATGCCACCTACCCGGATCTCCATGGCCTTTAGTTATTAAAAACAAGAGACTGTGATGATGATATTGATTTGGGACTCTGAAATGATTACTGAATATAAATGCCTCTTTATGCAACATATTTTTCTTACTTACATCTAAGAAAAATTCCCAAGTATATAAAAAGATAAATAAAAACATGCAAATTGGTTTTTTTCTCATCATCTTTGACCGAATCCAAATATAAAATCACTTTGGGAGGTAGTGTGGGTATGGTAAGGATCAGTCATACATATCACTTTCAGGTGTGCACCCAGAGAAGCACCGTATACGAATGTCCCTCAGTGTGATCACACAGCATTGGGATGAAGTGGGGAGAGTGGCTGTTAACTGCAGGGGTGAGAAGCCTCCCTGAGCAATGGTGAGCAACACATGGACACTAATGTTCTCTTACCCATTAATCTCCAGAGTGTGCATCCCATATCGACTCTCAATAATATACTTTCCAGGGTTTGCATGGACATTTATTGGCACCTGGTTTTTATACCTATAACAGAATGGAAACAAAATGAAGTAAGTTGAAGTGTAAACAACTTCATGATTAAACACACACACAATTCTTGTTCTTGCAGGAACATCTGTAAACAGGGCACTGAGGGTAGCAGCAGCATCGATTAAATAAATGTAAATCATATTGGCTTACGTGAAGTGCACCAGCAATACATCACACTTCTTGATGAAGTGCTTTCCCCTCCTCTATAAACTTACATGAAAAATGTTGACGATTCACAGCAATATGGCTGAATATCATGTAACATAGTTACCGAAAAAAGCCAGTTACAAAACAGTGCACAGCAGAATGATTGCTTTTATATAGAATACAAAAACAAAAAACTAATTAATGCTACTAGAAATCAGTAGTGTGTTGGGACGCAAGAAGGAGGCTTCTTGGGTGTCAATAATGTTTATTGATTTGGGTGTCAGTTACATGGGTGTGTGCAATCTACAAAAATTCACTAAAGCAATTCATTTGTAAAAGTGTGCAGTCTTTGGGAAGCCGAGGCGGGCAAATCACTTGAGGTCAGGAGTTTGAGACCAGCCTGGCCAACGTGGTGAAATACCATCTCTACTAGTAATACTAAAAATTAGCCAGGCATGGTAGCACACACCTGTAATCCCAGCTACTCAGGAGGCTCAGGCACAAGAATTGTTTGAACCCAGGAGGCGGAGGTTGCAGTGAGCTGAGATTGTGCCACTGCACTCCAGCCTGGGCGACGGAGTGAGACTCCATCTCGAAAAAAAAAAATTTGCAGTATATAATATGCACACTTTTTGTGTGCATGTTATATTATAATTTAAAAGGTTTTAGGCCAGGCATGGTGGCTTATGCATGTAATTCCTGTAATCCCAGCACTTTGGGAGGCTGAAGTGGAAGAATCACTTGAGGCCAGGAGTTTGTGACCAGCCTGGGCAATAAGCAAGACCCTGAATCTACAAAAACTACAAAAAATTAGCTGAGTGTAAACCTGTAGTCCCAACTACTTTGGAGGCTGCAGTGGGAGAATAGCTTGAGCCTGAGAGGCTGAGGCTGCAGTGAGCTATGATCGCACCACTGCACTCCAGCCTGGGCAACAGAGTGAGACCGTGTCTTAAAATAAATAAAACAAACAAACAAATAAGCTTTTTAAAAATAAATAAAACAAATAAATACATAAATAAGCTTTTTAAAAAGTTGACCACTATTGATGTAACAGAGAGGAAGGCTTTCTGTTGGGGGTTTTATTGCTGGCTATCTGTGTAGGATGAGAGCAAAACATTCTTCCTGCTAACATTCTTGCATGTTGTTAGAAGCAATATCATTATTATTATTATTATTATTATTATTATTATTATTATTATTTGAGACAGAGTTTCACTCTTGTTGCCCAGGCTGGAGTGCAATGGCATCATCTTGGCTCACTGCAAACTCCACCTCCCGGGTTCAAGTGATTCTCCTGCCTCAGCCTCCCCAGTAGCTGGGATTACAGGCACCGGCCACTACGCCTGGCTAGTTTTTTGTATTTTTAGTACAGATGGGGTTTCACCATGTTGGTCAGGCTGATCTCGAACCCCTGACCTCAGGTCATCCACCTGCCTTGACCTCCCAAAGTGCTGGGATTACAGGTGTGAGCCACTATGCTCGGCCTGCAATATCATTGTATTGAACGATCATTATATTTAAGTGTTTTATTCAATGTCATAAACAAACATGGCTCTTGCCTTGGAAGAATTTATAATATAAATCATGAAAGGAAACTTCTGACAAGTAAGAGCTGAAAGCCTCCCTTTTTCTGACTGTTCCATATCTGGTTAAGCCTCACAGCCCTCGGAGAGTGGACTACGCAGGCGGGCCTCTCCCTGGGACCCTGTCTTCTGGGTCTGTACGTGGCGCCTGGATTCTTCACCACTTCCTCATGTTCTCAGTAGCCAGTGGCTATGGTGCTGGACCAGGCTTTTCTACTTAAACCATTTTCTGCCCAAAAGAGGAACTGGGTTTCACTTGTTTCCCTTTCAGACAGCCCACTTCGCACGCACAGATGACGTCAATAACCCTGATTAACATAGCTGACACAGAGAATTGACTATGAGCCAGGCAATGCTCTAAGCGCTTTATGCATACATTGGTAAGTTCAGTTCTCACAACCACCGTATGAGATAGTGCTGTTTTTAACCTCATTTTCCAGATGAAGAAACCAAGGCATGGGGGTTTCAGGAACTTGCCCAGTCACACAGCCAGGAACAGCAGAGGAGGGATTTGAACCGGCAGCCTGGCTGCTGACCCACATGATGCTTCCATTTTCCAATTGTTCTGTCTGCATTTCATTTCTTCAGACTTGTGGACACGATCATAAGGAGGTTTGGGAGTAGGGAACATGATGGAAAGGGAGAGGAAGGAAGAATACTGGCTTCAGTCAGCTCCTTCCTTTCCCCAGCTCTCTCTCTCACATACACATACACCCCTCCGTCCCTAAAGCACGTTATTCATTTTCTACACTTAAAACAAACAAACACTCTCCTCCATATAACAGAACCCGAACTCATCCTTCAAGATTCAGATCAAATGCAACTTCTTCAATAAACTCTTCCCTAAAATATGACACAGTATGAATCGTTCCTGCCTCTCTGCATCAGGGTTCCTTGCTTCAAGTTACTAAATATAACATTTATCAAAATTATGGTTGGATATGTGTCTCTTCTATTATGTTGCCAAACCTTTGAGGTTGGGATTGTGTCTGATCCACATTTACTTTTTTTTTTTGAGACAGTGTCTCGCTCTGTCTCCCATGCTGGAGTGCAATGGTGTGATTATAGCTCCCTGCAACCTCCACCTCCCAGGCTCGAGCAATCTTCCCACCTCAGACTACCAAGTAGCTGGGACTACAAGTGTGCACCACCACACTCAGCTAATTTTTTCTATTTTTTGTAGAGACAGGCTCTTGCTATGTTGCCTATGCTGGTCTTAAACTCCTGGGCTCAAGCAATCCTCCCACCTCGGCCTCCCAAAATGCTAGGATTACAGCCATGAGCCACTGTGCCTGGCCTGATCCACATTTACTTCTATTCCTACTCCTGAGGAAGAATGAGTCATGGGCAAACAGCAGGCGCTCAGAATTGGTTAAATTTGGTTGAACAGAATTAGCACGTAATGCAATAGATTAATTGTAGCTTCATAATTTTTTGTCTGAGAGAACAGAGTTCTGACAAGCATATATGTCATGATATGGATGATTTTATTTTAAATAAATAGCGATGAGGTCTCACTATGTTGCTCAAGTTGGTCTCAAATTCCTGGGCTCAAGCGATCCCCCTGCCTCAGCCTCCCAAAGTTGGATGATTTTAAATAAATGCACACGAAGAAAGTAAGTTGACAGTCTCAGTTCCCTCAGATGTGAAATGGAGAGGGTGGGACTGGCTTAAGAATCGCAGCTGTGTGGCAGGTGCAGCAACATAACCTTCTCCAAACACAGAAGACCCTGCAAGTTGATGCAGTGCTATTTCCTGCCAGCAGCTTCAGACAGCTGTCTCAACATGGCTCGAGCAGACAGGACTATCTGATCAGAGATGGCCTGGAAAAAGAAATCCACTGGCCACTTCTAATCTCCCGCATTCCCCGTTTAGATGAAGTACAGGGTAGAACATGTTAATTGGCATGCTCTTCTTCTATAATTGGTTTAGGTAATTTCACACTGGACTCAAGCTCACTCTGGCTCTGCTCTTTCTTGTGCTGGAGGGTTTTCAGTGGTTCCTCTTTGCCTAAGAAAAGCGCTGTGATACCAACGGCTGTGACATGTGCTGTTTGACCAAATGACTCAGTGACACTCAATTCGGCTTCGGATCAAAAGTATTGCTCATATCTCTATAAAATTTTCATTACAAAGTATTCTGCAGGTCAGCAGTGGCAGTTCATGCCTGTAATCCCAGAACTTTGGGAGGCTGAAGCAGGAGGATCGTTTGAGGCCAGGAGTTCGAGACCAGCTGGGTAACATGGCAAGACTCCATGACTGTAAAAAATGAATTTTTAAAAATAAAATAAAAAACTATTTTGCAGCTCCCATAGTTGCTTCACCATCCTTTCTTTCCATTACTACTCAATTTAGCACCCTAATACCTTTTCCCCAGCTAACAACTTTTCTATTATCACCACATGGCAAGAGAAATGGGTTTAAAATACACACACACCACACATCACTTTGACTGCAGAGCTTGTAGTCTTTTCTCTGGAGCTCCAGATACCAATGTGAGAAATTCTTCATTTAAAGCGGTGGTCAAGGATTAAGTCAGAAAGGTATTTGATTCTATTCTCCAAAGAATTCCACCCAGTGAGGCATTTAGGTTTGCAGTCACTTGAGACTGGCTATCTTTAGCTTTAAGTCAGGGAAGAAAAGAAGGATTTGGGGCCTGTTCTGTATATACTTCACAGCTTGTTATTTCTAGAACATGAAATTCCAAGCTGAGTAGTCATCGGCTAATTTTGGAGGTTAATCCACACCCTGGGATTACATATCAAAAGCTTTCTTAAATCCCTGTGAATATTCAGATGTATACTATCTCCCTTATCATTTTTATGTAATGTCTATGAATTGCTAATGAGCTTTCAGTATACTATAAGTTTTTCCAGTGACATTTCCTTTATGTGTGTAAAACACACAATTCTCCCAGACAAATGTCAGTTTGGATGTTGGGCCGAGTTTATAGTATGGGGTCACAGTAAAAGCTCTTTGGCAGTGTAAAGCATGATCAAGCAAAAGACTTCACAAAAATTATTTTCTACCCACAAATAATGCACACCGAGATGATCTTTTTTTTTTTTTTTGAGACGGAGTCTTACTTACTCTGTCACCCAGGCTGAAGAGCAGTGGCACGATCTGTGCTCACTGCAACCTCCGCCTTCCGGGTTCAAGTGGTTCCCCTGCCTCAGCCTCCCAAGTAGCTGGGACTATAGGAGCGTGCCACCACGTCCAGCTACTTTTTGTATTTTTAGTAGACATGGGCTTTCACCATGTTGGCCAGGCTGGTCTCAAACTCCTGACCTCAGGTGATCTGCCTGCTTCGGCCCCCAAAGTGCTGGGATTACAGGCATGAACCACCACGCCCGGCCAAAGATGATCTTTAATATACTGAATCTCACCACAAATGAGATTGCTGCTTATAATCCAACCTGTTTTGAGTAAATCACTCTAGACCCACTTTAAAAACTATCTGAGAGAGATTGAGAGAGAGAGAGAGATCCCATTGGGATAGATTTTGGAATTAAGTAAATAAGAAAAATCCAAAGTAAAACTCCAAATCCTTATGTTGGAAAACTGTTGTAAATTGTAAATAATTTGTGTTAACCATTTTAAATATAAGCTGTTTTTTCTATGATAATATGGTAGTAACTGCTAAATTTGAATATGTGATTAATAATTCTAATCTTGAAAATAAACTCAATGCATGATTCTATTATGAAATTTACAAACCCTCATAATTTGTGAGAATAGAAGAGTTTTCTGAATCTCTGCCTTTGTAACTATTTTATTCCTAGGTTTTGAATTATTATAATGGGCTTAATGACACATTTCTTTAAGTATCTATTTGACAACGACCTTTGGGTGAAACTGAATAATTTTTTTTTTTTTTTTTTTTGAGACAGGGTCTTGCTCTGTCCCCCAGGCTGTAGCGCAGTGGTGCGATCTCACTCACTGCAACTTCCACCTCCCAGATTCAAGCAATTCTCCTGCCTCAGCCTCCTGTGTAGCTGGTACTACAGGTTCCTGCCACCACACCCGGCTAATTTTTGTACTTTTAGTACAGATGGAGTTTCACCATGTTGGCCAGGCTGGTCTCGAACTCTGGACCTCAGGTAATCCGCCCGACTCGGCCTCCTAAAGAGCTGGGATTACAGGCGTGAGCCCTCGCGCCTGGCTGAAACTGAAGAATTTTAAACATGTATTATAAATGCTTTGCTTGAGGATCTAGTCCAGTGTCCAACATATAGATATGAAAACATGAGTGCCGAGTGAGTGAATGACAGGTACACACTGATACCAACACATTGCTCCAATGAGTTTTCCTGATCTTCCTGCAGGCTACAATCAAGATTTCCATGGACAAATTCAATCTAGGCTTCAGGCCAGAAACCCAAATGAATCCTGCTCTTTAAAAAGTATGCCTGTCATGAGGTGAGGGGAGGGGGAGGGATAGCATTGGGAGATATACCTAATGTAAATGACGAGTTGATGGGTGCAGTACACCAACATGGCACATGTATACATATGTAACAAACCTGCACGTTGTGCACATGTACCCTAGAACTTAAAGTATTATAATAATAATAAAAAGTATACAATTAACACTATTCTCTCCTTTTAAAGAAAACTTTTTCCTTCTCCACTATTTCACATAATGTTTAAAATCTGACTAGGTAATACGTTTACATGGTTCAAGAACCAGAAAGAACTAAGGGTGCACAGTGAACCCTTCCTGGTAACTTCCTAGAACTTTTGTCCCTTTGACAAGGCTCCCCCTCAGGGTCAATAGCTTTTCTTGGGTTCTTCCATATCCTTCCAGAATTTCATTATGCAAATAAAACAAAAACAAACATAAATGCTTTTTTCTTCCCCCTTTAAACAGAAAGACTCTTATTATACAAGTTATTACATAAATGTACCCTATTAAATTTTAAAACTTTAATTTTTTTCACTACATATGTATTTTCCCTTCTATGTCGACAGAGTCCTCCTGCAGGATGGCCAGCTTCACGGTAGGGGTGCAGCAGCATCCTCTGCAACTAACTTTTCTTTCTTCTTTTTTTTTTTTTTTTTTTTTTTTTTTTTGAGACAGAGTTTCGCTCTTGTTGCCCAGGCTGCCTGGAGTGCAGTGGCGTGATCTCAGCTCACCGCAACCTCCGCCTTCCGCGTTCCATCGATTCTCCTGCCTCAGCCTCCCCAGTAGCTGGGATTACAGGCATGCTCCACCACACCCGGCTAATTTTGTATTTTTAGTAGAGACAGGGTCTCTCCATGTTGGTTAGGCTGGTCTCGGACTCCCGACCTCAGGTCATCCGCCCGACTCGGCCTCCCAAAGTGCTGGGATTACAGGCGTGGGCCACCACGCCCGGCCTGTAACTAACTTTTCTACCGAGGCCAGTGCTTAGACAGGCTCCCTGCTGCTGTCAGAGCGAGTTGGGAATAGGACGGTACTGCATCCTGTCTCTGCACCTGACTTTAATGAGGGATGTGTGTGCCCTTATTCAGTGCTCTCTGGTAACCTCTAGGTTCCACATGAATAGATTTGGTTAGTAATGTGGGATTGGTTGGAGAGCGGCTGCTGAGTGCTTGTATCATTTGTTAGGCCTCAGGAACTCCCATGAGTGAAGGTGTCCAGTGGAAACTGGTTGGTTGGTGTCCAGCCAAACCCTCTTTGGAAAGGGCTCTGCCGGAGACAGGCCCGCCACACGTGCCTTTGAAAGATGTGGCTAAGGACATAACTGCTATGAGTGGAGGCAGTGTGATTATATGAAGCATCATCACAAATTTACTCCTTTAATAAACCTGCTGATATTCAGGAAGGGCATTCTCAATATTCCCTTTGTACTTCTCCTCAGTGTCAGGCCCAGGAAGCTGCAATTGGATACCAAAAAGGTATAAATGCCAGCAATGTTATCACCAACAATCTTGGTTGTTGCTTGGGCTGCGGGTTCCCAGGTCTTCAAGGGAAAGGCTGCTTATTGAAGATTTCATGCTCTGTACCAGTGGTGCAAAGTCAATTAGCACTCCAGTGAATCATTTTTCGTTCTCTCTCTTTTTTTTTTTTTTGAGACAGGGTCACACTCTATTGCTCAGGCTGGAGTGCAGTAGTGCCATCTCAGCTCACTGCAACCTCTGCTTCCTGGATTCAAGTGATTCTTGTGCCTCAGCCTCCCGAGTAGCTGGGATTACAGGTATGCACCAACACACCTGGCTAATTTTTGTATTTTTAGTAGAGACACGTTTTCTCCATGTTGGCCAGGCTGGTCTCAAACTCCTGGCCTCAAGTGATCTGCCCACCTCGGCCTCCCAAAGTGCTGGGATTACAGGTGTGAGCCAGCTGGCCCAGCCCAGTTAATGACTTTTTAAAAACATGCCCAGGAATATATACTAATCCTATCCAGAAGTCAACTCCCAGAGGTGGATTTAACTTGAAGCAAATGAAGCTTAAATTTCAGGGTCTCTCACTACCCAAATCCCTGCAAGACCTTATGTCCTAACTTATACTGCTAATTTATTTATTTAGTTTGTAAAGAGTGCCCTCCAAGTTGTATCAGCTTCATGCCAACAAAACCTGACCCTGACCCTGTTTACTGCCATTTCCAGTCATCAGTTATCTGCTAACTGATTGTCCAAGTTTCAGCTTTACCCAGGGCAACTCTTGCTCTCAGAAGTATAGTTAACTATTTTCCTAGTTGTCTCCCAGTTCTTTTTTTGTTTGTTTGTTTTTTTGTTTTTTTAGCTCAGTTACCCAGGCTGGGATGCAGTGGCGAGATCAGAGCTCACTGAAGCCTTGTTGTTCGTTTGTTTTAATATTTATTTTCCACTTAGCTTGCAAGGCAAGGAGACTGTGAAATGCTCTGGTCTGTCCCTCGTGGGAGAATGTACGATAAAGAATGAAGTCACTAGGACTGATGCTTTGCACGGGGCTCAAGGGAGTTGTTCTCTCCAAGAGCACTAACGGAGGTGCAGGGACCAGAGGAGGCTCATCCAGTACTTCTGGAGAGGAAGCTTGTCTCTGTGTCTTCCCTTTTGTTTGAAATGAGCCCCTAGGACATAAACTTCACATGTAAAGGATGCAGATATTTCAAAGCCACCTGTAAAGGGTTTGGGGATCAACTCTACTGCTTCTTAGCTCTGTTAGTGAGGATCACTGGAAATGGACAGTATTTCTATTTTTGAATTTAACTGGAATTTGAAGGGTTGACAGTTTGGTCATCTCCTATTTTTCCGGAGAGTTTCCATTCTTTTTGTTTTTGTTTTTAATTACTTTTTTTCCAGATCAACAGAGCACAATGTAAGGAGTCTAATCTCTGAAGTTCAGCTCTGCTTTCGTGAAATCACATCACTTTTGCTTAATAACACCATCAGCGGTATGTGGCCGGGTTTTTATTCCAGTTGCTGTGTACTTAACAGAATAAATAAATGCTTAGGAATTGAATGTTTATCTCCCAGAAGCTACTTTGTATCCTTTTGATAATCATCTTAAATTCTAATTTTTTTAAAGTGG
Organism: Homo sapiens; assembly: GCF_000001405.40. Lineage (NCBI taxonomy): Eukaryota > Metazoa > Chordata > Mammalia > Primates > Hominidae > Homo > Homo sapiens. The sequence continues at coordinate 3,185,365 of NC_000018.10, forward strand.
GAAAACACAGATAGGAAACTGTGTAATAAACACATTTATTCAACAAAGGCCTCTAATTATTCATTTATTATTGATACATTTTAATTCATGAAAGAAGAAATATTTTTACTAATATTTCTTGCAGCCAAAAATTTGTTATTGTTTGTGCATTTCTATAGGAAAGTTTGGAATTTTTTTTTTGAGGTGGGAAGTAATTGGTTTTTTAAGAAGAAATGTCCCTTTAACAGGCCAAATTGTGCAACTCTATAGTCACAGAGAAGGGCAGGCAAAGGCAGAGTGATTGCTAACTTACTTTTCCATTTTAAAGCTTGTAAATTGATTTTTTTAAACTTCATTTTTATAGAAATATGTTTCCACAGTTCTCATCTATAAATTATTTGCCCTGATAATTCATAGCCAGCTTTGATTTTTATTCTTTGGTTTTCAAACTCAGAAGCCCTGAAAAGAGTTTACATACATAGAAAAATTGTAAGTAAATCCAAAATCATCAAAGACAGATTAAGATTACAAGTAAAAACTCACCATGTGCTCCTTAAGAACAACCTTAGAAGCCAGGAGCGCTGGCTCACTCCGGTAGTCCCAGCACTTTGGGAGGCCGAGGTGGGCAAATCACCTGAGGTCAGGAGTTCGAGACCAGCCTGGCCAACACGGCAAAACCCCGTCTCTACTGAAAATACAAAAATCAGCCAGGTGTGGTGGTATGCACCTGTATTCCCAGCTACTTGGGAGGCTGAGGCAGGAGAATTGCTTGAACCCAGGAGGCAGAGGTTGCAGTGAGCTGAGATTACATCACTGCATTCCAGCCTGGGTGACAAGGCGGGACTCTGTCTCAAAAAAGGAAAAAAAAAAAGAATAACCTTAGAGAGTTAATTGGGTTTATCTTGTCAGCTACCTCCACAGTGCTAGGCAGGCATCTGATCAACATTAGAAATAACAGAAAAGAAAGGAGAAGGACGCAGACACTCTGGGTGACAGTGACATTCATGTAGTGTTTATATTGCAACCTAAGGTGCATTTACCACCACTCCTGAAAATAAGAAAAAAGCATGCAAATACCTGCACCAGAGAGTAAAACTGAAATATCTTTTTTAATTGGCTCAATTATTTTCATACTTCTGCCATCTATGGCAGATATTTGTGACATGTGACAGGAAAGTTCTCAGGTTAGGGATCAAAAAGTCATTGACAATTGCAATAGGATATATTATGAAGGAGGAAAAAGAGTGCTTATTCTTTATGGAAAGAAAATATCTCATGCCCCATATTGGGTAATATCTGCCTTCCAATTCTTTCTTTTGTTTGGTGTCAGAAAACAAATTGATGCAACTTGCTTATGCTCTCTGGTAAAAAAAATAAATAAATAAGAAAGGAAGAAAGAAAGAGAGAAAGAAGGAAGGAAGGAAAGGAAGGAAGGAAGGAGAGAGAGAAAGAAAGAAAGAGAAAGAAAGAAAGAAAGAAAGAGAAAGAAAGAAGAGAAAAGAAAGAAAGGGAAAGGAAGGAAGGAAGGGAGAGAGAGAAAGAAAGAAAGAGAAAGAAGGAAGGAAAGAAAGAGGAAGATAAAGAAAAAGAAAGAAAAAAGGAAAAGAGAGAAAGAAAGAAAAAGAAAAGAAAGAAGAAAGAAAAAAAGAAAGAAAGAAAGGAAGAAAGGCACATTGAGGCCTCAGCTCACATGAGGGGTAGAGATGGGAGTTTTAGTTAAAGGGAGTTTTGTAAAAGGCAGCATTGCTTCTGATCACAAAATCCTGCCATGTTGTGTAAAGTTCATTGCTGGAAGCTGATTTTTACCTAACTTTTATCATCCGTAAGAGTTATAGACATATATTTGGTATGTTGGTACATATGTTGACTAAAATGCAATACTTCATATAAAATAAAGATCCATTTGTATAATAGGATTATAGAGTATTATCATGTAGCGTATATATGCAAGACTGTTTTTTCTTCCCATGCATACAAATTCATCTCAATGCCTACCCTTCTTCACTCTTTTAAAAACCTATACAATCTTGTAGATGTCTTCATTGACTCTTGCATATGGTTGTTCTGTGTGTTTCCACTAGAGGCGAACTTAACTTGGTGTAATGAATTCTGTTAGCTTTCATAAAGATAACATACCACGTGACACGAGGTTCTGGCCAGCCTGCTATGGAGCAATGCAATTTTACATTCTCCTTCTCCCAAACCGTGTGGGAGCGAGGTTTAATGATAAACTCAGGAGCATGGAGAAGATGGTCTTCATTCAGCTTGGCATGATATGTCTCGGTTTCTTCTAACTGAAAAAACAAATATGCAAACAAACATATTACCAAAATACCAATAAATCAAAGTGAATTTTGGTGCTAAAATAACAAGTAGAAGGCAAAAGTTTTATTTTTCCATTTGGAAGCTTAATTTTTTGTAGAGAAAATGCACTCCCTTCTCCCTTTTAAGAACAGAGGTAGTTATTTGACATTTAACATTCTAAGCTTAAGCAACATCTTTGATTTCTTTTTCTTTTTTTTTTTTTTTTTTTTGGCCCGGACTGGAGTGCACTGGTGCAACCTGCATCACTGCAGCCTCTGCCTCCCAGGTTCATGCGATTCTTGTGCCTCAGCCTCCCGAGTAGCTGGGATTACAGGCATGCACCACCATGCCTGGCTAATTTTTGTATTTTTAGTAGAGATTTTAGGGGTTTCACCATGTTGGCTAGGCTGGTCTCGAACTCCTGTCCTCAAGTAATTCTCCTGCCTTGGCCTCCCAAAACTGGGATTACAGGTGTGAGCCGCCACACCTGATCATATTTTACTTCTCCAAGGTGGATTTCTTAAGGCTCTCTAAAATCTTTAATTTTCTTAAAACCTAAAATTCCATGGAGTTTAAAACTATTGTTTGCTTTCTTTGACCTACATATTAATATTTTAATGTCTTTCTCCTTGTTTTCTTACGTTTTGTTTCTCCAAAAGACCACATATTCTTCATTTGAAACAAATCAGCTGGGTGCAGTGGCTCACACCTATAATCCCAACATTTGGGGAGGCCGAGGTGGGTGGATCACTTGAGGTCACGAGTTCAAGACCAGCCTTGCCAACATGGCGAAACCCCACCTCTACCAGAAAAAAAAAAACAACAACGAAAATTAGCTGGGTGTGGTGGCACGTGCCTGTAATCCCAGCTACTTGGGAGGCTGAGGCAGAAGAATCGCTTGAATCCGGGAGGCGGAGGCTGCAGTGAGCTGAGACTGCGCCACTGCACTCCAACCTGGGGGACAGAGTGAGACTCCATCTCAAAAGGAAAAAAAAAAAGAAACAAATCAATCTATATCTACACACACACACACACACACACACACCCCTTATGACATGCATTTCCACCTTTGTAAGTTACTTTAAACTGTCTTTTCTTACTGTTTTCCTCAGGGACAGGCGTTCTGCCTTTTCTCGAATCACAACTTTCCTTGACTTCTTTTCAGAAGTTTCTTCCTGTTGAAGAGCGGATGTGGCCTGTTTGGAAACCACAGACTGCCTGGATGCCGTGGACTGCCTGGATGCCGTGGACTGCTTGGATGCTGTGGACTGCTTGGATGCCGTGGACTGCTTAGATGCCGTGGTCTGCTTGGATGCCGTGGACTGTTTAGATGTTGTGATTCCTTCCTCACTAGCAAGAAGATTCCTCTGGGCTATATAAGCAGCAGCTTCTTTAATTCTTTCTTCTTCCGTATCAGTAATTCCACTGACATGCTTTTGACTAAAACACAACAATGGCAAAATGTAGATGTTGTGGATGGCAGTGATAAGATTGAGTAATTTTACTAAGTTCAAAGTACCACATCTCAGACACTGTATCCTGCACCAAAAGAAAATCCGACATAGAAAAAGCAGGTGAATCAGAAGCTGACACTTCATGTACAGAAGTATTCCTCACCTTAACAAATAACAACAATAATAACACCTATGATGGCCCTGGTGCTTTTCACATACACTATCTTGTTTCATCCCCTTACAAACCCTATGAGATAAACTTTTTTTTTTTTTTTGATATGGAGTCTCGCTCTTGTTGCCCAGGCTGGAGTGCAGTGGTGCGATCTCAGCTCACTGCAACCTTGGCCTCCTTGTTCAAGCAATTCTCCTGCCTCAGCCTCTCAAGGAGCTGGGATTACAGGCTCCTGCTACCATGCCTGGCTAATATTTTGTAATTTTAGTAGAGACAGGGTTTCACCATGTTGGCCAGGCTGGTCTCGAATTCCTGACCTGAGGTGATCCACCAGCCTTGGCCTCCCAAAGTGCTGGGATTACAGGCATGATCCACCGTGCCTGGCCAAGATAAATTATTATTTCTGTTTTAAATATATGGTAACGAAGTTCAGATAAGTTAGATAACTTGGCCAAGGTCGTCTCACTGGTTGTCTTAGTGTGTTTAAACATGATTTTGTTTAAAATAAAAGATTATGGTTCCTTTCCAGAAAAGCTATATTGTCAAATGAGATCTAGTTTGTGTGCCTGTGACCCTGATACATGAGTAGGAGCTTGATCTGGGTTCTGTCACTTTGCTGATGTAATGCATTGCCTGGAGTTGTTACAGGTATGAATAAGTTCTGAATTTACATGAGGTTCCTTATGCCTACTGGGTTTCTTTCTAAGATAATACATGTTGTGTGTGCATATACTATGTGTGTACCTATACTATATACTAAGAAATTATCAAACTTGTGATGGAAGTGGTGACGTTTATAAATGTGACTCGTTATTATTCATAATTGACAATAGTAAGGGAGTGGCAACATCCCAAGTGCAATGCCTACTGTGGCAGTTTATGATAGAATCTGTGCTGTGATTTATTCATGTCGTTTAAAAATATTTGAATTATTTTAACATATTTCAATGCCTTTTGTTGTTAACCCCCTCAAATGTTTCGTGAGAGAGTGTATTGATTACATCGAAGATTCTCTTGACATTGAGTCTCCTTAGACCTCTTAAGACAGAATCGTGCATTCTAAGAATGATTACTTCAGAATGTAAGCAAATGCTGCCATTGTGTTAGCAAGTTCCTAGCATCTAAATCTATGCTGCTTGCTGAGGAATGAGATTCCACATTTGCCAAGATTGGGGTTTCTCATGGACTATTCCTAAAACATCTGGCAGACGAGATGAGTCCACGTTGTTTCTGACTAAATGTAGTGAGTAAATTTTAAGTTTTTTTCTCTCTCCGTAAATATTAATAAGCTAATCCCTACTATGGATGTTAGTAATATGTCCATTATTATTTGGGGGGCAGGAAGAAGATGAAAGATTTTTAGCTTAGTGTCCTCACATAATGACCTCTCATTCTTTTTTGAACAAGATAGGAAATGAATGAATTACTAACTGAATACAAAACAAACCATCAGGAGAATTTGCTTGGAATTCTCTATGGAAGTCAATATGCAATAGGGAGATGTGAAATGAGCTTTGTGAGCTGTTTCAATTCATGTAATGATGGATCATATTCAGTGCTAGTCTTGCCCCAGGCTCCAAGTAAGAGAACTTTATGTTTAAGTTCTCATTACTACTGATACTGGATATGTTGGCACAGCTCTAGAGGGCCAAATGAAGTGATAGTCTCCTTGCCTTTTCCATTTACAAAGAAGCTAAACTTCGAAAAAAAACTAATTATTTCACACGAGAACTCAACTACAGTTAAAAAGTATGTTAGACCCAGGCAATAGGGATATTCTCCTTTAAGTAAAAGTCAGGATTTATCAGTGATAACCCTTCTATAATGTGGACACAAAAGCAAAACTGTGAGGCTAACATGTTGACAAAAGTATACTACTACAAAGTAAAAATAAATTTAAAATCTCCCGGTACTCTGCGAATCTCTGACAGTCTCAATTCAAAAATCTCTTGTTGACACAAAGTTTACTCGATTTATTGGAATATAAGTGGAAATTTCAGGTGCCATGCAGAGGAAATGGTATTTTCCAGAAGCACACTGTGAGTGCAGAGGGCATGTCCACTGCATTCGCCAGGCCTACGTGGGACTTTCAATTCTTTACCTCCCAGGCATGCAGCTTTCAGCAAGTCACTCTGCCATGATTTCCTTGTCCAAAACGTTGATATATTAATATCTCTGCAGGGTTGTATGGAGAATTTAGCAAGATGGTTTATATAAAGCACCTTGCGTGAGTCCCAGCAAATAATAATAGACACTCAACAAATGTTCATTTCTTTTCCATCCTCTCCTCAGATTGTTAATACTGCCAAAACCACTGTGAAATGTTATTTTTGACACAGTAACAGAGTATAGGTGATGACATCATATAAGATATAATGGAGAACTAGAAATAAAGCCTAGAAGATCAATTTTTCTTCACATCTTTTTTTTTTTTCTTTTTGAGATGGGGTCTCACTCTGTGGCCCAGGCTGGAGTGCAGTGGCGTGATCTCAGCTCACTGCAACCTCTGCCTCCCAGGTTTAAGCGATTTTCCTGCCTCAGCCTCCCGAGTAGCTGGGACTACAGGTGCCCGCCACCACGCCCGGCTAATTTTTTTGTATTTTTAGTAGAGACCGGGTTTCACCGTGTTAGCCAGGATGGTCTCAATCTCCTGACATTGTGATCTGCCCGCCTCAGCCTCCCAAAGTGCTGGAATTACAGGCATGAGCCACCGTGCCTGGCCTCACGTCTTCTTTTATCACAGTGTATTTGTAAATGATCACTTCTTGAGATTGGCCCGGAAGAGAAAAATAGTTTGGTGTGGACAGAGCAGGGAGAAGATGTTAGGAGTAAGAAGCTTCATTTTGTGCCCTGCCAGGTGGAGTCATGTCACGTAGGCTGGTGTTAAGCTGATGTGGTTTTTAAATGATTTTTTGAAACAGAGTGGGAAAAATACTGGAGACAAAAGATTTTACCGCTCTAGCCTACCATCTCTTATAAGGAATGCGAGTTACATTAAGCTACTGTGAAGAGGTCAAAAGGCTGGGCATCCATACTTAGCAGTGAAAACATGTTTGTCTGGAAAGTTCACTTAAAAAAATCAGAGATAGCAAAGATATCAAATAAAAAGCTAAAAATAGAATGTTATTTATCCCTTTACCTTCCTAATTGGGTTCAGAGCAATTATGACATTAGCCTCTGACACAAGTCAGAAAGGAACTGTCAGAGGGCAATGGAAAGAAAAACACAGGCAACAGAAGTAGGTCACCATCAATCACAACCAAATTATTTCCTGACTTCCAAGAGGATCTACTTTTCCATGACATTTGCTCTTAGAGGATGGCCTCACTTTGAGTGTCACCTGAGCTATGGGAATAACTCTCTGTTCAAAGAGAAATAAATAGGAGATGAACCAGAAAGCTCCTGTTGAGCTTTAATCTTGGTGTCCAGGACAAGTTTCCTTTCAAGATTCCTTTAAATATTATTACTGCTCAAAAATAATGTTTATGCAATAAAGATAGAAAAGTGGCATCACACAGACTTGTGATTTAGTGATTATTTTGTCTGAAGTTTACCTCAAAGTAAATAGCAATCTATTTCCCATTGAACAAGGCATTCAAATTATGATGAGATTTTTTCCCCCAATGAATAATAATTAAAACCACATTGATAACCAAGATATTTTTCAGCTACCTAAATGTGTCATCTTGGGTTTTTTTTTAAAAGTTCACCCAGGCCAGGTGTGGTGGCTCATGCCTGTAATTCCAGCACTTTGGGAGGCCAAGCAGGGAAGATCACTTGAGCCCAGGAGTTCAAGACCAACCTGGGCGATATAGTGAGACCCCATCACTACACATAATTTTTTAAAAAAATTAGCTGGGTGTGGTGGCTCGTGCCTGTGGACCCAGCTACTTGGGAGGCTGAGGTAGGAGGATTGCCTGAGTCTGGGAGGTTGAGGCTGCAGTGAGCTATGTTTGTGCCACTGCACTCCAGCCTGGGTAACAGAGTGAGACCCTATCTCAAATACATAAATATATATACATATACATACATATATATATGTATATGTACATATACATATATATGTACATATACATATATATATATATACACACACACACACACACACAATAATAAAAATTCACCCAACATTTTGTAGTTTTTGAAGCTTTCTTTTTACTCTGGCTGTCCTGTCCAATCACAAGCATCCCAGGATCCACTTCCCATTCCAGCTAGTTTTATAAGCAGCATTAAGTTCTGATCATTCTTGTTTGTCATGTAACCATCCTACGTGATGGCAAAATTTCTGAAGAGGAAGTCCCTTTTAACACAGTTAACACATCTCTCTCAGTGCAGGGTTCCCAGCTTCCTCAGATCTGAATCAGTATATAGTAAGTGCTTAATAAAAGGTTAGCTGCTTTTACTATAATCTAACAAGTGCTCAATAAATGTTAGCTGCTATTTCTATAATCTGTCCACAACAATTATGACTATAATCTGCCATTCCTATAGCACTTACTATATACTTCTTAAAAATTAAAGCCAGGAAGAAAAAGCACACTCACCGTCCTGAGAAAATGGGTACCATGTAGTCACTGGGCAAATTTTCTTTCTCTTCTCCAGACAGTAGGCTGTGCTTGGCTCTCTTTGGTTTGGGGCTCAACTTGGATGAATAATCATCTAACAGCAGACTGGAATCTGTAAGTCTGAAATAAACCACCTAACATCAGACAGTAACAAAAAAAGGCATTTACAATATTCAAAATACGATAGAGGAAGTTTTAACTTGGGAGAAATTTTACCAAATCCTAGATCTCTAATGTTACAATTATCTCTTATCTTTAGAATTAAAGTAGAGTTAGAAAGATTTCAAATAATGGATTCTATATAGACAGAAAAGAAAAATAGTGATAATAACTTTATGGCTACAGTAATTGCATGGCTTTTTCCCCCACTTAAAGTTTCAAGGGAAAAGAGTGATGTTTTTATGATAGTTCTAAATGCCCTTTTGTGTTAATGTCATGTTGGAAATTTAGGCAGTCTATATAAATGGTTTGATACATGGTGCATCCAAATTCTTTTGGGAGCTTATTTAAAATGCATACTTTTCTAGACAGGTCCATCCTGATGTAGGACCCTTGGTTTACACTGAGACCTTTATGTATTATAGGCAACTCCTGCCTTTGAAGGGACGTGGGGCTTATTAAATGATAGAGTTAACATATTTTATGGGAACACACGATGCCGATTGACTCAGTGGTGCACACGGGTGCGATAAGGAAGCCTTTGGTCAGTTCTGGCTTCCTGTGCACACTGGTACAAATGTGCACTTGGAGGCAGGTAGTGTTCTAATAAACCAAAAAATTGACTAGGGAAGTGGAAAACATGAGAGCAGAGATAGCAGAGGAAAAGGACTGATGAAATGAAAAGAATAGTCTTAATTTATATAGCTCTTGAATGAAATGAAATGCATTTTCATACAAACATAAACAATTTGGCATAAACTTCAGGAGTTCATGAACTCCCTGAAGTCAATCCATGAACTTGGGGCTAAAAGTCCCTGATCTACACATTAAGAAAGATGTTAACAATAGGGATCTGTATGGGAACCCTCTGCACTATCCTTGTAATCATTTTGTAAATTTGAAACTATTCTTAAAAAAAAAAAAGTTAATGTATTTTTTAAGAGCCCCCGTCTAGAGAATCTCTAAAGACAAGGTGAACAGGGGTATTGTGGCATGGGAAAAGCCAAGCTGCCCAGTTGAAATAGAAAAACCTTCCAAACCATCCAAACCTTGACCATTTCCTAATCTTGGAAAATCATTTGAAAAAGCAAAAGGGATTACCTAATCAAAAGCAGAAGAGAGGCCAAGCACATACATGGTACAAAATGGATATATGACGATGCGAGAAAACAAGTAGCACAGGACTTTGACATGCAGGGCAGGCAGCGGCCCCTTGAATCCTCCAGGGAGGTCGCATGGAAATGGCCAAACTCTTCCTTCCCCACTATCTACCACCTCCCCCAGTGGGGAATATCCATCTCTTTTTCTATGATGAGCATTAAAACTAAAGGTTAGAACTTTGAATTTAAGCTTGTGGATTGGTTACAAACTGGAAGCCAGGGTGACATTTGTTCCTGGCCAGCTGTCCTGGGCAGCAGCAAAACGACTGCATTCTATACCCCGGCAGGTCACAAAGTACAGGCTGTGCTTATACAGGTCTAAGTTTAAAGTGGTATTTTCCCTCACCTCTTTATTCCATTAGCATCCAAAATAACATACTTATGGGGCTTAAGAGTTTCATTTTTTCCCCTGTTTCCAGAACAGTTGGATTTCTAATTTCTCTCCTGTTTTTCTGCTTTTGCTTTTCTCTCTTTACTTCCATTCTAGTGGCCACAGTCATAGTCTCATGAGCTCATTATTTTTTGACATTTATTTACATCAAAATAGCTATGATTTGTTATTCTTTTCATTGCATTGCTCCTTTTTCTGTCATTTATCCTTTAAGACAAATTCTTAAAATAATGCATTTATTACATAGAATGTGCCATAATATGAGTATTCCATTCTCACAAGTAAATCACAGGCGCTGCTTTTTTTTTTCTTTATGTCCTTCCAATGTAAGAGCTGATTTTTAATAGTTGAACTTTATGCTAAAGACTCATGGCACTTTCATCAGCTTCCACTTCATATTTCATTTGGAACAGAAGAATTTTTAAAAAGCATTATGATGTTATGTGTTATATAGTACTGCTTAGAAAACGCAAGATCTTCACTTTTATTATGCTAATATTTCTTCAAGCCTTTGATTTCTAATAAAGAGTATTGAAGAATTAGGTGTTAAAATACAATGCAAACTGATGATTTAGTAATGCTAAGACGTTTATGTATTGAGGCTACCAAACAAAACTAAATCAGAGAGACACAAACTTTAAAGAAAGTGACTATGTTATAATAAGCATAATTATCTTAAGAAAAACCATCCATAGTCTATTTTGTCATGATCCATGAACTCTGAAGTCCAACATCTTACTCTATCAAATTTTAAAGTTGAATAATGTTTCTAAAGGAGTTACATCGAATATGTAGATTTTAAATTTCTTTGATCTTAAATCAAAGAGTTAAATAAGGGATTGCTAACCCCTTGGGCTTTTATGTATTTAAATTTTGAAAATAAGCCAACAACTCAGTTTCTGAGTAGATACCAAACAATATGTATGGACTGGTGTCAGTCTTTACCTATTAAAACTACATGTAGTGTTTTTTAATGTACTTAGCTTAAATCTTGAAGCTTTCTGAATTTTGATGAAAGCAATCAAATTAAGCAAAAGGCAAGGGTTAATTGTGTGTGTGTGCAGGTATCTATGAGCCTGTAACTGTATCTATATCTAGGTACATCTTTTTGTACTCCCCCACCAATTATGCTAGTCCTTGTTAATATGTCTACAGTTAACAGATTTTAAATACATATCCTGGTGTGTAGGACATTATCACATACATCTATGACTGGTAGCACCACAGGGAAGAGATGTAGCCAAGGTACAAAATGCACTCTCCGGAAATATTCCAGGAACTCAGAAGTAGACTTACACCTGCATTTAATTCAAATACTGAACAGAAAATATCATAACCACCTACTTGTTCAACTTCGTAACAGGAAAAGCAAGAACAAAACCATTTATAGAATCTCAGAGCTGAAAGAGGACTCGGGGATATTTATATCAGGCCCTTGATTTGACAGATGTGGAAAGCAAAGCCTGGAGAGTGTTTGTAACTCACCCATGCTCACACAGTGAGTTGGTGGTGAACTGGGACTAGCATTCATCTCTTCTTGATTTTCAGGTTAGTGTTCTTTACACTATACCAGTCATCTCCAACTTCCTTTTTTTTTTTTTTTTTTGAGACGGAGTCTCACTCTGTCACCCAGGCTGGAGTGCAATGGCGCGATCTCGGCTCACTGCAACCTCTGCCTCCCGAGTTCAAACAATTCTCCTGCCTCAGCCTCCTGAATAGCTGGGATTACAGGCGCACGCCACCATGGCCAGCTAATTTTTGTACGTTTTAGTAGAGACAGAGTTTCGCCATGTTGGCCAGGCTGGTCTCAAACTCCTGATCTCAGGTGATCCGCCTGCCTTGGCCTCCCAAAGTGCTGGGATCTCCAACCTTTATGATCAAGTACTCTCAATTTAAAAAAATTGGGAGCATACTACCTATATATGTTTATTTATAAGTTCTATCCATATACTACTGTATAAATAGTCTAATTTTATGAAACATTCAATCAATAGAAAAATACTAAAGACCACACTTGATTTTTTTTAAAAAAAGAAGTGTTAAGGCTGGGCGCGGTGGCTCACGCCTGTAATCCCAGCACGTTGGGAGGCCAAGGCGGGCGGATCACGAGGTCAGGAGATCGAGACCATCCTAGCTAACATGGTGAAACCCCGTCTTTACTAAAAATACAAAAAATTAGCTGGGCATGGTGGCAGGCGCCTGTGGTCCCAGCTACTCGGGAGGCTGAGGCAGGAGAATGGCGTGAACCTGGGAGGCAGAGCTTGCAGTGAGCCGAGATCGCACCACTGCACTCTGGCCTGGGTGACAGAGCGAGACTCCATCTCAAAAAAGAAAAAGAAAAAGAAAAAGAAATGTTACTATTTCGTTCTATACTCCAATGGCTTGCCTTTGTGGACTCCCCAGTTTGCAGACCATAAAACCATGTCATACTGCCCATGATGACTTTGATGTTGATTTGCTCTCCCTGAATTTATTCACCTAAATTGAAGTTATGAAATCATCAGTTACAGCTAAAAATAAAGCACAAAAAAAAACTCATTAAACTGAACATAAAGTAAAATGCTGGCCCCTTAAAGTTATGTTTATAATCACTATATAATTTGGGGAAATTTTTCCAGGTTCACTAGGATGAATAAATGTATTCATGCTTATGGGAAGTATAGATCTGCTTAATGGCTATGTTATTTTCTGAAAACATTCTGACAGCCTATCAGCACGTTTCAGAGAAAGGATGAACTGTGGGCATTGTCTCCGCTGACTGTGCCACCAAAGCCAGCATCACCCATCCTTATGTGTTCAGGGTTAGGCTGCATTATTGGTTTCTCTGTCTTTCCCACTGCCTGTGACTACTCCAGAAGAGGGATGGTCTCAGTGATTTTTATATTCTCAGCACTGTGCCCAGTGCCTGACATAATTCAATAAATGTTTACTGAATGAAGTGAAATAAAGATTTATGGCCAGGCGCAGTGGCTTACACCTGTAATCTCAGCACTTTGGGAGGCCGAGGTGGGTGGATCAGGAGGTCAGGAGTTCACGACCAGCCTGGCCAAGATGGTGAAACCCCGTCTCTACTAAAAATACAAAACTTAGCTGGGCGTGGTGGCGGGCGCCTGTAATCCCAGCTACTAAGGAGGCTGTGGCAGAGAACTGCTTCAACCCGGAAGAGGGAGGTTGCAGTGAGCCAAGATCGCACCACTGCCCTCCAGCCTGGGTGACAGAGGGAGACTCTGTCTCAAAAAAAGAAAAAAAAAAAAAAAGATTTATTCTCCTGTAGTAAAACCCTAGCTCAAGGATTCTCAACCCTGGTTTCACATCAGAATCAGCTGAGGAATGATTAAAAATGACTGATGCAGAGGTGGGACTTCCAGTATGGTGGAAGGAGTAGTTCCTCAGTTCCTCTCCCCAAAGCAGTGATGATATATAACACATTGTCAAAAATAACCAATCAGGGCTCTGAAAATCAATCAAAGGCGTACACTACACTGAGAATTCGCTATTCATAGAACAAACAAACAACTGAACTTCACGTATGAGCAGGGTGTCATTCCTGCCTAGGCTTCTCCCATCCCTTACCCCCAGCTTAGTCCATAAGGTAGTTCAACCAAGATGAGAAAAGGCATGAAAAGGAGCAGCCAGGGAAGACTGACTTGATTTGGGGAACAATGTGATAAAACCCCACATCCAGCAGCACTGTGAATAACAGTAGCAATAATCTAGGTGGCAAACAAACAAGGGAAAACCAGCAGCTCAGCTAGCCTGAGGTTACAGTCAGGCTTGGGGCAAGCAGCAGATTGGTAGATCAGCCAGAAATTTACCAGGAAGATCTGGAAAATAAGGTAGTCACAGGGTCCTTCATAAGCTCTCCATACATATATGTGTGGGAAAAATTGGAGAGGGCCAAGTTTTCCACACATCATTGGTTGACTGCAAGCCTGTGCACATGTGCAGAGGACAGGCAAGAGAGCCTGGAATTAAGCAAAACCAGATTTACGTAAAAATTACCTGCACACCGGCTGGGCACGGTGGCTCACACCTGTAATCCCAGCACTTTGGGAGGCCAAGGTGGGTGGATCACGAGGTCAAGAAATCAAGACCATCCTGGTCAACATGGTGAAACCCTGTCTCTACTAAAAATACAAAAATTAGCTAGGCATGGTGGCACATGCCTATAGTCCCAGCTACTCTAGAGGCTGAGGCAGGAGAATCACTTGAACCCGGGAGGTGGAGGTTGCAGCGAGCTGAGATCGTGCCACTGCACTCCAGCCTGGGTGACAGAGTGAGACTCCGTCTCAAAAAAAAAAAAATTACCTGCACACTTTAGCTGTGCTCCCTAACACACACTCAGATCTACTGCCAGAGGGTGGAAGATTTACTGTCTTGAGCTGTTTGGGCACAATGTCTGACCACCATTAATCTATGCAAACACAGTGTGATTCCTAGGAATTCCGGCTTAAAAATGAGAACAAGAATTTAAAAAACAAAACAAAGCTGAGCAGAGACACCTGCAGCCACACAGCAGTTAAGGAGATTCTACAAGCATGTCCAGCCAAATTATTATTAAACAAAACTGAGATCACACCACTGCACTCCAGACTGGGCAACAGAGTGAGACTCCAGCTGAAAACAAAAACAAAAACAAAAACAAAAAAACCCAAAAAACAAAAAACAAAACCAAAATACAGCAACAACACACTCTGAGGAAAATTCAGAATTCAGAATTGTAACAATATATTATCTGACATGTCCCATTTTTAACAACAATAAAAGTTATGAGACATGCCAAGAAATAGGAAAATGTAACCCACACCAATGGGAAAATAGTAGTAAGCAAAAATTGTCTCTGGGTTGTCCTTGATGTTGGGTTTAGCAGACAAAGACTTCAAAGCAGCAATTATAAATATGTTCAAAAACTGAAGGAAACCATGTTTAAAGAGTTAAAGGAATGTATTACAACAGTGACTCAACAAATAGAGAATGTCAACAAAGAAATATAAATTATAAAATAAAATCAAAGGACACTCTGGAGTTAAAAAGTACGATAACAAATGAAAATTTCTTAGAGGGACTCAACAGCAGATGTTAGATAAGGGAAGAAATAATCAATAAAGTTGAAAATAGAAATTACCCATTCTAAAGCAAAGAGAGATAAAAGAATAAAGAAAAATTAAAAGAGCCTCAGAAACGTGTGAGACAATGTCAAACATACTAACATATGAGTAATGGCAGTGCCAGAAAGGGAAGAGAGAGAGAAAGGGCAGGAAAATATATTTGAAGAAATAATAGACTAAAGCTTCCAAAATTTGATGAAAATATTAATCTATGGATCCAAGATGCTCAAAAAACCCAAGTAGAATAACACAGAAAAAGATACTTAGACCTGGAAATATCGAAGTCAAACTGTTGAAAGTCAAAGCCAGAGAGAAACCTTGAAAGCATCAAGAGTAAAATGATTCTTTACACACAGGGGAACAATAATACTGTTAATGGTAGACTTCTCATCAGGAAAAATGGCACCGACATGACATATTTAAGTGCTGAAAAACAATGTTAATCAAGAATTCTATATCTGGCCGGGCGCAGTGGCTCATGCCTGTAATCCTAGCACTTTGGGAGGCTGAAGGGGGTGCATCACTTGAGGTCAGGAGTTTGAGACCAGCCTGTCCAACATGGTGGAACCCTGCCTCTACTAAAAATACAAAAATTAGCCGGGCATGGTGGTGCACTCCTGTAATCCCAGCTACTCAGGAGGCTGAGGCAGGAGAATTGCTTGAACCTGGGAGGCAGAGCTTGCAGTGAGCCAAGATCGTGCCACACTGCACTCCAGCCCTGGCGACAGAGTGAGACTCCGTCTCAAAAAAAAAAAGAAAAAAAGACTAAAGGTAATTTAATTGTAATTTAAACCCACACGAAAAGATGGAGAACAACCAGACAGTAAATAATTGGGTAAATACAAAAGACAGTGTGTGTACATACACACATACACACATGTACATGCACATATATGTATATAAGTTTATACACACATATGTATATAAATTTATACGTATATAAGCTTATACACATATATGTATGTAAATTTTTACATATATATTCTATTAAATTCTTTTTTTTTTTTTTGAGACAGAGTCTTGCTCTGTCACCCAGGCTGGAGTGCAATGGCGTGGTCATAACTATAACCTCGATCTCCCGGGCTCAAGCCATCCTCCCACCTCAGCCTCTCAAGTAGTTGGGACTACAGGCACACATCACCATGCCCAGCTAATTTCTGTATTTTTTGTAGAACTGGGATTTCACCATGCTGCCCAGGCTGGTCTCAAACTCTTGAGCTCAAGTGAGTCACCCACCTCGGCCTCTGAAAGTGCTGGAATTGCACATGTAAGCCACTGCACCCAGGCTTCTCTTAAATTCTTTAAAAGATATAATATTGTATAAAATACTTATTGCATTGTGTTGTTGGGTTTACAACATTCATAGTTGTAATATACTTGACAACAGTGCAAAGGAGGGAGAAGGAAATGAAGCTATATTAGAGGAAAGTTTCTATGTTTACTGGTATTCAGTGAGTATATATTATCTGAAGTAGATAGAAATAAGTTAATATGTATATTGTAATTCCTAAGGCAATCCCTAGGAAAATAGCTCAAAGAATATAGTCAAGAAACAAAAGAATTAAAACAATACACTAAAAAGGTCCATTTAATACAAAATAAGGCAATAAAGGAGTAATTAAAGAGATAATGAGATATACTTTAAAAAGTGGCAGACATAAATACAACCATATCAGTAATTTTAGCAAACGTAAATGGAATAAAAAACTCCAAGGAACAGGCAGAGGCTGTCAGACTGAATGGAAAAATACAGATTCAACTAATCCACTTATATGCTGCCACAAGAGGCACACCCTAAATTTAAAGACACATTTGTTAGTAAAAGGATAAAAAATATATACCATGCAAATGGTAAGCTATAGTAATATAAAACATAATATACTTTACATCAAGAAATATTATTAGAGACAAAGAGGAATATTTCATATGATAAAATGGTCAATTTCTAAGAAAAGCATAATTGTAAATGTATATACACCTAACAACAGATCCCCAAAATACATAAAGCAAAAATGACAGAATTGAAAGAAATATAAAACTGAAAAATAATAGTTGGAGACTTCAATATTCCACTCTCAATAACTGATAGAACAACTAGATTTAAAAAATCATCAGGAACATAGAATACTTGCAAAACACTATCAATCACCTTGACGTGACTGATCTTTCTTGAGTACTTTACCCAAGGACGACAGAATACTTACTCTTTTCAACATTCTCAAGGAGGGTTCATATGGTAGTCCACAAAACAATCTCAATCAATTTAAAAGAGCTAGAATCATGGGAAATATATCCCCAGATAACAGAAGAATTAAACAATAATCTACAATAGAAAAAAATTTAGAAAATTCTCAAATATAAGGAAACTAACAACATACTTTTAAATAACCTATTGGTCAAGAAGAAATCACAAAGGAAATTAGAAAATACTTCGAACTATATAAAAACAAAAACACAACTTATTAAAATATATGGGATACAGCTAAAGCAGTACTTAGAGGGACATATATAGCTTTAAGTGTTTATATTAGAAAAGAAGATCTCAAACTAATAATTTAAGCTTCCATCATAAGTAGCTAGAAAAAGATAAAACTAAACACAAAACAAGCAGAAGGGCAATATAATGAAGACTAGAGGGGAAATAAATGAAAAAGAAAACAGAAAAACAATAAAATTAATGAAACAAAAGTTGGTTCTTTGAAAAGATCATGACAATTAGTAAGGCTTTTGCTAAATTGACTACAAATAATAGAAGACACAAATTACTAAAATCAAGAATGAAAGAGGAGACATCACTAACAACCTTATAAGAATTAAGAGGCTCACAAAGAAATAATGTAGATGCCTTTATGCCAACAAATTAGACAACTTAGACAAAATAGGAAAATTCCTATAAAGACTCAAATTACTAAGGCTAACTTGAGAAAAAATTACAAAATCTGAAGAGATCAATAACAAGTAAAGAACTCGAATTGGTAATTTAAAATTTTCCTACAACGAAAAGTCCATGCCCAAATAGCTTCGCTAATGAAGTCTATCAAATACTTAAAGAAATAATACCAATCATTTCTCTTTTTTTTTTTTTCCAAAAATAGAGAAGGGAACACTTTCCAACTCATTCTACAAGGTCAGTATTACATGATATCAAAGCAAACAAAGACGTTATAATAAAAGGAAACTACAGACCAATATCCATCATAGAGACGCAAAAATCCTTCATAAAATATTAAGAAATGGAATCCAGCAACATATAAAACCAAGTGAAGATTACCCCAGAAATGCAAGGTTGATTTAACATATGAAAATCAGTCAGTGTAATATACCATATTAATAGAATAAAAAGCAAAAACCATATTATCATCTCAATAGATGCAGAAAAAGCATTTGACAAAAGTCAGCATTCTTATTAATAACTCTCAATAGAATAGAAACAGAAGGGAACTTCCTTAAACTGATAAAGGCCATCTACGAAAAATCTACACCTAATGTCATACTTAATGGTAAAAACCAAATGCTTTCCTCTTAAGACTGAAACAAGGCAATGATCTGCTCTTGCCACTTCTGTTCAACATTGTAGTGGAGGTTCTAGTCTGGGTAATTAACTTTTTAAAAATTGAAAAGATGTAAATCTACCTTTTGTTACAGATGATATAATCCTATGTGTAGAAAATCCTAAAAAATACACACAAAAATTGTTGGTACTAATAAATGAGTTCAGCAAGGTCATAGGATATAAAATCAAAACACAAAAATCAATTATATTTCCATATACTAGCAATGAATAATCCAAAAATTAAATTAAGACAACTCCATTCACAATAGCATCAAAGAGAATAAAATACTAAGGAATAACTTTAACAAAGAAGTATAACACTTGTACATTGACAATTACAAAACATTATTATGAGAAGTGAAAGAACAACTAAATAAATAAGTATTTCATGTTCATGGAATGGAAAACTCAACATTATTAAAATGATACTTTTTTTCAAAATTGATCTACAGATTCAACATGATCCTAATCAAAATCCCAGTAGACTTTGTTCTTTGTAGAAATTGACAAGGTGATTCTAAAATTTATATGGAAATATGAAGGAACGACATAGGCAAACAATATTGTAAAAGAAGAACTAAGAGGACTTACATTCACCAGTTTCAAACTTTTTATAAAGCAACAGTAGCACTATGGTACTGGTATAAGAACAAGCATATAGATTAAGGGAACAGAATTGATAGTCCAGAAATAAACCTCTACATTTATGGTCAAGTGATTTTTGATAAAGGTATCAAGAAATTTAATGGGGGAAGGGATAATCTTTATAACAAATGGTGCTGGGGCAATCAGTTGTACTGTAAACCCATATGTGAAAGGACGAATTTAGAGCTTTACTCAATATTATACACAAAAAGTTACTTCAAAATGCATCACAGTTCTAAATATAAGTGCTGAAATGGTAAAACTCTTAGAAGAAAAGATCAGAGAAACTCCCTAAGGTGTTGACTTAATCAAAGAGTTCTTAGATAAAATACCAAAAGCATGATTTGAAAGGAACAAAATTGTTGAACTGAACTTCATCAAAATTAAAAACTTCTGGTTTTGGAAAGACACTGCAGTAAAGAGAAGGAAAAGACAAGGCACAGAATATGAGAAAATATTTGCAAACATATCTAATAAAGGACTTGTATCCAAACCATTTAAATAACTATGACAACTCAATAAGAAAAAAATCCAATTAAAAAATGGGCAAAACATTTGAATAGGCATTTCACTAAAGAAGATACAGAAATGGCTACTAAATGCAAAAAAGATGGTTAACAAAATTGGTCATTAAGCAAATGCAAATCAAAACCACAACAAAACTCTATTACACACACATTATAATGGCTATAATAAATAAGACAGAAAACAATAAATGTTGACAAGGATGTGGATAAACTAGAATCCCCATACATTTTTGTGGGAAGGTAAAACAGTACAACCACTTTGGAAAACCACTGGGTAGTTTCTTATAGAGTTAAATGTAAACTTAGCATACAACCCAGCTGGTATTTCAGAAAGTGCACGAGAAAGTTTATTTCAAACATTATTGAACAATCTCCTTGTTCAATCGTTCACAATGTATATACATATAACACGTTATAATACCACTGAAATCCTCACGGGTTTATTTCTTAACATTCTGTAGCAATTTCATTTATTTGACAAAAAAAATTATTGAGTATCTACTGTGTGCAAAATACTGTGTTTGGCACTGGGGTAGGAGTAGGATACAAGGATAAATGTAAAACCCTTGTCTTCTGAGAGCTTTACGGTCTAGTAAGGGAGCAAATATATTATGTCAATCAAGGAAGAAAGGATGGAAGAACACAAAGAAGGAAGGCCAGTAACCACAAAGGCCAGTGCAAACAAAATGTGAATTCACACACTCGAGAGTGAGCTTCTGTCTGGGGTTATCAGGGAATCCTTCGTGGAAGAGCTGGACATTCAAAGATGGGTAGGACATCCCAGGATGAAAAGCTCTGTTTTTAATGCTGACTTATCTATGTGTTTTCATTAGGCTTTACTGAAAGGCCACAAAAGAGCTGAATTCATTTTTTCTATTCTAAAAATGTTCCTTTAAAAACTTCATCTTTACATATATTTACAGCTCCGTACTGTTCACATATATGCGAAATGCTCAGCCGTTTACTGGAAGAGAGAAAGAGGCCATGTTTTTAAACTGTGGGTCAGCTTTTTCTGGGCCTCTTCTGGGCTGTCTTTGCTCCAGTTAGCTGCTCCTCCGCAGGGCTTCAGCATCTGAATTACATCTCTCATCTTTAGGACCCTGTGCAGAGTCGCTGGGAATTTGCATTCTCTTTTCTACTCTCCAATTTTCTGTTCGCCACAATTTCCTCTTCGCAAAACCTGAAAAATGATACTTTTCTTTGGACTTTTGTGAAAACGTTGTTTTGGATCTACTTTTGATTGAGAACAGCTTGGTTTTGTGCTCCTCCTTTGATACAGGCAATCCCGGTGGCCTAACACCTACTGATTCTTGATTCTCCCATTTCCCAATCTTGACACACATGGAGGTTTCAGGAGAACATCAAAGTTCGCGGACAAGTAGAAAGCTGAAGAGTCCTCTTTTTGCTAATACACTTTTCAGAAAAAGTTTCTTATGGTACAAACATGAATTTAGTTAGATCGACATGATCCTTGAAATTTACTGACAGGTAGCGTCATAATAAATATTATGATGTCAAAATAAATAGCCTTCCCTTGGATTTTAATTTTTTTTGCATTATTTATCTTACACTAATCTCTTCTCTTCATTTTACTCTTAGCCATATCTCACTTTCAGTTTTTTTTAAAAAAAACTATTTAAATAGGAATATAACCGCAATTTTTTCATTTAATTTATTGCTTTATTTTTTCCATGATTTAAATTTCCATTGATATGTAACATTTTCCTTGCTTTTTCAGTAACTTTACACAGTTAGTGTATAGCCATGATATAAAAACAAATGCCCTAGGAATGTAGAATATTCATGTGTTCTAGAAAAGGTGGATGTGTAAAACTCTGAGAGAATTAAATCTCTTATGGTTCTTGTCTATATACATCCTTCAGTTGTTATTCACTTCTGACTATTCCATAAGTGAATTTAATCGGACTACATTATAGTTTTTAAGCAAGAGTAAAAGAGTTTAACCCCATATTTCCTAGACATTATAGTATAAAGACACTTGACAATAGTATCAGGAGATGCCTTACTAAGTCTAAGGTTGTTTCTTTGTGAACTGAGGTGTCCAGGGTTTGTCAAAGCAGGTCTTATTAACTTATTTATAAAGCAGCCCAGACACCAATATCCACTCTACTTTGGGATGGTCACTGGGATTGACTAGACATTGCACGAAAGTTACCTTACTCTTGCTTTCTTGTTTCATCTAAAAGATGGCTGTGGGAAACCTCAAGCCTGTTGCAAAGGCACCCTTGGGCTTCCAGAGTCCAGAGGTCTCTCTGTGGAAGCTCAGTTACACCCCACTACCTGGCCAGTGCCGACACTATGGAGGCCAAGGGCCTGCAGGGACAGAGCAAATGTTTCACCTCTGAGCCCAGGGAGGTAGCAGCTTTGCCCTTCCTCCGCCTCTGGCTGACTCATTCTACTCTGCTCTACTCTAGGAAAAGGACATGCCTTCTCACAGCATGATTCACCTGCCTAGGGAAGACTATGCCATTCTGGGTATATCTGGTGCCATCTCAACTTGATTTAGGCTGCATGAGAGCCTGGTAAAAGAGTCAAGCACAGCAGGCAAAGAAGGAACCACATCTTTCTGGGCCTCAGTCTACACATCTATGAAAGGAGGGGCTTAAATTATATGAACTTTTGGTCCTTTCTTGCTTTAACATTCCACAGTTCTATGGATCTATAAATTGCCAATTATGTGAACCTGTTGTTACCAGGAGTGAGAATCCTAGCTCTCTCTCCCTGTGTTTACAGCTGAGGAAGTTGGAGCAGGAGGCTGATACATAGAAAGGACCATTCTCCTTGGATTTAGGGTTGGTCTTTGGGATTCAGAACATAATGCAACAGGCCAGGCACGGTGGCACACACCTGTAATCCCAGCACTTTGGGATGCCAAGGTGGGTGGATTGTCCGAGCTAGCTCGGGAGTTTGAGACCAGCCTGAGCAACATGGTGAAACCCCGTCTCTACAAAAAACACAAAAATTAACTAGGCATAGTGGCACGCGCCTATAGTTCCAGCTACTTGCGGGCTGAGAGGACTGAGCCAAGAGGATCTGCCTGAGCCCAGGAGGTGGAGGTTGCAGTGAGCTGAGATCGCACCACTGCACTCCAGCCTGGGCAACAGGGCAAGATCCCATCTATTAAAAAAAAACCATAATGCAACAGCCTTTTAAACAAAGTAACTCTCTGGCTTTTCTGCTTTCATAGATATTTCCCTCTGAACTTCTACCGTTCAGGAAATAATGTGGCTCATCATTTTGTTGGTATTTAAATACTGGAAGACAAACCTTAGAATATTGTATTGATTTTTGTTACCCATGAACTATGATGCTTTTTTCTTATATATAATAATTAAAATTTTATTTAGAGAAGAAGCAATAAAATCGTTTCTAAAGGAAAAAAAGTAAAACCTTGATATATCAGCAACAATAGAGACAAGGTTTCACTATTTTGCCCAGGCTGGTCTGAAACTCCTGGGCTCCAGCAATCCTCCTGCCTTGGCCTCCTCAAGTGTTGGGATTACAGGCATGAGCCACTGTGCCCAGACTATCAGCAGCTTCCTAAGCAAATTTCATTTCCGGTAACAGTCAATTGGCTCAATATTTTTTATTATTCAGATTCAGTCACTTCAGTCTCCAGATGGATTTGAGTCTCCATACAACTATGGTTATTTCAAGGTGCTTTTCCTATTAAATACCAGAAAAACACTAACAAAAGAATAAGGCATTTCTTTGACACGATGTAGAGGGAATCTGGGAAAATGGGGAACAAGTGAATGGTTTTACTATCATCATACCACCTAAAGAGAGTCTCAGAAGATTCATTGTATGCGCAAAATCTCCACAGACCATTTCACAGCCTCAAAACTCCCTGGCTAAGGGTGCTGAGGAACTCTGGGAGAAATCTGACGGAATTCAGAACTCAGCCATGACCAGTAGATCCTCACATCTGGCCACTGCTCGCACATCCGCTCTTACTGCACATCTGGCCCTGGCTGGACTACAGCACTAGCCTCCTAACAAGGGAACTTGCTTCTGCAACAGTCACAGTGATGCTGTTACCACTGAGTCAGAGCATGTCGCTATTCTGCTCAAAACTGTCATGGATTCCTTCTTTAACTCAGAATATCAACTCCCTTCAATGGCCCACAGGCCCTCCATGATCAGTCCTGCCCAACCCATCACCTTTCTGACATCCTCTCCACCTGCACTATCCATCACTCCCCCATTCCCTTGCATGGGCCTCGATGCTGTTCTGTGCTGGAAGGCCTGGCAGTGGCTGTCCCTGATGCCTGGTGCACCTTTACCCAGATAACCTCATGGCTACCTCTCTGAGCTACTTCACTTCTTTGCTCAGATATCACCTTCTCAACAAGGCCTGACTGCCCTCTTGAAAATTCTAACCTGCACTCTTGGCCCATGTCCCTGATCTCTCTTACCCTGCTCTGTTTCTTATTGTTTCTATAACATGTATTACCTTCTGGTATAAAATATAATTCTACTTAATATAATAGATTCAATACAATGTGCTTGGTAATTTATCCCAAGCACCTAGAGCAGTGCTTAGCGCTCAGTAAATATTTATTGAATGAATGACTCATAATGCCTAAACCTCACTGGGTGTTCCCCCTGTGCCAGCCACCACACTCAACATCTTACATGATTATCTCTTTTCGACCTCACAACATGAGGGACAGTCATTTTCCTCATTTTACAGAAATAGATATGTAGAAAATGACATGAATCTACAGCTCATAGCTGAGGTTAGGACACAAAAGTGTCCACAAGGCAGATTTCTTTGGTAACACATTTTGAAAGGATATTGGGGTAGGAGATGGAACAAGCTTTCAAGTTCTCTGCACTCTCTGCTGTGTTTGGTCGTCTCTATTTTTAGCATTGGTATCTTTTGTCTGAATTATAACAGCTTTGAATGTTAGTGTGGTCTTCACCAACTCTAGTAGTTTCAAGAGGTTATAATCTGGGTGACACGTGGGAGTGGGGGTGGTTGATCAATGTGACATAGGGGTAGGTGAGGGGCATGGTTTAAAGTTAGGGTGCCCAGGGAAAGTCACTCAAGCCTCAGTGTTTTCATCCCCAAACTGCTCTCTTAGAGTCCTTTGCAAATATCTATGTCTGATTCTAAATAGTGGGTTAAAGTGTCTGTAAGGTCCCAGGCTTGGCATTCATGGACACTCCTTGGGTTTTCTTTGTTAGAATTTGTGTCCTTCCATCTGCTGTTCCCTGCTGTAAATCTTGGTTATTTTGGTATTCAATAGCTTCTCTAGAAGAAGGCTAAATCAAAGGAAGCACAATGCAAAAACTACATATTGATGCTTCAAGGAAAACCCGGTGGTGTATGATCAAGGGGAGTTGCTGACTGTAACTGGCATTGGGTGCCCGTGGAAAGGGTGGGGACCTGGGTATGACGAGGGTTCAAATAACTACTCTGCTACTTTCTAGTGTAATGAAGAAAAGTCATTTAATCTCCTTGGTTTCCAATTTTCTCATTTATAAAATGAAGATAAAAATTTCTACTGCTCAGGGTTGTTGTAAAGACTCAGTGGTATAGAGAATGCAATGCTGAATTACGTCATATAGGCTGAATTTTAATCTGTTTAGAATAAGACAACTAAATGTCTACTGTCACCATGGAAGGTTGAGGAACAACTCTAAATCATCCCACAACCTAAGAAACCTGCTGTGCTGTTCTCTGGTTTTTGTAAGCTATTCATTCTTGTAAGTTATTCACTCTACTTAGAAGAATAAGAAAACATTCTTTTTAAATTATTTTCATCCTAATGTATGATCCAGCTTACTTGCAAGAATGGAAGGTCCCTGCTTTCCATAATACCACCTTTTCTGTAAACATCTGCCTTATTTCATCCCAAGTCCTTATAACATTGGCATTAGGAAAGAGGTCCTCAGGTCATACACTAGACTCTCTGTTATTCATTTTTAGACTTTCTAGAGCAATGGTTCTGACCTTTGTTGAGTCACGGAGCTCCTTGAAAATCCGATGAAAACTACAGTCCCTCTCTCCAGAAAAATTCTCATCTGTGCATAATTTTGCATATAATTTCAGATCATCCAAGACTCTACTGAAACCATTCATGGACAGAGGTTAAGAACCCTTGCCTAATGGTTGCAACATGGTCATAAGTAATACTGCTCCTTTAATCCTGATGATATTTTGTTATTATTAGCATGAAACAGTAATCTGTCATTTTAAGAGTTTGTTTTCCTAAATTATTTTCTTTATTTTTCCCACTGTGACCAAGAACAAAGGCATTTAGAGTAAGCCATCCAGAATTTACTTTATAGCTCGTGGCTCAGAACACAATTGGTAACTGATCTGTACTGCAAGCGCACTGACAGTAAACTAGTCATTGTTCCTAAGACTCACTAAGGTCAGCCAAGCCCTGAGCACATGTAACTCTCCATAGTTTCCACTTTAACCCTGGACATCTAACTACAAAGCAGAGCTAAAAATAGACCAAGCCGAGCACTTACACTCCACAGAGATGCATTTCCAACCCCAGGGGTTTTAATCAACAACACTGTTCACAATCCAAAGAGAATGCTTTCATTTAGCAGGAAAAAGTTGCTTCATTTTGAGCAAGCTAAAATACAACCTAAAGGAATTATGAAGACTTTGAAGTGTTCAAAAAATATTATCTGCACCTGTGTTCTAGGTCTAAAAAAAGAAAGACTAAAATACCTTCAGGATTGAGTTGGCTTTCTTTGCCTTTCACATTGAATTATTCAAAGGAAAACATATTGGCATTTTCCCTCCTCTTGTTTCTAGGTCAGCATGCTTCTACCAAAAAGTTTAAGTTGTTCAAACATAACAAGCCATAATAAATACCTACCTACAAAAATATATACATAGTAGGAAGGAAAAAGTAATGAGTTTGAACACAGAAAAATAATTACAGTTCCATTCCCTAGAGAAAGTTTATTATCTAAGGCTCTTTATGGCCAAAATGGATAAGTCTTCCGAGGATTATATAGAGCAAATGTTTTCACAATAAAATTTGCTCAAAGGTTTAATTATTAATGATATATCAGACTATGAATAAATATAAAGATTGCATATGTGGCTAAAAGAAGGATTTGTATAAAATTAAGATAATTTTAATATAAAATTTTGCAATAGAGTTGAGAAAATAAAGATCCTTTAAAAATACAAATTCATAAAACTCTAGATTCTACAGCACTGGGGAAATGAAATAAGTACACAAGGAGTTACATTGACAACTGCCTTATAATGAAAATGCCCATCTTCTATAAACCTAGCACAAACAGTCCAGGAAAATGGATATTTAAAATGTAATCTTTCTCTATTACATGTGCTTTCCTAAATGAGGTTCTTAAGCATATCTGCAGAACGTTTTTCAGGGAAACAAATTGAGGCTGTCATATACATATGGTATTAATTCCTCCCAGCTTTTATTTGGAAGCAGTTCGTCTGAGGCAAGTGCTAAAAGAAATGAATTCACCTCAGTGACAGTATTTCCCTATCTGCAGCCAATGTGTGATCCTTATGAATATCCCACGGCAGAATATGACCTATGAAATTGAGACTGCGAAGTGATCCTGTTCCATTTTAATGGAATTTCAGAGTGTTGCCATCATACACTCCAGGTAAACCCCAGCAGAGTCTGGCTCTGTTACTCAACCCAGCAGAAGCTCCCAGGAGGCCACCATCACTGATAAAATGATAGCTGTAGATCAGGTGCTGCTCAAACCCAACAGGGATTTCGGAATTTCTGCCTTTGGAAGCATGCCTCACTTCTAGTTAAACCGACCACTCTATTATTTTCTCAATAACTTTTTAGATTCCCAGAGAAAACAGCTTTTCTAGTTGCCCTACCAGATATTTTGTGGGCTTAAATTTTGTAAGACTGAAAAGTATGTTATGTTTATAGCAAAAAATGCAACCTATGCCAGGTACTTTGGAGAAGAGGAAAAGAGGCAGCAGGTGGTTATCGACCACATAGCCCAGAAATGTCTATGTTTTGAAGATCAGCAGTTTTTTTCTGTGGACTCTAGATAGATTTTAAATAAAAGTCACGTGTATCTTGCAAGTGTTTTTTAATCTCCATGAAATATTTCATTCTGAATATGAAGAAAATAAAACTTGCCTTGGACTGAGAAAGTAAATATCTGCCCAACATTCATCAGGCTGAAACAGCAGACACAGATAAGCCAACTGCAAAGTGAACAGGAAATGACATTTCTCCCAGGGACGTTGCTGTTGTAAAGTGTCATGGTAACGTCCTTCTTTGAGTGACTATAGATTCACTGAGAAACTTTCTTCTCTAATATCAAAGACAATCAGTGAGCTTGCTGTTTAAAATTATATCAGTAAGAATAAAACATCTCACTCTTGCCTGCAGGATCTTAGTTGCTTAATTGAAGCAGAGAAGCAACCTCAATTCCCACTTCTGGTGAGAAGTCCCAGATAAGGGGCTTGGGGATGCAACAGTCCACATTTATCTTAACTTTATTGTTTCCAAAGAAATAGCACCCTGGGTTCACTTTGCAGACCAGACCTGCGTCTAAGCTCCACTCTTCCTAGAAACCTAAAATAACCTTTTTTCCTCTAGTGTTTAGTCTCCTTCATTGCATTGGGTCAATAAACCTAATTTTGTCGGAATACAGGTTGGTTCCTATTATTCTTAGACTGACTGAGATAGGGCCATGTTTTTATCAAATGGTCGAGCTAAAGAAATTATCTGCTGCATAAATAGTAGTTCCGAATTTTAAGTATTTGCTATTAGATATTGAAAAAATATTTAATAGAATATATCTTCGCAGTAGTTCAGTCTCCTGTGCCCTGTGAATTTTAAATTGTATATATCAGCTTCTCATCTAGGCAGAAACATTCTGAGCGCAAGGAAACCCGCTGTGAATACTGAAATGATCTTTTCTCGCCCTGCTGCTGCTAAAGTAACCTGTGGCAAAATTTGCCTGCTCTTAGAAATAGCAAATTGGCAACACAAGCAAGACTCGCCCGTGAGAACACCAGGCTCTTAGTGAAGCTAAAAGAGACAATAAAGGGAAATAGGTAGGCACGGGTCCCGGGTCTCCCAAACAAGGTCTGTCTGCACACTTGGTTGAAATGCAGGGCTGCCGTATTTAAGAAGTAACTGGGAGAGGCTGGGCACGGTGGCTCACGCCTGTAATCCTAGCACTTTGAGAGGCCCAGGCGGGTGGAACACCTGAGGTCAGGGGCTCAAAACCAGCCTAGCCAACATGGTGAAACCCTGTCTCCACTAAAAACACGACATGAGCCGGGCGTGGTGGTGCACGCCTGTAATCCCAGCTACTCGGGAGGCGGAGGCAGGAGAATCGATTGAACCCAGGAGGCAGCAGAGGTTGCAGGGAGCCGAGATCACGCCATTGCACTCCAGCCTGGGCAACAAGAGCGAAACTCTGTCTCAAAAAACCAAAACCGAACCGAAACAAAGCGAGAAGTAACTGGGAGGGTTACTCAGAGCACACGCCTCTTCCTGAGGTTGGAAGGTTGGAGGAGGGCGTCCGACATACCCATGGGAGGAGCCATAATCGTAGGCTGAGGCTGCCTTCCGACTGACTTCAGAGCTCAGGGCGTGCTGCGAGGCCTGCTGCTGGGAGGAGGAGGCGGACGCCCGACGGAAGGCCTCGGACTCCCGGCGGTGCGCGGCGGAGGAGCGGCTGCTGTAGGCCGTGGAGCCCTGGGTGTAGACGGCGGAGCGTTTCTTCTCCCGCTGGTAGTGACTCACGGTGCTGCGCACGTCCTTGTTGCGGTAGCTGAGATCATAGTGCTGGTGGCACCTCTGATAAAAAGGCAAAGACATCCTGTGCCCCTTGAAGGAACCGGGCCACCTGAAGGAAAACAACACTTTTTGAGTGACTTATTAAGGAACAAATTCCATAGACCAAGTCATCTAAATCAATGTGTAAAAATCAATACTCTTGGCTGGGTGCGGTGGTTCATGCTTGAAATCCCAACGAGGATCTCTCGAGGCCGGGAGCTCAAAATCAACCTGGCCAACACAGTGAGACCCTATCTCTACAAAAAGAAAAAATTAGCCGGGTGTGGTGTGTGTGTCTGTAGTCCCAGCTACTCCGGAGGCTGAGGCAGGAGGATTGCTTGAGCCCAAGACTTCGAGGCTGCAGGGAGCTATGATTGACCATTGCACTCAGCTTGGGTGACAGAGCAAGACACTGTCTAAAAACAAAATAAAATAAAAATTAATATTCTTATCTTTTCCGAAGAGTAAACCAAAAAGGGTATGAAGTTTAACATAACTGGATATTCAAAAAACTCTCCACTTCATAGCCCAGATATGCCCCTCCTGTCATTGTACCTTTTTTTAAAAAAAATTGTATCTAGGAGGTTTTCCTAGAAAAACAAAGTTTTTCTACCCTGGCTATTGTGCTCTTTCCTCAGACTCTTCATAATACATATTTCTAATTTTCTGCCATTTCATTCTTCATTTGGGACTTCATTTGGGAGAATGTGGAAGGATAGAGAGTCATGTGGTGTTCATTCAACAAATAATTAGCAGCACCTACTGTGTGCCTGACGCCATCCAGCCCATGAAATCCAGTAGTGAGGCCGGGCACAGTGGGTCACGCCTGTAATCCCAGCACTTTGGGAGGCCGAGGCAGGCGGATCACTTGAGGTCAGGAGTTCAAGACCAGCCCGGCCAACATGGCGAAACCCCATCTCTACTAAAAATACAAAAATTAGCCTGGCATGGTGGTGGGCACCTGTAGTCCCAGCTACTCCGGTGGCTGAGGCAGGAGAATCACTTGAACTCAGAGGCGGAGTTTGCAGTGAGCCGAGGTTGCGCCACTGCACTCCATACTGGGCAACAGAGAAAGACTCTGTCTCACAATGAAACAAAACAAAAAAGAAATACAGTGGTAAACAAAACAGACAAAATGCCTGCTCTAATTACCTTGTACAGAACTGTACAGTCTACTGCAGGAGAAAGACAATAGAGAAAACAAGTAAGTCAAGTATGAGATAGGTTAATGTGC
The DNA here is from genome assembly GCF_000001405.40 of Homo sapiens. Classification (NCBI taxonomy): domain Eukaryota; kingdom Metazoa; phylum Chordata; class Mammalia; order Primates; family Hominidae; genus Homo; species Homo sapiens. Next base: position 3,216,416 of record NC_000018.10, read on the forward strand.
CAAGAACCAGAGAAAAACAAAGCAGGTAAGAGGGATGGATGCAATTTTCAACAGCCTCAGCAGGGATGGCTTCTCTAGACAGTAACATCTGAGCATGAGACTTTCTGGGGAAGAGTATTCCAGAAGGAAGACCAGAGCAAAGGCACTGAGGAATGAACATGACTATTGTGCTCCAGGAACCACTGATTGGCAGGGGTTCTGGGATGGGAGAGGTATAGGAGATGATGTCAAAGAGGTGAGCTATGTGCCTGGTGGAAGGGCCAGTAGTGTAGGGTCCTGTAGGTAGCAGTAAGGACTTCAGCTAATACTGTGAAAGGGCTGAGAGGCCATTGGAAGACTCTGAGCTGAGACTCATTCTCGCCGATGTCTGAAGATGGACTGTGGAGGGATGAGAGTGAAAGCCAGAAGACCTATGAAAGGGCTGAGTTGTATCCTCTCAAAATTCCTGTGTTGAAGCCCTAACCTCCAGTACCTCAACATGTGACCATATTTGGAGATAGGGTCCTTAAAGAGGAAGTTGAGTTAAAATTAGGCCATTAGGATGGGCCGTAATTCTATATGATGGTGTCTCTATAGGAAAAGAAAACCAAGATCCAAATATGTATATAACAGAGGGAAGGCCACGTGGAGACACAGGGAGAAGACAGCCATCCATGAGCCGAGAAGAGACCTGAGAAGAAACCACCCAGCTGACACCTTGATCTTGGACTTCCAGCCTCCAGAGTTGTAAGGTAATAAGTTTCTGTTGTTTAAGCCACCCAGTCCATGGCGCTTAGCTATGATAGCCCGGGCAAAAGAATACAAAGTCCACTGCAATGGTCCAGGCTAGAGGTGACAGGGGTAGCAGCGAAAGTGTGAGAGGTGGTCAAGCTCTGCACAGCTTTTGAAGTTAGAACCAATGGCATTTGCTGAAAGTTCTGAATTAGGATGTGAAAGAAAGAGATGACTCCAAGGTTTTTGCCTGAGCAATTGAAAGACAAGTTGCTATTAACTGAGATGGGGAGGAATGTGGGAAAGTATCAGTTTGGGGTGGAAGAACAGGAGATTGGTTTCAATGCTCTACATCTGAGATGCCTGTTAGACCTCCCAGAGGAGACATTTTAAGTGGGAAGCTGGATACATGACTCTGGAGTGCAGGAGAGAGGTCCAGGATGCAGATATACATTTGGGAGTCAACAGCATATAGGTGGTATCGAAAGCCAAGAAAATAGGTGAGAACCATTGTACACGGAAAAGAAAGTCCTAAAAGAAAACAGATGAGGACCATTATACACAGAAAAGGAAATTACAGGCATGGTGGCTCATGCTTGTAATTCCAGCACTTTGAGAGGCCAAGGCAGGAGGATTTCCTGAGCCCAGGAGTTTGAGACCAGCCTGGGCAACGTGGTGAGACCTTGTCTCTATTATAAAAATTTAAGATAAAATAAAATAAGTAAAATAAAGTCCTAGAACTGAACCCTGGAGTATGCTAATCTTATATATAAGCTCTCTCAAATCTCACAAACATTTCAAGCAAAGGTATAGTCTCAAACCAGAAAACAAAACAAAACAAACAAAAAAACCTGTTTGCTCTATAAGGAACATGCAGGCTTCTAGTCTCCCTACTTAAAGAGGTAAGAGAGTCGATTCCCAGGGTGACAGCTGGCATTGTGAACTTGAGCTAGCAGTTCTACTAAAAGTCAAAGGTATGTTTGTTTAGCATAGGGTGGGGAGATGTCACATGGCCTTAGCATTCTTGAATAGTTTATCCACTGAAGCAGGCCTATCAGCCACGTTGACAACCCTGGATGAAGTAATAGTTTTATAAAAGCTCCACCCCCAAGTGTTTTAATGCTGTAGAATTAGTTTTAAAGTGATCTGTTTTCTCCAAATGTCATTTTTAAAAAAATTCAAAATGAAGAATGAATCCTTCTAAACTCAGCATATTCTTTGTCAAGTTTAAAACTACTTTTTATTTAAACTATTTTAAAAGTCAGCATGTATTCCCCAGAGAAGAAAACTGAGCAAACTTCACTCCAGAAATATTTATCTTAGGGTTCATGGAAGATATCAGTCTACAGGGCATTTCCTAAGGGAAAAAAATAGCTACTAGCAAGCAACTTTGCTTCAACCCTTAAATAGATGGCTATTTTCTGTTACAAAATATGGAGGATAATTACCATGTATAATTAATAACTACTAGATGAATTTTGATAAAACAAAGGGGTTAGAAAATGTTAATACAGAATTACGTTAGGCAGTTATAAAGATATTAGAGAAGTTTCTGTTATGATACTACATTGTAACATGGCACATGTTATTTGAATGATTTTTCAAATAAATAATAAAGAAACTTGTTATGTTATAAACTAAATTCATTCCCCAGATGACTTGAAATGCTGTTATTTTCACAAAATAAAATCTTTAAATATCTTGCCCCAATACTATTTTTTACTCTCTTTATTTCTATTTCTCCCAAATACATTTATTTTTAATAATACTTACTATTCCTCTCACATAGATAGTAAGTTACAAGTAAACAGGGTTTGACTTGAAGCCCACATTGCTGATTGTCACAGCCCTGACCTCTGGAACAAAGGTACAACCACCTCCTCTTCATCAAGTAAGCCCTTGAAGTTAACTAAAGCCAGGATTAGCTCCAACACATGACGGCTGGAGTACGTTGGGAGGAAAGATGGTTTTAGTGTCTTTTGTTTCTTTAAGACCTAAATTTTCTTTCTGAAAATAATTTGAGAATTTAGGAAGAAATACAAATTCCATAGCTGTAATTTATGATACTTTTGTGCAGGCATTAGAGGGCAGAAGCTGATGAAAACGATTCCCAGAAAAATCACTATGTGGGGCTCTATGTTGCCTCTGAAATATTACTTAACCATTTGAGGCCATATCATTGTGCGCGCTCACATTTATCCACATTGCATCGTCACAGCAAGATCCCTGAATTATAAACTAGTGACTTCAGAGTTAATTTTCCTTCTTTCGGTCTAATTTGTAACCAGGGAGCATTGTATGGCACATGCAGGATTGAAAATGCAGGGCCTCCTGTCTCTCATCCATTTCAGATTTCAACCAAACCGTACTTGGAAATAGCATTAAACACACGCTTACAGTTCAATCCGAGGCAGATATGACCTCCTTACAGTTCCAGGAACAGCAGCTTAATTTCAGAAGAATACAGTGATGTGAGAGAAGAGCTGTGCCAGCCCGACTGGCACCCGGCTGTTCTGGTTTCCCTCCCTGGAGCTTCACTTTCCTATTTCTCTGTTATTCTGACATCTCTTTGAGAAAACTGCTGAGTTCAGAAGACAGAAAGAAAGCACTTACACTGCACTGCTGCTAAGCTCATAAGCTATCAAGTGCATTCTTCTGCCTCAGTGTCACACTTACCAGTTTCCAAAGGAGTAATGGTGGTGGAAATGTTCCGATGAGGCCGAGGAGCTGGATGAGAGAATGAAGACTCCACCTAGGTTGAATCCAAGACAATGTTAAGAGGCAGGGCTAAAGACAGGACCCTGGGGGCCAGTTCAAAAATAATGCATGTGGTCAGGCAGTCGAATGTCAGGCCACACAACCAGCCTTTTATGGCCAAGAAGGCAGATAAATATAGCAGCAGATGGGGAGGGTAGTTCCAAACCAGGAGGAGGAGAGGGGCATGGGCAGGTAGCAGCCTTAGTAATATAATTGCATAATGCCGGTCAATGGGTCTGGCCCGATTAAACCAAATATAGGGTTTTTATTTGGCAACAAGAGTTATTTTCAATGTCACTTTATCAGTAGATAATTTAAAAGTGTAATGGAAAGAGTGGTTTGTGTTAACAGCTAAAAATAGGTGTAGTAATATGATTCTCAAAATGGACTTCGTGGAATTTTAATGCCAAGATATGATTCTGAGTGTGCTGTTAACAACACACGTACGGTACATTTAAAAGATACAATGTGAAAAAAGAACTTGAAGCTAACTAAAGGCAAAACAAGGAAGAAATGGGTTACACGTGGTGGCGATTTTTGCCTGACATCACGGTCACTATTTCTCTCACTTCAGGAAAATTTACAAGGTTAAGTCTTAGCTTCAAGCCTGAATATGTGATTTCCTGTTCATTAACTAAAGCCTTTTGAGACGCAACTCAGTGTTTTATCTTTCCTAACTCAGAGTAGGGTCAGTCCATCTAATAAGAGATTCTCTTTCTTTGTTCTTTAAATGGTGTGACCAATTAAGAGGAGGTGTAACCCGGTTGTGAGAGCCTGTGTTGTGGATTCAGACCAGATCTAGATCCCACTATATTGATAGCACTTAGTAGCCATGTAATCTCCAGCAATTTATTTCTCCTTCCTAAGCTTCAGGTTTTTTGTCTATAAAATGGGGATAATCATATCCAAATTATAGGATTGCTGTGGTGATTAAATGTGATACTGCAGACAGAGCACTTGACCTAGTGACAGTCACATAATATAGACTCAGTAAATATCAGCTGTTATTACTGATACCAATAATATAAAAGCTCATTGTTAGATTACATGTATGCAGCAGGTTGGTATTTTGATCTACTGGCCTTATGTTCTGACAGTGATATTACATCAACTGAATAAAGGTCACCTGTGTCTATCAAAATTGTTTTTCTTTCTGAGACAGGGTCTCACTCTGTTGCCCAGGCTGGAGTGCAGTGGTGCAGTCTTGGCTCACTGCAACCTCTGCCTCCCAGGCTCAAGCAATCCTCCCACCTCAGCCTCCCGAGTAGCTACAGGCGCATGCCATCACACTCGGCTAATTTTTTTTTTTAACTCTTGGTAGAAATGGAGTTTCACCATGTTGCCCAGGCTGGTCTCAAACTCCTGGACTCGAGTAATCCACCTGCCTCAGTCTCACAAAGTGCTGGAATTACAGGCGTGAGCCACTGCACCCAGTCTCTATCAAGATATTGAACAGACTCAATATTATAGTATACTTCATCATGACTTTCTTGATGATAACTACAGTTAACACTGTTGAGGACCTATCCAGTGCCAGACACTGGGATAGGCAGTTTATATACATGATCCCACTGACTTATCATACCTTGCAAGGTACAGCTTCATTACCCCGTTGAGGAAAGCAAAGCTTCCAGAAGGGAAGGCATTTGCCAAAGATCACACAGCGGGTAGATGACAGAAACGCAACTTCATTCAGAGACATTTGATTCCAAAGCCCGTGTACTTGTAGTCATGTATTGCTGGCTCCTCCAGTGGCACTTTGATAGTAAGAAACTAGACATTTTGAAATGGCAATACGGGTCTTCACTTGTAATAGACGGTTAGCTTCTGAGCTACTCAAAGTATGTAAAAGAATCTGTTCCACCTAGTTCTGATCCAGGTACCTGTGAAATTCAACCTGGAATTTCTTCATATACATACCTCTGCTATTAGTAAGCATGTGGACATTTTAGCTATCTGGAAGCCATAGGCGAGTTTTCCAAGTGTTATGTTCCCCAAGCATCCATTTGTTCTCTAAATATCCAATACAGAATGCAGTGATTCTTCTCAAGTCTTATCCACCAGCCATTAGGATGATTCCTGGTGAGCTGTTTCTCTAGAGAACATTGGTCAATTGCCCCAAATCTTCTCAAAGCAGAAAAGAGGAAAAATAAACTTATATGCTTTTTAAAAAGTGTTTTACATTAGATGATTTTCTGGGAAATTTGAAATTAACAGCTGGCTAACCACTCCATTAAGTTTTCAGGATAATCACATATCTGTAAGGGTATCATGAGTAAGTGTAATTGACCAGAGTCCACATATATAAAGGAATCATAACTAAGTTACAATAATTGATTCATATGAGCCCAAGTTTTTCTTCTTTAGTTTTATTATCCAGTACATCACCATATGTAATTTATTATGTAGCTAGTTGTAATTCAGATAAATTTGCTGTTAGAAAAACCTGAATCTAGATGATGCCACAGCAGAAAGATCACTTAGGAGATTCTGCTGGGTCTAGCTCATGCTTCTTTTGTCTAAACTTACTGTATATTTGTTTGGAATAAACTCTTGCTTTCACAGGGATCTTGAGTATCAATGAATCAATGATAATATTTTAGTTTTTCTATAGTGTGTGTGCACTTCTCTCATTTTTGTATTTTTAACAAGGATGAAAGTTCAGTAAATATTTAAATGTATTGATACTTGTAGCCAGTACATTTTGACCTAATAAATTATTGTCTGTTAATAAGAAACATAAATGAAACTCTTCTTCTGTAACATTTCTTCCTTCTAATGGACAGTATTGGCACATGGTGCTCTCTATCAACATAAATGTGTACGTGTGCACATACACACATACACACACAAACAGGCATACACACACAGTTAAATGGTTGAGAGGCAGCATAGTATCATATATAGGAGGCTATGCTCTGTGTGGAACAGTCCTGGGTTCCATCCTCTGTCACCTTCTGGTTGTGACTTTAAGGATATTAATCTCTCTAAATCTCAATTTTTTTTTTCTTTTTGAGACAGGGTCTCTCGCTCTGTTGCTCAGGCTGGAATGCAGTGGTGCAATCTTGGCTCACTGCAACCTCGACCTCCTCAGCCTCAAGCAATTCTCCCACCTCAGCCTCCCGAGTAGGTGGGACTACAGGCACATGCCACAACACCTGGCTAATGTTTGTACTTTTGTAGAGATGGGGTTTCACCATGTTGCCAGGATGGTCTCGAACTCCTGAGTTCAAGCAATCTGCCTGCCTTGGCCTCCCAAAGTGCTGGGATTACAGGTGTGAGCCACCATGTCTGGCTGTAAATCTCAATTTCTTAATTCATAAAATGTTTTCATGATAATCATGCATAAGATAATCAAATAAGATATTGTAAAACAGTATTACTTCCTGGCATATAGCAAATAGTCATTAAATATTAGCTACCATTATGAGGACTTATATCTCCTATTTTTGTTCATTTTTTCTTCAATGCGGATGTTTTCCACGGAAGGAAAAGCTTAAATAAATTGTTCAGTGAGCTCTTTTGAAAGCCATAAATTTGCTGTATCCTTCCTACTTCAGTGTTGACTAATTTATAGGCAACACTAAAATAAGAAAGGTATCATATTTGGCATCTAGTCCTGTGGTTTACTGAGTAACTTTGAAAAATCATTTCACCTCTCTGAAGCTCCATTTTCTCATCTGTAAACTAAAGGGCTTAGAGCTAGATGATCACTAAGGTGCTTTCCAGCTCTAATAACCTGTGCTATCAATCCACAAAGTAACTATTCTATTCTTGCCTTGCTCATAAGCAGATTAGCAACATTCTGTGTGGAGCAATTTGTGGGAAGAATAAAACAAATCATCCCTGATCCAAAAACTCTGCTTCTACCTGCTGGCTCACATCTGAAATACTCCTCCCTGAGAGTGTCATTTTATGACTTTAATCCCTACTATGCTGAAAATAACCCAGAAAGGTATTTCAATATGTTATTGTTTCTTTTAAGTCTTTGTGTATAATGAGTAGCGGAGAGGGAGGGAAGCAGAGCCAGCGGTGAGGGTGCGAGTGGCTGGAGAGTGGGGCCTAGGACTCTTATCAGAAGCCAAATTTCATCTAGTTATTAAATGACCTAGATCTAAACTAGGTGAACTAAATCTAACATTAGATTTTTTTTTTTTTTTTTTGAGACACAGGCTCACTGTGTCACCCAGGCTGGAGTGCAATGGCATGATCTCAGCTCACTGCAACCTCCACCTCCCAGGTTCAAGAGATTCTCCTGCTTCAGCCTCCCGAGTAGCTGGGACTACAGGCGCCCGCCTTGTCACCCGGCTAATTTTTGTATTTTTAGTAGGTTTCGCCATGTTGGCCAGGCTGGCCTCGAACTTCTGACCTCAAGTGATCTGCCTGCCTCAGCCTCCCAAAGTTCTGGGATTACAGGCATGAGCTACTGCACCCGACATAAAATTAGATCTAGTTTGAATGTTGAGTGTATCTGGGCAATGGCAAAATTAAGGCCAATGCTGTTGACATCTTGCATCAGAATCCACAGACTGGGAGGGGCCCCTGTGAGCTCCTTTCCCAGTTTTGGAAAGGGGAAGAAGTGCTGGGCTGAAAGCCCAGCCTTGGAAGAGGGCATGCCTGCCATGGTGCAGAACTGGCAGGTAAGTGGGATAGGGCCCGAGCCTTAGTCAGATCCTTGCCTATTACCCTGTCCTCTAGACCAGACTCCAGGCCATTAGGAAGCACAAACATAATTTGTTGTGAAATGCTCCACTCATGGTTATGGAAATGGAATTATCATTATTATTATTATTATTTTTGAAATGGAGTCTCACTCTGTCGCCCAGGCTGGAATGCAGTGGCATAATCTCGGCTCACTGCAACCTCCGCCTCTTGGGTTCAAGCAATTCTCTGCCTCAGCCTCCTAAATAGCTGGGATTGCAGGCGCCCACCACCATGCCCGGCTAATTTTTTGTGTGTTTTTAGTAGAGACAGGGTTTCACCATCTTGGCCAGGTTGGTATTGAACTGCTGACCTCGTGATCCACCCAACTCGGCCTCCCAAAGTGCTGGGATTACAGGCGTGAGCCACCGTGCCCGGCCTATTATTAGTATTATTATTTTATTTTATTTTATTTTATTTTGAGACGGAGTCTCGCTCTTTCACCCAGGCTGGAGCGCAGTGGCGCCATCTCAGCTCACTGCAAGCTCCACCTCCCGGGTTCACACCGTTCTCCTGCCTCAGCCTCCTGAGTAGCTGGGACTACAGGCACCTGCCACCACGCCCAACTAATTTTTTGTATTTTTTTTTAGTAGAGAGTTTCACCGTGTTAGCCAGGATGGTCTCGATCTCCTGACCTCGTGATCTGCCCGCCTTGGCCTCCCAAAGTGCCGGGATTACAGGCGTGAGCCACCGTGCCAGGCCTGGGATTACTTTTTATTCTTCATTAGTCGCCCATACTTCTCTCTCTTCTCAATTCCTTCCTGCATCAAAGAAGCTCATTTTGCCCATCTGAACCTTCTTCCCCTGTTCACAGGAGAAGGGAGGGAAGCCCTTTATTTGTTAAGGTGCACCTGCCCCTTGAATTGTTGGATAATTGAATAGAAGCTGATAAACTACTTCCCTATAAGCCAAAGGAGGGGGGTAGCAAGTGGCCTCTGTTGAAGCTCCCAATACAGAGGGGGAGGAGTGATCTTGGCCTCTTCCAGAGCCCCAGACTCCAGAACAAAGGCTTGGCACCTCTCTTCCTAGACTACTCCTTTTGGAGGTGAAGGAGGGCAGACTCAGTATGAATGGGCAGCGTCTTAAATGCCGAACATGTCCAAAGTCCAGCTGAGCCTTAGCCACATTTAATATGTCCCAAGGCCATGGAAAGTTGACCATGGTTATGCTGATCCACACCCTCCTCCCAGCACGCCCCTTCTTCCCCCTCTCTGGTTAATGAAGAATTGTCTGCATGCTGTATTATGGCTGAGGACAAAGAACAGGTCAGGCAGCCAAGGCTGATTAATCTTTTTGCTTTCCTGTGGTCTGTCAGGAATTGGGTTGACTTAGACTGAAGTATTGCCCTTTCATCATTCACCAGTGATTGTCAGTAAATGATGTGTTTGAATTTCCAGAAATATGACACAATTTCAAAATCTTGCACTTCGAGAAGAGAGATGGCCCCATCAGTATTTTCACATAATGGCATTCGCAACTAGAACTAGAACCAAACTACTGGAGAATCAAAATTCCATTTCATGAATCTGTTCATTTGTAACCCTAATGCATACATTATGTGGCATTTGCTGAAGACCTAAGGAACATTGTGTTCCATTCATTCGTCAGCATGAGTGGTGCACGGGTTGGAGAGTAGAAGTGCTGCAGTAAGCCAGGCACTGGGATTGAGGACAGAATGTGAGCTGACGCTATGACAAAGGGAGAATGCATTCAGACAGAGCTCACTATGTCCTCTTCTGCTTCAAACCTTCCAATGGCTCCTCACTGCCTATTCTTCCCCAGGTGGCCTCCTCAGCATGGCACGAGGGCATCTTCACCCTATGAGCCTCCATAATTCTCCAGCTCCGCCCCTCTCCATTCCCCTGCCTGCCTCCTGAGTTTCAACCACGGGTAATTCCTTGCAAGCCCTCAAACTCCAGGACTCCAGCACCCCGGTTCCCTCACACCTGGTGCTCCTCTCAGCCCTGCCAACACGCGCACACTTCCTCACTTCCTTCACCCCGCTCCTTCAACACCCCGTGCCATCTCCTTCCGGGAGACTTCCCTACTTCCACTAGGATGGGAAGTTTTTCGTGTGGTATTTACGTGTTTACTTTTCTGTCTCTGCACAATGAGTACTCACTGGTAGGAGCGGGATCTCTATGGCTAGGTGCTCCCAGTACCCAGCAAAGCTCCTGACCCACAACAGGCATTTAATAAAGAATTACTGAATGAGGAAAACTGGGAAATGTGGCAAAGGACAACTCCTCAGGACATAGGGACTCCTTAGAGATGGGAAAAAACAAGGGCTAGGAGTCAGTGTGGCCAGGGATCAGCTGTTCAGCTGCGGGGAGGACAACTGCTGTGAGCCCCTCTTAACCTGCGTGTGAGGCTCAGGAGCTGGTGGGTAGATTCTGGGAGAGGGACAAGCCCCTAAGCCAGAAAGCTGCCTGCACGCATAGTCCAGGCCAGGGAACTGGAGGTGAGTATTAGAAAGCAAGACCCCAAAGCCCATTTTCTAACATTTTTTGTCTCTACCTGTTTTTCTGTCTATTCATAAATAGATATCTGGTATGATAATGACTTCCAAATGATGAGATGCTTTCTCTTTCTTTTGTTTTTTTTTAACTTTCTTGTTTGTATTTTTTTTACTTGATTTTAAGATATAATTAGCATCAAGAACTGTGAAGGTATATACATACAATGGAATATTATTCAGCCTTAAAAAGGAGTGAAATCCTGACACACACTACAACATGGATGAACCCTGAAGACATTATGCAAAGTGAAATAAGCCAGTCACACAAGGACAAATAGTGTATGATTCCACTTATATGAGGTACCTAGAGTAGTCGAGTTTATAGAGAAAGCAGAACAGTGGTTGCCAGGGGCTGGGGAAAGGGGGTAATGAGGAGTATAGCTTAATGGGTAGAGTTTCAACATGGGATGATTAAAAAGCTCTAGAGCAATGTGAGCCGGGCGCGGTGGCTCACACCTGTAATCCCAACACTTTGGGAGACCGAGGTGGGCGAGTCACAAGGTCAGGAGTTTGAGACCAGCCTGGCCAACATGGTGAAACCCTGCTTTTACTAAAAATACAAAAAAATTAGCTGGGTATGGTGGCAGGCACCTGTAATCCCAGCTACTTGGGAGGCTGAGGCAGGAGAATCGCTTGAACCCAGCAGGCGGAGGTTGCAGTGAGCCATCGAGCCACTGCACTCTAGGCCAGGGGGCCGTACGAGACTCCATCTCAAAAAAAAATTAATTAATTTTTAAAAAGCTGTAGAGATGTGTAATGGCGATAGTTATACAACAGTGTAAATGTACTTACTGCCACTGAACTGTATCCCTAAAATGGCTAAAATGGTAAATTTAATGTTGTGTATATTTTACCACAATTTTTTAAAAAAAGGAACGCAGGAGTCAGAGATTTTACCCTACTTGCAAACTAAAAAGTGATCCTGCTACAGTTTCATGAGTGTTGACAGAAGACACAAGAAGACAAAGAGCTTTACTCCTGACAGCAAGAGCAGTGGCCAAGTGTCAGCATATTCTTCACTGGTTTGCCAGCCCCCAATCCCCATGTTCCCAAAGGACAACGTGATGAAGACCAGGTGACACCTGCAGTCACAGTGGGCTGCATTACAGAAGAAGAATCTTGACTTTAGAGCACCTGAATATTTCATCATGAGCATTCAGCATACCTGCCCTTTGCTTCAGAGGGAGATATTCTTGTTACACTGGATAGTAAGCGTGTCTGCCTTTTGCTGTGGCTGGAGACACTTACTCTGTCTTCAAAGGCTGTTCACTATATGAACAGTCCTGCAGAAACAGGCTGGAACAACGGAGAGCCAGATCTTCGCTTGCAACATGTGCCGAAACACAAGAAGCCCGCGGAGAACTGTCTCCCGACAATGACTGTGTGTTACTTTTACAAAAATCATATGGTTTTTTTTTTCCTTTAAAAGTAAGAACCAGAATAAAGATCAGCAGATCTGAGTTTTCAGTTTCAATTCATTTCGAATTTCCTTTTAACAGTTTATAGCAATAAAATTGACACACCATAAATTAATCCATTTTAAGAGTAAAGTTCAGGGAGTTTTAGTCAATTTTTACATTGTGCAACCATCACCAAAATCCAGTTTTAAAACACTTCCATCACCCAGAAAAGTTTCCTCAGGCTTGTCTGCAGTTAATCCTGGGTCCCGCGCGTGACCGAGGCCACCACTGACCTCTGTCTCTACAGTTCAGCTTTTTCTAGAAATTTCACACAAATGGAATCCTACCATATGTAGTCATTTGTGTCTGGTTTCTTTCACTTGGCAAGATGTTTTTGAGTTTCATCTGGATACTGGATGCACCAGTATTGCACTTGGTTCTCACCAATGTCCTACCCTGTCCGCAGTTGTCCTTTCAATAACAATGAATGAATGTGTTGTATTGCTCTGCTATAATTTGTTACCTGGTCTCTAAGTGTTGAGCACCTGGAAATTTCCAGTCATTCACCAGGACTAGAAGCTGGAAGCAGGCATTTGGAGCATCTTTAGTTTCAACCCAGCTCTTTTATCACCTCTCTGTGACTTCTTTTGAGAGGCCTTTTTTAGCCTCTCGGGCTCTTGTTTATTCATAGTTCCCCCAATAGAGTGGGATTGGAAGAGTGGTTCTCCTTCCTGGCTATACATTAGTATCACCTGAGGAGCTTTGAAACTGTACTCAGGCCTAGGCCATATTCTAGGACAATTAACTCCATATCTCTGGCATGAGACATGAACATCAGTATTTTTTAAAAGCTCCTAAATGATTCTAACATGCAACCCAAGAGAAAAAAAAAAAAAACCTCTTAGGTCTCTTTCAGTTCGAAAAGGATAAAAGCCTGAATTAAAAAGAAAGCTATAAATATTTTGCACAAATAGAAGTATTCCTTTTTAACTACCTCCTTGGGAAGTATTTGCCCAGAAGGTACTATGAATTGGAGGGTATGTTTTATGAGATTGCTATTTGGAATAATTAGGCTAATGTATAATGTCATCAACCAAATATGAATGTACTCTTTCCTCATTGCCCCATCAATATTGGAATGGTTAATTTTAATTTATTTTTGCAAGTTTAACAGTAGTGAGATGTGGCCGGGCGCGGTGGCTCACGCCTGTAATCCCAGCACTTTGGGAGGTCAAGGCATGCGGATCACCTGAGGTCGAGAGTTCAAGACCAGCCTGACCAACATGGAGAAAACTTGTCTCTATTAAAAATACAAAATTAGCCAGGCGTGGTGGTGCATGCCTGTAATCCCAGCTACTCAGGAGGATGAAGCAGGAGAATGGAGAATCAGTTGAACCCAGGAGGCGGAGGTTGCAGTGAGCCGAGATTGCGCCATTGCACTCCATCCTAGGCAACAAGAGTGAAACTCCATCTCAAAAAAAAAAAAAAAAAAAAAAAGAAGTGAGATATGTCTCATAGCTATCCTCAAATGCGTTTAAAAAATTATTTGTGAGGCTGAGCATGTCCTTAAATGTTATCCCACTATTTGGCTTTCCTCTTCTGTGAGGTATCTTTTTCCTGAGATCATTATTAATCTGTTAATGTGATAATAAAATAGCTACCATTATTTGAGACCTATTGTGTGCTAGATACTATACCAGTGCTTTACAGATATTATTTTATATATTTGTTACAAAATCTCTTCAAGGCAGTTATTATTCCCAAGCTAAAATGAAAATGAGGCAGGAGAATAGGGTCTGGAGGCAGGGAACCTAAGGCCGAATTCATGCTGACTTCCCAGAACTAAATCACAAGGAAAACCCCAACTTTCCATGCCCAGGTAACGAAAGGACCAGAGGCTAATACATTTGCAACCTCCCGTTTTCTGAGTGACAGATGAAAAATTGAAAGTGCCTCTGATTTGTCCCCTCTGGGAGACAATCAGGCTGGTTGCCGGCCAAGTTTTCATTTGCATAGTAGTATAACTTTGTAACTTCACTTCAGCCTCTGATTGGTCACTTTCTGCAACCAATCAGACCTTTGCATAGGGTGTAACTTTGTAACCTTGCTTCAGCCTCTGATTGGCCCTCTCCTGCAATCAATCAGACTGATCTCAGGCCACTACTTCCTTTACCTAGGGTGTACACCAAGTAACCAATGGGGAACTTCTAGAGGGTATTTAAACCCCGGAAAATTCCGTAACTGGGCTCTTGAGCCACTTACTTGGGCCGCTCCCACCATATGGAGTATACTTTCATTTTCAATAAATCTCTGCTTTTGTTGCATCATTCTGTCCTTGCTTTGTTTGTGCATTTTGTCCAATTCTTTGTTCATGATGCCAAGAACTTGGACACCTTCCAACAGTAACAAAAAAACCAAGGCTCAGAGAGGTTAGGCAAGTACCCCAAAGTGACACAGCTACTAAATAATAGAGCTGGGATTTGAACCCAGTTCCAGCTGGCTCTCAAGCACCATTATCTTTGCTAGACAGGAAAGCACTCAATGCCTGCACTACTCATACCCCTTCCTGAGGAAAGCTGCCCTGCTGATGTTTAGAACTAGGTGACCTTGCTTTTTGATCCCAGGTGATGGGTCATTTCTGATCTAAAGGTAACAGTGAATGGCCTGGGCCAAAAAGGCGAGCCAAGCCAATCACACTCCTCCCGTAAGAATTTGAATTTGAAAAGACTGAGTGTCAATACACTTAATAGAAGGAACGAAAGTCAAAGAGGCTGAATCAAGGTATGCCACGGGTGTATTTGGAATCAGATGAGCCACAGCATGCTGAAATTATGAGGGACCGCAAACTAAAGTTAGCAAAGATGGGTGGCAGGGAGCAAACAAAACAAATGGGCTTAAAGAAGCAGAGGTGCAACTGGAGAACAAACATTTGGCCCATGAAACCCTTGAGAGAAAACCTGAAGAGCCAAGCCTTCAAACTACCTCTGTTTTCAGCAGTAATCCAGTCATGTGTATCCCTAAAATATGCATCCTTTTTTTTTTTTTTTTTTTTTTTAGACGGAATTTCACTCTTGCTGCCCAGGCTGGTGTGCAATGGCGCGATCTTGGCTCGCTACAACCTCTGCCTCCCGGGTTCAAGCAATTCTCCTGCCTCAGCCTCCCCAGTAGCTGGAATTAACTACAGGTGCGTGCCACCACGCCCAGCTAATTTTTGTATTTTTAGTAGAGACGGGGTTTCACCATGTTGGCCAGGATGGTCTCGATTTCTTGACCTCGTGATCTGCCAGCCTCGGCCTCCCAAAGTGCTGGGATTACAGGCATGAGCCACTGCGCCCAGCCGCATCCTTTTTTTTTTTTTTTTTTTTTAGTTAATTGGACTGTCCCTGTTCCTTGCAATCAAACAAGCCAAAATAAAATATTCTTTCTATTAAATGTTTGCTAGTGTAGATATTAAGCTTTTACTTGTCATTTACCACAAAAAGTTTCCATTTCAGTTATTTCCTTGCTTTTTTTAATTATATTTTGAATTTTTAAAAGTAGAACCCGGCCAGGAGCAGCGACTCACACCTGTAATCCCAGCACTTTGGGAGGCTGAGGCTGGCGGATCACCTAAGGTCAGGAGTTCAAGACCAGCCTGGCCAACATGGTAAAACCCCGTCTCAACTAAAAATACAAAAATTAGCGGGGTGTTGTGGCACACTCCTGTAATCCCAGCTACTCGAGAGGCTGAGGCACAAGAATTGCTTGAATCCTGGAGGCGGAGCTTGCAGTGAGCCGAGATGGTGCCCTTGTACTCCAGCCTGGGCAACAGAGTAAGACTCCATCATGGAAAAAAAAAAAAGTAGAACCATCCGTCATATAATCAATAACCACTTTACTAGTCAAAAACTTAAATTCATGCAAATGATAGTAACAGAAAGCAGATCAGTGGTTGTGTGGGTCTGGGAGAGGGGACAGGTGGGAAGACTTGGGAGCAATGGGTCACAGTGGAGCCCGAGAGCACTCTGGGGTGATGGGTATGTTACTATCTTGATTGCGATGATGGTTTCACAAGTGTATACATGTATTAAAATTTGTCACTTGGTACAGTTTAAATATGTGTAGTTTATTGTGTTCTAATAATACATTAGTTAAAGCCATTTTTAAAAATGTCTACTCTTCTTCCCAACAAGGATACTTATACAATTCTATTCAACTTATTATGCTTTATGTTCCATGCTTACCTATAATTCACCTGCAGTTGTGATATATGCTATAAGAAATTAATTATATGTTTATATTTTTCAGTTTTAATAATCTATTTTCCAACTGTATTTCACATAAATATGTTTCACCATTGGAAAATCATGTGTTGAGCACTGCAGTTTTAAATTTATTTCTATTAATATTTTTCATTCCTTGGCCAATTTTCCTATTTTTAAACGTAGTACAATCTGATTTGGAGGTTTGAAATTTTGTTCCTTTGTAGTGTTTTAAAGTCATGCTAAGGCATGCACCCTAATGAGCATTTTATAATGGAAAGAGCATATAATAGAAATAATTACTGTAAGAACTAGTATAGATATATTAAAGATTTTATGCATTGTTCTCCCCTGCCTTGGACAATAGTTTTTATTGTGCCTTTATATGTAAACAAGATCTGTCTATGGCTAATCTGGCCACTTCTACTACCTATGTACCACAAAAATTTATTTTTGGACCTAGTGGACCGTACAGAAGTTTGGTAACAACATTCATCTGGTTGAGTTTCAACACAGGATTACTTTCATCATTTACCCACTTGCTAAAACTCCCTTACTTTTTCTACTACTTTTGTTCCAAAGTTCTTAAAGTTTATAGATTTAACTGAGGTTTTACTAAGCACACATGACATGGCTAGCACTCTGCAAGGTATTGAGAGTACAAACAGAGTAAGTTACTCTTGGGAAGCATGTCCCCTTACCCGCTTACTATCAGGGCTTGCTCTTTTTCCTCAAGCAAATAATGAACTGTGTAGCACATGGCAGGACACTGAATAATAGACCCTGGTAAAGCCCCTCCAAACTTAACCTATGGCTCTCTGGCCCTTCAGGGATTACTGGGTAGCACTGCCAGCCCACAGCTTTAATGCTTTACTGAATCAACACTCTGTGAGGTAATGCAAAAAGAGGTGTTATGTGTTCAATGCTGACAAGTCATATGAATGGAAACTGTCCACGGATTCATCTACCATTCCTTCTCCAGAGGAAAGAAGAACTCAATCAAAGTCCATAATACATCTACAGGTGGCTGGTAGAGGCACTGATTTCAGTGGAATTAGGCCTTGCTGGAAATTCTGCAAGAGACCATACAGACTCTTTTTCCGGGAAGAATAACAACAAAAAAGTCAACATTTCAAGTAAATATTCCCACTCCAAATTATTAACACAGTCATTCTTATCAATAGTTAGTATGTTTCACAGATCAATATAGCACAGAGGCTGAAAGGTCAGGCTTTGAAGTTATACAGACATGCGTCACATTCCTACCTTTTCCTCTTACCCAGAATATGACCCTGGGCAGGTCACTAACCTTGCTAAGCTTCAGCTCACTCATCTGTAAAATGGAGGTGACAGTCATTACCTTGCAGCTAATGTTAATGAGAGATAATGTGAATAAAACACTTTGCAGAGAGCTTGGCTCATAGGACGTGCTCAATAAAGAAGAAGAAGAAGAATATAATGTTTATTATTATTGTTAAAAGTATACATTGAAAAACTTCTACTTAGCTAATGTAAAAGTAATATATGTTTACAAGCCAGTTTGGGAAGCAAGTCAAACATACAGGAAACAGTAGAGGAAAATCCCAAATTATGTAACATTGTTCACCGTACTAGGATGTTAAGCATGACATTCCCATTATTTTAGAATTGTGGGAGCTGTCCCAAAAGCTGGAAACGTTCATTGTCAAAACATCTATACAGGACATGTTACAAGATTGTGGAATTAATTTTGTGACCCCCTAGTTAATTATCCACCTCAGGAATTATAGGAGGTAAGAAGATCAATCTTTAGACCCAAGAGATTCTAGGGACACCAGCATCCAGAGTCGTTTGGGGAGAGTTGCCAGCGTGCCACACCCAGCCCACACACAGTGAGGAGTGGGCGGCGATTCTCACAGCATTTTGAAGCTATTGCTGTGCCACCTTCAGCTTGCACGGTTGCTACAGGAAAGCAGGCTGCCAGCCTAATTATTGTTCCATTGAAGACACTCCCTTTTTTTCTGGCAGCTTTTACCATTTCCCTTTTACCCTGCATGTTCTGCAGCTTCATTGTGATAGAACTTACTACAGATTTTATATATTTTATTTTTCCTGCTTGATAGTCAGAGTACACTCTCCATTTGAATGAAAAATTTGGTCTCTCTTTCAGTTTCAGAAAACTCTGTCATTATCTCTTTAAATTTTTTTTTTTTTTAGAGATGGGGGTTCACGCTGGATTGCCCAGGCTGGTCTCGAACTCCTGGCCTCAAGCAGTTCTCCCTCCTCAGCCTCCCAAAGTACTGGGATTACAGGTGTAAGCCACTGCGCCTGGCCCGACATACTTTTGATATTGTTTTTTCCATCATTCTCACTTTATCTTGTTCTGGCTTTCCTATACACAAATTTATACCATGTCATCTCAATACATCCTCCATGATTCTTGACAGCACTTCTACATTTTTTTCTTTTTGTCTCTTTGTACTGTGTTTGGGTTAAGGCCTCAGTACTTCTAATCCATTACCTCAAAATGTCCCAAATGATAACTGTCATTTCCTACCATTACCACACTCTGCCCTCCAAACTATTTCTCCTCCTTACTTCAGTGAGTGGCCTTACCATCTGTCAGAAATCTTGAGCTTCTCCCAGACTTACCCTCTGCTAATCCTCCATACTATTACTAGAGTGCTTTTTAAATAATACGATTCTGAACATACTAATCCCATACTTAAAATGTATGCATGGCATCCCACTGACCTTTGAAACATGGCTTAGAAGTCACTGAGGACACAGTCCCTGCTTCCCTTGTTGGCCTCATGTTTCTAAATTTTCCCTTTATATTCTGCCTTCTAGCAATTCATTCATTCAAATATGCATCTTTATACATTGAATGCCTATAATGTGCCAACTACTCTTCTGGACCTTGGGATACTTTAGTAAACAAAGCAGCCAAAAGATCCTCTTCATGGAACTTAGTAGGGGAGACAGATGGTAAACAAAATGAGTAAAGTGCCTGGTGTGTTGGAAGTAATAAGTGCAATGGAAAAAATAAACCGAGAGAGGGGAACGCTGTGGGTGGAAGCTGGGTGATGGAGACTTAAAATGGAATGACCAGAGAAGGCTTTACTGAGATGGTAGTATCTTCTTGAAGATGCGAAAGAGTTGAGGGCATGAGTAGTGAAGAATCTGAAGAAAGAGCATTGAAATCAGGAACATCAAATGCAAAGGTCTTGAGGTGGAAAGTTATGTGACTTGTTCAAGAAACATTTAGGATGTCAATATGGCTGAGCAGACTGGGGAGGGCAGGAAGTAGGAGAAGAGGGTGGGGAAGTTCCCAGAACCTGAGTTATTGGGCCTTGCAGGCCATGGTAAAGCACTGGGCTTTTACTCTGAGTGAAGTAGGACACTTCACTCAGCATAGTCACGTAAGTAGAGGTGGTAGGACACTTCACTTCACCATGGAGGGTGTCAGGCAGAACAATGATGTGCTCTAGTTTATAGTTAAAGGATTACTCTATCTGCTATGTGGAGAACAGACTATAGGAAGAAAAGGAAGTAAGAAAACTACTTAGACCTCTTTAGGAGGCTTTAACAAAAGTCCAGGCTTGAGATGAAAATGACTTGCACTGGGATAGTGGCAGTAGAAGTGGTGAGACTTAATAAAATTCTGGATATATTTTGAAGGACTTTGCTAATAGGCTTGTGCTAATTATGGTTTTAGGCCATGGAGATACATCTATGAACAAAGAAGACAGAAAATCCTACCAGAATTGACTGAAAAGTTGAGTGAGGGGCAGGAAAGAAAAAGAGGTGGCAAAGGTGAGTCAAAGTTTTCGGCCTGAGCAACTTAAAGGATGGAGAAGACAAACAGGATGAGCAGGTTTTGGAGGTAAGATTAGATCATTTGTGGAGTGTGAAGGTTTACATGCCCAACAGACATCCTCATGGAGCTGTCAAGTGAGAGGTTAGATATGTGAGTCTGGAGTAAAGGTCACAGGTCTTGGCTAGAGATACACACTTGGTGATCGGTGTATAAGTGGTATTTAAAGCTATGAGAGTGGATGAGGTCAGCTCAAAAGGACGGCTGACAGAAAAGAGAAGAGATCCAAGCACTGAATCCTAGGCTACTCCATGTGATTAGCGAAATTAGGAGGAATTGGCAAAGGAGACTGAAGAGTAACCACAAATGAAGGCAGAAACCAGGACAGTGTGGCATCCTGGAAGCCAGAGAAGAAGGTATTTCAAAGGTGAGGGAGTGAGCACCTTTTCTAATACTATTTGAGAACTGTGAATTGGCTATGAGGATGTAGAGGTCACTGGTGACCTTGACGAGCACACATTTGATGGAGTGGTCAGAAAAAAAAGATTTATTATAGCAGATTCAAGAGATAATTGGTCAGAAAAGGATCACTGAGAAAGAAAAAAGTAAAAACTAAAATAAAGAGAGAATTGGGTTTGTATACCCATGTTCATAGCAGCACTACTCACAATAGCTAAAATGTAGAAGCAACCCAAGTGTCCATCAACAAATGAACAGATAAGGAAAATGTGGTGTATACATATCGTGGAATATCATTCAGCCTTAAAAAGGAAAGACATGGCCGGGTGTGGTGGCTCACGCCTGTAATCCCAGCACGGTGGGAGGCTGAGGCAGGTGGATCACGAGGTCAGGAGATCAAGACCATCCTGGCTAACAAGGTGAAACCCAGTCTCTACTAAAAATACAAAAATTAGCCGGGCGTGGTGGCGGGCACCTGGAATCCCAGCTACTTGGGAGGCTGAGGCAGGAGAATGGCGTGAACCCGGGAGGTGGAGCTTGCAGTGAGCCGAGATCACACCACTGCACTCCAGCCTGGGCAACAGTGCAAGACTCCGTCTCAAAAAAAAAAAAAAAAAAAAAAAAGGAAATACATTCTGACATGTTACAACATCGGTGAACCTCAAGAACATTATGCTAAGTGAAATAAGCCAGTCACAAAAAGACAAATACTCTTATGATTCCATAACTTACATGAAATACTTAGAGTGGCCAGAATTCTAGACAGAAAGTAGAATGGTGGTTACTGGGGGAAGGGAGGAATGGGGAGTTATTGTTTAATGGTCATAGAATTTCAGTTTTACAAGATGCAAAGAGTTATGGAGCTGGATGGTGGTGATGCATAACACTACAAATATATTTAATCCACTAAGCTTTTAGTTCCCAACCTTTTTGGCACCAGGGATCAGTTTCGAGGAAGACGATATTTCCAGGGACTGGGGCAGGGGTGGCGGTCGGGGGGCAATGATTTCAGAATGATTCAACTCATTACATTTATAGTGCATCTTATTTCTGTTATTATTACATTGTAATATATAATGAAATACATATACAACTCACCATAATGTAGAATCAGTGGGAGCCCTGGGCTTGTTCTCCTACAACTGGACGGTCCCATCTCAGGGGTGATGGGAGACAGTGACAGATCATCAGGCATTAGATTCTCAAAAGGAGAACATGACCTAGATTCCTCGCAATGCACAGTTCACAATAGGGCTCATGCTCCTAAGAGAATCTAAAGCCACTGCCGATCTGACAGCAGACAGAGCTCACGCAGTAATGTGAGCGATGGGGAGCAGTTGTAAGTACAGACAAAGCATCACTCCCTCCGACCTGGGGGAGGGGGGAGGCAGGGGGTGTTGGGGACCCCTGCACTGAGCTATACAATAAACATGGTGAAGATGGGAAATTTCATGTTATGTACATTTTACTAAATTGGTGGGGGGGTGGGGGCATCGAGAACCAGTGAGTACAGGTGACTTGGTGACTTATTTAAAGGGTTTTCTATAAGGGAGCAAGAAAATAGGACAACAGCTGAAGCGAGTTTTTGTTGTTTGTTTGTGATACGGTACATTAGTTTTTTATTGCTGCTGTAACAAATTACCACAAATTTAGTGGCTTAAAACAACACAACTTAGTCATCTTACAATCTTGTAGGTTGGAAGTCCAATGTGGATCTCACCAGGCTAAAATTAAGCTGTCAGGGAGACTGTGTTCCTTTCCTGAGGCTCTAGGGGAGAATCAGTTTCCTAGCCTGTTTCAGCTTCTAGAGGCTTCCTGCATTCCCTGGCTCCTGACCCCTTCTTCCATCTTTAAGGCCAGCAACATTGTATCTCTTTGACCCTTCTTCCACAGTCACATCTTTCTCTAACAGTCTTCTTCTGCCTCCCTCTTCTTCCAAGACCTCTTGTGGCAACGCTGGGTATACCCAGATAGTACAGGATAATCTCTGTATTTTAAGATCAGCTCATTATTAACCTCATTCCATCTTCTCCCTTGATTCTCCTCTGCTGTGTAACCTAACACAATCACAGGTTCTGGGAATTAGGACAGGGATATCTTTTGGGGGTCCTTAGTCTGCTTATACATACGGGGTACATTACAGCATTCATGTTGATGGGGATACTCCAACAGAGAGAACTTGATGATGCAGGAGAGGGCAGAATTGCTGGTGTGGCATGAGCAAGAAAACAGAGGAGCTGGCTTTCTATAGGAGCAAGGAGAGTTCCTCTCTAGTTAGCAGGAGAGGAGGGGGAGGACAATGCATGAAGACAGATGTTGGCTGGTGGGTAAATGTGGTGGGGGCTCGTGAGAGCCATTATCTTCTCAGTGACTTAGCAGCAAGGTTGTCAACTGAGAGTGAGGATAGAATAGAATGTGTTAGAGGTGTGAAGAGACAAAAGTTATAAAACTGACATCAAATAGACAAGAGCATGGGCCAGGGGATGGTGCCTCATGCCTGTAATCTCAACACTTTTGAGGCCAACGCAGGCAGAGAGCTAGAGCTCAGGAGTTCAAGACCAAGCCTGAGCAACGTGGAGAAATCCTGTCTCTACAAATAATACAAAAATTAGCCAGGTGTAGTGGTGTACACCTGTAGTCCTAGCTACTCAGGAAGCTGAGGTGGGAGGACTGATTGACCCTTAGGAGGCCAAGGCTGCAGTGAGCCATGATGGTACCACTGCAGTCTGGCCTGGGTGACACAGCAACACCTTGTCTCAAAAAAAAAAAAAAAAAAAAAAAAAAAGAAATTGAGAGAGCGGAGCATGAAAAGACTAGAGAAATGTTGTGGGCATCGAGGGCCCACTTGAAGTCTGTGGTCATTAACTTAAAGTGCAACCACTTAGCTTGTTTCCTACACTCAAGTGGACAAAGAATTCATATATTTATTAGTCAGAGTAGTAAATTTCTCCCTAAGAAATTTACATGGATTATTGTGCTTTATCCTCACAACCACTGAATAAAGTGGGCACTATTATTATGCCCTTTTACAGATGAGGAAACTAAAAGATTGGCTAAAGTAAGCATCGACTATAATTTTTGTTTTAGGTATTAGTTTTATTTCGGGGATTCAAAAATAATATTTGTGTCATAAGATTAATTTAGTAAATGTAATTTAATCACTACGTTTATTCATTAACGAACTATTATAGTATCACTATGTTAGGCTATATACTTCAAAACAGCTTAGATATCAGGAATCTTTGTCTTTTAACAGTTAAAACAGCATTTCTCCAGTTAACTATCAGAGCCAGTGATATGGTTTGGCTGTGTCCCCACCCAAATCTCATCCTGAATTCCCACATGTTGTGGGAGGGATCCGGTGGGAGGTAACTGAATCATGGGGGCAGGTCTTTCCCGTGCTGTTCTCATGATAGTGAATAACTCTGACGAGATCTGATGGTTTTAAAAAGGAGAGTTTCCCTGCACAAGTTTTTCTTCTCTTGTCTGCCACCATGTAGACATGCCTTTCATCTTCTGCCATAATTGTGAGGCCTCCTCAGCCACATGGAAATGTAAGTCCACTAAACCTCATTCTTTTTTAAATTGCCCAGTATCAGGTATGTCTTTATCAGTAGCATAAAAATGGATTAATATAGCAAATTGGTACCAGTAGAGTGGGCGCTGCTGAAAAGATACCCAAAAATGTGGAAGTGACTTTGTAACTAGGTAACACACAGAGGCTGGAACAGTTTGGAGGGCTCAGAAGAAGAGAGGAAAATGTGGAAAAGTTTGGAACTTCCTAGAGACTAGTTGAATGGCTTTGCCCAAAATGCTGATACTGATAGTGACAATGAAATCCAGGTTGAGGTGGTCTCAGATGGAGATGAGGAACTTGTTGGGAACTGGAGTAAAGGTGACTCTTGCTATGTTTTAGCAAAGAGACTGGTGACATTTCGCCCCTGCCATAGAGATTTGTGGAACTCCGAACTTGAGAGAGATGATTTAGGGTATCTGGCAGAAGAAATTTCTAAGCAGCAAAGAATTTAGGAGATGACTTGGTGCTGTTAAAGGCATTCAGTTTTGTAAGGGAAGCAGAGCATGAAAGTCTGGAAAATTTGCAGCCTGAAAATGCAATAGAAAAGAAAATTCCATTTTCTGAGGAGAAATTTAAGCCGGTTGCAGAAATTTGAATAAGTAACGAGGAGGTGAATGTTAATCCCAAGACAATGGGGAAAATATTTCCAGGGCATCTCAGAGGTCTTCATGGCAGCCCCTCCCATCACAGGACTGGAGGCCAAGGAGGAAAAAGTGATTTCATGGGCCAGGTCCAGGGTCCCTATGCTGCAGGCAGCCTAGGGACTTGGTGCCCTGCATCCCAGCTGCTCCAGCCATGGCTGAAAGGGGCCAAGGTACAGCTCGGGCCGTGGCCTCAAAGGGTGCAAGACCCAAGCCTTGGCAGCTTCCACATGGTGTTGGGCCTGCAGTGCACAGAAGTCAAAAATTGGGGTTTGGGAAACTCCACCTAGATTTCAGAGGTTGTATGGAAACACCTGGATGCCCAAGCAGAAGTTTGCTGCAGGGGCGGGGCCCTCATGGAGAACCTCTGCTAGGGCAGTGCAGAAAGGAAATGTGGGGTGGGAGACCCAACACAGACTCCCTACTGGGGCCCCACTCAGTGGAGCTGTGAGAAGAGGACCACTGTCCTCCAGACCACAGAGTGATGGATACACCGACAACTTGCACTGTGTGCCTGGAAAGCAACAGACACTCAGCGTCAGCCTGGGAAAGCAGCCAGGAGGGAGGCTGTACCCTGCAAAGCCACAGGAGCAGAGCTTCCCAAGACCGTGGGAACCCACCTCTTACATCAGCGTGACCTGGATGTGAGACATGGAGTCAAAGGAGATCATTTTGGAGCTTTAAGATTTGACTGCCCTGCTGGATTTTGGACTTGCTTGGAGCCTGTAGTCCCTTTGTTTTGGCCAATTTCTCCTATTTGGAATGGCTATATTTACCCAATGCCTGTACCCCCCTTGTATCTAGGAAGTAACTAACTTGCTTTTAATTTTACAGGCTCACAGGTGCAAGGGACTTGCCTTGACTCAGATGAGATTTTGGACTGTGGACTTCTGAGTTAATGCTGAAATAACACTTTGGGGGGCTGCTGGGAAGGCATGATTGGTTTTGAAAAGTGAGGACATGAGATTTAGGAGGGGCCAGGGTGGAAGGATACGGCTTGGCTCTGTGTCCCCACCCAAATCTCATCTTAAATTCCCACGTGTTGTGGGACGGACCCAGTGGGAGGTAATTGAATCATGGGGGCAGTTCTTTCCTGTGCTATTCTCATGATAGTTAATAAGTCTCATGAGATCTGATGGCTTTAAAAAGGAGAGTTTCCCTGCATAAGCTCTTCTCTGCCACCATGTGAGATGTGACTTTCATCTTCCGCAATGATTGTGAAGCCTCCCCAGCCACATGGAACTGTAAGTCCATTAAACCTCTTTCTTTTGTAAATTACCCAGTCTCAGGTATGTCTTTTTTTCTTTTCTGAGATGGAGTCTTGCTCTGTAGCCCAGGCTTGAGGGCAGCGGCATGATCTCGGCTCACTGCAACCTCCGTCTCTCAGGTTCAAGTGATTCTCCAACCTCAGCCTCCCGAGTAGCTGGAATTACAGGCACGCACCACCACGCCCAGTTAATTTTTGTATTTTTAGTAGAGATGGGGTTTCACCATGTTGGCCAGGCTAGTCTCGAACTCCTGACCTCAAGCGATCCAGTCACTTTGGCCTCCCAAAGTGCTGGGATTACAGGCATGAGCCTCTGCGCCTGACCTCGGGTATGTCTTTATCAGCAGAATGAAAACAGACTAATACTGCCAGATAATTTATTATCTATATAATCCTTATTCCTTTTTTTGTTTGCTTTATTCATATTCTCTGTTCTTACATCTCATTTAGTATTTTAATTTTTCTAAGCATGTATCTATTTAACTTATTTTTTCAAATTTTCTAGTATGGAAGTAATAAGTATCCCCAAATACCCTTAATTCAATTTCACATAATTTTTTATCTCATTTATCATCCCTGACTTTAATGATAATTCTGACTAAAGTTTTTTAAAAAGCAATTCTTTATATATGTAGAATCTTCTATATCTTTGTAATATATTATTTGTAGTTTTGGTGCTCTAAAATTAATTATTATACAGATTTATGTAAACGCTTATTCATTTAAAAGAAAGGAGCTCCTCCTACTGTTTTCCTGAATTAAAGGATTAATGCTAATTGTTACATCATAAATATTTCATGTATGAAGAATTAGAATTCCATGTATGTAGGCAAAACCAGAATGTAAGCCATGTCCCTTAACATTCAATAGTTTCTTACATGCAATAAAAATTGCAAGTGATCCATATAAAATCATTGACTTAGGTTGTAAATACCAAGGATCCATTCTGCTATGCTTCCTTGCTGTTGTTTGGGTAACGAAATTTTCCTACTTTGGACCAAAGGAGAAAGCACAGTACAGTAAAATAAAATATGGGCTTCGGGCTGGGCCACTTACTAGCTATGTGCACTTGAACAATTGACCAGTTACCATGTATTTACCGGCACCTGTGGATATTAGGCATTGTATTAGGAGTTAGAGATATGTGGATAAATATCCACATATTTACTGTTTTCCTTTCTATTCTACCCCCGGACAATCAGAGACAGGATTTATAACCCAGGTTCTTTCATTACCTTTTGGGAAACCTGTGCAGATCATTCAAGTATTTGAGCTTGTGTCCCAATCAATGAAACGGAGGTAATAATGTCTATCTCACAGGGTTGTTGTAAGAATTATATATTAGAAATGTTTATATAGAATACCTAGCACATAATAGGCACAGATAATAATAACTGTCCATTCCATTTTTTTCTCCCTTTAGATCTCACTTGGGGAAAAAAAACACCACCACCTTACTCTGAGGCAGGAGCAATGGATAGTGACCTTGTAGAAATTATAGTACTCCCGAAATAATTGATTGCTATAAATATTGAGTTTCCAAATGATTAGTGCTGGGTTTTCTCAACCTAAGCACTACTGACTTTTTGGGCTGAATAACGTTCTGTTGTCGAGGGCCGTCCTGTGCATAGTAGGATGTTTCGCAGCGTCCCTGGCTTCTCCCCACTAGATGCAGTATCTGTCCCGTTTGTGAAAAGCAAAACTGTCTCTCCAGACATCGCCAAATGTTCCTTCAGGGCAAAACCCAACCACCACTCCTCCACTATTGAGAACCACTGCAATAGTGGATCATAAGCTCACATTTAGTGGGCCTTGAGAGGTATTCTAAAAATTAAATGACATAGAATTTGCTATGGACTGAATTGTGTGTCCCCTCCCTGCCAAATTCATATGTTGAAGGCCTAACCCCCAGTGTGACTGTATCTGGAGATATAATTAAAATATAATTAAGGTTAAATGAAGTCATAACGGTCGGCCCTAATTCCATTAACACTGAAGGCTCATAAGAGGAAGAGATCCCAGCCATTTGGGAGGCACAGACGGGCAGATCACTTGATGTCAGGAGTTTGAGACCAGCCTGGCCAACATGGTGAAACTCTGTCTCTACTAAAAGTACAAAAAAAGAGGCCAGGTGTGGCGTCTCATGCCTGTAATCCAAGCACTTTGGGAGGCTGAGGCGGGTGGATCACCTGAGGTCAGGAGTTGGCAACCAGCCTGGCCAACATGGTGAAACCGTCTCTACTAAAATACAAAAAAAAAAAAAAAATTAGCCAGGCGTGGTGGCACATGCCTGTAATCCCAGCTACTTGGGAGGCTGAGGCACAAGAATCACCTGAACCTAGGAGGCAGAGGTTGCAGTGAGCTGAGATCGTGCCACTGCACTCCAGCCTGGGCGACAGAGTGAGACTCCATCTCAAAAAAATAAGTAAATAAAAGTAAAAAAATAAAAATACAAAAAAAAAAATTTAAAAAGGAAAAAAAAAAAAGAGGAAGAGAGTGAGATCTCTCTGCCACATGAGAACACAGGGAGAAGGCGACTGACTATCTGCAAGTCAGGATGAGGGCCTTCAATCGAATTGGCCAGCACTTTGATCTTGGACTTCCCGGCCTCCAGAAGTATAAGAAATAAATTTCTGTTGTTTAAGCCGCCCAGTGTGTAGTATTTTGTATGGCAGCTAAAGCAGACTAATAACAGAATTGAAAAGAACAGAATAGAAATCCTTGAAAAACATTATAGGTAGTCAAGTATTTCTTAGTGAAATAAATTTCTTACTATGAGTATTGGTCAAAAGATTGAGGGAGGATGGCTTGAGCCTGGGAGATGGAGGCTGCAGTGAGCTGTGATAGAACACAGCACTCCAGCCTGGGCAATAGAGCAAGACCCTGTTTCACTCTATTTGGAGCAGAATTCAAGTCTCCAAACTTTTAGTAAAAACGTGAGAAGGAGATTATCACATGGAGGCAAAGATCTCCCATAGGGTCCAAAGGATAGAAATATCAGAGTCAGAGGCCTTTGATGGTGGGTCCAGTCATGAAAACTGAGTATCAAAATACTAGGTGGACATTTGAAGAACATTTTATCGAGATGCTATTTTTCCACATTGGTTGACTAACCGTTTTTAAATCCATAGTTGTGGAATGAATAAATGAATGAATGAACACAGACTACACAATTCCTGTTCATCTTCAATCAGCCAGGCCCTCTGATCACCTCCAGACAATCAGGCATGCTGCTCCCTCTGCCTGGCATCTCCCTCTCCTTTTCTTTCCCCACTGAATTAATTCTAGAATTAGCTCTTTAACATCCCCTGGGGGACACCTTCCACTAGTTCCCAGACAAGTTTACGCTTCGTTTGTGCTCCTTCAATAGGCCCTAACTAACTGTACTGCAATTATTATATCTGTTCCACCCTTGTTCCCTGATACTCCGCTAACTCCGCATTTTTTCTATTCCTCCCGCCCCCATCCCCAAGGTAGCAACAACTATGTTCTGCTCCGGAAAGCATAAGCCACAGCCCCCACCACAGTGCTTGGCAATGCGGTTGCTGTTTAATACCTGCTGACTGAGTGGAAGGAAGACAAAACAATTACCTGACTCAAAGAGAAGCAAAAGAATGCTGCCTTCAAGCTGAGGGGAAGACTGAACTGTCCGTTTCTTTCTGCTCTAAAGTGTCCTCTGGAGAGGACGCTGGCGGAGCTGGTGCTCTCGTGGTGGCAGGCCACCACCCTGTGGAGGTGTCCATGCATTGCAAGTGCTCGCAAGCTCCAGGAACAAACGCATCCGCGCAGCCGTCTGGGGTTTGTCCCGTCGCTGCCAGCCCTCTCGCTGAGTCCCCGCCCTCGCCGATAAGAGCCCACTTAGGACCCCCATTACATGGATGGCTTCCCAGGACCTGCCCTTAAAGACTCCGATTTAGTAGGTTGGAAATGACGCAATTATTTTTATTTTTAATTAGTACCCCAAGTCATTCTTTACCATCAAGGAAGTTTGGGAAACAGATCACTTTTGTTTCAATCACCTGTGGAACTGGAGCAGTTATTTTTTTCCCCAGCGACTTTACCACGAAGTTAACTTTGGAATACGTTAGTGGTTAATACACGGAACGTTCCCGAGATCCCTCAAGAAAGAAGCTACGAATACTTAGAAGATACTATTCCGCGGCGTTTACAGCAACACTGTCCGTTCCAGAAGGATTCAAGTGGCGGCCTGCTTTGAAGGCGAAGACCACAGGGCAACCCAAACTTCAGAAGGGTTCTGGCCACGGGAGCCACACTGGTCACTGTCCCCTAGTGCTGGGATGACGGCTCGAGTGTTAGAGGATCCCACTCTCTCCTCTGGTAGGTGAGGTCAGAGAGCTGAGGGGGCCAGAACAAGTCTTCCTTATCGGATTCTGGGCGGAAAAAGATAAAGTCGGGGAGGACTTTCTCTTTTTAATAAGATTCATCGTTACGAATTGTTCTAGGCAAGCAGACCTCAGGAGAAATAGGCCCAAGTTTTGATTCCTGTTTTCACCAAGTCGCAAGTCCTAATCGTAGCAAGAGGTGCGGGGAAGAGTCGCCTTCCTTCCTGCATAGTGGGATCCAAGTCAGGCTGTCCTTGTTAGCCAGGGTCAAAGGGGCTCTGCCAGGGAAAAACGACGGCAAATGTTTTTCAAGAGGAAGTCTCCAGCCACTTGTGACCTGGGAAATCCGTCTGGGCCAAAAAGATAGTGGAGGCTTGGCTGAGGGCCCCAGGGACACACGTTTCCTCCCGTATGGAGGGGGCGGGACTCTTAATAAAATTACACTGCACACAGAGCTAGCATCAAGATCCGCTCCCGGGATACGCGCACTGCTCCGGGGCCCTCAGGCGGAGACCCAGACCCCGCGCGGGGCGTCAAGCGCAGGCGCACTACCGCCCACAAGCTGGAGCCCGGCTTCGGGGCGGGGCGAGGGTCAGTCACGTGGGCCCGCAGCCCTCTCCTCGATTTCCCTACAAGGACTTGGGCCGACGGGCCCCGCCCTTCGCCGTGCCCTGGAATGTGCGGCCAGGCAAAGCCACAGGACGGACGCAACCATCTGCGGAAAGGATAGGGGGGAGGAAGACTTAACACTGCAACAACAGGTACAAAAAAGAAGGAAACTCAGTAACAGGACCCAGAGGACCATTATATATTGCTCTATATTCTAGGTCGCCCACTTTACACTTCCTTCTCATGCACTTGGTCAATACCACGCCCGCTGACCACACTGGCGACTTCCCTCTCTGTCGCCCCTCCGTGAAGTCAGACCCACTCTGCGGGCCAAGAAAGGTGACCGGGCTTCCTTCCGGCTTGCTAAGCAGAGGCCGGAAGCGGTGGTTTTTAGCGGCTCTCTGGGTAGCAGGGTGGTGTGATAGCGGCAGCGAGGGGCTCGGAGAGGTGCTCGGATTCTCGTAGCTGTGCCGGGTGAGTGGCGCTCGCGTTCGGGCGCGTGAGACCCATCCCGGGGACCCGTCTCCGCGGGGGCAGCTGGAGGGCGGCGGGGCTCCTGGCGCCGGTAGCGCACCTGGGCAGGTGTGCCAGCCAGGTCCCCGGTTCTGGGATCCGAGGCCATGGCTTGGAGTGGCCCAGACCCGAACTTCGCTCCTGTGCCCAAACTTGGAACTCTGGAAATGTGGCTTCGCTCACTGGCGCCTTGAGCTTGGGCGACTGCCGGGCCCGCGAAACCCGACCCCTGCAGAGCTGACTCCGGGACTATTTTAGTTTCTAACGTCAACTTGCCCGATTCAAGAGGGTTTGCGCAAAAACGTAGCCCGTTGTCCCCCTGCTGCAGCTGTTGTTGCAGCTGTGTGGCTGCGTTTAGTAGGAATAACCAACTCAAATTGGGAAGTTCTTCAGCTCAGTATCCGCTCCTGTAATTAGAACTTTTTTTCTTTAAGCGATGAAATTTTGGACAGAGAGATCTGGAGTTTAGTTTGTGACTCGAAGAAAAACTCCAAAATGTAATACCTTGTCCCATTTGGGGGGAAAGTTTGGGCTAATTCAATTCGCCATGGAAGTGTCTTCTTTTTAAAGTAGTTTAGTAGGTATATGAATGTATCTGTCAGTTCTTGAGAGACCTATGGATTTAGCAGAGATTTTAACTTAAGTGCAAAAAGTTTCATATTTAAAGGCGAATAAAGCGAATATTTCTTAAAATTATTGGTATTTGTTTCATGTTCTGGAAGGGCTCTAATAAACGGTAATCAGAAAAGCACTCTATTTTCAAAAGCGAGGCTTTACTGGCAAGTCAGCCCTCACAGCTAATTGTCTTTGTCCAGTGGTGAGAACTTTTGGGTGTGGCAGTCCAAGAGAACGAATCCTACCTTCAACCGGAAGTTTGCATAAGAAATGAAACTTGGTTTACTTGGAACGGAAGCACCAACTTGAAATACACTTTTTAAAAATTGTGGTTAGCACCAGAAAATAAGTTATACTTAGGCTTTTTTTTTTTAAGTGCATTGATTAAATGAGGCGGTATATTTGGTCAGGGTTTAGAAAGCCCACCAAATACTAGGTGCTATCACAGTACGCAGTGTTTTGTAAGATGGTGGTTTTTTCTTGCAGAATGTGTGATATTTCTCAGAATATTATCAATTTGAGTGTTCGTTTTGTAGAAGAAGTTTCTAGGTTATTTTACATTTATTGCCACTTTGTAAATAAATGCTGGACTCTAGGATTCTAACCACAGAACTCTAATGTATATATTGGTATGGATTAATCCCATTTTATAAATGAACATAGTTTCTAGAGATTCTGAAAACTTCTTGTGTCCTTTGGTGTGTGGGGAAAGCCACTTTGAGAATCTCTTCTATTTCTCCCACCTATTAATCTAGTCTAACATTTTCCTTAATCATGTTGTGTATCTCTCGTTACAGCCCACAATGATTCTGAGCTAAAACACAAAATAAAAACCAGATTCATTGCCACCAGCGCTCACCTCGCCTGACTTAAAAAAAAGGTTATGCTCCTTTAGATCTGTAAACTCAGTCTCCTAACTGCCCTTCATCCACTTTCTCATGCATCTGAAATCCTCATATTTTGTAGAAGCCTGTTCTGTAAGTCTCTCTACTTTCCAGTTTCGTACAACAGACACTCCTTGACACCAAGGATCTTTCACTTAATCCCTCAAAAATAAAGACTCGAGCTGGGTGCGGTGGCTCACGCCTGTAATTCCAGCACTTTGGGAGGCCGAGGCAGGTGGATCACGAAGTCAGGAGTTCAAGACCAGCCTGCACAAGGTGGTGAAACCCCGTCTCTACTAAAAATACAAAAATTAGCTGGGCATGGTGGTGGGTGCCTGTAATCCCAGCTACTCCAGAGGCTGAGGCAGAGAATTGCTTGAACCCTGGAGGTGGAGGTTGAGATCGCGCCACTGCACTCCACCCTGGGCGACAGAGCAAGACTCCGTCTCAAAAATAAATAAATAAAAATAAATAAGTAAATAAAGACTCGACTTTATGATTGAGGAGCTTCGTAATTTGGAAACCTCAGGTCCTTACCTGGCGATCTTTGCATCCTAAAGAATAATTACATTGACATGAAATCTTTTCAATTTATTTTACCCTAGCTTGCTTTTTGTAAAAAGCAATTTCAGGGGGGAGGGGGGAGGGATAGCATTAGGAGATATACCTAATGTTAAATGACGAGTTAATGGGTGCAGCACACCAACATGGCACATGTATACATATGTAACCTGCACGTTGTGCACATGTACCCTAAAACTTAAAGTATAATAATAAAGCAATTTCAACTTTTTTAGATTAAGGGGTATACCCTAGTTTTCTAAACTTCGATGAGAGTTGTGCATTTGCTGAAGGCTTATTACATGAAGAGTGACAGTCTAAATTGTTTGAAGGAAAGTAAAATGAACAACAAACTAGAATCAGCAAAGAGGACCCTGACAATATCAGAAATGATCTGCTCCTTGAGATCATAGCACTGTTCCTGATTTGACTCCCTCCACCATTATTTATTCTCCCCACACTTTTAGTTTGGTAGGGAAAAAACCCCACAGTTTCTGTATTTTGGAACAGTGACTGTGCAGCCAAACTCCCTATCGCTGAAAGGTTTCTGGTGGAAAATAACTCATAGATCAGAATCCAGCCTCCTTGAAAAAGTAAAGGCCTAGGTAGTAACTTCCTCAACATTACACTGCCAGTTTTTGATAGAATTAACTACCTTAATTTGTTAGAATTGAGACTAACAGCCGAATCTCTTCATTCTAACAATGCTTTGTAGCTTCTAAATGATCCCACACGGGGTTTTTCAAGGTCTTCCTCCTCCCCAATCCCTTAATTACTCAGAAACATCTTTTCTGAACTCACAGCATTTGATAATTATGTACCATGTTAGGAATTATTTTTCATTATTGTCACACGTTTTAAGTTTAGAGTCATACTTCTGGAATGAAAACTATGACTCATTTCATAAGTTGAACCAATCATCTCATTTCTTTATAGTTGCCTCCCCAACTATATTAAGCTCCTTGAAGATAGGACACATGCCTTACATTTCTTAACTCTTAGCTAGTATTCAACATAATTAATATGACGTTTGATACATATTAGTTTAATTAACTTCATAATAAAATTGATAAGATTAAGTATTGAATGTGCTGAAGAAGAGCTCTATATGAGGCCATTGTCAGTGCTGACCCAAAAAAAAAAAAAAGCTTTTTTACTTTAAAAATCTATTTTATAATACATTTACAATTCAAAAAAGTGCGTGATTAAAAGAATAGGAAATATATCAGAATTCAGAAAACATACTACTTTACAACCAAAACTAAGCATTTTGAAAATGTATCTAGAGGACCCTCGTAAATTTAGTTATATGAGATTTTATATAATAGATTAAAAAATCAGATGTGTCAGCCGTTTGACCTCATCAGTTTCTTTGTTCTTAAAATAGCTGACATTTCTGCATCATTAGGGAAAGACAATGTTGTCACACAAAACAGACTATTTTTAAAGATGTGCTTTGGCTTGCAAAGGCGTGACATGCCTAAAATATTAAAGCGATATGGACTGGTAAACGTGTCACTCATTGGGTTTCAACCTCTTGCTCCAAGTCCTTGCGTACATTTAAGAATTGGAGGAATAATATATTCTATATCTCTTTGTATTTTTTAAAGACAGCATTTATAACAGACGAGGAAAGTACATCCTCATGTAGTTTAGATGTGAATGGGATTTACTACCCCCAAAGGTGTTATAGAATGAAAATATGCATTTATGAATAGTTTTAAGTCATGAAAGGCAGCATCCTAAAAGTTGATTAAAGAATTCTAGGAAATTTGGGAACAGCATATATATCATAACTTCTGTGCTATGTAGGATATATCTTTTCAACAATATATTCCAGTTGCCATACGGTGCTGTATTGGATGGGCTGGAATTTGTGACTATCCTTTGTGGAATTTCCTATTAAAATCTGAAAACAGATTTAGCTTTAAAAAATTTGAGGCAGAGCTTTTCTAATCATTCCATAATTGTATTTAGTCTGGACGATATGGTTATAATCAAGGAAAGAATGTAAGAAATTACTTTTTAAACACATCGGAAACACATTCTTAGGGTCACTTTGGAGTGCTGAGATCTAGGTGGTAGTTCATTCTTTGCAGTCCACAGACTTATTTTTAGACCAATGGCATAGTGTTTTGCCAGATCATAGCTAAATGTTGTTTTCAGAACGTAAGCTTTAAAATTGTTATCCTGGTCAGAGTGAAATCAGTAGTGCCTATTTTAGACCTGCTTGGAAGAATATAACTCAATGCAGTGTCTTACTTTTGCTGCTGAGCGGTTTTGCAGACTACCATCTTCCCTGCAACTCTGAAGGATGGTATGGTAGAATTTTATTGTCTGATGACTGAGATTTTTAACTTGAAACAAATTTTTGTAGTTTTTAACAGATTGAGTATTGAAAATTGCCTTTTTATTTTAGGTATTATTAGACATTCTTTTTAATTTTAACTTAAATTTTACCGGGATAAATTTAGGTAAGAGAGCAAAGGTAGTTTCTACGTTTAAGATGTTTTCTAAAACTTTTAAAATTATTTTAAAAGCTTGTGCTCTGATTTCTGTTTAGAGATCTTAGATACTTCCAGTGATTTAGTGTGACTGTAATGCAAGAAACTGGTTTGGATAGAGTGCAATGTCTATAAAAACTATAGATGAATTCCCTTCAGTTTTTTTATACTTTACTATTAGCCTTTCAACAAATAGTTTTTTTGAACTACTTTTGCCTAGTGGTGAGGGTACAATAAAAAATGTTAGTTGAAAGTGAAAGCTTTAACAATATTTGTCAATAGAGATTAGGAGATGAAGACCTGTTCCATCAGTTAGTCATTCTTACTATTCTTCACCTTTCTGTCCACCGTACTATGGAATAGCCAGTTTAGGCTAAGGCTGCAAAGCAGGGACCTACTGAAGATGAATTAGTATCCCTCAGCACCCCTATACTGCTGAAGTATAGAACTTGGGAGTTTCCTAAGTACCTAATTTTTTTTGCTTCTTGGTTTTTTATTGTTATCAAATCAGCAGATTTGGTTATCAGCTGTTGTTAGTTATATAGCAGTACAGGACATATGTAATCTTGTTGAGATGTGTCTTCTAAAGACACATTTCTGAGTAGCTCAAACATATCAGGAAAGTTGGTTCTGTGTACTTTTGTTAATCATTGTTTTGATTCAAACTTAAGTAATCTTAGATGTTGATTTGGTTTTTATTGTATTTCCTTTCCTAATTAGGACTTAACCACCACCATGTCGAGCAAAAGAACAAAGACCAAGACCAAGAAGCGCCCTCAGCGTGCAACATCCAATGTGTTTGCTATGTTTGACCAGTCACAGATTCAGGAGTTCAAAGAGGCCTTCAACATGATTGATCAGAACAGAGATGGTTTCATCGACAAGGAAGATTTGCATGATATGCTTGCTTCATTGGGTAATGCTCAGTTTAAATATTAATCTATTGGATAGAATTTCCATGGTGCCTTTCATCTTGATTTCATGAGTCTTAAAGCTCTGTAAAGCCTGTCTAATGAGTCTACTAAGGTTTGAGTAAAGTGTGGAACAGTGTTTCCCACCGGATCACCAGCAGATTCGTGACCCTGTCTTAGGATTGGGTTGGGGTTCGTGTGTGTGTGTGTGTGTATAAAAACACTGATCTTGATTATGGAAGCAGTATTATTCCTTCTGACATTCCAATGGACTATCATATACTTTCCAGACTCTTTAATAGGCCCTATTCATTAAGAAAACTTTCCCCCCAAATAGTTTCACTCTCATGAGTGCAAACAGTAAACTGTATGAATGATAATCTTTGTTACCAAAATGTTTACTGTCATTAATAGTTGATATGTATTGTAATGTAATTAAAATTATGACCCCTTTTAAAAATTTAGGGAAGAATCCAACTGATGAGTATCTAGATGCCATGATGAATGAGGCTCCAGGCCCCATCAATTTCACCATGTTCCTCACCATGTTTGGTGAGAAGTTAAATGGCACAGATCCTGAAGATGTCATCAGAAATGCCTTTGCTTGCTTTGATGAAGAAGCAACTGGTAAGTGAGAGGTAACCTTTAATTATAAAGTGATTTAATTTTTAGTTATGGTAACTAAAATATACAGTAACTTAAAATATGATAACGCTCTCAGGTTTGTACTACACCTATTTTTTTAGACAGAGTTCTCTTGGCATGTTTGTCACTCACTTTGCTGCTTCTGCCCTAAGTAGTAGTTTACAATGAATAGGTTGTATTTGAAACCTCATTGGGAAGCTTATATTACCCCTTTCCTACCATGTTAACTCCACAAGGGTTAGGCTCTCAGAAAATATGTATTGAATAAAAAACTTTTACCAGAATAATCTTGATGAAGTATAAATTGTTATAGGCCATGCACCACTACAATCCTGTATATGTTTACCAGGTATCTGTCAGCTCTCAAATTGTTTAAATCTGACATCTAACCTTTATTTTAAAATACACCCAGTAGAACTTAGGGTCTGGAATTAGACTATCTGGCTTCAAATTCCTCTTCCACATAATAGCTGTATAATTTGGGGCAAGTTGCTTAACTTTCTCTAAGCCTCTGTTTTCTTATTTGTAAAATGAGCAGTATTACCTACCTCATAGGGTTGTTGTGAGAATTAAGTGAAGAAGTGAGATGTACATGAAGTACTTAGCATACTGTGTGGCACAGAGTTAACTCTCAAAAAAACAAAATGTTATCTATATAGGGGCCTGATCCTTTGGCAGAAGTGTATGTAAGAGAAAACATAATGAGGGAATATTTTCCGTGATTCCCAGCTCAACATGGCGTAGCCAAGTGTGTTTAGTGAAGGAAGGCACAATCTTTGGTTGCCTCCATTAGTGGGACGAGTTTAAATACTGGGTGGTTGCCAGGGCCTGCTGATGGAAGCATGGTCTGTGGCTTTCAAGGCTCCCCACATGTGCATGCCAGTTATTTGGGAAATCTTAAAAATACCAATACCAGAAAATAAATCGGGTGACATCAGATTCTTGTAGGCAGGCAGGTTTTATGAGAACCCTGGTATCAAATTCCCAAAGTAAAGAGCACACACCTTTCAGCTTACCACTGCACATCCCCACTGCCCAGCACAGTGCCTGCCACATAGTTAGTGCTCAAATATTTATTCCATGTTTTTGCATGTGCTGGGACTGGCCATATTTATTACAATAATTGGATTTGTAAACAGTAAAAATCTCATTTTACATCTGAGAAAACCAAAGTCAGGGATGAAGTGAAATGCCTGAAATAAAATAGCTTCTTAAAACTGGGCCTCAAGCTTCCGGTATTCTTTCCACTGTACCACTTTATTGATGTGTATGATGTAGTGTTGATTTTAGCCTGGCAGGTAAATGTTACTTGTTTGTAGAATAAGATGTGACCATTCATGCCACTTGAAGGAACCGTAAGGCTTAGATTCTTTAACCATACTTTTTATTACTTTGTTTAGGCATAGGTTTAGTCTCTCTTATCAAGAGATCAGAAGCTGAATGTGGAGGCAGAATGATAGAGCAAATGATAGAGCGGAGCAGTGCTGCTAAGCAGCTAGGCATTTTTCTAGGCACTTCTCTGCTGAGGCTGTTTTAAGTAGGTGGACACCCTGTAGTTCATATATTTGCATGTTTATAGTTTGTAACATACAGAACATGCTTAGTCAAGTATAGATATTCTTTGTAATTAACCCTCAGAATAGTATGTATTCTGATCCCTTGTTCTTTATTCTCCAGGCACCATACAGGAAGATTACTTGAGAGAGCTGCTGACAACCATGGGGGATCGGTTTACAGATGAGGAAGTGGATGAGCTGTACAGAGAAGCACCTATTGATAAAAAGGGGAATTTCAATTACATCGAGTTCACACGCATCCTGAAACATGGAGCCAAAGACAAAGATGACTGAAATAACTTCAAATTCCAGCCAAACGTTCCTTGTTGCCACTTTGGGTATTCTGAGATTTTCTCTTGCATGCCCTTAGCTTTACAGCTTTTGCATTTCCTGTTGTATTTATTCTCAGCCATTTTGGGCATATGTATCTTTATAATCAGACTGGAAACGGGACTTTCTATTAATATCATTTTCAGAATAAAAAATAGGATAATTTAACCTACCAGCCCTTCTCCCCCAATAACTGTGGTCTATACAGAGTCAATATATTTTTTCAGAGAAAGTTATTCGCTCGATTTTTTCTGAATCATAATTAAACTTTATGATAAAATACTTACTTGTTTAAACTTCTTATTTACCAAACTTGGCTTTTGTTGGTTTCAGTCGTATCTCCCAAAGAAAGGTAGATGAGGGAAATCCTAGAAAATGATATGGTTGTTAGCTTTCTCTTCCTCCAGTTTTCCTAACAATCCTATCTCCTCTACTATCCATTCCTCCTCCTCCTCCCAAGGATATCCAATTTTAACTGCCCTAATCAGGTTTTCTGCACTTTGTCTTCCAATTTTTAAAATAATTTCCTGTAGAATTTGCATATATGATAGTTTCCATAGCTTTAAGTCCTTAAGTTGACATACCTGCCAACATTTCCACTTTATTTAAACTTTTGTAATTTCTGGTCATTTAAAATTAGACCAGGTTACTGAGTATAATTTCAATTTGTCATATTTTTAAAAACCATTTTGGCTTAAAGGTTCTGTGGAATGCTACCAAAGAGAGATTTTTATGTTATGTTTTAAAGTGCTGGAAATATAATGCAGTATTTTTTTTATTATATGTAGTTTTTCTTTAACACAGCAATGTGTATTGAAAGATATTTGTTTATGCAGAGATTCACCATGAGTCCATGTTTGAGTTTTGGACATTCCTGACCTTCCCACAATCAAAACAGCTGAACCTGCATGCCTGGGAAAGTGAGGTCATTATTTCAGTCCTAAAAATAACTTCTACTATTTGCAGAAATGCAGAACTGTTTCACAGTTAATCAGGGAGTGGCAGACAGTTTCGTTCTTTTTCAGCTTTAAAAATCTGACTCTCAAAGGGCTTCAAGATTCTCTTTTTTTTCCAGACAGGGTCTCTCGCTCTATCACCCAGGCTGGAGTGCAATGGCACGATCACAGCTCACTGCAGCCTTGACCTCCTGGGCTCAAGTGATCCACAGCCACCTGAGTAGTTGGGACTACAGGCAGGCACCACCATGCCTGGCTAATTTCTTAATTTGTTGTAGAGACAAGGTCTCATTATGTTGCCTAGGCTGGTCTAAAACTCCTGTACTCAAGTGATCTTCCCACCTCTGCCTCCTAAAGTGCTGGGATTACAGGTGTGAGCAACCATGCCCAGCCCAAAACTCTGACTCTCAAAGAGCATGAGTTTTAAAAGATTTGAAATGGAGAAAAATTTGGTTGAAAAGATTTGACAATTAGCCTATGAAGATGAGTAATTGACAATTACTATAATAACTTTAAGTTTTATGCTACGATTAACATGACTCTCCTTGGACAAAACCATTACCTCATTCAGTAAACAATTACTAAAAGCCTTCTGGGCAGCAGGCCTTTGCAGCCAATAAGATAGATCAGCTAGATCCTGTAACGTGGGAAGGCCAGTGCTATAGGAATAGAAGGACTAGTCAAAGCTAGTCCTTGACCTCTTCAGCATTAGAATCTTAGAACCTGCCTTCATTCTTTGTCTTTTGTTTCTGAATTTTATTCACTGGTTAAGCCAAAATACTTTTTCCAGGCTATGGCCATGGTGCTAAAATCTTGTTTTTTGAATTGAATTTCCATGTCAAGAGAAAAAATTATCATATGCTTTGTTACATCTCTAGTGAAGAACAGATAGCATTGTTTGCACTATATGAAAAACAAGGTACTACTAAAAGGATCTCTTGCAGGGCCCCTGTTTCCCTTTCAGATAAGTGCTTAATGAACCAACTTGCATTAAGAACAATGATGTACCCTGAATGAAATAATTCTCCTAATTTAGTAATAGCATTC
Organism: Homo sapiens; assembly: GCF_000001405.40. Lineage (NCBI taxonomy): Eukaryota > Metazoa > Chordata > Mammalia > Primates > Hominidae > Homo > Homo sapiens. The sequence goes on from NC_000018.10 coordinate 3,257,958, forward strand.
TTTGCTTAAACAAGAGTGATTGCCAACAGAAAGGTAAAAGCATCCATTTCAATGGTGTGTTTGACTGAAAAATCAGTCTCAAAAGTTTCCATGATGAAAGTCATACTTAAACCATTTCAAAAGATCTGGCTAGGCACGTTGGCGCACATCTGTAATCCCAGCACTTTGGAAGGTCGAAGTAGGAAGACTGCTTGAAGCCAGAAGATTGACATCAGCCTGGGCAACAAAGCAAAACCCCATCTCTACATAAAAATTAAAAATTAGCCGGACATGGTGGTGGGTGCCTATAGTCCCAGCTACTCTGGAAGCTAAGGTGGAAGGATTGCTTGAGCCCAGGAGTTTGAGGCTGGAGTGAGCTGACTGTGCCACTGTACTCCAGCCTGGGGTGACAGCGAGACCCTGTCTTGAAAAAGAAAACAAAAATCGGACAAAACCAGCCTAATGGGGGTGGCATCCTTATCCACCTGCATATGATGATATGGTCATTTTGATTCCAGGCCCCAAATTTTACTTGATGAAAGAATCTATAACTTGATGAGAGCAGGAATTGAATGCTCCTGGGAAAGAAAGGAGGAAGGCCTGAGCATAAGAGACAAGTAACAGCAAATTGAGAAGGAAAGGAAACCATTTGCTACAAAGTGAAAAGAGGAAGGACAGCAAGAGGCTTAACACCTAGACTTGAGGATCAGATAAAAAATGATCAGAGTTTGGAGAGGTAAATAGAGCCACAAAAACAGTCTTACGGAAACCTAGTTAATTTCAAGAGTAAGGAGGTTGGCAGTGTCCAACACAGAAAAGTGGAGTATGGGAAGGTTTAAATGAGACCCTCCCAGATGTGACAAGTCGTTAGTCATGTTTGCTAGAGTTATTAGAGTTCTGAGTGCAGAATCCATAATGCAGCACAGGATAGTGAATAATGCCTAGGTGTGGGGTCAGGCAGACCTACACTTAATTCCCGTTTGTTGCTACGTCATGGCTCTATAACCTTAAGTCAGTTATTTAAACTTCCTTGGCCTATTTATTCATTTATAAAACGGAAATAATACTGTTGGTTCATATTAGGAACATAATATATAAAGCAGCATTTGTGTGATTAAGAGCAGCACGGATTTGGAGCCATACTTAAGTGAATTGCACCTGCCTATTTGACTTTGTGTTCTTAATTGCCAGTTTCCTCATCTGTAAAATGGCCAATACCATCCAAGTTTCTTCTGAAAATTAGAAGCATGAAAGACAAATGGTCTGGGACACATTAGGTCTCCAAATAGTAGTTATTTTGTTTACGAGTGGGCCAGTGAGAAGGGGCAAAGGGCATATCTTCAAATTCAAGCCTGTTTATAGGCAGAGTAGAAGACAACAAACTAGGGGGGAACAATTAGTGAAACAAAATGGATCATGTCTAAGAGCTAGGATGTGACAGAACCTAGACCACGTAGGATTGCCCTTAGAAAAGTGGATGGATTTCAAGGTAGAATTTCATTAACAGGTTGTTAGGAAGATTTTATAAGACTATGCATACAAATGCCTGTCAGTTTGGTACTAGTGGATTCTGAAATAGTTCACTTTCGATTTCCTGAGCAGGTCCAATATGCCAGACTTGTGTGTGTCGAATTAGGTCCTCTTCACGGGTACAGTTTATTTTTTCTGTCCATAAAGGGATTGTAGTAGCTAATCCCACATTGAAGAAATGCCCAGTTTTCCCATTGCTGCTTATTCGAGTCATTTCCACTTGCTCTTCCATCTTCCAAGTCCCTATATCTTTTTAGTCTAGATTTCTCTGTGTCTGCTCAAATAGCAGGAAATGTGACTTTTCTCCAGTATTTATCCACACACATTTTAGAGTTGTAATGAGTTTACAACTTGTTTTTTCGTTTACTACTTAAATTATATCTCATGTTTTGGCATAGCCACCATTGTTTTGAGTATATTTCTTTTTCAACCATTCTTAACTTCAGTTATCTTTGATGTGGGCATGCTATAATTAACAATTTCCCAATGATAGATATTTAGCTATCCAGCTATTTTTATTAGTGAATAAATTTTTATTCATGATTAAACAAAGCCTATTATAGGCTTTTCTTTTGCATCTAGAGAGAACAATATACCTTAGAATTATTTCTTCAGAATAGTGCTGTCAAATAGAAGCTTCTGTAATTAAGGAAATGCTCTCTGTGCCATACAATAAGGACACTAACCACATGTGGCTATTGAGCACTTAAAATGTGTCTAATACTAGCCAGGCGCGGTGGCTCACGCCTGTAATCCCAGCACTTTTGGAGGCCCAGGTGGGCGGATCATGAGGACAAGAGATTGAGACCATCCTGGCCAACATGGTGAAACCCCGTCTCTACTAAAAATACAAAAATTAGCTGGGCGTCGTGGCACAGGCCTGTAGTCCCTGCTACTCGGGAGGCTAAGGCAGAAGAATCACATGAACCCGGGAGGCAGAGGTTGCAGTGAGCCGAGATCAAACCACTGCACTCCAGCCTGGGCGACGGAGCAAGACTCCGTCTCAAGAAAAAAAAAAGTGTCTAATACTGCCAGACGCACTGGTGCGGTGTCTCTCACCTGTAGTCCCAACTACTTGGGAGGCTCAAGTGAGAGGATCGCTTGAGGCCAGGAGTTCCAGGTTGTAGTGCATTATGATCACGCCTGTGAATAGCCAGTGCATTCCAGGTTAGGCAACATAGGGTGACCCCATCTCTAAAAATAAAACGTATCAAATACAACTGAGGAACTAAATTTAAGTTTAGCTGCATGTGGTTAGTGACGATTGTATTGGACAGCACAATTCTAGAAACTTTTTTTTTTTTAATTTAGACTATCGAACCAAAACCTAAGAGTAAATATTGTAGAACCAGGTGTGACTTTTCAGCAATTGCTTTTCTAACACTATTGAGAAAATACACACAGTTATGAACCGCGTTTAGAGCTGTGCTGCTGGGATGGCGACCACCCCATCAGCATCATGTGTGCTTACCAGAAATTCGAATTATCCTCCACCCCTTACTCACTGAATCCTGATACCCGGTTTTGAGGCTCAAAAATGTTTTTAAAAGCCCTGTTATTATGCGTGCTACTGTTTAAGAACTGCTACAGAGTGCTGAACACAAGGTCCCTCTCTTCTAGGAATTTCTGATCAAAGATTTCTAGAATATAAACTCCCTAAGAGGCTTTGAATTCATCTCTCAGCATCCGGCACATGTTAAGGCAGTAAGAAGAGTTCAATAAAGATTTGCTATTAGATTGCCGATCCTCCACCATCCTGAAGTAATGCTATTTTAGTAATGCTAGATGAAGTAATGCTAGATTACCTCAAGGTGAGGGAAAATATCCTGAAGAACACAGCCACAAACACGATCTAGAACAAAACCTGAAAAACGTAGCTTTGTGTTTTTATTTGTGTGTGCATGTATGTGTGTGCGTTGCCATTTTCTTGATAAAGGAAAGCAAGTAGTTCGAATAAAACTTTCTTGTGGCCAAAAGGGGAATCAAACAGCCGTAGGCTGCGGCCGTAGCCTGATACGGCCGTAAACCTTATGAGGGTAAGCAGAGAGGAGTAGGTTAAAGAATTTAACTCGGGCTGTAATGCGGTTTGAAAAGAGAAAGGGATTCTGGAACGGAGAAGAATCCGCCCAGGCGCCGCCCTCACCTTCTCAACATTACATGAGACGAACCCTAAAACCTGTCTTGTCTGAAATTCAAATTTAGAAGAACTGTACTTTTACTTGCTACATCTGGCAACTCAGGGTTCGGCGCCAGGGGACCCCAAATCCTAGGCGGATCGCGCCCCGCCTGGGTCAAAGGGGACCCCAAATCCTCGGCCGATCGCGGCCCACTCGGGTCAAATTCCAGCGGCCTGCCCAGCCGCGCCCAGCGGGCCCAGGAATGCGGAAGGGTGGCGGAGCTACCAAAGGAGCGGGGGACGAGGGCCGGGCTGCGGACGACCGCCGCAGCGCAGGCCGCGATATCGCAGCGGATCGGAGCAGGCCGGAGGGGCAATTAAGACCCCGGCCGTGTGCGTCCGGCCTCAGCAGCCCCGCCGCTCGGCGGACACGCAGACCCCGCCGGCCCGGGCGCGAACACTCAGCGCACCCCCGTTCCACTTGGTCCCGCCGCGCCTTCCGGTGCGCCTTCCGGTGCGCCTTCCGGTGCGCCTTCCGCTCCGCCCCTTCAGGCAGGAAGTGTCGGCGCCGCCACTGTCCGGCCACAGCCTAACGCTCTTCGCTGTCGTTTGTGGTCTCGCGCAGGGCGGCCCCGGTTCTGGTGTTTGGCGTCGGGTGAGTCGCGCTCGACTCTGCTCGCGAGACCCCTCGGGCCGCCGTCTCCGTACCCCCGCGCCCCCTCCCGTCGCGCGCCTGCGGCCGGACCCCGCCCCAGGGCGGCCAGGCGGCGGCAGGACCTGTCAGACTGGCTGAGAAGGGGGCGCGGGGCCGGAGGTGGAGGGAGGAGGGTTGGCGGCGGGAGGAGGGTTGGTGGCGAGGCCCTGGCCCGGACGTCCAGGGGCCGGGAGGCTGCAGGCGATGGAGCCGGTATGGGGAGACGCCCTGCTGGAGAAGTGGCCGGGTCCCGGCCGTGCGTGGGCCGGCCCTGCGCCACCTGGGTGACCTCAGACACCTGGGCCTTGGACGGCCCGGCTGCCCGGCGGCCAACGCCTGCCCTCCCGGCGCCGCGGCGGGTCCTGGCGGTGGATTGGGGCCGACCCGGGCGTGTTCGTGTGGAGCACCTGCCCTGTGCCCAACACTATCCTAGATGCTTTGGAGGGTGGAGGAGCCTCCTGTTGCACGGTCTTGCCTAAGGTGAAGCCTCCAAGGAAGCCATTAGCATGCCGGTAACCGAGTGTGTGGTTGATACGGGCTCAAATGTGATGATTTACATAGAGTTGTAATTCGCTCAGTGTGTCTTGCATCTTGTAAAGGTTTAGTTTATTCGTGTTGATTGAAGAAAGGACCATTAACAGAAATAGGGAAAGGTTACTTGGAAAAGAGTCGTGACCTCACTGAAGGCCTTGGATTCAACCTTAAGAGGGAGAACTTAGCGTTTCCGGCTAGATGTGTGGGAGGTGGTAACGAGCAAAACTCAAAAGCTGGGAATTGTGTCCTGTGAAAAGCAGGCCGTGGGGACACCGGCGGGTATGGAACAGAACTGTAATGACTAATAGTCGGAAATAAGGGTAGATAGGTAAGTAGGACCTTCTTATGGATGTCTTGAAAACTTAGGAGAAAGAAAAGATTATCTAAGAAGCCATAGAGAGTAATTTTGGAGTCTTCACTAACGGAGTAATAAGAAAGGGATGTTTAGAGGATTCGTTTGGCCGCTTTAGTTTAAGGTAGATTTGGAATGGTCTTTTGGTAAGAGAAGAATCAAAGCATTTAGAATTCAGTAGGACCTGATAGATTACCTTGTGAAGGCTTTGCGTTTTATAACTGAGGAAAGTGAAACCCAGAGAGGTGAGGTAATTTGTCGAAGGTGGTGGACCCTCCTGGACTTTATAACTAAGAGCACTTTTGAGTGCTTTAGGCTCTTTTGAGTGAAACAGCTTTTATGATGGCTGACTCGATGTTCGTTTATGCTTTGATGAAACTAAGCTTGAACAAGATGAACTGCAATTTCTGAAGGACAGATGTCCAGACAAGAGTTGCTAGGGTTAGGAAAGAACAGGATTTAGAGCCCCGACATGGGGCTAGTTTTCCCTTTCTCCCAAGATTCAAAGGCTCCAGGTATATCTGGGGATGAGTTTATCATACCCTTTTTGCCAGCATCTTTGTGATCTTCCTTCCTCATTCTACACATTAGCTTTGGGGTGTCATTGCTTGTTATGCCCAGGTATCCACATTTTCATGGTAGAGAATTTCAGCTGCCTGTATGCAGGATGTTACTGGCTAGTGGTTCAAGCTCTGGAGCTAGATTTCCTGAGTACAGATCCTGACTGAGCTCTGCCATTTTCTAGCTGTGTGGCAAGTTGTTTATTCTCTTTACCCTGATTTTCGTATCTGAGAGAAGAGGATGATAACAATACCTATATGATGAGTTGTCGTGAGGATTAAATGTGTTAACACATACAAAATGCTTAAATCAGTGCCTGGCACATCTTTAGCACCCAGTTGTCCCTGGTTGCTACTGCTTCTTCCAGGTATGGAGCAGTGGGTAGCTACTAAGTTTCCTTAGGGATCTCTTGGGGAAGAGACTGGAACCATAGGTAGACCGTAGAGAAAAGCCTCATGTTGGAATTCAGATCCGGGACCTACCTTGTAATGAACATATATGTGTAATTCTGTTTGTGACAGGAAAGAACTATATATGTATATACACTATATACAACTGTGTATACTATACATATATTTATACATATATATATGTATTTGCTTAACTAGGATTATTTGAGCACCTGCCATGTGCAAGGCACACTGCTAAGTTCTGCAGTCCAAGGTGGAAAGGCAAAAGGCAATAAAAAGAATGAATATGGCCAGGCATGGTGGCTCATACCTGTAATCCTAATGCTTTGAGAAGCCAATGTGGGGGGATCATTTGAAGCCAGGGGTTCAAGACCAACCTGGGCAACATAGCGAGACCCTGTCTCTACCCTGCCACCCACTCCTTGCAAAGTAGCTGTGTATGGTGACTCATGCCTGTAGTCCCAGCTGCTCGAGGCTGAGTCAGGAGGATCACTTGAGTCCAGGAGTTCAAGGCTACAGTGAACTATGATTGTGCCATAAACCCAATAAGAGAGGTGAATTTCAAAAACATTGTATTGAATGAAAGAAGACAGGCATATATATGAATATATACTGTACAATTCCATTTATAAGAAGTTCAAAAACAAAACTAATCTATGGTGATAGAAATCTGAACAGTGGTTGCCTATGGGAGATGGTGATTAACTTGGAGAGAATTTTCTGGAACAGTGTTAACATTTGTAACTTAATGGGGGTGATGGTTACATGGGTATACACATTATAAAAACTTATTAAGGTTTGTACATTTGACTATATAAATTTCACTGCAGTAAAACAAAATGATATAGGAGCTCAGAGAATAGAAAGTTTGCAGCCAACTGTAATGATCATAAAACCTATAATAGAGAAAGAAATGTCATTGTTATAATGTGTATGTGGTAAGTGTTAAAATACATATAGAGTACTAGGGGAAATGCTTCCCTGGTGTTAAAAAAAGTTGAAAAAATTGAGTTTGGCTCCCTAAAAAAAATACTTCTAATAATTTATGGAACTATTTTTTTGCCTAAATATGCAGCACAAAAGCAATTATATGTCATTAGGTAGATGAGGTTACTTTTGTGAAGTATTTTTAACTTGATATATACTAAATTCTGTTTATGACTGCTGTTTTCGGACTGTTGCTTATATATCCAGTCATTTGAGTCTTCCAGTTAGAACATTCAACTTGACTACAGTAATAACCATAAGAATCCATGAGAAATTTCTAAAGATTCTGATAGACCTTGGTGAAGATGAGGTGGAGTAAAAATGACCTTAGGTTTTAGCCCAAGAACTACTCTCTGCTTTTCTGTGTGAGTTCATCTACTCTGAGGGCTTTACCTTGTGCCTCTGCTCACAAATCAGCACTGCTAACAAGACCCTCTCAGAGTCCTGTCCTCTACTAGCATTCTACTGTGGCCCAGATAAAATTTGAGTTATTTATCATCCTTTGCTGACAAAACCAGCTCCTCCCTCCCCTCCCCAATTACCTCATTTTTGAGTGGTAGCTTTATACTACCAGGTTTTCAGTCAGCACTTAGGAAAAAGGACAGAGCTTTGAGACTCCAATTAGAAAGCAGGAATAACTAGCAAATCAGGAAGTGATTTGCTGGTCAGAGCCAGAGGAATTCAGCCAAAAGAATAGGATGGTGGTGGTGGGAATGTTGAGGAAGGGTGACTCGTGCAGTAAAGAGAAGAACCTACAGAACTTGGATGGAAACTGAGTAGAAGGACTTTAAACTTTTCTGTTCAGAAATGGAAAATTCCCCGTGCTATGCAAATTTGACTGCGGTCCCTTGGAACTTGGACTGTGGCTGTAATTCTGAAATAAAGGCATTGCCCTATTTTAACATTAAAGAGGTCAAGGAGACAGTGGCTTTATTACTTTTCTATTGGTGTATAACAGAATACTCCAAAACCTAGCACCTCAGAAACAATGAACAATTTTTGAGGGTCAGAGCCAGAGCAGCTTAGGTGGGTGGTTCTGGCACAGGGTCTCTCATGAGGTCACATGGGGAGGCTGCAGTCGTCTGAAGGAAGATCAGCCTCCAAGATGGCTGACGCATAGCCGACAAGTTGGTGCTGGCTGTCGGCAAGAATCCTCAGTTCCCTGCCACATGGATCTCTCCACAGGGCTGTGTGTCTGCATGACCTGGCTCCCGCCGATTGAGTGATCCATGACAGAGCAGGGCAAAAGCTGCAAGGTGTATTATGACAAAGCCAAACACCCTCATTTCACAATATCTTATTGTCACAATATCTTACTGGTTACACGGGTCAACACTTTTCATTGTTGGAGGGGACTGCACAAGGGCATGAAAATTGTTGAGGGCTTTCTTGGAACCTGGCTACCACCATGACCAGAGGAGCAAGTTAAAGTGTTCTGAGGGGTCAGACAGATAACAAACTAATACCAGCTGGGATAAGGAGATGTAGGGAGTAGAGGGGATTGCTTGTTGAACACTTATGGCCTGCAGGAATTTCCAGGATGCTGGTCAAGTGATTCCTTATTGTACAGTTGTTTAAAATATCTGAAATTTAGGTTATGTAAAATGTTCAGTTTTTTTTAAATGTTGGCAAACTAATTCAGTTTTTAAAAGAGGCATTTTAAAGGTCATCCTGGGGATTACTAAATGAACCTCTGTGCAGACTGCATGTAGTTTGGTAGCTGCCAGGTTATGACTTCTGATCTACTTAACACTTATTTAATGGATGAGGAAAATGAGGCCTGGGGAAGCCGAAATGACCAGCAGTCATACAACTTGTGAATGATAGAACTGGAATTGGAATCCATGTCTCCAGCATCTCCATTAAACCATAATGACAACATTGAAAAACTAAGGGGAACTAGATGCATAAACAGCCAATGTGATCTAAGTGGTTAACTTAATAATCTAAGTGGTTCTCAACCTTCAATGTGCATTGAAATCACCTGGTGCGTTTTTGAAAATACAGATGCCTGGGCTCCACCCCCAGACATTCCATTACCTTGAGGCTATAGGCATCACTTTTTTGAAACTTCTGAGGTGATTCTGATGTGCAGCCAAGATTGAAACCAGAGGATTTAACTGCTTTAAGAGCCGTATTTACTTGCTCTAGCTGACTTGAGATACTTAAAGGAAGAAGCCTCAAAACAATGTTGAGGAAATCATAGGTAGCTGACAGAATGTGCTCTGTGAGCATCTTCCCCAAGCTTTGATAAAGCAATATATGCTGAAGTATATAGACAATTTCTGCTTATTAATGATGATGGTGTCCATGTTTCTGTTTGCATATCAGTACTGCAGGTGACTTTACAAACATTTTTATTATCAACTAAGTATGTTGATACCACAGCCACCTATAATACATAATACAGTAGTCCTATATGATGCTTCTTTCCACGGTCCATGGTTTTGCTTCCTCGGTTTCAGTTGCCTGTGGTCAACTGAAGTCTGAAAATAAGTGAGTACAGTACAGTGAGATATTTTCAGAGAGAGATCTCATTCACATAATTTTTATTACAGTGTATTATAATTGTTCTATTTTATTATTGTTAATCTCTTACTGTGCTTAATTTATAAATTAAACTTTATCGTAGGTATGTATGTATAAGAAAAAACAGTGTATATAGTCATTCATCTGTATCTGCAGAGGGTTGGTTCCAGGACCCTCCTGCAGATACTAGAATCTGCAGATGCTCAAGTCTCCCATATAAAATGGCATAGTATTTGCATATAACCTACACATATCCTCCTGAATACTTTAAATCATCTCTAGATTGCTTATAATACCTCATATAATGCAAATACTATATAAATAGTTGTTATAGTGTATTTTTTATTTGTATTTTTATTGTTGTATTTTTCCAAATAAATGAACAATTGATTCTCGGTTGAATCTGTGAGTGCGGAACCTGTGGATATGGAGGGCTAACTGTATGGGTTGGGTACTATCCCTGGTTTCAGGCATCCACTGGGGTCTTGGAATATATCCCCCTCAGATAAGGAGGGACTGCTGTATCAATTCCTACATGCCTGCCTTTGATGTAACCTCTGAGTACTACTTATATCCTGTAGTTCACTTTGTATTAGAAATTTATAGCAATATCAGAGTAACAGTGTTGCAGAGGAAGGAAGAAGTGTTTTTACTGCTATTGAGGGTTATTACATTCATTTTGTGCTGTGTTCTGTATGGCTATTTTCTGTCTGTAAGGGTTGGATTAGTTTTTTGTGTTTTTGTTTGTTGTTGTTTTTGAATGCTTCTTGGTTAAACATTAATAAATTGGACAGTCCTAGATCAAAGTTTCAAAGGAAAGCCATAACTGATAGTTGCCACCTGACTAAACCCAACCAGGGCTACTACACTGCACAGTTCCAGGGAGTGCCACTCACATTTCATTTACTCACTGCAACTCTATTCTGTACCTTGGTTTTTCTGGTGTAGATTGACTTGATTTGAAAACTCAGTTTGTCTAGGATTTGAATTTAGAGGATTGTAGGTGCTCAGAAATCAGTGTTGAATTATATTGGTGGCATTGCAAGTTTTAAAAAATTTTGTGCTGAACTCAAAATAATTAGAAGAGTATTTAGTAGGAAGTAGAAAATATACAAGGAGAAACAACCTGTAACAAATGGGATTTGAATCCTAGCTCTGCCACTAGGTGACCTTGGGCAAGATTATTTAATATCTTTGACCTTCAGTTTCTTCATTTGGCAGGTGGGCATGTTTCATTTAATGTACATAATGTTTCTAGCACATGAGTCACTTAATAAATGGTAGTAGCTGTAAGTTGAGTAGATCTTTAATTCTCTCTCTGTTCCTAAGGCAGAGAAGTAGATCAGGGCAACTGGGGCTGGAAAAATAGCAGGAACAAAGATATACAAGATAAGATGTGGCATGGTACCTTGGGGACATTTGCAGTTTGGTGTTGCTAAAGGAAAAGTACAAAGCAGGGAATGGCTAGAGAGGAGGCTGGAAAGGTCATTCTAGAGTAGGGAAAGGAAGACTCATGCACCATGTTTAGGAACTTGGTACTTTATCCTTTAGAAAGTGGAGAGCCAAAGAAGATTTTAAAAAGTGGAATGATGAGGTCATATTCATGTTTTAGACAGCCCTGCCTAGAAAACTAAGGGTAGTTTTGAGAGAGCCGAGAGGCAAGGGGATAGTGAAGAGGCCATAGAGATATTTTACACAAGAGATAATGAGGATCCAGTTTAGGGTGATGACAGAGGAATGAGGAAGATGAGCAACTCTGAGAAATATTTCTCAGAGGCAGGGCTTGGTTCATCAGGGAGAGGGATTGGGGAGGGTGACTCCTAGGTTTCTGGCTGCTGGGTAGATGATTGGAAACAAAGATGGTAAAGTTCAGGAGGGGAGAGATAATTGAGTTTTCAGCATGTTGATTATGAGTGTCTGTGGCATATCCAGATGGGTGCCTTTCACAGGCATTTGGATGTTTGAGTCCAAGGCTCCAAGGAAAGGTCAGGCCTGGAGGTTCGGATTTAGGAGGTGCAGGCATTGTCATAACAGTGAAAGTTGATGAGATCATCCAAGGAATGAAGACTGAAAAGAACTTTAAACCATGTGCTGCTAGAATACTGGGAAACATGAATATTTAAACGGAGATAAACATCTAAGAGGAAAATGGAGGAGGAAATCTTAGAAATAGGAGAACTGAGCTAGAGTAAGTCAAATACACCATTTTACATAATCAGTCTTTCCAATATAATGCTTAGCAGTCTTCCTGATTAGAGCGTAAGTTCTTCAAGGTTGGGACCCTTTCCACCTGGGAAAGTTCATTTCTACTGTTATGGAGCACCAGGCTAACAGTGGCTGTCTCTCCAAAGAAAAGAGGGATAAAATAGTGTGATGCAGTAGACTGATCCAAGAAGATTTAGACCAGATTTGGCAATTAAAGCAGTTGCAGTAGAGAACAGAAAGCCAGATTGTGGTGGGTTGAAAAGTGAGTGGGAAGTGAGAAGGTGGAGGAAGCCAAGATACTTATTTCAGAAGGGAAGGAGAGAGGGTGGTAATTTCTTTGGGGGCCAGAGTTCCCTTCAGATTGATTATTTTGATGCAACTTTGCCTCACTTTTCAGCTGATACTGTATGTGTAGTTTTTATAGGTACCATATACGTATACAAATGTACCACTGTTTTTAAATGAAGTATGAAAAAAATTTAAAATATAGTATTACTACATTGAGCCTATATCTGCTCTAACATATTTTGATTGGGACCAGTTAGTGAATTGTTTTTTGTTCTCTTCCATCAACTTGCCTTCTGTTTCCTTCTCTTGGGTGTCACCATCAGATGGTGATGGCTCTTCTAGTTATCAGGCTAACTAACTCCCTATTCTTTCTCACAGGCATTTCCCCTAATAAAATCCTTGGGTGTTTCATTCTGTCTTGGTATCAGCTTCTTAGAGAACTCGGACTAAACTTCAAAAATGTTTAAATATAGTATATTTTTGGGTTAACTGTAGAAGTAGCATGATACAATTGACTGATTCTGATTTGATTTGATTTGATTTTTTGAGACAGTGTCTCGTTTTGTCACCCAGGCTGAGGTTAGGGGCACCATTACGGTTCACCAGCCTCGACCTCCCAGGCTCAAATGATCCTTCCACCCCAGCCTCCCAAATAGTAGCTGGGACCACAGGCATGTGCCACCACACCTGGCTAATTTTTTAAATTTTTTGTAGGGACAGAGTATCACTTTGTTGCCCAGGCCTATCTCAAATTCCTGGGCTCAAGCAGTCTTCTGGCCTCAGCCTCCCAAAGTGTTGAGATTATAGGTGTGAGCCACCGCACCCGGCCTGATTCGTTTTTAAAAATAAATATTTAACTCTTTTGGAACTTTTTCTAAATAACTCGATTACAAAAATTACTTGCTGATACTGAGAGAGAACTAATAATTTTTGCCTTCAGATGTATTTGACTAATCTTGAAGAAATTGAGTCAAAATTTTTAGCATGAGAATGAACCTTAATCTAAGTTTTGGTATGTGAAGAAGAATGAAAACATAATCAAATGCCTTGTTAGTAGACTACATTCTGTCTCTGATTTAACCTTCGATATAACTAAGGTCAAATAACAAACTAAGTTACAAGGAAGAGAAGAAAATTAACATTTATTTAGGACTTGTATATGGGGAGGGTAAGGAGTTGGAATGTTAGAGTAAGGACTGTAAGGCTGGTGTACTTCAAAACAACACCACTAAGCCAAGCTTCAAAACACCCTGTGGGATGTTCTTTAGCTTGAATAAATAGAAGTAGACAATACATTTATATAAAAAATCCCAATACCAGAAGTCCTGGAGACTTAGGTCCAAAATCCCCTTGCTCAGTCATTGACCTCTCTAGTCATTTGTTTTTCACATTGCAGGAAGTTACGGAAACAGTCTGCAAGACCATCATTTCTGACAGCAGTTTCAAGTTTGGATGTCCTAAGACCACCCTTGCGTTTGATTATTTGCTAAGACTCACAGAACTCACTGAAAGCTGTTAGGCTCACAGATACATAGGTTTTCAGAGGTTATATGTAGCTAGTAACGGTGGAGCTGAGATTTGAACTCAGGACTTCCTAACTCCAGAGCTGATGGTATTTTTGTGTTTTATTTATTATTTAAAACTGCAAATTAAAAATGAAATGACAAGTGCCTTTTCTGCTTGACATTTAAATTATTGGTGGCTTTCAGTAGAGTGTTGGAAGCTACTACCAAAGCCATATTACGGAGAATGGAGGAATGATTGGGAAGAAGAGAAAAGGGGCTGGGCACGGTGGCTCATGTCTGTAATCCCAGCAGTTTGGGAGGATCTCGAGCCTCAGAGTTCAAGATCAGACTGGGCAATATAGTGAGAAACCCCCCATCTCTAAAATAAAAAACAGAAGGAAAAATGAAGACAGTTCAGCATTAGACTGGTATTCTGAAAGTCTTGTCAAGGGAAAAGGGAAATGCAGGGATAGCTAGAAAGATGAAAGGGTGGGTTTGATATTTATAAAGATGAGACCTTTTTTGAACATGACTAGTCTTTTTACATATGTTATCTCAATTAGTTCTTTGCATTGAAGTAGATATCATGTTTTACTGATGAAAAATTGAGGCTCAGAGAGGTTATGTTATACTGGTAGTAAAATGGGAATAAGAGTACCTACCATAGGCAACTGTTGTGAGGATTAAATGGGGACAGTCTTTGTCAGAGTAAGAAATCAACTTTGGAGACTTTCTCTTTGAGGAAGCCCTATGCCTTCATAACAGTGCTTGGCCAGAGTAAGTACTCCATAGATGCTAGCTATTGTTAGATATTTTAAATTCTCACTTCATAAAAATTGATCCCCTGAAGTTTAGGACAAGGTACATCAATAATTTCTATTGTGTTTCTTTCTTTTTTAGAGATGGGAGTCTCACTATGTTGCCCAGGCAAGTCTCGAACTCCTAGTCTCAAGTGAGCCTCCCACCTTGGCCTCCCAAAGTGTTGGGATTATAGGCATGAGCCACTGGTGTCTGGCAAATTCTGTTCCTTAATGTTTCAAAACTGCTTTTTTTCCACTCAGTCATTTAATTGTCACATTGAAAATAAAGTTTAGGTGCATACTTATTCCTACCCAATTGAAGTAATAATTCCTTATTGATATTTTTACCTACAGACTTTAGGTATTATGTATTCTGTTTTTGCTTTGTTTTATACATTGTTTTGTTTTACGTTTTTGTGTTTTTTTTTTAATCCAGAATTAAACAACCACCATGTCGAGCAAAAAGGCAAAGACCAAGACCACCAAGAAGCGCCCTCAGCGTGCAACATCCAATGTGTTTGCCATGTTTGACCAGTCACAGATTCAGGAGTTCAAAGAGGCCTTCAACATGATTGATCAGAACAGAGATGGCTTCATCGACAAGGAAGATTTGCATGATATGCTTGCTTCTCTAGGTAGACTTTATATTCTTTATTTGTATTTTCCCTAAAATAATAATTTGTCTCTTTATGAATCTTTTTTTTGTGCGATGTACAAATATTTCTCTCCTTGTCTCAAAAGGCCTCTGGAGAGATTTCTGGGTGTGGGAGGTGCTATTTTGGGGCTTGGCCAGTCATATGGAGATAAGCCTACAAGGTTGGGGACCTGGCAGATGCTGTGCCCGGGTAGGCTAATGTTCCTGTTAGCTAAATTTTTTAGGTCTCTAGATGGAAAGCCAGGGCATGGCTAGGCAGCAAAATACCAGAGTTTCAAACAAGTGTAGCTAAATAATATACTTAATAAAGGTTGAGTACAGGTTATAAACAAGGAGTGACAGTAAGTGATGATGGTTATCTCTGGGAAGGAGGGGCAGTGCGACTGGAAAAGGGAACACAGTGAAGAAGACTTTCACAATATTTTGTATGATTTTTTTAATAACTAAAATGTAAAGATACAGGATTTAAAGCACACATAAACAGCCATTTGTATGTTGGTATATGGGTGTTAATATTCCTTGTATGATTTTGTTATTGTTTCTTAACATGCATCCTACATGTTCTGGCCAGAGTCAGCAGTTAATTTACAGTTGGGAGTCAAGGAACTGCAGGCAAAGGAGACCTTGATAGGCCAAAGCGGAGGGGGTGAGGCAGGCTGGGAGTGGGTCAGGGATGGCCTACAGTGAGACTTTGCGCTCTGTCCTCCTGCTTGGCTGACTGGCCAAAAAGGCAAAGAAAGAGGTGGGGGTTTTTTTTTTCTCTCTTTTAATGCCTACAAAATGATCAGCTAGCTTTTATTCTTCTAACTTTTGATTTTGATTATTTCTCCTAACACATTGAAAGTAAAGTTTAGGTGTGTACTTATTCCTATCCAACATATGATTTTGAAAACTTTTAAGCCTACAAAAAGTGGAAAGAACATTATAGTGAACACCTATACATCTTTAGCTATATTCACTGATTGTTAACATTTTGTAACTTTTCTTTATCTAGGGTGAGAGTAGAATCAAAGATTTTTATCTGATTTGTTGACTTGTAGTTAGATTATAACCTAGTGTTTCTCACATTCAGAATGTCTGAGTATGTTCTTGGGCAAGTCAGTACTGAAGAAGGCCTCTGAGGAAAATTGAGGAATGTAGCCATCTTCCAAAGATTGAACTCTCAAGTCTATACTCTGCTTATAATAGATGCTCAATAGATATTTGTTGAACGAACAAGTCATGGTAGAGTCAGAGGTTGTCTTTGAGACCTTCTGTTTTGCAGAAACCCATCCTTTTAAAGATACGTGTTAAAAGAACAATTTCAGCCTAATTAAATTTAATGGAGTTTAATTGAGCAATGAACAATTTGCGAATCAGGTAACCCCAGAATCACAGCAGATTCACAGAGACTCCAGTGCAGCCACGTGGTAGAAGAAGATTTATAGACAAAAAAAGGGAAATGACGTACAGGAATTGGAAGTGAGGTATGGAATGGCTTGATTGATTACAGCTCGGCATATGCCTTATTTGAACATGGTTTGAACACTCAGCAGTGTATGAATGGTTGAAGTATGGCTGCTGAGATTGGCCAAGGCTTAGCAGTTGTTACAGGCTCATACTCCTAAGTTAGGTTTTCAGTCTTGTCTGACTATTAAGCTAGGTTATAATTCATTCACAAGGACTCAACTGTAGAAGTACGGAGTCTTTCTCAGGCCATATTTAGTTTGCTTTAACATATGTATTTACCTTTTAGGGGAACCTTCATACATTATTGGTAGGAATGTAAATAAGTACAGCCACTGTGAAGGACATTATGGAGGTTCCTCAGAGAACTAAAAATAGGAGCTCTCCCATATGATCCAGCAATCCCACTGCTAGGTATATACCCCCAAAAAAGGAAATCAGTAGTATCATTGAAGAGGTATCTGCACTCCCATGTTTATTCCAGCACTATTCACAGCAGCCATGATTTGAAAACACCGTAAGTGTCCGTCACCAGATGAACGGATTTTAAAAATGTGGTACTTATGTACAATGGAATACTGTTCGACCATAAAAAATGAGATCCTGTCATTGCAGCAACATGGATGGAATGGAAGACATTATGTTAAGTGAAATAAGCCAGGCACAGAAAGACAAACTTCACATGTTCTCACACACTTGTGGGAGCTAAAAGTTAAAATAATTGAACTCATGGAGATGGAAAGTAGAAGGATGGTTATCAGAGACTGGGAAGGGCAGGGAGAAGAGTGGGAACTGTTAATAGATACAAAAGTATAGATAGAATGAATAAGATCTAGTATTGGATAGAATAACAAGGTGACTGCAGTCAGCAGTAATTTGTTGTACATTTTAAAATAACTCAGTATAGTTGGAATGTTGGTAACACAAAGAAATGATAAATGCTTGAAGGGATGGCTATGCCATTTACCTTGATGTGATTATTTTGCATTATATGCCTGTATCAAAGTATCTCATGTACCCCATAAATATATACACCTCTTGTGTACCCAAAGCAATTTAAATAAATATGAATTTTTAAAAGATACGTATTTACCTTTCAAATCAACAGATTACATTGGATGTCTTGAGCGGGTCCATAAGTGCTTAGCCTAAACCAATTCATTTTAAATCCCTGTAACTTTTTGTACCCTAGCGTTCTCTTCACACCTTTTGGTTACAGTTTTTCTTCCCCCCAAAAAATGCTGCAAGTGAGTTGGGTTAAATCTGGAGGTAGAAAAGTAGATCTTTTTAGCTACTTTAACTTATTCAGTGAATCTTGAGTTTAATTTTGGGCTAATTTTGATATTGGAACATTGAGTAAGTGTAATCAGGTAGGACTGCAATGCAGTGAAATAGATGCCAACATGATGTTTACATTTCACCCAAATTCCCAGAATTAAAACTTACATATGAACTATAATGGTAGCTTTGATTGTCATTCTAGCTTTGACTTAGTTGGGTATAATTTTGAGATGGTTCCTTAGATATGAATATCTGACTAATAGATGTTCTTTTCATGTAAAATCATATAAACTTAATGTTGGAAGATACCTTTGAGATACCAACTTTAACCAGTCAATGTTAGACTTTTTTAAAAAAAGAAGTAAATTCTACATAAGGCAGCACTGAACGAAGGATCTGGAATACTGGGTTTGAATGCCAGTTCTGCCACTTCCTCCTATATCACACAACCAGTGGTAGAACTGGGATTCAAACCCAGTATTCCAGATCCTTGGTTCAGTGCTGCTTTTCCCACACCACGGGGCCTCAAAAACACTCCCACCATGTCTGGCCATTCCAGGGAGATTTCTTTCAGCTCCTAGGGAAAGGTCAGGGGAGTTCCCTCACCACTGCACTAAAAGAAGTGTTCACACTTGGAATGGAGATTAAGATTTCCCATTACAAACAATACCAAAGAAGACCACAGTTCAATGACATGTGTAAACAGTGTTTGAAGATATCTAACATTGTTCAAAATAAGCTGCCAATTCAAAACCATGCTAATAGTTTAAACTTAAATGGCCAACTTATAAATACAACTTTGAAGCATATCAACTTATGGGCATCTGTACCACAACTGGAAGTGTGAATATTTAGATTTTTTTGTATGACTGGTATTGAACTGACTCCCCGATGGACCATTGATGTTATCAACATTCAGGATGTAGGCCGGGCGCGGTGATGCACGCCTGCAATCCCATCACTTTGGGAGGCCAAGGCAGGTGGATCACTTGAGCTCAGGAGTTCAAGACCAGCCTGGGCAACATAGTGAAACCCAGTCTTTACAAAAAACAAAAAATTAGCAGGGCATGGTGGCACATGCCTATAGTCCAAAAAAAAAAAAAAAAAAAAATTAAGATGTAATAATGTGGCACTGCCTGGCTTCAGGTTTTTGTTTTGTTTTTAATGAAAAATAATGAACAGAAAGTTCACATAAACGAATAAATAACCTTCAATATAAGCCTGGAATACATTTTTATAATGATGTATCCAATATTTTTTAAGTTGTCAAAAATAATCTTTTTAAAATGTTCTTAAAGTTAATTGAAAAATTAGTTTCAAATGATGTACATTTTAAAAATATGTTGGGGAGCATAATAATAGTGAAATAACTATTGAAATTAAATGTTTTTGTCTTTAAATGTTAAAATGTGTATTCTTACAGGGAAGAATCCCACTGATGCATACCTTGATGCCATGATGAATGAGGCCCCAGGGCCCATCAATTTCACCATGTTCCTGACCATGTTTGGTGAGAAGTTAAATGGCACAGATCCTGAAGATGTCATCAGAAACGCCTTTGCTTGCTTTGATGAAGAAGCAACAGGTGAGTGCTATTTGTTTATGCCCAGCCTCATTCCACACTATATAAAGTACTTCTGTGAAATAGAAGGGGTTTTCTTTTTTTACCTTTAGAAAATATTTGCTTAAGAATAATTTTGTAAGCATATGATCTGTTTCTGAGCTTTTAAATGATTTGATCTAATATTAACACAGAACTCTAAGAATAATTGGAAAACATAATGATATAGTTCATATAGCCTTAGTTCACTAACTTACTTTGTTTATAGATATGGATATTCTGAAATATTTTATACGATTGACAAGCTTTAGGAATGAACCATCAAAGTGCCAGGAAGTATTGATGACTGCTTTCTTCTTTCTATTGTCTTCCAGGCACCATTCAGGAAGATTACCTAAGAGAGCTGCTGACAACCATGGGGGATCGGTTTACAGATGAGGAAGTGGATGAGCTGTACAGAGAAGCACCTATTGACAAAAAGGGGAATTTCAATTACATCGAGTTCACACGCATCCTGAAACATGGAGCCAAAGACAAAGATGACTGAAAGAACTTTAGCTAAAATCTTCCAGTTACATTGTCTTACTCTCTTTTACTTCTCAGACACTTCCCCCACCCTCATAGAACCTGTTGCATGCAACTTAGTTTCACAGCTTTGCCTCTTCTTTTTGATGTATTTATTCCAGACCTTTCTGCCACTTAGCACTTGTATAATCAGACTGGAAATGGGGATGAGGGTGTAAATTGTATTGAAAAAGATCGCGAATAAAAATCAACAAATGTGAAAGCCCAGAAAAATATATTCGTATTTCTGGTTTTGCTGGATTTTTACATTTTTATATAATAAAAATGTTATTTTGAAATAAAGATTATGCTGACTCAAATGCAATGTAATGGCAAGTTAAACAAATGATTGATAGGTGGGGGTAGTCCTTTTTTCAGGTTTTCAACTTCATATGATTCAGGTTTTATGGTAAAATTGATTTTTCACATATATGGGACAGTGTTCTTCAGAACTTTTAAGTACCCTTTAACATTATTATGCAGTAAAAACTAGTTATGCCATTGTTTTTCACGCTTCTAGTCAGATGTTTATTAAATGATAAATATAGAATGTATCTGGGAAAACATTAAACATTGCGTTCATCTAAGATTCTGAGAAGAGGCAAAATTCCGAAGATTAGTTATTGTACATTTACTATATGTGGAGCGTTGTGCCTACACAATTTTTCTTGAATCTTCCCAACAACCTTGTGGGATTTTTATTAGCCCTGTATTTCAAGTGGGAGGACCTAGCATACTTGAGCAGTTGATTAGGGTAACTATTAGGACATGAGTTGGAATTCCAACCTAGGGCACCTAACTTCAGAGCTCACAGTGCTGGAACCACGATACTGTCTCTGAAAAGCCCCAAATGTCTAAAAGAGTCAAGACATTTCTGTTCTATTATGATACAATTCTGTGGTCATTATTGAAATTTAAAATAATCTTGGGGTAATTGATGATTGGAACAGAATTTCAGAAAATTCTATTCCAGGTTAAAATAAACAATACTATTGTGTGTTTGAAGGCACTTCATGTAATATATAGACTAGAAAAGAGCCGAAAGACAAGGTTGCTGTGAGCTCAGAATCCTCAAGGCCAAGCAATACGAGAATAAAGAGAACAATCTAAAAAAGGAAAAAATCCGTTTTAAAAAATTACCCAACGTTGTTCAATACCGATTTCCCCTCTTAAAAGTATTGTGATGGTATTTTGTCTGCTTAACACCAAAGCATTTATATGTTGTTTAATATTGGTGCTTTACAACTTGGGGCAGTAGGCTGGTCTGTATTCACTTGCTAACAATTTGCCTGGGCTTCCTTTTATCATTAGAATGAGGGAGCAGCTCATATGAACTGTCACATTTATCACCCAATCCTCTTAGTCTCTGAGGTATCAGTTCTACTTTTTATTAATAGACCTGAAGTTTAGACTGAAGCTCCTGCCCAAGATCTAACAAATATAAGAATCTACATCTGGCTCTTTTTTCCACTTAGAAGCTTAAACTCACCACAATGTGTCACAAAACCAGGTGGAGAATTGTGTGTTTCACAGGAAACAGAAAAATACGGTGGGATAATCTTGATGATTATTGAACCATTGTCAACCACCTGTTATGTACCCTACACTGTTGTAAGGGTTGGGGATAACTGGGGGGTGGGACAGACAAGGATGCTGCCCTCGTGGGACTGCATTCTCTGCTGGCAGACAATCCATGTGCAATTTCAGGTTAAGTGCTGTGCAGAGAACTGGGCATGCATGACAGGGTGGTCAGGAAAGGCCTCTGGGTGGTAAGCTGAGATCTGAATGACAGGAAGGAGGTCCGGACCCATGTGAGGATCAGGGCGAGGCTGTCGTGTGGTAGGAGCATCGGGAGAGCACATGGATGATACGGGTCCAGGGAGGGTATTTGGAGCAGAGTCCTAATGTGAAATGCAGGGAAGAAAGGTGATTTATATTTTTAAAATCAGTGTTGGTGCTGTGTCTTGAATGGAGGGGCACGAAGAGAAGCAAGAAGGCCGGTATGGAGGCTGTTGCCGTCGTCCAGGCAAGAGGGGGCAGCATGGACTCAGGTCCAGGGGAGATAGCTATAAAACGCCTCTCCGGGTCCTATCTGTTTCCTCCCCTCCAGCTCAGCCTTGTTTCCATCTCTGGCATAATCGTAACTGTGCTTATTTTATTGATCTGCTTAAAGCCAGATTTGAAAAATTGAGAGAAAAGTTTTGAAGATTAAAAACAAAAAAACTTAGTTGTTTCTCGACTGCCTTACGTTTACCTGACACACTGTTCTGTTTCATCTGTATTATTTGTGAAGAGTGTTGTGGAATCCAGTAGTGGAAGACACCTGGGCCAAGACTTTGTTTCTTTTTGGTGTCCAGTAAATATTATTAATGATGACGATGAAAACTTTGTCTACTTAATATCTCCTTTTGAGAACCACATAGTGACAATCTCCTAAGTTGATGGTTGATTCTGTGGCCACTGCAGTGAGTGTGTGTGTGTGGTCACATAGTGAAAATGCACTGAGTATTCACTATGTACGAAGCACGTTACACAACTGCCCTTTGAGGTAGGTCTTTTTGGGTTTTTTTTGTTTTTTTTTTTTGAGACAGAGTCACTCAGGCTGAAGTACAGTGGCACAGTCTTGGCTCACTGCAACCTCCACTTGCAGGTTCAATCAAGCGATTCTCGTGCCTCGGCCTCCCAAGTAGTTGGAATTACAGGTGTGCACCACCACACCTGGCTAATTTTCGTATTTTTAGTAGAGATGGGGTTTCACTATGTTGGCCAAGCTGGACTCAAACTCCTGGCCTCAAGTGATCCGCCCGCCTCAGCCTCCCAAAGTGCTGGGATTACAGGCATGAGCCACCGCGGCCGGCCTGAGGTAGGTATTGTTATCCCTGTTCTACAAATGAAATGTCAGGGGGCAAGGAAGTAACTTCCCAAAGTTACACAGGGAATAAGCAGTGGGGCAGTCACCTGAGCGCAGGCAGTTGTGCTCCTCCCAAGAAAGTGATTATGGAAACACCGTCGATAGTTTCTTATGGTCATGAGCCAGTTTTACAAGCGTTTGTGAATTGTGCTTGATCCTCAGAACGCTAGGAAGTGGATAAAGTAGGAATTGTCATCCCATTTCACAGATGAGATTACTGAAGTTACCTGACCTGCTCAACTTTGTATAACTAAAGAAGCTAGAGAAATGTCGAGCTTCTAACCTTTTTGACCGAGATGGGTGCTTCTCATTAAACCTATAATTTCCTAATTACATAATTAGTACCTGTAGCCTGATCAGAATGTCTCACAATGTATATATTTAATACTGTCTATCCTACGAGCAGCAATTATACTGATTTGCATCTCAAAATTGATATGTGTTAAAATATAAGAAACAGAAATATAAAATAAATTTATATTTCTTAAATTATAAGAAACACAGTTTTTGAAATAGAAACATAAACTACTGAAAAATCGGGTATAAAAAGATCCCTTAGAAACATCATCTGGGAAATCTGAATGAGGATGTAAAGATTTATCACATACTAAAATTTCAAGAAAAGGTTTCTTGTATAGAAAAATGATGAAGATGATGGATTGCACATATCACACAGTCTCTTAAGTGGATCTTTTTTTTTTAGAATGGTTGTCATAGGCAATTTTAGAGACAATAACTAGAAGTGTCACTAGGTGGCACTATTGTTCTTAATATAGTACTGTCTTAACCCATTCCCTAATGAATTTGAGATAAAGCAGCCAAATCATGAGTATCTAGACAGCATTATTGTCAGTAATGCTGTGACTTTCTCAAAGTTGTTTCTTAAATAATTGATGAAAAGTCTTACAATTAAATTCATACTATTTCATGAGCCCCAAATGTAGGGAATAATCTCTAGGACTCCTTTTTACAAATATCAATGGCAAATTCCCTTCCCCTTCTCCACCCCTTTTGCCTTTTCCTTCCCCTTCCCCTCCCCTCTTTTTTCCTTCCTTCCTTCCTTCCTTCCTTCCTTCCTTCCTTCCTTCCTCCTTCCTTCATTAATTTACAAGTATTTATTGAGTGCTTGGAAAGTGCCAGAATCTCAGCTTGGCTCCAGTGGCTTTTACACCGAAATAATGACCTTTGTTGAACATGAGATCATAGGCTTTGCACTGAAAAGACCAGACTTCCTCCACTTACTGACTTGAACAAGTCGTTCTTGTTACCATCACTTCAATTTTAGAGATGAGAAGGCTAAAGCACAGAGCTAGTGGTTATGTATGAAAATACTCTGTAAAATTATGCTTTATATAGGAATGCTATTATTACCACCTCAGGAATGTTGAGAACTGTATCTATTATAGTTCTAGATAATATACTCTAATAAGGCACCTAAGCTGATGAAAAACAGGTCTAGCACAAATGACTATGAGACAGCTTCTATTTTTTTTTTCTTTGAGATGGAGTCTTGCTCTGTCACCCAGGCTGGAGTGCAATGGCGTGATCTCGGCTCACTGCAACCTCCACCTCCCAGGTTCAAGAGATTCTCCCGCCTCAGCCTCCCAAGTAGCTGGGACTACAGGCGCCTGCCACCACGCCCAGCTAATTTTTGTATTTTTAGTAGAGACAGGGTTTTGCCATGTTGGCCAGGCTGGTCTCAAAAGGTACGAAAAGTATTTTGTGAGATGCGTATGAATGGGGGTGTTTAAATATAAAACACTGTTCTAACACGTCTCACAGGAGACCAGCCTAATCTTTTACCAGCCGCACTTAACTGCAGTTGATTGTATTGCCAGGACACAGGCTTCCTTTCAGACAGTCATTCTTAATGAACTTGATGATGATTCATATTTCCTCGTGGACACTGGTAACTAGCACAGCGAAAACCAATCTGAGGACCTTCGTCTACTCGCATTTTTTAATAATCCGAGTGTAAATTGAGGTTGGCTCATTTGGGAGGTTGTGCTTACTGTACTTTTTCTCAAGTAATCTTTTATTCAATCTATTTATTCAGTTCTTACTTACTGAAGTGTACATTACATCTGAGAGCCGAGGGTGATAGCGAAACTAGGACCCTACTCTCTGGGAGTGTTTTAATGCCCAGCACTTTGGAAGCACGTAACGAATGTGAGTTCTTATCTGTTACCAGGGTGCCAAACAGCTGTTCAGGAGCTGCGACGGGTGTCTAACTGCTCACTGAAGAGGTCAAAGAGAGCTTTGAGAAATGCTTGCCCTGACAGTGATGTTTGTTCTCTCAGTGCTACCGCTGATCGCCTTCATACCAGCCAATCGCATAGCTGAGAACTCAAGCAAGCACGAAATAGAAAAACCTCAATTTGAAGAGTTTTATATTGAAAATATCCAGGATTTCCTGATTATTTTACAGACAAGCTAACGAAATTCAGTAGATGACCTGCGTTTCATCGCTGCCAGATGATAAACATTTGGGAGCAGGGACCACTTGCTGAAAGGCATCTTGAGAGATATGCTCCCACTTCTCAGATCGGAAGACTAAGGCCCCAAAGCCTCCAGATCTAGCCTCTTAATCCAGGCTTCTTCTTAGCCACTGTGGTCTCACCCCGTTTATCAGGCAGTGGGATCTGTCTGCCCCACCCAACTCCAGAGCTTTTCCTTTTGTTTTGGAATTGCCCTTGAGTTCTGCGCTGCTCTTCTCCTCTTCCCCGTGGGTATGAAAACACCAAGGATGTCAACAGGAAAAGACAAGGATCTGTAAACAGAGAAGCGAGCAGGAAACAAGGCCCGCATTCATGGGAATAAACTCAGCAACCCTAGAACATTTGCCATTCATAACGGCAAATTTTAATCAGTGGTGCTGAGAAACTCTTCCCAAGCAAAAAAGGCTTGTGTCTCTCTGGGGTGGGCCTCTCTCCTTGCTCCAAATCTGGTCTTAGTTCCCAGTCTAAGGTAGCTAGGGGATCTTCACAGCACACTCCTTGAACAATATCACATTTATATAACCTTGCCCCTCCCTTGTTTGTGAGTCTGGCTATTTCTTTCCCTGTTAAAAGACAAAACCCCAACCTCGTCATAGAACACCCACCAAACAAGAGCAGGAATCCCTCTTTATCTGATGGGCTTGCCATGCAGAGCTGCGGACCCTGAGTTGCCTGGCAGATGGGAAGCAAGCCCATCCTGCCCTGTGGAGGGGAGGGGCGGAGGAGAGCCCACTGCCAGTCCACAGCGGCCACACTGGAGAGACCTGCAAATCCGGGCTGGCCGTGCAAATCCGGGCTCATTGTCAGGCTGGCAGCATTGGCCAGGCCTGAGTAAATCAAGTGAAACAGAAGACAGATGGATGTGACCAAGTTATTGCCAAGAGGAAACAGACAAGGTAATTTTAAAGAGATGAAAAATAAGCTTTTCTACTCTGCATAATCATGGAGATGGAAAAGGTTAGATTCTTGCTTACCTTTTCAGTGCATATCTGTGTTTTTATGCATATGATTTTTGTTGTGATTTTTTTCTTTTTGACCTCATATGTTGCACCTATCTGTCATGTCACTGCTACCACTTTGCTACTTTACCTGAATATGTGAAAACGGACCTCGATTTTGAAACTCTTCCGTGGCACATTTTTCTTTTATTTGAAAAGATGCGTTTGATTTAGAAAATACAAAGGCACTCTCCTACTTTCTTTGCACCTGGGCTAAATTGGACATAGGTATCAAAATTAGCTACCTCCTCACCTGTGAAAGAGACACTGATAACAGATTGAGGGTGGGATGGGCCGGCCGTGAGGACCTGTGGTGCAGGTCGGGGTTGTCCAGGCCAGGGCAGTGTGAGTCAGGGACAAGTATGTGTTCCAGCTTTTGTGCTTGTGTCACAGAGGTCAGAAATGACAAGCAGATAGGGAAATCTGTGGCTTTGGTTTAAAATAGAGCCCAGGTAGGCCGGGCACAGGGGCTCACACCTCTAATCCCAGCACTCTGGGAGGCCGAGGCGGGCGGATCACCTGAGGTTGGGAGTTCGAGACCGCCTGACCAACGTGGAGAAACCCCGTCTCTTCTAAAAATACAAAATTAGCTGGGCATGGTGGCCTATGCCTGTAATCCCAGCTACTCGGGAGGCTGAGGCAGGAGAATCACTTGAACCCGGGAGGCGGAGGTTGCGGTGAGCCGAGATCACGCCACTGTACTGCAGCCTGGGCAACAAGAGTGAAACTCCCTCTCAAAAAACAACAAAAAAAATAGAGCCCAGGTATTGTATTTTGAAATCAATTTATATATAATATGTGTGTTCCATGCATATGTGCACATGTGTGTTCATGCAGCCATAAATCAAACATCTCTGGAAAGACACACCAGAAGCTAGTTGCTGTTGTGGTGGGAATTTGTAGCCATGGGCCAGGGGTGAGAGGAAAACTTAATTACATTGTAAACACTTTCTTTTTAAAATTTTAGAATGTGCACTTGCATTTCCCATTAAAACTAAAACATATGATAATCATCTTAACTAAAGGATATATTCTTTACAAGCATAGGAAAAATCTCAAAGTAGTCCCATTAAGCAATTTCTTCCTTGGCATAAGGGGAATAAAATCCTAGTTGTCACCTCAGTTTGAAGGGAGGTTAAAGTGGGTTATCTTTCCTTTATGACTTTACTACAGAGATGTTGAAGGGCCAAGCATATGTTCCCAAGTAAGCAAGTGGCTCTTGAGTACCATGGGTTCGGGGGCTCCTGATAGCAGTGCTACGGCAAAGATGGTGAGAACTTTGGTGTTTGTGTTGGTTGGGCCTGGATGCCACCTTCCTGGCCCTGTCATTGGTTCACCCGTATTCTTAGAAAGATCTGAGCTGGAGTGGTGGAGATTGAGAAAATGAATGAATTGGAAGAAGATTCTGAAGAAGTAGGAGTGACTGAAGAATCTGTGAGCTCCTCTATTGACAGGGAAGAGCTCCCTTCCCTGTGGCCCCCAATACAAATGTGAAAACCAATCCCAGAAAAAAACAACAACAAAGATCACTAATAGCAGTAGAAAAAAATACATTGGGGGTGGGAAATATTATATTCTAATATTAGAAGTAGGAGACTAGTTAAGGAGCTCCTGCAGCACTTCGGCCAAAAAGGAGTGAGATGGTGAAGAAGCGGGCAGTTGCAGAAATGATAGGAGTGACACCGTGCTTTCCCTCCCCTGGAAGACAGGGATCAGGATGTCGCTGCAGGTCTACTTGAAGGTATCAGTAGAAATGGACAGACAGCATCTGTATTAGTCAGTTCTTACACTGCTACAAAGACATACTTGAGACTGGGTAATTTATAAAGGAAATAGGTTTAACTGACTCACAGATCTGCAGGCTGTACAGGAGGCTTGGCTGGGAGGCCTCAAGAAACTTACAATCATGGCTGAAGGGGAAGCCAGCACGTCTTACATGGCGGGAGGAGGAGGAAGAGAGAGAGCGGGAGGAGGGAAGAGAAAGAGCGAAAGGGGAAGTGCTACATACTTTCAAATGACCAGATCTTGTGAGAGCTCTATCACAGGAACGGCAAGGGGGACACCCACCCCAACCAGGCCTTTCCTCCAACACTAGGAATTACAATTCGACATGAGATTTGGGTGGGGACACAGAGCCAAACCATATCAACATCCAAGCCTATGTCAGATCAAGGCCTAGGGAACTCGTGCAAAGGCAGTATCAAATGCATCCAACTTCGCCAGGAGGAGGGAGCTAAAGGATCAGACCAGGTGGGATGGAGAGTGAAGGGAGAAAGTGCAAGTAGATGCCAGAGTGGCCTGATTTTGTGGGTCACTTGCAGCTGCTGGTGAGCATACTAGGAGCCCTGAAGGAGACACAGGGAACACATATATGGGGATGGATAGGAGTCTGGGATCACTCACTTTCAGGCTTACGGAGTAGCTGAGTGGGTGGAGGTGTAGTCAAGAGAGATAGAGAGTTCAGGACAAAGTTTTGGGGGAGAAAATGACGAGTTCAGTTTTAAACATTTTTTTTTTCAATTTTAATTTTTCATTTTTGTGGGTCCACAGTAGGCAAATATATTTATGGCATATATGAGATATTTTGATACAGGCATGCAATGCATAATAATCACATCCATGTAAATGGGGTTTCCATTACCTCAAGCATTTAGCATTTCTTTGTGTTACAAACATTCCAACTATACTCTTTCAACTACTTAAAGATGTACAATAAATTATCATTGACTGTAGTCACCCTGTTACGCTACCAAATACTAGATCTTATTCATTCTCTCTAACTTTATTTTTGTACCCGTTAACCATCCCCACTTTCCCCTGCCTCCGACTACCCTTCCTAGCCTCTGGTAACCATCCTTCTTCTATCTCCATGAGTTCAATTGTTTTAATTTTTATCTCCCACAAATGAGTGAGAACATGTGAAGTTTGTCTTTCTGTGCCTGGCTTATTTCACTTAATATAATGATCTCCAGTTCTATCCATGTTGTTGCAAATGACAGGAACTCTTTTTTCTTTTTTATGGCTGAATAGTTCTCCACCATGTATACATACCACATTTTCTTTATCCATTCATCTGTTGATGGACAGTTAGGTTGCTTTCAGATCTTGGCTATTGTGAATAGTGCTGCAATAAACATGGGAGTCAGACATTTCTCGGATATACTGATTCCCTTTCTTTTGGGCATATACCTAGCAGTGGGATTGCTGGATCTTGTGGTAATTCTATGTTTAGTCTTTTGAGGAGCCTCCAAACTCTTCTCCATAGTGGTTGTACTAACACACATTTCTACCAAAAGTGTACAAGGTTTCCTTTTTCTCCATATCCTCTCCAGCATTCATTATTGCTTATCTTTTGGATAGAAGCCATTTTAGCTGGGTGATTGATATCTCATTGCTGTTTTGATTTGCATTTCTGTTGATCAATGATGTAGAGCACCTTTTCATATACCTGTTGATTATTTGTATATCTTTTTTTTTTGTTTTTTCTGAGATAGAGTCTCATTCCGTCACCCAGGCTGGAGTGCAGTGGCATGATCTCGGCTCACTGCAACCTCTGCCTCCTGGGTTCAAGCAATTCTCCTTCCTTAGCCTCCCGAGTAGCTGGGATTACAGGCATGCGCCACCATGCCTGGATAACTTTTGTGTTTTTAGTAGAGATGGGGCTTCACCATGTTGATCAGGCCAGTCTCAAACTCCTGACCTCAAGTGATCCCCTCACCTCGGCCTCCCAAAGTGCTGGGATTACAGGCATGAGCCACTGCACCTGGCTTGTATATATTCTTTAAAGAAATGTCTATTCAGATATTTTGTCCATTTTTAAATTGAATAATTAGATTTTTTTCCTATTGAGTTGTGTGAGCTCCTTATATATTCTGGATATTAATCCCTTGTTAAATGGATAGCTTGCAAATACGTTCTCCCATTCTGTGGGTTGTCTCTTCACTTTGTTGTTTCCTTTGCTGTGCAGAAGCTTTTGAACTTGAAGTGATCCCATTTGTGTATTTTTGCTTTGGTTGCCTGTGCTTGTGGAGCATTACTCAAGAAATCTTTGCCCAGACCAATGTCCTGTAGAGTTTCCTCAATGTTTTCTTAAAGTGTTTTCATAATTTGAGGTCTTAAATTTAAGTGTTTACTCCATCTTGATTTGATTTTTGTATACGGTGAGAGATAAGAGTCTAGTTTCATTCTTCTGCATATGGATATCCAGTTTTCCCAGGACCATGTATTGAAGAGACAGTCCTTTTCCCAATGTGTGTTCCTGGCACTTTTGTCAAAAACGAGTTCACTATAGATGCATGGATTTATTTCTGGATTCTCTATTCTTTTTTTTTTTTTTTTTGAGATGGAGTCTCACTCTGTCGCCCAGGCCAGGCTGGAGTGCAATGGCGCAATCTTGGCTCACTGCAACCTCTGCCTCCCAGGTTCAAGCGATTCTCCTGCCTCAGCCTCCTGAGTAGCTGGGATTACAGGCGTGCACCACCACGCCCAGCTAATTTTTGTATTTTTTTTTTTTTAGTAGAGACGGGATTTCACCATGTTGGTCAGGCTGGTCTCGAATCCCTAACCTCGTGGTCTGCCTGCCTCGGCCTCCCAAAGTGCTGGGATTACAGGTGTGAGCCACTGTGCCTGGCCTGGATTCTCTATTCTTTTCCATGGTCTATGTGTCTGTCATGCCATTACTGTGCTGTTTTGATTACTATAGCTCTGTAGTACAATTTGAAGTCAGGTAATGTGATTCCTCAAGTTTTATTCTTTTTGCTCAGGATAGCTTTGGCTACTCTGGTACTTTTGTGGTTTCACGTAAATTTTAGGATTTTTTTTCTATTTTGGAGAACAACGTCATTGGTATTTTAATAGAGATTACATTGAATCTGTAGATTGCTTTGGGTAGTATGCACATTTTTAACAATATTGATTCTTCCAATCCGAGAACATGAAATATCTTTCCATTTTTTTGTGTGTCTTCAACTTCTTGCATCATTGCTTGATAGTTTTCATCGTAGAGCTCTTTCACTTCTTCTTCCTTTTTTTTTTTTTTTTTTTTTTTGAGACAAGGTGGTCTCTCTCTGTTGCCCAGGCTGAAGTATGGAGTGCAGTAGTATTATCATAGCTCACTGCAATCTGAAACTACTTTGCTCAAGTGATCCTTCTAACTCGGCCTCCTGAGTATCTGGGACTACAAGCATGCACCACCACACCCAGCTAACTTTTTTACTTTTAGTAGAGATGAGGTCTTGCTATGTTATCCAGGCTGGTCTTGAACTCCTGGGCTCAAGTGATCCTCCCACCTTGTTCTCTCAAATTGCTGGGATTATAGGGATGAGCCACCATGCCCATTTCACTTCTTTGGTTAAGTTCATTCCTAGATATTTTATTTTATTTTTAGCTGATATAAATGGGATTACTTTCTTAATTTCTTTTTCAGATTGTTCAATATTGACATATAGAAATGCTACTGATTTTTGTATGTTGATTTTGTATCCTGCAACTTCACTGAATTTGTTCATCAGTTCTTTTTTCTTTTTTTTGTTTTTGAGACAGAGTCTTACTCTGTCGTCTAGGCTAGAGTGCAGTAGCACGATCTCAGCTCACTGCAGCCTCCACCTCCCAGGTTCAAGCAATTCTCCTGCCTCAGCCTCCCAAGTAGGCGGGATTACAGGCACACACCACCACAGCCAGCTAATTTTTGTATTTTTAGTAGAGACAGGGTTTCACCATGTTGGCCAGGCTGGTCTCAAACCCCTGACCTTAGGTGATCCACCTGCCTTGGCCTCCCAAAGTGCTGGGATTACAGGTGGGAGCCACTGTGTCTGGCTGTTCATCAGTTCTAATAGTTTTTTGGTAGAGTCTTTAGGTTTTTCCAAATATAGGATTCTATTATCTGCCAACAAGGATAATTTAACTCTTCCTTTCCAATTTGGATCCCCTTTATTTCTGTGTTTTATCTGATTTTTCTAGCTAGGACTTCCAGTACTATGTAGAATAACAGTGGTGAAAGTGGGCATCCTTGTCTTGTTTCAGATCTTAGAGTAAAGGCTTTCAGTTTTTCCTCATTGCCTATGACACTAGCTGTGGGCCTGTCATATATGGCTTTTATTATCTTGAGGTATGTTACTTCTATACCCAGTTTTTTTTAGGGTTTTATCATGAAGGGATGTTGAATTTTGTCAAATGCCTTTCTGCATCAGTTGAAAGGATCGTATGGTTTTTGTTTTTATTCTGTTGATATGATGCATCATATTGATTGATCTGCATGTTTTGAACCATCCTTGCATCTCTGGGATAAATTCCACTTGGTCATGATGAATGAAGTTTCAATGTGTTGTTGAATTTGGTTTGTTAATATTATTTTGAGGATTTCTGCATCAAGATTCATCAGGGATATTGGCCTGTGGTTTTCTTTATTTGATGTATCTTTGTCTAGTTTTGCTGTCAGGGTAATAATGGCCTTGTAGAATGAGTTTGGAGATATTTCCTCCCCTATTTTTCAGAATAGTTTGAGTAGGACTGGTATTAGTTCTTTAAATGTTTGGTAAAATTCACGAGTGAAGCCATTAGGTCCTAGGCTTTTCTTTACTGGGAGACTTTTTATTATGGCTTTGATCTCATCACTTGTTATTGGTCTGTTCAGCTGTTGGATTTCTTCGTGGTTCAATCTCAGTAGGTTTTATGTGTCTAGGAATTTATCCATTTCTTCTAGGTTTTCCAATTTATTGGCAGAGAGTTTCTCATAGTAACCTCTAATGATCCTTTGAATTTCTGCAATATTAGTTGTAATATCTCTTTTTTTATCTCTGCTCTTTTCTGGTTTCCATTTGCATAAAGTATCTTTTTCCATCTCTTCATTTTCAGTCCATGTGCGACTTTATATATGAAGTGTGTTCCTTGTAAGCAACAGATCATTGGGTTTTGTTTTTTAAGATCTATTAATATTCAGCCACTCGGTATCTTTTGATTGGAGAATTTAGTCCATTTACATTCCATGTTAAGAATGAATTTCTGCCATTTTGTTGTTTGTCTTCTGGTTATTTCATAGTCTTCTCTTCCTTTTTTCCTTTCTTCCTGTCTTTCTTTTAGTAAAGGTGATTTTCTCTGGTGGTATGTTTTAATTTTCTGCTTTTCATTTTTTGTGTGTGTTTTTTTATTTGAGGTTACCATGAGGCCTGCATATATAACTAGTCTTATAACTGATTATTTTAAGCTGATAATAGTGATTGCATAAACAAACTAATAAGCAAAGAGAAAACTAATAAAAACTCTACACTTTAACTCCATCCCCTACTTTTTAACTTTTTGTTGTTTCTATTTATGTCTTATTGTACTATGTCTTGAAAAGTTGTTGTGGCTATTTTTGATAGGCTCATCTTTTAGTCTTTCTACTCAAGATATGACTAGTTTACACACCACAATTACAGTGTTATAATATTCTGTTGTTTTCTGTGTTCTTACTATTACCAGTGAGTTTTGAACCTTCAGATGATTTCCTATTGCTCATTAACGTCCCTTTCTTTCAGATTGAAAAACTCCCTTTAGCATTCCTTGTAAGACAGGTCTAGCATTGATGAAATCCCTTGGCCTCTTTTTTTTTTGTCTGGGGTACAGTGGAGGAGTCTTTATTTCCCCTTCATGTTTAAGGTATATTTTTGTTGGACATACCATTTTAGGATAAAAGGTTTTTTTCTTTAGCACTTTAAATATGTCACACCACTCCTTCTTGGCCTGTAAGGTTTCCACTGAGAAGTCTGCTGCCAGATGTATTGGAGCTCCATTGTATGTTATTTGTTTCTTTCTCTTGCTGCTTTTAGGATCCTTTCTTTGTCCTTGACCTTTGGAAGTCTGATTATTAAATGTCATGAGGTAGTCTTATTTGGATTAAATCTGCTTGGTGTTCTATAACTTTCTTGTACTTGAATATTGATATCTTCTCTAGGTTTGGGAAGTTCTCTGTTATTATTCCTTTGAATAAACTTTCTATTCTGATCTCTCTATTTACCTCCCCTTTAAGGCCTATAACCCTTATTTGAACTTTTTGAATTACAGATGCTTGGTATCCAACTGGTCCACATTAAATCCAGAAAGCATCTAGGTAATGCAAGAGATGTCGTAGAACCTAAGAGAAAAGAATCTCAAGAAAGAAAATGTGACAAAAGTGTTAATTGCTTCAGTGAAATCAAATAAGTGTCCATTTGTTTTGACAATATGGAAGTAACTGGTGCTCCCAGTGAAAACATTTTTGGTAGAATGCTGTCTTAGTTCATTTTGTACTGCTATAACAGAATATCTGAGATTGGATAATTTATAAAGAACAGAAATTTATTTCTTACAGTTCTGGAGGCTGGGGAGTCCAAGATTGAAGGGCCTATATCTGAAGGGGGCCTTCTTGATGCATCATCCCATCATGGAAGGCAGAAGGGCAATAAAGCATGTGAGAGAGAGATGGGAAGAGGGCTGAACTTATCCTTTTATCAGAAATCCATTTCCACAATAATGGCATTAATCCATTCATGAGGACTGAGCTCTCATGACCTAATTACCTCTTAAAAGTCCCACCTCTCAACACTTTTGCATTGGGGATTAAGTTTACAACACATGAACTTTGGAGAACACATTCAACCCATAGCAATTTGTGTCAGTAGAAACCAGATTACAATAATTGAAGAAGAAAAGGAGAGGTAAGGGGACTGCTTCAGTGGGAAATGAACTTGATGTAATAATTACTTCCAAGTAGGGTGACCAATTGTCCCCATTTGCACAGAACTGAGGGGGTTTCTAGGATACTGGATTTGCGTGCAAAAGCTACAAATCAGGACAAGTTGTTCATGCTACCTCCAAGTACACTATCAGGCAGGCTGCTCTAGAGTTCATAAAAGAGACAGGGTGAGAGAAAATTGCAAAGACGCTGGAATCACAAGGTTTATTTATGTTTTCTTTTCTTTTTTGAGACAGGGTCTTGCTCTGTCACCCAGGCTGGAGTGCAGTGGTGTCATCATGGCTCATTGCAGCCTCATCCTCCTGGGCTTAAGCAATCCTCCCACCTCAAACTCCCTAGTAGCTAGGACTACAGGCACACACTAGCATGCTCAGCTAATTTTTTGTTTTTATTTTTGTTTTAGAGACAAGGTCTCGCTATGTTGCCCAGGCTGGTCTTGAACTCCTGGGCTCAAGCAGTCCTCCCACCTCAGCCTTCCAAAGTGCTAGAATTACAAGTTTGAGCCACCATGTCCAGCCTATGTGTAAATTTTAAACACAAAGCAAGAAGCAAGTGGAAACTGAGATAAGTTATCACACTAAGGATAGGATCCAAGTTGGATGTAAGAGCCATACAAAAAAAATCCTGAGTCACACAATGTTCATATCCTATCTCTCTCACCTACAAAGACACATCAGAATTTCCTACTGATGGCATGGTCTGATGCAGTGACCAGAGTCAAGGGTGAGCAAGGAGACTCAGCAAATTGAAGGTGCCTGAAGCCAACACATGCTTCCTCTTTCAAAGAGATGGAGGACAAGGAGCCTGTGCACAACTGAAATTCACCAATGAAGTGCTGAGGAGCTGTGGATTTATCTGCATATCTTGGACAGAGGTCACCTGGGGCAAGAATAGCTGTCACGATTCAGCAGCTGATTTAAATATGACATAGCTGTCATTCAGGAGGATACATGATCTGTGATTTTACTAATATTTTAGGTTTACTTGGTCCTTCTATCCTTTCCTATCTACAAGTAGCACACTTGGTATTTCCATTCTTTTAATCTATGCTTACCAAACATATGTTCTGTATATGCTATTTATGTTTAACCTAAAAGATTTCTAACTTAGTACATTTGCTATCATTCCTCAACATGTTTTATGAGTGTCACCTATTGTTCTACTTGTTTGTTTCTCTTGTTAATTTCAGAAGAATTGAATATTCTCAAATACTACAGAAAAATCACATTATAGAAGTAACGATAGCATAAATAGACTTTTTGTACTCAACACTTGGCTGTAATGGAAAAGAGAAAAAAAAGTTATTTGCTATAGGGATTTACAGAATCATGGGAAGCTTAAAAAAAAAGAAGCTGAAGATAAAGAACAGCCAGAGACAGAAGTTAATTGATGAAGCATGATTACTGAGAGAGAATAAAAGGTGGAGGGAGAATTGGTAGGAGATCGTATTCTCTTACAGGAGAAGAGGGAAGGAATAATGGGTGGCAATGCAAATATGTATCCAGTGGTGGGTGGGATTCACCAGGTGTGTTTCAGTTTACTTTGTGAAATAATTTGGCTCTTAAATAAGTACTTCCAGGCACTGGTTGATTGATTTACAAATGTTTACTTTTTATTAAGTGTGGTGTGGTGGCCTTGTAATGTATTGACTTGGCTAAGCTGAACTACGTTTTCCACAATTTTGTTTCTTGTATGTTTCTGGTTATGGTGGGCCATGAGGGAGATTCTTGTGAGATTCAGAAAGCAGATGGGAAGCTGCAGTCATTTTGTAGCTCACACACATTGTTGCTGATCTGCTGACTCACCTCATCAGCATGAAGCGGCAGCTGGGCCTGCTCTACCTTCCACTGGGTTTTCCCTCAGCTTCCCTGACTCCTGGGCCTGGTGTGTGTGTGTTTAGTTCCATGAGGTTGGGTCCCCACTATCAACACCAGAAGGAATATGAACTGACATGAGTTTCAATTTGTCCTGCTGGGTTCTAGTTCATGCTGTGGGTTCCAGTCTTTTCTTGATCTTCCTCACTTTATATCCATTGTCGCTTTCCAACTCTCTGCCCTCTGGACTTCAAGCTCCAGTACCAGATGAAAGGACTACAGTCTTACAGAGACTCTTTAACCAGTTCCAACGTTTGTGGAAGGCTGTATTTCTATGAAATAATATCCTCAGATCATGCCTGACTTTATGTTAATGATATCACTCAGGATAGGGGCTGGACATGCCACAAAAGCCATCCATGTGACTGGAGGGTTGGGGCTTTGAGCAATGTGGATATCAGCCTGACTTCTGACCTCTGACCCCCAGGAAGGAGCAGGGGGCTGGAGACTGAATTCGATCACACTGCCAATGATTCAACCAATCATGCCTACAAAATAAAACCCAAATAAAAACTCTGGACATGAAAGCTAGGGGAAACTTCCAGGTTGATAATCATACATCAGTGTGCCAGGAGGATGACAGGTCCTGAGCATAAAGAAGCTTTGAATTTGGGACCCTCCCAGACTTTGCTCCCTGCACCTTTTCATTTGGATGTCCCTGGTTTGTGTCTTTTATAATGAAACACTAAGCCTAAGTATAGTGCGTGCCTGCATTCTGTGAGTTGTTCTGGTCCATTATTAAACCTGAGGAGTTAGTGGGAATCCCTGCATTTGTGGTCAGTTGGTCAGAAGCACCGGTGGCTCAGGAACCCTGGAACATATAACAGCTGGTATCTGGGGTAAGAGGCATCCTGTGAGTGGCTGTTCCCTTAACCTGTGAAATTTGACCTTACTCCAGGTCAGGATTGTATTGCAAAGAGAAAATAATGTATGGATCCCCTTGTAGGCATCACCTAGCTTCAATAATAATCAGCTCATGGCCAAACTTGTTTCATCTATAACCCCTCCCATTTTCCTTTCATCATTATCCCTCAGCCCTCTTACCTGCATCACTAGATTACTTTGAAGTAAATCACTGACAAATCATTTTGTCAGCAAATCACTGATATTTGTTCATACATATTAAAGCAGATATCTCTAAAACAAAAGACCGCTTCCCCTCCCACTTTTTTTTTTTTTTTTTTTTTTGAGACAGAGTCTCACCCTGTCACCCAGGCTGGAGTGCAATGGCGCTATCTCTGCTCACTGCAACCTCCACCTCCCAGGTTCAAGCGATTCTCCTGCCTCAGCCTCCTGAGTAGCTGGGATCACAGGCGGGCGTCACCACGCCCGGCTAATTTTTTATATCTTTAGTAGAGATGGGGTTTCACCATGTTGGCCAGGCTGGCCTCGAACTCCTGACCTCATAATCTGCCTGCCTTGGCCTCCCAAATGCTGGGATTACAGGCGTGAGCCACCGCGCCCGGCCTCCCCACCTTTTTTTTAAGAGACAAGTTCTCACTCTGTTGCTCCCAAGATGGCAGATTGGAGGCAGTGTTAGCATGCCTCTTCCACTTGGAAAGACAAGATAGTGTGTAGAGACTC
Source organism: Homo sapiens (assembly GCF_000001405.40). Lineage (NCBI taxonomy): Eukaryota > Metazoa > Chordata > Mammalia > Primates > Hominidae > Homo > Homo sapiens. The sequence continues at coordinate 3,296,530 of NC_000018.10, forward strand.
ACACACTGTGAACTTTTCTCCTAGAAGCAACACAGGAACTTAACAGGAGAACTGAAAGAAGCCACTGACCCTTTGAAAGAAGCACTGGGCTGCAGCCTACACCATAAGCCAGTGGAAAACTAAGTTCCCCAGAGTGAAAGAGGAATAAATTGCCTCTGGAACATACACTCCCACTTGGGAATCTGGCAATAGAGGCCCATGAGGGAAGAACTTAACCCTATCCAGCAATGGAGCTGATTTTAGTGAGCAGTGGGGAATGTATGAGAAAAAGCATCATTGGGACGGGCTTTGCATGCACTCCCAGGCTCCAGTGAGGATGGAGGGAAGACATTCCCGACCCTACCTCACAGAGGACTGTGCAGAAATCTGCCAGCTAACTCAGACAGCAGTCACAGGTTGGCAGAAGTTCCCAACTGGGTTCACAATATAATGCCGAATGGGGACAAACCCCCTTGGGCAGAACCAAGGAGTGACTGGGAAATGTGCTGCAGCCACGGGTGCAGGAGCTGGGCGCCCCTGCTTCACGGGCAGACTGGGAGGGGCGTGGCTTGAAAGCATTGGTTGTTCTCTCCTTCAGGAAGGCTTATGGCATGGGGCAGTCTTGAGTTCTGAATGCGGACTGCCTGGATTCTAACGAGCTGCTGCAAGCGGAACCCTGCGGGTGAGGGACCGGCCTTGCCAAGTGCATGGGCGCTGGTGGGGCTTACTGCCGCCTGCTACTCCCCAACCCCTGTAGAGAGACTTCTGTGCAGCAGAGGCAGCTGCACCCCTCCCTGCAACATTACCCCTGCGGCCAGAAAAATGCTCTCTGACCCCCACAGGGGCCACTGCTTACCCCGCATGTGGGGAGCCACAGCGTGAACCTGCCTGATCCAGCCGCCACCTGGCTTTGCTCCTTCACTTGCTCTGGTAGCTTAACACAAAGGACAGAAATTTTTTGGCGCTCTATGGCCCCACCCATTACCTGAGTCACCAGAGTACCTCCCCTGGGTAACATGAGGCAAGCACAAATCCCACTGCTACTACGGCAGCTGGTGCTCTTTGGCAAGCGCCACCTTCTGGCTGGAGGCCAATTGACAGTCCATTACAGCATCTCCAAGTAGTGTAACACTGCACCAAGGAAGGAGAAAACTTGTGCATGACCTCAGCTGTCACCATTGCCTGCATCGTTCTGGCTAACCAGGGGGTCCTGAGTCTGTCCACATGACCAATTCATTACTACTACTACTGGCATTTGAGAAATCTTTACCAGACAAAGAATTCAAAAGGTTGATCATTAAGCTACTCAAGGAGATATAAGAGAAAGGTGAAAAACAACATATAGAAATTTAAAAATCAATTCAGGATATAGATGAAATATTTTCTAAAGAGATAGATTTTTTTAAAAAATCAACCAGAACTTTTTGAAATGAAGGACACATTTAGGGATTTAGGGAATTACAAAATGAGCTGGAAAGTTTTAACAATATTCTAGACCAAATAGAAGAAAGAATTTCAGAGCTCTAAGACAAGGCTTTCAAATTAACCCAATCAGACAAAAATAAAGAAAAAAGAATTAATAGAAATGAATAAAGCGTCCAAGAAATATGGTATTATGTAAAATGGACAAGTATAAGAACTATTGGTGTCCCTGAAGGAGAAGAAAAAGCAAAAAAAAAAAAAAAAAAAAAAAGTGAAAAACTTCTTTGAGGGAATAATTGAGAAAAACTTCCCTGTCCTTGCTGGAGATTTAGACATCCAAATACAAGAAGCTCAAAGAAGTCCTGGGAGATTCATTGCAAAAAGGATATCACCAAGGAACATAGTCATCAGACTATCTATAGTCAGTGTGAAGGAAAGAATTCTAAGAGCAGTGAGTCAAAAGCATCAGGTAAGCTATAAAGGGAAACCTATCAGACAAATAGTAGACTTTTCAGTATAAAATTTACAAACCAGAAGGAATTCGAATCCTATCTTTAGCCTTCTTTTTTTTTTGAGATGGAGTCTTGCCCTGTTGCCCAGGCTGGAGTGCAGTGGTGCAATCTCAGCTCACTGCAACCTCCACCTCCCAGGTTCAAGCAATTCTCCTGCCTCAGCCTCCTGAATAGCTGGGAATACAGGTACATGCCACCAAGCCCAGCTAATTTTTGTATTTTTAGTAGAGACGAGGTTTCACCATGTTGGTCAGGCTGGTCTCGAACTCCTGACCTTGTGATTCACCTGCCTCAGCCTCCCAAAGTGTCTTTAGCCTTCTTAAATGGAATAACCCTCAGCCAAGAATTTTGTATTCAGTAAAATTAAGTCTTATAAATACAGACAAAATAAAGTCTTGTTCAGATAAGCAAATGGTGAGGGAATTTGTCACTATCAGACCAGCCCTACAAGAAATGCTCAAAGGATTTCTAAAGCTTGAAACAAAAGGTTGATATAAACCAGAACAGAACCTCTTGACACATAAACCTCATAGGGTCTATAAAACAATAACACAATGAAGAAAACAAAATATCTAGGTAACAATCAACATGATGGCTGGAACAGTAGCTCACATCTCAATATTAATGTTGAATGTAAATGGTCTAAATGCTCTACTTTAAGGTATAAATGGGCAGAATGGATAAAAAATCACAAACCACATATCTTCAGTCTTCGAGAGACTCACCTAACACATAAGGATTCTTATAGATTCAAGGTAAAGGAGTGGCAAAAAATATTCTGTGCAAAAGAAAACCAAAAGTGAGCAGAAGTATCTATTTTTATGTTAGATAAAACAGACTTTAAAGCAAGAACAATAGAAAAAAGACAAAAAAGTCATTACATAATGATAAAAGGATGAATCCAACAAGAAGATACTATAATCCTAAATACATATGCACCTAACTCTGGAGCTCCCAGATTCATAAAACTATTACTTCTAGATCTAAGATGAGAGATAGACAGTAACATAATAATGGTAGGGGACTTCAACACTTCACTAACAGTCCTAGACAGATCATTGTGGCAGAAGGTCAACAAAGAAATGCTAGTCTTAAACTACACTCCAGAACAAAGGGACCTAACAGGTATTTACGGAACATTCTACCCAAGAACTGCACAATATACATTCTTCTTATCAGCACATGGAACATTCTCCAAGATAAACCATATGACAGGCCACAAAACAAGTCTCAAAAAACTTTAAAAAATCAAAATAATGTCAAGTATCTTCTCAGACTACAGTGGAATAAAACTAGAAATCAACTCCAAAAAGAGCCTTCAAAACTATACAAATACATGGAAATTAAACAATCTGCTGCTGAATGATTTTCGGGTTAACAATGAAATTGAGATAGAAATTTAAAAATTATTCAAAATGAATGATAATAGTGATACAGGGTATCAAAACCTCTGGAATACAGCAAAAGCAGTGCTAAGGGGACAGTTTATAGTACTAAATCCCTATATCAAAAAGTCTGAAAGGTCACAAATTGACAACCTAAGATCACACCTTAAGGAACTGAAGAAAGAAGAACAAACCAAACCCAAAACTAGCAGAAGAAAAGAAATAACAAAGATCAGAGAAGAACTAAATGAAATTGAAACAAAAATTACAAAAGATTAATGAAACAAAAAGTTGGTTCTTTGAAAGGAGAAATAAAATCAATACACCATTAGCTAGATTAACCAAAAAGAGAGAAGATTCAAATTAGCTCAATTAGAAATAAAAATGGAGACATTACAACCAACACCACAGAAATACAAAAGATCATTAGAGACTACTATGAACACCTCTATGCACAAAAACTGGAATATTTAGAGGAAATGAATAAGTTCCTGGAAACATACAACCCTCCTAGCTTGAATCAGGAAGAAATAGGAATTCTGAGCAAACCAATTACAAGCAGTGAGATTCAATCAGTAATAAAAAATTACCAGCTAGGCATGGTTGCTCATGCCTGTAATCTTAGCACTTTGGAAGGCAGAGGCAGGCAGATCGCTTGAGCCCGGGAGTTAGAGACCAGCCTGGGCAACATGGCGAAACCCCATCTCTACAAAAAAATACAAAATTTAGCCAAATGTGGTGGTGCACGCATGTAATCCCAGCTACTCGGGAGGCAAAGGTTGGAGGATCACTTAAGCTTTGGGAGGTCATGGGTGCAGTGAGCTGTGATTGTGCCACTGTACTGCAGCTTGAGCAAAAGGTGAGACCCTATCTCAAAGAAAAATAATTACCACCTAGAACAAAAATACCCAGGGCCAGATGGATTCACAGCTAAATTCTACCAGATATTCTAGAAGAATTGATACCAATCCTACTGAAACTATCCTAAAAGATTGAGAAAGAGAGCCTCCTCCCTAACTCATTCTACAAAGCCAGTATCAGCCTGATACCAAAACCAGAAAAGGACATAAAAAGAGAAAACTACAGACCAATATCTTTGATGAACATAGGTGCAAAAATCCTCAACAAAGTGCTAGCAAACTGAATCCAACAGCACATCAAAAATAGAATTCACCATGATAAAATGAGTTTCATTCCAGGGATGCAGGGATGGTTCAACATACACAAGTCAATAAATGTGATTTATCTCATAAACAGAATTAAAAACAAAAACGATGTGATCATCTCAATAGACTCAGAAAAAGCATTTAATAAAACCCAGCATCACTTTGTGATAAAAAACCCTCAACAAACTAAGCATAGAAGGAACGCATCTCAAAATAATAAAAGCCACATAGGACAAACCCACAGTCTACATCATACTGAAAGGGGAAAAGTTGAAAGCATTCCCCCTAAGAAATGGAACAAGACAAGGATGCCTACTTTGACCACTTCTGTTCAACGTAGTACTGTAAGTCCTAGTCAGAGCAATCAAGCAAGAAAAGGAAATAAAAAGCATCCAAATTAGAGAAGAAGTCAAACATCTGTTTGCTGATGACATGATCATAAACCTAGAAAATCCTACAGACTTCACCAGAAGACTTCTAGATTTGATAAACAAACTCAGTAAAATCTCAGGTTACAAAATCAATGTACACAAATCAGTAGCACTGCTAAACACCAACAATAACCAAGCTGAGGATCAAATCAAGAACTCAATATCTTTTACAATTGCTATAAAAAAATGAAATGCCTAGGACTATACTTAACCAAGAAGGTGAAAGATCTCTACAAGAAAACTATAAAATGCTGCTGAAAGAGATCATAAATGACACAAACAAATGGAAATACATCCCATGCTCATGGTTTGGATAACCAATACCATGAAAATGATCATACTACCCAAAGAAATCTGCAGATTCAATGCAATTTCTATCAAAATACCAACATCTTTTTTTGCAGAGCTAGAAAAAAACCATCCTAAAATTCATATGGAACCAAAAAAAGAGCTCGAATAGCTAACACAATCCTAAGCAAAAAAAAAAAACAAATATGGACGCATCACACTATCCAACCTCAAATTATACTACAAGGCTATAGTAATCCAAACAACATGATACTGGTATAAAAGTAGACACATAGACCAATGGAACAGAATAGAGAACCGAGAAATAAAGCTGAATACTTACAAGTAATTGATCTTTTGACAGAGCATACAAAAACATAAATCAGGGAAAAGACATTCTATTCAATAGATGGTGCTGGGACAACTGGATAGCCACATGTAGAAGAATGAAATGGACCCCTATCTCTCACTATCTACAAACATCAGCTCGAGATGGATAAAAGACTTAAATCTAAGACATGAGGCCAGGCGCGGTGGCTCACGCCTGTAATCCCAGCACTTTGGGAGGCCAAGGCGGGCAGATCACGAGTTCAAAAGATTGAGACCATCCTGGCTAACAAGGTGAAATCCCGTCTCAACTAAAAATACAAAAAGTTAGCCGGGCGTGGTGGCGGGTGCCCGTAGTCCCAGCTACTCGGGAGGCTGAGGCAGGAGAATCACTTGGACCTGGGAGGCGGAGGTTGCAGTGAGCCGAGATCGTGCCATTGCACTCCAACTTGGGCAACAAGAGAGAAACTCTGTCTCAAAAAAAAAAAAAAAATCTGAGACCTGAAACCTGAAACCATAACAATTTTAGAAGAAAACCTAGCTAAAATAAAACCATAACAATTTTAGAAGAAAACCTAGCTAAAATATTTCTGGACATTGGCTTAAACAAAGAATTTATGACTAAGACCCCAAAAGTAAATGCAACAAAAATAAAAATAAATAAATGGCACCTAATTAAACTAAAAAGCTTCTTCACAGGAAAAGAAATAATCATCAAACAGACAACCCATAGAATGGGAGAAAATATTTGCAAACTATGCATCTGACAAAGGACTAATATGCAGAATATACAAGGAACTCAAACAAATTAGCAAGAAAATAAAAACATAATCCCACTAAAAAGTGAACAAGTGACATGAAAAAACATTTCTCAAAAGAAGATACACAAATAGCCAAGAAACATGTGAAAAATGTGCAACATCACTAATCATCAGAGAAATTCAAATTAAAACCACAATGAGATACAACCTTACCCCAGCCAGAATGGCCATTATTAAAAAGTCAAAAAACAATAGATGTTGGTGTGGATATGGCGAAAAAGGAACACTTATATGCTGCTGGTGGGAATGTAAATTAGTACAACCTCTATAAAAACAGTACGGAGATTTACCAAAGTGATCTATTTCTTTTTTTAAAAATGTATTTATCTTAAGAAAAACAGATGGGGGTCTCACTATGTTGCCCAGGCTGGTCATGAACTTGTGGGCTCAAGTGATCCACCCACCTCAGCCTCCGAAAGTGCTGGGATTACAGGCATGAACCACCACACCCATCCAAGTAGATCTATTTCTGTTTTATTTTATTTTATTTCATTTTATTTATTTATTTTTTGAGACAGAATCTCACTCTGTCACCCAGGCTGGAGTGCAATAGCGCAATCTCGGCTCACTGAAACCTCCACCTACCGGGCTCAAGTGATTCTCTTGCCTCAGCCTCCTGAGTAGCTGGGATTACAGGCTTCTGCCTCCACGTCTGGCTAATTTTTGTATTTTTAGTAGAGACAGAGTTTCACCATGTTGGCCAGGCTGGTCTCAAACTCTTGACCTCAGGTGATCTGCCTGCTTCAGCCTCCCAAAGTGCTGCGATTACAGGCGTGAGCCACCGCACCCAGCCCAAGTAGATCTATTTCTAAAAGTGGATCTACCATTTGATCCAGCAATCTGACTACTGGGTATGTACCCAAAGGAAAAGATGTCATTATATCAAAAAGACACCTGCACATATATGTTTATGCAGAACAATTCACAATTGCAAAGATATGGAACCAACCTAAGTGGCCATCAGCCAGTGAGTGGATAAAGAAAATGTGGTATATATACACGAGAGAATACTACTCAGCCATAAAAAAGAAGGAAATAATGTCTTTTGCAGCAACTTGGCTGGAAGTGGAGGTCATTATTCTAAGTGGAGTAACTCAGGAATGGAAAATCAAATACCATATGTTTTCACTTATAAGTAGGAACTAAGCTATAGGTAAGCAAAGGCATACAGAGTGGTAAAACGGATACTAGAGACTCAGAAGGGGAAGTAGGAGGGGGATAAGAGATTTTTTAAAACTACATATTGGGTACAATGTGCACTAATTGGGTGACGAGTACACTAAGATCTCAGACTTAACTATACAATTCATCCATGTAACTGAAAACCACTTGTACCCCAAAAGCTATTGAAATTGTAAAAACTGTATATAAAAAAAAAAATAAAATAAAATCTCAGAATCCAAGCAAAGTCCACACATTGCATCTTATTGAAGGTCTCTTAATCTCTTTTACTTATTTATTTTATAGACAGGATCTGACTCTGTCACCCAGCTTGGAGTGCAGTGGCATGATCATAGCTCACCTCAGTCTCAAACTCCTAGACTTAGCGATCCTGCCGCCTCAGTCTCCCTAGTAGCTGGGACTACAGGTACACATCATCATGTCTGGCTAGTTTTTAAAAATTTTTTGTAGAGATGGGATCTTGTCATGTTGCTCAGGCTGTCTTACCTCTTTTAATCTATTTATTACCTTCTCTCTTTTTCTTTTGGTTGTAATTTATTTGTTGAAGAAATTGGGTGCCTTCTCCAATAGAGTGCTACTTCTCAAATGCTAAAGTGTATACAAACCACCTGGGGATCTTGTTAAAAAGTAGATTCTCCAGCCTGGCCAATGTGGCAAAATCCCGTATCTACTAACAGTATAAAAATTAGCCGGGCGTGGTGGCGGGTGCCTGTAATCCCAGCTACTCAGGAGGCTGAAGCAGGAGGAGTTGGGGGTTGCAGTTGAGCAGTGAGCCGAGATTGCACCACTGCACTCCAGCCTGGGCAACAAGAGCAAGATTGCGTCTCAAAAAATAAATACATAAATAAATTAGTAGATTCTGCTTTAGTGCAGGGATCTGCAGTGGGTCTGAGATGTGGCATTTCTGGCAAGCTCCCAGGTGAGGTGGATGCTGACCATCCATGGACCACACTTAGAGTAGCAAAGTCTAGAGCTGCCTGCAGTCTGCATTCTGATGGTTGCATCATGATGTCATTACCATATTTTTCTGTTCCCTCTAAACTGATGGTTGGATCTTCTGAACTGCATGGAAACAACCTTCTTTTCTGTAACTTTTAATGTTCTTTCCAAAATATACATTTGAACAATTTGGAAGTTTTCCACTGGTATCTTTATAGTTTTTGGTATAAAAGTTATGGTAAGTGCCCTATACAAGTGTACCATTTTTTAGTCTTTTCTGTCATATTTTTACTCTACCTTTTCTATGTTTAGATACACAAATACCTATCATTGTGTTATAGTTGCTGACAGTATTCAGTACAGTAACATACTGTACAGGTTTGTAGCCTAAGAGCAGTAGGATATCACGTATAGCCTATGTGTGTAGGAGGCTAGACCATCTAGGTTTATGTAAGTATACTCTATGACGTTCATACAGTGTCAAAGTTGCCTACCATGTGTTTCACAGAACATGTCCTGTGGTTAAGTGACTCATGGCTGCATTTATTCAGGGCCTAGGGTTTCCGTGCACTCTCATACTTGGCAGGCACTTGGTAGTCTGGATGTGTTTTTTCATTTACCGGCTGAGGCATGAATGCAGCCCGTGCATTTACCTGTGTGCAGGAATGTGGTGTTGGTGCTTTTGTATACCGCACCATTCACATGCCAATTAGGTTGAATTTTCAGATTAATTAGATGAACTTAGAGTTGCCAGGCTCCGGAATAATTGGATATCAGACAAGAAAAATGGAAACAGAATTTGTAAGTGATTTACAAGTTTCAGTACTTTGTTTTCAGTCATGAAGCCAAACTTTACCAAGAAGAGAAAAGATTCAACAGTGGAACATTTGAGCACAGTGGCCAGAGCTTTCTGGGCCGTGGAACCTTGGGCCCCTGACCTTTCAGGCTGGGTTGTCTCTTGTGGCCCTAATGTTTGCAGCAAACCGGTGGCTTGGTTGTAAATTTCATCTTTCTATGGGCTTCAGTCATTCAGAGGGCAAGCACGGACTTCTAAGGATTAGAGGGAGCCTCCTTGTTCAAATGTTTATGTGATTTCCTCTTCCAGCCACAGGTTGCTTCGTACTCACACGCAGCAGATAAGGCTCTGGTTCCTCTCCCTCAGACCTGAGCTCATCGCTTCCTCTGCTCTGTTGCTTCTTGTCTTCTGTCTCCTCTGGCCCTCGCCCAAGGTCAGCCTGCTGCCGAGTGTGTGTTATTGGCATTCCCACACATTTTGAGAAACCCTGTAGTGTTTCCACCGCATTAGGGTATTTAGGTTACAGGAAGAATTGGTGATGTTGAATTGAGGTCTTTTTTCATTACGATTACTCTTCTGTGAGCAGATAGAGTCATACCTGACACCGATCCATTTAAAAATCTGAACAAATTTTACTGATGCTCTAAAAAGTACAGGTTTCTTCTTGAGCCCAAATGACATTTTGTCAGAAATGGAATACCAATTTTATTCACTGGGGAGGTGACTCTGTCCCCCCAAACCCTCCCTATCCTTGTCCCTCCTGATCCACTGGGAAGTCATAAAGTGGCTTCCACAGGCAACTGAAATGCGTTCTGAATCATCCTCTCCGTCCTCTCCCGTGGGGCAGGTAGCAAGAGTAACAGGAAATAACAGGCACATATCAAATCACATTGCTTAGGTTGGAATCTCAGAACTAGGGGAAAATGTAAGTTTCAATTCCTGTCTCATTCCAAAATAAATTCAAGGCAGCATTTCATGTAAAATATAAAGTAAATATATATTACTTTAAATTTTGGACAAAATTGTAAACCCTTTCAAGCCTCATGTTTATCACCTGTAAAATGGAGAAAATACGAGCACACGCTTCACAGGGGTGTTATGAGCAGTGATTATTATAGCTCATGGTAAGCACTTAGCATAGTGTCTGGCTCATTATAAGTGCTCAAGAGACATTAGTCATTCATATTTCTCCAAGTTTCATTGATCAATATTCTGTCTTGCTGCACATTATTATCATTAATTATAAAGTCATTTTGGGTAAAAATTATTTGAATCAAAGATATGATAAATATGATAAGAGAAGACTAAAAACATAATCAATGAACTGAATTAAAGTTTTCATGTCTTTCAATATTATTTAGTCCAATATGTTAAATATGTTCCTTATTCCTTTGTAGCATTTGAATACATCCTAGGTTGCCTGTGCAACGATTGTTGGGTGCCAAAACACAACTAAGTCAATTATCCTGATACAGGAATTGTCATATATTATCATCAGAAGGGCATTTCAGAGGTCTGCTAATCTTTTTCTTTTTTTTAAAGTAAAGGCCTCACACATTCATTACTGAACCCAGCCAACCAATCCCTTCATAGCACACATAGAAAGAAAAAATATATTCCCAATAAAATATGTCCAACTGTCCAGATAGTGGTGGCATTTTCAGCTTGATACGGTAAGATGGTCTGACCTCGGCCCAGCATAAATATGTGTGCCATCTCATGTGCAATTCCTTACAGATCCAGCTTGCTTCTTCTCCAGTGTTTCCTTTTGTAGTGTGCCTGATTCTATTACCAGCTTTCATCTGAATCCACTGGGGAATGGAACGATTTGCTTTAGTTTCTTGACCAGGAATCGCTTAATCCTGAAAGTCTTGTGAGGAGACATGGGGAGAAGCGAAGGCAAGCACACACCACGATGGCAAAGAAAAGTGGTCTGCTAATCTTAATCTTCTATTCAAAATAAAATGTGGCCGCGCGAGGTGGCTCATCCTGTAATCCCAGCACTTTGGGAGGCCAAGGCGGGTGGATCACGAGGGTCAGGAGATCGAGACCATCCTGGTCAACACGGTGAAACCCCGTCTCTACTAAAGTACAAAAAAATTAGCCGGGCATGGTGGCGTGCACCTGTAGTCCCAGCTACGCGGGAGGCCAAGGCAGGGGAAATTTGCTTGAACATGGGAGACGAAGGTTGCAGTGAGCTGAGATCGCACCACTGAACTCCAGCCTGGTGACAGAGCAAGATTCTGTCCAAAAAAAAAAAAAAAAGAAAATGCCACAACAACAAATATTTATTTGATACTAAACAGCAAACTTTCTGATTCTGTGTATCCTGTCCTTCAGCAAGGAATTGCCCTTAGACTTTGTTTTTTGTTTTGTTTTTGAGACTGAGCCTCGCTCTGTCACCCAGGCTGGAGTGCAGTGACGTGATCTCAGCTCACCGCAAGCTCTGCCTCCCTGGTTCACGCCATTCTCCTGCCTCAGCCTCCCGAGTAGCTGGGACTACAGGTGCCCACCACCACGCCCGGCTAATTTTTTTTTGTATTTTTAGTAGAGACAGGGTTTCACCATGTTAGCCAAGATAGTCTCAATCTCCTGACCTCGTGATCCACCCGCCTCGGCCTCCCAAAGTGCTGAGATTACAGGCGTGAGCCACTGTGCCCAGCCGACTTTGTTTTAAAGTAATAAATGCACATGATAAAAACTTCAAAGTAAACAATATGAAATGAAAAGCAAAAGTCTCCCTACCCCAGCCTCGTCTCCACTCCCCAGACATAACCAAGACAATTATTTATCTTTCTAAAAATTTCGTGATGCTTCTACTGGTGTATATTTTGGAAGCTTTGTAGTTCACCTTGGTCTCAATGTTCTGCCATAATCTATCTGGTTTCATATTTGGCCTGGGGTCGACTTAATAGTCAAATGCCAAATTCAGCATCCCCATTCTAGCATTCTCAGGGCATGATCAATTATCACCCAGGTCAGGGGATCTGCAATTCACAGCTCTTCGGTGAAATCTAGTCTCCCTTCTGCTTTTGTAAATATTTATTGCAACTTACCACATTCATTCATTTAGATATATTAAGAATTTTCAAATAGTTAAATAAATAAGGCAATAGACTGGCAGTGCACAGATTAAAATAGTTTGATAACTTAGGCTGGGCACGGTGGCTCACGCCTGTAATCCCAGCATTTTGGGAGGCCGAGGCGGGCGGATCACGAGGTCAGGAGATCGAGACCATCCTGGCTAACACAGTGAAACCCCATCTCTACTAAAAATACAAAAAATTAGCCGGGCGTGGTGGTGGGCGCCTGTAGTCCCAGCTACTCGGGAGGCTGAGGCAGGAGAATGGCGTGAACCCGTGAGGCAGTGCTTGCAGTGAGCCGAGATCGTGCCACTGCACTCCAGCCTGGGAGACAGAGCGAGACTCTGTCTCAAAAAAAAAAAAAATAGTTTGATAACTTTAAGAAAAAATCCAACACTTTTTTGAGTCCACAAGTGTTTATAAAAAGTATTAATAAAAGGAAGAATAATTGAGATCAGAGAGTATCAAAATTCAAATTTCTGTAGACTTGTTTGGTGAATTAGGTAAGCCAAATACACCTTAAGAGTTTTATTTAGTTATTTGGTATTTAATATTTTCTTAGTTTTATTGGTTGTTTTTTAAAAACTATATTTATGTAACTTTTATTTTAGCCAAACAGTAACTTTATATTTTCCACAAATGAATTGCATGTTTTATTTTTTCACTTGTGGGGTTGTGCTCTGCTTCAAAATTATATTTAAAATTTACTTCAAAATTATATTTTAAAATTTCACATTTCACACAAAATTTTCAACCATTTTGATTACTTTATATTTTACATGAAACACTGCCTTGAATTTATTTTGAAATAAGACAGGAATTGAAATATGTTTTTCCTTAAATGGTTAACCAATTGAACCAACACCACTTATTCAGTAATTACTCTTGTCCCACAGATGTTTATCATCTAAAAATATGACTAGTAAATTTTTAACTAATATTTGAATTTTTAAATTAATTCCAGATTTATTCTTGTAACCCAGCAGTTTCGTTCTATGGTGGTATAATCTGCTTTAGTTATTGTTTTAATGAAATATTGATTTTAATTGTCAGACATTTGGAGTTCAGCCAAACTGTGAAGTTAGTGATGAAGCACATATAAAATTGTGTATCTTTTAAAAATGTACATGAATGAGACTCAAGTACACATGCTATATTTAATTTTTAAATTTAGTGACATATCATGGATATTTTTCCATATCAGGATTTACCGCCCCTAGATAGATATTCATCCAACAGAAATAAAAGCATATGTCCATATGAGACTTGTACGCCAATGCTCATTGCAGCTCCATTTGCAATAACTCCAACCTGGAAACAACCCAAGTGTCCATCAACAGGTGAATGGCTAGATGAATTGTAGAACATTCTGATGATGGAATGCTTATCAATGATTAAGAATGAACTGGCCAGGCACGGTGGCTCACGCCTGTAATCCCAGCACTTTGGGAGGTGGAGGCAGGCAGATCACCTGAGGTCAGGAGTTTGAGACCAGCCTGGCCAACATGGCGAAACCCCATCTCTACCAAAAATACAAAAATTAGCTGGGCATGGTGCACACCTGTAATCCCAGCTACTCCGGAGGCTGAGGCAGGAGAATCGCTTGAACCTGGGAGGCGGAGGTTGCAGTGAGCCGAGATCGCGCCACTGCACTCCAGCCTGGGCGACAGAGGGAGATTCCGTCTCAAAAAAAAAAAAAATTAAAAAAGAAAAAAGAATGAACTATTGATATATACAACAACATGGATGAATCTCAAAATATTTATGCTGAGTTAAGCCACACACAAAAAGAGTATTACTGTATAATTCCATTTGTATACAATGACAAAAATGCAAATTAATCCGTAAGAGCAAAAAAACAGTTCAGTGGTTGCCTAGGGACTGGGGGTGGAAAAGAGGAGTGAGGGAGGGAGAGATTGCAGGGACACAAGGACATTTTGAGGTGACAGATATCTTCATTATTTTCAAGCCGTCATAGTTTCACAGATTTATTTACACGTCAAAACTGATCAAATCATTTAAATATGTGCAGTTTTTTACATGTCAATGTTATCTCAATAAAGAATTTTAAAAAATAAAACAAAAGGTTTTCAGGAGTTTGTAATGTGTTTACTCACACACTCCACAAACTCAATTTTATCAAATATTTTTTGAATAAGAAATTTTAAATCTGTCAATGAAATTAGCCCTTTTCAATGATGTGCGTGGCAACTACTTCCCTGTTTTTTTTTTGTTTGTTCGTTTGTTTGGAGACAGGGTCTCGCTCTGCTGCCCAGGCTGGAGTGCAATGGCCCCATCACGACTCACTGCAACCTCCCGGGCTCAAGCGATTCTCCCACCTCCGCCACCTGAGTAGTTAGGACTACAGGCCCACCACCACACCTGGCTAATTTTTTGTATTTTTTGTAGAGGCAGGGTTTCACCATGTTGCCCAGGCTGGTCTGGAACTCCTGGGCTCAAGGGATCCACCCATCTCAGCCTCCCAAAGTGCTGAGATTACAGGTGTGGGCCACCACACCCGGCCTGTTGCTTGTTTTCTAAAACTATACTGAGTGATTTTTTTTTTAAAGCTAAACAGAAAACTTATATTTTCATCAAATTAAATGTATGCTTTTTTTTTTTTTGGCTTGTGGGGTTGTATTCTGCTTAGAAAGAAGATCTACTTCAACAATATGTACTTAAAATTTTCTCACTTTGTTCACAATTTTTCTAGCATTTCCTAACATTTCAATTGCTTCATATTTCTGCCTCAAATTTATTTTGGAATAAGGCAAGAGTTAAAATATGCTTTTCTTTAAATGGTTAGTGAATTGAACCAACAATGTTTATTGAATAATTACTTTTGTTCCACAGATTTTTGTCACCTAAAAATACTTCTTTTTTTTGTTTGTTTGTTTTATTTCTGGACTTTTTAATCTACTCCATTGGTCAGTTAATTGTTGAAGTTTTGGAATCAGTGCTCACTTCTGTTAGGATTAGTCTCCCTCAATTCTCTTCTCTTTTAGTATTTTTTTTTTGCGTAATCATATTCCTTATTTTCTATCTCTTCTTTTTTTTTGTTTTTGACGGAGTCTTGCTCTTCGCATAGGCTGGAATGCCGTGGCACAATCTCGGCTCACTGCAACCACCTCCAGGGTTCAAGTGATTCTCCTGTCTCAGCCTCCTGAATAGCTGGGATTACAGGTGTGCACCACCACACCCAGCTAATTTTTGTATTATTTTTTAGTAGAGACGGGGTTTCACCATGTTGGCCAGGCTGGTCTCTAAACTCCCAACCTCAGGTGATCTGCCTGCCTTGGCCTCCTAAAGTGCTGGGATAAAGGCCTGAGCCACCGCGCCTGGCCTCTAGCTATTCTTTAATATTTTTCTTTTTCTTTTTTTTTTCCAAGATGGAGCCTCGCTCTGTCGCCCAGGCTGGAGTGCGGTGGCGCAATCTCGGCTCACTGCAAGCTCCGCCTCCCGGGTTCACGCCATTCTCCTGCCTCAGCCTCCCGAGTAGCTGGGACTACAGGCGCCCGCCACCACGCCCGGCTAATTTTTTGTATCTTTAGTAGAGACGGGGTTTCACCGTGTTAGCCAGGATGGTCTCGATCTCCTGACCTCGTGATCCGCCCGCTTCGGCCTCCCAAAGTGCTGGGATTACAGGCGAGAGCCACCGCGCCCGGCCTATTCTTTAGTATTTTTCAAAGAACTGGAAATGAATTTCCCAAGGAGTGAATGTCTTTTACTCTTATTGTCTTTTTAAAATTCTTTGTGCATTTGCAATTTTTTCTTAATGTATTTGAAGAATATGTAATTTAGTCCATAAAGATTTATGATAGGTAAAGCCTCACTTCTTTATCATCATAAAATTTTTCTTTATCATTTTTCAACTTTGTCTTTGTTTTGAATTCATCCTTGACTGATGTTGATACCAGCTCTCTTTTTGCTTTCATTGTCTTGAGATTTATTAATCTCTCTTTCCCTTTTATGTTTCTTTTTTTTTTTTTTCTTTTTCGAGATGGAGTCTCGCTCTGTCACCCAGGCTGGAGTGCAGTGGTGCGATCTCAGCTCACTGCAACCTCTGCCTCCCGGATTCAAGCAATTCTTCTGCCTCAGCCTCCCAAATAGCTGAGACAACAGGTGCGTGCCACCATGCCCAGCTAATTTTTGTATTTTTAGTAGAGATGGGTTTCGCCATTTTGGCCAGGCTGCTCTGGAACTCCTGACCTCAGGTGATCCACCCACCTTGGCCTCTCAAAATGCTGGGATTACAGGCGTGACCCACCGCGCCAGGCCCTCCCTTTTTTCTTTCTGAATAACTTTGTTTCTAACTCTCTTATATATGACATTTAATCTTTTTTTAACCCAATCTGATTTTTTTCTCCTATGTATTTACTACATTTATTTTATTTATATGTCATATACTTGATGTTAATTTTTCATCAGAATATATTTATAGTTTTAACACAACCTTTGTTTTGCTTAATGATTTCTGTTTGCTTTAAGTGTGTACTTTTCTTTTTGAAACTTGGAAGTCTGGTTGTTTACTTTTAGATCTTCTAGGCTATGGAATTTTTGTTCAAAATTTTTTAGCTTATTTACTTTTAAGGAAGACGCAGACAATTTAATGTAGAGGAAGGGTTATTAAATTTTCCTCCACATTTTGCTCTATCTACATCAGATCTGTAAGGGAAAAATAATAAATATTCCTCTTTGCCAGACATACAGTCTTATTGCAACTACATATTTGTCCTATATAGCAAATGCAGCCATAGATAGTAAGAGATGAATGGGTGTGGCTGTGTTCCAGTTAAAATTACATGGACAGACACATTGGTATTTCATATGTCAAAACTATTTTTAAATGATTTACAAATGTAAAAACTAATTTTAGGCTGTAGTCTAGATTTAACTCAGCCCAAAAGCCTGAGAGTCAAGAGAGGCAATAGCGTAAGTTCCTATCCAAAAGTGTGCAAGCTTGACACCCAAAAACAGCCAATGTCTCAGTTTGAGTCCAAAGGCTGGAAAAGACTGACGTCCCAGCTCAAAGCAGTCAGGTAGGAGGAGCTTCCTTTTACTCAGCGTTTTTGTTCTATTCAGATCCTCAACTGATTGCATGAGGCCGACCCACATTAGAGAGAACAATCTGCTTTACTTGGTCTATTGATTCACATTTCAGTCTCTTCCAGAAACATCCTCACAGACACTCCTAGAATGTTTGACCAAATGCCTCAGCACACCCTGGCCCGATCAACTTAACACATAAATTTAACCATCACACGTGGCAATCTCAGTTTTCTGTTGCCTTACGTCCCTTTGATTTCTTGTTTCATTGAATTCATACACAGATGCTCCTCAACTTACAGTGGGGTTATGTCCTGATAAACCCATCATAAGTTGAAAATATTGTATGTAAGTAAAAAGTGCATTAATACACCTAACCTACCAAACATCATCTACGGAATGCGTGTCACTTTTGCGTTACTGTAAGGTCAAAACATTGCAAGTGAAACCATCATAAATCAGGGACCATCTGTACTTTAAATTTTTTTCCTAGACTACAAAACTTTGGTTTTAGGAATTTTTCTTCACATTTTAAAGGTGTGTTTCTTTCCAGATAATAGTTTTAATCTTTTGTTCCTTTTTTTTTTTTTTTTGCTATATTTTTGCATTTTCATATACTCCTCTCCATACTACTCTTTAACATGTGGGGCTCTATCCATGTTTTCTATTTTTGCAGATACAGTGTGGATGAATTTTTATTTATTACTTTTCTTTATTATTTTTTCCCATTGCCCTGAGACTCGTCTTCCTCTTAGAAATTCAGTTTGAGGTTGCATCTTTTGTGCTCTGTCTTTTCTCCCAGTGCCTGAGGAAAAGTTGAAGGGAGCATATATCGGTTAGGATTAGACTTGACTGTAATAGAAAAAGCTCAAAGTAACAGTGGGTTAAATCAGAATGAAGTTTATTGCTGTCTTACTTAGAAGTCTGAGTAGGTCATCACAGTTGGTATGACACTCTGCAGTGTTAGAGTCTCAAGCTCAAGTTCACCAGGTGGTTCCAGATGGTCACTCTAGCTCCAGCCATCACATCTACTTTATAGCCAGGAGAAAGAGAGAAGAGGAAATGGGCATGTCCACTCCATTTAAATATCTTCTCACAACATTTACATATTGCATAGGACTTCACCACTGCGATTGCACTTAGCTACAATGCTGGTGTAGAAATATATATTTTCTTCTGAGTAGGCCTTGTGCCCAATAAAAACGTGTAGATTTTTCTAGTAAGGAAAAAGGAAGAACAGACAGTAGGGGCAACTACTGGTTTCTTTTCTTTTTTTACTTTAAGCTCTGGGACACATGTGCAGAACGTGCAGATTTGTTACATAGGTACACATGTGCCGTGGTGGTTTGCTGCACCTACCAACCCATCATCTAGGTTTTAAGCCCCTCATGCATTAGGTATTTGTCCTAATGCTCTCCCTCCCCTTGCCCTCCACCCCTCTACAGGCCCCAGTGTGTGATGTTCCCCGCCCCATGTCCATGTGTTCTTATTGTTAAACTCCCACTTATGAGTGAGAACATGCAGTGTTTGGTTTTCTGTTCCTGTGTTAGTTTGCTGAGAATGATGGTTTCCAGCTTCATCCATGTCCCTGCAAAGGACATGATCTCATTCTTCTTTATGGCTGCATAGTATTCCATGGCATATATGTGGCACATTTTCTTTATCCAGTCTATCATTGATGGACATTTGGGTTGGTAATGCTAATGATTATCTGAGCCTTCAGCAAGTTGTAATCTTTTTGCTGGTGGAGGGTCTTGCCTCAATGTTGATAACTACTGATTGATTAGGGAGGTGGTTGCTGAAGGTTGGAATGACTGTGGCAATTTCTTAAAATAAGACAACAATGAAATTTGCCTCATTGATTGACTCTGTCTTTCATGAAGTATTTTTCTGCAACACAGGATACTGTTTGATAGCATTTTACCCACCACAGTAGAACTTGTTTCAAAATTGGAGTCAATCCTCTCAAACCCTGCCGCTGCTTTATCAAGTAAGTTCATGTAATATTTGAAATAATTTGTTGTCATTTCAACAATGTTCACAGCATCTTCAGCAAGAGTTGATTCCATCTCAAGAAACCACTTTCTTTGCTCATCCATAGAAGCAGCTCCTCATCCATTCAAGTTTGTTCATGAGATTTTAGCAATTCAGTCACATCTTCAGCCTCCACTTCTAATTCGAGTTCTTGTGCTATTTCCATCCCATCTGATGTTCCTTCCTCCACTGAAGTCTTGAACCCCTCAAAGTCATCCATGAGGATGAATTTTGAGGTGTCCAACTTTATCCATGAGGATTAACTTTGAGGGGTTCAACTTTGAGGATGAACTTTGAGGGGTTCATCTTTGAGGTTCCAGAGAATCAACTTCTTCTGAACTTCTGTTAATGTTGATATTTTGACCTCCTTCCATGAATCACCAGTGTCCTTAATGGCATATAGGATGGTGAGTCTTTTCCAGAAGGTTTTCAGTGTATTTGCTCAGAGCTGTGAGGGGAATCATTATTGCAGCTCTAACCTTACAAAATGTATTTCTTAAATAATAAGACTTGAAAGTCAAAATGACTCCTTGACCCATGGGCTGAAGAATGGATGTTGTGTCAGCAGGCATGAGAACAACATGAATCTCCTTGTACGTCTCCATCGGAGCTCTTGGGTGAGCAGGTGCACTGTCAATGAGCAGTAATATTTTGAAAGGAATTTTTATTTCTGAGCAGTAGATCTCAACAATGGGGTTAAAATATTCAGTAAACCATGCTATAAAGATATATACTGTTGGCCGGGCATGGTGGCTCACACCTGTAATCCTAGCACTTTGGGAGGCCGAGGAAGGCGGATCACTTGAGATCAGGAGTTTGAGACCAGCCTGACCAACATGGTGAAGCCCTATCTCTACTAAAAATATAAAAATTAGCCAGGCGTGGTGGCAGGCACCTGTAATCCCAGCTACTTGGGAGACTGAGGCAGGAGAATTGCTGGAACTCAGGAGGCAGAGGTTGCAGTGAGCTGAAATTGCACTACTGCACTACAGCCTGGGCAACAGAGCAAGACTCTGTCTCAAAAAAAAAAAGAAAAGAAAGAAAGAAAGAAAAAGAGATATACTGTCATCCAGGCTTTGTTGTTTCATTTAGGGGGTGTGGGAAGAGTAGACTTAGCATAATTCTTAGGAGCCCTGGGATTTTCAGAAAGGTAAATGAACACTAGCTTCAACTTAAAGTCACCAGCTGCCTTAGCCCCTAACAAGAGAGTCGGCTTGTTCTTCGAAGCTTTGAAGCCAGGCCTTGACTTCTCTCTAGCTATGAAAGACCTAGATGGCATCTTCTTCCAACAGAAGGCTGTTTTGTCTACATTTAAAATCTACTGTTGAGTGTACCCACCTTCATCAATTATCTTAGCTAGATCTTGTGGATAAGTTGCTGCAGCTTCTCCATCAGCGCTTGGGATTCATCTTGCACTTTCATGCTATGGTGATGCCCTCTTTCCTTAAACCTCTTGAAGCAACTTCTGCTGGCTTCTAACTTTTCTTCTGTAGCTTCCTCACCTCTCTGAGCCTTCATAGAATTGAAGAGAGTTAGGGGCTTCCTCTGGATTAGGCTTTGTCTTAAGGGAATGTCATGGCTGGTTTGATCTTCTATCTACACCACTCAAACCTTAGCTATATCAGCAATAAGGTTGTTTCACTTTCTTATTATTTGTGTGTTGACTGGAGTAGCATTTTACATTTTCTTCTTTTGCATTTCACATTGTTTTTGCTTTCACAACATGGCTGTTTAGCACAAGAGGCCTGGCTTTTAGCCTATGTTGGTTTTTGACATGCCTTCCTCAGTAAGCTTAATCGTTTCTTGCTTTTGATTTAAAGAGAGAGATGTGTGCTTTTCCTTTCATTTGAACTCTTAGAGGCCATTGTAGGCGTATTTATTGGCCTAATTTCAAAATTGTTGTGCCTCAGGGAACAGGGAGGCCCGAGGAGAGGGAGAGAGATGAGGGAATGGCCACTCGGTAACACATTTGGTGGAGAAGTCAGAACACACAATATTGATGGATTTCGTTTGCCATATTATATGGGTGTGGTTTGTGGCACCCCAAAAAAATTGCAATAGTAACATCAAAGATCGTCATAATACATATCATTATGAAAAATTTGAAATATTACAAGAATTACCAAAATGTAACACAGAGACAGGAAGTGAATACACGCTGTTGGAAAAATGGAACAGATAGACTTGCTCAATGCAGGGTTGCCACAAACCTTCAATTTGTAAAAAGTGCAATACCTGTGAAACACAATAAAGCAAGGTACAGTAAAATGAGATATGCCAGTAATTATAGCTGACATTTATCAAGTGCTTACCAATAATATCCTTGCTTAAGCACAGCTTAATACCATAAAGAAGTGCAAATATTTCTCTCTCTCTCTTTTTTTTTTTTTTTTTTGAGACTGAGTCTCACTCTGTGGCCCAGGCTGGAGTGCAGTGGTGCCATCTTGGCTCACTGCAACCTCTGCCTCCCTGGTTTAAGCAATTCTCCTGCCTCAGCCTCCCAAGTAGCTGGGATTATAGGCATCCGCCACCACACCTGGCTAATTTTATTATTTTTAGTAGAGACGGGGTTTCCCCATGTTGGCCAGGCTTGTCTTGAACTCCTGACCTCAGGTGATCCACCCCCCTTGGCCTCCCAAAGTGCTGGGATTACAGGCGTGAGCCACCGTGCCCAGCCAAGAAGTGCAACTATATCTTTCAAAATTATACTCTTTTATTTCACATGGAAATATCCTTCCTTTCCCCTCCTCTTTGTTTTAATTTATTTACTTTTTATTCTTAGAGACTGGGTTTTGCTCTGTTGCCTAGGCTGGAGTGCATTGGCACAGTCGTAGCTCACTATAACCTTGAACTCCTGGGCTCACTCAGTTGATTCTCCCACTAGGACTACAGGCACACACCATCACACCAGACTAAGTTTTTTTTAAATTTTTGTAGAGATGGGGTCTCACTATGTTACCTAGGGTGGTCTTGAATTCCTGGCCTCAAGTGATCCTCCTGCCTCGGCCTCCCAAAGTGCTGGGATTACAGGCATGAGCCACCATGCCCGGCCCCCTCCTCTTTGTTTTAATGAGACACTTACATTGTAGACATTCCCCCCTACTCCCAGATTATAATACTAACCTAACAGGTCCGGAGAACTGTCATATATTGCTTACTCACTTTCTTGCCCGCATTCCTGAAAGGAAGACAAAATTGCAGCTTCCCCTTTGTGTGTGTCTGTTTCCTATCACCTCTACTACCCCTCTGCATCACTCAGATGTACTATAACATGGTCAATGACCTTGGTCATTTGATTTTCATTAACACTCTTTTGCTTCCCTTTTGGAGTAGGGGAGGCTTTCATTTTATATCCATCTTTTGGGTATGCAGATGTAGGCAGAGATTGTTCTTTTCTTTTTCCAGAAAAATATAAATCCCAGGGCAATGTATCATTGATTCCGGTTTTCACTTAAATACCTACCAGGGTCAAGAGAGATGAGCTGTCATCTTTGTTTTGTCCTGTGTGCAAAAATCCCAACTTACAGGAAATGACGTTGTATCAGAAAACTTCCTAGGAAGTACAGTGACTGATGTGAGCTCAGCAGTGGTCCCACCTTGCTCCAGGGAGATGTCACGCTCTGTGAGAGCAAAACCAGGAGAGAGACTCTGCCACCCCAGCTCCAGGCCAGCCACGGCCCCCCCGGGGCTCCATCTGAAAAGACAGCAGCATCAGTCTCCCACCTCTTAATTCTCATTTCTAGAGCAAAATATCATTTTGTGTCAGCTTGTGGTTTTACCTCTAATTAAGAGCACTCCTATTTTCTTTCACCACTCTCAGTATGTTTGTATTTGTTGTTAAATAGCGTCAGAAAATACTTGTAGAGAGTAGTCTAAAGGAAAAGTATGTGGCATGGCGGGACAATCAAGGTTTTAAATAAATATCAATGATCAGTTTTGCTTCCACGTTTTGAACGTATAGAGAAGAGTGCTTTTACAGTTTTATACCGGATCAGCCATGAATCTGATCTTTACTGTTCACTATGATGCTGCATGAAGATTGCATCCAGTTGTTTTGTAAGCTTTTCTATTGAAGTCTTAGCTCTCTGACTTTAAGTGTCTGGGGACAGGGTTACTGTCTGTAGGGTACAGGGCTACTGTCTGTAGGGGACAGAGCTGGGTTTGCCACTGCCACCTCCAGCCTCTTGAAAGTTGTTAGCTTCCTTCAGCACAGCTGAAAGGGTGTTGGAGTGTTCTCAGTCCCAACAGATGTAAGCAGAGGGCATCTACTCTTGGTAGGAAGGGTCACATTAGGTCAGCTGATGGCCAGATGCTGAACTCTGGGTTGGGTTGCACCCAATCAGGAACTACCCCCACCCCCAGTACACTGATGTTCCATACCAGACACTCCCTTTGCACTCAGGTCCAATTTCAGCATCCTTTAAGTTGCTGCTTTGGGACTCCAGAGTAATTACCCCCACACTTTAAACAAAATCCATTTCAGAACCTGCTTCCTCCCTGAAATCTCTATGCTGAAACTATGCAATCTTCCTGCAGTTATTCTAAAGCATTAAATAATAAACAATAATATTTCAATATGTATATTCTGCAATAGTATGCACACACGTTGGTGAATATTTAGAGCTAAGTGTTGGTCCAGAGTCAAAGCAGTGAGAAATAGAACAGGTATGAAAATTGAACTTAAGACTAAAAAAGAAAATCAATGTCCTTCTGAAATTATGTTCCTCCTTCCGCGTCGTTAGGCTTTCTCTGATCTCTAGAGCATGCCAAAAGTTCAGGCACAAATAAACCATAAAAAGAGAAGTCTAGAAAAATTCTCCTTTAAAAGAGATGTATTAAATCTAAGATCTTTCACACAGTTATATTTTAAAAGAACACAGTGAGCAAGGACGATAAGTTAAAAGATAGTAACAGAGTTTTGCTTTTTTTTTTTTTAAATAAAATTGATTAAAACACTCTTGGCTGCCCTTCCTTATCCAGCCTACGATCCCATGCCATTAGTTGCTTGTTTTTTGTTGTTGATGTTGTTTTTTAATAGTGAAGGCTTGAAAATGAACTTTTGGTGTTAAAGGCCAGAATAATGGTTACCTTTGTGGGAAATTGATAAGAGGTGGCCTGAGGAAGCCCCCTGGGTGTTTGATCTGGGTGGTGGCTATAGGGGGTTGTGCACATGTGTGTGTGTTTGTAAAAATTTATTGACCTGAACACATAGGACTTGGCACATTACTGAATGTAAGTTACACCTCAATAAAAAAGAACTTAAAAATGAGGGAAGGTTTGAACTACACTAGTTTAAAAAGAGGTGGAAATTGTGTTTCTAGTTACCTTCATGCAATGCCCTGAGCTGCCTGACAGCTCACACGTGTGTTCCGTGAACACAACTGTGGACCGAAATGCTACACTGCACTTTGCAGGTGCATTGAATCACCCATGAATCTGAGGGGTGTCTGGCCACCAGCAGTAACCTCAGTTTGAAGGGGATTGTTAGTTCCCATGCATTTAAGCCACTTCAAAATTATTCAGTGAAAAACAATGACTAACTTTGAGGCCATTGCTTAATACATATAATGTATGACATTTTTCAGGAAATGATTCTCTAATACTGGGATCTAAATGAATTGAAATTTGAGGCACACTTGGAGAAATTTCCCAGACACCACACAATCAAGATAGTGGAGTGCAATAGTCAGTCACTTGGCCTGGGGCCATGTCAGATGAGGACCTGGCCTCATCTTGGCTTGTTACCAGCTTGCTGAATCACTTTCAAGTCTCAATCATCTGAATGCTCTCAACCTCAATTTTCTTATTTATGAGACAAGAAGATCTCAAGTCTAGAATTATGAGGCTATAGAATTTTGAGTTTTATAAACTGTTTGAATGGATGTATTGGGCAGTTATCTCTCCCCATGGGAGAGGCGATGTTTTAAAACATAAGATACATAGATGGCAAAAAAAAAAAAAAAAAAAATCCAAACAGTATAAAATGATATAAAATGAAGTCTTCCTCTCCATCAACTTCCAGCCCTTTTCTTTAAATATAATTAGAGTCTGTAATTATTTATCCTTCAAGAATTGTTTATACAAATATCAGCATATATGTGTATAGTCTTGAAAACATTTATGCAAATGATATATTAAATACTGACTAAATTTTGCTGTTTTTCTCACTTCATAATATATCTTAGAAGTCTTTATGTGAAATGTGTAAATTTATTTCATTCTTTTTAACAGCAACACATTATTTCATTGTATGCCACAATTTATTTAATCAGTCTCCTACTAATGGATGTTTTGATTATTTCCAGAATTTTTTCTGTTTTTTTTATTTTTTGAGATGGAGTCTCGCTCTGTCATCCAGGCTGGAGTGCGGTGGCTCCATCTCGGCTCACTACAACCTCTGCCTCCCAGGTTCAAGTGATTCTCCTGCCTCAGCCTCCTGAGTAGCTGGGACTACAGGCGCCCACCACCACATCCGGCTAATTTTTTTTGTATTTTTAGTAGAGATGGGGTTTCACCATGTTGGCCAGGCTGGTTTTGAACTCCTGACCTCAAGTGATCCGCCCACCTTGACCTCCCCAAGTGCTAGGATTACAGGCTTGAGCATGGTGCCCGGCCCAGAATTTTTTCATTACAATTAAAGTTCTAATGAACATCTCTGTATGCATTTAATTAATACTTTTGCAAATGTATCCCATAAGGTAAATTCCCAGTAGTAGAATTACTGGGTCAAATGATGTGTGTTTTAAATTTTGGAAGACTGTAAAATTACCCTTCCAAAATGTTTGCCAATTTATCCTGCCACTGACCATGTAGCAGGGCGCCTCTTCTCTGTCCCTCCTTTCCAACACTGAGCATTATCCATTTTTTAACATTTTTTGTAGCTTATAAATAAAAATGTGGCAAGTGACAGATTTTAAGATCAGAATTGAATGATGTAAGATTGATTATTTCTTGTATTTGGCCTACCAAAGAGGCTCTTTCATTTTTAACTGGTTTGTTTTGCATTTGTCAGCTGTCAATTTAGTATATGATAACGTTGGAAGTTTAACAATTAACTAGATTTGGTTGTGCAACTAAAGAATATCAAGACTCACCTGACATTTGCATTGTGTTTTAGTACCTTATTTTGTTTCAGAAAATGTGCCCCCTAGTGGGCACATCTTCTGTAATTTTTTTTTTTTTTTTTTTTTTTGAGACGGAGTCTTGCTCTTCTTGCCCAGGCTGGAGTGCAATGGCGCAATCTCAGCTCACTGCAACCTCCGCCTCCTGGGTTCAAGCGATTCTCCTGCCTCAGCCTCCTGAGTAGCTGGGATTACAGGCGTGCACCACCACGTCCAGCTAATTTTTATATTTTTAGTAGAGAAGGGGTTTCACCATGTTGGTCAGGCTGGTCTCAAACTCGTGACCTCGTGATCCGCCCGCCTCAGCCTCCCAAAGTGCTGGGATTACAGGTGTGAGCCACCGTGTCCAGCCCTTCTGTAATTTAACTGATAGAGTTGAGAGCAGAACACACACGTCAATGGCTGCATTGTGTCCTGTGATATGGCAGCTCCTAGAACGACTCAGAAGAATAGATTATACTTTACAAAGCATGCACAGTTTTCTCAGGTTAGCTCATTGTAGATTTTCCTCACTGATCCAGTAGGATTCACCCTAACAGCTACTGCTAGTCCTTCAAGAAGGGCAGAGTACATACCCTACCTTGATATTGCTTCAGGCTGAATATTGTTGAATATCAACCATATTCTATTTGCATCTGACTTCCTAGATTTCCCTGGGAATAGTTGGTGAAAATGTGCATATTTACAGAAAGGAAAAATGACCCTCAGTAACAATAAGTGATGAATTCAAAGTCAGTAGGTTGGAACACACCTGAAACACAATTTCAGACTTTCCAATCTTTGATGCTTAAAAAATGATCACACACAACTAACTTTCACTATTCCCGCAAGAAAATACTAATAATTTCTAAAAATTTTTACAACTTTCTTTTGAACCACAAAAATAAGCATTGATCTGTCATGAACACATTTCTAGAGTCTGCTGATAAACACTGTCATTAAGCCCTCTAAAAAGTACCTGTGGGTATATTTGCCATAGACGTGGTTTTTAAAACAATCACAATGAAACCGAGAAAAGGAAAAATAAAGGAAGAAGTTAGAGAACGACAGATGGAGAGGCTGGAGAGGAAGACTAGAAACGAACAAAAGGGAAGTGATGAGTCAGGCTGAAGAATACAGGGTCAGCCAGGGGCCAACAGGGGAGGGTAGAATTATTTTCAAATTTGTGTTGGTCCTGCCTAATTTATTTCACCAGTTACACAAGGTCATAGGTGTCCATTTGAAAGGCTCTCTTAGGACACCTACTAGTATTATTAGATGTGTAAAATAGAATTCATGTTACTAACGAGACATTTAGAGAACATTTACAATACATGCTAAAAATATGGAAGGGAAAATTTGCTTCAGGAAATATAGAGTGGATGTAATTTTCTCTATTCCTCCCATTAGGTACAACGTTAAACCCTGGACATAATATGTGAACACACATAAGAAAACTCTGAAAAGTGGAAAGAAAACAGTAAATCTGTTAAGAACCTTGAGACTCAAGTAACAAAAAAATGAGTTGCTTGGCTTTGCTTTTTGCCATGTATAGCTAATACTTGGAGCTGAAGAAGTCAACAACCCAGAAGTGATGGCGAGTACAGGCAAAAATATTAGGCTGTTGCAAAAATAATTGCCGTTTTTGCCATTGAAAGTGATGGCAAGAACCACAATTACTTTTGCACCAACCTGGTAACAACAAAGTCCTCGTCTCTCTAGTCAAAGGACCAGGTGAGGAACAGCCTAGCAAAACAGAACACTTAGACAACAGCCACTTTGGTCCAGCCAAACACCATAGAAAAAGCTCCAGTTCTACCTAATCAAAGTAAAAACAATATCCTAAAATTGATTTAGGAATGATTTAAAAAAAAATGGACAAGAATTGTTAGAGCCCTTGGGCAGTGTGGTGGCATGGAAGCAAAGACAATGGAGGGAGGTCATTGCCGCCACATGGCTGTGGCCTGTGGCTTCAGGATCCTCACCTAGAAAACAGCTATTATCTGTACCTTGCAGGGTTGCTGTGATTCTTAAAAGAGGTAATGTACGCAAAAGCCTTAGCACAATGCCTAGACTAAAGAAGGTGTTCAATCACGTAACTGTAATAATAATGTTAATCTTTTACAAACATTAAACACCTTCTAGAAATATCTAGTGTTTCCAAGTAGTAGGCATCAACACCATTTTACAGACTAAGAATCTCAGTGGATAAAGTAGACATTAAAGACCAAATTCCAAATTTCTACCTTTCAAATAATGCTGCTTAGGTAAATTATTTTTAACTGGTTGAGCCAGCTAGAAAATCCTGCAACAAAAGATGAGTTCTTTCTTATAAAGCATTTGTTTAACACACATTTTAAAATAGTAAAACAGAAAGCTTTCTCTCTTAAGTAATATTTCTCTAAATAACTTTTATTCCCATATACTTTATATGTCAATAGATGTTGTGACTATAATGTCAAATAGGTACCAATTATTCATTAAAAAAACAAATGTTAAGAGAGTTTAAAGGCTAGGCAAGAGGATCGCTTTGCGCCCAGGAGTTCAAGGCTGCAGTGAGCCATGGTCGCGCCATTGCACTCCAACCTGGGCAACAGAGCGAGACCCTGTCTCTAAAAATACATACATACATACATAAACAAATAAATGAATGAATGAAATGAAATATGTGAGTGTACTCTAACAAAACCTGTACAGGACTCATGTTTCATTTCATTTATTTATTTATTTGAAACATGTATAGGACTCATGCACAAAATGCTACAAAATGCTGATGACAGAAACTGGAAAAGATCTAAATAAATGAAGATACATCCTGTGTTCATGGATTGGAATATTCAACATAGAAAAATGGTTAATTCTCCCCAAATTGAAGTTTCACACAATTCTTATCAAAATCTCAGCAAGATTTTTGTATAGACAAGATCATTCTAAAATTTACATAGAAAAGCAAAGAAACTAGAATAACAAAAATGATTTTGAAAAAGAAAAATAAAGTAGAAGTAATCAGCGTACTCAATTTCTAGAATAGATAAATAACATGTAGCATATTCGTACAATGGAATACTCTACAGCAATGAAATGAATGAACTACAGATACAGGCATGAGATGAATACATCTGCACAATTTTGGATGAAAGAAGCCAGGCACAAGACTATGTATTGTATAATTCCATTTGTATAAAATTTTAAAACAGGTAAAACTAAACTAGGTATTTTCAAGATGAATGCTTAGGTGATAAAAGAATCAAACAAAGCAAAGACGTAGTTTCCACAGAAGTCAAGACAGTACTTCTGGTTGGTGGGGCAGGGGAATGGTGTGATTGGGAAGGAATGTGAGGGGGCTTCTGGGATGCTGGCAATATTTGATTTCTTGTGGTTATAGGAAGCTTGCTTTATAAAAATGTGTTAAGCTGTACGTTTATATTCTGTGCCCTTTTCTGTAAGCAGGTTGTATTGCTAAATATAAAGTCTATTTTTTTTCTCTCTCTCTTTTGAGACAGGATCTTGCTCTGTTACCCAGGCTGGAAGACAGTGGTGTGGACACAGCTCACTATGGCCTGGACCGTCCTGGGATGAAGCGATCCTCCCACCTCAGCCTCCCAAGTAGCTAGATCTATAGACACATGCCACTATGCCAGGCTAATTATTTTATTTTTTTGTAGAGATGGGGTCTCACTTTTTTGCTCAGGTTGGTCCCAAACTCCTGGTCTCAAGTGATCCTCCTGCCTCAGCCTCCCCAAGTGCTGGGATTACCCCTGTGCCTAAAGTCTATTTTTTTTTTTTCTTTAAGGATCTCTTACCATCTTTGAGAAGAGTATCTTGTATGAATTGTAGAGACGCATGATAGAAGTCAGGAAGAGTGGCTGGGTTGAGGGAGGCTTTTTATTGCAATAATCCAGGTGTCAGGGGACAAGAAGCAGGACTAGGACATTAATAGCTGGGATGGAGAGATTAGGGAACTTTCGAAAGCAAATGGAGGAAAGGGTAAAGTCAGGGTGTGGTAGCTAGTTTCTAAAGATTGTTCCCAGTGAACCACACCCAGTAGTGTTGTCTCACATTGATTCTGGACTGGGCCATTCAAACTGAGGGAATGAGGCAAGATGGTACTACGTTGACTTCTCATGACTTCCAAGGCTAGGTTGGAGGAAGGTTTGCCTGGGCCTCTTGGAATGAGAACCCAGCTCTCACGCCGTGAGAAGCCCAAACCACCCAGCTGAGCTCCTAGCTACCAGCCAGCATCACCCACCAGCCACAGGAGTGAGCCATCTTGGGCAGCTAGTCCAGCTGAGCCATGAGATGACGGCAGCCCCAGACAACATCTGTCCTTAATGACCTAAGATAACCCAACAAGAACTACCTGCCTGAGCCAATGGACCTCCAGAATCAGGAAGGACAGTAAGAAATTGCTGCACCACTGAGTTTTGGGGAGGTTTATTTTGTAGCATTAAAGAGCCAGAACACAGAGAACACACCAGGTTGTGCTTGAGTGACTGGAGGGAGGGTGATATTATTAACTGAGGTAGACAATGTGGGAGAAAGAATAGGTTTGGTGGGGTAAATAGGTTTTGTTTTGGACTTCGAGATGCCTGAGGTACTTCTAGATGTAGTTCCTTGGTAGACATCTGTATGTACAAATCCAAAAGCCAATGAAGAGATCTAGGCTGAAGATGGAGATCTGGAAGACATCAGCATATAGCCCTGAGTGCATCACCCTACCCAAAAAGTAGGACTACCCCTTCTGTAAAGATTAGTCCAAACAGCACTTCCTCTATGGAGAATCCATTGGCATTGGTTTCTAAAAACCAGCTATTCTTTTCCCAATAATTCGGTAGTTCTTTGGCAATATCTTATCTACATCTCTTACCACACTACCCTATAATGATATATTTACATGTCTGTCTTCCCCAGTAACTTGTAAGGTGACCCGAGATAGGACTGTAATTTAATCATGTGTCTCATCATTCCCAAAAGCAAGTAGACCTTCAATAGATGAATGAACAAATGAAGATTAATAGGGATTAGTTGTTCATATCTTACTGAACAAGCTAATTTCTTACCAAGCTAAAACTAGAAAATAACTTACTATGTGATTAACATTCTAAAAAGAATGTTTATTTACCTATATATTTCACCCTTCTTTTAGACTTACTCCTCTCCAGAGGTTATTTCTAATTACACAAATTTATCTTCTATTTGATATTTAAATTGGGAGAGATTTTACAGATCATATTTTGAAGATACTCTTCTTTTTGTATGATTGAGTAGTTGGCGGGAAAAAAAAAAAGGGAATGCCTTAAGATTCTGTGAATTAAAGAGAGTTATGGGTTTTTCTCTTTACCCAATAAGGGATTTCAAGTAAATTAAACAGCTTTAGGCACTCCTTTGACTATTTTAGAAAATAATGAAAACAATTTTACTCTAAAACCTTTGATTTTTACACCATGGACTGCAATGCACTTTTTTAAACCCAATAAACATCATTAATTTATTTAGACTTTGGAAGAGTCAGTGTAAGAATTTAAATCATAGGCCCATAGGCTACCCTATAATTTTAGTTTTCTATCCTTCTCATGAGTAAAGAAAACAGCTGTGTTTATCCATTCATGGCTGACAAAATCCCTTTGTTGGTACTGACTATCAAAGTTACTTGTATAAACGCAAAATCTGGCAGCATGTTAATTTCAAATTATCACATGTACTTGAATGAATCTTTAGAGCAAGAACTGCCAATTTTAAAAGGCTACTGAAAGTACTAAAATATTTATCAGACAAGAGGTCTGCCAAGAGCTTTCAGGGCCCAACTGCTTCCTCAAATTACACACTAGACATAGAAGATTAGGGGAATGTTAATAGAATGAGATTATTAGTTGTGTAGATACTTTGCTTGAAATCTGAACTGCTGAAATTAGATTGGGAGCAGCTAGCCTCATCCAAGGTTAGGGGTTGATGAGGAAGTGCCTTTCTAGAACAAGCAAAATTCTGAATACTGGTTCATGATCACTATCACTGCCAAGCTAGCCAGACTTTTGATTGGAAGACTGGAAGAAAAGAGAAACTGGTAAGGATTCTAAGGAAACTCCTGAAAAGCCGTTTCACTTGTAAAGACTGGGCTTTTGGTGGACTCATTTATTCAGCAGATAAAGATTAAGTGCTGATGCTACCATCTCTATGAAAGCAGTCCCCTCGAGGCCCATGGTGTTCGGGTTAGTTTTTGTTTTCGTTTTTAATTAGGAACAAAGCTACTTGCAAAACAGTAAGTTTTATCATCGTCCATGATATGACTCCTGCCAGTCTTCCCAATTCAAACCAGACTCTCTCTTTAAGCTCTCCAACCTTGCCACACCACCCACTTTTTTCCAATCCTACTCTTCGATCCATGGTTCTACCCTTGACTGCAAATTAGAGGCATGTGAGAAGTCTTAAAAACAGACAATGCCTGGGCCCACCCTTAAAGGTTCCAATTACTCTGCTCAGGGGTGAGGCCCAAGCAGGAGTATGTTTTGAAGTTCCTCAGGTGATTCTGGATGTGCAGCCAGAGTGGAAAGGCACCGCCTTAACTCCCTGCCGCCTCCCTGGAAGCGCTTCCCCGCCCCTCCTCCCCATCTCAGTCAATCTTTCAAGCTTCTACTCAACATTCCCAAGCATCGCCTCACCTGTAAGTCATTTCCTGACTCCCCCAGGAAGAGAAGCATCCTTCTCCCTTGTGGCCATCTATGCACTCAGCATAGTTTCATCACAGCACCTGGTGTAAATTTTTTTAGGGACAGGTCTCTCTGCTTCCACTGGAGTTTGAGTTTATGAGGGTCAGGTTCATCTCTGTAACCCCCGTGTCAATAAATGTTGCTAGAAGGAATGAGTGACAAATATTAACTACTTTTAGAACTCCATCTTCTCTGGTTTAAATCTCCAGAATCCCTTGGGGCAATATTTCCAAAACTACTGCTATTCCAAAGACCCATAAATTCTCTAAATTCCCTAAATTCCCTACTGCAGACCTGGAGTGGAGATAGGAGATAGTGTGGCTGTGAGAGGGACTGTGCAAGGCAAGGCTGTAAAATTTCACCATTAGGCCCAACTGTTAGGACACACTCCCTCAGGGTCTTTGTAGTCCACTCTGGTATTCTGAAAATAACAATGACAAAAATATCTGTGTATCAGACACTGTTCTAAGGGCTTTACATAGATCTTCATTTCATCCTCATAACAATGAGGTTTTAGATACCATTCGGTATCTAGCATTTGGTATTTGCTAGATACTAATAATATCCTCATTTTACAGTTAAAGAAATTGACACTAAACTACCTGCTTTACCTATATAGCTCTGCATTTGCAACAACACTGCAAGAAAGTGAAGCTGATGATACAGGAGGTAGAAAGAAATTATTTAGGCAGATAGTGAGAGCCCAAGAGTCCTCAGCAGAGCTTCCCCTCTAACAAAAAGCAGCCCTCAAAATCATTTCTTTTCATAACAAAGAGAAGCCTGAAAAATTGAGTTGCAAACATAGATACATAGATACACAAGATGGAAGCTGTCACAGGGGAATGACGGCAGCTGTGCCAATAGAAAAGGAAAAGGACTACCTGGGGGCGGCCATGTCCAACATGGAGGCTCCATCTTCTCTTTTTTTGTTATCACGTGTACAGTAATAAAGAAATGGGCAACATGGTGCACCTCAGGCAGAGACGCGCCTGGATAATAAAAAAAGGTTAGGATGGGGGATACCAGAGATTCGTGCCCTATGCAAATAGCACAACTGGTCTAACCAGTCTTTCTTGCCCTTTCTTGCCTATGTAGATCAGACGCCGCCTCCCCACCAGCTCATCTATAAAACCTCCTGCATTTCACCGCGGATCCGGCAACCCATTTTTCTGAGACCCCTCTCTGCAGCAGAGAACTCTTCTCTTTCTTTTGCATATTAAACTTCCGCTCTCAACCTCAATCTTTATGTGTCCTCATTATTGTTCTCCGTGGCCATGAGAAAATGAACCTCGGGTGTGACTCCAGACAATGAGGCTGTTTCACTTAGAGGTCAAACAACTTGCCCAAAGACATGTGGCTATTAAGTGGAATCAAACCCAGCTCTGCCACTTACTAGTTTAAATGGTCAGAAAGCACTGTTTTATGGATTTTAATAACTTCTTATGTCTGTGAGATTATTTTGTCTGCAAATAATAGAAAAACACAATTTGGATCCATATAAACCATCAAGAAATGTATTCTTTTCCATAGGAAGTCCAGAGATAGGGTAGCCCCAGTCATGATGTGGTAGGCACTTCAGCTTCCTTCTCTACCTCTGCTGTTTCCCTTATATGGTGCAGGTTGAATCCTCTCCCTAGATGGCCATTGAGATCCTAGTCATCACATCCAGACACATCAACAGGCCTTTTCCTAACTGAGCATTTCCAAGGGCACGGGAGAGCCATGAGCAGCCAGAGGAGCTGAATAGGTGCTGCAGAGCCAATCACTGTCTCCCTTATTCCTTATACTCACAGAGCATGCTTGACTTTTCAGAGTACTTTCATGGTGATTATCACTTTCAATTTTCACGATGACCTATGTGAAATGTGAGTTTTGGATTATCCTCACAGGTGGATTTGTTTGCAGGAAAAGAATATTTAATTTAAATGGTTATATTAGTATTCAGTATATTAAGATACAAATCTCACAATCTAATACTTCCTTAGGTTTTTAAGTCCACCTTACAAATTCTGTTTTTTTAAGTTGGGTGAATTTGGTAATCACCTTACAGAGAACTTTGTTTTCTGTTTTTGTTTGTTTCTTTTCTTTTGTTTTGAGACAGAGTCTCGCTCTGTTGGGCAGGCTGAAGTGCAGTGGCATGATCTCAGCTTGCTGCAAACTCCACCTCTGGGATTCAAGTGATTCTCCTGCCTCAGCCTCCTGAGTAGCTGGGATTTCAGGCATGCACCACTATGCCAGGCTAATTTTTGCATTTTTAGTAGAGATGGGGTTTCACCATTTTGCCAAGGCTGGTCTTGAACTCCTGACTTCAAGTGTTCCACCCACCTCGGCATCCCAAAGTGCTGGGATTATAGGTATGAGCCACTGAATCCTGCCTACAGAGAACTTTGATTAAAACTTGGTCCTATTTATAAACAAAATCAAATATTTTAGAACCTTTTATACTGCACTTATAAATTTAATTCATATTTAATTTTATTAAACAATTATCTGACTTAATAAATGAAACATTCCTGAGCACTAAATAATTCTTTTAAATTTGATATGGTCAATTAAACTGATAATATGTTGAACATGAAATTCTCTTAAATAATTAAGACCTGGATATAAACTTACACATATCAGAATCAATTATGTATTTGTGTATTTTAAAATGGATTTAGAATAATTCAATCATCTTAAAACATGATAAGTTTATAAAACATCAAATATGTATAAACTCCTTAACCCCAAAATACAAATACGGTGAGTTTTGTTCTCAAAGCTTATTTGGGTAAGGCACTTCCCACTCAGGCTACAATTTTCCCACGTAACTATAGCTTGAGGTTGCCCAACCACCAAATATTTTGGCCAGGAGGCTGAGTTCTTTGGTAACTAAATGAATTCTATTTGTGGTTGCTATGTCAATTACTCCTTAATTTCAGAAGAGGGATAGGTCAAGTAGCCCAAAACCAAGACCCTTCTGATTCTCTCAGAAGAGTTTACCCCACTCACATCACTTGATTGGATTTGCATCTCTTTGGCAAAGATGTGTAAATGTTGTCCTTGTTCCTTTAAAGAACTTTGAATTTGCTCGATTCCTACATTTATTCTTACTCTTAGGATTTCATAACTCTTATAGGGTATTAAAATAACATCCAATTGATTCTGAGTTTGTCGATTAGTTTACAACTTGCAAGGTAATTCAACTGACATACTTTAGGCTATACGAGCTGTCTGGAAATCATGTGGTTGGGCTCTTAACTGTATGGGGTACTTTTCTCTCAGAGCAAACCTTCTATGGGCCATAACTCTTGCCTCTGGTTAGAGAACGGTCATTTGCCCAACTTGTAAAGTTGGCCAATGAAAAGAGTAGTAGCCCTCCAAAGTGGTATAAAAATTAGAAACATCTGAAATCTGTAACTACAAAAATAAACATTATGTAAACTTAAGCAGAGCCTCCTGAATTACAGCTGCTATGATCCCCCTCTGAGGGAGTTTCTTGACTGGGAGAAGACTGGCCCTAGCATCAGCAAGTAAGAATTCTGCTACCCATCAGCATAATAAAAGCTAACAGAACCTTCTCTACTTTCCCATTGAAGCCCAAACCCTACTCCCACTTTTTGTTAAGTTGGTATATAATTCTTTACCTCTGAGTATTCAGGGAGTTACTCAGTAATGAGTACCCCCACATGCGCATGTAAATAAACATTGTATTTTATTTTCTCCTGCTAATCTGTCTATTGTAAGTTAATTCTCAGGCTCCCAACATTTTGCCAGTCAGTGGCAAAAAGTCTGTTTTCACGCTGCTAACAAAGACATACCTGAGAGTGGGTAATTTATAAAGAAAAAGAGATTTAATGGACTCACAGTTCCACGTGGCTGGGGAGGCCTCACTCATGGTGGAAGATGAAAGGCACATCTTACATGGCAGCAAGACAAAAAGAGAATGAGAACCAAGCAAAAAGGGGCTCCCCTTTATTAAAACCATCAGATCTCATGAGACTTATTCACTACCATGAGAACAGTCTGAGGGAAACTGCCCCCATGATTCAATTATCTCCCACCGGGTCCCTCCCACAACACATGGGAATTATGGGAGCTACAAATCAAGATGGGATGTGGGTGGGGACACAGCCAACCCGTATCAGTGGATAAACAAAGTTTCTTCTCTACACTTTCAGCAAGTGTAGGATGGAATGATTAGGACTCCCCACTCAATCTACAGACAGCAGCGATCTCAGACCTCTGACCAAGCTGGTAAATGTTAACCTTCTTAAGCATTAGACTCCTGGGTCTCTGCTGGGGACCCTGTGAGTGACTCCATTTGGTGGTAAATTTGGCCACTTCCTTTCTTGTTGATAAGACTTTAATAAGGATAAAGTCATGGGACTTTAGTGGCCCTTTTGGAAAACTAAGATCTCCCCAAACTAGCTCCTCTAAAACCTCTCTCTTACCATCTCTCCTCCTCCTTTTACTGCCTCGAGTCTTCCCTTCAGCTCCTTTGACATGTCCCCTTCAAGACCCTACCTCCTCCATCCCTCTGTCTGCCCCTGTCAGATCTTTTCTTTCCCATTCCAGCCCCCCATCTCTTTACAGTCACTCAAGCTTTAGCTCTCCTCCCATCAACAGGGGCTCTTGAGGGGTTCAGGGGCCCCCAAATGCAATCATATGAGGCTAAAAAGGCTTATTGAAAATAGAATGGATGTTTCATCCACTCAGATGGGATTTGGAGACATCCACACAACCTCTTGATGTGTGCTCAGTCCCTTAGTCCACAAACTCAGTCCTAAATCTTAGTACACAGATTCCATAAGATTACAAAAAAAAAAAAAAAATCTTAAACTCTTTCCTGTAAATATCCATGGAAAGTTTTAATCCTCATATTGAGCTGGTAATCTCAACATATTCCATCTAATAAAAAATACAATTTGGATAAAAACATAAAGGGGAGTAAAGACAGGAACCAACTCTTGTAAACCAGTGAATTTTGTGTTACTGTGTTTACGCCTTGGGTGCTGTGACTATTGTTATAGATGGCTAAAAATTTTAGGATGAAAGCCATCAGATCTCTATTTGCTCCAGTTTGTATGCATGCATGTATGTTATGTATATGTGATACTTTCCTATCTCTGAGTGGTATTAATAAATTAATTTCTAAAATCCCCTAAAGGAGTTCTAATTGGCTTAGACAAACAAGGGCTATATAAATTAAAATATTCCTAAAACTTTCAGAAGTATAGAAACTAACCCAAATGTTTTTCAAGTTCATGTAATTTGGGTAAATCTTTGGTAAATAAGACTAAATTGAATTTGTTGGTTTAATAAAAACAGGTGGTATGTCTTCCAAGTTATCAGCATTAAGCATGAAACAAGTATACATTTTATTCGCCTTGGGTTTACCAGTCAAATAACCTTGTATCTGTCAGATGTTTAAGATTAAAAAACTATAAACTTAACCTAAAGAACAAATGTACGAGTAAAGATGCGATAAAAATGAATTGCATGATATCCATTATTTCTTGTATATGAAGCACAGAAAAAAAGTATTTAACTTTTTAAATTTTAGTTTTATTTATTTTAGGTTATTTGCTTTTTTGATTTTTTTGATAATTGCCTAAAATAAGTTAACATGAAATAAGTTAACAGAAAAATAACTTGAGATGATGGGTAGCTTTGTTTAATGTCTTAAGAAATTTTCAGGCTGGGTGCAATGGCGTGCACGCCTGTAATGCCAGCACTTTGGGAGGCCAAGGCTGGTGGAGCACTTCAGACCAAGAGTTTGAGACCAGCCTGGGTAACATGGCAAAACCCCATCTCTATAAAAAATACAAAAATTAGCTGGGCATGGAGCTGTGTGCCTGTAGTCCCAGCTACTCAGGGGGCTGAGCTGGGAGGATACCTGAGCCAGGGAGGTACAGGTTGCAATGAGCTGAGGTAGCGCCACTGCACTCCAGCTTGGGTGACAGAGTGAGACCCTGTCTAAAACAAAACAAAACAAAACAAAAAAATTTTAGTGAGGCATGGTGGCTCATGCCTGTAATCCCAGAACCTTGGGAAAAGAAGTTCCAACTTGAAGCCAGGAGTTCAATACCAGCCCGGCATTACATGCCTGTAGTCCTAGCTACTCAGGAGGTTGTGGTGGGAGAATCACTTGAGCCCAGGAGTTCAAGGCTTGCTGCAGTGAGCCATGATCCCACCACTATACTCCAGCCTGGGTAACAGAGCAAGACTCTGTCTCTAAAAAAAAAAAGAAAGAAAAGAAGAAAAAAATTTCCATGAGCAACCCAAACAGAATTGTTAAGAATACATTTATTAAGTTGATGTAAGTGGGATAAAAATTATATGAATGGGATTTTTTTTTTTTTTTTTTTTGAGACGGAGTCTCGCTCTGTCACCCAGGCTGGAGTGCAATGGTGCGATCTCGGCTCACTGCAAGCTCCGCCTCCCGGGTTCACGCCATTCTCCTGCCTCAGCCTCCCCAGCAGCTGGGACTACAGGCGCCCGCCACTACGCCTGGCCAATTTTTTGTATTTTTAGTAGAGACGGGGTTTCACCGTGTTAGCCAGGATGGTCTCGATCTCCTGACCTTGTGATCCGCCCGCCTCGGCCTCCCAAAGTGCTGGGATTACAGGCGTGAGCCACCGCGCCCGGCCTATGAATGGGCTTTTTAACAATTATGTTTTATAATACGTATGCTTTAAGATAGTTTCAAAAACCTTTTTGGTGACTTGCAACCTTAGAGTTATGCTAATGAATAGATATTCTTTAAAAATCTATACCATTTCTAAGTAACAATCTCCTGAAACATTCATTATTAAACTAAAGTTTAAGCTTATATTTTTTCAGTTTCTTTTCTTTTTTTTTTTTTTTTTGAGACAGAGTCTTGCTCTGTTGTCCAGGCTGGACTGCAGTGGCATGATCATGGGTCATTGCAGCCTCAACCTCCCAGACTCAAATGATCCTCCTACCTCAGCCTGTCAAGTAGCTGGGACTACAGGCATGCACCACCATGTAAGGCTAATTTTGGTATTTTTTTAGAGTTGGAGTTTCACCATATTGGACATGGTGGTCTCAAACTCCTGGGCTCAAGTGATTTGCCTGTCTTGGACTCTCAGGGTGCTGGGATCACAGGCATGAGCCACTGCACCCGGTCTTGATTTCTTATTTTTACAAAGAGACTAAAGATACTTGGATCTGTAAATAAACATTTTTTTTATCACACTGAAAAATTGTATTATGAAGAGGCATATACGAATTATGAAATGATGTATTCATAAACTGCTAGCCTGCTACGGAATGTTGGAATATGACAGACAATTCACAATTGTCTACTTTTCACTACTGTCTAGTTTTCTCTATAAAAGGAAGGTTACTAATGATAAAAATTAATTATAACTAATATAAGTAAATTAAACTACTAAAAATAATAACAG
Organism: Homo sapiens; assembly: GCF_000001405.40. Lineage (NCBI taxonomy): Eukaryota > Metazoa > Chordata > Mammalia > Primates > Hominidae > Homo > Homo sapiens. Next base: position 3,337,160 of record NC_000018.10, read on the forward strand.
TGAAGGGAAACAAACACAAGGAAGGGGCTGGGCATAGTGGCTCATGCCTGTAATCCTAGCACTTTGGGAGGCTGAGGCCAGAGACTCACTTGAGTCCAGGAGTTCAAGACCAGCCTGGGCAACACAGCAAGACCCTACCTCTTAAAAAAGAAAATTAGTCGGCTGTGGTGGTGCATGCCTGTAGTCCTAGCTACTCAAGAGGCTGAGAAAGGAGGATTGCTTGAGCCCAGGAGGTTAAGGCTGCAGTGAGCCAAGATTGCACCACTGCACTCCAGCCTGGGTGACAGAGCGAGACTCCGTCTCAAAATAAATAAATAAAATAAAATGAGCTTTAGTATTAATAGTACCCAAATGCGAAACTAGAGTTTGATTTTCAATCTTTCTTAAAATGACAAAAATTTCTTGGATTATTGGTCTGCTCTTAATAAAATACTGTAAAAAGTTTTTCTTACCTTTTAAGTAATCTACCCATAAAACAAAGATTCTATGCCTTAGCACGATAATTTTCTATGTTGTCTTTATGGTGTCCTCAATTATTTAAGGGAACCAAACCTCATTTTTAAAAGAGCTAAGATTTCCCTTACAATCATGTTACCTCCTATATTTACCTTTGAAATCTTTATCACTTTGATTAAATAGGTAACTAAGTACAGCTCCTAACTTATGATGGTTAAATTTACAATTTTTTGACTTTATGATAGTGTGAAGGTAAAACACATTTAATATGCTCCTTGACTTACTACGATGAGATTACATCTGGATAAACCCATTGTAAGCTGAAAATATGGTAAGTCTGTTGTTTTGCAGTGATCTGTCATCCTATTTAATCAAGTAGAAATGCAAAATTTATCTTTTCTTCTCAAACATTTTGACATTTTACACCTCATATGTATTGCCTTCCAATATTCAAATCCTAGATAAAATTTTAATCTCAATTGACTTTGAGATTTTCCAGAGGCCTTCTGGAAAATCTTAAATAATCTGTTATTTTACATAATAAAAAGAGAGCAATTTTTTAAAATTAGTTTTTTTTTATATGTTGAATTGCATGAAAAGCATTGTCAGGGAAGAAGAGATGCTTAACCTTCCCTAATTATATTCATGTGGGTAAATATTATTACTATAACTATTTCAGAAGTTATATAAAATTCCTAGAAGTTTGGCAATGCCCTCACAGTACATGACGTGTCCTGGTAATGTCATCCCTGCTATTAGACAACCACAGTATAATATTATCGGTGGCAACTTCGGTTATTATGTTAAATGTTGTATGCCAGAAACAACCAAATTCTCTTCTCAAATTGCATTATTTTTATAATGAACTCTCATCAGATTTTTAACCATGGTCATTTTAAGTCTTTTGTCATCCACAGACAATTGTTTTATGTCAATGCTTTTCTAAAAGCTCTTGCCATCAACTACAGGCCAGAATGCTTCATCTTTAACAAAAGGGGACCATTTCAGATACCCATGAAGAGGACCATGCCAGGTACTTTGGGGCACAGGCTTCTGATGGCATTGCTTAAATAACTGAAATCATATCACTGAATTGAGTAAGGGTTTCTAGAACTCTAGTGGAGAAGCTATGGGTTCATAAAACTGCCAATCCAAGATCAGGTAGAACAAGAATTAGTTACATGGGACTAAATGAATTGAGGAAAGATAATTACGGCTTTTGTTTGGAACATTTCTGTTTCTTTAATGTTCCATTTTCTGGATTTAAGGAATCTCTTATTCTTTTCTCATTAGTTGCCTATACTTGTAGCAATTTAATAGATTAAATGTTTGTAACAAAATGAAAAATTTTTCTTTTCTTTCTGTCTGATCCCTCCAGAATTCATTAACTCTCAGTGAGTACTATTATTTTCATACTTATTTGCATAAATTCAATAAGAATTTTCTGTTCTTATAACAAGGCATGATTAGAAACATTGGCTGTATAACCAAGGCTTTGACTAGTATGTCATATTTAAGAATGATGTGCATAGAATCAGATATGATCAGTTTTTTTAAATTTTATTTTAGGTTCAGAGGGTACATGTGCGGATTTGTTACTTGGATAATTTGCACGTCGCTGAGGTTTGGTGTACAAATGATCCTATCACCCCGAGTAGTGAGCATAGGACACGACAGGTAGTTTTTCAACCCTGGCCCCCCTCCCATCCTCCCGCTTCTACCAGACAGTTTTAAAAACTAAAGTTGGCTTATGGAGCCAGTGCTTACAAAGTCCTCTTGGAAAAACTGTCCCGGTACCTGACTTATAGGGTTCCCAGCCCTGAAGAGAGTAAATAAGGCCACCTTCTGGCAAGTCCAAGAAACTTAGGATATTTTGGGGACCTCAAGAAAAGAAGCATTCACCCAAATGTATAGGTATTGCCAAAGTCTGACAGGAAGTTCCTGGCTTGGCTTCCTGGCCTCAAGAGGCTTTTAAAAGTCGAATCCGTGATTCTGTATAGAAAATTCCAGCAAAGCAAACTTTAAAAGTCTCTGAGTTCAATTACTCTTCTTGCTGCACTTATGTAAATAATCAGGCCAAGCTTAATGAGACTTGACTTGTAAACAACAATAATCTTACTTTGATTATTTTTGATCAAAATAGGGATAGCGATTGAGAGAAATTTTATGTTTCAATAGAAAACTATCATCAAACGTTGTGAGTTACCATATTCTAGTCTTGTTCATTGCCTTTGAGGTTTTATTATCTACCTATAAACTTGACTGAATTCTGCCATTTTCTACATTTTTATCAAATTCTCATTTTTTCTAGTTTTCTTCCATATCCAGGCTCCAAATTAACATTTCCAATTTTTACTCTCACCTTTCTGACTTGGTGTTGTTGAGACCTGAAACCTGATTGCTGAGATCCTTTTTGAGACTCTAGGTTGTCTTGTGGCTGTCCTTTACCCAAAGCCCTATAAACTGAAGTTGGATGACGTGATATAAACTTCAAAGGACTCATCACTACAACAGTGTGAGTCACTGAGGAAGTTCACCACAACACCCATATCTTCCATGATCTGATCTGGGAAGTAACCATGACTGTGACTGTAATATCTATACCGTCACCAAAAATAATGACCTGTGAACTGAGAAATCTGTCAGATTGCCACTGCTATCTTCACTCCATCATCTAATGATGCTTCAAGCCCAGTATCTAGAAATCATCTCAACTGGCTGAACTGTGGGCTCAGAAATTGGGTCTATCTTCTGCTCTCACCGTTAATCTTTGTTTTTCTTTATGTTTCCATAAAAATACCCCTCATGCCCAAGACTAGGAGATTGGTTCGACAAAATACGGTGTAGTGTGCCTACGTTAGGTCTTTGGTGCTGATTGATATTTGTTCTGATGTATGTTCCTTCCCTTTGCAGATCCTTACCTCACAAGGCCTGACCAGTGTCTTCAATAAACCCACTTCCTTGTTTGTGAAACATCTGGGGAAGTATTAAATGGGGGAAAGGAAGGAATTAACAGCCCACCAAAATGGTGTGAAAATTACTTTAAACTCAAAACATCTTCACAATCAGCAGCCACAGAAAGAAACATTATCTAAACTTAGGCAGAGCCTCCTGAATTACAGCTTCTATGACCCCCTCTGAGGGAGTTTCCCGATTGTGAGAAGACTCATCCTAGGATCAGCGAGTGAGGATTTAGCTGTCCCTTATCATCACAAGGCCCAATAGAAACTTCCCTACTTTCCCATGGAGTCCAAACCCCACTCCCCCTCTCTGTTAAGTTGGTATATAAACCTTTAACTCTGCAGCCATAAAAAAGAATGAGATCATGTCCTTTGCAGGGAAGTGGGTGGAGCCTGTAAACCATTATCCTAAGCAAACTAACACAGGAACAAATACTGCATGTTCTCACTTATAAGTGGGAGCTAAAGGATGGGAACACATGGACACACAGAGGGGAACAACACACACTGGGCCCTATTGGAGGGTGGAGGTTGTGAGGAGGGAGAGGATCAGAAAAAATAACTAATAGGTACTGGGCTTAATGGCTGGGTGATGAAATAATCTGTTCAACAAACCCTCATGACACACGTTTACCTATGTATCAAACCTGCACTTGTACCCCTGAACTTAAAATAAAAGCAAAAAACAAAAAACCAAAAACCTTTACCTCTGAGTATTCAGGGAGTTGCCCATTATTGAATATTTCACATGTACATGTAAATAAACCTTGTCCTTTCTTTTGTTAATCTGTCCATTGTTACTTAATTCTCAGGCCTCTGACCATTGAACCAAAGTGAGTAGAGAAAAAAATTTTCCTCTTAGACTGTCTGGGCAGCTATTAATAAATACCTTAGACCAGATAATTTATAAATAGTAGAATTTTCTTGTTTGTTTGTTTGTTTTGAGAGAAGTCTCGCTCTCGTCCCCCAGGCTGGAGTGCAATGGCTAGATCTCGGCTCACTGCAAACTCTGCTTGCCGGGTTCACATGATTCTCCTGCCTCTGCCTCCCAAGTAGCTGAGATTAAGGCACCTGCCACCATGCCTAGCTAATTTTTGTATTTTTTTAGTAGAGACAGGGTTTCACCAAGTTGGCCAGGCTGGTCTTGGACTCCTGACCTCAGGTGATCCGCCTGCCCTGGCCTCCCAAAGTGCTGAGATTACAGGTGTGAGCCACCACACCCGGCCTATAAATAGTAGAAATTTATTTCTCACAGTTCTGGAGGCTGGGAAGTCCAAGAGCAAAGCATCAGCACATTTGGTGTCTGGTGAAGGCCTGCTCTCTGCTTCATAGATGGTGCCTCTTGCTGGACCCTTACATGGCAGAAGGGCAAAAAAGGGCTCACAAGCTCCCTGAGGCCTCTTTTATAAGGGCACTAATCCCATTCATGAGGGCACAGCCCTTATGACCTAATTACCTCCCAAAGGTCCCATCTCTTAAAACCATCACCATGGGGGTTAGATTTCACCATGTGAATTCTGGGTGGACATATACATTCAGGCCATACACCTACTAACAGCAATGACAGAGTGCCAGCTTAAGTCCAGTTCTCCCAACATATGCTGCAGGGCCCTTTTCTGAGTCCTGGGCTACCCCAGGGTCATATGCTCTGCTTTGCCATGAATAATCCTGGTTTACACCACTGAAATTATTCGCCACATCCTCTTTTATTCTTAAAAGTTTTCCCCTTTGGATAATAAGTTATATTAATTAGGGACATAACAGATTCTATCTGCAAACATAACATGTCCCAAACTTAACTCCTGATCCAGCAAATGGCAACTCCTTCCTTTCAGTTTTTGAGACCAAAACCTTTGAAGTTACCCATGCTCTCTTTCTCTCATGCCTCACTTCCAATCCATACTGGTTCTACCTTCAGCACATATTCAGCCTCTGGCTTCTCACCACCTGCTCTTTTACTTGGATCTAAGCCACCTTTACTTCTCATACTGAATTCTCACCATAGCCTCCCATCTGACCTTCCTGCTTCCACCTTTGTCCAGAGTAAAACTCTTAAAGTATAAGTTGAATCATGTCAATCCTCTGCTCAAAACCCTCTGAAGCTGCCCTTTTATCTCCGAGTAAAAACCAGGTCTTTACCATAGCTTACAAAGCCCTGCATGGTAGGATGGTGTCATTCCCCACTCCACACTACATGCCCTTTGCATCTCATTTTCTACCTCCTTTCTCCATTTTGCTCCAACTCCCTATGGCCCTGTGCGGTTCCTCACACCTACCAAACATGCTCCCTGCCTCAGGGCCTTTGCACTCGATCGCCCCTCTGCCTGGAATGTTCTTTCCTCACATCTCTATAAGACTTACTTCCTGATGTTCTTCAGGTCTCTGCTCAGATGCTCAAATCTCATTTTATTTTAAAAAGTCTTCATTTACCACCTTATATAAAATAGTCGTACACAGATGCACGCGCACACACACACACACACACACACACACACACACACACACCCTGTTGCAAGTTGGGTTCTTTGAAAGCAGATATTGAGACAGAGTTTGGGGTGCAGGATGTTTATTAAGGCTCAGTGCCTGTGAAAGGAGAGAAGCAGAATGGAGCAGAGGGAGAAGTTGAATTGAGATACTGGCTTGACAAAACACTGGCCAGTTTGGCAGGGAGTCGTAGAGAAAATGTTGCCCATCAGAGTTGTCTGTATTAGGTAGAAATGGCCAGGCCTCTATACTCTTGCTTTGTGTAACCACTGGGTGAGGGTTGCCTTGGGAAGGGCATGACCTAGGGCAAAATAGCAGCCTGCAACTGAGGCTGGCCCTGAAGGAACTGACAGCTGGAGTCTGCTGCTGACCACGCCCCACAGCTGGGCAACAAGTTCTTCCTTGAAGGGGGATCTGAGTGGAGCATCTTTGTGTCTACCATACCCACCCACCTCCCCCAACCATGATAATAAAACTTCCTGAGAGCAGAGACTGGTTGTCTAATAAACACTGATATACCACTGGCACTTAGAACACTGCCTGGTTCATAGTAGGGCTTGGTTAAGTATTGGTTGGTTGAGTGAATGAAAAAGTTAATAAATAAAATCAGTTCCTAGGTTGGAGATTTATTAAGACTATAAATATAAGGTTGCCTTAAATTTTTTTTATCTCAGTGGTGCTCCTTCTATCTTTCATCATGAAAATATCTCAATCAGTTTTTTCCATGCCTGTTCTTGATCTAGAACCACAACACAGAATAATGATGCATCTTCAGTAACCTGAGAAGGAAGCATTCTTGGTGTTCTCTAAAGTCAGATTTCTTTCATGTTTTTTTTTTTTTTTTCGTAATCTGCTTCCTCAGGTTGAGCAGATTTATTTTCGATAGGCTGTGTGGCAGAATGACGGAGCACTGGACATGGGGTCTACAGATCCAGGGTTTAGTGTCAGATCTGTTATTGGATGACTTTGACCTTGAGCAAGTCACAGCCTTCTTGAATCTGTTTCTTCATCTAAAAATAAGAAAGTTGAAAGGAGAATTTCCAGGATTTCTTCCAGCTTCTTGCATACTGTAGTTTTCTTCATTCAGGCCCTTGAACTGTACATTTATGTGCTATTTTGCCTGATTATCTTTAGACAGAGTAAAAAAAAAAAAACAACAGCTATTTCAAGAAGGTGGGTGGGTGATATAAACAATGAAGAGTTAAAAGAGGGAAAGGAGGCTGGGTGCGGTGGCTCACACCTGTAATTCCAGCCCTTTGGGAGGCCGAGGCAGGTGGATTACATGAGGTCAGGAGTTTGAGACCAGCCTGACCAACATGGTGAAACCCTGTCTGTGCTAATAATACAAAAATTAGCCAGGCCTGGTGGCTGGTGCCTGTAATCCCAGCTACTCGGGAGGCTGAGGCAGGAGAATCGCTTGAACCCGGAAGGTGGAGGTTGCAGTGAGCCGAGATCACACTGCTGCACTCTAGCCTGGGCTAAAGAGAGAGACTCCATCAAAAAAAAAAAAAGAAAAGAAAAGAAAAAGAGGAAAAGGAAAACTAGGCAGGTGGTGGCTGAAAGCAGCCCCTTCTGTGCACAGATCCAGCCTAAGAGACCACCTGCCAGGGCACAGGCCAGTTCAAAGGCCAAGCATGATCCTAGGACAGGAGGACTGATGAGTCCATCCTAAGCTGTATCTGTAGGAAGAGCAAATGTACCACTGGAGGCATCAGACTAGAGAAAGAGGTAGGGGACCTAAAGGGTATTGGTATTTGTTTATTGCCTGTCTTTCATCTCTCTCATAATCTCTCTCCTACAGTATAATCTCCACAAGATTACAGAATAGGCACCTAATAAATATTCATTTAAAAATAAAAGATGTTAGCATCTCTATAGCAGTGATGTTCACACATTGTTTTGGAAAGCAGTCACTGTAAGAAACACATTTTTTTTTCACATAGGACCCAATACTTCTATCAGTCTCTCTATCTATCTCTCTATCTATCTATCTAAATTAAAACGGGTTTCATGAAACAAATCCTACTCTTGCTAGGTATGATGCTTTCTGTTATTTTAATCTTCTATTTATTTATTTTAAAAATTCTGACCCTGACCTACTCAACTCATTTAGCAACCTCACAAGGCAGGAGGGAGGCCCCACTGGTCGGTGTGATGGGATCACCTGAGCTGGAAATGGAGGTTCCAGCTGAATCGGAAATTCGTTCTGATTTCACGCTCTGCAGGAAGGCTTCGTATTTTAACAGGATTTCCTCATGGATTTGCCTTCAGGGAATGAATGTGCTCATCAGCAAACATGAGTATCTGCCTTGTTAATACTTCTATCAATTAATTGATAGTATATAGCAATTAATCAATCAATTGATATTCTATTTTATATACCACTCTCTTGTGAATTTGATTAATGTGAGTCAGAATCTGAGAAACTATTCACCTCTGGATGCCCTGACAAGGTCATAATTCTACAAAGAACGGACCCCAGACTGGACAGAGAATAGGCCAGCTCTGTGATGATTTAATGAAACACTCCCTTTCGGAGAGTCTAATGCTTGGAGCAGTTTGGAAAGACACCAGAGATCTTTTTGGATGCTGTCACTAATTTTAGACTTGATTGTGAAATCATTTGTAAACCTGTGGAAGCCTCTCTGCTTACCCAAATAAGGATGTTTTATAGAGATGACAGACTTCAAGTTTGTTTAATAAAACTCTCTTATAGCCCTTGTCCTTTGGTAATAACAACAGAATCATTTTCAGAGAATTAATAGTTAGCACACATGAATATCATATAGTGGAACATGCTTTCTTGCCCTTGGAGACTATATAATAAATACAACCTCCAGGGCAAACTAAACCTAAACAATATGCTCACATAAGCATGTGCTTATTTAATCATGCATTGCGTTTGGATAGGGTTTTATGGTCTCCACATGTGTGCAGGCTCACTTGTTCTTTAGGAAGTTAGGATGGGTGGTGTTATAACTGTGATTCTGAAGATTTAAAATAATCCAACAAGGTCACATGCTCAGTAATAGAAGAACTAGGCTTCTTGCTGGCAGGTCAGCTCTCTTCCTGTGGTTTCACAATAACATTTGAATACAACAATTCTCTTCTGCAGGGCTCCAGCCTCTGTGATGTCCAACATGCTTATGAGCAGGTTCCAACATGCTGCAGCTCTATTTCCAAGCCTACTCATCCTTCCAACTTACACCTCATATGGTGCACATGGAAAAGACATAAATTTGGCTAACTTTGTGCAATGCAGGAGGGGCTATGTACACTTCCCACTCTCGAAACTATCCTCTTGACTCTCATGGCTAGAGAAAGCCATCTGATCCCAAGAGTTATCTAGATCCAGTATCTGGAGGGTAATTCAAATCAGAACCAATAAACAACAAAAGGAGGTAATCAGGAACGAATGCACACCACGGAATGAGCATGATGTACAGCTGACCACACAGTTTATATAAACATGCGGCACACTGCAAAAAATATAGAGTGAGTTTCTTGGACCAGCTTCCAATTTGTCTTCACTAAAACGTAATGAAAGTATGGGACTTCGAATACATTAAGTTAGTCACTCTTAACGCCTGGAGCTTTTCAAAACCATCCATACTCAGACTTCACTCCAGTTGGATGCCCACGCCATTCTAAAGGTCTGATAAGTGACTATTCCTGCTGTTTAAAACAGGCATTGGCCGGGCACGGTGGTTCATGTCTGTAATCTCAGTGCTTTGGGAGGCCAGGGCAGGAAGATCACTTGAGTCCAGGAGTTGAGCCCAGCCTGGGCAACATAGTGAGAACCCACCTCTTCAAAACACAGAAAAATTAGCTACTTGAGAGGCTGAGGCAGGAGGGTAGCTTGAGCCTGGGAGGTAGAGGCTGCAGTGAGCCGTGATTGTGCCACTGCACTCTAGCCTGTATCAAAAAACAAAAATTAAACTAAAAAAAGGAAAAAAATAAAGCAGGCATTAGTACCAAATATTTGCATAAGGCTCTTTTCCTAATTTAGTGCTTCAGTGTTTTGGCCATTTCTCGACATTATCTACATTTCATTAATCCTGAAGTTTCCCACTTCTCTCTATATACCTATTGAAACACAACAGCACAGTGGTCTTTTATCTTAGTGCGTGATTGTTGAGTCCTCAGATTTAATTGTTGTTAGTTGCTTGGTGATAATATCATGGAGGTGAGAAAAGAAGAGGCAGCTGGGTAATCAGCTTTGCAGGCAAAACAGGATAAATTCCAGGGGCCCTGCCTCCAAGTAGCCACACTGGACCTGTGTGTTCACTCAGAACAGCTCCAAAACCCCTAGTACTTCTGTGTCACCCATTTCCCTACAGTTCCCAGAGAGGCAATCCCATTCAAAAGCATGCAACCCCTCCCAAATCCTTCTTTGTGACTTACAAAAAAATTCCCAGATTTTCTTTTAAGTATTCATCCCTGATGATAAACAATCTATAGTTTTCCCAAAAAGAATGCCCCCATTCTCTGCAGTCACTTGAGGGTTATTAACATGTTCCTTTACAAATCCTATAGACCAAGTGGATTAGCTATAGCCACTTCACAGTTGAGGTCACTGAGGTCTAGAGAGAAGAGGGAACATGCCCAGCATGCAAGGCGCGATCCACTGATGGGCTAACAGATTCACTGAGTGCTGTTTATTAATTGATGCAATTCTTACAATAGCAACATTATCCTCATTTTATACATGTGGAAAGAGAGGCACAGAGAAGTTGAGTCACTGCATTTGGACCCGCAGGTAATAGGTGGCAGTGTGGCCACACACCAGAGCCCTTGCCTGGATTACCATTCTGGGTGTGGAGCCGGGAGTATTCCTGGAGGCTGAAGGAAAGGATCCAGACTCAGTCTGCGGAAAGGCTCTGAGTCCTGGCTGCTCCAACATGACCCTTCTCTCCTGCTCACATATTCCTGAAGGAAAACATGGGACTCTGTGATGTTTAATACAATAAAGAATGGGGCTTTTGACTGCAAACCTCTCTAAGGAATGATCATCCAGTAAAGGGTATGCAAAACAGAATTATTAAATAAAGAGGTAGAATGACTTTAACCTACCAATCCCTTCCCCAAGACTGAAAGTGGAGAAAAAGAGACAGGGGCTGCTTGTTTAATTGTATTTCTAGAGAGCAGGCTCTGATAACCACTTGCTCCTGCCATCTTGGTAAGTAGATTCCTGTACAGAAGAGAAAGAGAGTCATCAAATCCAAATAACTTCAAGCCAGCTCCCAAAGCAAGCCTGGCAAATTGCTCAGCTGACAGCAGGTAAGAGGACTTCCAGGGAGAGGAGCTCAGAGGGCACCTCCCAGCTGGGGCTGCTGGAGTTGGCAAACAGAAATGCCTGACACCCAGCGGAATTTGAATTTCAGATAAACACTGAATAATGTTTGTGTCTAAGTATGTCCCTGTTGTTTAGCAATTCAAATTTAGTGGGGCATCCTGTATTTTATCTGGCAACCCTAATCCCAACACTAAAAAGATAATAAGTACATGGTATAGTTTCCCTAGATGACTAAGCCTTCCTACCTCATTATACCCTGAAGACCTGAACTTCTTTCACTAAAAAGAACATGAAATTCTACATTTACACATTAAATCATGTAGGGAATTAAAATATGTCTGATAGAAATCAAACCAACCAGCCAGGCGCGGTGGCTCACGCCTGTAATCCCAGCACTTTGGGAAGCCAAAGCAGGCGGATCACTGGAGGTCAGGAGTACAGGACCAGCCTGGCCAACATGGCGAAACCTTGTCTCTACTGAAAATGCAAAAAGTAGGCAGGCGTGGTGGCGCACGCCTGTAGTCCCAGGTACTCGGGAGGCTGAGGCAGGAGAATGACTTGAACCTGGGAGGTGGGGGTTGCAGTGAGCCAAAATCGCGCCATTGCACTCCAGTCTGCGTGACAGACCAAGGTGCCATCTCAAAAAATAAAAATAAAAAAAAAGAGAAAAAAGAAATCAAACCAACCTACCAGTAGTGTGAGGGGGATGTTATTACTGCTGCTGTTCGTCCCTAGTAAAAGGAACAACTAAACGTTGTTGAAGGCAAGATGCGATGGTGTGCACATGTAGTCCCAGCACTTTGTGAGGCCAAGACAGGAGGACCGCTTGAGCCCAGGAGTTTGAGACGAGCCTGGGCAACATAGCAAAACCATGATTCTACAAAAAAAAATTTTAACGCTAGCTGGGTGTGGTGTTGTGTGCTTACACTCAGGACGCTGAGGCGGGAGGATCGCTTGAGCCCCAGGAGCTCGGGGCTGCAGTGAGCCATGAGTGTGCCACTGTACTCCAGCCTGGGTAACAAACAGAGCAAGACCCTGTTTCTTTTTTTTTTTTTTTGAGATGGAGTCTCACTGTGTTGCCCAGGCTAGAGTGCAGTGGTGCGATCTTGGCTCACTGCAACCTCTGCCTCCGCCCCCAGTTCAAGCAATTCTCCTGCCTCAGCCTCCTGAGCAGCTGGAATTACAGGCACCCGCCACCACGCCCGGCTAATTTTTGTTTTTTGTTTGTTTGTTTGTTTTTGGAGACGGAGTCTCGCTCCGTCACTCAGGCTGGAGTGGCGCCATCTTGGCTCACTGCAAGCTCCGCCTCCCGGGCTCAAGCGATTCTCCTGCCTCGGCCTCCTGAGTAGCTTGCACTATAGGCACGCACCACCACACCCAGCTAGCTTTAAATTTTTTTTTTTTGTAGAATCATGGTTTTGCTATGTTGCCCAGGCTCCTGAGTAGCTGAGGCTACAGGCGAGTACCACCATGCCCAGCTGATTTTTTGTATTTTTAGTAGAGACGGGGTTTCACCGTGTTAGCCGGGATGGTCTCGATCTCCTGACCTGATCCGCCCGCCTCAGCCTCCTAAAGTGCTGGGATTACAGGCGTGAGCCACCGCGCCGGGCCTAATTTTTATATTTTTAGTAGAGATGTGGTTTCATCATGTTGGCCAGGCTGGTCTCCAACTCCTGATCTCAGGTGATCCACCCTCCTCGGCCTCCCAAAATGCTAGAATTATAGGCGTGAGCCACTGCGACCGGCCAAGACCCTGTTTCTAAAAAGAAAAATGAAGGAAGAAAGAAAAAGTTGTGTAAAGATGACTGGGCTGGGAATGAAGAGAAACGGGTTCTAGTTCTGCGACGTCCAACCCTATAATCAGCTCCACCGGCTGCCACACAGCTTCCTTCCTTCCCGCACACTTCAGCTCAAATCCTGGCCATGGCTCACGTATTGGTAACGGCGGAGGAACCAGGGAAGAGGGCCTGAGGTGGAGGATTTCTGTATTTTTGTGTGGCTTGCGGGTTGCGGGTTGAAACCAAAATATTGCTTAATATTTAAAAGTGCATATCTAACTAATACAATTAGATATTTTAACAATTCTATCCACAATATATGCACCTGTTTTCATTAAAAATAAGAATGATACCTCTCTGTCCCTAAAGAGAGAGCTGGAGAGGAGCGGGTGTCGTGGGCTCTGCCACTAGTGAGCTCCGCGCATGTGATTATTTTCTGAGGGTCAGATTCCTGTCACGTGTGAAACAAGCTGGACTGAAGACCAGCTGGACTGAAGGTCTCTTGGCATTCTAGAACTCTTTGACTTGACAATTCCTCAGCAGGCTTTTGTAGGCTGCAGGAATTTCCTGACTCAGAGAACAGAGTTAGTATCACCACTTAGCTAGTTTCAGCTAGGAGACAAAGTACCTCCAGCTTTATTGCCAAATAACAACCACAAAATGTGGCTGGGCATGGTGGCTCACACCTGGAGTCCCAGGACTTTGGGAGGCAGAAGGGGTGGCTCACTTGAGCCCCGGAGATGGAGACCAGCCGGGGCAACATGGTAAAACCCTGTCTCTGCCAAAAATAAAAAAATTAGCCCCGCATGTTGGTGCCTGTTGTCCTAGCTACTCCGGAAGCTGAGGTGGGAGGATCGCTTTAGCCGAGGATGCAGAGGTTGCAGTGAGCCAGGATGGCACTACTGCACTCCAGCTTGGGCGAAGGGACTGAGACTGTCTCAAGAAAAGAAAAATAAAAACTAAAACCATAAAATGGAAAGGACCGAACCTTAAGTAAAAAAAAAAAAATCTTTATTAAATAATAGCAGCATTCATTCTTCTTCATTAGCAAAACGTGCCAAAGGAGCAGTTGTTCAAAGGCAATTGCCTCTGGCCCTTGCCCACAAGCCTCCTTTTAAAAGGAAATTAACCCTCTGAGTCATGACACAAGCATATTCACACTCCAAGTGAGAGACGAGTCAGATAGCATCATAAACCTTCCACCCCAACTGTCTGAACAGGTTCAGAGGATTCTGGAATTACTGCTCTTTGGGCCATTTCCCAGGTGGGAAACTTCCACACAGTCACTGTGTTTACTTGCTTACTGACTGGCAGTAACCATGAGTTCCCTAGGCTTCACACTCTACCCACTGTCAGCTCATTGTACAGGTAATAATTCCTCAGTTACCCACATTTATGTTTTGTACCTTAATTATTTCATTCTAAATGTCAACAAAACCCCTCAGCAGGTGTCTGACGTTGGTAGAAAGCCTGCAACTCCTGACTCTCTAATACTAGCAGTAAAAGAAAACATAATGGCTATTTAAATGCGGCCACACCAAATGCATTGAAGTGTACAATACAAATTCCAGTGGATCTAAATTGAAAATTTTTGTCAAAAAGTTCAAATCTTTGAAAAGTATATTTAATAACACTTTTTAAAGTTATTAAATTGCAACAGAAAGACTTCGAGTTGGAAAAGCTGAATTGCCTTTAAAGTAACATTAATGATAATAAAAATTCTTATTATTATAAAAATGGGCTGGGTGTAGTGGCTCACGGCTGTAACTCCAATACTTCGGGAGGCCAAGGCAGGAGAATAGCTTGAGGCCGGGAGTTTGAGAGCAGCCTGGGCAATATAGCAAGACCTCACCTTCCGCAAAATTTTTAAAAAATTAGCTGAGCATGGTGGCACATGGCTGTGGTTCCAGCTGCTTGGGAGACTGAGGTGGGAGGATCACTTGGGCCCAGGAGTTCCAGGTTGCAGTGAGCTATGATCATGCCATTGCACTTCAGCCTGGGTGACAGAGCAAGACGCTGTCTTTATAATTAAAAAAAAAAAAGCGGGGGGCGGCGAAAGCATCCCTTTCCTGTAATAACACAAAGTATTTAACAATATGTTTTGCTCCATTTATGGTCATGACAGTGGGAGTAATGGTTGGTGAAAATATTATTCAGGAATAAAGAGACCTTTGGATTCCTCTCACTATATATCAACACTCAAAATGAAGGGGGAGCATTTTTTTCTCTGGTTTTTTTTTTTTTTTTTTTTGGATCAATGTGAATAACTCACCAAGATCAATTAGTTCCCAAAGCAGATCTAGGGTAACTCTCTATCCAGCTGAAATTCACCGGATGATTGCCAAATCTTTCATTTTCTTTTTCAACTCTACCTGTGCTTAACATCTGGTTTGGGATTTTAAAAAAATTCATTTGGAAGCAAAAGTGAACTGGATTCTTCCCTCTGGAGCTCTGGGAGACAGAAGAGTGTTCTTTGCATTCTTCAGTGCGTGGCCCAGTTTTCTTGTGGGGCCAGGCTTATGTTCGACAGTCCCCAGGGACCCTGCAACAACTGCAATAGTCCTAGCCTTCCAGTAAAGGCACTTTGGGATCTGTGACGAGGCACCAGGACTACTGTACAGGGCTCCCTGCTCTGCCTGCTGCCAGAGTCTTCTGCGGCCACTGCCTGAGTTTGAGGGGAGTCAGGGTGGTAGACAACTGACAGGTATATAGAGTTACTGAGACAGCTCCCAGAAATGCCCCAGAGTGCTGGGGCCCTGGTTCTGGATTTTCTATGTGCAGTCCCCAGGGTTCAGACCTTTACGTCCAGGCCTGGAAAATAAAAAATGCAGTTTTCCTTTTGGTTCATTCAATGAAGCCATCTTTCAACATCTTTTCTGCACCCCTGGATCTCCTCAAATTCTTCCTTCCACTCCTTTGGGGAAGTCAACCTTGCAGTCTAGAACTCATCCATGACTTAATCATCGTTAGTGCCTCCCCTCCCTCCCTCCCTCCCTTTCTCCTTTCTTCCTTCTTCTTTCCTTTCTCCTTCTCTCCCTCCCTTCCTCTCTGAAACTCTTTTGTTTCTCTTTCTTTGTTCTCTGCTAAATTTCCCATCTCTGTCCCACTTTCCAAGCCTGGAGTCTTTCAGAAGACCGTATGGGTTGTTCTAGAGCAGCACTGCTTAATAGAGATACAATGTGCAGCACATGTATAATGTGAAGTTTTATAGTAGCTGCATTTTATTTTATTTTATTTATTTTATTGTTTTGAGATGAAATCTCAGTCTGTCACCCAGGCTGGAGTGCAGTGGTGCGCTCTCTGCTCACTGCAACCTCCACCTCCCAGGTTCAAGCGATTCTCCTGCCTCAGCCTCCTGAGTAGCCAGGATTACAGGCGCCTGCCACCAGGCCCGGCTACTTTTTGTATTATTAGCACAGATAGGGTTTCACCATGTTGGCCCGGCTGGTCATGAACTCCTGACCTCAAGTGATGCACCTGCCTTGGCCTCCCAAAGTGCTGGGATTATAAGCATGAGCCGCTGCGCCCGGGGAAGCTACATTTTAAAAAGTGAAAAGGAACAGATGAAATTATTTTAATAACATTTATTTAAACCAGTATATTTGGGTATTATTTCAATGATAGTATCACTTCAATATGTAATCAATATAAAAGCTGAGAGATATTTTGCATTCTTTTTGTCATGCTAAGACTTTGAAATCCTGTGTGTATTTTATACTTATAACACATCCCAATTTGGACCAGCAGCATTTCTTTTTTAAAAAAAGTCTTCTTGTATTTTTAACGGACAAATGATAACTGTATATTTACAGGATACAATGTGATGTTTCAAGACATGCACACATTGTGGAATGATCCTATCAGCAGAGCAGCCACTTTTCAAGGGCCCAGTAGCCACATGTGGTTGGTGGTGGCCATATTGGACAGTACACATGTAGAGACTAATTTGCCCCCACGTTGTTGTGGCAAGGATTGATAATTACCTCCCGATGTTTCTTTTCCCTTCCAGTTTAATAATAGAACTTCAGTTGTTAGGTTTTATTTCTTAGCTTCCCATGCAGGCCGGTGTGGCCACGAGACCAAGTTCAGGTCAACGAGATGTAAGTGACAGCTCAAGATTCCACCGTTCTCCTTATGGGGGAAAGAAGTGTTCTTTGTCAGCTCTACCCTGTGTTTAACATCTGACTTGGGATAAAAGATCTTTACAGAGGAAGAATAAGCTGACTTCTCTCCTCTGGACTTTGAGAGAGAAGAGTGTTCTTGGTCTTGTTTCCTCAGTTGGACTGAGCCCTGAAATGCCTTCACAGAACTGCCACGGCAGCCTTGGGCTCTTAGCCCCTGTACTTCTCTGTGGGAGAAATAAACTTCTGCCTTACTGAGGCCATGAGTATTATGAGCTTTTTTAATGCTCCTAATCTGAACTGATTCATTTCCATAAGACAGTTTTTGCCTACAACAAAATCAGTCACAGCAAGTAGCAGGTAACCTTGGAAAACACTTTGTGGCAATACTTTGCGTCTTATCTTACCGTGTCTGTCCTCAGAGATGTTCTGAGTGTCTCTACCCACACAGACTCTTTGACTCACTGAATAAGCATGAAAAGGGGGTTCTCTCATAGCCTCATTGAGAGAGAAACAGACTTACTGATCGGGATTGCCTGAAACTTTCTGCTGCTGTATGCTTTAGTGGGCGGAAAAAGGTCAGTGATATAGACCAAAGTTTTAGACTATATTTAACTTTCTTTAAGAGTTAAAGTTGAAAAACAAAATTTTCCTGGCTCACAAGGGTCAACTGGAACATCATGCTGCACACATCTGAGTGTCTGCTATCTCATTCTTTTTTTTTTTTTTTTTTTAGACAGAGTCTCAATCCATTGCCCAGGCTGAAGTACAGTGGCACAATCTCAGCTTACTGCAAGCTCTGCCTCCCAGGTACAGACTATTTTTTGCCTCAGCCTTCCGAGTAGCTGGGACTACAGGTGTGTGCCACCACACCTGGCTAATTTTGTATTTTTAGTAGAGATAGGGTTTCACCATGTTGGCCAGGCTGGTCTTGAACTCCTGACCTCGTGATCTCCCCGCCTCGGCCTCCCAAAATGCTGGGATTAGAGGTGTGAGCCACCGCGCCAGGCCTGCTATCTCATTCTTAATGAAAGGGTTTCCTCAAATTCTTTAGAACATGTGTCTTTGGCTGGGCCCACTGGGGGTTGGTGCCTGTAATCCCAGCACTTTGAGGCCAAGGCAGGAGGATCGCTTGAGCCCAGGAGTTCAAGACAAGCCTAGATAACATTGTGAGATCCCATCTCACTGTTTAAGAATTAACCAGGGGTGGTGGCACATACTTGTAGTTCCAGCTACTCGGGAGGCTGAGGCAGGAGGATTGCTTGAGCCTGGGAGGTCAATGCTGCTGTGAGCCATGGTCGCTGCATTTCAGCCTGAGTGATAGAGCAAGACTCTGGTCTCAAAAACAACAACAACAAAAAGAACATGTGTCTTTCAACTAGAAAGTGCTCCAAAGGCAATTCAGACCAAATAAAAGGGAAGATAAGGTGCAACGAGCAAAGTTGTGTTGAAGTGACTCTGGTAGATGCCACAGGTCATCTAGACAAGGAGCTTTTGTGACCAGAAGCCTTACTGCCCAAAGTGATCTACAGATTAAATACAGTCTCTATCAAAATTCCAATGACATTTATTTTTACAGAAATTGACAAAAAATCCTAAAATTCATATAGAACTATCAAAGACCCTGGATAGCCTGGGCAAGCCTGAGCAAAAAGAACAAAGCTGGAGGCATCCCGAACAGTATGGTACTGGTATAAAAAAACAGATACATATATCAATGGAACATAATACAGAGCCCAGAAATAAACTCAAGCACACACAGTCAACAAATTTTCAACAAGGACAGAAGAAGACACCATGAGGAAAGCACTGTCTCTTCAATAAATGGTGCTGAGAAAACTGGGTGTCTACATGCAAAATAAAATTGGACCCTTATCCGGCACCATCTACAAAAATCAACTCAAAGTGGATTAAATACTTAAGCAGAAGCTCTGAAACCATAAAAACTCCTACAAAAAGATTTGGGGAAAATCTCTTTGACATTGTTCTTGGCAATATATTTTTTTTTGATAGGACACCAAAAGCACAGGCAATAAAAGCAAAAATAAACAGGACTACATCAAACTAAAAAGCTTCTGCATAGCAAAGGAAACAGTATACAAAATGAAAATTTGGTCTACAGATTGGGAAAAAATATTTGTGACCCACATATCTGATAAGGGGTTAATATCCAAAATGTATAAGAACTCACACAACTCTGGGCAAAAGACTTGAATAGAGATTTCTCCAAAGAAGATATAAAAACAGCCAACAGGTGAAATGAAAAGTGCTCAACATCACTAGTCATTAGGGAAATGTGAATAGAAACCACAATGAGATATTATCTCACACCTGTTAGGATGGCTTTTACCAAAAAGTCATTAATCCTTCTTACAAAGAAATAGTAAAGGTGTGGAGAAAAGAGAATTCTTGTACACTGTTGGTGGCAATGTAGATTCGTACAGCCACTGTGGAAAACAGTATGGGGGTTTCCTAAAGCAAGTAGAAATAGAACTACCATATAACCCAACAATGCTTCTTCTGGGTATATACCCAAAGGAAATGAAGTCACCACCTCGTAGAAACATCTGCACTTCCGTGTCCATTGCATTCTTATTCACAATTGCCAAGGTATGGAAACAGTCAAAGTGTCGATCAACAGATGACTAGATGAAGAAATTGTGGCATAGATACACAATGGAATACTATTCAGCCTTAAAAAGAGCAGATCCTGCCATCTGTGACAACATGGATGAGCTTAGGGGACATTATGCTAAGTCAAATAAGCCAGACACAGAAAGAAAAATACTGCATGATCTTACTTTTAAGTGACATCTAAAAAATTAAATTCAATAAATTGAATAGGTAGAACCAGAAAGTAAAAGGACAGATACCAGAGGTGAAGGGAGCCTGGAGGCGAAGGGTCGAAATGGGAAGATATAGGTCAAAGCGTACAAAGTTGCGCCCTAACTGTTGAATGAATAAGTTTAGAAATCTAATGTACAACATGAGGACTACGGTTAATAATATTCTATTTTATACTGGTAATTTGACAAGAGAGTAGATTTTAGGTACTCTGATCACACACACACACACATACAGAGGAAAAGTAGCTATAGAGATAATGTACCAGTATATCAATTTACTTGACTATAGTGACCACCTCACTATGTATATGCATATCAAGATAAGTATATTGGCCAGGCACAGTAGCTCATGCCTGAAATCCCAACACTTTGGGAGGCAAAGGCAGAGGATTGCTTGAGTCCAGGAGTTCAAGACACTCCTGGGAAATACAGTGAGACCCCGTCTCTACAAAAAATTTAAAAATCAGCTGAGCATGGTGGTGCGTGTCCATAGTCCCAGCTCCTTGGGAAGCTGAGGCAGGAGGATTGTCTCTACAGAAAAAAAAATTAGTTGGATGTGGTGGCATGTGCCTGTAGTCTCAGCTACTCGGGGGCGCTAAGGTGGGAGGATCACCTGAGCCCAGGAGTTGGAGGCAGCAGTGAGCCATGGTTGCACTGCTATGCTCCAGCCTAGACAACAGAGTGAGGCTCTGTCTCTCACGGAAAAAAAAAAAGGTAAGTATATGAAAATATGCTGTACACCTCAAATATATTCAATTAAAAGGAATAAGAAAGTAAGAGGTAGCAATTTTTTCCATTTTCCATAGTTATAACATTGAGAATAAATTTAGTTCTGTTAATTGAAAAATAAAAATTTTAAAAAATAAGTCATTCGTTTTTTAAAAGTTCATTAGCAATTGTCTCTGTGACAGTCAGTTTATTTCCCTTGCACCTTTGTGGCTGAGGTTTCGTGTAGAGACAGGGGCCTAAGGAGGACCCTGAGTGGGTCCCCTGAAATGTGGACACAAAGCAACCACCAGTCCACATTCCTCGGTCCACAAGGATGTCACGTGAGACTTTTGCTAAGTGTCTTGCTAAAATAAGTCATTTCTGACTATGATATTTTCCTGCTCGTCCAGTGGAGTGCTATGGCATGGAAACAAGGTTGTCTGGCACGAGCTCAGATTTCGGGGAACTCATGAGAGTGCCTAGCAATCATTACTTTCTTTAATAAATACGCACAAAGCCCCTTCAATCATCTGTTCCGGAGTTTTGCTGAAGCTCAACATTAAATGTAACCAGCACACAGACCCGTAAGTCACCTTTCCTGTTGTGTTGGAAAATCTGGAACTCATTTACCCATCTCCGGTCTTTTGCTGTCTCTCCATTCCCCCCGGTTTCTCCGGTTCAGATGGTCCTGTGATCACATCTGCAAGTTCTTTCAGGACTCTGGGGTGCCATCTATCTAAGCCAACAGCCATTCCTGCTCTCATTTTAAGCAGTTAGATGCTCTCTTTGCCTGTGTCTTGGGTTGAAGATCATTCTGCTTGAGAGAGAAAACAAAAGCTTTGTCTTTTGTGCTGTTTTATCAGATACATTACATTTTTTCATTTACATTGATGATCTTTCTTTTTGTCTTTCCTGGTTCTATCAGGGCAAAATGTTATTCGCTGTCCCATATATACTTTACACTGCAAAATCTCATTAAGTAGATATCAGTTTAATTCAAGATATACTATCCAGAGCTGCAAAGATTCCCTTGCTGACTATAGGATCCATTGATATGATAGATTAATTTGTATTATTATAAACATACTGAAGGATTCCACATGTAGTTCTATTTTTCCCTATTCCTTTGAGTTTTGAATTAATCTTGAGTCTTTGTCATATATTACCAACGTTTTTAAATGAGTATCAGAAGTAACATACATCATGTACTGAATCACACCATTCTGTTCTCCATAAATGATGTCAGTATCAGAAGGTACATATTTCTTTCTCTCCATGCTTCCTGTCCAGTGAACATGTTTACCTGCCCATTCATGGCTGATCTATCAGATCTCTGAACACCAAAGAAGGCCTGCAAAACCTTATACATTGGCCTCTTCGAGGACCAAACCAACTGAAAACCTGTATTGGCTGCGTGAGTCCCAGCTCCCATGAGGGATGTCACCCAGCCACCTGGTGCTGATGCTGTGCACTGCTGCAGGGGAGGCCTCTGCTTCCTCCAAAGCTGGTCAACTCTCAGTGTAGGATTTCCACCGAGGGGCACGGCAGCACAGCACTTTCCTAAGGGTGTTGCAGAAATAACCCAAGAATCATCCCCCTTTCCTCCCATTGCTGCCTGTTCTTCAGTGCATTTTTACATTTGGCTGTGGCGCCTCAGCCATTGCAAGAAAGGGAGTCTGGGAGAAGGCTAATGGGAGAGAGGCCCCTTATAACTGCTTCAACCTGAGCAGATTTATTCCTATTTTCAAAACATATATTTGTTGTATTAGTCAGAGTTGCTCAGAGAAACAAAATGAATAGATGATAGGTAGATGGATAGATAGATAAATAGATGCAAAGGACATGTTAGAGGAATTGGCTCGCCTGATGATGGAGGCTAACAAGTCCCTTGATAGGCCATCTACAAGCTGGAGAATGTGAGGTGCCAGTAACATGGCTCAGTCCAAGTAAAAAGGCCTCAGGACCTGAAGGCCACTGGTACAAGTCCTGGAGTACAAAGGCCAGAGAGCCTGGAGTTCTGTCTAAAAGCAGAAGAAGAGCGTTTCCCAGCTCCAGAAGAGAGACAGAGAGACCAATTTGCCTTTCCTCTGATTTTGTTCTATCTAGGACTCCAGCCGATTGGATGGTGCAAATTTTCCCCACTTAGGCATGTCAGACTGACACGCCAGTCTCCTCCGGAAACACCCTCACTGACACACCCCAGAATAATGCTTTGTCAGTTCTTTAACTTGACACCTAAAATTAGCCATCACCTTTGGCATCCTTGAAAGACTGTGTTTCAAAAAAAATCCTTCAAGATGGTTTATAGTAATAACTATCTTTGGAGGCTACTCATATCTGCCCCCCCCACTTAAAGGCGGCAGGTTTCGCAAGTAAAAATACATGATGTTCAACTGAATTTGAATTTCGGATATGTAATAAAGTTTTTTAGGATTAGTATGTCCCATATTTTTCACAGGACATATCTATACTGAAGAATGATCAGTTGTTTACGTGAAATTCCAAGTCAGCTGGCAGTCCTTCCCCATCCCAGTGAACCGGCAGCCCTTTGTCCCACTCCAGAGCCTGACAAAGCTTGCCTTGTCTCACCGACCCCTGCTGTGGAAGAGCCCTGCGTCCTTCAGCAGCAAAGTAGGGCCACGCCCCTCGGGCCCGGCCTCTGGCCTCCGTCACGCTCCCTTCTCACTGCCGCTCCAGGCCTCCCGGACCCAGGTCACCTTCGCTTGGATTATAAGAACCAATGCCCCTTTTAGGCTTCCGGGGCAGGCTGACTTCCATTGCTCTTTATCCCCGGAAATGACCGCACATCAGCCTTCCCAGCTCTAAGCTGGGAAAGAAAATCCTTAAGTGATTTCCCCAGTAGAGGCTCTTAGCCGGGACTGCCGATCTACAGCTGGCCGGGGTTAGGGGTGAGGGTGGCGGGGGCTGACAGGTCCTGAGGAAGTGCCCGGAGGCCGAGGGAGGCGGGAAGGAGGAAATGTGTTCTGCCACGGCTGTAAAAGGCAGGGAAGGTTCTAGAAGATGGCTGAAAAAAGCATCCGGCCTACGATAGCCAAGGCGTCTGAGCGCGTGCTTCCGGTATTTCCCATCTTTTCTCAGCAAAGATCGAGGAGTCCCCGAGGCGGAGTCTGAGTGCCTCCGCGGATCTGCCATTTAGGGGCCTCGCGCAGCCATGAGCCAGCTGTGGAACCTTCCTGCCCTTTTCCCCAAGGAACGGGTGCTAGTGCCTGTCCTGCTGGGGTTGCGTGGGCGCTAAATGAACTCACTCGCGACTTGGGTTCCTGTCCCTTCCCTTCTCCATTTTCCAAAATTAAATTCCTCTTCTCTCACCAAATGAAAATGAAGCTCAGGCCTGTAATCCCAGCACTTTGGGAGGCCGAGGCGGGCGGATCACTTGACGGCCGTGGTTCGAGACCAGCCTGGCCGACATGGTGAAGCCCTGTCTCTACTAAAAATGTAAAAATTAGCTGGACTGGGCGGGGCGCGCCTCCAATTCCAGCTACTCGGGAGGCTGAGGCGCGAGAATGGCGTGAACCCGGGAGGCGGATGCTGCCGTGAGCCGAGATCGCAGCACTGCACTCCAGCCTGGGCGGCAGAGCCAGACTCTCATAAAAATGAAAGTGAAGTTAAACCAAGTAAAATGATCATGCTTTGGAGAGAATGAAGTGAGGAGGAAAAAAAGAAAATAATCACCTACAAACGTTGACCTTAAAGCAAATTATACAACTTCGTTTGAAAATATGCCAATCGGCCTGGGAATATGAGGAGATTCTGTTGTTGATGGACAGTGGACTGAACACACACATTTACTGCTTCTCCTTCCAGAAACATGACTGAAATTATGACAAAGGGACAAACAAAAGCTGTAAACACACAGAACCAAGAGTACAGGAGGGAAGACAAGAGCAAAGGCCGGAAGCAGAAAGAGTGGTGAGCTAACTCAGCTCCCCGTAAGGCAGCTTGGTTTCCCGCGGGAAGCACAAGGCAGCCGGGGAAATGGCACGGCAGTGCCTTCTGGAAGAGACATAAAGGAGGGAATGGAACAGGTTGGGTACATCCTTAGGACCCTCCCTCTAAATCTTCAGCGGAGTGAGCCCCACCTTGTTGAGGGGTGGGGGGGTGTGCAAGTCGCTTCCTGAATGTTGGCTGTCAGGTGTAAACCCCCCAGGCAAGAAATCGATTTTTTTTTTTCTTCTGGGGAAGCTGATCAGCATGAGAGAAACATACCTAAAAATCCTGAAACTGAGGGTGTGGAAGGGCCCTCATTGAAGAAGCTCAGCCTCCAAGCAAGCCCAAGCCCCCTTCCATATATGCAAAGTATTCAAACAGCTTTTTAGTAGTTAAATTTTATGCAATGACAGGAAGCCAAGGATGATCAGACATCTGAGGGGGAGTTTCTCATATGAAAGTTGTAGTTCTAAACATCAGTTGGGGGGAAAAATCAATTCAGAGGAAACCTGGACTATACATAGAAGTGAAAACTTAAAAAAAATCAGGAACATTCTCACAGAGATGAACAAATATTTTATCCATGCAGCAGAAACAAGATGTCACCAAAAAACTTTTCAGGAAAAACCCAACTCTTTTTTTTTTTTTTTTTGAGACAGAGTTTTTGCTTTCGTTGCCCAGGCTAGAGTGCAGTGGCACAATCTCGGCTCACTGCAACCTCCGCCTTCCAGTTTCAAGTGATTCTCCTGCCTCAGTCTCCCAAGTAGCTGGGATTACGGGCGCCCACCACCACACCCAGCTAATTTTTTTGTATTTTTAGTAGAGACAGTGTTTCACCATGTTGGTCAGGCTGGTCTCGAACTGCTGACCTCGTGATCCACCTGCCTCGGCCTCCCAAAGTGCTGGGATTACAGGCGTGAGCCACCGTGCCCAGCAACCCAACTCTTAAAAAATTAAAATACCCACATTTAAGATGCCTGTAACTATAAGACACCCAATTATTTTCTGTACCATTAAAAAAAGAAAGCCAGGCACGGTGGCTCACTCCTATAATCCCAGCACTTTAAGAGGCCAAGGCAGGAGGATTGCTTGAGCCTGGGAGTTCAAGACCAGCCTGGCTAATAGAGAAAGACCCCATCTCTACAAAATTAAAAGATAAAAATTAGCCTTGTGTGGTGGTAAACACCTGTAGTGAGCTATGATCATGCCACTGCATTCCAGCCTGAGCAGCAAGATCTTGCCTCAAAAAAAGAGAAAAGAAAAGAAAAAAAACACAAAACCGCTAACCAATGTATGACACTGCTTAACATAACAAGTTTTGCCCATTGAAAAAATCTTTTAATGTTACTTAGAGATAAATGTATTAAACATCACCATTGTTTGTATATATAAAAGAAAAAATAAGCAAAACACTTTACTTAAGGAATTCATAAACATCTTCACATTTAAAGTGTGAGTCCTGTGAAACCAGTTCCCAGCTCAGAATTATTGACATTGTTTTTTCCCCATTTAATATCTTTCTCCATATCATTAAGAGTATTGATGATGCATTATATTTTAGCCAATTGTTCCACTAGTGTGTCAGGGATTTTTTTCTAAGCTATTGATACCAATTTTTTAATTTTGAAGCTAGCACTTAATTTGGCTTTATTTAACTTAAATAATCATTTCACTTTTTCTCCATTGAATCACATCACTGAATGTCATGGTGTTTCGGTCCAAGGTCCGCAGGAAGCTTCTGACAAACTAAGTTTCAATGCTTCAATGATAAACCTGTACAATGCACAAATTGGTCATACCAACTCCTTGTTGCTTTGAAAGTTTTCTCATTTATTCCAAATGATTTGACATTTTTACTGCCTTCAGTTGCATTTCCTGACATGTAGTATCAACATGTGTGGCATCAACCATGCATGTAACTCAACTGAGGAGATGGCAAGCTTGTGCATACACGGGCAATGGCAATGACGCTGTGACTGGTGCCTGAACAATGGTCATTGTCACGGTTCATTATTTATGTAGTACATTCTGATCACAGAGGTTATAAACTGAAAAATATGCATCTTAGAATCAATTAAGAACATTTAAAAAATAGCACTCACAGGCCGGGCACGGTGGCTCATGCCTGTAATCCCAGCACTTTGGGAGGCTGAGGTGGGCGGATCACGAGGTCAGGAGATCAAGACCATCCTGGCTAACACGGTGAAAACCCATGTCTACTAAAAATACAAAAATTAGCCAGCATGATAGCATGCACCTGTAATCCCAGCTACTCAGGAGGCTGAGGCAGGAGAATTGCTTGAACCTGGGAGGCAGAGGTTGCAGTGAGCCGAGATCACGCCATTGCACTCCAGCCTGGGTGACAGAGTGAGACTCCATCTCAAAAAAAATAAAAAAAGCAAGAAAGAAAAAGAAAAAAATAGCACTCACTAGAACGGATGGAAGATAAAATTTAAGAAATCTCTCAGAGAGTAGGAAAAAAAAGACACAGGAAAATAAAATGAAAGAGAAAAGATAAGAAAATTAGAGAATCAAACCAGAAAGTCCAACAAATGAATAACAAGAGTTTGAAAGAGAGAACAGAACATAATGGAGAGAGAAAACAACAAAGAAATAATTTGAGAACATTTCCTGAAACTGACCTATGAGAGTTTTCAGGCCCAGCACTGTGGCTCACACCTGTAATCCCAACAATTTGGGAGGCCAGAGGATCACATCAGCTTAGGAGTTTGAGACCAGCCTGAGCAACATAGGGAGACCTCATCTCTGCAAAAAAATTTAAAAATTAGCTCAGTGTGGTGGCACACACCTGTAGTCCCAGCTACTTGGGAGGCTGAGGTCGGACGATCACTTGAGCCCAGGAGTTTGCTGCCACAGTGAGCCATGATTATACCACTGCACTCCAGTCTGGGTAACAGAGCAAGAGCCTGTCTCAATTTTAAAAGCAAAAACAAAAACAAAAAAGAGCTTTCAGACGGTAAGAGCACACAAAGTGCCAAGCATAGTTACAGTAAGACTTTAGGGTACATCATTGTGAAGAATGAAGAACTTAAAAGATCTTAAAAGCTCCCAAACAGGGCTGGGCATGGTGGCTCACACCTGTAATCCCAGCATTTTGGGAGGCCAATGTGGGAGAATTGCCTGAGGCCAGGATTTTGAGACGAGCCGAGGCAGCATAGTGAGACCCTATCTCTACAAAAAAATTTTAAAACTTACCCGGGCATAATGGTGTGCACCTATAGTTGTAGCTACTTGGGAGGGTGGGATCACTTGAGCCCAGGAGTTTGAGGCTACACCTCTAGCCTGGGTGATACAGCAAGACACCATCTCTAAAAACAAAAACAAAGAAAACTTCCACAAAAAAAAATCTGATTTCTTAGAAAGGAACAGGTCTTAGAATGGTTCTGGACCTCTTAATGACTACATTGTATGCAAATAAAATAAAATAACATAAAAATTCACAGGAAAATGATATTTGTATTTAGACTTCTCTTTCCAGTCAAATTTTGATTAAATATGAGACTGGAATGAAGATCTCTCCAGATGTTCAAGGGCTCAAAAAATTGATCTCTGAGTACGCTTTCCCAGAAAGATACTAGAGGAAGTACTCCACCAAAATAAGCGAAAGAACCTAAAAGAAGAAGACACTGAATTTAGGGAATCCAACAAAAGAAGGATGTGAACAGTACCCCCAGGGAAAAGATGAGGAAGACCCAGGAAGACAGCTTTGTTGCAAGCCTAGAGAGTCACAGTCCAGAGAGAGGCGCAGGTTGGAACATTCAGGTAGGGATGATTCCATGAAGAGACTGAGAGAAAATCAGATGTATTGAGAGGAGATTTAAACCATGGGAAAATTGAGAAATATGTTAATTATTGTATGTTGCTTAGAAAACTAAGCAAAGGAAAATACTTGACATTTGCTAACTCCAGTGAAAATACAAAGTTAGCAGTAGAGGAAAAGTAATCATCGTATACTGTATGGCTCAGCTACACAGCAGTGGCTAGCACTTACAGTCATAGGAATCAGTGAATACCAATGTAGCCAAAATTGGGATATGTAATGGGAGTATGGGAGGTGGTCAAGTCATATGTGTAGGAGATGGGGACATGGACAGAGGCAGCGAAGAAGTAAGTCCTTACCTTCTGATGTGGGAAGTCAGCAGATGGTACCTAAAAGTGAAAAATCAAGAAACAGCAGTGTAAGTGTGCTATCAGCGATAGGACGATAAAGACCAACAGTTGTCGCTGAAAGTTTGAGAGTAGTTTCCTTCTGCTACGATTTGAATGTTTTTCCCTCCAAAGCTCATGTTAAAATGTAATTGTGATTGCGACAGTGTTAAGAGGTGGGATCTTTAAGAAGTGTTCATGAGGTCATGAGGGTTCCAGCCTCATGAATGGACTCACGCTGCATTATTGTGGGAATAGGTTCACTTCTTTTTGTGCTCTCTCTCACCCTCTTTTGACCCTTCCAGTACGTGGCACCTTCCACCATGTTATGTGGCAACAAGAAGACCATCACCAGATGCTGACATCTGATATTGGACTTTCAGCCTCCAGAACTGTGCGCCAATAAATTTCTGTTCATTAAAAATTACACAGTCGAGGCTGGGCGCGGTGGCTTACACCTGTAATCCCAGCACTTTGGGAGGCTGAGACGGGTGGATCACCTGAGGTCGGGAGGTTGAGACCAGCCTGGCCAACATGGAGAAACCCTATCTCTACTAAAAATACAAAATTAGCTGGGTGTGGTGGTGCGTGCCTGTAATCCCAGCTACTCAGGAGGCTGAGGCAGGAGAATCACTTGAACCTGGGAGATGGAGGTTGCAGTGAGCCGAGATCGCATCATTGCACTCCAGCCTGGGCAACAAAAGCGAAACTCTGTCTCAAAAAAAAAAAAAAAAAAAATACACAGTCTGTGGTATTCGAATATTACAACACAAAATAGACTAAGACATTTCTGGACATTGGACAATCAGAACTAGAAAGAAAGGGCAGTGCAAGGGACTGCTCTTTTTTTTTACAGTAAACCTTATAGAATCATTTCATTCATTAAAGTGATATGTATAATAAATAACAACCAAATATTTGGAGAGTAGGAACAATAAAAGAGGCATCGTAATGAGGTAATTACCAGAATGGGAGGCTGGGGCCCAAGTCTTTTAACCTCTGTAAGACTCAGTTTCCTCACATATAAAATACAAATTATAGTATGGACCATAATTTTCTGGGCTGATTGCAAGGGATAAATAAACTAAGATATATGGTTTTGCAAATTTAAAGCACCATAGAAATGTAGAAAATTGTATTTATTAAGTGTATAAGACAAAAGGCGAGTAATAAAACTGGTTTAATGCAAAGAAACATCTGGCTCTTTGATACTTGTTTGCAGTCCTCAGAAACTTGAACTGAAAAATCTCTGTCATTCATAGTAGATGGCATGGCTAATGTTTATGGAAAAGAAGATGGTGCCACCTTCCACAGGGCACTGTGGCTGCTCTTATGAAACAAAACACCAGTGGAGTCTGCAACCAAACTAGTGTTCTATGTGTGTTGTGCACATGTCCAATATGTATCATAAGATGCTTCCTAAGGTTGCTCCTGAGACATCTTGCCTACATGCTACACAAACGTGGCTGCCTTAGTCCATTTTGGCTGCTATAACAAAATATCTTATAAATAACATAAATCTATTTCCTACAGTCCTAGAGGCTGAGGAGTCCAAGATCAACGTGCGAACAGATTCACTGTTGGGTAAGGGCCGTTCCTCAGGCCTTCTTGCTGTGTCCTTACATGATGAAAGAGGGGAACAAAGGACCGCTTTTATAAGGCACTAATCCCATTCATGAGGGCTCTACCTTCATGACCTAATCAACTCATAAATGTCCCACCTATTCACACTAATGCATTGGAGAAAGATTTCAACATATGAATTTTGGGGGTGACACAAACATTCAGACTATAACAGGGACCAAGTCTGTGGTGTAGGTAATAATATTGCACATATTTCAAATTCTTGGTTTTGAAAATATGCTGTGGCTATGTAAGATGTTATCAATGTGGGAAGCAGGGTGATGGGAACACACTGTACTATTTTTACAACTTCTCGAAAGTCTAAAAGTAATTCAAAACAAAAAGCTAAAAAGGAAGTATTTAGATCCAACCAATGCCCCAATTTAAAGATAATCCAAACTACATCTGGATCCCAAAGGAGGTCTGAACCCTCCAAGAACACTAGACTGTGCTGTGCTGCAGCAAGTGAAAGGCTGTATCGACACCTAAGAGGCTGATCTGTTCTCACCAAGGAACAGGATTTTCCCAATTCCGTTTTCCTGAACCATTTGTTCATTACTTCCCCTCAAGCCACAGTTTCATTTATGCCATTAAGAAAAATTATCACATATAATCGCCAACCTTGGGAAAAGAATATAGTCATTTTGTTTTCTTTCAGACCACAAAGTAGGAAATCAGAAGCCTTGGGTAAATTGAAAATCCCAACTTTGTTTTATTTAAGGGATGCCAAGACTCCCTGTGCCCCTGGCACTCTGGGTGGGGGGATTTCCTGCATGCCAAATTGCTAATGCAAGATGCATTAGCCCATAGCTTTAGAAGTTCCAGATTTCTTGGCACCAAAGGGTTATGAATAATCCTTTCCACTCCCCTTGACTGTTGGAGGACTTTCAAAATATTTTCTAGTCTTTACTTCTACTGCCCTTTGATCTTGTCAGGGAGAATCTAAGAGACCAACTTGTTTGTTTCCTGGACTAACAGCAATGCTTCTCCAACTTTAACAAACATAGGAATTACCTGGTAAAAATACAGACTCGCAGGTCACACTCCTTGAAATTCTGGGGTGAGGCAAGTTGTACCCAATATCGACAATGATTCCAGGTGATCTGATGTGGGGTTGACTATATATCACACCATGAAAATCACTGGCAGAGAGATATAAAAGATAAAGAACATCCTAAAAAAGTGCTTTGAAGGCCAGGCATGGTGGCTCATGCCTGTAATCCCAGCACTCTGGGAGGCTGAGGCCGGGGGGATCACCTGAGGTCAGGAGTTTGAGACCAGCCTGGCCAACATGGCGAAACCCCATCTCTACTAAAAATACAAAAATTAGCCGGGCGTGGTGGCCGGCACCTGTAATCCCAGCTACTTGGGAGGCTGAGGCAGGAGAATTGCTTGAACTCAGGAGGCTGCAGTGAGCTGAGATCATACCACTGCACTCCATACTCCAGCCTGGGTGATAGTGAGAGACTCTGTCTCAAAAAAAAAGCTGTGATGTGGTTTGGATGTCTATCCCTTCCAAATCTCATGTTGAAAGTGGAGTCTAGTGGGAGGTATTGGATGATGGAGATGGGTCCCTCATGAATGACTTAGTGCCATCCCCTTGGTGATGAGTGAGTTCTTAGTTCACACGAGATCTGGTTGTTTAAGAGTCTGGGACCTCCTGCTTCTCTCTCTTGCTTCCTCTCTCACCATGTGATACAGCAGCTTCCCCTTCACCTTCCGCCATGATTGTAAGCTCCCTGGAGCCCTCACCAAAAGCAGAGGCCAGCACCATCCTTCCTGTACAGGCTGCAGGACTGTGAGCCAAAATAAACCTCTTTTCTTTATAAATTACTCAGTCTCATACATTCCTTTATAGCAACACAAACAGACTAATACATCTTTAAAAGAAAAGAAAAGAAAGAAGAAAGAAGGAAAGAAAGAGAGAAAGACAGAAGGAAAGAAAGAAAGAAAGAAAGAAAGAAAGAAAAAGAAAGAAAGAAAGAAAGAAAGAAAGAAAGAAAGAAAGAAAGAAAGGCAGGAAGGAAGGAAAAAGAAAGAAAGAAAATTGCTCATTATCCACAAGATTTAGTTAAAAGATTACATGAAAAGCAAAGGGTTTGGTGAGGCGTGGTGGCTCACGCTTGTCCCAGCATTTTGAGAGGCCAAGGTGGGAGGATTCTTTGAGCCCAGGAGTTTGGGACCATTCTGGGCAACACAGTGAGACTCCATCTTTCCAAAAAAATAAAAAATTAGCTGCGCCTGTGGTCCCAGCTACTCAGAGTGGGAACTCTGCTCTCTGACTTCAGGTTTCTATTTTGTCCTATTACACTTTGGGAGGCAAAGTAAGTCATAGGGCCACACCTAAAAGTCAATGTGAGTGGAGTAATGAAGTGCAACCCTACCATGTGTCTGGAGGGTGGAGAGCAAGAAATATTTGATGAATATCACAAAGGAGTCCTGCAGAGGGTATTTCAGAACAATCATTCAATTGGGAGGATCAGTTGAATCCAGGAGGTTGACGTTGGGGTGAGCAGTGATCATGCCCCTGCACTCCAGCCTGGGTGACAGAACAAGACCCTATTTCAAAAAATAAAAAAGAAAAGAAAAGAAAATCAAAGGGTTTGACATGAGCTTTGAACCATTAGAAATGAAAATGTGATACTGGTTCATCAGCTGACATTTTAGATATAATTTTCCTTTTATTAATTAATCATTGAAGAATAAATAGTGGAATTGTCCAGTTATTTTCACCTCTGAGATAATGGCATTGATGTTGTTATTTCAATAAGCCTAATTGGGACAAAATGAAGCTGAATTCCTTAGTGTTTTTCCCCACATGGTAAACACTTGCATCCAGAGTGACTGAGTTCTTTTTAAAGTAACAAGTAGAGAGTAGAAGTGGGTTAATGTATAGACTTGCTGAGATTACATGAATTGTGAGTATTTTTGGGAAAGTTCAAGGAGCAAATTGCATTTAAAGCTGGGGCAGTATGGTCTTCAGATAGGTTTTTTATTTTCACTACTCCAAGCCAGGTCAGACTTCCCTTTCCTGAACAGCATTCCTATTAGCATCTCATTTACCTTCAAACTTGGCCATTTATCAGCTCTTCACCCACAAAACTTTTGTCCTCGGCAGGACTGTGAGTTCAGGGTAGAGCACAATCATACCACCTCCTGCAGAGCTTTGTATACAGTAACTGCACAATAAATATGTGTTGTATGAATCCATGAATAAATACATTTAGATGAGCAGCCAGTCAAATCACCACCACCAGATAAGTTCCCTTTGAGAGGGGAGGAATACATGCTCCAAAGAGCCCTGAATTTACATTCAGAGCAACTATCTTTGCTTCCTCAATCTATAACCAGTAAACCAGTGCTGTCCAAGAGAAATATAGCACAGATTACAAATGCAAGCTGCCTATGTACTTTTCCATTTTTAGTAGCTCTGTTCTAAAAGATAAAAATAAACAAGCAAAATTAATTTTAAGATCATATTTTATTTAACTCACCCAGTGTCTCTAAAATATTATTTCGTCGTGTAATTAATAGAAACTATTTTTTTCAACAACCAAGAGCAGGTAAAATATAAACTATTAATGAGATTTTTACATTCCTCTTTCATGCCAGTTTTGAATCTGGTATGTGTTTTATTGGACCAGCCACATTTCAAATGCTTGATTGCTGCCTGGGGCTGGTGGCCATGCTGTTGAAGGACACAGCTCCAGAGTTATGTTGGCTGTGAATAAACCCCGATTTCCTTTTTTGGGACACTGGAATAATACCTACCTCATAGGACTTCTGTGAGGATTAAATGAAACCATGAAGTGTGAATGCGTAGGGTGGCTTCTAACAAGAAGGTTTATTTCTTGCTTTCCATTCATTGATGGTTTATTTCTTGCCACCCATTCATTGATGGTTTATTTCTTGCCACCCATTCATTCAGTGGGGACTCTGCCCTCTGACTTAAAGTTTCTATTCTGTCCTATTACATTTTAGGAGGCAAAGTAAGTCATAGGGCCACACCCAAAGGTCAATGGCAGTGGAGTAGAAAACTGCAACCCTACCATGTGTCTGGAGGGTGGAGAGCAAGAAATATTTGATGAATATCACAAAGGAGTCATGCAAAGGGTATTTCAGAACAATCATTCTAATAATCATTTTTGGCTGGACGTGGTGGCTCACGCTTGTAATCCCAGCACTATGGGAGGCCGAGGCAGGCGGATCACGAGGTCAGGAGATCGAGAACATCCTGGCTAACAAGGTGAAACCCCGTCTCTACTAAAAATACAAAAAAGAAAAAAAAAATTTGCCAGGTGTGGTGGCGGGTGCCTGTAGTACCAGCTACTTGGGAGGCTGAGGCAGGAGAATGGCGTGAACCCAGGAGGCGGCGCTTGCAGTGAGCCGAGATAGCGCCACTGCACTCCAGCCTGGGCGACAGAGCGAGACTCTGTCTCAGAAAAAAAAAAAAATCATTTTTACTAACTTTCTGAAGGACTCATTTCTCTAGTCCATACTACCACCAGAGATGGCATTTTAAACACAGTTTTTTTCTCCCAGCATATGTTTGTGTAAAGGGGTGAAAGGGATGGGGGAACCACATTAAACATCCCAAAATGTTTTTTAGGAGCGGAATTAATTTTTTTTTTTTTTTAGAGATGGAAGGGTGCAGGTCTCACTATGTTGCCCAGGCAGGTCTGTCTTGAACTCCTGGCCTCAAGCGATCGTCCTGCCTCAGCCTCCCAAGTCGCTGAGTTACAGGCATGAGCCACCACATTGGGCCCAAAGTGTTCGCATACAGTTCATACAAAGGTCTTGATCCTGCTGTGTCTTTGCACGTGCTAGCCCCGCCTGGAGCACTGCTCATCTGTTCAGAGTCAAGTCAAATGCCGCTTGCTTCATCCATTTTTTAGAGAGATGTTTCCCATGTGCTCTATGAATCTGTTCCAGGAGGGGGGAATTCCACAATGAAAAAACATCAAGTTTCTGCCCTCCTGGACTTTACTTGCCTCAGTTTCCTCTACAGAACTTCATCTTTCCCTTTTACATGGCACACTTCTATGATAGACAATTGTAGGATAGTCACTCGTCTGGATGCCTCTCTCTTTCACTTCTGTGGAGAAGGCCAAGGATCTTACTCATATTTAGAGCCAGCTTCTTCATATTCTCCAGGTTTGGAGACAAGGTTGCCTAAAAGATTAGCCTCTGAAACAAAAATGCAGACGCCAACTAGTACGTCTGTCACAGAAGCAGCTCACCCTGGGATAGGGCTGCTGATGGATGAATCTAGGGGTGGTGGCCAAGATAGATTGTAAAATCAGCATAAGAGGTACTAGTGCATTTTATGCTCGATAAAAATGGGACTGGAGAGTAAGAACTGATTATTGAAACACAAGCAAGAGACCCATGGCATCTGACAGCTCTGCCGGCACTAGAGATGCAAAACCTATGATGGAACAGTTTTCTCATCTGTAAAATGGGGATAACAGCTACTTAATGGGCTGTAGAGATTAAACCAGAGAATCTTTGTAAAGGACAGTGCCAGACACTTGGTAAGAATTCAATATATTATATTATCCTTGCTACTGAAATAATTATTTCAGTGATTCTGAATAGTATTTATTATTGTTTTAGATTATTGCTTTCATTATTACTGGTTTGGGGTACTACCTTCTACACCATGTGTTAGGTGGATCTGTTTTAGCCACTTGGGGCTCATTTGGCTGAAGGTACTTGTGTTTGTTCTTTTCTGCATTGCTATAAAGAAATAGCTGAGACTGGGTAATTTATAAAGAAAAGAGGTTGAATTGGCTCATGGTTCTGCGGGTGTACAGGAAGCACGGTACCAGCATCTGCCTGGCTTCTAGTGAGGCCACAGGGAGCTTTTACTCATGGTGGAAAGTGAAGTGGGTACCGGCATATCACATAGTGAGAGGAGGAGCGAGAGGGAGAGGAGGCCTAGACTCTAAATAACCAGATCTCTGAACTCAGAGAGAGAACTCACTTATTCCCAATGGGATGACTAAACCATTCACGAGGAATCCACCCCGCCGATCCAAACACCTTCCACCAGGCCCCACCTCCAACACTGGGAATTGCATTTCAATGTAAGATTTGGAGGGGACAAACGTCCAAACTATATCAGTACTTCAGCTGGGCTGAACTGGGCTTATATTCTGTTCTGGTCCCCAAACAGAGAAAGTGAATCTGAGGATGTTGGCAGCTGACTTCCCAGCCTCATGAGGAGACTCTATCTGCAAAAAGAAGCTCAAGATGGGAGGCATTAAAAAACACAGACACACATACACAAACAAAAACACACAAACAAGAAAAAAATATCCTGATGACACTGCCAGGCTCTCAAAGTCCAGATTTGCCTGAAGTTGGATCCACTTTTGGATGTTTGAGTTCCAGAAATTTTATTTTTTTGATAAAATTTGTGTGACTTTAAACCATGGTTTTAAAGCATGTTCGGAGTCATTCCTGCTGCCTGCTGTCCAGGGGTCAGTCACTGGACTTCCCGAATCCTGTTGGTGTCTGCTCGAAGCAAGGACCCCTCGAGCTGTCCTTGTCCAGGTTCCTTCTTTATTCTTCCAAGCCCTCCCCGAGGACACAGGTATTACACTCCTTTCTCAAGAGTATTCCTGTGGCTGTAGCTGCCCCAACAGCTCAGCTGGGCAGTGAGGAAGGGACAGGTGACTCATTCTTGCCTTCTCCAGCCAGGGAATGCAGGCTGGGTGGGGGGATATCTGGGATGCAGAGTCGTGTGTGTGTGTGTGTGTGTGTGTGTGTGTGTGTGTGGTGCCTCGATGCTGAGTTGCTCCCCGCTGGCTCAGAGGTCACGCTCCTCCTTCAGCTTGCCTGCTGTCGGGGCTACACCATGGTCCACTCCCAAGTCAGGGCTCCTCAGCAGCGAGCTGTGTCAGACACCATACATTTATCCTAAATTCATCTTTTATGACACTTCCTTATCGTAGCTGGAGATCCCCAAATGATAGACATAAAATGTGTTATACCTCTAATTGTAACTTATCGGTGAGGTGGTGGTGGGACATTTTTTGGAATAAGACAAGGGCATGGAGTCCCCTCTGAGGCCGACTTCACAACAGTCATCAGATTTAAAGACTGATGCATGTTAGATACTAACTCCTTGAAGTGAGCGTAGACTTTTGATCGTCCTTTTGCCAAGGAGAAAATGTAAAGAGATTTGTTCAAGTTCACAACAGTTCACTTACCTTGAATTTATTTACTTGAACGCTACAATGGGAGTGCTGATTTTCCTCTGCCAAGCATCCCTTCCTTTGAAAGGTTTCTCTCTTTACTCAGTGCGATGATTCTGGGGGTGCCTCGATCGCAGCACCAGACGCTTCCCAGTTGACCCCAGGGGTGGTAGCTGCTCCAGTCAGGGTGCCCACCCATCAATAATAGTGACTGTAAAGGGTGGGCATGAGACCTTGTCATATTGGAACTGGGCATAGACGTAGCTGGACTGAGTTTTTATGTTTGTTTCTAGTACTTGCCTCTTGCTGTGTTTTAAATCCACGTTTCTCTGGTTACCATGAAGCTGAGTTTTTTTGGCACAATTCATTGTTATTAATATAAAATAAATATTTATTCTAGCTTCAAAGTTGTTATACCTGAAGCTGCTAATTTTAAAAATGAATTTAAAATAACCACTTAATAATTCTGCTTTTACTAAGACAATGAAATGTGACTTTAAGAAGCCATATTTAAATTCAGCACCATTTGCTCATAGGTCTTTCAGAATTTGTTCTTAAACTTTCTGGAACTCTCCTGTTTGTAAACTACAGGAATTACTGAGCTACATGAGAAAGCCTCTCTGGGACAGGCAATGGGAAGTTAAACAAGGATATTAACTCCCGAAAGTGAAGGTAGACTTTTTTTTAGCTGGGCGTGGTGGCACGCCCCTGTAATCGGGAGGCTGAGGCAGGAGAATCGCTTGAACCTGGGAGGCGGAGGTTGCAGAGAGCAGAGATCACACCACTGCACTCCAGCCTGGGCGACAGAGACAGACTCTGTCTCAAAAAAAAAAAAAAAAAAAAAAAGAATGCGTGTCTTTGCATCAGTGAGTGGAACTGCATCATTAGTGGGAAAATCTCAGGATATTATATGCATCCTTAGCCTTCAGGAAGGAGCTACAGTAAAGAGACACACTTAGCTGAAGGAAAAGAAGGAAGAAAACATAGCTTTCCTTAGAGGTCTCTTTTTTTATCCCAGAAGGAAATCCAAAAGTGTTGCATATCTGGTTGTCTGAAGCCAACCAGAATTTGAAAAGCTATATTATTTGTCAAACTAGGAATAGTATCAGTTGAGGAAGGAAAATGAAGGATTCAGCAGAAGATAAAATTGGAACTCAAGAACTCAAACCATCTTCCTGCCCATCCTCTTCCCTCTCCTTAGGATTGGCCACTCACTCACCACCTCCCACGGGAGTGGCCATGCTCACTTTAAAGACTCAGTTGAGATGCAGCCTAGAAGCAGGCAGTAAATTTTTGGTACCTTCCCACCCAAGATTATTGCATTAGTTTTCTATTGCTACTGCGACCAATTACTGTAGATCTTCTGACTTAAAACAACACAAATTGCCTGCTTGTTGTGGTTTACACCTGAAATCTCGATATTTTGGGAGGCTGAGGAGCGAGGATCACTTGAGCCCAGGAGTTCAAGACCAGCCTGGGCAACATAGTGAGACCTCATTTCTACAAAAATAAAAAGATTAGCTGGGTATAGTGGTGTGTGCCTGCAGTCCTAGATACTCGGAGGATGAGGTGGGAGGATCGCTTGAGCCCGGGAGATCGAAGCTGCAGTGAGCAGAGATCACACCAATGCATTCCAGCCTGGGCCACAGAGCTAGACTTTGCCAACACAAATTTAATATGTGACAGTTCTGGAGGTCATCAAGAGGCTGGCAGAGCTGTGTTCCTTTCCAAATGCTCCAGGAAGAATCTGCTTCCTCACCTTTTGCAGGTTCTAGAGGCTGCCCAGACTCCTTGGCTTATGGTCCCTTCCTCCATCTTCACAGCTAGCCTTGGCTGATCAAGTCTTCTCCCAGTGCATCACCCAATACTGGTTCTCTGCCTCTCTCTTTTACATTAAAGGCCCTTGTAATTACATCGGCCCCATCCCAGTAATCCAGGATAATCCCCCTATTTTAAGGTCTGCTCATCAGCAGCCTTAACTACCCCCTTGCCACATAACCTGAAATAGTCACAGGTTCTGGGGATCAGGACATGGCTGTCTTCAGGAGGACACTCATCTGCCTGCTACAATTATTATTTTGAATGTCCTTATTGCTACAAAACACTACTTTTATTTATTTATTTATTTATTTATTTTTGAGATGGAGTCTAGCTCTCTCGCCAGGCTTGGAGTGCAGTGGTGCGATCTCTGCTCACTGCAACCTCCGCCTCCCAGGTTCAAGCAATTCTCCTGCCTCAGCCTCCTGAGAAGCTGGGATTACAGGCGTGTGCCACCATGCTGGGCTAATTTTTGTATTTTTAGTAGAGACGGGGTTTCACCATGTTGGCCAGGCTGGTCTTGAACTCCTGACCTCAGGTGATCCGCCTGCCTCCTCCTCCCAAAGTGTTGGGATTATAGGCATGAGCCACTGTGCCCGGCCCAAAACACTACTTTAAGTAGCTACATCATACGTTATTTAAAATTTTCTTGTTGATACATACCTTGCATCTGTTTTTCTTTTCCTGTAATAAGTGATATTACAACAGACACCTTTTAGATAGAATTTTGTATTTTGGTTTTTTTTCTAGGATTGTTGCAATAAATCATGTAATATTTTATGGCAATACCTATAGCTATATTGTTTTCTAAAATAACTACAGTAACTTCTTTTTTTTTTTCTTTTGAGACGGAGTTTCGCTCTTATTGCCCAGGCTGGAGTGCAATGGTGCAATCTCGGCTCACCGCAACCTCCGCCTCCCAGGTTCAAGCGATTCTCCTGCCTCAGCCTCCCAAGTAGCTGGAATTACAGGCATGCGCCACCAGGCCCAGCTAATTTTGTATTTTTAGTAGAGACGGGGTTTCTCCATGTTGGTCAGGCTGGTCTTGAACTCTAAACCTCAGGTGATCCACCCACCTCAGCCTCCCAAAGTGCTGGGATTACAGGCGTCAGCCACTGTGCCCAGCTTAGCTACAGTAATTTCATACTCATTTCCTGTATATTAGAATATCACTTCAGTAAACCTATGTTGACACTGCCTTTTAACATTTAACACCGTTTTCATTTTTTTGAATACCACTGAGGCTGAACAATTTCCATGTTATAAGTCTTAGTGGCGGAGATTTTTTTGGCCTTTTTTTGGTGGTCTTATAACTTTATTTGATGTATTCAATGATCAGTGGCTACTTCTCATCCACTTTGTCTGTAGACTTTTGAAAGTGGTAACAGGTACATAGGTAATCAAAGTATAGAGCTTGTTTGGTGAATCTTCATGCTAATTACGTTTTCTGGACAACCACACATGGATACAGTAGAGGATATTCCTTATTCCTTCAGCTCAGATAGCTTTGTTGAGTCTGGCATCAATGAGCACATCTGGAGTTCCCATCTCCTTCATGGCAAGTTTCTGGATCTCTCTGAGTGCCAGAGGGGCACACTTCTTGAAGCCCACTCTGTATGCACTTGTGAATATTGATGGCAGAATGGCCTTTCTTCTCGCTACCTTTGTTTGCTGGAGTCATTCTGCCTGGCCCAAGTTGGAAAGCTGTTTTTGGCTTTCTTCATCACTATTGCATCTCAGCACCTAGCATGGTGCCTAGCATGTCAGTAAATCACCAGTGAATATTTGGGGAATGAATGGATGACTGGAAGAGCATACTAAAGTGAGTAAAAGCTGTATTTTTTTCCTGATTTTTTTTTTTCCCAGAGACAAGGCCTCCCTCTGCCTCTCAGGCTAGAATGCAGCAGTGTCATCATACCTCTCTGCAGACTCGAACTCCCAGGCTCAAGCCATCCTCCATCCTTGGCCTCCCAAAGTGCTGGGATTATAGGTGTGAGCCACTGAGCCTGGCCAGGAGCTTTAAAGTCAAATGTATCTGGCTCCCTGTAATCCCAGCACTTTGGGAGGCTGAGGAGGTGGGAGGATCACAAGGTCAGGAGATCGAGACCATCCTGGCTAACAAGGTGAAACCCCGTCTCTACTAAAAATACA
This sequence comes from Homo sapiens, assembly GCF_000001405.40. Classification (NCBI taxonomy): domain Eukaryota; kingdom Metazoa; phylum Chordata; class Mammalia; order Primates; family Hominidae; genus Homo; species Homo sapiens. The sequence continues at coordinate 3,378,718 of NC_000018.10, forward strand.
ATACAAAAAAATCAGCCGGGTGTGGTGGCGGGCGCCTGTAGTCCCAGCTACTCGGGAGGCTGAGGCAGGAGGATGGCGTGAACCGGGGAGGCAGAGCTTGCAGTGAGCCGAGATCCCGCCACTGAAACTGCAGCCTGGGCGACAGAGCGAGACTCTGATTCAAAAAAAAAAAAAAAAAAGTATCTGGCTCAAGTTTCCAAATGTTTTCCACACAGTGATTTCTTTAATCTTCACAACAATCTTATAAGGTAGGTACTATTTTTGGCATAGTCTCCATCTTTCAGATAAGAAAACTGAAGTATAGAGAAATTAAGTAACTCTCCCAAAGCCACACAGCAAGTGGAAGACCAGGACTAAAGACCAGGACTTAAGCCCAGGTGATGAACTGTGGCTGCAGTAGCTAGGTTATTTTTATTTTTATTTTTATTTTTGAGACAGAATCTAGCTCCGTCGCCCAGGCTGGAGTGCAGTGACGTGATTTCAGCTCACTGCACCTCCGCCTCCCCAGTTCAAGCTATTCTCCTGCCTCAGCCATGCGAGCAGCTGGGACTACAGGCACGGGCCACCATGCCTGGTTAATTTTTGTATTTTTAGTAGAGACAGGGTTTCCTGATGTTGGCCAGGCTGGTCTCAAACTCCTGACCTCAAGTGATCTGCCTGCCTCAGCCTCCCAAAGTGCTGGGATTACAGGCGTGCGGCCCCATGCCCGGCCAGTAACTATGTGCTTAACACTGCACAGCTTCTCCAATGTACCAGCGTCTACCTAATAGGATTGTTACCGGGATTAAGTAACAGAATAGAATCAAATGCTTCTATGCCAAAACAGCACTTGACCTATAATAAAGCATAATACATTTTTGCTCTTTTGTCATCCATAGTACTATCTTTTTATTATTGTTACATTTTGTGGCTTGTCTATAGCATTTGCCCTCTGTATATTAGTTTCAAAAGGCTTTAGTTGTCTATTTTTAAGTGGGTTTATGTAATAAAAAGTTATTTCTCCTTAAAGCATTCTTATTTTACATATGAAGTATTTGTCCTCACTAGATGAAATGTTATATACCTTGACTCCTGTTTCCATTCCATATGGACTTTAATAAAACAATATTCTGAGAGATTTCCCCTTGTGATTGACATAACTCAAAATAGACCTCCATAGGGAAATACCTGCCACTTACAACCATGCCTTTTTCCTTGCGTAACAATGTGAATGTGCTTATTGCAACTGAACTGTCACACCTAAAAATGGTTAAAATGATATTTTACCGCACTAAAGCAATAACAGCAACAAAACAAAAACACATATTTTTCAAGTTTAAGTGGGCCTTAAAAGAGCAGGACTCTAGATCTATAAACATCTCTAGCAGAGATAAATTTTCCAAAGAGCTTAAAATGTTTTCGTACTGAAAAGATGCCAATATTATGTATATCCAGCAATTGTGTCCACTGATATTCTCTTGATAATACTTTATCTTTTCCTCATTTTTTCTTGCATTAAGAAATCAATAACCCTCCCCCACCACACACACACAAAAGAAAAATGGGTAAAGGGCAAATTTCTGAAATATTATTAAATGTTTAAATATTTAGAAGTATTAAAATATGTGCAAGACTTTGCACAACTGTTCTTGTGAATTCAGCAAAGAAGAATTTCTTGGCCAGGCGCTGTGGCTCACGCCTGTAACCCCAGCACTTTGGGAGGCTGAGGTGGGCGGATCACTTGAGGTCAGTAGTTCAAGACCAGCTGGCCAAAATGGTGAAACTCCGTCTCTACAAAAATTAGCTGGGCGTGGTTGCATGTGCCTATAATCCCAGCTGCTCCGGAGGCAAGGGAAGGAGAATCTCTTGAATCTGGGAGGCAGAGATGGCAATGAGCAGAGATGGCGCCACTGCACTCCAGCCTCGGCAACAGAGAGAGAATCCGTCTCAAAAAAGGATTTCTCATCCATTGCCTATAGCTAAACATTAGACAGACAATACCACAGTGTGACAGAAACAATTCCCTCATGTGTCATAGTCAATGAATCATTCAATTAAATAAGCAATTACATGATCATTTCCTGTAGAGGCCGCTGCCATTCATTTCAAAATCATATCATATTGCTTTAGAAGAAAACTTTAAGATGATGTACTAAAATTATTCATTCAGAAACCAAAAATTGTTAAACACTTCCCCTCTATCTCATCACTTTTTTTTTTTTTTTTTTTTTTTGAGAAAGTGTCTTGCTCTGTTACTCCGGCTGGAATGCATTGGCATCATCATGTCTCACTATAAACTCAAACTCCTGGGCTCAAGCGATCCTCCCACCTCAGGTTCCTGAGTAGCTGGGACTATGGGTATGCACCACCACACCCCATTAATTTTTACATTTTTTTTTGTAGAGACGAGGTCTCACTATGTTGCACAGGCTGGTCTTGAACTCCCAACCTCAAGTGATCCTGCTTCCTCAGCCTCGCAAAGTATTGGGATTACAGGCATGAGCCATCACACCCAGCCTCATCACTTTGAATAATACATTTTAAATCTGTGAACCATTATTTTATAAAGTTATACAGACTGCTGTAGGGAAAACTAAATACTATTCCTACTTTAAGGAAAACCATTGTCTAATGATAAACATTTTTTTAAAAAATTATAATTAGCCAGGCATGATGACATAGCCCTGTAGTCCCAGCTACTCAGGAGGCTGAGGCAAGAGAATTGTTTGAACCCAGGAGGCAGAGGTTGCAGTGAGCCGGGATGGTGCTACTGTACTCCAGGCTGGGTGATGAGTGAGGCTGTCTAAAAAAAGAAAAAAGAAAGAAAATTCTCAGAAATTATTTCCATAATTAGCAAGTACATAGAATTGATGTATGATGGAAGAGATAGATTCTAAAGTAAATTATCATAATTCTGCAAACTATCCAAACATAATATTTTACAACATAAAAGTATTATATATTAAAGCTCATTAATCTAAATAGCATTCCCACTAAAAGGAACCAGGGCTGTCTGGAAAAATGGCTAATTTCAGTTTGGGGGCAGGGAAAGTACAACAAGTTAGGCCTGGATCATTTTTGTTCCAGAAGATAAGAAAGTGTTCAAAAACACACAAAGACGGTAGAAGCGGCACAGAAGCCAAGTACAGTGGCTCACGCCTGTATTCCCAACACTTTAAGTGGTCCAAGTGGGAGGATCCCTTGAGGCCAAGAGTTCAAAAGCAGCCTGGGCAACATAGTGAGACTGTATTTGTATACAATTTTTTTAGAAATTGGCTGGGCATGGTGGTCCACACCTGTTGTCCTAGCTACTTGCGAGCCTGGGATGGGAGGATCCCTTGATACCAGGAGTTGGAGGCTGCAGTGAGTGAGCCAGCGCACTCTAGCCTGGGTGACAGAGCAAGACTTTGTGTCCATTTAATTAAAAAAAAAAAAAAAGACACAGGAGTCTACTAGAAGAGGCTTCTGCTGGCCAAATTTGGAAAACTTTGAGGATCCCAAGAAAAAAAAAATAGTGTTGGCTATAGATTAAGCAAATTGAATTAAAACAGGAGTCCAGGATTCTTCAACAAAAGGTGAGGTAAGGAGAGGCTCTTATTTACAGAAGAATCTCAGCTAAGAAATATAGAAGGAATAACTGATTTCAAAATCACTATTACTTCACCAATTTGATGACTGATTCCAGCAAGTATCAACAATGGATGCTAAACCTATAGGTAAAAATTGCTGGGACCCAGTGGATATACACTAATCCAAATATCACAGGTTATTGATTAATTGCAAAGAGGAGAGGAAGATATCTGGCACATAATACCTTAACCAAATGATCAAATATGACATCCCTGATGTTAGGGCAAACTGACTTGACACACCTGCTGGTATGAGAAGAGCACACTACCACCTGGGCAGGCCAAAGTGAATAATCTGAATTTAATTCCGAGACAGTCTACAAAACAATTGGCCTGGACACTTCACAGGTTGTATCTCAAAAGAAAAAAAAAAAAAGGCAGCAGAACCGCTTGAAATTAAAGGAGATGAAAGCTATATGACGTTAAAAGCAATACTTGATCCTAGACTGAATCCCTGATTTTTTAAAAAAGAAGAGTTTATGAACAGCATTATTGGGACAACTGGTGAAACTTGATTATTGGTGGTTATTTTAAATATTTCAATAGTAAGTAAATTTTTGATAATAGTATATCAAAGTCAATTTCTTGAATATGATCAAGGTGAAGCGGTTATATAGGAAAAGATCCTTTTTCTTAGGATTTAGGAATTAAATAGGAATATAGCATAATGAGGGAAGTTCTTTGTGCAATTCTTTTTTTTTTTATACTTTAAGTTTTACGGTACATGTGCACAACGCGCATGTTTGTTACATATGTATACATGTGCCATGTTGGTATGCTGCACCCATTAACTCGTCATTTAACATTAGGTATATCTCCTAATGCTATCCCTCCCCCTTCCCCACTGTGCTATTCTTTTAACATGTCTATAGGTTCAAAATTTTTCAAAAGAAAACGGGAAAAATTACATTAAGAAAACTCTAGTAAAAGGTTATTTACTATGCATGTTTAATTTATCCATATTTTTGCTTAACATTGTCTTTGTCTTACGTTGTCGACATAAAATGAAGAGGCTGTGGCACAAAATAAGATTTAAAGAGTTTACCTGAGCCAAAGTGTAGACAGCTGCCCGGAAGATTTAGACCCAAGAAACGTTGAATGTGAGCTCCGCCCAGCCTTTGTTACAAGCAAGTTTTTAAAGGCAAAAAAGAGGGATGGGAAGTGAGCTCATACAAAGTTGTTGTAAGGAATTCTCTTTGGTTTACAGAAATAACAGGGATTAGTGACTGGCTATACACTGCTAAACTATAGGGTGTGGCTTATAGTGTCCAGGGTGGCATTATTAGGGTAATTTATAGCTACTTGTGACAACAGCAAACAGTTTCAAGAGATAAATACATAGCTTAAGGGGGACGTGATTGCTGTCTCATTTCAATGGCTCTCTGGTCCTGATAATTTAAAAGGACTCGCATTCCTTAGATAATAGATGTTTTCTAAGCCAGGCATTGTGGCTCAATCCTATAATCCCAGTGACAAGCAGGAGGCTGAGGTGGAAGGATCACTTGTGTTCAACAGCAGCCTGGGCAATATAGGGAGGGCTTGTTCCCCATAACCCCAAAATGTAAAGAATTAGCCAGGCATGGTGGTTCACACCTGTAGTCCCAAGCTACTCAGGAAGCTGAGGCAGGAGGACCCCTTGAATCCAGGAGTTTGAGGCTGCAGTGAGCCGTGATCGAACCACTGCACTTCAGCCTGAGTGGCAGAGTGAGACCTCGACTCTTGAAAAAAGAGGAAAGAAAGAAGGTTGTTTTGTTTTGTTTTGAGACAGAGTCTTGCTCTGTCGCCATGCTGGAGTGCAGTGGCAGGATCTCCGCTCACTGCAACCTTCGCCTCCCGTGTTCAAGCGATTCTCGTGCCTCAGTCTCCGGAGTAGCGGGGATTACAGGCACGTACCACCACACCCAGCTAATTTTTGTATTTTTAGTACAGAAGGGGTTTCACCATGTTGGCCAGGGTGGTCTCAATCTCCTAACCTCATGATCCACTCGCCTAAGCCTCCCAAAGTGCTGAGATTACAGGCGTGAGCCACCGAGCCCAGCTTTTCTTTTCTCAACCTTGTCTTGTGAAATTTTATGTTGAGGCTTGTAAGTTATTTTCTAGTACTTTAAACACAGTAATTATTTTGGACCACATGTAATAGACAATTAATGCAGTTAAATTCCCCTGGCCTGAAGTTTATGCTTTTGGTAAATTAAGGAAATTGTAAAGAGCAAACATTCTACCTTGTTGGAATTTGGCTATAATGGGCCATCATGTTGCATGGCTGGATGGTGAATGAGAAGATGAAATTGGGGTCAGGAAATTTTAAAGCTGGAAGAGATCTTAAATCTTGGCCAAATTAAATTTACCAGACTTTAATTGAGAAAAGAACAATTCGTGAACTGGACAGCCTTCCGGGCCAGAGGAGGCTCAGAGACTCCAGCTCAGCCACGTGTTGGAAAGACGTAAATAGAGAAAGGAAAGTGACGAACAGAAAATGGAAGTGAGGTACAGAAACAGTCAGATTGGTTACAGCTCCGTGTTTGCCTTATCTGAACACGGTTTGAACAGTTGGCCCCCTTTAAGTTGCCAAAACTTGGTGATTGGCACAAGAGTAGGTTACAGTCTGTTTACTCTTCCATTTAGGTTATGGTTCACTAGGTACAAAGAAACCTTTAGGCCAAAGTTAAAATATGTAAGCAAGCTGCTTTGGGCTAAACCCGATTTAATACTTATGAATGCAGCATGGTTTTGCTCTTACGTGGCTCAGTTTCTGCTGGGTCATTCTGACACATGTGCCACCTGGTAATGACCTTTGATCTGAGGGGATTGGGAGATACTTGATAAATAGTATCCTCTTCTGTCCTGCCAGGGGACAATTCTAGGGTGAATTATACATGGCTTCTCAGAGACTTTCCAGCAGGATTATACTCCAGTTACCTAAAGCAATGAACAGTTTGAAAATGCACCCTTCCCCTATTTCATCCTGTCCAGTCCTTCCCACCATTAGAACCACTTCCCAACATCAACGATCTGCATGGGAGCACATTTCTCAGGCTCTGTTTGAAGACACCCACATTCCATACAGCCTTTCCTGGTGCCTCTGAGTCCTGGGCTTCTCAGTTTCTCTAGATAATTGTCTTACTTCTCATGGTGCCCTGCTCTGCCAGGGTTAGGAGCGCATCCAAATTCCCTGCCAAGGTAGTGGAAATTCCATCATAAGTTTACCACCTTGCAAATATCTGTGGATATTTGCTGTCTCCTTTTCCCATTCTCTTTGCTCTTGTAAGTTTCAATATTTTAATTTTGTATTGTTATTTTAGCTGGGGAGCACTGCAATATACAATAATCAAACTTTTTTTAAAACTCACAGATGGACTCAATAGCAGAATGGAAGTGACAAAGTGAAGATTTAGTGAACTTGAAGACAGAACAAAAGAAATGACTAACCTAATGACAGAGAAAGAAAAAAAAAGCAGAGCTTCAGATTTCAGGTATTATTGGGACTATAACAAACGATCAATCATTCATATCATTTGCCATTTTTTGGCACCTTTTGAAATATCCTTATGGTATTTCTCCTTTTTGTGTTGTTACGTTGTTGCTAATACGGTGAATTGCATTGATTGATTTTTTAAAAAACAGTAGGCCAAGCTTGCATTATCTTAGTGAGGATATATTACCCTTTTTGTTTATTAGTTGGATTTTATTTGTTAATATTTTGTTAATATTTACAGCTGTATTCATGGAGATATTGAAGGAAATGACATATAATAGAAAAATATGAAAGTAACAATGATCTGGATTTAAACGCATGTGTTATAGTAACAAAGACCAAGGAACACTTGGCTGTTAAGAAATGCAGACATGTATTATGTTTCTTATCTTAAATGGGGGTAGAGAGTTGGGCATAGCACCATGTCACTTTTGGTTTTGTCGTTTAGAGAAATGCTGATTTATTTGAAAAACTTAAAGGTGCTCACTGGCAGAATTTAAAAATCAGTTATGAGACAAAATAACACAAGAAAGATCAGCTATCAGTTATAACAATGAGTATAAATAAATTAAATTCCTTATGAAAAGACAAAAATTCTCAGACTGACTTGAAAAAAACAGCGTCCAACTCCAAATGTATGGTATTTTATAGGGTTACCATTAAAAACAAGTATCAGAGGCCAGATGCGGTGGTCCAAGCCTGTAATCTCAGCACTTTGGGAGGCCAAGGCAGACAAGGCATTTTTGTACAAAAAATACAAAAACTAGCTAGTTAATGTCTGTAATCCCAGCTACTCAGGAGACTGAGGCAGGAGGATGACTTGAGCCCGGGAGGCGGAGGTTGCAGTGAGCAGTGACTGCGCCACTGTACTCCAGCCTGGGCAACAGAGCAAGACTGTCTCAAAAAAAAAAAAAATCAGAAAACATTAAAAGTGCTTTCTTTCCTAGTTTTCTAACAACTTAAAAGTGCAGATGCTGAATTTTTTTATGCTTTCTTAAATATGCTGCTTTAAAAAAAACTGTATTGGACTATTAATATAACACATTATAGTAACGCATTTTCTTTCTTTCTTTTCTATTTTTGAGACAGAGTCCTGCTCTGTCACCCAGGCTGGAGTGCAGTGGTGCAATCTCAGCTCACCGCAACCTCCCCCTCCCAGATTCAAGTGATTCTTGTGCCTCAGCCTCCCAAGTAGCTGGGATCACGGGCACTACAGCTGGCTAATTTTTGTATTTTTAGTAGAGATGGGGTTTTGCCATATTGCCCAGGCTGGTCTCAAACTCCTGATCTCAAGTGATCCTCCCACCTCGGCCTCCCAACGTGCTAGGATTACAGGCGTGAGTACCACACCATGCCAGTAATACATTTTTTACTATTGAATTATCCTGTAGTTTCTGATATAAATAAGAAAAGAAAAGATGGCCAAAGGTTTATCAAACATGCCTAAACAAAAAGCAAATACATAAAGCAATGATAACAATACTAATATACAGAGAAGAAATCAAGGCAAAAGCCTCAAATGAGATACAAATGGCTATTTTATTTCACTGTATTTTTTGCTTATTTATCTTTGAGAGAGAGAAACCATACTCTAGGAAGCAGAGATAATACAGAACCTTATAAAATTTAAAGTTTAATTTTACTTTTGTCACACCCATGAACCCAGCTGTTCCTGAAAGGAAACCACTGTCCCATATGTTAATAAAGGTTACACTTCATGTACTTGGAAACTGTGAATACTATTGTGTCCAAATATAAATGCAGAAGAAGAAATGAATAGCATGCTACAGGATTTATTTATTTTTAGAGTGGGGGGGTCTCACTATGTTGCCCAGAGTGAAGTCCAGTGGCTATTCACAGGCCCAATCTCCTGGGTTCAAGCAATCCTCCCACCTCAGCCTCCCAAGTAGCTGGGACTATAGTATGGGATATTTTAATATATCATTCTCAGTCTCTGACAAACTTCACAAGCAACAGATAAACTAGACTATGGATGTTATAGTAAAATCAACAAGCTTACTTTAATAGCTGCATGTTATGTTGTACAATGGAGAATATACTTTTTTCCCGATGTAAATGAAATGTATTAGTCAACAAAGAAAATACTGATAAAATTTAAAAGCAGAAAACATATAGCACACATTATCTGACCACAATGTGCTAAAACAAAAAACTAGTAATGAAATTTTAAATTCTAAAGAATCAAGATACTTGGAATTTTAACTATAAATGTATTTAAACATTAATATGCATTACATAGAGGAAGAACTTCTAGATTCTAGAATCAATTTCCTTCAAATATTTTTTTCTCGTAGACTTATGTACATAAAAAATTATGAATTGAGCTTCAGTTTTACAATGATACAAGAAAAACATTGATTTTTATCCCGTGAAAAAAGGCATATAGATTTTGTTTGTTAACCTTATGAAGTTATAGACCACATGAAGTTGTGTATAAAAGTACAGTGGGCATGCTACTCATGGAAGAAAGTGGCATTTTCCTTGAATGGATTTGTTTTTTGCTGATCTTTGTCATCATGGCCATTGAAATCAGTAAGAGAAAAAAGAAAAAAATGAAATAGCAAACACTTCAACAATTATCTGGCATATATACCAGATAATTTATTAGCTATAAAGAAAGAGAAGTAAGGCCGGGCATGGTGGCTTACACTTATAATCCCAGCACTTTGGGAGGCCAAGGCAAGAGGATCACTGGAGGCCAGGAGTTTGAAGCCAGTCTGGGCCAACATAGCAAGACCCCATCTTTAAAAAAACAAAAAAAAACAAATTAACCTTTAAAACAGAAAAAAAAAAAGAAGAAGAAGAAATAGAAGAGATGAGAGACTCAATAAAAGAAAAACTTGTCAAGATGTGGCTAAATTAAATAATATTTTCCCAACATGATAATATTATTTTGACATCATATTCTACAGTAAGAAGTGGCAGGGTTTTTGGTTTTGAGTCAACACCTCTTGTTACCATGAGATCACATCAACTGTGGCTTCCACATCCATTTTCAATGGTGCCTGCAAGGGTGTTTGATCAGTGGCAAATCAAATGAGGATTTGCTCTTTCCCCATGACAAAGCCTGTTGCTCTAAGTGAACTTTCATTAGTTTACAGCTGTGTGAATTTCAATCTTTTTCTTTATTTTAATTAATTTATTTTTTATTTTTGTAAAGATGGGGTCTTGCTATGTTACCCAGGCTGGTCTGGAATTCGTGGACTCAAGCAATCCTCCCACCTTGACCTCCCAAAGTGCTGAGATTACAGAAGCGAGCCACCATGCCCGGCTGTGTCTCTCAATCTTAAACTGCACCAGAGAAACACTCTGCCCTGAGGACTTCACATTAATATGATTGTTGTTTTAGTGGTTGACTCACTTCTCAGAATTTACCTCTGTCTGAGTTGATGCCAGAGTCTCCTGGGTTGTGACTTCACAAATGAGACACCTGAAGACATGGTGCTCTCACCAGGAGTCACAGACTAATGAAGTGGAATGGAGGGGTCCATTTGGGTTTTCTCCTTTGCGGTTCTTTGTATATTTAGGCTTTCTACAATGTTCCCCATGGCTAGTCTACATTTATTCTGTTTTATAGGATAGGTTTTGTTTTTGTTGTGTTTCAAGAACTTATTTAATGAGTTATTTAATGAGTCTTCTAATTCGTTATTTGGTTTGTTGCTATTCATTCTTTTTTTTAAAAAAAGAATATTGCTGTCATCCTTTAAACATTTTTTTATTTGCTTATTGAATTTTCAAAAAACTCTAGGATCCCACTTTTAGTGTAATAACCATTTCAACATTTTCTGCAGAATCAGAGGAGGTCTGTGGGGAGGAAATTGTCATTCTATGACACTAAAGCCCTCCCTACCACTCAAAGGAAACTGTCTCCAGCACCACAGTTCTTTAGATTCTCCTGTCTCTGCTTTTTTCCTGGAGCTCCTTAAATCTGTCACTGCATTAAAAGATTTCATATTGTTCTCATTTGAAAATTTTTTTTCCTTTTCCTTTTACAGGAGTAAAGTTCTTATTACGAGTTGCATAGTTTTTAAATTCCTACACGTCAGGAGAAACCTTTTTGCCTTCTCCCACTTTGATGCTAATAAGACTAAAAATAGAAATCTAGCTTCAAAAGCTCCATAGAAGGGAAGAGAGAAGGAAAGGGAAAGGAGAAAGGAGGGGAAAAAAAAGGGGATAGAGTTAAACTGGCCCAAAAATTCCATGACATTCTTGAATAACTTATGATTGCCCCAGGGCCCTTGTTTTGGTTGTGTATACTACGTAGTAATCCTAAAACTTAGTGGCATAAAGCAAAGCCCATTTATTTTTACTATCTCCAATGATTCTGTGGGTTAACTGGGCTCAGTTGGGCCGGTTTTCTGTCCCCAGTGATGTGGGCTGCTCCTGAACTCATTGGGGCTTTCCACCGGTTGACACTATTCTGATAGCTCCCTCCAGTGCTGGCAGGGATGCTGGCTGTTGGCTGGAGGACCCTCACTTGGCCCTTCTATGTGGCTTCTGCTTTCCACAGCATGACAACTGGGGCTGAGAGTTTCCAGAGGAAGGAAGTGGAAGCTGTCCATCCTCTTCAAGGCCAGGGCTGGAACTGGGGTGCTGCCCCTCCCTCTCCAGTGCTTTGAATTTGTTGGCTGTAGAGCTTCTCCAGAGGCGTCTTCAGGAAAATTCTCTCTTCCATCTGATATTTTGGGCTGTGGTATTTTCCCTCTTTTTGGTCCTGAAAACTTGTCTATATCTATCTTGCATATTTACTTGTAGCTTTGTAGTCTGCTCTCTTTCTTTGCTTTCCAGCACTCTGCCATTTTATTGCTTTGGCATCTTTTTTAAAATTTATCTTTCTTTGAGACAGGGTCTCACTCAGTTTTCCAGGCTTGAGTGCAGTGGCCCAATTACGGCTCACTGCAGCCTCAACCTCCCAGGCCCAAGTGAAGTGATCCTCCCGCCTCAGCCTCCTGAATAGCTGGGACCATAGGCATGTACTGCCACACTTGGCTAATGTTTTGATTTTTCATATAAACGGGGTCTCCCTATGTTGTCCAGGCTGGGTTTGAACTCCTGGGTTCTAGTGGTCTTCCTGTCTTAATCTCCCAAGGTGCTGGGATTACAGGTATGAGCCACCATGCCTGGCCTCCATTTGTAAATTATTAATTTGGTCCTTCTTTTGGACAGCAGTTGTTTCACGTACATTTTTTCAGGAAGATTTTATTAATGCTAAACTTATAAAGTTCTTACATATCTATATATATATACACATATATATATATATATATATATTTTTTTTTTTTTTTTTTTGAGACAGAGTCTCGCTCTGTCGCCCAGGCTGGAGTGCAGTGGCACAGTCTCGGCTCACTGCAACCTCTGCCTCCTGGGTTCAAGCGATTCTTCTGCCTCAGCCTCCCAAGTAGCTGGGATTACAGGCGCGCGCCACCACGCCCAGCTAATTTTTGTATTTTTAGTAGAGACGGGGTTTCACCATATTGGCCAGGCTGGTCTGGAACTCCTGAGCTTGTCATCTGCCCGCCTCAGCCTCCCGAAGTGCTGAGATTACAGGCGTGAGCCACCGCGCCCGGCCAGTTCTTGCATATTTAGGAATGTATTTCCCATGCTTTTAAAATTGAAAGATATCCTGGCCAAGTAAGAATTCTTGTGTTCTATTTCTTCTTCTCAACATTTCCCATTATCTTGTTCAGCTAGTGTTGCTGTGGATGGGAGTCTAAAGCCTGCCTGACATATATTCTTTCCCCTTAAAGTTGACAAGTTTCTTCCGCCTGGATGCTTGCAAGACTTTTCCTTATCCTTGAAATTAATTCATCAGGATATGTCTTAATCTTGTTAGAACTCATCAGCCTTTCCTGCATACATTGTTTCAACCTGAAGATTTAGATCTTTTCTTTCAGGAGAATTGCCTATGAAATCTTTGAATACTTTTCTGTTCCATTTTTGTTGGTTTTTCCCTGGGAATGCGTATTATGTGTGTGCTGAATCTTCCTTGCTTCTTTTCACATCTGTGACTCAGATGTTAGCTAAAGTCACTTGGCCCTTTGAGAACTAGATAACTGGTTAAGTCCCAGCCAGCTCCAAGACCTATAAAAACCATAGACCTCACAATGTCAACTAAATCCTGTCTCTGTTTCTCTTCATATTCCCACAGCTATAAAACACATACCTTTTTTTTAAATTGGTTTTCCCAAGAAAGCAACTAACACCAGCGTCCTTAAGCTTTGAGGGTTTGTGACCTTCTGTTCCTTGTTTCCTCTCTCATAGACGGTGGCCCCAGTCCCAAATTCTACCCCCATGTGGGTGCAGAGTAACTTCTCTCTTTCCTTAAAACCTTCTTACCAACTTAGCAAGCCTGGAGTTGGGAGTGGGGTGGGCTTGGGGAACTTAGAACTCACTTCTACCCTTACAATCTGCTCAACTGAAGGCTTTAGTTACAGGTGCATTCAGGGGTTCAAATGACGTCATCAAGCTTCTATTTCCCACTCTTCCTCTCAGGTTATGTTTGTCTCTGCCTCTTTTTGCATTTGGCCTCACTCTGTCCTGACACAAATATGTTCATTACATGTGGCAGGAGAGATGGCTGCTGGTAGTCCCAATCCTGTGTATAAACTTACAATTCATGGTATGAAAGCGAGACACTCCCTCCCTTTCCCAGTATTTCCTATATTAAATTTCTTGAAAGAAATATAACTGGACTTGATTGGGTCAATGCCCAATTGTATTGTGTAAACACGGCTGGGGTGGTGTGGTTGGACGGGGGTGGATTGTATACCCACCCCATAGCCAGGCCCATGGGAATCATATGGGATCTGTGAAGACCAATTCTCCAGTGTAAAGAGGAGTGTTTTGTTGAGAGGACAAAAGCAACAGATGTCTACCACACCTCACACTCTTTGGTATGGAAATGTGCCCTAGCTGTATTCTCTTTCCTTCCCCTGGATCATCCTGCCTCTAGTTAAGAGTTATTTTCAGGGCCTTTCAGAGCCTTTCACATATATATATATATATATATATCCTGTTAAAGATTTGGGGAACTTGCATGGGCTTGCATTTTCATCTCTCTTGTGATTCTTTTTTTCTTCTTCTGTCTTCCCAGTAGATTTCAGGGAGAGGAGTTAACGGTGGGAAGTTACTTTTATGAAAGGTCTTATGTTTGGTTTTGTTTTGCTTGCCTGTGAAATATGGTGGAATAAATAAGAATGGGGGAAAAGACTGAAGGGAAAATGACCTCATAAATGCCAATCTTTCAGAGAGAAATTGGGGTTGCTGCAGTGGTTTCACATACGAGGGGCTCAGTGAATTACGACAGAGCAATTCCATGGGTAAGAATGCCCAATCAGCTAGATACCTGAGTCAAAGAAAAATCTTGCCTTGAAGCTATTCATTGAAAGCAATACATACGTGTTGAGCACTTGAAGATTTGCTAGGCACTAAGCTAAGTACTGAGTATAAACATGGGTGATTAAAACAGACTATGTCTTAAGAGCTTGAAACCTTGCTTTTGTGTTGTATAAATCTTTTACTTCCTCCGTGCACTCCATTCTTTATTATAAATGATGCTTTTAGAAGATTTCACAGTATTTCTTTTCTTTTTTAAAAAATACTTTTATGTGTAATATAGCCACCATTTATTGAGGTCCTGTTGTGTTATATACATTTTATATACACTATCTCTAATCTTCTACAGACGAGAACACAGGTTTTGTTTTTCATTTGTTTGTTTGTTTGTTTGTTTTTTGACAGAGTTTCGCTCTTGTTGCCCAGGCTGGAGTGCAATGGCGCAATCTCGGCTCACTGCAACCTCCACCTCCCGGGTTCAGGACATTCTCCTGCCTCAGCATCCCGAGTAGCTGGGATTACAGGCATTCACCACCACACCCGGTAATTCTGTATTTTTAGTAGAGATGGGGTTTCTCCATGTTCGTCAGGCTGGCCTCTAACTCCAGACCTCAGGTGATCCACCCGCCTCCGCCTCCCAAAGTGCTGGGATTACAGGTGTGAGCCACTGCGCCCAGCTGAGAACAGAGGTTTAAGGAGTTATGTTGATTCCTCAAGATCAAGTGGCAGAATTTGAATGAAATGAAAGCAGTTTCGCAGAGATATCTGCACTCCCATGTTTATTGCAGCATAAGTCACAATAGCCAAGATACAGAAACAACCTATACAAATGTGGATGAATAAATGGATGAAGAAAATGTGGTATATATGTGTACTGGAAACACATAT
The DNA here is from genome assembly GCF_000001405.40 of Homo sapiens. Classification (NCBI taxonomy): domain Eukaryota; kingdom Metazoa; phylum Chordata; class Mammalia; order Primates; family Hominidae; genus Homo; species Homo sapiens. Next base: position 3,394,045 of record NC_000018.10, read on the forward strand.
ATACTTTTAAGAAGGAAAGAAATCCCGTCGTTTGTGACAATCTGGAGGATATTATGCTAAGTAGAGTAGGCCAGACACAGAAATGTCCCATGATCTCCTTTACATGAGGAATCTAACAGAGTCAAGCTCCTAGGAGCCGGGGAAGTAGAACAGTGGTTACCGGGGGCTGGGGAGTGGGAAAAATGGGAGATATTGGTCAAGAGGTGTGAAGTTTCACTTAGAAAATGAGTAAGTTCTGGAGATCTAATGTACAGTCTGCTGACTATGGTTGACAATACTGTATTGTCTACTTGAAATTTGCAAAGAGAGTGGATCTTAAATGTTCTCATCACACCACACAAATGGTAGCTATGTGAGGTAAGATTGTATTGTTAATCAGCTTGATTACGGCAATCATTTCATGATGTATTTCATGATGTGTATCAAAACATCGCATTATACCTTAAACACATACAACTTTTCTTTGTCAATTACAGCTCAAGAAAGCTGAGGGACAAAACCAGCTGGCAGAGCCAGGTTGGGAGCTGTAATCTCCAGTCTTTCTCCAACTGTGATTTCTCCCTCAAAGCTTTTCTTTGCATGTTCTCATCTCTGGCTCCCTAGGGTAGCTGCCTCCTACTCTCATGGTTCCTCTTTGTGACCCAGTTTACCTTTCCTACTGGCCGACACCACAGTATCTGGCCTGTCTTGGGTCAGGTGTCCATCCTTGGTCCAATCAGCTGTGAGTGGTGTGGGAGAGCTTATTAGAGGCAGAAGTCTCCTTAGAAGAGGATGTGAATGCTCATTCTCTCTCCTGCTGCCATGTGAAGAAGGACATGTTTGTTTCCCCTTCCACCATGATTGTTTCTGCTGCAGCCCAGCTCCTGGACTGGCCCCAGGTTCTGGCCCTAAGGGTTTCGATCCAAGCATCATTCACTGTCGCACATGTTTGGCAGCAAGACCCAGCCCACTGTCTTAGGTAAGCCCAAGGCTCCCCGTTTGGTCACTCTGTTCCCGCCCTCCTCTGAGGAGTTCCAAGCTAACAAGGCCACCCTAGTGTGTCTCATGAATGACTTCTACCTGGGCACCGTGACAGTGGCCTGGAAGGCAGACGGCATCATCATCACCCAGGACGTGGAGACCACTAAGCCTCCCAAACAGAGCAAGAAACAGGCCAGCAGCTACCTGAGCCTGATGCCTGAACAGTGGAGATCCCGCAGCAGCTACAACTGCTGGGCCATGCATAAAAGGAGCACCCTGGAGAAGACAATGGCCCATACAGAATGTTCTTAGGTCCCTGGCCCTCACCCCACCCATGGAGGCCTGGAGCTGGAGGATCCCAGGGGAGGTGTCTCTCCTCCCATCCCAAGTCATCCAGCCCTTCTCCCTGTACCCAATAAACCCTCAATAAGTATCCTCATTGTCAAACAGAAAAACAAAAACAAAACAAAAAAAAGAAGATGTGAATATTAGTGAAGACCACTGGCCTTCAACACAGATACACCTGAATGCATGATTTCATTAACTTGTTAATATGACTTTATTGGATTTTGTGTCATAGCCAGCAGAGGACTTGCCAAGAGTCATCTCATGCAGATGACAAAGCTAGCCAACATCTGAATGAGATCAATATCAAAAAGTGACAGGTCAGGCTTGGCAGCACGCACCTGCAGTCCCAGCTACTCAGGAAGCTAGATAGGTGGATTGCTTGAGCCCAGGAGTTGGAGTCCAGCCTGGGCAACGTAGTGAGACCTGACTCTATTTTTTTATTTTTATTTTTAATTTTTGGGGGTAAATGTAGGTATATATATTTAATGGAGTACATGAAATGTTTTGATACAGGCAGGCAAAGACTTCAACTCTTAAAAAAATGACAATCTAAATGTCAAAAAACAGAGTGGTTAAGCAATTAGAGTATATGTTGTGATATTAAATAATCTTCAAGAGTTATATTCTTTTCTGTTTTTCTTTCTTTCCTTTTTTTTTTTTTTTTTTTGGAGACAGAGTTTTACTCTTGTTGCCCAAGCTGGAGTGCAATGGTGCCATCTGGGTTCACCACAACCTCCGCCTCCCAGGTTCAAGCAATTCTTCTGCCTCAGCCTCCCGAGTAGCTGGGATTACAGGCATGCGCTACCACGCCCAGCTAATTTTGTATTTTTAGTAGAGATGGGGTTTTTCCATGTTAGTCAGGCTGGTCTCAAACTCCCGACCTCAGGTGATCCGCCCTCCTCGGCCTCCCAAAGTGCTGGGATTACAGGCGTGAGCCACCACGCCCAGCCAAGAGTTATATTTTCAAAAGATTTTGATTACATGGAGAAATTCCCGAAATATATACTAAGTGAAAAAAAAAAGAAAAAAGAAAAGCACAGTAAAATTCTAAATGCATCATATGTAAATGAACATAATGTGCATTTTTAATGATTAGAAGGTAATATGAAGTTAAAAAGCGGATAAAGGTCAGGGCACAGTGGCTCACACGTGTAATCCCAACACTGTGGGAAGCCAAGGCAGGAGGATGGCTTGAGCCCAGAAGTTCGAGACCAGCCTGGGCAACATGGCGAAACCTCATGTCTATCAAATAATACAAAATTAGCTGGGTGTGTGGCACGTGTCTATAGTCCCAGCTGCTCAGGAGGCTGAGGTAGGAGGATGGCTAGAGCCTGGGAGGTTGAGGCTGCAGTAAGCCAAGATTGTGCCACTGCACTCCAGCCTGGGTAACAGGGCGAGACCTTATCTAAAAAGAAAAAAGGAAAAAGGGAAATCGAGATAATCAAAAGAATTCCAGAAACAGGAAAGAAAGGCAAGAAAACATAGGCTTCTTGGCATCGGTGTCAAGAACCAGAGGTAGAGAGATCCCAGAGCAGACAGACACATGATAGATTTTTATATTTTGGTAAAAATATTTGGTAGCAGAGTTAGCTGCCTCTGTTGGGTTTATGATTTTTAAGCTTACTAAGTATGTTGGCATAGGGAAGGTAATGCTTTCCCAAGTATCTCTGATTTTTGGAGAACTTTCCTCTCTCGGCTGGAATGCTAGGCTGATCGTCTGGCTTACAAAGTAGCCCCCTGTTTAGACAAAGTGAAATGTCGATCTCAGTTACCTCGTTCACTTCCAAGTTCACCATGGAAGCTCTGAAACTTCAGAGCAGAGAAAGCAAACCCTAAACTGTGCTCACCTTGCTCTAGCAAAAAGAAACCAAACAGGTTCAACCTGTAACTGCCTATAGACCTTTCCCATTTCCTCACCCCAGAGAGTTTTGAGATCATTCCACAAAGATACCAGCTTTTCATATTTGGGCCTAAATGAAATGCTCAGGTCCCAGGACCTCCTACGCTTATAAATTGGCTCCAAGACACAACACATCTACTGTTTGCTTCTGTCACACCCACATACATTTTGAGGTTGTGGAGGCAGATTTTTGTGGATAAGGAAGGAATACATTCCATAAACACAAACTGGAAAACCATTGATTAGATGGAACAGGGAAGAAAGTCTAGGAAAGAAGGCAGGGCCACAAGCTGGACATGAGTCAACAAAGCAACAGAAACAGGCACACACACAGTGTTTGAGGATGTTCAATGAAAGCATTGTCTGTAAGACAATTCTATTTCTTTCTCTGGCCCTCTCTAGTGAAGACACAAGTCGAGTATTGTTGCAGACAGAACCACAATGATAGCAGAGAGTCGGGAAAACAAACTGTGAGGACAGAGTGAATAAAAACTAAGATGTTTATACAAGTGCAATAGTAATCAATAAATATATGAGTGCTTGCATTTAAAGAAATAGCAAGGTAGTGAGAAGGGAATAATTGTGGGGATTAATTCCCACCATTTGCTGGCAGAAGCATAAGGTCCAATGATCAAATTCAAAGGTTTAAGTCAAGCATTCTGAGCTTAAGGGGAAGGGAAAAGTCTCCCCCAGTCTGGGATAAGCTCTACCTTCAAGCTGTTCGGATAAAATAGCGGCTAACATTTGTTGCATTATGCCATTGTCATGCACCCTCCCAAAGCCTTAGATGTATTAGCTTATTGACTCCTCACAGAAACACTATGAAACAGGTGTGATTGGATGCACATTTGACAAATTATGAGACTGAGATAAATAAAGTTTAAGTAGCTTAGCCAAGGTCTTGCTGCTATTGTCAGGACAAGATTTTTAATCGAGGAACCCAGCTGTTACCCAGGAGGCTGGAGCTCCAGTTTTCTTTCTTTCATATATATATATATATATAATTTTTTTTTTCTTAGACAGGGTCTTGCTCTGTCACCCAGGCTGGACTGCACTGGTGAGATCTTAGCATACTGCAGCCTCCAGCTCCTGGGTTCAAGCAATTCTCATGCTTCAGCCTCCTGAGTAGCTGGGATTACATGTGTGTGCCACCATGCCCAGCTAGTTTTTTCTATTTTTAGTAGAGACGGATTTCACTGTGTTACCCAGGCTGATCCTGAACTCCTGGCCTCAAAGTGATCCACCCACCTCGGCCTCCCAAAGTGCTGGGATCGCGGGCGTAAGCCACCGCGCCCAGTTGGAGCTCCAGTTTTCATACAATGCACACATTTGAAAGCTTGCTATTTGGCCTCCCCTTTTAGTTTATTATTGTGATAGTTAATTTCACATGTCTTAAAGTTACTTAATTGTGCCAGGGGTGCTCAGATTAAATATTGTTCTGGGGGGGCTGGGCATGGTGCCTCACACCTGTAATCCTAGCACTTTAGGAGGCCCAGTTGGGCAGGTCCCCTGAGGTCAGGAGTTCGAGACCAGCCTGGCCAACATGGTGAAACTCTGTCTCTACAAAACACAAAAATTAGCCAGGCATGGTTGTGGGTGCCTGTAATCCCAGCTACTTGGGAGGCTGAGTGAGGCAGGAGAATCGCTTGAACCCAGGAGGCGGAGGTTGTGGTGAGCTGAGATCGCACATTGCACTGCAGCATGGACAACAAGAACAAAATTCCATCTCAAAAAAAAAATAAAACATAAATAAATAAATATTGTTCTGGGTGTGCCTGTGAGGGTGTTTCTGTCTGAGATCAACATCGGGATCAGTGGACTTGGTAAAGTAGATTACTCTCTCCAATGTGGGTTGGCACCATCCAATTCATTTCCAGCCTGAAAAGAACAAAAGGTGGAGGAAGGAAGAATTTGCCCCCTTTTGCTTCCAGCCTGGCTACTTGAGTTAGGGGAGGTCTTCTCCTGCCCTTGGACTGGGATTTACAACGTGGGCTTCCCTGGATCTCAGGCCTTCAGACTAAGACTGGACTTTCCTGGGTCTCCAGCTTACAGATGGCAAGACCTTGGGACTTCTCAGCTTCCTAATCATGTGAGCCAATTTCTTATAATAAATCTCTGTATCCTATCTATATCTATAGCTGCATCTTTATCTGCATCTACCTCCTATTGGTTCTGTTTCTCTGGAGAATCCTGACTAATACAATTATAGTACCCCAATCTGCTCAGGAGTCTGACATAACTTTGGGGAACTGGGCAGAGATATTATGAGTGACTCTGCCTTCAAAAAGTCCCCCTTTCTTCTTTCCAGCTTCTAATCAGCTTCAAGAAACATCCTGGAATCCATAAAAAATACTTTTCACGATGTCTGCTCATCACAAGAACTTCTTAGAATAAACCAAGATTTAGTTCTTGTAACAGTGTATATTTGCACACAGTTGTGTAAGTCCTTACTTTTTTTTAACAATTGTTCTCACTTATTTCTTACAAAACCCCAAAAGCACTTTGAGGCTGGTATTATTCTCCTCCTTCTACAGGTGAGATAACTAAAGTTCTGAGAGCTTAGGTGACTTGTCAAAGGTCACTTAGCCAACACGTAACACAGCCAGCACTAGAATCCAAATTCAATGAGTGGTCTTATGTCATGGAACCTCTGGAGGCCAGAAAAAGTCCCTATTCTTTGGGATCTCTCATGTCACTAATATGGTAATACAGAATCCATAAGAGATCTTAAATAGATATTGTTGAAAGATTTCAGTAACAGAGACTGGGCACAGTGGCTCACGCCTGTAATCCCAGCACTTTGGGAGGCTGAGGCAGGTGTATCAACTGATGTCAGAAGTTTGAGATCAGCCTGGCCAACACGGTGAAACCCCGTCTCTACTAAAAATAGAAAAATTAGCCAGGCATGATGGTGGGTGCCTGTAATCCCCAGCTACTCGGGAGGCTGAGGCAGGAGAATCGCTTGAACCTGGGAGGCTGAGGTTGCAGTGAGTTGAGATCACACCATTGCACTGCAGTCTGGGTGACAAGAGTGAAACTCTGTCTCAAAAAAAAAAAAATTTCAGTAGCAGAAAGAATTTTAAAGTGCTAGTTTAAAACTGGAGTGGTGCCTGTATTCTGAAGTAGAAGCTTGGAAGATATTTTTATTTTGTTCTAGAAGGGAACTTTTCTGAGCCCTTTCAGTTCATCTTTCTTAAGGATAGCTAGCGGTTGAATAATCTGAATGCACATATTTCAGACTGAGATGGTAGGTGTTGTTTAATAATATAATGCTGTCATTAATATAACTTTCAATAATGTAAAGGTACAGAATGTTGTGGTTTGAATGTGCCCCTCAAACTTCACATGTTGGAAATTTAATCCCCCAATTCAAATGCTGATTGGAGATGAGTCCTTTCAGAGGCAATTAGGATTAGAGGAGGTCATCAGGGTGGGGGACCCACAACAGGACTGGTGGCTACATGAGAAGAGGAAGAGAAGCCTCAGGTGACACTCACCCTCTTGCCCTCTCACCATGTGATGCTCTCTTTCATGTTATCATGTAGCAAGAAGGCCCTTAATCAGAGGCTGGTGCAATGCTCTTGGACTTTCCAGCCTCTAGAACTATAAGAAATAAGTTTCTTTTCTTTATAAATTACCAGTCTTAGGTATTCAGTTAAAGCAACAAAAAATGGACTAAGGCAGGGAGTGTCTTTGTCTTGAGCAGAGATTTTCTTTATAATTTCTACAAGATTTTTGCTTCTTATACCTGAAAGTAGTAGAAGTGAGGGAGATGAAAAGGAGGAACTGAGCCTGAACAACAAAGTGGTAGGCTGAGGATGGAAAACAGATGGCCCAAGGGGATTTCAACTGAAGGAGTGTGGCCAACGGGTGGCACTAGCAGTGATAATAGATATCCAGATTTAAGGTTCCCTTTTCTGCAGAACAGTTCCTTTGTGTCCATCTCTACCCATGTAAAGTCTTAAACATGGCAGCCTTGCCTTCCATCCTTTGAAAAATAAGGCCCAGGGCTCTGCACCTAGTGTAGGAGGGGAAGAGGTGACGGAGAAGGGTAGCAGGCTGAAAAATAGTTATGAAACAGCCAGAGGTGAATGGCAGAGAAGCCTTGAGGTGTGGGGAGTATAAGATCTGAGACAAGATAACCAGAATGAAAGTGTGAAGAGGATGGCCAGGCATGGTGACTCACGCCTGTAATCCCAGCATCTTGGGAGGCCAAGGCAGGTGGATCACCTGAGATCAGGAGTTCAAGACCAGCCTGGCCAACATGGCAAAACCCCATCTCTACTAAAAAGACAAAAATTTGCCAGGCGTGTTGGTGGGTGCCTGTAATCCCAGCTACTCTGGAGGCTGAGGCAGGAGAATCACTTGAACCTGGAAGGTGGAGGTTGCACTGAGCTGAGATCATGCTACTGCACTCCAGCCTGGGCAACAGAATGAGACTCTGTCTCAAAAAGAAAAAAAAAAAAAGAAAATGTCAAAAAGAGAAGCAACCCTCACCTACCTTGAAGGAGACTCAGAAACGGCTGTGGAGGAAATTGGACTTGCTGCAGACAAGTAGGGTGGGAGTTTCAGCTGCTTTGTATAGGCTTTAAATAGACGTGTTCCCTTGGCCACATACACACACCCAAGTTCATACATATGCCCACAAGCATGTTGAAAGCTGGAGGACCCGGGGAACATTCAGGTTACTTTTGTTAAATACATGAACTACCATATATCCTGAATCTTAGAAGAGAAATGTATATAACCAGAAAATGATATTACCTTATACTCAGACTGTCTTTGTGGGTGATGGGGGACAGTGATTGATAGTAAGTGAAGGGAAATGAAACCATACAAGTAACAGAACTGCAACTAGAGGGAAAATTATTTATTCAAGCCATATGTAAATATGTGCCTTTTTGAAAGTACAGCTTTGTCACTCCTAATGGTTTTAGACATCTGAGAGGGGCCCTGTGCTATAGCCCAGAGAGATCACTGTTTCGACCCGGGGAATTCAGGTTCTATTGACATTCATTTTTATAAGGAATACAGTAGATATCTGAGTAACAAAAAACAGTCTGTAATTATTTACATACATGAAATAATCCTGTTTGTATATTTGAAATAACTGCTATCTATTAACAGAAAGAAAATATTAGTATACAGTAGGTACATCCAGTCATAATGGGCAGTTTGACATTTCTGGAAGAGCCATCTGCAATAAAACAATAGTATTGTAAATATTTGCAAGACAATAATTAAACTCAGCACTGAGGTGAACTCCACACTGATTTTAGTTATTGTTTTTCTTCAGATTCTACAAAGAGTGAAGTACTCCAAAGAAATCTTTACATTCTAAAAAGATCTAGTTTTTATCATGATGCATTGTTTTAATACTCTAAAACTACTTGTCTGTGAGACTATGCTTTTTAGGAATGAATGTGATTCTGTTACTTCTAATGTGATGACAGTAACTCCTGGGTACATTTTAATCTTTGCAATATTTTAACTCAAAATAAAAACCATCCACTAGTGTGAAATATTTCAATGACATGATTCCAATACAGATTCAAGATGAAAACATCAGGTTTCCTTCAAAAGGAATTTTACTCTCCTTTTAGGAAATTGTGTAGGTATTTATATGAGTTAATTTTGAGAATTTTTAGCTAATCATACATTTATTCATCAGTAAGTGATTGAAATCGAGTCCTTTTAGACAAGGAAACCCAATTAAGATGGTGTGGTGGTTGAACTGGGTCCCCTCAAAAAACATATGTTGAAATCCTAATCTCCAGAACCTCAGAATGTGACCTTATTTGGAAATAGGATCATTGAAGATCTAATTAGTTAACATGAGATCATACTGGAATGGGGAGGCCTCCTAATCCACTATGATTGGTACAGGATGATAACCATGTGAAGACAGACACACACAGGAAGAATGTCATGTGACCATGTGACCACAGAGGTAGTGATTAGAGTTATGCAGCTACAAGCCAAGCACTGCTTGTGACACCAGAAACTAAGAGAAAGGCATGCACAGATTCTCCCTAGAGCTTTTGAGAGAGCATGGCCCTACCAACGCATTAATTTCAGACTTCCAGCCTCCAGAAGTATGAGATGATAAATTCCTGTGTTCTGAAGCCACCCAGCTGTGATATTTTGCTATCACAACCCTGGGGAATAAAAACAGATGGGAACAGATGTACCCACCTGTCTTTGTGTCTATGACATAGTACAAAGGGCATAGGCTTTGGGGTCCAGCAGAAATGGAAATTAACCCCAACCCAGTCAATTCTTTCCTATGTGACTTTACACAGGGTAATTAGGGTAGCCGATTTCCTCAGCAACATGATAGAAATAAGATCTTCATAAGATACAGGCATGGTGGTGCATGCCTGTAATCCCAGCTATTCAGGAGGCTGAGGCAGGAGGATAATTTGAGCCCATGAGTTAGAGACCAACCTGAGCAACATAGCAAGACTCCATCTCAAAAAAAAAAAAAAAAAAAAAAAAGATTGTTGAAGGCATCAATTGGTGATTGGTGAATATATGAAAGTTATGGGACACATAGTTTCTCAAAAAATACTAATTTACAACCTGTATATATGAGCTCATTTAAGTAGTCCGTTAATATTATTTTATGTGGTCAAGGAAATTAAAAGCTTTTTTTTCTTTTCAATAATTAAAAAAAAAATAGTATCTATAAATCTGAACTTCTAGTGACCTGGATGTTCAGTAACATTTTTGTCAGTAATGATAAAAAAATGAATTATTCATAGTTAATGGGAAATAGACAACCATTTTATTTATGTGCTCTACAGTTCTGTTCAGTCAAAGAAACTCTAGTCCCCTGGTTTAAAGAACACTCTGGAAAGGAAGTGTCCCACACAAGAGATGTGGTGGATGAAAACTCCCTATAAAAAGTTTATCCCTTTAATTATATGCTAAAAATATATATTTTTAGAAATAGTAAAATGATAGTCTTTCCAAGAGTACTGTAATGTGAATTATCCAACCTAATGACTCAGTTTAAAAGTCTGAATTATGTATTAGTCTCACTAGAAAGGGATAAAATTTGTCATTCAGTATGGGGGAATGACATATTATTTATGTGATCATCCTTCTGAGATCCCATTAAAATAATAGTAAAGAAATTAGGCTGGGCATGGTGGCTCATGCCTGTAATCCCAGCACTTTGGGAGGCCTAGGCGGGTGGATCACGAGGTCAGGAGATCGAGACCATCCTGGCTAACACGGTGAAACCCTGTCTCTACTAAAAATACAAAATAAAATTAGCTGGGCGTGGTGGTGGGTGCCTGTAGTCCCAGCTACTCGGGAGGCTGAGGCAGGAGAATGGCATGAACCCAGGAGGCGGAGCTTGCAATGAGCCAAGATCGCACCACTGCACTCCAGCCTGGGCAACAGAGCGAGATTCCGTCTCAAAAAAAAAAAAAGAAAAAAGAAATTAAAAGAGGCAGAATCTAAGGGCAAAGGTCAATTAAGAGAAAAGAAAGATCTAATGATGATCACCGATCATCATCAGTGATCTAAATCTTTCAATAAACTTCTAGAAGACAGAGCAGGAAGTGATAACTAGAGAAACACAGTGGAGGTAAAGGAACTCAAAATATGCCACTCAGGCTGGGCACAGTGGCTCACACCTGTAATCCCAGCACTTTGGGAGGCAGAGGCAGGTGGATCACCTGAGGTTGGGAGTTCAAGACCAGCCTGACCAACATGGACAAAACCCCGTCTCTACTAAAAATACAAAATTAGCTGGGCATGGTGGCGCATGCCTGTAATCCCAGCTACTCTGGAGGCTGAGGCAGGAGAATCGCTTGAACCCGGGAGGCAGAGGTTGCAGTGAGCTGAGATCACACCACTGCACTCCAGCCTGGGCGACAGAGTGAGACTCCATCTCAAAAAATATAAATAAATAAATAAATATGCCACTCTGGCAAATAGACTATTTTGAGTTAAGGGTCTTGAAAAAAACAGCAAGAACAAGATCACTCTGACCTTCCTACTGCTTATTAAAAGCAGATGATTAAATTCCTGTGTGACAAATGTTCTCCCTGTACCGGAAGGAAAATATCACTCTTATCATCATCAAGGACAAGAAGTTGAGGCCAAGGAAAATCTGTACCAACAAACCATGTTAGACTAATCCTTATCCTCCCAGCCACTTCTCTGTCCAATGAACCACCCTAGCTCAAGCTCCTTTGCCTTGTCACATTTTCACAATTTACTTTGCGTTGTCTACTTCAGTATCTCTGTGTTTATCTCTAACTGCCTCCTTGAGTCTCCATTCCTTTTTGAAGGCTCCCATGCCATGTAAAACTTGCATTAAATAAATGTGCATGCTTTTCTTCCACTGCTATAGCTTATGTCAATTTAAGTATCAGGCTCAGCCAAAAAACCCTAAAAGGGTAGAGATAAAAATTTTGCTTCCTCTATAAAGGGAATTTCAGCCAGAAGGATGCATGGAGAGACCATATCTGTGAAGGAAGCCAATCTGCCTGCAGGACCCAATGTGCACGGGCTCAGAAAATTCACTTCCCGCATTATCTTTTCTTTGCAAATTAATTGGCAATGTGCCTCAACAATACAAAAGAGTAAAGCAAGGAAAAGACACGAGGATCCAGGAAACAGTGGTTTCAAATGAGGTAAGTAATTAAGGGAAGTCCCTGGGTGATAGCTGTGTAGCAGATCAAGGCAGCAAGCAACAAAGGCCTTAGGAGGAAGTTATCTTGAGGAAAAAAGAGAGTTGAGTATTTTTCAAAATCTTACACTAACTTTGAGATTTTGTAATAATAGAAAGATACCAACAATACACAAATAAAAAGAAAGATAGGAGAACAAGTAGAAAGCCACCTTATTAGGATAATTTGACTGCAAGCAGCAGGAAAACCAAACCCAAAACGCTTAAAAATAAGACATTTACTATCTGACATAACAAGAGCTTCATAGGCAGGGAAGCTTCAGTTGACTGGTTAATTCAGTATCTGATTCTTCAAGTGCATAGGTTCTTTACATTTCTCTTTTGTTTTTTCTTTTTCTTTTTCTTTTGACAGTCCAGAGATCTTTTATCTTTTTAACACCTATGATGCCATGAATTCATGGGGAATAGGTTCCAGCAGCTCAGGCTGCTTCCCATTGGTTCTCACACAGTGTGCTTCTCTGGGTGGAGCAGGCTGGGGCTTCAGTTGAACCCAGGTGCCTTTCTCTTTGGCTTCTTTATTTTTCTGACCATTTTCCTTCACGCGTCTCAGGAAGCTATCTCAGCTCTTAGAGTGCTTAATATGCTCAATACGCACATTAATTCTTTTGGCAAGAATCTTGCCCTTGTTTGTTTATGCAATGCCAACAGCATGCTGGGGAACATTGTAGACTCTTCCAGTTTTGCCAAGGTAACACTTGTGGGGCATTCCTTTTTGGACAGTACCCATTCCCTTGATGTCTACAATGTCACCTTTCTTATAGATTTGCATATACGTGGCCAAAGGAACAACTCCATGTTTTCTAAAAGGCCCAGAGAACATATATCGGGTGCCTCTCCTCTTTCCTTTTGTGTTTGTCATTTTGACAAATTACTGGAAGATGGCGATTCCGGCCAAAAGGCTACATCTTTCTTTCTGCCATCTTCACTCATCCAAAGGCAGGCTCCCCTCACGGTGACAAGATGTACATGCTCTTTTAGGGTTCATATCCAACATGGCAGAATCCCAAGAAAAATACTCTATCTCCCTTAGAGAAAGGAAAACTTTCCAGAAGCCCCTAGTAGGCATTTTCTCCCATCTCATTGGCTAAAATTGTATCCTGTGCACATCTGAACAACTACTGGAAAAGAAAATGGAACCACTGCAGCAGGGATTGTTAATTGCCCCTCAATATCCATCTCCCCCTCCTTCCTTTCTATGATAGAACTTCTCTGAATTGTATCTCCACACGTAATCACCAAGCTAGAAGCAACTTTTCCCATCCTCCCTTGCACCTAGGTGTGGTCATGTTACTACGTTCTGGCCAATAGGATATGAGTGGAAATGATGTGGGCAATTTGTAAATTTTTCTTTAAAAGAAGTTGTGTGCTCTCCACTGGCTCAATTCCTCCATTCTGGCTAATATGAAGATTTGGTGGTAGTAGGTCAGCTTCAAACATGAAGATGAGGGCAGCTCCCAAGGAGATGACAGAGCCATGGGTAGAAGGAGCCTGGGGACCCAGGACATTTTCTTGATGCTCAGCCTCTCTATCCTCTTACACTGTAGGCTAGCTAGGAATTCTATCTGACAGAGAGGTCCACTCTATTTATTTTGGTGACTATTAAAGTAGTGGCAGGGGCCAGGCGTGGGCTCATGCCTGTAATCTCAGCACTTTGGGAGGCTGAAGCAGGCAGATCACTTGAGGTCAGGAGTTTGAGACCAGCCTGGTCAACATGGTGAAACCCCATCTCTACTAAAAATACAAAAATTAGCCAGGTGTGGTGACAGGCGCCTGTAATCCCAGCTCTCAAGAAGCTGAGACATGAGAATCGCTTGAACCTGAGAGATAAAGGTTGCAGTGAGCCAAGATTGTGCCATTGCACTCCATCTTAGGTGACACAGTGAGACTCTGTCTCATAAATAAACAAATAAATAAATAAAGTAGTGGCGGGTGCTGTGGCTTATGTCTGTAATCCCATCAATTTGGGAGGCCAAGGCGGGTGGATCACCTGAGGTCGGGAGTTCGAGACCAGCCTGGCCAACATGGTGAAATCCTGTCTCTACTAAAAATACAAAAATTAGCCAGGTATGGTGGCAGGCACCTGTAATCCCAGCTACTTGGGAGGCTGAGGCATGAGAATTGCTTGAATCCAGGAGGCGGAGGTTGCAGTGAGCCAAGATTGCGCCACTGCACTCCAACCTAGGCAACAGAGTGAAACTCTGTCTCAAAAAACAAAACGAAACAAAACAAAACAACAAAAAAACCCAGAAACTTCCTAAAGTAGCCAAAGCAATATCCCGATTACTGCAGTGGCCATGCTTCCCTTAGACCAATGGTTCTCAAAGTATGATTACCATACTGAGAGCACCAGCATCACCCAGGAACTTGTTGGAAATGTACATTCTTGGGTCTTGCCCCAGACCTACTGAATTGGAATGTCTGTGAATGGATCCCAGCAACCTGTTTTTTGTTTTGTTTGTTTTGTTTGAAACAAAGTGAGACCCTGTCTCAAAATAAATAAATAAAAGAAAAGAAAAAAGAAACTTAAAAAGAGAAGAGATGTAAGAAAATGGGAAGAGATAAAGTCAATAGGCGACATCATGAGAAATGAAGGTGCTAATTTAAAATCATAAATGCAAGGAAAGAGGAATTCAAAATAAGAACATAATTCTATTATTAGAAGGGGCTGGGTAAATGTGCATTAAATCTTCATTTTGCATAAAAAGAAAGTCAATAGATAGTTCCCGAAAATACTATATTAAGGCCAAACAAGGTGGTGCATGCCTCTAATCCCAAGGCTGTGGGAGGTTTGAGGCCTGGAGGCAACATAATGAGACCACCATTTCTACCAAAAAAAAAATTAATGAATTAATTATTTTGAGATGGAGTCTTACTCTGTCGCCCAGGCTGGAGTGTAGTGGCACAGTATCAGCTCACGGCAACCTCCCCCTCCCGGGTTCAAGCAATTCTACTGCCTCAGCCTCCCAGGTAGCTGGGATTACAGGCATGCGTCACCAGGCCTGGCTAATTTTTTTGTATTTTTTTCAGTAGAGATGGGGTTTCACCATGTTGGCCAAGTTGGTCTCGAACTCCTGACCTCAGGTTATCCGCCCACCTCAGCCTCCCAAAGTGCTGGGATTACAGGCGTGAGCCACCGGGCCCAGCCAAAAAAATTATTATTATTTTTTAAATTAACCAGGCGTGATGATGGACGCTTGTAACCTCTCATCAGGCTTAGGTGGGAAGATGGATTGAGCTCAAGAATCTCAAAGTCACAGTGAGCTCTGATTGTGCACTCTAGCCTGCGTGACAGAATAAGATCCTGTCTCTAAAAACAAAACAAAACAAACAAAGCTATAAAATACTGTATCAAGAAACAACTGCCAGGCACGGTGACTCATGCCTGTAATCCCAGCATTCTGGGAGGCCAAAGCAGGTGGATCACTCGAGCTCAGGAGTTTGAGACCAGCCTGGGCAACATGATGAAACCTGATCTCTACAAAAAAATACAAAAATTAGCCGGGCATGGAGGCATGCAGCTGTAGTCCCAGCTACTCAGGAGGCTGAGGTGGGAAGATTGTTTGAGCCAGGGAGGCCGAGGCTGCAGTGAGCCAAGATGGTGCCACTTCACTCCAGCCTGGGTGATAGAGCAAGACCCTGTCTCACAAAAACCAAAACCAAAGCAAAATAATACCTGCGTTAGCATATTGTTTAAGGATATGAGGCAATCACCATAAGAATAAAAACAGAGACGATTCAACTAGTTAAAAAGAATTTTCCCTTTGGGATGGGGACTGTGAGAGGAGAGCTATTGATTTTCATTATAAATCCTTCTGTACTATTTAATTTTTTTTTAACCTAGGGCATATATGCTTATAATGAACCATTGAAAAATTATGCTTTCAGAGGGGCTATACACAAGGTGGGACAGAGTCCTCCCGCTCTGAGAGTCTCTTTGTGAAGGTCTGCTTTGTCCAGGAGGGGGTCACCAGAATGTTTGCAGAGCCTCCGCCAGCCCTGTCTCATGAGGCAGCTTTACAAATGGTCGGATGGGACAGGGTCTCTGACAAAAGGCCCTCTCCTCATTGGCATAATCCTTTAGACAGCTGTACCGGGTGAATGGGAACCGCTCAGAGCAGTCTGTTGGCAGGCTTGCTGCTGTCACCTCTTGTAGAATTTCCTCTCGACCACCCTGCTCTCTCGTTCAGATGTCCAACACACAGCCTTAATGGGTAATGGATGTTTTCACCTGGAGAATCCTCCTCATTAGCCTCTCAGTTCTGACCAGGAGGCTGAATGTTCACAACATGGAAAGTCATAATATTTCAACAATCATTGGCCCCAAAGCACTTGTTCAAACAGTAATAGTAGTTAGTATGTTGTAAGAAGATCAGTTAAACCATGTCTATGTCTTTACATTTAGCTGGTATGTTTCCTCCTACCATACTGTCCTGTTTGTGATTTACTCTGTACCCAAAAGCTGATGTCAGACTCTCTGCTTTCAACACCAAGTAATTATGGGTGGAAATGGGGGAGGTTGAAGTGGTTTGGGAGTGGAGTGACATGTAAGGTAATAGCTTTCAGATCATTTCCGGTGGCGCTTTGGT
Organism: Homo sapiens; assembly: GCF_000001405.40. Lineage (NCBI taxonomy): Eukaryota > Metazoa > Chordata > Mammalia > Primates > Hominidae > Homo > Homo sapiens. The sequence goes on from NC_000018.10 coordinate 3,410,546, forward strand.
GTGCTACAAAGATACTTTCATTGAAATGTCCCAGGGATTGGTCCGGACCCTGGATCTTACCTCACTTGAATCAGAGTAGCTCATTTTTTTTTTTTTTTTTTTTTTGAGACAGAGGCTCACTCTGTTGCCCAGGCTGGAGTGCAGTGGCACGATCTCGGCTCCCTGCAACCTCCACCTCCTAGGTTCAAGCAACTCTCATGTGTCAGCCTCCTGAGTAGCTGGGATTACAGGTGTCCGCCACCATGCCCAGCTAATTTTGTTTTTTTTCTGTATTTTTAGTAGAGATGGGGTTTTGCCATGTTGGCCAGTCTGGTCTGGAACTCCTGACCTCAAGTGATCTGCCCACCTCGGCCTCCCAAATTGCTGGGATTACAGGTGTGAGCCTCCGTGCCTGGCCAGCCCACTTAATCTTAAATGCAGTCTTTCACTTCATACAACACACAGGAGATAGGATGCAGCAAGTTAGAAAAATTACTCATACCACCTCCCAGATGTGCAAAGAATTTAGAGTGCATTTTCCCTATGCGTGCTCATTTAGAAGCACATCTGCTCCTCTTCACCTCCCAGGTAGCAGGGGAAAGGCTAGATTTAATCTTGTTACAATATTTCCATTTCTTCTCATTGATACAGGCTTGTTTCAGTGTAAACATTTGGTCCATTTGAAGTTCAACTTCCCACTAGTGCTAATGAAAATCTTTACCTGGTTGAGTAAATGTTTTCAGGTAAAATACTCTATCTCTCAAATTTAGTCTCCTCTTCCTCTTCCTTGACCTGGTAGAAAGGGCAGGACTTACTATATCCTTGTGATGCCTGTAGGATAAAAGGGTTCCTGAGTGGTATGTTGTCTCAGGCCTCCTCTGGTCTCAGAGGCAATGCCCCATGCCTGCCTGATTACTGTTTGCTCTGCTGCTGTTGGGGGGTGAAATTTGCTGCTGGGATCATTCGTGGCTTGGTCAGTGCCCAGTGGGCTGTCTTCAGTAAAGTCACTCCCTCTGAGCCTATGCCACAACCCCCACCAAAACTCTCCCCCGTTGGAGCCACACAAGCTCCTGCTGTCAAGCCCTCTCGCTCTTGCCCTCTGGGGACCCAAAAGGCCCCTGGTCCTCAAGTCAGCCACCTCTGTGTCTTCCTCCATCCAAAAGACCTGCAGGAGCTTCTGAGCCTGGTGACACTTGCTGGGGACCAAGACCATCCTACTCCGCCCCAGCCACGCTGCATGACCTCATCTCAGCCCAAAAACAGACATTGGGAACATCTGACCATCCATCCCGTTCCCCCGCTCTTTTTGGCTACCTGCAGTGACCCCAGCAGCAGGGGCGGGAGTTGCCTGCCCTCTTCCAGCCTGGAAGAGCATCTGTCCTACGCTCCTCCTTCCGGGAGTGACTCCCGCCCGCATCTCGGGGTGGGAAGGGTTCAGGAAACACAGACCAGCTTATCTTAAGGAAGCCTGGTCGGGAATCTTTCAAAAACACATCTGTTACAAGGGGGAAAGACACCTCCAGGACAACAGTGATTTGCCTCAGCGGGGCAAAGGCCAGGCCTGACGGAAGAGCCCAGCCTTCGCCGAGGGCCGCAGGGAGCCAGAGACTCGAGCCTGCGGTTCCAGCCCCGCCGCGGTTCCGGCCCCGCCGCGATCCCGAGGCCTGCGCATGCTCGGTGCTGCGCGGGGCTCCCTCCTTACCGCAGGAGCTCCTCATCGAGAAACCCAGGTAAGTCCTGCCCCTTCTACCAGGTCAAGGAAGAGGAAGAGGAGACTAAATTTGAGAGATAGAGTATTTTACCTGAAAACATTTACTCAACCAGGTAAAGATTTTCATTATTTTCATTAGCACTAGTGGGAAGCTGAACTTCAAATGGACCACATGTTTACACTGAAACAAGCCTGTATCAATGAGAAGAAATGGAAATATTGTAACAAGATTAAATCTAGCCTTTCCCCTGCTACCTGGGAGGTGAAGAGGAGCAGGTGCGCTTCTAAACGAGCACGCATAGGGAAAATGCACTCTAAATTCTTTGCACATCTGGGAGGTGGTATGAGTAATTTTTCTAACTTGCTGCATCCTATCTCCTGTGTGTTGTATGAAGTGAAAGACTGCATTTAAGATTAAGTGGGCCCCCAGGACCTGGCACAGGCTGTGGTTCCTTATATCGAGTGGCATGACTGCATTCCGGCCTTTGCCGTTGACTCATTCTTTGCCCTTGTCAAGTTTCCTAGCCTGAGTCGGTTTTTCCCCTTCTCGTTAGAGCTGATGATAAAACAGACTTACCTAGCCAGGGCAACACAGGGAGACCCTGTCTCTACAAAAAATAAGAAAATAAAATATTAGCCGAGTGTGGCGTCACACGCCTGTAGTCCTATCTACTTGGGAGGCTGAGACAGGAGGATCTCTTGAGCTCAGGAGTTCAAGACTGCAGTGAGCTGTGATGGCGTCACTGCACTCCAGCCTGGGCGACAAAACGAGGCTCTGTCCCCAAACACCAAAAACCTCACAAGGCTCTTCCAGGTATGAGATAATATATTGAATGTCCCTTGGTGAATTCAGAAATGCTGGGGATAAAATATATGTAAATCTCAAATACATCCGGATTATTAATAGTGTAATGTCTACAAAGAAATGCTCATTGTCTCGCTAGCATTCTTTTATTTAATAGAGTAAAAAAGAATGAGGATTTTTAAAAAATTAAATTCACGGAACTGTTTTTATGTTAAAGGATGGGAACATGGCTTATGAATATTTTTATTCTTCTTGGCCCTGCCCTTGTACAATAAAGTTTGCTAACTACCATTATCTCATTTGCCACTCATTAATCCAGAGAGATTTATTTAGAATCATTAAAGTTTCTCACCCCAAAATCAGGTTGAGATTTGATTCGAATTTTATTAAACCTGACATCTTTATAATATTGAAACTTTCAGGAAAATGATAGTTTCCTTTGCTTATTCGAGTTGTTATTTTTCTCTGAGTAGATTTTGGAGTTCTCTTCATAGAGTCTAGTATTCTTTATAAAGATTATTCTTGAGAATTTTATAAGGTTTTTTTTTGGCCTGGACGGTGGCCAACGCCTGTAATCCTAGCACTTTGGGATGCCAAGGCGGGAGGATCACTTGAACTCGGGAGTTCAAGACCAGCGTGGGCAACACAGGGAGACCTCGTCTCTATAATTTTTTCAATTAAAAAAAAATTTTTTTCTGATTACAAATGAGACTTTTCTCTCCTTCATGGTTTTAACTGTTTATAGAAGATATATCGTCAAGGGAATTATTTTTACAAATTCATTCTATGGCTGCCGTAATAAAAATAACAAGAGTGATACAAAAAGTACAGTTGTATCTTAAAGTATTGAGCAGTTGCCAAATGGCAGGCACTATGTCGTGGGTTTTAAATGTATTTTCTCAGCAAATCTTCACAATAATCCTATAAATTAATTATAGTTATTATCCTAATGTGTAGATGAAAAAACAAACCCAGTGAGATGACATAATTTGCCTAAGGTCACAGAGTTCATTACTAAGCACTAATTAATTCTCTTAGGTTTTCTAGATACACAATCGTATCATTTATACAAAATGACAGTTTTGTCTCCTCTTCCCAAGGCTGTGTGTCCAATTTTTGTTCTACACTTTACTGAACTGGTCATAATTATATTACAATGTTAAGTAATTATTCTCACTTAAATACTTCTAAACCCTTTTCCATTCAGTGGATATGAGTATATGATGCTGCAGTCAATGGAAATAATGATCACAATAATCCCTAACACTTACTGTGAACCCAGGCAGTCTGAGTCTAGAATTGATATTCTCATTTACACAACTAATTCAAGAGCTACTGCACCTTATTATAGCATGTTCCAGGCCACTCTAGCATGATCCACATGTTTCAAACCTTCTCCACCACCTCCCTTCAGTTTTCTGGCTTTGTAGCCAGAGTTCATCTCTAAGTCTAGCCCCAGTTGGGTTGGTGATCCTGTTTACCGTGAATCTAATCTTGTACTTTCTTATGACATACTTCTAGTAACGGTCCCTTGGCTCTACCCAGTGAACTTAAAGAGGTGACCCATCTGTGTCCTCTCTAGACCTCAGAACCCCATCCTATTTAAGTCCAGTTTCCTTTTACCAACAGATGAAGTCTCTCTCAACATTCCTTTCAAATATCTTTGAAAACAGAAAATAAGGAATTTCAAGAATTTTTTTTCATCAAAACCCCATAATATTCTATGCCAGCATGGTGGTGCACAGCTGTAGTCCAAGCTACTCTGAGGCTGAGATCAGAGGATCACTTGAACCAGGAGTTCAAGGCCAGCCTGGGAAAAGTAAAGAGACCTCTCCTCCCCATGTCTCTAAAAAATAAAAATATTGAAAGACCCAATGTCCAATGTCAGAAAGATCAAGGAGAAAGTGATACTTTTCTACACTACACTTCTAAATTCTTTCTAAAGGGCAATTTGACAATGCATGTAAAAAATTTTGCATATTCCTTGACTCAGAAATCTTACTTATTGGCCTCCTTCTCCTCCACCCCTGTCACCACCTCTGTCCTGGAGAAGAAGCCATATTTGGTCTCCCTCAATGGCTGAGACAGAGGCAACGCAGGCACCATGATCCCGGCTCTGCCTTCCGGCGACCCGGAGCTCATTGCTCTCATCCTGGAGTGGCTCAAGAGCCAGGCCCGTTTGGCAGCTTCTGTCGATGCTGCCTGGCCCCTGTGGACACCAAGCCAGCTTACCAAAACCAGAGGCAGAAAGCTGAGGGTTCGGTGTCCACACACCTGGATGAGCAGAACTGGAATCTTATGATGCGCAAAAGCCTATTGCGAAATGGTCAGAGGCAGAGTGAGATTCAGTCAGGGACATTGGAAGCTGGAGTAGACAGGGTTATTTCTCAGGCAGAGGATCCAAAATTAAACCACATCCTCAGGCCACCAACGGAAGGAGCAAGTCATGAGTTCCTGGGTGCCCAGAAGACAGCAATGGTGCCAGCACCCCCTTTAGAGCCCGCAGACCAGGACCCTCCAGCTCCAGCCTAGGGCGGTTCTCAGGAACATGCCCAACGCCTTTTGAAAGCTCTATTTAATTATCGGTGAAGAAGTGACTTTGGTTACATAAGAGTGCAACTTCAGAATGAAGATAGGCCAAGGTCTCACTGATTTCAAGATTTCGGCCTTGACTGTGGGCAGTGTCCAAGTTTGAATGGGGGGCAAGTTTGGCAGTGGGGATGTTGACCAATTTGTCCCCTGCATTGTGCTGCCATTTGGTCAGCCTGTCCAAGGATACAACACCCGGTAGACACTACAGAGAGATAAAGAAACACTATAGTAACTTGGGATTGTCCTAAAACAGACTTTTATACTTGAACGTGGAGTCTCTGTGTGGACTTTAGAGTTTGTGCTCTGGAATATACCAAAGCTACAGTTTGAGAGAAAGTAACCAGTCCCAAAGATAATTTCAAAGAACAATAACAATATAAAGGGTGGCTGGGAGTAGGTATTTGATGGTGCTTATTTGATATTGTTTCTCAGAGTTGCAAACTGGAATGTAGAAACCACTAGCATCAGATATCTAGAAAGTTGTTATGACCTTCTTGTACATGAATCTTCTAGCCAGTTTCCTTTCCCTTGTAAGAGGTAACAAAACATGGAACCCTAAAATGTGTGAGGAAGCTTGGACGTTAGGTATAAAGAAAAACATTTGCAGCTGGGCACAGTGGCTCATGCCTGTGATCCCAGCACTTTGGGAGGCCAAGGTAGGTGGATTGCCTGAGGTCAGGAGTTTGAGACCAGCTGGACAACATGATGAAACTCCATCTCAGCTAAAAATACAAAAATCAGCAGGGTGTTATGGCACGCGCCTGTAATCCCAGCTACAGAGGCTGAGGCAGGAGAATCACTTGAACCCAGGAGGCAGAGGTTGCAGTGAGCCGAGATCACGCCACTGCACTCCAGCCTGGGCCACAGAGCAAGATTCTGTCTCAAAAAAACAAAGAAAAGCATTTGCAGGCTCTCTGTCTAGGGCCTCTTCCTGTCCTGCAAGGGCTAGTGAGTCTGGGGTGTGTTTAGTTTATTCTCATGTTTGTAATTTTTAAGAAAAGCGAGATTTATAATAAGGCCGGGCTGGGTGGCTCACACCTGTAATCCCAGCACTTTGGGAGGCCAAGAGGGGGCAGATAACCTGAGGTCAGGAGTTCAAGACCAGCCTGGCCAACATGGTGAATCCCCATCTCTACTAAAAATACAAAAATTAGCCGGGCGTGTTGGCGCACCCCTGTAATCCAACTACTCAGGAGGCTGAGGCAGGAGAATCGCTTGAACCCAGGAAGCGGACGCTACAGTGAGCCAAGATCATCCCATTGCACTCCAGCCTGGGTAACAAAGCAAGACTTTGTATCAAAACAACAACAACAACAAAAAAAAGATTTATAATAAAATCAAATAAAATTTGATACTCTTTTTAAAAAAAGAAATCTCACTCGGAATTTATCATAAGTAAATCATTATGGATAAGCAAAAATATATTTTTATAAAGATGTTTATTTAAATACTATTTATAGTGGTTAAAATTTTGTAGCACTCTAGACGTCCAGCAAGGTTTTATTTGTTTTTTGTTGTTGTTGTTGTTCGTTGTTTGTTTGTTTTGAGATGGAGTCTCATGCTGTGGCCTGGTCTGGAGTGCAGTGGTGCAATCTTAGCTCACTGCAACCTCCACTTCCCAGGTTCAAGCTATTCTCCAGCCTCAGCCTCCCGAGTAGCTGGGACTACAGGCATGAGCCACCGCGTCCGGCTAATTTTTGTATTTTTAGTAGAGATGGGGTTTCACCATGTTGGGCAGGCTGATCTCAAACTCCTGACCTCAGGTCATCCACCTGCCTCAGCCTCCCAAAGTGCTGGGATTACAGGCATGAGCCACCGTGCCTACCCTGTTTGTTAAATAAATTCTACTACATCCAGAGAAATATTTCATTACATGGAAACGTTCATGATACACTGTTAGATTAAAAAAGTATATCACAACTCAACATGTAAAGTATAATCCCATTTGTATTTATATAACTATATCTATTTTTGTCTATATAACTGTTATTGTAAATTTAGCTACCTATTCGTGTATATATCTATCATTGAGATCACACAAAACAAAAATAGATATTTCCAAATATTCATTTCTTAAAAATGGAATTATTAAGAAATATGTTATATTTCTTCTTTCTGTTCACTGTTTTCTGAATTTTCTACAATTGACATATATCACTTTTGGAATAGTAAAACGGTTATTCTGGCCGGGTGCAGTGGCTCATGCCTGTAACCCTAGCACTTTGGGAGACCAAGGTAGGAAGATCCCTTGAGCCCAGGAGTTCAAGACCAGCCTGGGCAACATAGCAAGACCCCATCTCTACAAAAAAAAGTGGGGAGTTATTCTTAACAGCTTTTTGTTAGTTAAGCTAAAAGCAGAGATACAAAAAATATAGGGCTTACATATGATCGAAGTTGGTTTTTTTTTTTCCTCTCCCCAAATTGTCTATCGGTGAAGGGCCCAGTGTTACAATGAAGCTGTACTCCACAAAGTTACTCAGGGGTCCTGATTTTGTGCTGCTGTTATCTAGGTTGGTGTCTTTTCCACGTGGTAGAAGCTGGCTAACCTCCACTTCCACATTCCAGCCCAAGGGAAAGTCCAAGGTAAGTAGATATTTCTTTAAGGGGGATGACCTGGAAGTTGCACACTTCATTTTCACTCACCATTGGCTTGAACCTAGTCATGTGACCACATCAGTCAAGAAGGCAGGCTGCGATCTATAGTCTCCAGCTGTCAGCCATGTACAGTTGTCCCTTGGTATCCATGGGGGATTGGTTCCAGGATGCTACCTCAGAAATTAAAATGTGCAAATGCTCAAGTTCATTATATAAAATGGCATAGTATTTGCATATAACCTGTGCATACCCACCTGCATACTTGTAATCATCTTTAGATTACTTATAATATCTAATACAATGTGAATGCTATATAAATAGTTGTTATACTGTATTATTCAGTACAGATGCAACTATAGTAGGCCTAACTACATTTTCTATCCACAGTTGGTTGAATCTGCACATACAGAACCCATGGAAACCCAGGGCCAACTGTGTGTGTGTGTGTGTATTCAGCTAAAATTTAGGGGGAAAGGATTATTACTAAAGATGAGTAGGAATAGTGAGAGATGGACTCATTGGACTCTTATTTAGATATTAAAAATCTAGGCTGGGCGTGGTGGCTCACGCCTGTAATCCCAGTACTTTGGGACGCCAAGGTGGGCGGATCACCTGAGGTCAGGAGTTTGAGACCAGCCTGGCCAACATGGTGAAAAACCATCTCTACTAAAAATACAACAATTAGATGGGCGTGATGGCAGGTGCCTGTAATCCCATCTACTCAGGAGGCTGAGGCAGGAGAATCTCTTGAACCTGGGAGGCCAAGGTTGCATTGAGCCGAGATCGTGCCATTACACTCCAGCTTGGGTGACAAGAGCAAAACTCCATCTCAAAAAAAATTTAAAAATAAATAAAAATGTACAATAGTTATAATACTGTGATTCTGGCACAGGAATAAATAAAAAGATTAGGACAACCATAAATACACTGGAATTCATATAAGATTAAAGCATATAAGTTAAGATGGAGGAAAATAAACTCAATAATGTTGAGAGAATTGGAAAACCATTTGGAAAAAACAAAGTTAGATTAAATGACAAAATTCATTCCACATAAAAACTTAACTTTCTGTAGGGAAATATAGATGAAAATGGCAACCAGATTATGACCCCTGCTTTAGTTGGTCCCCCATTCGACAGATTTCTGGACCTTATTGAGAATAATTATCTTTTCCTTGACCTTCAGCAACCAGAACTGCAAACCATACACCACATATAGAAGACACCACGCTTGTATTAGGTCAGGAGAATGCTTTTTATTTTTGTGTGTTTGTTGGTTAGTTGGTTGGTTAGTTGGTTTTTTCTATCCTTTCTTTTGAAGCAGTCTTTTTTATGTTGATCTTCTTTTTGTTGATCTTCTTTATTGATAGATAAAATGTACAAAACTAATAATCCACATAATGACTTCTAATTTCCATCACTGGACTACCCTTGGTGTGTATCTGATTCTATATGCTCCATATAAAAATTAGTCTCCAACTCAACAAGAAAAAAGCAGGCTGGGCACGGTGGCTCACGCCTGTAATCCCAGCACTGTGGGAGGCCAAGGCGAGTGGATCACCTGAGGTCAGGTGTTCAAGACCAGCCTGGCCAACATAGCAAAACCCCTCCTCTACTAAAAATACAAAAATTAGCTGGGCATGGTGGTGCCTGCCTGTAATCCCAGCTACTCAGGAGGCTGAGGCAGGAGAATCACTTGAACCCGGGAGGCAGAGGTTGCACTGAACTGAGATCGTGCCATTGCACTCCAACCTGGGTAACGGGGCAAGACTCCGTCTCAAAAAAAAAAAGGAAAAAGAAAAAAGGAAAATAACCTGATTTAAACACGGGTTTGTAATCATGTAAATGCTCAATTAAAATCAAACAAGTGGCCAGGCATGGTGGCTCAAGCCTATAATTAAAGCACTTTGGGAGGACAAGGTGGGTGGATCACTTGAGGTCAGGCAGAGTTTGAGACCATCCTGGCCAACATGATGAAACCCTATCTCTACTAAACATACAAAAATTAGTCATGCTTGATGGTGGGTGCCTGTCATCCCAGCTACTCAGAGGAGGCTGAGGCAGAAGAATCACTTGAATCCAGGAGGTGGAGTTTGCAGTGAGCCAAGATCGCGCCACTGCACTCCAGCCTGGGCAACAGAGTGAGACTCCCTCTCAAAAAAAAAATAATATTAATAAAACCAAACAAGAAAGAAAAAGAGTGGAAAACAAAAAGGAAACAAAGAATAAGAGCAATGAAATAAAATAAACTACAATTAAGGTACATGTTAATCCAACTATATCAATGATCACTTTAAATGTGAATGATCTAAATACATTAATTAAAAGACAGAGACTATCAGAGTGGATAAAATAACATCACCCAACTATACGTTGTTTACAAGAAACTCACTTTAAATATGCAGGCACAGGTGAAAAGTAAAAGGATGAATACAGAGATGCCACACTAACACTAATCAAAAGAAAGCTATGGTAGCTATGTTAATTTCAGACAAATTATCTCCTGCAATATCTTGGAAGACAGTTCACATGTCAGGCCCTTAGCCCTTAGTTCTAGGAGGGGTGTTTAAGAAATATCAATATTTATGTATTTTGACTGCTTTTTGCTGCTTTTAGCCAAGTTCTGTAAGACTGATGAACCAAAGCAAGAATTAGCCAGTTAGAAAGCAGACTAGAATGGAATACATTTCCTCACAGGAGGAGTTTGACAGTGTGACTTGGTTCTAATCAATGGGATGTGAGGAGAAATTATATACAGTCATGTACCTCATAACATTTTGGTCAAAGACAGACTACGTATATGATGGTGGTCCCATAAGATTATAAGGGAGCTGAAAAATTCCTGTTGCCTTGTGACGTCAAAGCTGTCCTAACTTTGTGGTGCAACACATTATTCACATGTTTGTGGTGATGCTGATGCTGGTGTAAACAAATCTACTGTATTTGATGGTACTAGCACTTGATAATAAATGACCAAGTTACCTGTTTATGAGTTTACTATACTATATATATACATTTATATATAGTATATAAAATATATATATATTTGAGATGGAGTTTGCGTCTTACTATACTATATATATACATTTATATATAGTATATAAAATATATATATATTTGAGATGGAGTTTGCGTCTTACTATACTATATATATACATTTATATATATATAGTATATAAAATATATATATACACACATATTTGAGATGGAGTTTGCATCTTGTTGCCCCAAGCTGGAGTGCAATGGCTTGATCTTGGCTCACCGCAACTTCCACCTCCCAGGTTCAGGTGATTCTCCTGCCTCAGCCTCCTGAGTAGCTGGGATTACAGGCATGCACCACCAAACCCAGCTAATTTTGTATTTTTAGTAGAGACAGGGTTTCTCCATACTGGCCAGGCTGATCTCGAACTCCCGACCTCAGGTGATCCACCCATCTCGGCCGCCTAAAGTGTTGGGATTACAGGCGTGAGCCACCGCGCCCATCTATACTATATTTTTAATTGTTATTTTAGAGTGTACTCTTTCTGTTTAATAAAAAAATTAACTGTAAAGCAACCTCAGGCAGGTCCTTCAGGAGGTATTGCAAAAGACGGCATTGTTACCATGGAAGCTGAACACTCCATAAGTGTTATTGCCCCAAAGACCTCTCAGTGGGAAAGATATACAGGTGAAAGACAGGGATATTGGCCGGGCACAGTGGCTCACGCCTGTAATCCCAGCACTTTGCGAGGCTGAGGTGAGCAGATCACTTGAGGTCAGGAGTTCGAGACTAGCCTGGCCAACATGGTGAAACCCCGTCTCTACTAAAAATACAAAAATTAATTGGGCGTGGAGGTGGTCACCTGTAATCCTAGCTACTCAGGAGGCTGAGGCAGGAGAATCGCTTGAACCTGGGAGGCGGAGATTGCAGTGAGCAGAGATGGCGCCACTGCACTCCAGCCTGGGCGACAGAGTGAGACACCGTAAAAAAAAAAAAAAAAAAGACAGTGATGTTGATGATCCTGACCCTGTGTAGGCCTAGGCTAATGTGTGTGTTTGTGTTTCAGTTTTTAACAAAAAGTTTAAAAAGTAAAAAAAAAAAAAAAAAAAAAAAAATTTGATAGAAAAAGCTTATAGAATATGGACATGAAGAACGAATACATTTTCATAGAGCTGTACAGTGTGCTTGTTTTTAGGCTTAGTGTTGTGACAAAGTCAAAAAGTTTTTAAAAATTTAAAACTTTATAAAATAAAAAAGTTATAGTAAGGTAAAGTTAATTTATTATTGAAGAAAGAAATTTTAAAAAATAAAATGTAGCCAAAGTGTATATCATTTATAAAGTCTACAATAGTGTACAGTAATATTTTGTAGGCCTTCCCATTCACTCACCACTCACTCACCGACTCACTGAAAGCAACATTCAGTCCTGCAGGCTCCATTAATGTTAAGTGCCCTATATAGGTGGCCTTTTTTTTTTTTTTTTTTTTTTTTTTTTTTTTTTTGAGACAGAGTCTGGCTCTGTCGCCCAGTCTGGAGTGCAGTGGCGTGATCTCCGCTCACTGCAAGCTCCACCTCCTGGGTTCACACCATTCTCCTGCCTCAGCCTCCTGAGTAGCTGGGACTACAGGCACCCGCCACCACGCCCAGCTAATTTTTTGTATTTTAGTAGAGACGGGGTTTCACCGTGTTATCCAGGATGGTCTCTATCTCCTGACCTCATGATCCACCTGCCTCGGCCTCCCAAAGCGCTGGGATTGTAGGCGTGAGCCACCGCGCCCAGGCTTTTTTTGTCTTTTATGCCATATTTTTACTATACATGTTCTAGGTTTAGATAGATCAATACTTACCATTGTGTTGCAATCACCTGCAGTACTCATATGGTTACATCACTCCTAGTAGCATAGAAGCAATAGGCCATACCATAAGCCTAATGCATGTAGTCGGCTCTAAGTTTGTCTGAGTACACGCCTAACACCTGAAGACACATTTCTCAGAATGTCTCCCCGTCGTTGATGCATGACAGTATATCACATATTGTACTATTGAAAAAATAGGCATGGCTGGGCGTGGTGGCTCAGGCCTCTAATCCCAACACTTTGGGAAGCTGTGGCAGGAGGGTCCCTTGAGCCCAGAGTTCTCAACCAGCCTGGGCAACATAGTGAGACCCCGTCTCTACAAAAAAAAGTTTTAAGGCTGAGCGCAGTGGCTCACGCTTGTAATCCCAGCACTTTGGGAGGCCAGGGCGGGCAGATCACGAGGTCAGGACATCGAGACCTTCCTGGCTAACACGGCGAAACCCCGTCTCTACTAAAAAAATACAAAAAATTAGCCGGGCTTGGTGTCGGGCGCCTGTGATCCCAGCTACTCAGGAGCTACTGAGGCAGGAGAATGTCGTGAACCCAGGAGGCGGAGCTTGCAGTGAGCAGAGATCGCGCCACTGCCCTCCAGCCTGCACAACAGAGCGAGACTCCCATCTCAAAAAAAAAAGAGTTTTAAAAATTAGCCGGGTGTGGTGGTGCACACTTGCAATCCCAGCTACTCGGGAGACTAAGGCAGGAGGATCACTGGAGCCCAGGAGGTCAAGGCTGCAGTGAGCTATGATCACACCACTGCACTCCAGCCTGGGTGACAGAGCAGTGCTCTGTCTCAAAAACAACAAAACAAAAAAAGGCACACCTGCCCTCGTTTCTTCCTCTCTTTCCAGTGGCCTAAATGTTGAGAGGTAGAGAGAATTAAAGCAGCTATCTTAAACTAAAGAGGGCAGCCACGATGGAGTGACAATACAGAAGGGGTCTGCGTCACCAACATTGTGGCGCTTCCGCAGCCCTGGAGTGCTTATGTTCACACTGTGACACAGAGACAAGTCAAATTCTTTCATGTTTATTTGGGTCTATGTGAGAGCAACTCAAGCTGCGACCTAATTAATGTAGGTTTATGATCAAGTACATATCTCATTGTATTGTAGCTATTTCTCTAATTATGATTATTTTATTATAAGTAATCATCAGTAATAATATCAGCAAAGTAAGTTTTTTTTGTTGTTTTTTTTTAATGTCAGATGGGTAATGTGCCAAGATTTGAGGGAGGCATATCTCACACGAGAGTGTGAAAACACAATCATCATGTTATTAACTACAAAGGATCACATGCAGTCAAGTTTTTACTGTAATCCATGGGTGGGAAGTTCAGCCACACCTTGCAGGATCTGAAACAGGAAATAGAGAAGCCATCAGTAACTGAGGTCATTCTCATATCAGCTTCTGCAAACCAGATTTCTCTCCTGTGATATTGTGAAATACTACTTGGTCTTCTACCCATTTCCTGGCAAGCAACTTCTAAAATCCTTGGAATCTCCTTGTGTGCTAATGAATTGACCTTTGGGTGGGTGGGTAGGGGCTACTGGATAGCCCCAGGATAGTGGTTGCCACTGGATTAGAGGGTAGGAACTTTCAGCCCCACCCCCAGCCTCGGGGAGGAGAGAGTAGCTGAAGTTTGAGTTATTCACCAATGGCCAATGATGTAATCAATCATGCCTACTTAATGACCCCTCCATAAAACCCCCAAAGGATAGAAGTTGGAGAGCTTCTGAGTTGCTTAACCCTTGGAGGTGCTGGGAGGGTGATATGCCTGGAGCGGGCACAGAAGCTCTGCACCCCTTCCCCATACCTTGCCCTATGCATCTCTTCCATCTGGCTGTTCATCTGTATCCTTTCTAATATCCTTTATAATAAACAGGTAAACATAAGTAAGTGTTTCCCAAAGGTCTGTGAGCTGCTCTAGCAAATTAATCAAACCTGTGGAAGGGCCATGGGAACCCTGATGTATAGCCAGTTGGTCAGAAGTATTGGTGACAACCTACTACTTATGATGTCTAAAGTGGGGCAGTCTTGTGGGACTGAACTCTCAACCCGTGAGGTTTGATGCTACCTTCAGGTAGATAGTGTCAGAATTGAACTGAATTCTAGAGGATGAAACTGCCTTTGCAAAATTATGACAGCAAGAGAAATGTGACATGGCTAACTCCATCTTGCTTCTATCCTCACAGACTGGCTGTCCTTGCTCATACCTGGGCATAGGCCAAGCTAACCACGGGAGAAATTTAGTTTATAGTTTACGTGATGATAGCCCTTTCCAAAAACTAAACTACCCTTGTAAAACTGATGAACATCATGAAGTTAGGAGGATGAGAGGGGCCTGAATTCTACTAAGATGTGGGTGTAGTTAAATAATTACCAGCCATTATTCCGAAAGTCATAAGATTTGCAACTTCCCCAATTAATCCTGTAAATAACATCACTATTGTAGAGTTTAAGATTGGCCTTTTGGGACGTCTTTTCAGGCTTTTGCATTTCTAAGTACTGGATGGCCCCACCCAGACCAGTGACTCCTCTGGTGGGCCCCACCCAGAAGCCAACTCAGCATACAAGGACTGTTTTCCACACCCCTATGATTGCATCCCCAGCCAATCCGCATGGCCCCGTCCCTAGCCTCCTGCCTACCAAACTATCCTTGAAAAACCCCTAACCTCCAGGCATGCTGGGATATTGATTTGGGTGATGACTGTCTCCTGCGTGGTGCCAGCATCGTGTCAACTGAACTCTTTCTTGACTGCAATGCCATGGGCTCAGTGGATTGGGCCTGTGCGGGAAGAACCCATCAGGCAGTTACGAGGACATCCAACTGGTGTGTGCTGGAGAATCTCTTGCGGAATTGATTGCTTGCTTGGTGTGTCAGGAAACCCGCACCATCCCCCTGCCCTGCCCTGCCCCCGCCCCATATTTGGTCACAGCAGCATCCTACGTTGTGAGAGTATAGTAGGAGAAAGTGTTTTTACATGTATCCTTTTATCTATTTTGTTTGGTATATGGCCATGTATAAGTGAGCAGTCCCCCAACTTCGAATTTCCTGAGACACACTAAGACTTTAGCCCTAATCTCAGGCCCAGTTCTGGCTAGGGTCCTTTTTTTTTTTTTTTTTTTTGAGACAGGGTCTTGCTCTGTTGCCCAGGCTGGAGTGCAGTGACACAATCTTGGCTCACTGCAACGTCCTCCTCCTGGGCTCAAGTGATTCTCACACCTCAGCCTCCCAAGTTGCTGGGACTACAGATGCACATCACCACACCTAGCTGATTTTTGTGTTTTGTATAGAGACAGGGTTTCACTGTGTTGTCTAGGCTGGTCTCAAACTCCTGACCTCCAGCGATCCGCCTGCCTCTGCCTCCCAAAGTGCTGGCATTACAGGCATGAGTCACTGCCCCTGGCCCAGCTAGGGTCCACTTATTCAGTCAACCCATAGACTGATAATGGAGAATGTTCTCAGAAAAGACTGGTGTTAGCTGTACAGATAACCTATGGGCCTAATATATGTCTGTCTTCCATATTTGTATTTTGTTTGCTAATACTGTGGAGAAAGAAGCAGGAATTCCCATTCATTGCTAGTGGAAATGCAAATTGGTACAACCCTTGTGAAGTAGAATTTGGCAATATCTAACAAAGCCACACGTTTATTTTTTGACATAAGAATCACACTTTTAGGAAGTTGTTCTGAGGATATAGCTTCAATAATATGAAAATACATGTGAACAAGATTGTTCTTTGCAGCACTATTTAGAATTGCAGTCCAAATGCCAAACATGAGAAAGTAATTAAACCATGGTACAGCCAAGCAGTGGGGTACTATGCAGCGGTAAAAAAGTAATAAGGATGATCTCTTTTTTTTTTTTTTTTTTTTTTTGGAGACGGAGTTTCACTCTTGTAGCCTAGGCTGGAGTGCAATGGCATGATCTCGGCTCACTGCAACCTCCGCCTCCCGGGTTCAACCTCCACCTCCCGGGTTCAAGCGATTCTCCTGCCTCAGCCTCCCAAATAGCTGGGATTACAGGCTTGCGCCACCATGCCCGGCTAATTTTTGTATTTTTAGTACAGACGGGGTTTCACCATGTTGGCCAGGCTAGCCTCGAACTCCTGACCTCAGGCAATCCACCCGCCTCGGCCTCTCAAAGTGCTGGGATTACAGGCGTGAGCCACCGCGCCCAGCCAATGATCTCTATAAACTGATACGGAGTGATTTCCAGAATACATTCTCCCTTTTTTTTTTTTTCTTTGAGATGAAGCCTCACTCTGTTGCCCAGGCTAGAGTGCAGAGGCACAATTTCGGGACACTGCAACCTCCACCCCACTAGGTTCAAGTGATTCTCTTCCTCAGCCTCCCGAGTAGCTGGGACTACAGGTGTGCGCCACCACACGTGGCTAATTTTTGTATTTTTAGTAGAGACGGGGTTTCCCAGGTTGGCTAGGCTGGTCTCCAACTCTTGATCTCAAGTGATCCGCCTGCCTCAGCCTCCCAGAGTGCTAGGATTACAGGCGTGAGCCACTGTGCCTGAGCCAGAATATATTCTTTTTTTTTTTTTTTGAGACGGGGTTTCCCTCTGTCACCCAGGCTGGAGTGCAGTGACGGGCTCTCAGTTTACTGCAACCTCCACCTCCCGGGTTCAAGCAATTCTCCTGCCTCAGCCACCCGAGTAACTGGGATTACAGGCAACTGCCACCACACCTGGCTAATTTTTATATTTTTAGTGGAGACAGGATTTCGACATGTTGGCCAGGATGGTCTCGAACTCTTGACTGCAGGTGATCCGCCTGCCTGGGCCTCCCAAAGGGATGGGATTATAGGCGTGAACCACCACACCCGGCCTCAGAATATATTCTTAACTGAATAAAGGAAAATGCCAAAAACAATCTATGGCTGCCGTTCTCAAAACGTGGTGGCCACACCCCTGGGGGTACCTGAGGCACTTTCAGGTGGCCCATGAGGTTAAAACTATTTTCCAAATAATGCATTGTTTGCCTTTTTCACTGTGCTGACATTTGCATTGTTGATGTGGAACGGATGCAGATAAAACTGCTAGCCCTTCACAAATCAAGGCCATGGCAAGCTCTCTCCACTGCCACACACTCTGGGGGCTGGGGGGAGGGAGAGACAGTTTTACTTAAGAATTTCCTTGATGAAGCAATAAAAATTGGTAATTTTGTCAGAACTTGACCCTGAGTTCACATCTTTTTACTATTCTGTGTGACCAAATGGGAGGTTCACAGGAGCACTTCCGACGTGCATGGCATATGATGGTGATCTTGTGCAACAGTGTTTCTGCAGTTGTTTGAGTTGCAAGATGAGGTAGCCATTTTTTCATGAACATCATTTTTAATTTTTTAATTAAAATTTTTTTTTTATTTTTAAAAATTATTTTGGCCGGGTATGGTGGCGGCTCATGCCTGTAATCCCAGCACTTTAGGAGGCTGAGGCGGGCAGATCATGAGGTCGGGAGATCGACACCATCCTGACCAACATAGCGAAACCCCATCTCCACTAAAATACAAAAAGATTATCCGGGCATGGTGGCACGCGCCTGTAGTCCCAGCTGTTTAGGAGGCTGAGGCGGGAGAATCACTTGAATTCAGGAGGTGGAGGTTGCAGTGAGCCAAAATCGCACCACTGCACTCCAGTTTGGGCGACAGAGCAAGACTTCATCTCAAAAAAAAAAATGTTATTTTATAGGTCAGGCGCAGTGGCTCACGCCTGAGATCCTAGCACTTTGGGAGGCCAAGGTGGGCAGATTGCCTGAGCTCAGGAGTTCGAGAACAGCCTGGGCAACACGGTGAAACCCTGTCTCTACTAAAATACAGAAATAAAAAATAAAATAAGCCGAGCATGGCGGCGTGCCCCTGTAGTCCCAGCTACTCAGGAGGCTGAAGCAGGAGAAGTGCTTGAACCCAGGAGGCGGAGGTTAGAGTGAGCCGAGATCGCGCCACTGCACTCCAGCCTGGGTGACAGAGCCAGACTCCGTCTCCAAAAAAAAAAAATTATTTTATAGAGACGGGCCTTGCTCTGTTGCCCAGTGTAGAGTGTAGTGGTAGGATTATAGCTCACTGCAGCCTCAAACTTCTGGGCTCAATCAATTCTTGTGCCTCAGCCTCCTGAGTATTTGAGACTACAGGCACGTGCCACCAGGCCCAGCTAATTTTGTAATTTTTTTTTTGTAGAGACTGGAGTCTCGCTTTGTTTGTCCAGGCTGGTCTTGAACTTCTTGCTCAAACAATCCTCCCAAAGCATTGGAATTACAGGCATGAGCCACCATGCTCAGCCTGTGGAACACCATTTCAAGGTGAAACCGGAAAGGCAAACTACTGCTAGTTGGACATGGGATTTCACAGTTATTTTCTCAACTATGAGTGAAGTAAGCCTAACATTCCAAGCAAAAAAAAAAATGGATAGTAAATGTTGCTAATGGAAAGATTCAAAATTTAAATTTAAATTTAATTTGGAAAATCTCTCATCCGCTACCATGGGCTTTACCGAATCGAGTCAGAGAAGATAGTAAATGAAGTAACTTCTTTTATGTACAATGAAATGTGTCAACATTTGGAAGATGTATATACTTCAGTGAACCATTATTTTCCAAGTGACCAAAGCATGATGTTACAAAATCACGCATGGTTAAAAAACACAATCAAAGTACAAGATAGGGCAATGCATTTTAATGTTAACACCACAAAAAAGTTTGTGAATGTGATTTCAGAATCCACATTGCAACTAACTTCTGAGAAACAATCACTATTGTGTTTTAGTGTTGTCAAAGAGGAACAAACACAATTACCTGAAAAGGCTGAGGCTGGGCACAGTGGCTTGTGCCTGTAATCCCAACACTTTGGGAGGCCAAGGTGGGTGGATCACCTGCGGTCAGGAGTTGGAGACCAGCCTAGCCAACATGGCAAAACCCCTTCTCTACTAAAAATACAAAAAATTAGCCAGGCGTGGTGGTGGGCACCTGTAATCCCAGATACTCGGGAGGCTGAGGCAGGAGAATTGCTTGAAATTGGGAGGCAGGGGTTGCAGTGAGCTGAGATCGCAACATTGCACTCCAGCTGGGTGACAGAGTAAGACTGTCTCAACAAAAGAGAAAAGACTGTGAAAATACTCATCCTTTTTCCAACTACATATCTGTTTGATGCCAAGTTTTCTTTAGATGCTTTTACCAAAACAATGTATTTCAAGAGATTACTAGAGGAATCAGATATGAGAATCCAACTGTCTTCTATTAAACCAGGCATTAAAGAGATTTGCAGAAATATAAAACAATGCTATCCTTCTTTCTATATTTTTATTTGATAAAATGGAGTTTTTATTAATAAAAATGTGAAATGTTACTTATATTAACGTGTCATGAATTTATATTATTATTTTACATGTATTTAATAAATGCGTATTTTTACAATTTCTCAGTTTTGGTTTAGTTTTGTTTTGTTTTTTCTTTTTTTGAGACGAAGTCTTGCTCTGTCACCCAGGCTGGGGTGCAGTGGTGTGATATTAGTTCACTGCAGCCTCCACCTGACACAGGCTCAAGCAATCCTCCCACCTCAGCCTCCTGAGTAGCTGGGACTACAGGCCCATGCCACCACACCCGGCTAATTTTTTTTTTTTTTTTTTTTGGTAGAGATAGGGTCTTGCCATGTTGCCCAGGCTGTTATCAAACTTCTGAGCTCAGCTTATCCTCCTGCCTCAGCCTCCCAAAATGCTGGGATTATAGGCACAAGCCACTGCACCCGGCTAGTTTTAGTGTCTAATGCAGTAAATATAATAGATATAGTCCACATAAACAAAAGCTTTTTGGCTCTTCAGTAGCTTTTAATAGGGTGAAGAAGTCCTGAGCCTAAAACAATCTGAGACTTACTACTTATTGTATAATAACAAATATACACATGTCTGTATGATCTGAAATGACCGATTCCAGGGCTGGGGCAGGGAGAATACGATATGAACCTGGAACATTTTGTTATGCCAGAAAATAAAAAAACCCTGAAGGAGTGATGGAGGTAAGTCGAAAGGATAAGGCACCCAATTTGAGGAGCTCCCACTGGCCAAATCCAAGATAATCTGAGCACAGAAATAAATAATAATAGCAGGTCTGGCGTGGTGGCTCGCACCTTTAATCCCAGCACTTCGGGAGGCCGAGGCAGGCGGATAACCTGAGGTCAGGAGTTCAAGACCAGCCTGACCAACATAGTGAAACTCCGTCTCTAGTAAAAATATAAGAATTAGTCGGGTGTAGTGGTGGGTGCCGGTGATCCCAACTGTTCATGAGGCTAAGGCTTGAACCCGGGAGGTGGAGGTCGTAGTGAGCAGAGATTGTGCCATTGCACTCCAGTCTGGGCGACAGGAGCGAGACTGTGTCTCAAAAAAAATAAAAACTAAAACTAAAATAAAATAATTAAATCATAAATAAATAAATAAATAATAGTAATGGATTTTTAACCTAGTGAATAAAGTAGGGCTCCACAAATCCATACTGATACAAATAAGCAAACAAACAAATGGAGAAGGAAAAGCTTTTCCACAGAGTAGAAAACCAACAAATAAATGTAGAAGAAACGATGGATGATAAAACTAAAGGGTAAAAGTTTGAGGAATAGGACATCTATCTTGTTTCAAAATAGGGAGAAATATTAACTTTATTATTATTTCAGATGGAGAGGCCTGGCTGACACCACCTTAACCAAGTCATCAAAGTTAATCATCAAAGTTAACATTACCAGTAAGGGGACAAGCCCACATTAAAATCACGTGCCACCTAATAAAATGTACTAAGGGCCGGGTGCTGTGGCTCACGCCTGTAATCCCAGCTCTTTGGGAGGCTGAGGCAGGCAGATGATGAGGTCAAGAGATCGAGACTATCCTGGCCAACCTGGTGAAACCCCATCTCTACTAAAATACAAAAATTAGCTGGGCATGGTGGTACACACCTGTAGTCCCAGCTACTTGGGAGGCTGAGGCAGGAGAATGGCTTGAACCCAGGAGGCGGAGATTACAGTGAGCCGAGATTGTGCCATTGCACTCCAACCTGGGCAACAGAACAAAACTGTCAAAAAAAAAAAAAAAAAAAAACACTAAGAAAGCTAAGGAAGGCGAAATATCAATTTTGTGATATATCTGTCCAAAATGCACAGCCTCAATCTAATCATGAGGAAACATGGGACTGCCAAAGTGAGGGATGTGCTATAAACTAACAGGACTTTACTTTCAAAAATGCCAAGGTCCTGAACGACAAATACAGACCATTCTACATTAAAGGAGACTAAAGAGATATGCTTACTCAATACAGTGCGTGATCCTACATCGGATCTTAGTCTGAAAATTTTTGCTTTCTTATAAAGGACATTATTTGACAACAAAAAATATGAGTATGGTCAGTATACTAGGTAATAGCATTATATCAATGTTAATTTCCTAATTTTGATAATTGTAATACATTCTCTGGTGTATAAGAGAATGTCCTTGTTCTCAGGAAGTACACACTGAAGTATTTAGGGCACAAAGGGCAACATATCTGCAGTTTACTCTCAAATGATTCAGGAATAAAAGACATATATGGGAAACGATTATATGTAGTGTGTGCGCCTGTGTTTGTCTATATGGAAAATAATGGATCAAATCTGGGGAATCTGGATGGTGAAGAGTATATGAGATTTCTTTATACCATTCTTCAGACTTTTCTTTTTTTGTTTGTTTTTTTTTTTGAGATGGAGTTTCACACTTGTTTCCCAGGCTGGAGTGCAGTGGTGTGATCTCGGCTCACCACAACCTCCGCCGCCTGGGTTCAAGCAATTCTCCTGCCTCAGCCTCCCGAGTAGCTGGGATTACAGGCATGCGCCACCAAGCCCGGCTAATTTTGTATTTTTAGTAGAGACGGGGTTTCTCCACGTTGGTCAGGCTGGTCTCGAACTCCCGACCTCAGGTCATCCGCCCGGCTTGGCCTCCCAAAGAGCTGGGATTACTGGCGTGAGCCACTGCGCCTGGCCTTCTTCTTCTTCTTCTTTTTTTTTTTTGAGACTGATTCTGATTCTCACTCTGTCACCCAGGTTTGAGTGCAGTGGAGCAATCTCAGCTCACTGCAGCCTCCACCTTCTGGGCTCAAGCACTCCTTTTGCTTCAGCCTCCCAAGTAGCTAGGATTACAGGCACATGCCACCACGCTGGGCTGATTTTTGTATTTTTGGTAGAGACGGGATTTCCCCATGTTGGCCAGGCTGGTCTCCAACTCCTGGCCTCACGTGATCCGCCCGCCTCAGCCTCCCAAAGTGCTAGGATTACAGGCGTCAGCCACCACGCCTGGCCCTTATGAATTTTCTATAAGGCTAAAATCACTTTAAGATTAAAAATTACAAGACGAAAGTAATACAATTCTGATATATTCTATAACATGGCCGAAGGTTGAAGACACTATGCTAAGTGAAATAAGCCAGACACAGAAGGACAAATATTGTGATTCTACTTTTATGAAAAACCTAGAATAGTCAAATTCATGGAGGTTAAGACGGAAAGCCTCCATGTTAGAATGAACTAGAATACAGAAGAGAAGTTACTAGGGACTGTGGGGAGGAGAGAACGATGACTTAGTGTTTAATGGGTAAAGAGGTTATTTTTTATTTTAGAGACAGGGTCTTGCTCCATCACCCAGTCTGGAGTGCTCTGGTTTAATAATAGCTCAATGTAACCTTGAAGAATTTAAGTTTTGCCAGATGAAAAGAGTTCTGAAAATGGATAGTCATGATGGTTGCACAGCCAAGTGAATATACTTAATGCCACTGAACTGTATATTTAAAATTGGTCAAAATGGTATATTTTACGTTGTGTAGTATATTGTACCACATATACAAAAAAAGTAAATGAGGGTTCACAGTCCCAGGTTTATACTTTAACTACAATATCAGCATGTCTTCCCCAGAACTGATTACAAAATGCAGTTTCATTCTATAAAAACATTTAAGGAACAGCCTCCTTCCCTACCAGAGATCTTGTACCATCTTGCCAGTCGAAGTGAGAAACAGCCCATTTAAATAATAGCTATGGGCCAGGTGCGCTGGCTCATGCCTATAATCTCAGCACTTTGGGAGGCTGAGGCAGGTGGAGCACTTGAAGTCAGAAGTTTGAGACCACCCTGGCCAACATGGTGAAACCACATCTCTACTAAAAATACAAAAATTAGCTGGGCCTTGGGCCGGGTGCGGTGGCTTATGCCTGTAATCTCAGCACACTGGGAGGCTGAGATGGGTGGATCACCTGAGGTCAGGAGTTCGAGACCAGCCTGACCAACACGTAGAAACCCCGTCTCTACTAAAAATACAAAATTACCCGGGCGTGGTGGTGCATGCCTGTAATCCCAGCTACTTGGGAGGCTGAGGCAGGAGAATCGCTTAAACCCAGGAGACAGAGGTTGCGGTGAGGCAAGATCATGCCATTGCACTCCAGCCTGGGCAACAAGAGCTAAACTGCATCTCAAAAAATAAAAATAAAAAAATAAAAAAAATTAGCCAGGCGTGGTGGCATGCGCCTGTAATCCCAGCTACTCGGGAGGCTGAGGCAGGAGAATCGCTTGAACCCAAGAAGCGCAGGCTGCAGTGAGCTGAGATTGCACCACTGCACTCCAGTCTGGGCGACAGAGTGAGACTGTCTCAGAAAACGAAAATAAATAAGTAAATATAGTT
Organism: Homo sapiens; assembly: GCF_000001405.40. Lineage (NCBI taxonomy): Eukaryota > Metazoa > Chordata > Mammalia > Primates > Hominidae > Homo > Homo sapiens. The sequence continues at coordinate 3,434,744 of NC_000018.10, forward strand.
ATGAGCAGGCTCAGGAGGTAAACACTACAGTAATTAGACAACATCGAAGACTTCATGATAACACTTCCCAAGCATGTTTGGTGACCCGTGACCCTCAGGAACCAAGCATTTTGCAAGTTCTTCCCTTTCACACCCTTTGACCTCTGCAATGTGAACAGGAAAAATAAAGCCAAGTAAAATAGCTGACTTATACAGTCTTCATTCTGGCATGGACCTGGCCTGAAGTGGGTTCACTTCTCATTAAGGTTACTCATTGCTTTTTTACAGTATAAGCAATGGTAAAGTGTCTTTCATGCTTTAAGTGTCTGTAGTAATTTGTATGTAAGTGTCAAATACCAAGGCACAGTCAATCTTGTCTTATTTTTAAAAACTTAAAGTACCAAGTGAAAAACTCATTTCCATTTTCAAAGGCACAATTAAATTTCAGGCTTTTAATCTTTTAAAACCCTATATATATTTTTTTTTTTGAGATGGAGTCTTGCTCTCTTGCCCAGGCTGGAGTGCAGTGGTGTGATCTCGGCTCACTGCAACCTCCGCCTCCCAGGTTCAAGCGATTCTCCTTCCTGCCTCAGCCTCCCAAGTAGCTGGGACTGCAGGCGCATGCTGCCACGTCCGGCTAATTTTTTGTATTTTAGTAGAGATGGGGTTTCACCGGTGTTGCCCAGGCTGGTCTCGAACTCCTGAGCTCAGGCAATCCGCCTGCCTCGGCCTCCCAAAGTGCTAGGATTACAGGTGTGAGCCACCGCTCCCGGCCTTAAAACCCTATTAACCAGACTCTGTCTCTAATTGATTCTGGAGAAAATTGCAAACTTCATCTTCCTCAACTGTTGCCACATAGTCATCATTTCTTATAGAATAAGGCACTGATCCCATCTCAATCTAGTAACTTGACCTCAGTGTATCTTTTGAGGTTTCCCTTTTGCTATTCCTTCTGTAGCTGTCAAGTTAGACTCCCAAACTTTAGAATAAATCCCCAATAATTGCTCGGCCACAGAATGTACGCATTTTCAAAACTTTGCATATGCATTGATGAGTTGCTCTCTCACTAGCTGTGAACAAAAGGTCTCCTTTTCCCCAAACTAGTTGGTAAGGGTTTGTGATAAAGGAGGACTAAATATATATGTATATATATTTAGGGACAAGGTCTCACTCTGTCACCCAGGCTGGAGTGCAGTGGCATGATCATAGTTCATAACAGTCTCGAACTCCTGGGCTCAAACGATCTTCCTGTCTCTCTGCCACCTGAGTTTCTGGGATTACAGGCGTGAGCCAGTGCACCTGGCCTTCCTTCGATTTTTGAAATTCCCAAGCTACTCATTTTTTCTCTTCCTCTGAACGCCTGAGCACGTTCCTCTTTTATTCTTTGTTTACTTATTTTCACACCAGCAAGGTTAATACTTCACACATAGTGAGCCCTCAGGAATATTTGTCAATATTTGTCAAGTGAGAATATCACTATTTCAGCAACTTTTTTTATTAACTTAAAAAATAATGCCTATTGCTTTTTATGATGATAAAAGTAAGACAGTACCAGCTAATTGCAGAAAACTTGCAAAAGGCTAAAAACAGTGAAGAGCCATAATCCCACAACTTGGGCATAAGCATTATTTACATTTTGGCTGACAAATAGTCAAACTTTATCCAGCAGATGAAGCTGAATCCCAGAAGAGAGGCACAAAATTTTAATTTGTGTTTTGCTTTGTTTCTGTGAACATTCAAATAATGTCTGGAGTGGATGTAGGTTAGAATGTAAATCTATAGGCCCCAGATTAAATAAAAGAAGCCCTGAATGTAGCCGGGCATGGTGGCTCATGCCTGTAATTCCAGCACTTTGGGAGGCTGAGGCAGGTGGATCACCTGAGGTCAGGAGTTCGAGACCAGCCTGGCCAACGTGGTGAAAGCCCGTCTCTACTAAAAATACAAAAATTAGCCGGTTGTGGTGTCGCACTCCTGTAGTCCCAGCTACCCAGGAGGCTGAGGCAGGAGAATCTCTTGAACCCGGGAAGTGGAGGTTCCAGTGAGCCAAGATGGTGCCACTGCACTCCAGCCTGGGAGATAGAGGGAGACTCAAAAAAAGAGGGCTGGGTTTGGTGGCTCACACCTGTAATTCCAGCACTCTGGGAGGCCGAGGTGGGTGGATCATTCCAGGTCAGGAGTTCAAGACCAGCCTGGCCAACATGGTGAAACTCCATCTCTACTAAAAATACAAAAATTAGCCAGGCCTGGTGGCTCATGCCTGTAATCCCAGCTACTCGGGAGGCTGAGGCACGAGAATGGCCTGACCCCAGGAGGCAGAAGTTGCAGTGAGCCGAGATTGCGCCACTGCACTCCAACCTGGGTGACAGCGCAGGACTCCATCTCAAAAATAATAATAATAATAAAATAAAATAAACCCTCAATTTTATTTACCCAGAAAAAAGAGTGCCAACTCTTTTTGCACATCCTCCAAACCTTCTCAACTGTATTTTTCAAGAACAATCGATAGTTGACATGACTTCTCTGTGTGTGGAGGTGTGCGAGCATGGGGGATCTGCATTCTTATCCTGCAGATAATCAATGAGGAATGAGTGTAAACGTTCCATTCCTGTATACGTTTTCTTGTTTCTAGCTTAGGCCACCTGTTACCAGATAAGGATTTCCTAGCAGTAAATTAATTAAACCTTTACCTATCTTGAAGTCCAACAATACATAATTTATATTATTTTTCTCCTGGACTAAAATTTATTTTGCATTTTTAATGATTACCATTTGCAAAATAATAAGTGATGTATTTTGGGAGTGGGTGAGGGAGAAATGGGAACAGAAAGTGTATATTGAAGTTATATTAGAGAGAAAGCTTTTTTCTAAACAGCAATTTTCGTATGAAAAACAGAGGTTATTTGTTAATTGTATTTCAAAGCTACACGGAAGGGCTTGTATTTCTGGCTGGGGGTGGTGGTTCAAAGAGATGCTTCTTGGAAACTCAGCAAAATGATGACAGAAGTCAAAGCACATATGGTTATAGAATCACTAATCCCCTTGGAAAATGCATTTTGTGATCAGACAAGAAGTGACAAGTGGCCGGGCACGGTGGCTCATGCCTGTAATCCCAGCACTTTGGGAGGCCAAGGCAGGCGGATCACCTGAGGTCGGGAGTTCGAGACCAGCCTGGCCAACATGGTGAAACCCCATCTCTACTAAAAATACAAAAATTAGCCAGGTGTGGTGGTGCACGCTTGTAATCCCAGCCACTTGGGAGACTGAGGCAGGAGAATCGCTTGAACCCGGGAGGCAGAGGTTGCAGTGAGCCGAGATCACGCCATTGAACTCCAACCTGGGTGACAAGAGCGAAAGTCCGTCTCAAAAAAAAAAAGTGACAAGTGACTAATTAAATAGAAGTTAGTGTAGGTTGTTGTTGTATTTTTTTTCCATAAAGAAGCTGATAGAATCAATATATCATTTTATTAGTTGAAAGCGCAGTGAACCTAAGTCAAGCAATCTAGACCCTGCTTTTGAAAAAGTTGGTTTAGTTTTTAAAACCAAATGGGATTCTCGTGAAGCAAAAAATATTTAGTCACAAATTACAGATGTGTGACTTGCAGTGAAGGGTCATGTGTGCAAGAGTTATGAGAGATGGGAGAAGAGAGAGAAGGTGAGGGAGGGAGGACAAGCATGCAGATAAGTTACCTGAAATTCTCCTACTTTTTTCAAACCTAAAGGTCAGAATGTTATGTTTTAAAACTTTGTAATATGGCTGTTTGTGTTTCTATGTCACCATCTGGCTGTGCTGGCTAAAAACAGCTCCATGTTGGATGTATCAAGTCCTTCTAGACTTCACCCCCCATCTTCCATTCCCATCATTTCATACACACAAACACACACACACACACACACACACACACACACGAGAAGGAAATCATTAGCCATTACTTTTTCTAAAAGTTAATTTTGTCTAGTCAATAAAGTAAAACAATGTTCCTGGAGATCTCAAAGTGAGATACTGATTTGGTGAACATGTTTCCTGAACCAAAAAAAATCAAGGCGCGTAGTCTGACCGGTGCAAACAGAAGTGGAAATAAATATTTGAGAGTAGGACTATCCAGAAGAGAAGTTTTCCTTCTGTGATTGGTCTAAAATAAGCTAGTAGAACTAAAAGCATTAAAGTTCCATCTAAAAATAAAATGGAATTGTTCTCTCTGACAAGAAGAAATTGTATAAACATAGGAATATAAATAGCTAGAAAGAAAAAGACAATAGAGCATAATTCTGGGACTACTTGGCCCCATTAGTAAACAAATCATTTAGACCGAGGAATAAGGAGTTACTGATCAGGCAAGCAGGATCATTCACTATGAGAGCTTATCCAGAAGACATATGATGTCTGGAATTTGCTTTAAAGTAATATAGGTGAAGACGAAGTGTGTAAGGGAGAAGGTGACACTAGATGGGTCATGAATTGATCATTGTTGAAGCTGGGTGATGGTTCTTTGGGGATTTATTACACTAGGATCTCCTCACTATTGGATATATTTAAAATTTTCCATAATCAAAAGTAAAAAAAGCAAAACAAACAAAAACACTCTGGACACAACAGAGTCCTTGTTTCTGAAGTCACCTCACTATTTTAATTTTTTTTTTTTTTTGAGACGGAGTCTTGCTCTATTGCCCAGGTTGGAGTACAGTGGCAGATCTCGGCTCACCGCAACCTCCTCCCAGGTTCAAGCGATTCTCCTGCCTCAGCCACCCGATTAGCTGGGATTACTGGCATGCTCCACCATGCTTGGCTAATTTTGTATTTTTAGTAGAGATGGGATTTCTCCATTTTGGTCAGGCTGGCCTTGAACTCCCAACCTCAGGTGATTCGCCCGCCTCAGCCTCCCAAAGTGCTGGGATTACAGGCATGAGCCATCGTGCCCAGCTCTAAAGATTTTTTTAAAATAAAATTTATTCAGGACTAGTAGACGTGTGTGAATTGTTGCCTGTCTCAGGGAAAGGAGAAAAGAAAAATAGGAATGGGGCCAGGCGTGGCACCTCATGCCTGTAATCCCAGCACTTGGGGAAGCCAAGGTGGGCGGATAGATTGAGCCCAGGAGTTCAAGACCAGACTGGGCAACGTAGTGAAACCCGGTCTCTAAAAAAAATACAAAAATCAGCCAGGCGTTGTCGTGGGCGCCTTTGGTCCCAGCTATTAGGGAGGCTGAGGTGAGAGAATCACCTGAGCCCAGGAGGTGGAGGTTGCAGTGAGCCAAGATCGAACCACTGCACTCCAGCTTGGGCAACAGAGGAAGACCCTGTCTCAAAGAAAAAAAAAAAAAAGTACTGATTTAGACATTTATTTCACCCTTGAAAAGGAGCTCTACTAGTCTACTCTGTAACCCCGCACTTTGGGAGGCTGAGGAGAGCAGATCCCTTGAGGTCAGAAGTTTGAGACCAGGCTGGCCAACATGGCAAAACCCGGTCTCTACTAAAAATACAAAAATTAGCCAAACATGGTGGTTCATGCCTGTATTCCTCATTACTTGGGAGGCTGAGGCAGGAGAATCGCTTGAACCTGGGAGGCAGAGGTTGCAAGTGAGCCGATATCGTGCCACTGCACTCCAACCTGGGTGACAGAGCAAGACTCTTTCTCCAAAAAAAAAAAAAAAATTACCTGCATTAGGATTAACATTTCCAGTTTTGCAGATTTGGTCATCCAAATCCAAAGCCATTTGGGTTGGTAAATGGTTTGACAGTATTTGTTCTTATTTCTTGTAAAAGGCAATGAATAGTTGGCTCCCAGAGTGTCATTAGGGGTTATTCACATTTGCTGATGATTAACCACTAATGGCTCTTGGACTCCAGACACTGACTTCAACTTACCACTTTCCGCCCCGATTAGAAAGGCCTTCCCCAGTCTAAACACAACTGTGTCCCATTTCAGATGCCTGCTCAGGTTTTTATACAAGATTTGTGAAAAATCTCCTTTAACACAAATGAGAACGAAACGTAAATGTCCGATAATTGGGCATTGGTACATAAATTATATCCATAGTTACAATGGACTATTATTTAGTTGTTAAAAACGGATGTAGGCTCCCTGAGTCAGTCTAAGATTGGGCTGGTGTCTTCCTCTCCACACTTACATCACTCCAAAGGTAGTAACTGTTAATCTTTCTACACTTATCCTTCCAGAAAAATACAGGCATACAAAAATTTTATGCAAAAGGGATAATATTGTAGAGTTCTATACCTGGCTTTTAAATAAAACAACTTAACATCTATTAATAATCTTTCCATGTCAGTTCAGTCTGATTTACTTTATTGTTGTAATGACAGAAAAACAAAGTTTTCATGTCCCCCCCTCCATGTTTTTTGGTTATCTGGATTCCTTTTTAGGTAAAATACAAATCTACAGGCTGTCCAACTTTTTAAACACAGAGTTTTTCTTTTCTACGGTTTGTATAAGCCCTTCATGAATTAAGTCAATTGGGCTTATGCCTGAATGTGCTACAACTATTTTTCCAAGTTTCTTAGCTTTTGAAAATTTTATACAATTTTTCCTTAAACATAAATTCTTTCTAAGAAACAAAGTACTTATAAACATTTATATCTCATCATTTCTTGATTTTGTGCTCTGGTTAGAAAGGCCTTCCCCACTCCAAGATCATACATTTACTCATGCTTTCTTCTAGAAGTGTGTGTTTCACCCTTGGCACTACTGACATTTTGAACAGGAGAATTCTTGGTGTGGGGGCTGTGGTGTGCGTGGTAGAATGTTGGGCAGCATCCCTGGTCTCTATCCACTAGATGCCAGTAGCAACACCTCCTCTCCAGCTGCAGTCACCAAACATGTCTCCCGACATTGTCAAATGTTCCCTGGAAGGAAAAATTGCCACATACACACCCTGCTTTGAGAACCACTATTCTAGAATATACATAGGTGCATTTTAAATTACTTTTACATTTCATTCAGATGAATTGTACTTATGTTAAGGGAGTGAAATGGAGATTTAGCTTTATTTTTTTAACCGAAGGTAGTCAATTATCCCAATTCAATTTATCTCTGATATGAAAAGCCACCTTTGCCAAAATCTAAATCCCCATTATATTCTAATCTGCCTCCTTATTGTTTCTTCTTTATTATTTCTCCAGCATAAAACTTTTACATTTAAATTATAGACTTCAAAATATGCTTTAATATTTGGAAGGCTTCCCCAGTGTTCCCCTATACCAGCTCTTCTCTTTCAGAATTTCCCCAGCTGCTGTGAGGTTTTAATTTCAATGAACTGTGGCATTGTTTCATCAATTAAAAAGAAAAAGAAAGCCCTGTTGGTATTTTAATGAAAATCACTTTGAATTTAAAGACTGATTTGGGGAGAATAAACATCTTTATATAACTTTCACTATTGGATCTTGCTAGAAAGAATAAGTTGTCTTTTATTTTACTTGTCTTCCTTTATGTCTCTCAGTAGGGTTTTAAAGTTTTCTTTATAAAACTTGCAGAAATTTCTGTCAATTTTATTCCTAGATATTTCATCATTTTATTGCTATTATAAATGGCTACTCTAGAGCTTTGGGAAGAAGTAACTGTGATAAATGGAAATGTGGATGAATTAGCCCTTTAATGGAAAGAAAAGGAATAAGTTAAAAACTGGTACAGTATTCTGAAGGTCTTTTATAATATAAATATAGTACTTAGTCCAATGATTTTTTTTTAAACAAATGGGGACACATTGCCTTCTTGCATTTATAATATTAGTTCACTGCTTTTTGCTCTTTGTCAGATGAGCTTTTAAGCTAATACAAAAATAGGCTGTCCCTTACTTATCATTTTAAAAAGAAAAGAAAAAAGAATATACAAAAAAAATCAATACAATAGAAAAGTTGGCAAAAGTTATGAACAGGATTGTGCAGTAGCTCAACTTGTAATCCAAGCACTTTGGGAGACTGAGATGGGAGGATCCCTTGAAACCAAGGAGTTCAAGACCAGCCTGGGCAACATAGTGAGACCGCATCTCTACTTTTATTAAATAAATAAAAAATCTTTAAAAAATAATGTTATGAATAAGCAAGAAGAAGAAATAAAAATGACTAATACATACACAAAAATGGGCTCACCCTCTCAAAGAAATGTGAACAATAAAAACATTTGGTTCCATTTACTTACCTGGGAGATAGACAAATAGGAAATTGATTGATAATATTCAGCGTTAGTGAGGGCACAAAGAAAGAGATCTCACATAACTTTGGTGAGATTTTAAATAGGTAAGATCATTTGGAGGCAATTTGGCAATATCTATCAAAATTCTGAATGAAACACGTTTTGATGCAGCTATTCCACCTCCCAGAAACTCCTACAGATATGCTCACAGAAGCCCCAAAAGATCTGCATACAAACTAACATTCTGTTGGGCCCAGCCGGTTCATTATCAGTATGCCCCAGTACACAATCAGAAGGGGCTCTTCTAATTGGCTGATGCGCGTATTCTATCAGTTGTTAAATATTTCAAATGTAATTGCACTATCTTTTTGTGCTGAGTTACACATTGGAAACAATTAAATGCTCATTACTAAGAAAATAAATGAAAAAGCAAATTGCAGAATATTAGTATTGTTTAGATTATTGGCTCATGGGTTATACTGGCAGGATAAATTAATTAACTCCCACAGACTACAACTTCTTCATCTGTAAGGTGGGGATAATAATACTTTTTTTTTTTTTCCAGATAGGGTTTCGCTCTTGTCTCCCAGACTGGACAACAGTGGTGCAATATAGCTCACTGCAGCCTTGAACTTCCAGGCTCTGCAGGCTCTAACTCTGTGCACTACAGGTGTATACCACGAAGCCCAGCCAATATAATATGAAAATAATAATAATGAGAACTTTTTTTTTGAGATGTAATTTCGTTCTGTTACCCAGGCTGGAGTGCAATGGCGCAATCTCGGCTCACTCCACCTCCCAGGTTCAAGTGAATTCTCGTGCCTCACGAATTCACTTGAAATTCACTTGAATTCACCATGGGGTTTCACCATGTTGGCCAGGCTGGTCTCGAACTCCTGACCTCAGATGATCTGCCCGCCTTGGCCTCCCAAAGTGCTGGGATTACAGACATGAGCCACTGTACCTGGCCATGAGTACTTCTTAGGGTTGTTTTAAGTAGTAAATAAAATAAAAGAAGGAAAGTATTTGCATACTGCCTGGCATGCTGTATACAATAAATGATTGTATTCTTTCTTTTTTTTTTTTTTTTGAGACGGAGTCTAGCTCTTTCACCCAGGCTGGACTGCAGTGGCACGATCTCGGCTCACTGCAACCTCCACCTCCCGGGTTCAAACGATTCTCCTGCCTCAGCCTACCGAGCAGCTGGGACTACAGGCGCGTGCCACCACTGTGCCACCATGCCCAGCTAATTTTTGTATTTTTAGTACAGACGGGTTTCACCATATGGGCCAGGCTGGTCTCGAGGTCCTGACCTCATGATCCACCTGCCTCAGCCTCCCAAAATGCTGGGATTACAGGCATGAACCATTGCACCCGGCCTGTATTCTTATTTTAAATTATTCTTATAGTCTCACTTTCTTTTCTTTTTTTTTTTTTTTGTCTTTTTAAAATTTTTTAACTTTAATTTACATTTGGTGGTACATGTGAAGGTTTCTTAAATAAGAAAACATGTCACAGGGTTTGTTGTACATATTATTTCATCATCCAGATAAGCCCAGTACCCAAAATTTCTGCTCCTCTCCCTCCTCCCACCCTCCTCACTCAAGTAAACCCCAGTGTCTGATGTTTCCTTCTTTGTGTTCGTAAGTTCTTATCATTTAGCTCCCATATAGTCTCACTTTCATGCATTATTCATTTGATAAATATTGGGTACCTATGATGTGTTAGGCACTGTATTAAGTACATAAAGGTTTTGTTTGTTTTTGTTTTTTGTTGTTGTTGTTTTTGAGACGGAGTCTCACTCTGTCACCCAGGCTTGAGTACAGTGGTGCGATCTCGGTTCACTTAAGTGCATAAATATTTAATAATGAAAATTTTTTAAAAATAAAAAAACAAAACAAATTTAAAAAAAGATTTAATAATGAACATACATTTGAGTGGGAGGTCAGAGGGAAAAAACCAAGCCAACAGTCAAGTAAGCAAAATAATTGAAAACTGTGATGTTATGGAAGAAATAAAGGATTGAGCTAGATTTGTGGTTCTGAACCAGGGGTGATCCTCCTCCCCATGGGGATTTCTATCCCCATGGAACATCTGCCAACATATGGAGACATCTGTGTTTGTCACAGCTTGGGGGAAGGATGCCACTGGCACACACTGGTTAGTGTCCAGGGATGTCACTAAATATCCTACAATGCACAGGACAGCCCCACAAGAAAGAATGATCCAGCCCCAAACGTCAATAGGGCTGTGGTTGAGAACTCCTGAGCCACACGATGGCAGCGGGGCTACCTAATTTAGGTCAGGTGATCAGCGAAGACTCCTCTAAGAAGTAACATTTAGGCCTAGCCTTGACTGGTGAGAAACTGCCAGAGGATCAACAAGTGGTGAAGGAACATCCCGGGCAGAGGGGACTTGGGAACAAGTAACAATGGAAAACCCATTGCCTTTGTGCATAATATACAAATGCCTAAATGAAGAATGGAAGGGGGCAGTTACCAGGTCGGCCATGTCTCACTTAGTATATTCTCTCTTGCTTGAATTTTCAGAACTTTTTTTGTAGTTAAAAAATGAGAAGAAGGCCGGGCGTAGTGGCTCACGCCTGTAATCCCAGCACTTTGGGAGGCTGAGGCGGGCGGATCATGAGGTCAGGATATCGAGACCATCCTGGCTAACATGGTGAAACCCTGTCTCTACTAAAAACACAAAAAATTAGACGGGCGTGGTGGCAGGTGCCTGTGGTCCCAGCTACTCGGGAGGCTGAGGCAGGAGAATGGCGTGAACCCAGGAGGCAGAGCTTGCAGTGAGCCGAGATTGCGCCACTGCACTCCAGCCTGGGTGACAGAGCAAGACTCTGTCTCAAAAAAAAAAAAAAAAAAAAAAAAAAAAAAGAGAAGAAAAGCAAAAAAAAAAAAAAAAAAAAAAGCGCAGACAGATTGGAAGAGAGCTTCTTGTAAAACTGGAGGTAGATTTCAGAGCACAACCCCCCACAGTGTTCAGGAGGCCCTGGCGTCCCTGGCATAATCTGAGGTTAGTTTCTGCCCTCCACATCCATCTGACCTTCTGAAATGACAAGATTTCCCAGAGACCACTTGATTTATAATCAGATAATTTATGTTGGGTACCCAGTTTTATGCCTTTTAACTTTGTTATATTTGGATGTGTTAAGTGATCTTGACTTTTTAAAAAAAATAACTAACATCACTAGTTTGGGCATTAAGTGAGATTAAATAAGTGTTTCATAAACTGTAAAGAATAATACAGACACAGATGTTGAGAATAAGGAGAGTGAAGCTTGTGCTCAAGGAATTATCTTTCCGTTTTTTTGTTTTTGTTTTTGAGACAGAGTCTTGCTCTGTCACCCAGGCTGGAGTGCAATGGCACGATCTCAGCTTTCTGCAACCTCTGTCTCCCAGGTTCAAGCAACCCTCCTGTCTCAGCCTCCCAAGTAGCTGGGACTACAGTCACACGCCACCACGCCCGGCTAATTTTTGTATTTTTAGTAGAGATGGGGTTTCACCATATTGGTCAGGCTGGTCTCAAACTCCTGACCTCAGGTGATCCACCCACCTCGGCCTCCCAAAGTGGTGGGATTACAGGTGTGAGCCACAGCGCCCTGCCTATCTTTTCGTTTTATCCCCTGGATTCCAAAACTCATTTAGGTAAAGAGAAGTGATGACTTGGCTACAGAGGAAAAAGGAGGGCCGGGAAGGGAAGTGCAGGCTAGGAAAAGTGACTAAAAACAAAAGTAGTAGCACCAGTTACACTATTCATGCAAGGAAGCTGAGGAGAATTATCCTGATGGGGCTGATAAAATCACCTCAAGATGGCTCTAGGCCACCCCAGGTTCTTAAGACAATGGTCAGCTCTTTCTTAAGCAGTCCAAGACCCTCTGACCTGAGATGTGACTGGATGATTACAGACCTCTTGTCCAGTGTTTAGAGCCTAGCTGTCTGCATATTTTATAAAGATATCTGCCTTCCAGAGACTGGAAGTGAAAGAGATCCAATGACTGGGTGAGTCACCCTTTCTCCACCTAGAACACAGTCCTTGATGGAACTCATGCTTTATCAATTGTTGTTGAGTAGAAGAAACAAATACATCCTCCAATCTTCACTTGGTGGACCTGGCATCAAAAAATAATCATATTAAGTGCGTTTATTAGTACACTTTTCTGGCTTATCTGCCTTTCCAAGTTTCTATTTGAGTTCTTGCCTTTGAAGGGTTTGCAGGCTGTGAAAAGTAACTTAACTTTTTAACAACTTTCTTTGCTTGGCCTTGAGGCAGCTTCAGAAGATAAGACGCCAAAAGGAACTATGTGTGCCTGGAGAGAAAAAAAATAATGGTGAAAAACGTTTATCAGTAGCCTCCGCCAGCACCAAGCAACGCCTCAATTTTACTCAAGCAATTTCCCAATTCAAGTAACATTCATATGAATCAGCAAATAATATGTAGCAAATTTGAATCTATATACTTTAAAAAAAAAAAAAAAGCACTGGAAAGAATCTTAAAAGTCATTGAATCCGTTTTATAGCAAGGCCCCGAGACTGGAAGGGACTGACAGAGCTAGAAATGAAACTTGTTTTTCCACCTCGAGAAAAACGAATCAACAAAAAATACCCTAAGCAATTGCTGGTATCTGAAGCCCACTTTTTTGAGGCTGTTCCCTTTGTTACGTTGCGCTGACCCTAGGCACTTTCTTCCCAGAATGCACCAAGAATCCGAAACTCCAAACAAGTTTGAGATCAGCGTTGGCTGGGGGGAGGCAGTGGGGGTGCATCTACGGGAGCGGTTGGGCTGTAAGCTTTCGCTACATCACAGAATTGTGCCAGTGTTTCTCTTTGGAGTGCCTCGCCAGCTTTAACAACCGTTTGGATATGACTTGCTCGGGCAAAAGTTGTGCATTGGCCCGATCAAGCCTGACTTCTAGCCAAGGTGAGTTCACATCTCCGTTTTTTCCTCCCCCTAATTCGAAAGAGGCTTTCAATTGTCTCCGCCCCTCCCCCCTTCTCCTGGAAAGTTTGTTTTCAAGCTATAAACCCTTTCCAATTCTCGGTTCCCATCTCGGTTGCCTGAGAATCGCAGTCATTAGCCAAGTCCACTTGGACGAAAGCAAAGCTACCTTTGTGTACATAATGAGAGCCACCGCGTGGCCAAGGAGAACCACGGGGAAGAGGGAAACATTTTTGTCTCGAGCTGGCTAAAGCGGGCGGGGGGGGAGGTAGGGTTAAACCGACCGAAGGCGTGTTTTGTGGAGTGGCTTCGAAAGCGGCCGAGGCAGCCGAAGCCGCTTTCGAAGTTAGCAAACAAAGCGTCTCCCCAGTAACCGCCCGGTTCCAGACGAGGCTCCTGCCACTCAGGCCGCGGAGTCGCAGCGTCGCCCAGCCCCCGGCTCCTCCTCCCTGCGTCTCTCCTCCCTCCGCTCCCGGCTCCCCAGCGGATAGGAGCCACCAATCCCAGCCACAGACAACCCTTCAAACGAAATAGCGAGGCGGCCCCCTCTAACGGGCGGCGGGGGCGCTGGCCCCCTCCCTGCGCCACATCTGTCCCGCACCGGGCGCAGCAGCTGATTCATCTGCAGCCAGGTCCGGGAAGGAACTGTGCTCCCGGCAGTTGCAGGGCAGCGTCCGGGCGGGTGGCTTGTCCCCAGGACCGCGCTCCCCCCGAGCCGTTTTAGGTGTGTGTTCTCTTCTGTCCCGAGCAGTCAGCAAACCACAGAAGAAAAAAATCGTAAGGTTGCTGCCTTCTTAGAGAGACGCTTTTTTTCCCTGTTGATTCATTTTAGTCCTGTAATTGGAAAAACCACCCAGGCTTTTTAAACTCTGGCCTCCACGCATTCTAGGGGCGGGGGTGTCTTTTTTTTTTTTTTTTTTTTTGAGGGAGGGTGGCAGGCTAGCTCTAGTTCCTGAAACAGACGCTCCGAAGTCGAGTTAGTTATCCCTTGGCCGTCTTAGTACTCCTCGGGTTTAATCTTATTTCCACAGAGTTTCTTCTGCCGGGATCTCCACCGAGGTTACCGAACAAAAACAGCACAGAGCCCAGACTGGAGGCAGACCCGGGCGCTGTCTCTGCTAGGCTTATTTACGTTTAGGGCTTTTCTTTCCTTTTTTTAAAGTGATGGGGGAAGTCTCATTGTGTGGCATGTGACAGTTCGTTTGCTTCAAAACAACAGGACGTAACCACGCGAAAACTAGAACCAGAGGAGGGGGCATGCGTTTCTTCAAGTCAGCCAAACAGCATCTGGTCTTTGAAAGCGCAATTTCATCAAGAAACTCCTGTTGGATCCCTCCTAACTGTGGACCAAAATAAGCCAACAGGAACGGGTGTTTACTTAATGGCTAGTTTCTGTTTGAAATGGGAGGAGGGATCCCCTAGCAGGGTTCCAATCCGAAGAGTAGACACTGTTGACCGAAACAGACGAGCAGGCACGGCGTGGTCACCCCTTAGCTATAAAAGTGGCCGCTGCCGGGGTTCGGCGACTCGGGGTGTCAGGCGGAGTCTTGGTGAGGCAGGCGCGCGCCCGGCCGTCCCCGGGCAGAGACGTTTAAAGAGCATGTGAGCGTGACAAGTGTCTGTCCGCAACGTGTCAGATTTCGAAACTGCCTTGCAATCCAGTCCGGAACTCGCAGCTTTAGCCCGGGGGAACAGACGTTCGTTTAGGCTGTGTCTCATCATTCCCCCCCGCCCCACCCCCGCCGACCTCCCACTGTCGCTGCTGGAGGAAGAGCCCCGGGAGGAGAAGGGTGCGCCGCGCCGCGCCCGCGTGTCAATGGCAGCCGCGCATTCTGGAAGAAGTTGGTTCTTGTCTCGAATACTTTTCCTCCCGTGCCCCGCCCCTTGAATCAGAGGCGGCTGTCTCGTGCGGCTAGAGCAGGGCCAGTAGAGTTCGGGGCAGCTGTCAAAAACGAGACGGGGAGGCTTTTCTTCCCGGGGGTGGAGGAGGGAAGGAGGGAGGTGTCCTTTTTTCCATCTGTTGCAGTTTCCGAACCAAACGCACCCTCGCCAGCCCCGGGAAGAAAGGCCCAAGGGAGAAACCTGGGGCGCTCGGCTGGTGCCCCCACCGCCGGGCGAGGGATGCGGGCGGTCCGTGCGCGGCAGGCGGAAAGGATCGTGTTTCTGGACCCGGCCACCCCCCGCGTCCGCACCGCCGCCCCCGAGGGACGAGTGACAGCGGCCGCCGCGCTCGGTCCAGTCTTCCCGGCTGGAAGGTGCGGGGGAGGGGCGGAGGAGCGGCGGGGCGGGAGGGGGACGGGGCGGGCGGCTGGGGGCGGAGGCAGGACCTCCTGTACCTTCCCTCCTCGCCTCTCTCACTCTGACAGCGCCGAGGTGCGCCGAGCAGGAGCAGGGAACAAAGGAGCGGAGAGGGGAGGGGAGAGAGTTGGGCGAGGGAGAGCCCCCGGCCGGCTGCCAGAAGATCCCGGCGGGAGGAAGCCCAAGTGTCACTTGAATTCCACCCAAGGAGCGGGCGCCTGGGATCAGAGCGTCCTGTTTAGCAATAACGGCTGGAGCACGTCCTACAAGTTACGGGAGAGTCGGCTGTGAAGGAGACGTTCGCTTATCCCCTGTGTCCCCGCTCCTGGCCCCTCCAGACCCCCGCCTTGCCTCGCGCTGGGAGGGGAGATCCAGAATGAAAGGCAAGAAAGGTAAGGCGGCCGCGGGCTGCGCGCACCAGAAGACGCGAGTCCGGGGAAACGTGCTGGCCGGGCCGCGCCGCGCGGAGTCACTTGGTGGACTTTTCCGCCCAGGGGCTCTCATGCTGGAGTGGCGGCCGTGCTCTTTGTTGAGGCTGCGTCTGAAACGGCAGCGGCTGTTTTCCTGCTAGACACAACACGAGGGGCTGTTGTGGGGCGAGCCTCTCCACGCTGCTGGCACGTTGTCAAGAAACACGCTCAGCGCCTTGTTTGTGCGCCTGCAAGTTTCATTGTCTCCGCCGACACCCCACGCTCGGCCCAGCCGCCGCGTGGCTTCTCGCTCTTTCTCGCGTGCTGGGGATATGGGGTCCGAGTAGGGAGGACCCAGCCCCTCGTTTTTCCCGATCCGGACCCAGGCGGCCGGGGCCGCGGGACCGCCGCGGCTTTGTCTGAAAGTTCCACTCCTAGGCTCCCCCCGCCCCCGCCCCCGCCGCCCCCCTACTCCCAGCCGGGCCCTAGCACTGTTCTTTAGGGATGTGGTGTTTTTACGATCGAAGGAATGCGATTCTGGACCCCCTCATCGCCCTCGGGTGTAAACAGCTTTGGAAAGCTAGACTTTTACAAATCCCCAGTCTCTAAAAGTTTTCCCACGATGAATTTTGGGGCAGGAGGAAGAGTTAGCACCCAGGGCCAGCAGCTTCAAGCGGCATGCAGTCAAAATGCGTCCAAATGTGACAAGCAGGCTTGGTTGTAAGTGCAAAGAGCAAGGCTGTCATTGTTTCCACGAAGTGTTCTGGAAGCTTTACAACTAAAACTTGCCGTCAGTTTGGTTTAAAAACAAAATACACCGGAGGGGGACGGGGGGTGGAGAAACCACACAAAACACCCCGAAAGGTCAGAGTGTGAAGTCCCTTTTGAAGTTAACAAAAATTGAGTCCCTGGCTGGGAGGTCCCCCGAGTGTTCCGCTGTGGGCTGGAGGTGGCGTTTCTGTCGTGATTTATGTGGAGTGGTTCAAAACAGAAGTTAATCACTCGGGAAGCGGACGGGAGGGGCGGCGCTACTGCGCATGCCCGGGAGCCGCCTGGAGTTTGGAACTCCACATTCTTTCAGACCCGGCCCGCTGCGGGGCGTTCCTGGGGGGTAGCCTCAAGGCCAGCGGGGTTCCTTCGGCTGCGTTTCTGTGGGAGGCCCTGAAACGCGCGGAGCTTCCCTCTGCCTCCAGGCTTTCCCAGCGAGAGTGAAATTAAACTTGAAACTCGGATCAACTGGCAGTCGTTGTTGGTAGAACGCCCTAAGGACCCCTCCCCGCGGGACGGAGGGAGGACTCGGGACAGGGAATTGGCCCTGGGAGAAAACGCGCGGGGGGCGTCCGAGACGCCCCGTGAAAGCCGTGCCGACCCTTGGGAGGACTGACAGGTCTAGAGACACGCGCTGTCTGTTGTGGTGGGCCTCCCGGGAATAAGTGAGGGGCTCTGTGTTTCGAGGATGGTTCTAGCGCAGAGCCGGGTGTCTGCCGGGGTGGGCTCCCCGCATTGTTCGGGCTCCGGCGGGGGCGGCTCTGATTCCTTTCCATGGCCCGCCTCCCACCCCGGGAATCCCCAGTGCTCCTTTTCCACGGCTTTTCTGGCGTCCCCCCGACTCTCCCGCGGCACTTTGGCCTACCTTCCCCCAGCGCCGTGGTCCTCCCTGGCGACCCCCTCTGCGCTCCTGGGGTCCTCCTGCGCCCCCCCTCCTCCACCGGCGCGCTGCCCACAGCCGCGTGCCCTCTCCCCGGAGCTGGGGACCAAGGCTGGGCCCCGCCGGCCGCATCGGTGGGAACTTCCGCGGTCCCCATCCCAGGGCGCACAGGGTCCAGCTCCTCGGCGCCGACTCCTGGAAACAATGAAAGGTGACGGGCTGAAGGGGAAACTTTGCGACTGGTTCAGGGCTCTTTGGGGGAGCCGAGGCTGCCGAGGTTACCCGGGTTTCTTTCCCCTTTTAGGTTTCCCTGGCGAGTCGTCTGGGGTGGGCAGGCCTCTGAGAAGGTGGGATTCACGGCCTCATTTCTAGTTTCTTGGGTCCTGGAGTTCCTTTGCTTGTGCTAACTCGTGCAGTGTGCGGGCCGGCCTGTTTCACTTGAGGCCGAGGAACTCTCAAGAACAAAAGCTACTTGCTTTTCCTCCTTGGGCCCCTCCCTCTCCCCGTGCTCCTCCGCCGTCCTCCTCTAAAACTACCTGGGAGGGGGGAGCCTTCCCCGTCGGCTCTGGAAAGACTCCTGAGGAAGTCGGGCCCTCCTTACTGTCTTGTCTTATAAAAGTCTGCAAATCTTTTCAAGTTTTCTTAAAACAAGTGCACTTTCAGCTCCATTCCTGAGCCCGGGGTAAGCTTGGTTTGTGATAATAGTGTGTCCTCCCAGAAAGCTGAGAGTGACGCCAAAAGATCTCCTAAAATGACTTAAAAACAATGAGAAGGATCGATAAGGAAAATCCACTAAGTCTTTTTGCTCCCAGTTTTTAACTGTTGAATTCCTGCTTTGGGATTGCTCTTTGGCTGGGGTAGCCAACCATACCTTGGATTTGGTGGCTTGAGTGTTCAATGCCTGTTGCTTCTCCCAAGGAGATACTGATTTTTTTTTTCTTTTGTTCCTGGAGACCGGGTCTGGCTATGTTGCCCAGGCTGGTCTCGAACTCCTGGGCTCAAGAAATCCTCTCGCCTTGGCCTCCCAAAGTTCTGGGATTACAGGCAAGAGACATTGCTCCCAGCTCAAAGGAGAACTTCTGGTCAGGAAACTTGTTGAGTTAAATTTGCTTTTTCCTAATTGTGCATCTCGACTTTTCCCATCAATCTTATTTCTAGAGTCTCTTCACAACCGGTGTCTCCCTGCCTCCCTGTCTCATGATGTTACCGAGCTATTCAGAAAAGAAAGTGCAGGGCTGGGCGCGGTGGTTCACGCCTGTAATCCCAGCACTTTGGGAGGCCTAGGCGAGCAGATCATCTGAGGTCGGGAGTTCGAGACCAGCCTGACCAACATGGAGAAACCCCGTCTCTCCTAAAAACACAAAATTAGCCGGGCGTGGTGGCTTTTGCCTGTAATCCCAGCTATTCGGGAGGCTGAGGCAAGAGAATCGCTTGAACCCTGGAGGCGGAGGCTGCGGTGAGCCGAGGTTGCGGCATTGCACTCCAGCCTGGGTGACAAGAGCGAAACTCTGTCTCAAAAAAAAAAAAAAAAAAAAAAGAACGTGCAGGAACAAGGTCGCTGCTTAGGGCGGTGGGATCCTCAGGCCATGTTGTGGCTTTCTCCACAACATTTCCTTGTATGTGGATAGCGTGAAAGAAGCTTGTGATCCTGCCCCCACCCTCCCCACCGCCACATTTTTTAAAGTGTAAGCAAAGCAAGACGTTTGGAAACAAGTCTTAACCGGGAAACTTTTCAAAAGCGCTGTTACAATAGGAAATGAGTAAGGAGGAAAAAAGTCTTTGTTTTTCCAAGCTGAGCCACAACTAGGAGGGAGAGTTTTAATGAAAACAGTCCTGACAGCAGCAAACGTGGTTTTACTGCAGTGAAATATCAGCTGGCGTAGCCAAGGCACTGAAGTCTTAACTTCCTGTTACTTCAGCTTTTGTGCACATATTGGAAATATTTGTTAAGAGTTCCAGAGGTCTGGCATTCATTTATTTAAATGAACTGAGAACAGAGTAAAGTCGCGCTGCAGTTTGGTGTTGCTTAACTGAAACCTGCTTTTGTGTGTCACTAACCTATTCTGAAAGATCAGGCTTCTTGTCAAACTAGGCAAGCAGATCAAAGGGCAGCCTTCAGGGGCTTTTTTTGTTTCAAACTCTTTGTGATTACCAACTTACAGTTGGGAATTCACTGTTCAATGAGCAAATTTTCACACTTTTTCTAGATTAAAAAAAGGAAGGAGATAATAGCCTTGAGAAGAATGTCTGGCTTTTCAGACGTTGGAGAGTTTAAACAAATTGCTTTATTCAAATTTGCTTTAGTCATTTAATTAACTTAACACTTTTTTTAAAAGTTCGATTTCTTTAATTATTAAAGCCAATGTGAGACAGGAACTCAGCTATAATTTCTTTAAGCTATTTTATTAATAGTTCTTCACCCAAATTTCAATATAGGTTTTGAAAGTCTCATCTTGCCAATAGTGAAAGTAGTTTCAGTTTTAAATGGGCACTTTTAAAAACCTTTTTAAAAACTTAAATCATCAGGGGAGGGGAATTTCAAATACATGGCAGTTAAAACTTAGGATTCTTGTGCAGTTTATTTGTAGCTGTTTGTTAAGCTGTGAGCTAAAGTGAATTTGCAAGATCATCCACCTCTTTGTTAGAACTTTACTTTGTCTTTGGAGAGTTCTGCCTTTTGTAGGAATACCCTGCAGCACCTTCTGCCCCCTGCAGTCCAAAACTAAAAATGTGTCACCAAGTCAGAGTCATTAAAAGGGTGGGAAAAATTCCTTTAAAAAACACGGTGTTTAGCTTAAGAGGAATATTCCGTGTTTATTTCCTGTCAAGGGGAACTGGCTCAATTAAGGTCAAGTCATATTTTCAACCAAAATTACATACTACAGAGGAAAGAAAGCATACAAAGCTAAAAATGCTTACCTTTACATTTTTGTTATTTTAATTACTTCCCCTAATATAGAAGTACTGATTTTTTTCAAGCATGCCATTGTTTGTAATTCATTTCTGTTTTTAAGATTCTAGATTGTCTACAAGCAAAAGAATGTATTTCTTTAGTCATTCGGAGTAGCCTGCTGTAGTTTTTGAAAGGTGGAATTAATAGCGTTTGTTATTTAATTTTTTTTAAGTTCAGAATGATGTTTAAATATCTGTAAAGGCCAGTTCTGGAGCTTTATTGAACCCCGTCCATCTGTGATTTAAATATTCTCTATGGCTTGTGAATTCTTAAAATTTCTGGCAGGATTAAAGTACTTACAGCCAAAAGAGCTTCCTCTGGGGCTTGCATATTCAGTTTCCTTTGTCATGTAATCATTTAAGACTGAACTCTGCTTATTGATATGTAGTATTCTATTCTAGGTTGAGCTCAAACTGGTAGCTGAAATTTAGGAGACATTTTTAATTCATTTAGTATTAGGCATCTTTTGACCTTACTAAAGTACCAGTAGTAGAAAAATATTTTTGTGTGATGAAACTGAAAACATCAGTGGTCGTATTTAATAAAAGGTGACTAGTACTGCCCATTTAAAGTAGGTGTCTAACTTTGAATAAATGTGGATAGCAATGAATAAGAAATGACCATGCATGGTGTTAGCAGAAAATTTTAACATGTGTTTTACCTTTAGAATACTAACTGGGTTCAGCGTAGTATGTAATTTTCCTTCCTTATATCCATGAAAAAAAATGTACGAGTGCTCCCTTTCATTTCAAACCTTCAGTAGAGGAAGGAGGAAGAGTAGCATTTAAAATGTACATTAGGACTGGTTAGGTTGCTTTTCCTAGTTAGCACTGATCTTAGAAAGAAGGTTGGTAGGCATATTCCAACTGCCACAGCACCCTTCCTGTTTCAAATGTGGCAGGTTATTCATTTTGGGTGCAGTTTGTCTCCTCCAATGATTAGACGAAAGAGTTTTCTGACCATCATTCAAAAGGAATGTGAGAAGTTAATGAATCCTAGAGGAAAGCGGCTGAGAAAAGGCATCTGGCATTTGGTTGAGAGCCTCCTATGTGGTGCTAGTCAAACTACTTTTACTTGGACCCTGAATTCAGGACAGAAAACACTGCTCCTTCTCCTCGCTCTCAGTTGTTGGGAAAGCATGGTTACATTGAATGGTCAGCGTTAAGTGAGCTTTGCAATAGTTGCTGTGCTTATAAAGCAACTGACAACTGGCCCTTGTCCTTTCCTAGGTATTGTTGCAGCATCTGGCAGTGAGACTGAGGATGAGGACAGCATGGACATTCCCTTGGACCTTTCTTCATCCGCTGGCTCAGGCAAGAGAAGGAGAAGGGGCAACCTACCCAAGGAGTCTGTGCAGATTCTTCGGGATTGGCTGTATGAGCACCGTTACAATGCCTATCCTTCAGAGCAAGAAAAAGCGTTGCTGTCCCAGCAAACACACCTGTCTACGCTACAGGTAAAGAAAGAGAGCGTGAGGTTTATGGATGCATTTTTAGTTTCAAAGTCATTTTATGGCATTCCTGTGTGTCAAGTCATTAAGCTCCTTGCCACTCAAAGACAGAAGGAATATCTTTTTATTGTAAACTTGATAGTGTTAAAAGCTAATAACTAGCTATTTAGAGAACACAGAAACACTTGACAGTCATCTATCAGATAGCATTTCCTTTAATGCCTAAAAGAACCTTCCTTTATGCAACAGACATTAAAAGGAGGTTAAACCTTACTCTATTGTCCAGGAAACTGGTTTGATATTTAAACAAGGACGACTTCAGTGAGGTAATTCATGTTATGTCTGTTGACACAGTCATTTGAACTGGGAAAAATCAGTTACTGGGAGGAGTGGCCCTTTTCATAAGGAGAGGTTTTCCTGTAGTTGATTAACTTAAATGTTGGGGCAGTAGGTGATAGGTTAAAATGGGGAGAGTTAAAAAGTAAACCTCTCTCTCAAATCATTTTTAAGCATTTGAGATTGTATGTCTTTTTCTTCGTCCTGAAAAGGTTTAAGTATGAAGAGACAAAAAAGGAAATTTGTATTAGAAACTAGAAGGCTTATGACAGGTGGTAGCTTGCTTTCTTGGCGGAGCTCAGATACCTTGAAATAACATTGTAAATTCAGATAAGGCTTTTCATGCTTTCTTTAATTCAGAGAGCAAGATCAATTAGGTACCCCATAGAACATTCTCAGAACCCGTTGGCTGAGTGAATGAGGAAAATGTTAAAGCGTACCGATATGATTTCAGGTCTGTAACTGGTTCATCAACGCCCGCCGCAGGCTCCTCCCTGACATGCTGAGAAAGGATGGCAAAGATCCAAATCAGTTCACAATTTCCCGCCGTGGGGCCAAGATTTCTGAAACGAGCTCTGTGGAGTCCGTGATGGGCATCAAAAACTTCATGCCAGCTCTAGAGGAGACCCCATTTCATTCCTGTACAGCTGGGCCAAACCCAACCCTAGGGAGGCCACTGTCTCCTAAGCCGTCATCCCCGGGATCAGTTTTGGCTCGTCCATCAGTGATCTGCCATACCACTGTGACTGCATTGAAAGATGTCCCTTTCTCTCTCTGCCAGTCGGTCGGTGTGGGACAAAACACAGATATACAGCAGATAGCGGCCAAAAACTTCACAGACACCTCTCTCATGTACCCAGAGGACACTTGTAAATCTGGACCAAGTACGAATACACAGAGTGGTCTTTTCAACACTCCTCCCCCTACTCCACCGGACCTCAACCAGGACTTCAGTGGATTTCAGCTTCTAGTGGATGTTGCACTCAAACGGGCTGCAGAGATGGAGCTTCAGGCAAAACTTACAGCTTAACCCATTTTCAAGCAAAACAGTTCTCAGAAATGTCATGATTGCCGGGGTGAAGGCAAGAGATGAATTGCATTATTTTATATATTTTTTATTAATATTTGCACATGGGATTGCTAAAACAGCTTCCTGTTACTGAGATGTCTTCAATGGAATACAGTCATTCCAAGAACTATAAACTTAAAGCTACTGTAGAAACAAAGGGTTTTCTTTTTTAAATGTTTCTTGGTAGATTATTCATAATGTGAGATGGTTCCCAATATCATGTGATTTTTTTTTTCCTCCCCTTCCCTTTTTTTGTTATTTTTTCAGACTGTGCAATACTTAGAGAACCTATAGCATCTTCTCATTCCCATGTGGAACAGGATGCCCACATACTGTCTAATTAATAAATTTTCCATTTTTTTTCAAACAAGTATGAATCTAGTTGGTTGATGCCTTTTTTTTCATGACATAATAAAGTATTTTCTTTAAAAATTGTTGTAATTCAGAGTATTTCTGTTGAGGGAGGTGCTTCTTAAAAATAAGTAGGAATATAGCACCCCAGTGAGCAGGAAGCTGGGGGGGTAGGGTGCAGTGTTAGGGGGTGTCACCAGCTCTTTGAAAACCTGTGGACAACAAGCCAGTTTGCATAAACAGGATGTGTGATATTTACTCTTGATAGGAGGCATAGCAGGCCCTTAGAGCTTTACTTAAACTGCATGGCAAATTGAAATGAATCATTTTAGTGTTTAGCTAGCCACTAAATCCCTTGCTGATCTGTCCTGCGTAGTTTAAAACGTGGCCATGTTATAAAGAAAAGTCTTGAAGCATCCGGTTATTGCTGAGTTTTCAGAAGAAAACAACGCAAGCAATCTCTTGCCCTTTTTCCACGTTACCCTTTAAAATAACCTTTGTTCAGTGGTACATTTAGTTAAGGCATTTGTATTCAAATGTAGCATAGTATTTGCAGAGAAATTACCTTTTAAAACATCTCAAAAGTGTTTTCTAAAATGATGAAATAAACGGTGGGGTTCTGTCTATGGTGGGATTGTCAGTTTATTAGGTGAGTATTTTCCAAGGTCTCAGTTTGTGAAAAAATGGTGCTATGTACAAGTGGAGTTTGTTGGGATAGACAATCACTTACAAAGCCCAGATGGCCAGAAGGGAATTGGTGTTGCTCCTTTCACTTGTATGGTTGAGCAGATTTGTCACATGCCACAAAACCATTCTTTGTAGTCATGCTTAGTATGAGCTTGCTTTGTTGTTACGGTCATGTTCTTTCCAGCCCTGCCCCAGCTATGAATTGTCTAAGTGTGAGGGAGCATCAGAGCTTCAGTATTGTTTAAAGAATGTAGAAAAATACAAATTTGTCTAATTTTGAAACTATTTTAGAAAGTCCCTACTGTAGAAAGAGCTAAACTCAAAGACTTTCCTTGTAAGTGAAAGAAAAAAACTGCTGATGATTACCAAGAGGCGTAAGAAAATTAGGTGAGGGAATGTTGTGCTCTAGCCTGTGGGGTGCAGCTTCGTAGGGCACATCAGCTTAGAATGGTCTGGCCTCACCTCAGAGAGTCACAGAAATAGACAAAAACCCAAAAAGTACTAGTAAAGTAAATACAAGGAACAAAATAAACATTAATAAAAATGAATGACGCAAAGGTGATCCAGAATCATTACTTGCTCCAACAGCTAGATCAAAGGCTGAACATTTTGCTTTAGTATAGATGAGGGAAATGAGCAAGTCCTAAAAGGTTTGCCCTGTTACGGTGTTTCATCACTCATACTGGAAGGAGAAGGAAAGGAGCCATATGACTCATTTAAAAGAAAAACTGTAAGTCACCTTAAATTCCCTATGTTTTACTTCATTTTTTCCCTATTGAGGTTGTTACAGGTCATGGTTGATAATAGTTGGTGTTGAATGAATGTAATCCATTATTTAAAAACAGGTACATTTAAGTGAAAAGATAAATGTAAAAAGCTGTTCATATCAAAGCCAAATAGAAATGATTTTTATGCTTATAATTTACATGGTGCAATATATCTTTTTAATTTGTTTACTTTTCACCTATTTGTGTTTTTGAAGTTCATCCCATAGCATATAGTTTGGGTCTTGCTTTTTTATTTAGTCTAATGATCTCTGCCTTTTACTTAGCATTTGTCAATTTACATTTACTGTAATTATTGATATGTTTAGATTGAGTTTACCATTTGGCTTTTTTCTTTGCTCCTCTTTTCCTGCCTTCTTTCAGGTTGAATATTTTTATTATATATCATTATATCATTATTATTATATATTATATATCATATATTAAGATATATGAGAATATCAGCATTCTCATATATATAATGTCTTTTTCTCTGATTTTGTTTTAATTTCTCTTTTTAAAAAAGTATTCTTTTTTTTTTTTTTTTTTTGAGACGGGGTCTCGCTCTGTCACCCAGGCTGGAGTGCAGTGGCGTGATCTTGGCTCACTGCAACCTCCACCTCCTGGGTTCAAGGGATTCTTGTGACTCAGCCTCCCAAGTAGCTGAGATTACAGGCATGCACCACCATGCCAGGCTAATTTTTTTGTATTTTTAGTAGAGATGGGATTTCGCCATGTTGCCCAGGTTGGTCTTGAACTCCTGGCCTCAAGTGAATTGCCCTCCTCAGACTCCCAAAGTGCTGGGGTTACAGATGTGAGCCACCAAGCCTGGCCTATTTTTATAGATTTAGGGGGTACAAGTACAGTTTTGTGTTTTAATTTTTCTATTGGTTTATAAACTATACACCATATTTTTAAAATGGTTCTTCTAGGTATTACAGCATACATCTTTGACCTACTACCATCCACTTAGGGTTAATATGATACAGCTTCATAAAATACAGAACCTTGGAACAGTATAGTTCCATTCACCCTCTCCTCTCTTCCTTGGTTTTTCACATATATTACAGCTACATACATAATAAACGCAACAGTACGATGCTATCATTTTCACTTAAAACAAGCGTCATTTAAATGATTAAGAGAAAAAAGAATGTATCTTTTATATTTGCCAAACATTGACCATTTCTGATGTTCTTCATTGTCTCCTATAGATTTGAGTGACATCTGAGGTCTTTCCTTTTCAGCTTGAATGATTTCTTTGAGAACTGTAGTCCAGTGACAAGTTTAGGCTCATTGAAACGCTTTGAAAATGAGTTCATGGAAAATGACTTTATTTCACTTTAATCTTTGAAGGATCATTTCACTGATGGGGAATTCTGGGTTGATAGCTTTTTTTCTTACAGCACTTGGCAGGCATTTATTGTCTTTTGGCCTCCATTGTTTCTGATGAGACATCAGCTGTCATTTGTATCATTCTCATAAATATAATGTCTTTCTCTGGCTGTCTTATTTTTGAATTTCAGCAGTGTCACTAAAATATGCCTAGGTATGGTTTGTTTGTACTTATTTAGCTGGGGGTTCATTGAACTTTTGGATCTGTAAATCTATTTTTTTTATTTATTTTAAAATCAAACTTGGGGAAATTTTGGCCATTTTTTCCATTTATTTCTTGCTTTCCTGTCTCAGAACTCCAGCAAATTTACATTAGATCACTTGAGGTTGTCCTGTATGTCTCTGAAGCTCTTTTCTTCAGTCTTGTTTCTGTTTTAGATTGAATAATTTGTATAATTTATTTGCAATTCACTAACTCTTCTGCTGTCTTCAGTCTGCTCATGAACGTATCCAGTGGACTTTCATTATAGTACTAGTATTTTTCACATGTAAAATTTCCACTTGGTTCTTTAGTATTCCTAATTCTCTGAGATTCCTCATTACTAATTATGAATATATATCCTTATAAGCATTTATAATAGCTGCCTTAAATACTTGTTTGCTAATTGTAACATGTCCTAATCAGAATCAGTTTCCATTGATTATATTTCACTTCTGTATGGGGTCATTTTTTTTTTTTGCTTGTCTAGTGATTTTTTATTACATGCTGGACAGTATGGATGGTACATTAATAAAGACTACGGATTTGGCTACATTCCTCAGAATAGTTAACTTTTGTCCTCAAGCAGCTCATTCGCCTGAACTGAAACTTCAAACCATCCTGTAATGGATAGCAGCCGAAGTCTCTGATTAGTTTTCAGCTTCCGGCTGCTGCCTTTCAATGGGCCCACTGGCGTCTCCCCTGCTGCACAAACCAACTAGGGATTTGAACAAAATTTCTGTTCAGAGGTTGAGATTTGCTCCTTCTTCAGTTCCCCTCTTTCCAGAATTCTTCTCCTAACTTTCTTAACTTTTGCTCTGCTCTGCCCACCCCATTTCTGTCCTTGACATCTCAAGCCACTGAAGATGCAGCTTTCTGCCACCCCTAACCTTCTGAAGAATGAGGACTGCCTTCAGGCAAAAGGTGCAAACTTGTACATCTTGAAGTTCTCTTCTTTTAGGGGAAGACGACCCTCCAGTTTATGCTTTTGGTTACTCTTCAGGCCTTCAACTAGCTTTTTGTTTGTTTAACTTTTTGTTCATTCACACTTCATGATTGTTAACCTGGAGGGAATTAGTCTGAAAAAGGAAAAAAAAAATCCACTATTACTAGAAACTAGAATTTTACTATAGTTACTTTGAAACTCCAAATCAGTGGTTCTCAAACTTAACTGAACACTGGAATCACCTAGAAAGCTAAAAAAAAACAAACAAAAAACAAAACAAAACAAACAAAAAAAACTGTGGCCTCGAGTTGGGAATTTTTAGAAGATCTCTTAGTGATTCCAATGCATAGACAAGATTGAGAACCATTGCCTTAAATAATTCTTTAAATCAGCCATTGTTTCTGTCCTTATCCAGAACATGGGGAGTTGACCGTTCTTTTTCCAGACCTAAAAACAAAACAAAACAAAAATTGTTTCTGTAGTCTTTTTTGTTTGGACAGAAGGACTGAAAATTAGAGTCTTACAGAAATGTAATTTGTCTTACAGAAATATAATTTGCTGTAGAATTATTTTGTCACCCAGGTCAGCTTGTTCAATTAGAGTTTAGCATAAATTTGATATTTGGTACTATATACACATAGCTCATACCATATGTAAAGCTAAGCCTCTGAGTGATAGACCCCAAAACTTACTGCAGGAATACAAAATATTCATTTGTATTCAATCAAAAAGTAAAATTTATCTCTGGAAACTGGCCAGAGAGCAAAAAGCAATGTTTAGAGATCAGTTTTAGGTCTCATTCAGCTCATTAACAGGAGAATGTGTCAAGTCTTAACCTCCAAAAATCGTGACCTCTAATTAAAAACAGGCTATGTTCTGGGCTGAGTTTTATGATTCAGAGGCTGAAAAGAGAGACATTCAACAAATGCTTTGTGGCTGAAAGAAGAGCAGTAACTTAGGGTTGATGGTTACAATAGCACAGCTGGCAAAGAAAGGAAGCATGAGAAATCAATGAATAAAAATAATAAGTAGTACAGAGATTTAACTAAATATCAAGGAAACGGGGTTTTTGAATGAAATGTGTTATAGACATCAATAGAATGTGCAACCTTTGAAGCACACTGTGGGTGACTTAGAAAGGAAACCAAATCCAATGATGGAAATTTACTCAGGTTTAGAAGGAACATATTTATAGACAAATATTTAACATAGAGGTAAGGAAAATAAAACCATGGAGGGATTTCAGAAGATAAATTGTTACTCTAGGAAGTGTCAGCTTGTTTTGTTTTTTAAAAATATTCCAAACTATTTTCCTTTTTTTTTTTCCTGAGACAGGGTCTCATTCTGTCACCCAGGCTGGAGTGCAGTGGCTCAATCTCGGCTCACTGCAACCTCCACCTCCCAGGTTCAAGTGACTTTCCTGCCTCAGCCTCCCAAGTAGCTGGAATTACAGGCGTGTGCCACCACGTCCCACTCTTTTTTTGTATTTTTAGTAGACACAGGGTTTCACCATGTTGGCTAGTCTGGTCTTGAACTCCTCCTGACCTCAAATGATCCACCCGCCTTGGCCTCCCAAAGTGTTGGGATTACAGGCGTGAGCCACCGTGCCCAGCCTCCAAATTATTTTCTTTATAAAGAAAATTACTGAAACTTGAACATATTCTTATTTGATCAGATCATTCTAACTTATGATCTTAGGACAAATTCAATTCTCCTATCTTGTCTCAAATTTTTGCTAATATATATTTTAATACTCTAAAGGCATAAATTATCTCCATATAAATTGTAATGTGAGGATAAGGCTTTCAGAGACTGTAAATAGGTTGAAATGCAACAAAAGGTACACATTTAAATTTTTACATATGCCTCTTTTAAAAAATTATCCTGTTTAACAAGTCAAAACAACTTTTTGACTGTTACCTAGTCTGATTATTAATGTTTTATTGCTTTTAATTTCTTTCCAATGATTTTCAGGGATTTTTTGGTGGTGGTGGTTATTGTTTTGAGAATGGATCTTGCTGTGCCACCCAGGCTGGAATGCAGTGATGTGGTCATAGCTCATTGCAGTCTTGAACTCCTGGGCTCAAATGATCCTCCTGCCTCAGCCTCCTGAGTACCTAGGACTACAGGTGAGCTCCACCAGGCCTAGCTTTTAAAATTTTATAGAGATGAAGTCTCGCTGTGTTGCTCAGGCTGGTCCCAAACTCCTGAGCTCAAGCAATCCTTCTGCCTCGGCTTCCCAAAGTGCTGGGATTACAAGTGTGAGCCACTGTGCCTAGCCTGATTTTCATTTTGAAATTTGATTTACTTGAATGATTCTGTGAAAAGCCCAAGTGTATTACATTAGTCAACATCTTTTCCCAGCTGAGCGTGGGGGCTTACCAGTCTGGGCAGCATAGCGAGATCTTGTCTCTACAAAAAAATTAAAAATTAGCCAGGCATGGTGGTGTGCACCTTTAGTCCCAACTACTTGGGAGGCTGAGGCAGGAGGATTGCTAGAGCCCAGGAGTTTGAGGCTGCAGTGAGCCGTGGTTGCGCCACTGCACTCCAGCATGGGCAACAGAGCAAGGCACTGTCTCAAAAAAAAAACCAAAACATTGGCCGGGTGCTGTGGCTCACGCCTGTAATCCCAGCACTTGGGGAGGCCGAGGCCAGCGGATCACGAGGTCAGGAGATCGAGACCATCCTGGTTAACACGGTGAAACCCCATCTCTACTAAAAATACAAAAAATTAGCCGGGCGTGGTAGCGGGCACCTGTAGTCCCAGCTACTCGGGAGGCTGAGGCAGGAGAATGGCGTGAACCTGGGAGGCAGAGCTTGCAGTGAGCCGAGATCGCGCCACTGCACTCCAGCCTGGGCGACAGAGCGAGACTCTGTCTCAAAACAAAACAAAACAAAACAAAACGAACAAAACATTTTTTCCCCTAGCCTGCTTGTACAATAAATCTACACAATCTAGAACATCATTTATTTTAAATTCTCTAATTAACAGCTTGATTCAGTCATTTCACAATGTATACACATATCAAAACACCATGTTGTATACCATAAATATATACTTTTGTTAATTGAAAAAATAAAAGTAAGAAACTTAAACAAAAAAATAGCCCAGCCAGGCGTGATGGCTCACATCTGTAATCCCAGGGCTTTGAGAGGCCAAGGTGGGCAGATCACTTGAGGCTAGGAGTTCGAGACCAGCCTGGCCAACATGGTGAAACCCCATCTCTACTAAAAATACAAAGATTAGCAGAGCATGGTGGTGCATGCCTGTAATCCCAGCTACTTGGGAGGCTGAAGCAGGAGGATCGCCTGGACTTGGGAGGCGGAGGTTGCAGTGAGAGGAGATCACGCCACTGCATTCCAGCCTGGGCAAGAATGAGACTCCATCTCAAAAACAAATAGATAAATAACAATAGCTCTTTCCATTATAGTGTTATTTTCTGGTATCATCTGTAAACCCAGTATTGAAGTGAAAGTGTTGGATTAATTTGAGAAGGAAAAGATGTACTTATCAAACACCTTATATTAAATTATTATCTATTATATTATTATTGTATTTGTTGAATACCACATATACATATTTAGTCCTCACAACCCTAATGGGACGTGTTATTCCCATTGTGTAGCTGAGGAAACTGACACTCTTCAAAGTTCAGCTTGTCTGTGGTTACCAGCTGTAATGGGGCCCCCAGTCATGGGGTGATTCTGTTTGCTCACACTCTTTCCACACCCTATCCCCGAAATGAAACAACTTGGAACTGTCTCCATTTTTATTATACTGTTCAATAAAAATTTGGGGGTTGCTTTGGCAGATAATCATATGCAAGCTCTATTTTCCAAATATCTCAACTTATTTTTCTGCTCTCTCGAATTCCTCCCTCCCCTCCCCCATTCCATTTCCTTGTGACCACATCTGCTTCTTGGAGAGACTTGCAGGATCTGACACATCCTCTTGGTTTCCTAAGTCTTATGACTAGCCAATGCCTGAAATAATGAACTCCTCCAAGGCAAGAAATCTGTTTTGAAGCTTCTCTGCGTAAGTATTAACACTTAATCTATTATTCGATGCATTTCATTTCCCTTTGTAGGTATCGGTTTTCTGAGCCTGCAGCCTTAGGCTAGTACCTTTTTTTTTTTTTTTAAGTTAGTTTCTGTTTTTTATTTGAGCTCTGTTAGAATCTTTAGATCTATCCAGTGGCTATAGTTTACTCTGTGCTGCGCCTTTCTGCTTTCTCTCTGCAAAAATTATGGCTTTTTAGCTATATTTCCCCAAACAGAGGTGAGGTACTGCTCTTATACAAATACTTGAAGTTATAAATCCCACCTGCATTAAAAGGAAAGTGAAGATTTATGACAATGCCTTCCCATTCTTCTCTTTCAACCCCAAAACCTCCACCATTTTTGAAACAAGGCAAGTTCTTTAGGGCTGGAGGTCTTCAATGGTATACACCATGAGGTAAAGATCAGCTTTAAAATAAATACGTACCTCCAAGGGAAGAAAATTGAACAGGCCATTCATTACTTTTCCTTCAGAAAGCTAAGGTACAACAGGAATAAACTTAACTTGTGAAGGTTTTATGAAAGGATTGCCACCTCCTGCCTTGATGAAAAGATTAACCTGATTTGGTGAAATATGCTGCTATTTGCAGGCAGGTGCTGGCCTGATTCACCAACTCTGTGTTAATTTGAGCCTGCAGAGGTACCTTTGATCAGCTCTCAGAGCCTCAGCAGTGGCTCAGGAAACATCAAAACGCTGTAGAGCAGGCTCTAATCTCAGCCTTCCTGTTTCTATGCTTGCTCACTAGGTTCACACACAGCAGCCTGGTTTCCTGGAAGGGCATTTTCCACATTGTGCGTTATGGATGATCATCCCAGGCATCAGGTGTGAAGCCCTGCATCCACATCCAGGGGCTATCAAATCTCTCTGCAAAAGGAGAAGCTGGACTCAGGCACGTTTACAGTGATGTGTATGCAGGTATATGTAAATTAATGCCTGCGTCTAATGCTGGAAGTAACAACAATTCAGTTCCGGGGAACTCTGTTGTCGTAATGCAGCTGCTAAGTGCAACATATTCTGTCCATGAAGTTGACACCTGGATAACAGGTTTGGGTGATAGTAACTGAGGCTTTGGCAGTGGATTGAGAACTCTGAGCTAGAAACATAATGGCAGTACCCTTTACTAAGCCAGGGTGGTAGGTCAGATAGCATGGGTATTTTTTCGAAAAGTTGAGCTCTTACCCTTTTTTTTTTTTGAGACAAGGTTTCACTTGTCCAGGCTGGACAATCATAGTTCACAGCAGCCTCACCATCCCAGGCTCAAGTGATCCTCCCACCTCAGCCTCCTGAGTAGCTGGGACTACAGGTGCACACCACCACACTTGGCTAATTTAAAAAAAAAAAAATGTACAGGCTGGGCGCAGTGGCTCACGCTTGTTATCCCAGCACTTTGGGAGGCCAAGGCATGGGGATCACCTGAGGTCGGGAGTTCAAGACCAGCCTGACCAACATAGAGAAACCCCATCTCTACTAAAAATACAAAATCAGCCAGGTGTGGTGGTGCGTGCCTGTGATCTCAGCTACTCGGGAGACTGAGGCAGGAGAATTGCTTGAACCCGGAAGGCAGAGGTTGCAGTGAGCCGATATCGCATCATGCACTCCAGCCTGGGCAACAAAAGCGAAACTCCGTCTCAAAAAAAAAATTTTTGTACAGACAGGGTCTCTCTATGTTGCCGGGGCTAGTCTCAAACTCCTGGGCTCAAGTGATCCTCCCGCCTCAGCCTCCCAAAGTGCTGGGATTATAGGCATGAGCCATTGCCCTTGGCCTCTCATCCTTTTTACTCTCAATGACAGGTTCATACTTGCCCTTGGGCTTTATTTCCCTTTCCAGGCACATTTCCCTTAACTCTGCTCCAGAGTCTTACACTCCCATGTTTGGAATTTTAAAAAATTGATGCATTTTTTACATTGCATTGGGAGATATTTTAGAACCACTGGGGAGCTGGGCGCGGTGACTGACATCTGTAATTCCAGCACTCTAGGAGGCTGATGCTGGTGGATTACTTGAGGTCAGGAGTTCAAGACCAGCCTGGCCAACATAGCGAAACCCTGTCTCTACTAAAAATACAAAAATTAGCCAGGCATGGTATCGCATGCCTGTAGTTCCAGCTACGCATCAGTAGGAGGCTGAGGAATGAGAATCACTTGTACCTGGGAGGCGGAGGTTGCAGCGAGCTGAATTTGTGCCATGGCACTCCAGCCTGCACAACAGTGAGACTTTGTCTCAAAAAAAAAACACTAAGGAAACAGGGGAAAGAGAATTGAACTTCTGTAGCTGCTCAAGTCATTTGGCATCTCTAAATCTGGGCTTCTTCATCTCTCGTTATATAAAAAAACAGATACCTAAATTTCAAGGTTGTTGAGGATTAAATGAGGTAACAATGTAGAACCTCTTTAGAGTTTTAGAGCAAAGCTGATTGACCTACAAATCCATGTTATTGTTGGATCTTAGATGAGCAAATCTACCTGGCTCAGGTTCTGACTCCGGTTTCCACTTGCCGCCTGGGAGGTGACTGTCCCCAAGTCCGCCTCTGAGGTGGTCCTGCTGGGTCCTGGCCTCGCCTATTTCCCACACCTCTCGTCTGCCTTTCTCCAGTTTCTTACAACAGCAGCAGTAAAGTTCCCTTCCCCCGATCCTTAATGCTGTCTTTACTTCTCTCCTATGATGTTATACAAGGAAGTAGTGTGAGGGCTTCAGGCGGGGGCTGTAGGCTGGAGATAGTGGTGGCTGTTGTAGTGCTGATGAGGTCATCATCATCCCTGAAACCAAGCTGCGTGATTTTTTTTTTTACCACTGGCATCATTCCTATAATGCAGAAAACAACACCAGGTCTTTTTTTTTTTTTTTTTTTTTTGAGACCGAGTCTCTCCCTGTCACCCAGGCTGGAGTGCAATGGCGCAATCTCGGCTCACTGCAACCTCCACCTCCTGGGTTCAAGTGATTCTCCTGCCTCAGCCTCCCGAGTAGCTGGGATTACAGGCGTGTGCCACCACGCCCAGCTAATGTTTTGTATCTTTAGTAGAGACGGGGTTTCACCATGTTGGCCAGGCTGGTCTCAAACTCCTGACCTTGTGATCCACCCGCCTCGGCCTCCCAAAGTGCTGGGATTACAGGCGTGAGCCACCGCACCTGGCCCAACACCGGTTCTTTATTACTAAAGGGCTAACCACTCAGAGCCTCCAATTTGCTTTCTCCTTCTCCCTCTGGGCTCACGTAAGTAGAACACTCTGAAGAAGCCTCAATCTGCTTTTTGTGATTTCGATATGCAGTAACCCAAGCTGCCCCCGATACAGAAGGAAGAGAACTGAGCTTAGCTCCAGAAGACCTAACTATGACACTAGGCCAGCATAATACTAGCTGGGTGGCTAGGAGTAAACTAACTTCTTTGAGCTAGTTTTCTTGTCAGTAAAGCATAGAGTTGGATTAGATGATATCTTTAGCCTCTGAAATCTCTAACTTTCTAAGGACATAAATAATACATATAGATCTAGTAACAGTGTAGGCTATTTGAAATCAGTGAAAGTTCCATAAGATACCTCTCATCCTAAGCCTAGGTGAAAGGTTTGCCATAGAAGAAAATGCAAATAAAAAGTTCAGTAGAGGGCATCTCAGAATGATGAAATGATTGGTTTCTTTGGGCAAAACCATCAATAGGGTGATTTGAAACTTTCGGGATGACATTTCTGTCCAGAGAAAAGGACAGTCAGCCAGGCACGGTGGCTTGGCTCATGCCTGCAATCCCAGTACTTTGGGAGGCCAAGACCGATGGATCACTTGATGCTAGGAGTTTGAGACCAGCCTTGCCAACATGATGAAACCCCATCTCTACTAAACATACAAAAATTAGCCAAGCATGGTGGCCTATGCCTGGTGGCCTATGCTTGTAATACCAGCTATTCGGGAGGCCGAGGCAGAAGAATCGCTTGAACCTGGGAGGTAGAGGTTACAGTAAGCTGAGATCGCACCACTGCACTCCAGCCTGGGAGACAGAGTGAGACTCCATCCCAAAAAAAGAAAAAGAAAATAACAGTCTGGTCTAAGGGTTTGTTTTAGTCGAAGTAATAGGAATTGATGTGAAGAGGAAGCATCCCCTGATGCCAGGGCAGATGGTGGAGAGCAGAACACCAGGGTGGTACAGGGCAGAAGAGGGAGGGTGAACAGAAAGGGGTGGAGGAGACAGAGGCAGGAAGAGAGGGGGCATCATGGCCTGGTGGGTGGAGCCAGGCCAGCCCTGCTAAGACCAAGGGTGATGTTCTTCATCGGAAGAAGAAGGTGAGAAGACCTCAGGGAGCCTCAAGGACCTCCAAGGATGGAAAACCTGGCATTGATTAGGAAAATGACTGTGATTGTATCAATGTACACTTAGTTGAGAAGTCAAGGAGCATTTGGAAACTGAGAGAAAAGAGCCTTGTTACTTCAAGGAATAAAAATGTGTAACGTGCAGTCAGGACATAGTGCTTTTAAAACTGAGCTGTCCTTTCAGAGCAGCTGGGCAAGTGTTGGCTTTAATATTAAGCACATTTGGCCAGGCACAGTGGCTCACATCTGTAATCCCAGCACTTTGGGAAGCAGAGGTGGGCAGATCACTTGAGGCCAGGAGTTCGAGACCAGCCTGACCAACATGGTGAAAGCCCGTCTCTACTAAAAATACAAAAATTAGCTGTATGTCGTGATGCGTGCCTGTAATCCCAGCTACTTGGGAGGCTGAGGCAGGATAATCGCTTGAACCCGGGAGGCGGAGGTTGCAATGAGCTGAGATTGTGCCACTGCATTCCAGCCTAGGCAACAGAGCAAGATTCTGTCTCAAAAAATAAAAATAAAAAAATAAAAATTAAGCACATAGGGTAAGTCTTATTTGAGAGAGAGCTGCAGCTATGCAAGGCAGAATACTTTGAGTTCAGGACTGCCTTAGGCAAACGTGGAGAGGGACCAGGTGTGCAGTGAAGCGGGCAGGTATGAGTAGAGGACTCCGAAGCCTTTGAAATAGACCCAAGATCCCCAGCTCTGGTTGTGCACCTGAATCTTCTGGCAGTGGTTTTCCAATGCAGGTGTCTAAGCTCAGCCCTGGGCCAGCTCTGGAATTCACAGGGCCCAGGGCAAAGTACATATATATAGCCCCTCCCAAAAACACAAAAAACAGTATCATTAAAGGTACTCAAATGTCTTTTTCCTCTCTGCCAACTTGTCTTGGTGTTTTCTGTTTGCTATTTAAAATTGTTTTAAGTAGAGATAAACTACAATTTAAAATTATTCACATGAATTTTTACCACTTGGCTTTACATTGTGCAGTAGCAGTTTTCAATGGGAAAGATAAGCGCATTTAACTTAGAATCACCTAAGTTACACACTTTCTATTTCATTGCTTATGCATAGATATATGTTTTATTTTTACTAGAACAGGGGAAACACTACATACAAGTAACTAAGATTTTTTTCCTTTACTTTTTTTTTTTTTGAGATGGAGTCTTGCTCTGTCATCCAGGCTGGAGTGTAGTGGTGGGATATGGGCTCACTGCAACCTCCGTCTCCCAGGTTCAAGTGATTCTCCTGCCTCAACCTCCTGAGTAGCTGGGATTACTGATGTGTGCCACCAAGCCTGGCTAATTTTGTACGTTTAGTACAGATGGGGTTTCGCCATCTGGCCAGGCTGGTCTTGAACTCCTGAACTCAAGGTATCTGCCCACCTCGGCCTCCCAAACTGCTAGGATTACAAGCGTGAGCAACTGTGCAGGGCCTCTTCACTTCTTCTCTTATGAGATGGGGTCTTGCTCTGTTGCCTAGTGCAGTGGTGCCATCATAGCTCACTGCAGCCTTGAACTCTTGGACTCAAGTGATCCTTCTGCCTCAGCCTCTTGAGTAGCTAGGACCACAGGCATGCTCCATCAAGCCCCACTAATTTTTTGTAATTTTTGTAGAGATGGGGTCTCGCTATGTTGCCCAGG
Organism: Homo sapiens; assembly: GCF_000001405.40. Classification (NCBI taxonomy): domain Eukaryota; kingdom Metazoa; phylum Chordata; class Mammalia; order Primates; family Hominidae; genus Homo; species Homo sapiens. Next base: position 3,472,322 of record NC_000018.10, read on the forward strand.
CTGGTCTCAAATTCCTGGGCTCAGGTGATCCTCCCAACTCGGCTTCCCAGGGTGCTGGGATTACAGGTGTGAGCCACTGCACTGGCTTTTTTTTCACTTCTTAATATGCTCGTATCCTACCATCACTCTACCTTTGGCTTAGTAAGGAAGGACTGAAAGGAAAAGGAACTGAGGGGTACCTTCTCTTTCCCTGTCTTTGTATGTCATTGTTTTCAGCATCAGTGTTTGGCTAATACAAGTGCACCTTGTACTAGCCTTGTATTGTGCTTTGTGTTACTGCACTTTCCAGATACCACATATTTTACAAATGAAGGTTGGTGGCAACCCTGTGTCAAGCAAGTCTGTCGGCACCGTTTTTCCAGTAGCATATGCTCACTTCTGGTCTCTGTCACATTTTTGGTAACTGTCACAGTATTTCAAACTTTTTCATGACTTTTATACCTGTTAGGGTAATCTGTGACCAGTAATTTTATTTATTTATTATTATTATTTTTTTAACGGAGTCTCACTCTGTCGCCCAGGCTGGAATGCAGGGATGCGATCTCGGCTCAATGCAACCTCTGCCGCCCAGGATTCAAGCGATTCTCCTGCCTCAGCTTCTTGAGTATCTGGGATTACAGGCACCTGCCACCACGCCTGACTAATTTTTGTAGTTTTAGTAGAGCCAGGGTTTCACCATCTTGGCCAGGCTGGTCTTGAACTCCTGACCTCGTGATCCACCCACCTTGTCTTCCCAAAGTGCTGCGATTACAGGCGTGAGCCACCGTGCCCGGCTGACCAGTATCTTTCATGTTACTATTGTAATTGTTTGGGGTCACCACGAACCGCACACATATAAGACAATGAACTTAATCAATAAACGTGTGTGTTCTGATTGCTCCACTGACTGGCTGTTCCCTCATCTCTGTCCCTCTCCTCGGGTCTCCCTATTCCGGGGGATAAAATGATATTGGAATTAGGCCAATTTATAACTATAATCACCCAGAAGAGTTCAAGTGAAAGGAAGTCAGAGGTCTTTCACTTTCAGTCAAAAGCAAGAAATGATTAAGCTTAGTGAGGAAGACATGCTGAAAGCTGAGACAGACCAAAAGCTGGGTCTCTTGTGCCAACTAGTTAGCCAAGTTGTGAATGCAAAGGAAATGGTTTTATTTTGTTTGTTTGTTTGTTTTTGAGACGGAGTCTCACTCTGTTGCCCAGGCTGGAGTGCAATGGCATGATCTCAGCTCACTGCAACCTCTGTCTCCCGTGGTTCAAGCAATTCTCCCTGCCTCAGCCTCCCAAGTAGCTGGAATTACAGGCCCTCGCCACCAAGCCCAGCTAATTTTTTCTATTTTTAGTAGAGATGGGATTTCGCCACATTGGCCAGGCTGGTCTCGAAATCCTGACCTCAGGCGATCCGCCTGCCTCCGCCTCCCAAAGTGCTGGGATTACAGGCGTGAGCCACTGTGCCTGGCCAAATGTTCTTGAAAGAAATTAAAAGTGCTACTCCAATGAACATACAAGTGGTAAGAAAGCAAAACAGCCCTATTGCTGATATGGAGAAAGTTTGAATGGTTTGGATAAAGATCAAACCAGCCACAGCATTCCCTTATGCCAAAGCCTAATCCAGAGCAAGGTCTTAATTCTCTTCAGTTCTGTGAAGGAAGCTGCAGAAGAAAAAGGTGAAAGAGGTGAGGAAGCTGCAGAAGAAAACCTGGAAGTTAGCAGAGCTTGATCCAGAGGTTTAAGGAAAGAAGCCATCTCCATAACATAAAAGTGCAAGGTGAAGCAGCAAGTGCTGATGGGGAAGCTGCAGCAAGTCATCCAGAAGATCTTGCTAAGGTAATTGATGAAGGTGGCTACATTCAATAACAGATTTTCAATGTAGACAAAACAGCTTTCTACTAGTAGAAGATGCCATCTAGACCTTTAATAGCTGGAGAAGAGAAGTCAATGTCTGGCTTTAAGCTTTAAGAGACAGGTTGACTCTCTTATTAGGGGCTACTGCAGCAGGTGATTTTAAGTTGAAACCAATGCTCACTTACTATTCTAAAAATCCTTGAGTCCTTAAGAATTATGTTGAATCTACTCTTCCTGTGCTCTACAGATGGAACAATACAGCCTGGATGACAGCATATCTGTTTACATCATGGTTTGCTGAATTTTTTTTTTTTTTTTGAGACGGAGTCTCACTCTGTCACCCAGGCTGGAGTGCAGTGGCACAATCTCGGCTCGCTGCAACCTCCTCCTCCTGGGTTCACGCCATTCTTTTGCCTCAGCCTCCTACAGCTGGGACTACAGGTGTCTGCCACCACGCCTGGCTAAATTTTTGCGTTTTTAGTGGAGACGGGATTTCACTGTGTTAGCCAGGATGGTCTCAATCTCCTGACCTTGTGATCCGCCCGCCTCGGCCTCCCAAAGTGCTGGGATTACAGGCGTGAGCTGAATATTTTAAGCCCACTGTTGAGATCTACTGCTCAGAAAAAAAAATTCCTTCCAAAATATTACTGCTTATTGGCAATGAAGCTAGTCGCCCAAGAGCTCTGATGGAGATGTACAAGAAGATGAATGTTGTTTTCATGCCTACAAACATAATATCCATTTGGCAGCTCATGGGTCAAGGAGTCATTTCAACTTGCAAGTCTTATTATTTGAGAAACACAATTTGTAAGGTTAGAGCTACCATAGTGATTCCTCTGATGGATCTGGGCAAAGTCAACTGAAAACCTTCTGGAAAGAATTCACCACTCTAGATGCCATTAGGAACATTTATGATTCATGGGAGGAGGTCAAGATATCAACATTAACAGGAATTTGGAAGATTCCAATTCTCATGGGTAACTTTGAGGGGCTCAAGACTTCAATGGAGGAAGTCACTGCAGATGTGCTGCAAATAGCAAGATAATTAGAATTCGAAGTGGAGCCTGAACATGTGGTGGAATTGCTGCAATCTCATGATCACATGTGAATGGATCAGGAGCTGTTTCTTAAGGATGAGCAAAGAAAGTGGTTTCTTGAGATGGAATCTACTCCTGATGAAGATGCTGTGAATGCTGTTGACAACAAAAGGCTGGGCATGGTGGCTCACTCCAGTAATCTCAGCACTTTGGGAGGCCAAGGCGGGTGGATCACCTGAGGTCAGGAGTTTGAGACCAGCCTGGCCAACATGGGGCCAAACTGGGGGCGTACTACCTATATATGTTTATTTATAAGTTCTATCCATATACTGCTGTATAGTCTCATTTTATGAAACCCCATCTCTACTAAAAATACAAAAATTAGCTGGCTGTGGTGGCAGGCGCTTGTAATCCCAGCTACTCGGAAGGCTGAGGCAGGAGAATCGCTTGAACCAGGAAGGTGGAGGTTGCAGTGAGCTGAGATCACACCACTGCACTCCAGCGTGGGTGACAAGAGTGAAACTCCGTCTCAAAAAAAAAAAACACCAAAAAACAAAGGATTTAGAATATTCTGGAAGCTTAGTTGATTGATAAAACAGTGGCAGGGTTTGAAAGAATTGACTCTGTATTAGTCAATTTCACACTGCTGATAAAGACATACGCGAGACTGGGTAATTTATAAATAAAAAGAATTTTTTTTTTTTTTTGGAGACAGAGTCTCAGTCTGTTGCTGAGGCTGGAGTGCAGCGGCACTGTGTCGGCTCACTGCAACCTCTGTCTCCTGGGTTCAAGCAATTCTCCTGCCTCAGCCACCCGAGTAGCTGGGATAACAGGCGTCCACCACCATGCCCGGCTAGTTTTTATATTTTTAGTAGAAACGGGGTTTCACCATGTTGGCCAGGCTGGTCTTGAACTCCTGACCTCAGGTGATCCGCCCGCCTTGGCCTCCCAAAATGCTGGGATTACAGGCGTGAGCCACCGCGCCCGGCCGGTTTTTGTTTGTTTGTTTGTTTGAGATGGAGTCTTGCTCTTGTTGCTCAGGCTGTGTGCAATGGCACGATCTTGGCTCACTGCAACCTCCACATCCCGGATTGAAGCAATTCTCCTGCCTCAGCCTCCCGAGTAGCTGGGATTACAGGCATGTGCCACCACACCCGGCTAACTTTTTATATTTCTATTAGAGATGGGGTTTCACCATGTTGGCCAGGCTGGTCTCTACCTCCTGACCTCAGGTGATCCACCTGCCTCTGCCTCCCAAAGTGCTGGGATTACAGGCATGAGCCACTGCACCCAGCCTAATAAAAAGAGGTTTAATGGACTCACAGTTCCACATGGCTGGGGAGGCCACAAAATCATGGCGAAAGGCACGTCTTATATGGCAGCAGACAAGAGAGCATGAGAGCCGAGCAAAAAGGGGAAAGAAACTTCTTATAAAACCATCAGATCTCGTGAGACTTATTCACTACCACGAGAACAGTATGGGGGAAACCACCCCCATGATTCACTTATCTCCCTCCGGGTCCCTCCCACAACACGTGGGAATTATGGGAGCTACAATTCAAGATGAGATTTGGCCGGGCGCAGCGGCTCGTGCCTGTAATTCCAGCACTTTTATGATCAAGTACTCTCAATTAAAAAAAATTGGGGGCGTACTACCTATATATGTTTATTTATAAGTTCTATCCATATACTACTGTATAGTCTCATTTTATGAAACATTCAATCAATAGAAAAATACCAAAGACCACTTGATTTTTTTTAAAAAAAAGAAGTGTTAAGGCCGGCGCAGTGGCTCACACCTGTAATCCCAGCACTTTGGGAGGCCGAGGCGGGCGGATTACGAGGTCAGGAGATTGAGACCATCCTGGCCAACATGGTGAAACCCCGTCTCTACTAAAAATACAAAAATTGGCCAGGCGTGCTGGCGGGTGGCTGTAGTCCCAGCTACTCGGCAGGCTGAGGCGGGAGAATTGCTTGAATCCGGGAGGCAAAGGTTGCAGTGAGCCGAGATTGTGCCACTGCACTCCAGCCTGGCAAGAGAGCGAGACTCCATCTCAAAAAAAAAAAAAAAAAAATGAGATTTGGGTGAGGACAAAGCCAAACCTTATCAGACTCCAATTTTGAAAGTAGTCCTACTGTGGGTAAAATGCCACCAAACAGCATCACATGCTACAGAAAAGTCTTTCATGAAAGGCAGAGTCAATCGATGTGGCAAACTTCATTGTCGTCTTACTTTAGGATGGGGATAGCAAAGTGCTGGTCTGAGTGCAGGGCCCTCTGAGCAAGGAGCCCTTTGTGACTCCAGCGGTTGCATGCTCATGAGTGGCCCTGGCCCCACCTCAGCATTTCTCAACACACATCTTACTTCAGACTGGTATATTCTCTATATTTTGCACTGAGGGTCTCTAGAACGAAGGCAGGGTGAGGGGAAAGTAAGAAAGAGCCAGGCCCCAATCACTTGCTAAAGGCCTGGGTGAAAGGATGGAAAGGAAAGGACTCTGGCTAGCCCCTTCTTTCCCTTTCCTCCTATGTCCTCATTTTCAGTGTAAGTTCAAGAGTTCACTACCACCAAGCTTCAGGTCAGCCCTGGAAAAACTCTGGATAGATTATTTTTGTAACTTTAAGAGTTGGACCAGCTTGAGGCATTGGGGAGGGATATACCCTTCCTTCTCACCCTACATTTTGTTTTCAGACCTTAGGAACCAAAGCTCTGTGATGGAAGCCAGGTTGAGGGCAGAGTGTTTATCTCTGAGGCCCCCAAATAAGAAACCCTGGTCTAGGGGAGCTAGAGGGCTAAAGTCTAGTATCATCTCCAATCAAACCTAGCTGGATAAATCCCAAACCCACTTATGGGGAAGGTTGGGGAAGAGCACTCAATCGATTCTTGATATCAAAGCTATACTTTATGTTCAGACTCAGAGATTAGGTGCTATCCAAACTAGTTTTTCCACAACCTTTTCTAGAAATGGAAATTTAAGATAGTTCATAAAAGTACTACCGTCAGGAGAAGATTGCCTGAGGCTATTACTGTGAAATTATTTTCATGGCATAAGAATCATCAAAATGGCTCGGTAGCACAGTACTTGGCAATTCTTTCTTATCACGGCAAGCTTAGAAAGTAGACACATTTGTACAGCGTATACAATGGCTCAAGGATGGAGATCTCACTGGGTACTCTGGCTGTTCCAGCCTTATGTGAGCTCCAAGGCCTGCTGTGATCTCAGCATATCTTAATCTAGTCACTCCACATGCCCTGGCATGCGGGGTGGGAAGCTCTGCAGGCGTAGACACTTGGTGTTCCCTCCCCAATAGCCATTCCCCCTTTCTCCTTTCCAACAGTGTATGTTTTCCATTTGGGGGACCATATGGTACAGGAAAAGGTGATACTCGCCCTGGCTTCAAAGGGTGAATGCGGACTTGGGCTAAGTCAATTGGTGCATCCATGGCCTTGGCCTTGATGACTGGTTCCAGCACGGCACTCCACCAGTCCATTAAGAATAAAACTCATGGCTTAGCCTAGACCTCTGGGACAAAACTGATCTCATTTCCTTCTGACAGGGTATGCACAGATGTGGAAACAGGAACTGATGTGTCCATTACACCACTAGGACAGAGGCCAGAACAATGAAGAAACCAAATACTTGGAAGAGGGTAGAGATAATGAATGGAGTCCAAGAGCCCTGATTGTGCCATAAATGTCCAGATAATTCCATACCTGAGGATTATGTGGTTTGTAAACTTGGCACTTAGAAGAACCAATAAAATCATGTTATAGTTTCAACCGGGTCTAGTTACCTTTCCTCTTAGTTGTGACTGTCTATATCCTAACTGACACAGGCTCTCGTGCCATGTCTAATACTAAGGCATCCATGGCAAGCGCTTTTCCAGTAGCACTAGGGAACAATCTATCCCAATTTTTCACGCACATAGAATTGTCATTAAGAACAAACACCCATTTGAAAGATGTTTGGCCTGGGTTAGACAAATGGTCTCTGACTGTGAGGTGCAATAAAGTGAACTGGGGCGTACAGAAAGCAAACCTACAACACTGTTTAGTTGTTGAGACTCATGGAGCAATTGAGTTAAAGCTACTTGTGCCACAATGACCCACAACCCCAAGAGATGTAGGGATGGTCAGTCATGAAGGATTTCAGAGCAGGTCAGGCACGGTGGCTCAGGCCGGTAATCCTAGCACTTTAGGAAGCCAAGGTGGGAGGATCACTTGAGCCCAGGAGTTCAAGACCAGCCTGGACAACATGACAAAAACCCGTCTCTACAAAAAAATACAAAAATTAGCCAGGCCTGGTGGGGCACGCCTGTAGTTCCAGCTAATTGAGAGGCCGAGGTGGAAGGATCACTTGAGCCTGAGAGGTTGAGGCTACAGTGGGCTGAGATTGCCCCACTGCACTCCAGCCTGGGTGACAGAGTGAAACTCTTTGTCCACAACAACATAAAAGGATTTCAGAGCAGCCAAGTGCAGGAGAATGACCTCCACTTTCAAAGACAAGAACAGCCTTTAATTCTTGATTATGCAAATTCCCAGTATTATGACCTTGTCTGAGCCTTAATTTCTTCACATATAAAATGTGAATAACATCTGTGTTATGGAGATTTCATAAGGATAAATGAGGTGATGGATGGTGATGTGCTTGGTAAAGCATAAATATTATACAAACATGGTGAATTATTTGTAGAGCTTTTTTTTGTTTTTTGTTTTTGAGGCAGGGTCTTGCTCTGTCATCCAGGTTGGAGTGCCATGGCATGATCACAGCTCACTGCAGCTTCCACCTGCTGGGCTTAAGTGATCCTCCTACCTCAGCCACAAGTATCTGGGACTACAGGTGTGCACCACCATGCTTGGTCTCAAACTCCTGAGCTCAAGTAACCCTCCCGCCTTGGCCTCCCAAAGTGCTGGGGTTACAGGCATGAGCCACTGCACCCAGCCTGCCTGCTGCTTTAATCTTATTGACATGTCATAAAGTTGACGATAAAGTTAGGGTTATACGTCTAGAATATGTTAGCCAATCCCTGTGGGCTTCTGAGCAGCCACCCAATACAGTAAAACCTCCCTCCCTGCCTGCCTGCATGGGTCAGAAGTTCTGTTTCCAGCGGTGCTGCTGCTGCTGGCCTGACTGAACTTGCATAAGTCACTTACAGATCTTCACCCCAATGTCTTCATATGCAAATGCAGGTAATAAATCTCACCTGTATGGAGAAAGACCGTGATGCTGTGTGCTTTCCTCCTCCTCACCTCTTTGTACATCCTCTTCCAGGTTCAGACAGAGATGCTCACAGGCCTTGAGGATCACAAGGAGTGTATGGCAAAAGGGCAGGGAAAGAGACATACATCTTGCTCATTGGTTTTGCTTTCAAAGTAGGGTTTTTTTTTTTTTTTTTTGAGAGACAAGGTCTTGCTCTTGCCCAGGCTGGAGCACAACAGGAAGGTCATAATTCCCTGCAGCCTCAAACTCTTTGGCTCAAGGGATCCTCCTGCCCCAGCCTCCTAAGTAGCTGGAACTACAGGTATGTACCACCATGTTTGGTGAATTTTTTTGTTTTTTATAGAGATGAGGTCTCACCATGTTGCCCAGGCAGGTCTCAAACTCCTGACCTCAAGCGATCCTCCTGCCTCAGCCTCCCAAAGTCCTTGGAATACAGATGTGAGCCATTGCACCTGGCCTCAAAGTATACTTTTGAAATCAAAAGAGGGAATGGAGCAGCAAGCCATAGGGTTTATGCTGTAAATATAGGATGAAAAGAGAAGTGAGGAGTTGGCAGACTCACCCCAGCAGGGAAGTGAGGTGAGGGGATGAGGGTGATGAGGCCAAGGTCACCACAAAAGATGACCAGTGCTGCAGGGGTGAGGAAGAGAAAGATGGGGCATCCTGGCCTTGGAGATAGTCGGGGCTGGTGATGAGAGGTGCTGATACAAAGGGAGACAGCAAAAGAGTCAGGCAAATGAAAGTCTTCCAAACCAAGCCCATGCTAGGTGCTGTGTGCAGTTTGGGAGCTTGGGACTTCACTACCCCAAAATATGACACCTTATATTTGAGAGAACTGAAGAAGCAAGAAGTTCACTCTCTAATCTTCTCTGCCATTGTCCCCTGAAGAAGGCCATAAAAGAATTCTCTGACCTGCCTCTGGAGTGGATCATAAGATCCTCATGTGAGAGGTGCCCTTTGTATACCCAGAGAAAAGGAGCATTCTTTTTCTTTTTTTTTGAGGTAAGTCCTCGCTGTCTCACTCTTGTCGCCCAGGCTGGAGCGCAGTGGCACAATCACTGCAGCCTTGACCTGCTGGGCTCAAGCGATCCTCCCACCTCTCAGCCTCCCAGGTAGCTGAGACTGCAGGCTAATTTTTACATTTTTTTGTAGAGACAGTGGTCTCCCTGTGTTGCCCAGGCTGATCTCGAACTCCTAGGCTCCAGGGATCCGCTCACCTGGGCCTCCCAAAGTGCTGGGATTATAGACGTGAGCCACCACGCTGGGCTGAACAGTCCTTATCAATGAACACCCAGGAACACAGAGAAGAATCTGAGTAAACTGGCCTTGCTAAGTTCCCTCTAGTTTATTACTATTACATCACACTCCCTTTGTCTCATCACACTTCTCCTCCACTGTCCCCTCTTCATCAAGTTTAACATAAAAACACGTTTCCCTGTTTCTTTGAGCCTTGGTTTCCAAAGGCTCTTGTGTTACATGAAATTTAAATAAATTGGTATGCTCTTGTTAATCTGTCTTTTGCTATAGGTGCCTCAGCCATGGACCTAGCAATGGGTAAGGAAAAGAATATTTTCTCCCCTACAGCACCCCTGGTGGCAAGCTCTGTTTTAGAGAGTATCGCCTTCTGTGCTATTTGAGTCAAGGCAGCTGTTCCTCCAGCTGCCTGCCTACTGCCCATGGTTCATTCTATAGATAAAGCCCCAGACTTTCCCCACATGGACACCCAAAACGGGGCAGGATAACTGACACTAGCGGCTCAGTGGTGGAGGAAGCAAAGCCCCAGCTCCCGAACTAGGGCGGCATGGCTCAGTGGCTATGTGCAGTGTGAGGGGTACTTAGGAAGATGTTGGGAGAATCAAATAAGATAAACATGTAGGGGTGCTTTAAAATTTCTAAAGTATTGGCAATATAACTACATGTAGGATTTTCCTGGATTATAAACCTCTCACCCAAATTCAACTTGAGGCAAATTGCTCCAGAGAGCATGTAGTAACATTTCAGATACGGAAAAGTTGGCTTTCTGGCTTCTGATATTTCTATTATCCCATGAATTCTCATTGCATCAGCTCTGGGTCGCTGTGGTTGTGTCTTCCTTTTTGTGTATTTTTGGAATTTGAGGTTTCAAATTTCCAGTTTTTCAGCCTCTGGTTCAACCACCCTTTCTTTAAAAAATTGTCTAAATGTACTGTAGCCCTCATCTTACCGGATGGGGAGAATTTAGTACTTCCCTCCAACCACCAATATTGCTGAGAATTTTAGGGGAGGGATCCAGGAGCTTACATTCTTATTGACATCTTCTACTCCGAATTTTCAGTTTTGCCAAAGTGTCACCTCATCTTCTGCAGTTAATGTCTCCTTTCCTCCCACCACCATACATATCTATACATATATATGTGTATAGATGTATGTATACACATATATATACACATGGAGAGAGAGAATTGTAATGTGTAAAGTTAGTTTCTTTCTTATCTATTTACTTATTCTTTTTTTTTTTTTTTTTTTTTTTTGAGACAGAGTCTCGCTTTGTCGCCCAGGCTGGAGTACAGTAGTGCGATCTCTGCTCACTGCAACCTCTGCCTCCCAGGTTCAAGCAATTCTCCTTTCCTCAGCCTCCCAAATAGCTGGGATTACAGGTGCCCACTACCATGCCTGGCTAATTTTTGTATTTTTAGTAGAGACGGGGTTTTGCCATGTTGGCTAGTTTGGTCTTTGACTGCCAACCTCAGGTGATCCACCTGCCTTGGTCTCCCAAAGTGCTAGGATTAAAGGCGTGAGTCACTGTGCCCGGCCAGTTTAAGAACCATTTTATGCAGACTGCTTTTGGGTGCTTTTGACATCTACTCTTCTCCTTGTACCCCACATCCTGAATGTATGGAGTCATTTGGACTCCGTGCATGTGTGAGTGTGAGTGTGTGCGTGTGTACATGGAAGGAGGGACTGGGTTTAGGTCCAAATCAACATGATACAGAATAGAAGCATCATATCTGGAAGCAGGAACCCAAAGGCTAACAAGACCCCAGGCTTTAAGTCTCTGCTGGAGAATTAATAGAAATCCTATGCAATCACTTTGGGCTTCCACAGATAGAGAACTGGTGTGGGGAGAGAAGGGAAGATGGAGTGGGTAGCTCAAAATAATTTCACCTCTTGGGCCACAGAAAGCCTATGTAATCTCTGATATTTATGCACGCCTAAGTCTACATATACATACATAAATACGATTAGCAGTCCTATGAGCTATTTTAAAGCAGGGAGGAGCAGGAGAGATGAATCTGGAGACTAGTTAGATCAGCAAATTATAATCTGTAGGAAAATCCACATAGATTTCCAGGTGAGAGAAGAGGAAGCAGCAGTGATTTGAGGGAAGGAAGAACACGATGCTTCTGAACTAAAAACCAGGACGCTTGGTCTGACAAAGGACTTTTTTTTTTTTCTGGGTTGTATGTGTACCAATATCGATACCTATAGACAAAATTGATTAACATCTAAATTGTCTTGGAAAATTCAGGATCTGCAGTTTCCTTCCTTATTGTTCAAATCTCATTCTTGTATCAAGTATCTAGAGAGAAATCTTGAGCTTGGTTGTAGAGGAAATTCATTGCTGTAAAGGTTGATTGCAGCAAGGTGTCTGTCCACGGGCCAGTGTGCCTGAGGATCTTTTCATGACACAGACTATCACTATCTTTTTCTTGTATAGGAATTGGCCTCTCAGACTTTAAGACCATAACTGAGAATTTTTTTTTTTTTAAGACAGAATCTCACTCTGTCTCCCAGGCTGGAGTGCAGTGGCGCAATCTTGGCTCACTGCAACCTCCGCCTCTTGGGTTCAAGAGATTTTCCTGCCTCAGCCTCCCAAGTAGCTGGAATTACAGGTACGTGCCACCACGCCTGGCAAATTTTTGTATTTTTAGTAGAGGAGGGGTTTCGCCATGTTGGCCAGGCTGGTCTTGAACTTCTGACCTCAAGTGATCCACCTGCTTTGGCCTCCCAAAGTACTAGGATTACAGGCATGAGCCACTGTGCCCGGCTTTTTTTTTTTTTTTTTTTTAACAGAGTCTTACTCTGTTGCCCAGGCTGGGGTGCAACAGTGCGATCTCGACTCACCACAACCTCCACCTCTGCCTCCTGGGTTCAAGTGATTCTCCTGCCTCAGCCTCCTGAATAGCTGGGATTACAGGCATGCACCACCACGCCTGGCTAATTTTCTGTATTTTTAGTAGAGACAAGGTTTCACCATGTTGATCAGGCTAGTCTTGAACTCCTGACCTCAAGAGATCCGACCACCTTGGCCTCCCAAAGTGCTGGGATTACAGGTGTGAGCAACTGCACCGGGCTCCTAACTGAGAATTAATAGTACTAGTTACTATGTTAAAAATGGACTACAAGTGACCAATTAGTCTCCATTCTGGGGTTATATAAAAGCAGGAAAGTGGTAGATAAGAAAATTGTCGCGGGGTACAGTGGCTGTTCCTGTAATCCTAGCCACCCTGGAGGCTGAGGCAGGAGGATCACTTGAGGCCAGGACTTTGAGACCAGCCTGGGCAACATAGTGAGAACTTGTCTCTAAAAAAAAAGAAAACTGTCATTTTAGGTCATTCCTTATAAGATGCTGATTCTCTGTGCTAGGTATCTATGCAGAAAAGTCTCATTTCGTAGTAATTGATTCACATATTATTGCAAAGTATATTTTGGAAAATAAGCCGATAAAAGCTAGTCACTATATCAGAATGTGCTGTACATTGTTGAGCTTTCTGCCTGCTGCATTCTAATTCTCAGAATGACTGCCAAAGAGCCAGGCTGACCAAGAAGTTTAACCTCAACGGGAAACCTCACACCGGACTGATATACTCATTTATGCCCCAGACAAATGCCCCTTAGATACAAATCAAGAAATTGTTTGTGTCCCACTAGTAAGTGGGTCATACATTTCCTAGTAATGCTTTAGGTGAGGATAGATTTTTTTTTTTTCTGGTACACAGTCCACTAGTTCTTACTTGTCTTTGCCCTGTAATATGAGTTAAAATACAACTCCCGTGATGAGTGGGTCATTCTAGCCATGATACTTCCCTGTGACTGAGTTTTCAAACACTCACTGCTCCCACCTTCCTCACGGCCTTGGCTCAGCCTACTTCTTTTGCTTCAAATACCTCTGCAGTAGGGATTCTCAACCTCAGCGGCACAAAAACATGCAAAACATAGGTGCATTTGTCTAATATAATTGGTTTGCTGTGCAGGTTTCTCAAAGCTTCCCAGGTTGAAAAGCACTGCTGGACAGCAGAGTCTTGGAGGCTGGCCCATGAACTCTGGCATTAGCCTCAACTGGGTGAATTGTGAGAAATCCAGGCAGATTGTCAGAATAGACTTACAAAGTTAGGATCTGCTTGGGGGCCCCAAGCGATTCTTAGGAACACAGATGTTTGAGAATCATTGCTCTGAAGGCTGTCAAAAGCCTGCAAGTCAAACTCCACTTCTTCCATAAATCTTTGCCTATCTCCACTCCAATTCATCACTTTGTGTGTCCATGAGTGTATTTTGTAAGAGGTAGAATGCTTTGGCCACTTTCCAGTTTTTGTTGGGTTTGCTTCTATTGCATTTGCAGTGTGCAACCTTTTCCCTCTTTCTCACCTTTCAAGCAGTAGAATGTGGCTACGAGGGGGTGGGACAGCTTAGTCCATTGTTTTATATTTAATAAAGAAATCGGCCAGGCACAGTGGCTTACGCCTGTAATCCCAGCACTTTGGGAGGCCAAGGCGGGTGGATCACCTGAGGTCAGGAGCTCCACACCAGCCTGACTGACATGGTGAAACCCCGTGTCTACTAAAAACACAAAAATTAGCTGCGCATGGTGGCGCGCACCTGTAATCCCAGTTACTTGGCAGGCTGAGTCAGGAGAATTGCTTGAACCCAGGAGGTGGAGGTTGTAGTGAGCCAAGATCATACCATTGCACTCCAGCTTGGGTGACAAGAGCAAAAAATCCATCTTAAAAAAAAAAAAAAAAGAAAGAAAGAAAAGAAATTGCCGAATAAATTCAGTGCCAAAGCATAGTCTTTCCAGGTCTGGGCCAGAGATATTAAACAGACCTTAGAAAATGGCAGCTTCTGTGTGAAGTCCTCTGTGAGCTCTTTCACACTGAGGAAGAGTCGTCCTAATGTGTGTTAAAAGGCACAGAGCTGTTGGCTTAAACGCAGCTGAAACTACTGTCCAGGGTCACAGCACAGACACCAGTGATAAGTCTTTTGCCCAGTGAGGAGTGGCTGAGGCTGCAGGGCGGAAAGGGTGGCACCCTCAAGCGTGACAAAGGGATACATCTGGGAAATGAAGAGTTCCTGCTCACAGACGAGCAGGTCTCGAAAGTCACGGGCTCTGATATGGGCCTTGTCTGAACAGGAAAACCAGGACATCTCATCTGTCAGGTCTGCTTTAGAAGAAAAGAAAAGAAAAAAAAATACTGACTGAAATATTGCTTACTTCCTAGAGAGAAGGACACATTCTTGGATTGAACCCCAAAGGATGTTGAACTTAACAAGGATGTCAGAACTAACCCCACCATATTCTGGGACCACTTGCTTGCTAAGAACTAAAAGTCACTTAAACCAGTTAAATAAAAGAGAGTTGATTTTAAAGATGCCATGGCTGTACTTCATTCTATGTGGTCATTTATCAGTGTTGTGATTAGCAAGTTGTGCTCCTGTGAGCTCACACATTAGGTTTGCAATGTATGCAAAATCATTTGGTAGCTTTCTGAAAGAGAAGAGGTGTTGAAAGTTTTGGTGTCTGCAAAGTGAATGAGACTCTTTTCTTAAAAATTTCCAAACATGAAAATGTCTTTTTATTTCTTGGAGAAAAATAAATTCACATTTCCAAATGGCATATATCAACATCATAACATCATAACAAGTAGAAAATTTCTAACAGAACAACAGACATTTTATTAAATAAGGTAATAATGTATGCATAATGCCCACTACCTAATAAAAGGCTTTTAGGAAAATCAGTCAATCATCTTTGTTTTCTAGCGTAGCTAGGAATTATAGAATGAAATCTGAGAAGTTGTGAACGTATCTTTTTCTTCTTATAAAGATTAAAAAAATACAGCATTTCCAATTGCCTGCTATGAGATTTTCTAAGTATTCATAATAGGCTTTTGGAAATATTTTCCTGTTTCCTGTTTGAATATTAATTAGTTACAGAATATTAATTATATTATTTATAATTATATCCCATAATTAATATAATTATAAAATGTTAATAAATTGATGGCCATTAACTACGATATTATTGTAGAATGTTAATTAACTGTGAAACTGATTCTATGTTCAGAAAATTTAGGTGGCAGGAGTTGCCACAATCTATTTTTCTGCTCAGTTTTTATTCTAGAGTTGAAAGAAGAGGACTTTGCATGGTCATTTTCTTTACTTGTTTCATTTCTATCAGGTTAAAATTTTGGGGGCTAAATGCACTTCAAGTACCTTTTTTTTCTTTCTGTTTATTTATTTCGATAGCTTTAGGGGTACAGGTTGTTTTTGGCTACATGGATGAATTACGTAGTGATGAAGTCTGAGGTTTTAGTGCACCAGCCACCCAAATAGGTACACTACACCTGATATATAGTTTTTTTATTTCTCCCTTCTGTGTTTCCTGTGTCTATTATACCAAGCTGGATGCCTTTGTGTACCCATAGCTTCGCTCCCAATTTAAGTGAGAACATACGAGTTACTTTACTTAGAATAACGGCCTGTACTCCAGAGACTAACTTTTTAAAATGCTGTCCACTTTGCCCTGGCTACCAGGAAGCCTAGAGAGACATTTCATTTTCATTGGCCACAACTCAGGGACCCTGGGGACCTGGGAGTTTGAAGATGTTATTTACCAATTTCTTTTACTGTCTTTCAGTGCTTTTTGTTTGTTTGTCTGTTTGTTTTCATTTAAAAAGTTGTTCGGTTTTTTTATGCTTTTTTTTTTTGATTCGGAGTCTCACTCTGTCACCCAGGCTGGAGTGCAATGGCACAATCTCAGCTCACTGCAACTTCCACCTCCCGAGTTCAAACTATTCTTCTGCCTCAGCCTCCCAAGTAGCTGGGATTACAGGTGCCCGCCACCACGCCGGCTAATTTTTGTATTTTTAGTAGAGATGAAGTTTTACCATGTTGGCCAGGCTGTTCTCGAATTCCTGACCTCGTGATCCACCCGCCTCGGCCTCCCAAAGTGCTGAGATTACAGGCGTGAGCCACCGCACCTGGCCATATGCTTTATTTATTTCTTATTACTTTTTTTTTTTTGAGATGGAATGTCACTCTTGTTGCCCAGGCTGGAGTGCAATGGCTCAGTCGCGACTCACTGCAACCTCCGCCTCCTGGGTTCAAGCAATTCTGCCCAGGCTTCCGAGTAACTGGGATTACAGGCGTCCACTACCATGCCTGGCTAGTTTTTTTATATTTTTAATAGAGACGGGGTTTCACCATATTGGTCAGGCTGGTCTTAAATTCCTGACCTCAGGTGATCCACCCCACTTGGCCTCCCAAGTTGCTGGGATTACAGGGGTGAGTCACCGTGCCCGGCCTCTCTCTCTCTTTCTTTCTTTCTTTCTTTCTTTCTTTCTTTCTTTCTTTCTTTCTTTCTTTCTTTCTTTCTTTCTTCTTTCTTTCTTCCTTCCTTCCTTCCTTCCTTTCTTTCTTTTTCTTTCTTTCTTTCTTTCTTTTCTTTTTTCCTTTTTCTTTCTTTTCTTTCTTTCCTTTTTCTTTCTTTCTTTCTTTTCTTTCTTCTTTTTCTTTCTTTCTTTTTTTTTTTTTTTTTTTGACAGAATCTCACACTGTCACCCAGGCTGGAGTGCAGTGGCATGATCTCGGCTCACTGCAACCTCCACCTCCTGGGTTCAAGTGATTCTCCTGCCTCAGCCTCCTGAGTAGCTAGGATTACAGGCACCCTCCACTATGCCTGGCTAATTTTTTGTATTTTTAGGAGAGACGGGGTTTCACTATGTTGGCCGTCTCTTGAAATCCTGACCTCGTGATCCGCCCACCTCGGCCTCCCAAAGTGCCGGGATTACAGGCGTGAGCCACCGCACCCGGCCCTATTTCTTATTTCTTATTATTATTTTTAAATTTTAGATTTTAGGGGTACATGGCAGATTTGTTACGTGGTTATAGTGCATGGTGCTGAGGTTTGGGTTTCTAATGATGCCATCACTCAAGTAGTGAACACGGTATCTGACAGGTAGTTTTTCAACCCTTGCCCCATTCCCCACTTCCTCCTTTTGAAATCCCATTGTCTATTGTCACCATCTTTGTGTTCATATGTACTCAACATTTAGCTCCCACTTATAAGTGAAAACATGCAGCATTTGGTTTTCTATTTCTGTGTTAATTCTCTTAGGACAATGGCCACCAGCTGCACCCATGTTCCTGAAAAGGACGTGTTTTGTTCTGTTTTGTGGCTGTGTGTTTTATGCTTTAATTCTGTAAAGCATTTTAAAGTCTTTTTAGAAATAGAATTGAAGAAGAAGAAGAAAGAAAGGACTGTGAAGAAGAAAGAAAGAAGGACTGCGAAGAAGAAGAAGAAAGAAGAAAGAAGAAGAAGAAGAAGAAGAAGAAGAAGAAGAAGAAGAAGAAGAAGAAGAAGAAGAAGAAGAAGAAGAAGAGGAAAGAAAGACGGACTGCCAAGCCTAAGAGTTGGTGTCCTGTGGCATAAACCTCACCACTCAAGTGCTTCTGCTCTGTCTGCTTCCTGACTGGTCCCGCATGTTGAGCACCTGCCTTGTTCAGTAGAGGGTTCTTATGCTAGCATCTGAGGTGTGCGCAAATAGACCCAATTCCCAGATGCATTCACATAGGGCGAAGACTATGCTTACATCCTCCTTCAGTTCTATATTCTGGGAATTATAGAAAAGATTGCACGAAAACCACCTCCCTACACATTTCTAGAGATACACCCCCCAAGCCTCATTGAAACCCAACTGGAAGATTGGAAGATTCTTGATTTTTTTTTTCTGGTTTTTTTTTCTTGAGACAGAGTCTCGCTCTGTCACCTAGGCTGGAGTGCAGTGGCACGATCTCAGCTCACTGCAAGCTCCGCCTCCCGGGTTCATGCCATTCTCCTGCCTCAGCCTCAGTCTGTAGCTGGGACTACAGACGCCTGCCACCACGTCCGGCAATTTTTTTTTTTTTTTTGGTATTTTTAATAGAGATGGGGTTTCACCGTGTTAGCCAGGATGGTCTTGATCTCCTGACCTCGTGATCCGCCCACCTCGGCCTCCCAAAGTGCTGGGATTACAACCACCGTGCCCAGCTTTTTTTTTTCTTTTCTTTTTCTTTTTCTTTTTTTTTTTTTTTTTTTTAGCATCTCTTCGAATTCACTTTCTGAATGCTTTGTTTCATTGTTTGCAAAGGTAGGTGCTAAAACTTATCCATGTTTGGTGAAGTGGAAATCAATGCAGCCGTTTTGGAAAGCCATTTGATAATATTTAAAAACAAAAATGCATATCTATTTGTCTATGAAAAGAACCTATAAATGCACTTCCACATGTACTGAAAATATATTGTAAAACGATTTTCACTGCAGATTTTTTTTTATCATAGCAAGCAACAGAAACAGCCTAAATGTCTATCAATAGATGGACCAGATAATGTTTTATGGCTCATTCATAACATGGAAACATATGAAGCCATCAAAGAGAAAAGGTAGATCACAGTTTTCTGCAATGGAAGAATACATTACAAAATAGAAAAGGCAAACAGTAAAGGGAATGTGTATAGCATGCTACCATTTTGTGGGAAAAAATTATATACATATTTGCATATTCATAGATAAATGTAGAAGGATATACATACAATAAACATACAGGGTGTACATACAATAAGCTGTTCAAATATGTTCAGTATCACAGCAAACAACTAGAGTGTAAAGTGGCTCTCCTGTCATTGTCTACCCTTTTGTTGTCTTTAAAACTTTCATGTGTACTTTTTATCAGCAAAAAGAACACAACAAATAAATGGCTTTGTCTTGCATGTATCACACATGTATGAACAAAAGATCTGGTGTCAGACTGAATTCAAATACTAGCTCTGTCACTTGCCAGGAACCTTGGGAGCCTCCCTAAGAGCTCTGTAATTCACTTGCAGTGACCACCTCATAGCACAGGGTTACCATAAGGATTGAGCTACAGAATACACATGAAACAGTCCAGCCAGGGCACAAATGTATAGTAATAATAATAATAATAATAATAATGACATTTAACATTTATTTAGTGCTGACCATGTACCTGGGTTGTTTTAACAGTTTTACATAGATTAATTCATTTAATTCTTATAAAAACCCTATGAAATGGGTACTATTTTCATCCTAATTGTACAAATGGGGGAAATGAGGCACAGAGAGATGAACTAACTTGCCAAAAATACACAGCTGGTAAAGGGTAGAGCTGGGATCAAACCAGGTGGTCTGGCTTCAAATCTAGGCTCTTACCCACTTACAGAATGGCCTTGAACCTGCTGGGCAAAATGTTAAGGCTGGTGAGAGAGTGGGTCAAGCTTTCAAGAGAAATGCTGGAAATATTTGTAACCAACTTATAAGCTCATGGAAATGCTTTCCCATCTGACACCAAGCCAGAATGTGATAATCAAAATGACACCTGGGTGTGTCTAGTGGAGTATGTGAGGACTTTCCCCCCTGTCTTTGTGACTCTGGAGTTACTGGGGAATCACTACTTTGGGCTGAAGCCAACAGGGATCATGGAGTAGGGAACCCTGTCTTTTATGCATCTACCATCCAACAGACAAATACTTAATAGGCATGGAAGACCTGCCCTCTTAATGAGGCTCCTCCCGGTGACATGGTTCTGTCAGAAGGACTTATCTCAGGAGGTATATTGAGTTTCTCATGGCTGTTGAGACCTGGTATTTTCTTTTAGGTAAGCATTTCTTTAATATTTAACCCAAATTCTCTCAGTTGAATATTTAACTCAATTCTAATGTGTTGTCTTTGCTAGAAGAATAGTTGGTCATTGGCCTCACTCTATCTTCAAATGAAGTGCCCTTGAGAACATGATGAGTTTAGCCACTGATGGTCCTTGAATAGGCTGATGCCAAAACATCTTAGGTCCTCCCTGGTAGAGTGTTTTCCTTTCTTTCTTTCTTTGTCTGCAGAATTACCCAGAATTATCTAAATAATCATTCCCCACATCACCATTATTGACGAAGTGATTAACCCTCACTTGAATTCATTTTGGAAATCCCCATTTTCCTGTGCCAACCCCTCTCCACTGTTCCAATGTTCCAAACTATTGA
The DNA here is from genome assembly GCF_000001405.40 of Homo sapiens. NCBI lineage: Eukaryota > Metazoa > Chordata > Mammalia > Primates > Hominidae > Homo > Homo sapiens. The sequence goes on from NC_000018.10 coordinate 3,492,705, forward strand.
TCAGTTTTCACTCTCTCTGCAAGATGCCCTGGATTTCATTTTGAACAACCTGCTGGTCAAGGTATCCCTGGTGCATTAACTCAAAACTAGACACACAGGCACCAGCTCCTTGGAAAGGATCCCTCTTCAGTCATTCCAGACTCATTTCCTTGCTTGACTAATGTTGAGGAAAAGTTCAGGAGCCCTTGAGTTGTTTTCATGTTTGCCAAACTCAATGTTGGAAGTGCCAGGCTCACCAAGACCTCCCAGGTATTGCTCCGGCCAGCGGCCAGGCTGCAGAGAAGAGAAAAGTTAAACCCCTCCTCAGTAAAGGAAGCAGGACTTTTTTCCAGGAGCATGTTGAGGAGGAGGGGCTTCTCAAGAAATATGTTAAATTAAACCAAACAGGAAAGGAATCTAAGGGTAAATGATTTAAACTATCCCCTTTTCACTTTTGCTCAAGTTCTGTCTGTGAAATTTGCTTCTTCTCTCACTTGGGAATTACAGACAAACATCATATTGGCTGAGGTTATAAAGCATATTAGATTTTATTCTAGAAAGGAAATGGTGTGACAAATCTGGTATTTTTAAAAAATGTCACATATAGCAGTACACATTTTCATATAGCAAGTGTTTATTCCCTAAGACACACACACACACACACACACACACACACACACACACAGAGTAGAATATTTTTATTGAAACCTGGGGAGATGTTTCTTCGACAATACCTTATGGGGACAACTATTGTATCTTCCAGCTCCTTAAATGTTCCTGCTTACTTTTCATAATTGAAATTGCTCAGAGAAAGAAGGAAGTGTTCATCAACTGACAACTATATATGCAAATCTCTGAAGGGTAGCTATGCTGGAATGGTTTTTATTTGTAGAGCATTGGTCCTCACAAGCAGTAAAAGCATCTGGATTTAAGACTACAGAAATCTGAAATTGTTGCTTATAATCTCCTTGTAGAGTCAACAGGAAGAATGCATTTTCCCCCTCAGTAACAGAAGAGAAAACGCAGGCTCTATTTGCTCCGACTTCCCCTTTTCCAAAGTGAAAGGAAGAGTTTTTCAACTGAAGAACCTCTTCATTGAGATCTCAAAAGAAGCTTGCTAATAACACTAATTTATCGATCAAGTTTCCAGATGAAATTAGCACCTACTTCTTCAAGAAGACAGACAAGAAGTGTGAAGAGGGAACGTGGCAATCATAATCAGCACTAGTGAAAATATTCTGCCCCATGAATAGCAACAGTTCAATCAGCTGCGTGGTAGAGCTTGAGCTGGCATTTATGAAAATGTTTGCTTGCTCTCAGCCATTTTCTCTAAGTTGAGGCCTGTGCTCATTTACAAAGAAGACCTATTGGAATAATCCCTTGGCTGTCTAAGTCGAGACACAGGAATCAGGAATCACACTGGAGCTTCACATTCCTGTGATTTTCTGATGACGCCTTCCTGGACCAGCAGCAAACCCAGAGGACAGCATACGACTAGGGGGTAGCACGCTATTTCCCATCTCTATGCTTTATGGGAGAGGATGAGTGACTTACAGTCACTGTAAGTAAACTTGCGCTGGTAATTGAATTAGAGCTGAGAGAGGGTTTTCAGACAGGGCCACTAGTTTGTTTGCAAAATGAGTTGATTCGATCTTGGCTTAGCAGCTGCAAGTCAAACAACCTATTGAGCAAACCCAAGGTAAATTTCAGCACCCTTTAGTATCAATGGCATTCGAGAATGAACACATTCAGACGCTTTGATTTTTAAGATGTCATTTATTTAAAGCAAAATCAGTTTATATTCTCAAGGGGTGGATTTCAAAGATATAAAAAGAAAAGTCATTTTCGGAACAAACAATTTTGTTCAATTTCTATATAAAACCTAAATTACACTTTTTTTTTTTTTGGAGAGTAGACTCTGTGATATGGGAAATGGCTTCACTGAAATTCAGATTTCTACATGCAAAAGCTGACTCATTTTGTTATGGGATTAGCTAAAATGTTTAAAGAGCCCCGATGAAACAGATGAACTAATTTGTGAAAAGGCAAAAAGTGTAATCACGGTTCAGACTACATGAATAGTCAGTGCACGAACCAAAGCGATGAGGCCTTTGTAACCTCACAGAGATTCAGTCACCTGATCATTCCTCTTTCAAAGCAGTTTCAAAAGTACAGTGTGTTATTCTGGTGACTGGCATAGGTCTTGCTTATGTACAAAAATCAGAAAAAGTGGCTCCTGTGCTTACTAATTTCCAAGGTTGTTGCATGTCGGTGAAAAGTTGGTGGGGATTAGGACAAAGCACTGTGGAAACAAATTTTAGAGTTGTGGCATTTTCAGGCAACAAATAAGTGCAAGTCCACATCATAAAAAATTCTAATTTACCCTTTTTGGGGGTCAATTTGTATTTTTTTTTTTTGAGACAGAGTCTCGTTCTGTCACCCAGGTTGGAGTACAGTGGTGCGATCCCAGCTCACTGCAGCCTCCACCTCTTGGGTTCAAGCGTTTCTCCTGCCTCACTCAGCCTCCCGAGTAGCTGGGATTACAGGCATGTGCCACCATGCCTGGCTAATTTTTGTATTTTTAGTGGAGGCGCGGTTTCACCATGTTGGCCGGGCTGGTCTCAAATTTTTGACCTCAGGTGATTCACCCACCTCGGCCTCCCAAAGTGCTGGGATTACAGGCGTGAGCCACTGCGCCTGGCCAAATTTGTATTTTTTTATATAAAGTAAGGTTTACAAATATGACCTAAATGAAAACCAGATAAAATTGACAATGGCAAATAATTACCAATTTTAAATGTGGCAAGAATGACAGAGACGGCACTAAAGGAGCTCAATAAAGCCTTGGGTTCTGGACTCAGATCTGTCTTTTAATCATTGTGGCACATTGGGCAAGTCACTAAACCTCAGTGAGGCACAGTTTTTCATTATTGCAAGGATGGAATGGAAGCCACAAAGCATTTTTCTGATTTTCCCTACACTTGAGAGTTGTGTAGGAAACAAAGTGGATGAAATGTATGCAAAGAAATCAAAGTAGGTAAAACTGACATGAATTTGCACATTTGAAAGGCTCATCACTCCTTCATAAGATAGACAGTTATTCTCAGCTTCTGAACTGAAACTTCACGAGTGGGATTATCAGAGTAAAAGGACTTTTTAGTTCTTCGGTATTGAAACCCCTTTAAACAGGATGTAAGTTCTCCCTACGTCATCAACAACGAATAGCACACGTGCTGTACAGTGAAAGTTAGAATGATACGCTTCTTAATTGCAGAAGTATTCCCGTCAAAAGACAATAAAGCATATTTTGGAAGAAGTGGGACTCTAGTAAAAACACACAGACCTGAAAGCAGTGCATTAATTATTTTATTAATTTCTTCTTTTTACATTATGGGAAACATTCATCTATTTACAATATTTTTTTGTTCACACACAATCTAGGTAAATAAGCCTATGAAATTCCAATTCATAAAGCCATAAAAATGTTCCCACCCCTCCATCTGAAGGCTTTCAAATGAATCTTTTTTTTCCAAACCAAAATAATTTTTAAAAATTACATTTGGGAATTCAGATATGCTAGTGATTTACATTCCAGTTATTTAAAATATGCATCTAGACATGTTTTAAAAAAGAAATGGTAAATTCACAAGGATAAGGCTTAAATGAAAGTGGTAATGCACAGTAAAACATTAAGGAAACATCTATAAATAACAGAAATATATTACAATAAATTAGTTCTATTTACCATTTCAAATATTAAAAATCTTTAATCCATTTCTTCATCTCTCTTTACAAAAAGGTTATGTGAATTGTATGGAAACATCTGCAAAAAATATAATAAATACTTAATTTCTTTGAACGTTTTTTGATGTGGGAGACAAACTTCTTTTGTAATCCCCCCCTCCCCAAGAAAATGCCCAACACCTTTATACCAAAGTTAAACAAAATAAGTAATTTTTCAGGGTACATACATTTTCCATTACGAACTAAAAAACATTTCTACAAATTACATCAAAAAGAACAATGTAACAAAGGTTATGCTCATGAATGTCAGTTTCAGGGGTCAAGCAGCATTGTGTGGGGTCATGTTCTAACACCAATAATTAGCTTTTTATAAAGTGTTTGTACAATTTAAATTGTATTTTCAAGGAAGGCAAAGATCATGATGCCCTGTAGGCCTTGAGCTAAAAGATTTAAAATTCTTACCAAAAATAGCTTATGAATATACAAATGCCGTTCACTTAGACAAGATAAATAGGCCTTCTCTTGTCTCTCTTTAAAATATCATGGGCTAAATTAGTTTCCAAAGAAAATATTGTAGGATGATCTTGAGTCGTATTAGAAATCTATTTCTTAATCCAAATCTCAACTCTACCTCAGGGCACGGAGCTGTAATTGTGAGCATGGGTCTTGGGATGAACGCTGCTTCTTTCATATTAATCTGTGAGTTCCAAGTCATTCTCAGTATTGAATGTGACCATAGGCTACCCAAGTGGCAGTTGGCCCTACTCGATGCAAGCTTTGTGTGACTTTTAATTGCTGCTACAAGGTAAAGAAAAGGTGTATTCTTTTTAAAACTAGCAAATACTTGAAGCTCAAAATCTCTGTATGCTCCAATTTCACAAAGCACTTTGAGTGCTTTGTTCACCCTAGTTAAAAGTTGGTTCGTTGGTTTCAAAATAAGTGAGTAGCCCTTTTCTTGTAAACCACAGCAGTAAACATTTGTGCCCTGTTTATAAAGGTAGCTCAAAGCATCGATGGCTCTGAGAGGTAGCGAATTCTCTAGTGGTTTTAGAATATGTCCGTGAAAATATCTGTTGCTAGAACCCATCACCTCTCTTAATTTCATAAGTAAAATTAAATTAGCACCTGGCTATGAGAGTGTATTATTTTAAAAAGCTTCTCTGGTGCAAGCATGTTTGATGTATGTTTTTAAAAGTCTTTCGTTTTTAATTTCTAATGCTTTAGGATGTTAGCTGGACATAAAATGCCATTGATACTTAAGATTGCCACATCCTAAGTGTTTAAACTGTGACGAGTAAGGGCATTTAAAGACAACTTCAGCTAGACACCGATGCATACTGCCCATCAATCAAGACTAAAAATCTAAATCAACACTCTCTGCCAAAAGCCTTGACTTCTTTCAGTGTTTATGAATCATGACTCCCCCCACCTCTTCATGGCTGTTGACCCTGGCAGGTCGAGTTTCTTCTCTCACTACCTGGAACCTCAAGATGACAGCGGCAGCTCTTTTGAATGAGGCAGCATGTCTATTGGGGCAAAAATTTATTTTAGCCATTTGACACAGGACAGAATCCTATGCTAGGTATTACTGGACTCTGCAGTAGTGAGAGGAGATGAAAGGAGAAAATATATCTGAAATACGAACTACTTGGGTTAAAATAGACGGATGTGTAGCATTCAAAGGGATGGTAGGAAAACCCAAACTCTTCTCCAAAAACAGCCTTGCTGCCATTTACAGCGCTTTATAAGCAGATATGTACTTATATATGTGGAATCAGGTAGGCCCACCTGGATGGACACTTAACAAATTAATAGAACCAACACTTTCCCTTTAAAAACAGCCGCCACGACAACAATATAAATATACACAGTACAATAAGAGTTGAGAAAACATTTCAGGTCTAGATTTTCTTAATAATAGAACAAAAAAATCCCTTATGTAGTATACTAAACCATCAGTGCCTCCTTTGCCTTGCTTCATGTTATTGCCTTTCAGAATAGATTAATTTCCCTGAAAGATCGAATTTACAATCTTCTGCTGATTGAGACATTTGAAGCTGTGATTGATGAAGTAACAGTGAGGCAGTTTGTGCAGCTGTGAGTGTGCAGGTGCCCCCAGCACCTGCAGATTTCGCTTCTCCCATCCTTGCTACACATCCAGGTCCCCCACCCCCAGGCCAGGCTTGGTCCCCTCTCTCTGTGTCCCTCATGGATTCCAGTGAGATGGTGTGATTTCTGAGGTTGGGAATAAAGTGCTCCATCTGCTTTTTTAAAAGAATAACCATTTAGGGGAAATAAAGGGAATCGGAGGCCTAGTTTCTTTCACGTGGAAGACGGTAAGTCCCAAAGGATCACCCTGTGATACTGGATTTCTGAAATACCCTATGGTTTTATATTGCTGAACAGACTAGCTCGAGAGAACTGAGGACGGCGGGTGACCTAAAGGCATCACTTCTACACAGGTGGGTTTGGCTTTGCCCAGAAAATAAAGGGTTGGATCTCAGTATGAGGCAGGGCGACGGCATCAGGACAGGGGGCGAAGCTCGGTGAAGAAGGAGATGGGCAAACGGGTACGGGAAGTGGGGGGCTGAGGGGGGCCCGGGGGGCGGCTCCTGCGAGGTGGACAACTACACCGCGACAGTGGAAGTCACCGAGCTCGGGAGCGGACGGGCTCGGAGGGGGAGAGGCAGCCGGCAGAGGAGCGGCCGGGGGAGGAGGGGACAGATGCTTGGCGGCGGCGGCCGGGCTGCGGGGCGCTCAGAGCCGGGTCTGCGCCTCGGGGATGTAGATCTCGATGCTCTCGGCGCTCTCGGTGGCCGAGTTCTGGCGGACGGACGCGGCGCGCTTGGCGGCCATCAGGCGCTTGCGGGCCTCCTGGCGCTGCGAGCTCTCCAGCGAGCGCTCCCGGATCAGCGGCGCGGGGCCCTTCGCCGGCTTCTTTGGCACTGGAGGAGGGGCCCTTCTCTCCTGATCAAAGCAGAAGGTTCAGGACATTACACAGCTTCTCAGGACAAGCTTGGGAAAAACTGGGATAGGTCAGTAGTTAGAACACACAGTTTTTTACCTAGGGGTGGTTAGTTCTGATCTGCACACTGCATATCTACTTTTTTCTTCATTATTCTGGCTTGGGCATTCAAAAGATGCAGAAAAAAAAAAATCCCGGTAAGCTTAAGGCCCAGGGTAAGGCTGGGTTGCAGAACTAGGTCTCTCCAAGGGAAGGAAGTGGGTATTTTAAAGGCCCCCTGCGGAAAGCCTGCGGCTCCCAGCACATTGAGTGCGGTTCTCTCTGGAGACTCCAGACTCCTCCTGGTGCCAGAGATGGGCCAGGAAGCAGCGGCTGCAGCAGCATCTTAGAACCCCTGCATCCCCTCTAAGGATGCAAGTCACCGGGTGCAAGCTTGGTTCAGAGCTTAAAAACATCTCCGCTCTGTCCCCGGCCCGCCCACCGTCCCCTTCCCACCAAACCTAAATAAACAGAGGAGGAAGAAGAGATATCAGATTGTGTTCTTTAGCTTTGTTGGTGCTACACCAGGTTAGACCCTTTTGCACACCACACACGAACACACAAGCAATATACAATATACAGGGTCACGGGAGAGGGAGGCCATTGATATTTCCTACACTCGAGAGTTAATTAAGTCAGTTCCAAGGTGACTCTGACTAGGGGCCTCGGGATAACTGTGGTGGCCCAGGAAGCAATTCCAATCACAGGGGCAGAAACTGTGCCATGAAAAGTTGACACAGGATGAAAGAGGTCATTCCTCTTATCAGCAGCAAACTATGAAATGGGCGGATATTTTCAATGCCACTGCAAAAACAAAAGACAGTCATCTCTTTGGCATTAAAAAAAATGCAGCAGGAAAGAATGGCGTCTAGACCACAAAGGATTTTTAGGCAAAGAAGGTTGAAGTTGTAGACTGTGAAAGGGTGCACATAAAACTGATGTTTTCATTTTAAATAAAATACCCTCCATTCTCATAAAATGAAGCGTGAACATTATCTTAAAATATAGTTTCGGTGATTCTCCAAAGAGTACTCTTTGTATCTTAACACCAATGCTCAGCACAGCAATTCCTCCCTGCTTGCCAGAGCAAGTGCCTAGTTCAACTTCTCACCCTGGAGCTACCCCACCGGCTGTCTAAGGTGGAGTCTGTGTGGCTTAAAAGAGAAAAAAGGAGAGCCTGGAGTGCAAACTATATTCTCCCAACTCTGATTGTGCTTGTTCATTTTTCTCCTCAGGTTCATGGGGTGATGAAAAGCTCTGATCACAGGCAAAGTCCATTAAAAACCGTAAAAATCAAGCTAACTAATGATTTACTATGTAAATATCAATAGGTTACATATATCAATTCTTAGCATCTCTTCTTTTAGACATTTTAAATCTTCATTGTGGAATAACTCAGTGGATATTTTTAGAAATATGAATATTGGATATTTTTTAGTCATTTTCCTTTCCTTATACATTTGGATTTTTTAAACAATGATTACTATTATTATTATTATTGAGACAAGCTCTCGCTCTGTCACCCAGGCTGGAGTGCAGTGGCGCAACCACGGCTCACTGCAGACTCAAACTCTCCGAGTTCAAGCAATCCTCCCACCTCAGCCTCCCAAGTAGCTGGCACTACAAGTGTGTACCACCACGCCCAGCTAATTTTTGTACTTTTTGTAGAGACGGCGTTTCACCATATTGTTGCCCAGGCTGGTTTTGAACTCCTGGACTCAAGTGATCCACCCGCCTCAGCCTCCCAAAGTGCTGGGATTACAGACATGAGCCACCATGCCCAGCCAACAATGATTATTTAAAAAAAAAAAAAAAAAATTAGATGCATCAGCTCTGGAAACTAAATTACCAGTATGTGTGCATTTGTAGTGTTTTCTTAAAATAAGACTGATTTAAAGCTTATCTAGCAGATAGTTTTAAACACAGATTAAAGAAAACTAGATTGGGTACAAATGTTTGGCTTCCCAAGTGAGAGGCCACATGTACATCAACAGTACTTTCCAACTTAACACTACGACCCCCATTTTGATGGTGACAGAATTGGAAACGGGGGACAGTGATGAGAGCATCACCCTCCTGTCACTTACAGATGGTCCCTTGGGACTGGATTTTTCCTGGGAGACCATTGACCCCAAGAACCCTGAAAACATGATATGCGGTAGCAGAATGGATTAGATTGCTGTTAGCTTTCTGGTAGGTGAGGGGACCTGAAAAGAACAGGGCCACCAGCATTTCAAGGGAACAGCCATTCCAATTTTCAGAGGTTGATTCTCTTGGAATTATTTGACCTGAGGCCATAGGAAAGCAAAGGGTTAAAAAAGTCACGTTTGACATGCCAGCCTGGGGAGCTGGACATTGGATACCCGTGTGAGCCTCGTGGAACACCATAATCAAATGTGAAAATTAGAGTTGATTAATTAAAGTAAAAGAATTTAAGTCTTTATTTCTAAACTGATGCATGAGGACCCCAGTGAGCAATATTCCCCAAGGCAAATCAACCAAAAGCAAAACTGTTTTGAAAAAAAAAAAAAAAAAAAACCCAACATTTATGTAATTACTGTGAAACTTTATGGTATATATTTTTAGACTTGAACAACAGTAATTTCTTTATTACTATATTTATGAAATGATTATCAAAGTCAGTTATTTTTCAGGGCATCCTATTTTTCTTGAAAACACATCCTAGGGGTGTAAGGAAGTTGAACTCTTGTTCTATGGATTCATGCACTGAAGATGTCATTTATTTTAGTTTAAAAAGCAAAATGGAGGCAGTTCCTTCCAGTGACTAAAATGGTTTAACTTAAAGTTTAATTAACAAAAAAAGCCACATTCCCATTTTCCAATTCACAAAGACAGGTTTTTCTTTAAAAATATGCCTGAAACATATTACAGATAATATCCCAAATGATTACTATGTAAACATTGTCATTACAATGAAATTAATATGATATCAGCTCCATTTCACATTGTAAACAGCAGGACTGAATGCAGAAGCCTATTTAGACTGTCCAGTGTTTGTGCAGGTTTTTAAATGAACCATACAAAATCTACATTGTTCTACCTTCTTGTCAAGAGGATCCATCTGTTTCCAATTATTGGCCTTTAACTGATGAAGTTCATCAAATTTCATACTAATATTTTCTATGGACAACTGCAGCATGTCCCAAAACCCCGCCAAATCCTGGGAGGTGGGTCTTGGATGAGCATTAGGATTCTGCACAAGAGAAAGAAAAACATTCATGCTTTAGAAGCAATTCTTGACAAGCACAGGGCCAAAAAGGCATTTTCAAATATTTCAAACAACATAAGGAGGACTAGTTCCTTTTGGTTTTCCGACACGAGGTAAAAGTGAGGTTACAAATGTTAATTTTATACACTCATCCGTTTGAGTCAGTGATTCTCAAATGTCAAGGTTGTAAAACTCTTCTGTTGTGATACCACATCTATCAATTCAATATGGTATGGGGGAAGGGTCTAAACATATGAAAAATTCCAGAATGTGTGATCTACTACAGGACGTATTTTAAAACACCATATTCAAATGAAAATGACATTTCTGAAAAAAAAAATACAGTGTATTATTATTAGAGTTTGTATTCCACTACATGCCATACAATTTATTCAGAGAACAGATAAGGAATCTAAAATAAGATTAGTTTAAATATTCATGTTAAGTAAAACACAAATGATTAGTAATAAAATATTGGATGTTCCAAGCACTATGTGTTTAATAATTAAGATGTTTACTAATATAGGAAGTAATTTTATCATAGGAAGTAATTTTATCATATGACTGCTTTGACAAAATCATTTGAAAATTCATTCATTTTAAATTGACCATAAAATAATATAGCAAATGTGAGAACACATTATCTCTACATACATCTCTACATCTATATGTCTGTAATGACCCATTTGCTAAGTGATAGTAAACATTCTTCAGTGTTTCAGGATTGACTTTCTTTGCCCCATCCACATATCCCTGATACCAGAACATATAAACCTGAATTTATATGCCCTAAGACAGGAAAAACACAGCTAGGAGACTGAAAATATCATACTCTTTGTTAATTACTACCTGCAGCAGTAGCTAAAGGCATTCATGATTAGACGGGTGGCAGCCTCCATATGTCAAGAGATCCTAGCTGGTATCTGTTTTGGTGACCTCTTGGTATTTCAGGCAACTGGACAGACTGTGAAACTCCATGTCCTATGATAACACGAGGCCAGTGTATGCTTTTAAAACTAACCCCTAATAAAAATGATATCAGAATTTTGGAAAGTACAAGGTTGAAGACCATCAAAATAATGGATTGGAAAGACATTTTAAGTCCTTGGGTGCACCAGTATTATTGGCCTACCTCAAAATAAAAATAAATGAAGTCTGGGCGTGGTGGCTCATGCCTGTAATCCCAGCACTTTGGGAGTCCGAAGTGGGTGGATCACCTGAGGTCAGGAGTTCGAGACCAGCCTGGCCAACATGGCAAAACCCCATCTCTACTGAAAATACAAAAATAATCCAGGCACGATGGTGCACACCTGTAATCCCAGCTGCTCAGGAGGCTGAGGCAAGAGAATCGCTTGGACCTGAGAGGCGGAGATTGCAGTGAGCCAAGGTTGTGCCATTGCACTCCAGCCTGGGTGACAAGAGCGACATTCTGTCTCAAAAATAAATAAATAAACAGATAGATAGATAGATATATTTATAAATTTATAGTTCCTAAAGTGCCCAAAAGTTCTAAAGTTCATTAGAAGAAATAAATTTTAAAGTTTATAAAGTTTTTTTTAGTTTACTAAATCAGAATACTACAGAGAAACCCTTTCATTAATTCAGACATCGTTAGAATAGATTTTAATACTGAATCAGACACTTACAAACTTTAAAACTTATTTTTTAAATGAACTTTAGAATTATTAGGCACTTTGGGAACTATAAATTTATAGATATATCTGTTTATTTATTTATTTTTGAGACATAGCGTCGCTCTTGTCGCCCACGCTGGAGTGCAATGGTACAATCTCAGCTCACTGCAACCTCTGCCTCCCAGGTTCAAGCGACTCTCCTGCCTCAGCCTCCTGAGTAACTGGGATTACAGGTGTGTGCCACCATGCCTGGCTAATTTTTGTGTTTTTTTGTAGAGATGGGGTCTCACATTGTTGCTCAGGCTGGTCTTGAACTCCTGGCCACAAGATCCTCCTGCCTCGACCTCCCAAGTGCTGGGATTACAGGTACAAGCCACTTCGCCCCGCCAGTGTTTTCTTGAATGTATTTAACTCTGTATAATGGGCAACTCGTTCCCTTCTCATAAAGAATCTCTTTGCTCCCACATCATTAAGAAGATAGATAGAGAAACAGAGAGAAAGCGTTTAGCCTCAGCCATTCTCCAAATCAGTGAGTCATGTGACATACCATGCACAACAGTGGCAGCTCACTCCTTAATCCAAGACATGCTGCCTTGGAGACCAGAGGTGGGTGCTGGAGGGGAGAGTGGGGAGAGCCAAGGGAGGCTGGGGTCCTTGGTTTAGTTACGTTGGAAGAGGCCAACTTTTGTCTACTCATTCTAAGCCTGGGAGTCTAGTTAGGATAATGAGTAAGTGTTTTCAAAATAGAGCTATGATTTTTCTCCTCAGAATAGGAACTCAAGAAAGGAAGCTGGGTCTGGTTCTGACCAATCATGGTGCCACTTTCATGCAGCTGTGGACCAGGCCACTGTGCCTCCTGGGGCAAAGGAGCATGGAGCTGAGTCTGCTCCATGAGCAGGAGTAGTGAACTCAAATCCTGGGTAGGATGTATAAGGATTGTGGTTGAATAGACTGGGATTTGAATCTTGGCTCTGCCTTTTACCATGGGGCTGTGAACAAGTTTCTTAGCTTTTCCGTGCCCATTTTCCTCATCTGTAAACTGTCATTAAAATGTCACTATCGGGCCGGGCGAGTTGGCTCATGCCTATAATCCCAGCACTTTGGAAGGCCGAGGCGGGAGGATCACAAGGTCAGGAGTTCGAGACCAGCCTGGCCAATATGATGAAACCCTGTCTCTACTAAAAAGATAAAAAATTAGCTGGGTGTCGTGGTGGGCGCCTATAGTCCCAGCTACTCGGGAGGCTGAGGCAGGAGAATTGCTTGAACCCGTGAGGCAGAGATTGCAATGAGCTGAGTTTGCGCCACTGCACTCCCAGCCTGGGCAACAGAGTGAGACTCCCTCTAAAAAAAAAAAAAAAAAAAAAAGTCACTATCAACTCCATGTGTTCTTTTTGAGCATGTAACCAGCCCAGAAATCTAAACGCTTTCAGCAGGGTGTCAGGCACATGTTAGGCTCTTGACTTTTTTCTGGAGGGGCCTGGTTTGACCAGCATTGCGACTGTCTTCCCCCATTGTGCCTCAGTCTACCTAAAATATGAGAAGCACATTTTACCACCTATGCCCTTCTAGTGGCCAAGGAATGTGAGCCCATCAAGAACTAGGAAACATCAAAAGCTGGCTTTAAGGAGGTTAACATTTTCTAGAAATCTGCAAATTTTTGGGCCAGGTGCGGTGGCTCACACCTGTAATCCCAACACTTTGGGAGGCCGAGGAGGGTGGATCACCTGAGGTCAGGAGTGCAAGATCAGCCTAGCCAACATGGTGAAACCCCGTCTCTACTAAAAATACAAAAAATTAGCTGGGTGTGGTGGCGGGTGCCTGTAAACCCAGCTACTTGGGAGGCTGAGGCAGGAGAATAGCTTGAACCAGGAGGTGGAGATTGCAGTAAGCCAAGATCACGCCACTGCCCTCCAGCCTGGGCAACAAGAGTGAAACTCGGCCGGGCATGGTGGCTCACGCCTGTAATCCCAACACTTTCGGTGGCCGAGGCGGGCAGATCACCTGAGGTCAGGAGTCCGAGACCAGCCTGACCAACATGGAGAAACCCTGTCTCTACTAAAAATACAAAATTGGCCGGCTGTGGTGGCGCATGCCTGTAATCCCAGCTACTCGGGAGGGTGAGGCAGGAGAACCTCTTGAACCCAGGAGGCGGAGGTTGCAGTGAGCCGAGATTGCGCCATTGCACTCCAGCCTGGGCAACAAGAGTGAGACTCCGTCTCAAAAAAAAAAAAAAAAAAAAAAAAGTGGAACTCCATGTCAAAAAAAAAAAAAAGAAATCTGCAAATTTTTCAAAACTTTTGTTTGCAATTTCATCTTTAAAATATGTACAATGTTTACACTCTTCTTCATAATATACTTGCTCATCACATATTTCTTTTAACAAGGTATGTTGTGTTTTCCCTGTATCGTGTACACATGGACTTCCTTATGTACCTATTCTTCATGTACATGTTTGAGCAACACGGCTTTATATAAGCTTTCTTATATTTAAAGCACAGAGAATCATGTTAATTGAGATCTGTGACACATTAGCAAGTTTGCAAATTAACAGGAGTTCTGTACCTGGCCCACAGCTGAAGCTTGATAGAATACTCGTTGGTTTAAATTCACTTATTAATACATTTACTAATATAAATGATCTCATAAGCCAGAATAAATTTCTGAAAAATTGGAAGAAGGGTGAGTTTATTTTTTCTGAGAGAGGGAAAACAAATTATAAACGTGTGTGTATGGGGCAGGGGGTGGGAGGGTGTGCGAATAGCCCTAAGGAGAGATTACAAAGAGAAAAGAGGGATGGAGACTACCACCTTTTCCATACTTTATATTTTCTCTCGGTTGATCCCTGTCTACATAAATTTCTTTCAGTCTGTATTTCTCCTTGTTAACAAGAAGTGGTTAAAACTCCAAAACTGGCCAAGTGCGATGGCGTGCCTGTAATACCAGCACTTTGGGAGGCCAAGATGGGAGGATCATGAGGTCAGGAGTTTGAGACTATCCTGGCTAACACCATGAAAACCCGTCTCTACTAAAACAAAACAAAACAAAACAAAACAAAACAAAACAAAACAAAAAATTAGCTGGGCATGGTGGCATGCACCTGTAGTCCCAGCTACTCGGAGGCTGAGGCAGGAGAATCGCTTGAACCTGGGAGGCAGAGGTTGCAGTGAGCCGAGCCGAGATCGTGCCATTGCACTCCAGCCTGGACAACAGAGCGAGACTCCATCTCAAAACAAAAACAAAAACAAAAACAAACCCTCAAAAATCATGCCTGTCAATTGTTGGGGATAAAAGAAAAACAAAAAACCTCTAAGATCATATTTTAAGTAATTTAGATTGCTAATAATTGTCTTCACTTGCCAAAAGGTAAACAAATTGCTTTTCATTTTCTTTGTTTTAGATCCAGCTTGACCAACAATTGAGCAATAAAAGCTATTCTTGAAGGTTTTTTTTTTTTTTTTTTTTTGGAGATGAAGTCTCACTCTGTCCCCCAAACTAGAGTGCAATGAACCTCAGCTCGCTGCAACCTCCGCCTCCTGGGTTCAAGTGATTCTCCTGCCTCAGCCTCCTGAGTAGCTGGGATTATAGGCACCTGCCACCATGCCCAGCTAATTTTTGTATCTTTAGTAGAGACAGGGTTTTGCCATCTTGGCCAGGCTGGTCTCGAACTCCTGACCTCAGGTGATCCGTCTGCCTTGGCCTCCCAAAGTGCTGGGATTACAGGCGTGAGCCATTGCGCCCAGCCTGTTTTGCTTTGTTTTTGCATGTCCAAGAAGGATGAATTCTTCATTTGTTTCAAGAAGATCAAATCTACACTTTGTGATGCCCTTGACTTCTAGCTCTTGAATTAAAACAGAGAACTCAGATTAGGAAATAGTCATTGACTGCTATTTTAGAAAGAAAATCACTATCCAAAATGATTTTTTTTGGGCAATATTATTTTTGAAATATCAAGCTGCTTCATATTTTGATAAGAACAATAAAATCAGAAAAGCTATGTGAAAGCCAGGAAAATGGAAAATTTTCAGTTACAAAAGAAGCAGGAAATAATTTTAACTTGACTGAATTTTTTCTAAGATTATTTAAGTGAAAAATAAATATTTTAATTTTAAGACAATCAGGAAATAAGATTCATCAGAAAATTCTCTGTTCCAAGTGAGAGACTCCAATGGACCTTGACTTGGTTCAAAATCAGTTTTACTTTAGTTGGGCCAGTCTTGGTGACATGTTCTTCTCATGGCACTAGCAGGGAAATTGTAGAAGGAGAGTGTTACCTACCAGGTTTTCTTCACACAGTTCTCTGAACTGGTAGAATTTCTGGGCCATGAGAAGTTGGGCACTGCCCACTGCGGTTCGGATTTTTCCTAGAACTGGAAAGAGCAAACATACGAGAAATTTACACATCATGCTTCATTGTTGAGATTTAGTCTGGTAAAGCAAAGAGGAAGTTATGCTGTAATAATTAGGGAAAATGGCACACACACACACTGAACACTCATGCCCACCCAGACAGCCCAATCACTGTTGTCACCCTGTTGGTCTGTGTCACAGAGGCTCCTGGGTTAAAGTAATAAAATCAACTTGGAAAAACACATGCTCCTCCTGCATATTTCTTGGGAGCAATGGAGTTTTCCAGCACTGATGTTACCAAGAACTGGATGTTACCAAGAGAAGAGGCAAACAGTTGTTGCTTTTTTTTTTTTTTAAACTTCCTTTACCGCAAGGATGAATTTCAAGTGTTTACCAGTATAGCTCTGGATTGATGGAGTCAGCCGTCATGGTCGGCTGGCTTGTTTTTCTAAAACAAGCCCAAACACAAGGAAAGCAGTACTAAACTAGAGGGGGAATCTCTTGGCACTCACCATATCCCATCCACATCCTTTCTTATTTTTCCGGAGCTCAGCCACTGGTACCGTCAGGAAAGAGCTGTGGCTGATTAAAATATTTTCTAAGGAGCGAACATGTTCAGCCTGTGGCCTAGAAAACGCCAGGGCCGTCCCAGCTTTTACACTCTGCAGCCCAATCATTTTGTTAATATAGGGTGAATTCCCTAGGCACTGTGCTGAAAATCTCCGTCTCTGCAAGCAGGCTACTTCTTGTCTCCCCAGCAGTCTAAGGCACCTTTCAGCTGCCTGCAGGCGTGCTCAGACCGAGCGGAGCTGCTTTCCGCTGAGCAATGCCCAGCTCTGCAGTGTCCCTGGGGCTCGCCTGCACCCTTTGGGACTGGGTGCAGCTGCCCTGCTACCCACCAGGGTGTTCTTAACATGCTCTCATGGTCGGGAAGGAATCAAAAACTAGAGCAGGAGAACTTCTCACAAGAGCACTTGCCTCTCTGGAAATCTTCACGGGATGATATAGTACAGGATTTAAGCAATCCTGTTGTTCTGAATTTACGGAGCCAGGTACCCGAGTGGAATAAGCCTTTCTCAACCTCATTCCCCACACATTCTGAGCGACGGAAACTGAAGAATAAGAAACTCCATTCTGGCCCAGGGTTTTCTAGCAATTTGCTCCTTTATTTGTTTTAAACTGCTAGGCTAGATAATGGTTTCTGATGCACATTCTACCTAGGCGTTACTCAAGTATTTCAGCGTTCCCACAAGTCACTCAGTGCATTTATATTTCCTCTAATATGTCACCAGCCACACCAAACAGCTCACAGACAGATATTTGCCCCCTCCCTCCGTGATCTCGAGGGGGTCTCCCTTGACAGCTGTCTAGCAGCAATTTCTTAGGCCTAAGTTTTTAACAATTTTTCTGCTCTGCTTTTAAAATCTCTTGGGATGGTTATCCTTTTCCTCTTTAACTAATAAATCAATTGTGCAAGACCTCCTCTCCTTTTCTTAACATCCCCAGAAAGGACAGCTTATGGAGACACAGGGCCTGAGTGGGCCAGAGTCCTCAATAGCTACTGCCTGGACAAGTCACTATCTCTACTTTCCCATCCGTAAAATGGGGCTAATGGTACCTATCTGGAGGGTTGTTGGGAAGGTTAAAAGCGTTAGTGTATTTGAATTGCTTAGGACTGTGTTGGATTTACAGTAAGTACTTAATAATTATTTGTTATTATCTAGGATCAGAAACCTCTACCTCTTCTATGGGTGTGCCCACTGTGAGAGCCACACTTGCCCTGGCTAGGAGAGAAAAGGAAAAAACAAAGTCTGGATGATCTAAGGTGACTGGACATCTTGGTCTCCTGGGACAGGTATGCTCTCTGGGTGACCTGTTCCAGCTCCAAGAAGGTATATGGAGCAGGCACTTCCTAAGTGAGCATGTGGCTGTAGGTAAGCTCTGAGGTTTATGGAAACCTCTGAATTATCTTGCTGAAGGGTAGGACTGTGAGATCGGCAAATCTCAGAATGAATCCTGGGAGGTTATGACCAGGGTACCTAGGTCTCCACTTTGATGGCTGGGTTCCATAGCTCCTGGGAGCTATCGCAGAAACTCCAGCTATTCTGACTTACCTAAAAACTTTGAGCTGATGGTTCTCAATTATGTCTGATGCCTGAGCTATATAATAGACTGCCATAATAAAAGTAACTGAGTAAGACAGTGATTCTCAAAAGAGGAGACAGCACTGTTCTAAGCCATTATTAGGGCAACATGCAACCACACAAGTTGGGGCTAAGTCAGATGTCTTCTCAAAAGTAAAACAAGGGATATCTTTCTTCATTCAGCATGGCCTGGCAAGAGCCCTGGCAAAGTATCTGGGGTGGAGTTGTGGCCCTTCTCTTTCCCGGGCTTTTGCCGTCATGTTCCTTGCATGGAAATTCCCTACTGGCTCCAGGATACTTGCAATTCCTGTGTCCAGGAGATGACCGTTCCTAGGCCCAGGGTGGGGAGATGACTGCTTGGGCCTAGAATGAGATCATGAAACAGGGAGGCTTGGGAGAAGCAGATGACAACTCATATTTCCTTGTCCTCCACACTTTCTTTTCCGGAGAACTAAAAACTCACTTTAATTTTAAGAAAGAAGCTGTAATGGAGGTTTTTTTTGTTTTGTTTTGTTTTGTTTTATTTTTTTTCCATTAGACACTCACTCTGTGTGTGAGGTAAGTTCTTTCTTCCAAAAGTAAATTTCACATTTGTTGCACATGCCTTGAGGAAGTTGAAATTAATAAACAATAAATGGTAAACACCAGTAGAAGTAAAAAGTGGAAATAAAAAGACTGAAAGTTGATAAAGAAATGAAATGAAGAAGAAAGAAGCATCTCGATGTTGTTTTGAAACTACTCTAAAATGTTCAATACCAACCTTCACGGTGGAAAAAAAAAAAACAGTTGGCTCTCTGTTTCCATGGGTTTTGCATCTGTGAGTTAAACCAATGTTGGGTCTCACTATGTGGCCCAGGCTGGTCTTGAACTCCTGGGCTGAAGCAATCCTCTTGCCTCAGCCTCCCAAAGTGCTGGGATTACAGGTATGAGCCACTGCATCCTGCTGAATTTGTTTTCTTTTTCCCTTTTCTCTCACTCCTATGAAATGAAGCCCTACAGATAAAATATATGTTCTCCACTCCTATCCCATTCCTTTTCATCCCCAGAGGAAACCATTGCAGTAGAGAATGACTATTTCAGTCCCATCACTGAATTCATAAGGTCTCTTTTCTGGTCCTGGAAAGGTGATCGCTAAGGGTCATTTTGAGTGTTAGACTGGGGCAATCTCACCAGCACAGTAGCACCCATAGTCAACATCAGCAGATTTTCTCTGAAAGTTAGAATGGGGGTTTTAAAGCTCTATGGGTGTTGAGTTGATCTCTTTCACATTCTGGTCATGCTTTTTTTTTTTTTACAGATTGTTCAACCCAGATGTGGTTAACAGTTTTTGCCACCCATCTCCCTTAGGGCACATTCAAATGCATCTTACAGAATAATTTTCTCTGCTGTGTCAGCCAGGCAAGCCGTTTAACCATGACTCATACCATCTATTTGTGTAATACTTAATCAGATAATAAGCCTTGTATTGCTGGGCAGTTCTTTTTACATAAGTAAATCTAGCCTCCCCAGACACCGTATAGGCACCTGATGGTGAGGCTTATAGACTCCTCCCTTTCCTTTCTTTCCCCAGCTACTCTGTTAATCTGTCCCTCAGTGGAAGTACAAAACAAAACAGAAAATGCAGTTGAATGGGATTCTTCCTATTTAAGAAGTAAGCACTCTTTATAAACTCCCCCACTTATAATTCTTCAAACCTCTCACCCCACAACAGATATTTAAGAAGACCCACAATAGAGAGTACAGGCCTGGGTTAGTGAATCACATAAAGTCAGGAGGAACTTTTGGGAGGCCTTTGTGAACATGTGTTTACTTAAATTATCATCACTTAGTATTTCAAAACTCACAAACAGGCATCTAATTAGATCCTCGCAGGACCCTGTGAGGCAGAGCAGATAACTTCATTTGAAAAAACTTGTACTCAAACTACAAAGTTTCTTCCCCACGGACATCTGCTGTGGCCAATCCCCGTCTTCTGACCCCAGTCTATTTGGGCTCTCTTCTCTCTAACACTCGCAGAAAATTGCGTCTGAATCTACTTAAGTGGAAGCTATCCGAGTGTGATTTCCTTCTTTTTTTTCTTTACTGTGGTAAGAACACTTAACATGAAATCTACCCTCTTAACAAATATTTAAGTGCACAATATAGTTTTGTTAATGGTGGCGCAGCGTTGTACAGCAGATCTCGAGAACTTATTCACCTTGCATAACTTTAGATCCACTGGACAGCAATTCCCCTTTCCCTTTCCCTCTCCCTCTACATCATGGCACCCACCGTTCCACTCTCTGTTTCCTGAGTTTTGACTATTTTAAGATACATCATATAAGCAGAATCATGCAGCATTTGTTCTCCAGTGACTGGCTTATTCCACTTAGCATATAGTCCTCCAGGCTCATCCATGTTGTTGCATATGGCAGAATTTCCTTCTTTTTCAAAGCTGAATAATATTTCATTGTATGTTTATACCACATTCCATTTATCCACTGAGTGTGATTTCTGTTTATTTATGTGTTTATTTATTTATGAATGAGGTCTCACTGTGTTGTCCAGGCTGGAGGACAGTGGCTATTCATAGGCATGAACATGGGGTCCTATAGCCCTGAACTCCTTGCCACAGCCTTCTGAGCAGCTGGGACTGCAGGCATGCACCACTATGCCAGGCTGCATGTAATTTCTTTATCAACATTTCCCAGCCAGTGCCAATGGATAGGGGTGAGTGGCATAATAAGTCAGTGGGAGAGTTGGAAGAAATTCGCCAAGCCTGATCACTGTCCCACATTAGGAAGCAAGAGCAAAGCACATCCATCTACCTGAAGTGACTGGCAGGCAAGGCAATTTCAATCCTGAACAGAAAAGAGGAACCAGGGACACCTTGAAAGAGATGGTGGGTGTTTCAAGCTCTTTTTTTCTTTTACAGATTATGTGTCATAATGAGAAGCAGAGAACAACTATGTTGGCTGTGGGAAAGGGGAGTCTTTTATGCAATCTATGATTTGAAATCTCCTGACTACATTCAAAGACCCAGCCATTTAGAAGAGAGCATACCTCCTCTTTCCCACTGACCTCTGTGGGATAGGTTGTTATTTTGAGAAAAGGAGGTAGTATAAGAGGCACAAGGATGAAGAGAAAAAACACTTTCCTTTAACCCTCCCAGTGGGTCTATGGCAAAGCTGCAAGGAGTTTCAGTGTGCTGGTGATCTTTTTGCTGAGTTAAAATCAGGATTACAAATCCTTAAGCATAATTAGCATATGCATCCTTTCCTATTTCAAGAGGAGTTAGGTCTCTAGAACTAAAAAGGCAGACGTGCTCATTTCTCTGACTGCTTCTTTTTTTTTTTTTTGAGACAAGAGTCTCACTCTGTCACCCAGGCTGGAGTGCAGTGGCACGATCTCGGCTCACTGCAACCTCCAACTCCCGAGTTCAAGTGATTCTCCTGCCTCAGCCTCCCGAGTAGCTGGGATTACAGGCATGAGCCACTGTGCCCTGCCTCTCTGACTGCTTCTAATTCTTACATGATGCTACACCTAACTCCACGATCATCAGACCTTACTTTAAGGCCTCAGAAACAGAGAAGAATAGACATATTTCTTATACCCTCAAAGTAGGTTCCCTGAAGCCTGGATACGACAGACACCCCTGCAATGGATTACCTCTGACTGGCTCCCCGTGGTGAAGGTTACTACGGTAGATATGCTACATAGAACTCGTCACATTTTTCTGCCACCTACACTATAATTCACCTAGTATGTTTCATTTTAGTCTAACTTTCTCTCTGGGCAATACAGGCATGCCTCAGACATATTGTGGGTTTAGTTCCAGACCACTACAATAAATGAATATCACAATAAAGTGAGTCACATGAATTTTTTGTTTCCCAGTGCATATAAAAGTTATGTTTACACTATACTGTAGTCTGTTAAGTGTGTCATAGCATAATGTCACAAAAAAGTACCTAATACTTTATTGCTAAAAAATGCTAATGGTAATCTGAGCCATCAGCAAGTCATAATCTTCTTGCGGAGGGAGGGTCTTGCCTCGATGTGGATGGCTGCTGTGATCAAGGTGGTAGTTGCTAAAGGTAGGGGTGGCTGTGGCAATGTCTCTTTTTAAAATAAATTTTTTTTTCACTTTGTATTTTTTGTAGAGACAGGATCTCGCTATGTTGCCCAGGCTGGTCTCAAGCTTCTGGCCTCAAGCGATCCACTCATCTTGGACTCCCAAACTGCTGACATTACAGGCATGAGTCACTGCCCCGGCTGGCTGTGACAATTTTAAAAATAAGACAACAATGAAGTTTGCCACATCAATTGACTTTTCCTTTCATGAAAGGTTTCTCTGTTGCGTGCAATATTTGTTTGACAGCATTTTACCCACAGTAAAACTTTTTTCAAAATTGGAGTCAAGGGGCCGGGCGCGGTGGCTCACGCCTGTAATCCCAGCACTTTGGGAGGCCAAGGTGGGTGGATCACGAGGTCAGGAGATCGAGCCCATCCTGGCTAACACGGTGAAACCCCGTCTCTGCTAAAAAATAGAAAAAATTAGCCAGGCGTGGTGGCGGGCACTGTAGACCCAGCTACTCAGGAGGCTGAGGCAGGAGAATGGCTTGAACCCAGGAGGCGGAGCTTGAGTGAGCCAAGATCATGCCACTGCACTCCAGCCTGGGCAACAGAGCGAGATTCCATCTCAAAAAAAAAAAAAAAAAATTGGAGTCAAGGCTGGGCGTGGTGGCTCACGCCTGTAATCCCAGCACTTTGGGAGGCCAAGATAGGAGGATTGCTTGAGCCCAGGAGTTCGAGACCAGCCTAGGCAACATGGCAAAACCCCATCTCTACTAAAAATACGAAAAATTAGTCGGCCTGGTGGCACATCCCTGAAGTCCCAGCTACTCAGGAGGCTGAGTTGGGAGGATCACCTGAGCCTGGGAAGTTGAGTCTGCAGTGAGCCGTGATTGTGCCACCGCACTCCAATCTGGGCAACAGAGGAGACCCTGTCTCAAAAAAAAAAAAAAAAAAAAAAGGGAGTCAAAATCCTCTCGAAGCTTACCACTATATTATCAACTAAGTTGATGTAATATTCTAAAGCCTTTGTGGTCATTTCAACAGTGTTCGCAGCATCTTCACCAAGAGTAGATTCCATCTCAAGAAACTACTTTCTTGGCTCATCCATAAGAAGTAACTACTCCTCTGTTCAAGTTTGATCATGAAATTATAGCAATTCAGTCACATTTACAGGCTTCACTTCGCATTCTAGTTCTCTTGCACTTTTTACCACATCTGCAGTTTCTTCCTCCACTGAAGTCTTGAACCCCTCAGTCATCCACGAAGGTTGGAATCAACCTCTAAACTCCTGCTAATGTTGATATTTTGACCTTTTCCCATGAATCATAAATGTTCTTAATGGCGTCTAGAATGGTGATTCCTTTCCAGAAGTTTTTCTTTTTTTTTTAATTTTTAAATTATTTTTTCAAATTTTTTTGGGTGCACGGTGTATAAATTTATGGGGTACAGGAGATGTTTTGATACAGGCATGCACTGTGAAGTAAGCACATCATGGAGAATGGGGTATCCATCCCCTCAAGCAATCCCCTCAAGCATTTATCCTTTGGATTACAAATAATCCTCCAGAAGGTTTTCAATGGACTTTGCCCAGGTCCATCAGAGGACTCACTATCTATGGCAGATATAGCCTTATGGAATGTATTTTTAACTAAGAAGACTTGCAAGTCCAAATGACTCTTTGATCCGTAGGCTGTGGAATGGATGTCGTATTCCTCTGTTTTCACGCTACTGATAAAGACATACCTGAGACTAGGTAATTCATAAAACAGCGATGCTTAATGGACTCACAGTTCCACATGGCTGGGGAGGCTTCAGTCATGGTGGAAGATGAAAGGCACGTCTTACATGGTGGTAGACAAGAGAGAATGATGATAGACAAGCGAAAGGGGAAACGCCTTATAAAATCATCAGATCTCATAAGACTTATTCACTACCATGAGAACAGTATAGGGGAACCACCCCCATGATTTAATCATCTCCCATCAGGTCCCTCCCACAACATATGGGAATTATGGAGGCTACAGTTCAAGATGAGATTTGGATGGGGACACAGCCAAACCAAATCAGATGTCATGTTTGCAGGCATGAAAACAACTTTCATCTCCATGTACATCTCTATCAGAGCTCTTGGTTGACTAGGTGCATTGTCAGTGAGCAGCAATATTTTGGAAGAAATCTTTTTTTCTGAGCCATAGGTCTCAACAGTAGGCTTAAAGTGTACAGTAAACCATGCTGTGAATAGAGATACTCTCATCTAGGCTCTGTTGTTCTACTTATAGAGCACACTTTATAAGAGCACACAAATTTAGCATAATTTTTAAGGGCCGTAGGCTTTTCAGAATGGTAAATGAGCTTTGGCTTCGACTTCAAGTCACCAGGTGCCTGAGCCCCTAACAAGAGAGTGAGCCTGTCCTTTGAAGCTATGAAAGACCTACATGGCATCTCCTGCCAATAGAAGGCTGTTTTGTCTACATTGAAAATCTGTTGTTTAGTGTAATCATCTTCATCAATGATCTTAGCTAGATCTTCTGGATAACTTACTGCAGCTTCTCCATCATCACTAGGAATTCACCTTGCATTATATTACAGAGACAGTTTCTTTCTTTAAACTCCATGAACCAACGATTGCTAGCTTCAAACTTTTCTTCTTCAGCTTCCTCACCTCTCTCAGCTTTCATAGAATTGAAGAGAGTTGGCCGGGCGCGGTGGCTCATGCCTGTAATCCCAGCACTTTGGGAGGCTGAGGCGGGTGGGTTACCTGAGGTCAGGAGGTCGAGACAAGCCTGACCAACATGGTGAAACCAAGTCTCTACTAAAAATACAAAATTAGTCAGGCACGGTGGCGCATGCCTGTAATCCCAGCTACTCAGGAGGCTGAGGCAGGAGAATCACTTGAACCCGGGAGGCAGAGGTTGCAGTGAGCCGAGATCGTGCCATTGCACTCCAGCCTGGGCAACAAGAGAGAAACTCTGTCTCGGAAAAAAAAAAAAAAGAAGAGAGTCACAATGTGTCTCTGATTAAGCTTTGGCTTAAGGGAATGTTGTGCCTGGTTTGTTCTTCTCTCCAGACCACTCAAACTTCATCCATATCAACAAAAAGGCTGTTTCGCTTCCTTATCATTTGTATGTTCACTTGGGTAGCACTTTTCATTTCCTTCAAGAAGTTTTCCTTTGTATTCACAACTTGGCTATCTGGCACAAAAAGCCTAGCTTCTGGCTTATTTTGACTTTTGACATGCCTTCCTAACTAAGCTTAATCATTTATTGCTTTTGATTAAAAGTGACAGATTGTAACTCTTCATTTGAACACATAGAGGCCATTATTGGGTTATTAATTGGCCTAATTTGAATATTATTGTGACTCAAGGCATAGGAAGGCCTGAGGAGAGGGAGAGAGATGGGAATGGCAGGTCGGTGGAGCAGTCAGAACATAAACACCATTTATTGATTAAGTTCACAGTCTTATATGGGCACGGTTCATGGAGCTCCAAAACAATTACAATAGTAACATCAAGGATCACTGATCACAAATCACCATAGCAGATAGAATAATAATGAAAACACTTGAAATATTGTGAGAATTACCAAAGTCTGACACAAAAACAGAAAATGAGCATATGCTTTTGAAAAGATGGTGCTGGTAGACTTGGTCAACTCAGGGTTGCCACAAACCTTCAATTTGTTTAAAAAAAAAAAAAAGCAGTGTCTTCAAAGTGCAATAAAGCAATGCCAATAAAATGAGGTACACCTGTGTGTGGGAAAAAGTGTAGGTGTGGGGTCAGGAACAATCAGCTCACCAATTACCAGCTATTGATCTTGGGAAAGTTGATCAGACTCAGACTCTTTTTCCTTTAATGGCCATAATATCATCTCCATAGCATTGCTGATTACTTAATGGAATAATATAGGTAAACGTGAGAATGCAGTAGGAATTCTAACTCCTATAACTGATCTACATTCTTTAGTTCTTGGGCATTTACCTAAAAGGTGGCAGTATCCAAAAAAGGACATGATTTCTCCTGCAAATCTTCACACTCCAACCTCCCTCCCCAGTAGTGTGGACTAATTTGATGTCCTTTTTTGCTGACTTTAATTCAGGCAGATTTTCACAAGTGTCACTGATTGGTGAATAATTTCTTTTTTTATGAGTATAAGAAATCCATAACAATTTTTCAGGGGCTCAGATTTTAGTGCCTCTCTGTATAATCTAGCACAGTTTCCCCCAGCCATCAGAGCTAGAACAGTGGCCAACTGGCTGCTGGGTGACAGACACACAGAGGAGACAGGACCTTAAAGCACACTGGACATTCAATCAGAGCCTTGCTCGGAAAACAGACTCACTGCAAAACGAAGGGTCAGAGCCCACCTTAAGAATGGCAGCTTCTATGGCAAAACAAGGTCCACCTTCAGGTACAGAGATGATGGCAGATAAACCCCACTAGCCTGTACAGCTATAGTCCCATCGTATTTTCCAGATTGTGCTTAGCCATGTGACTTGATGACACCATAAACCAATGGTCCCCAAACTTGGCTGATCCTTCACTGCTGCCCGTTAGTCCTTTGCAATGTATTTGGTTACCTCCCTCTCTAACTCTAATTTCCTGAATCTTATCCATTCTCAACTCAACCCCTATTCCCTCATCTTCAACAACCTTGCCTCCTATGAGATGAAAATGGAGGGAATCAGGCATGAACACTGCTGTGATTTGGATGATAGTGTCTCCTCCAAAATATATGTTGAAACTGAATCCCCAAGGCAATAACAATAAGCGGTGGGGCATTAGGAGGTGATTAAGTCATGAGAGCTCGGCTGTCCTGAATGAGGTTAGTGCCTTTATTAAAGGACTCAAGGTTGAAGGGACCGCCTCTTGCCCTTCTGACCCTACTGCCATGCAAGGACACAGGGTTTGTCCCCTCTGGAGGATGCAGCAACAGGCCTCATCTTGGAAGCAGAGAGCAGCCCTCACCAGACACACAACCTGCTGGCACCTTGATCTTGGATTTCTCCGCAACTAGAGTAATGAGAAGTAAATTTGTATTATTTAAAAATTACCCAGTCTTGAGCATTAGGACAAATACCTAAAGCATGTGGGGCTTAAAACCTAGATGACAGGTTGATAGGTGTGGCAAACCACCCTGGCACATGTTCACCTATGTAACAAACCTGCACGTTCAGCACATGTATCCCAGAACTTAAAGTAAAATTTAAAAAAAAATTACCCAGTCTTTGGTATTTTGTTGGAGCAACACAAACAAACAAAGACAAATAGTCTTAATGTTCTGTGTCTCTTAATACTCTTCCCCCACCAATTCCCTAAACCTTTCTGCCCCCACCCTAGTGTCTTCTCTACACCCACTATTCCCATCTACGTGTGTCCTTGGTCTGATTCTCTCCCTGCTACCCTGAGGCCTTGCTGTGTGAGCCACTCCCTCTCTCCGAACTCCTTCTGCCAGTGCCTTACCTGAGATGTCTGGCAGCATCCTCAAGTCTTTCCCATTCTAAGTGGGGCAACTCCTCCCAACCTCATGGTCCCCTCCAGCTAACATAAAATTCCTCTTCTCCCCCTGTTATTCGCTGAATTGCATTTTCCTAAAATTTACATGTAGAATTCCTAACCTCCAGTACCTCAGAATGTGACTCTGGAGATAACGTTCTTAAAGAGGTGATTAAATTACAATGAGGTCATTCTCATGGGCCCTAATCCACTACGACTGATGTCCTTATAAGAACTGGAGATGAGAACACAGACACACACACAGAGGGGAGAATCAGGGAAAGGGTGGTGGACTGCAAGCCAAGGAGAGCGACCTGAGGGGAAACCAGCCCCTTGATCTCGAACTTCCAGCCTCCAAAACTGTGAGAAAATTAATTTCTCCTGTTTAAGTGACCTGTTCCATGGGTACTTTATTATGGCAGCCTTAGCAAATTATTACATTCCCTTTAAATCCCCATTCTCCAAAGGGCAGCATGCCTTCGCTCTCGTATTTCTTCTGCTCTCCATTGTCTCCACTCCCTGCAGCCCAGCTGCCTCCACCCTCTTCACCTTCTGGACTCTGCCTTTGGCACAGAGGAAACTCAGATCCCCTGGGTCTCCCAACAACGCTCTCTGGCTGACTCTGCCCTTCCCCGATTCTGCCTTCCCTGTGCTTGGTAGAATTTCTCTCACTCCACCTTGTAAATGTTGAACACAAAATGTAATCCTGAGCTCACTTCTCCACTCACTTCCCTCATTCCACTTTCTCGAATTTGTGACTCCACTGTGTACTGACCCCAGACGCTTTAGAGGAGCATGTGTAACCACTAGCTCAACACCTCCTGTCTCCCCAAATCTGTGTTCCCCTCAGGATTCCCTTGTTGATTACAATTAGGGGTACAAGGCTTGATCAATCCATCCATAGTGTAAATGTTATCCATCCCTTGCCAATCTTGGAGATTGGGTTTCATTAAGGGAACTATAGGGTTTTCTTATCTCATGTAATTCTCATGCTGACAACTTTTCCTTGGTTCCCCTGCTCCATATGATAAGCCCCAGCCCCCTTCAGCAGGGCAGGTGCAGGCCAAGCTGTCCAGTTTCTCTCTGCTGACTCCTTCGGTGCTCCAAGCGCCCACGGCTTCCCAAATCCCCCAAGGTCTTTCTCTCCTGAGTGTCTTCTTCACACCAAGCACTAAGCTGAGACTGTCTCTTCCCTTTGGTGCCCTAGGCAAGCCCCTCTCCCTGTATCTAGCAAAGTCCTCATCCTTATGATTCAGCTTGGGTGCACCTTGCCAGAAAGCCTTACCTCCTTTCACCTCTCCCTCCTCACTGCTCCTAAAATTCCCCTGCATAGCTGTCTCTGCCTTTTCCTCATTCTTTTCAACATGTTCTGTTAATATGTCAGATTTCCGACCAGAATGTGAGCTCTTTGATGGCCTAGACTGTGCCCATGTAACTAACTCCTATTATCTCCACTGAAGGAATATGCTTTGAAATTAACTGAGTTATTTACAGATTCTATATCAACCAGAAAAACAAACTACCTGTGATATTCTGATCCTTGAGCATTCTAATTCTTTAGGGTTTTATCATGTCTAGCACCACTTTTTAATTATAGTGTTGACTAATTAGCTGATATAGTCTTAGCTGGGGTATTATTCCTCTTGCATTGCTGTTTGTCATGCAATAGTTGTAGTGACTAGCCTGGAAAAGTCACACCATCTAGGATAAGTTGAGTTGTGTTTGTGGATGATGAATTATATTTCCTTATATTCAAGTTTTGCCTTTTTTTTTTTACCCACTTGCCTTTTTCTTTCTTGCTTTTTTTTTTTTTTTTTTTAGACAGAGTTTCACGCTTGTTGCCCAGGCTGGAGTGCAATAGTACCATGTCGGCTCACTGCAACCTCCGCCTCCCGGATTCAAGTGATTCTCCTGCCTCAGCCTCCCGAGTAGCTGGGATTACATGCGCGTGCCACCACGCCCAGCTAATTTTTGTATTTTTAGTAGAGACGGGGTTTCACCATCTTGGTCAGGCTGGTCTCAAAGTCCTGACCTCAAGTGATCTGCCCACCTCAGCCTCTCAAAGTGCTGGGATTACAGGTGTGAGCCGCTGTACTCGGCCTCCCACCTAGCTTTTTCCCCCAATGTTGTAGACTTTAGGGGTGAAGAAAGAGAAAGGGAATTTTAAAAGTGGGTCTATCCACTTACTTTAAAGACACGTGCAGTCAACTCTTTTTTTTTTTTTTTTTTGGAGACCTCATTCTGTCGCCCAGGCTGCAGTGAAGTGGCCCAATCTCGGCTAACTGCAACCTCCGCCTTCCGGGTTCAGGCAATTCTCCCACCTCAGCTTCCCAAGTAGCTGGGACTATAGGGGCCCACCACCACTCCTGGCTATTTTTTGTATTTTTAGTAGAGACGGGGTTTCACCATGTTGGCCAGGTTGGTCTCAAACCCATGACCTCAGATGATCTGCCCACCTCGGCCTTCCAAAGAGCTGGGATTATAGGTGTAAACCACTGCACCCAGCTGCAGTCAACTAATTTTTGACAAGGGCACCAAGAGGATACAATGGGAAAAGGATAGCCTAAGTGTAGGACCAGAAACCACACAACTCCCAGAAGAAAACGGAAGGGAAAGGTTCCTCAACATTAGCCTTGGCAATAATGTTTTGGATATCACAACAAAAGATCAGGCTACAAAAGCAAAAATAAATAAATGAGACTGTGTAAAATGAAAAAGCTCCTGTTATCAAAGGAAACACTCAGCAAAATAAAAAGGCCAGGCACAGTGGCTCACGCCTGTAATCCCAGCACTTTGGGACGCTGAGGTAGGTGGATCACTTGAGGTCAGCAGTTCAAGACCAGCCTGGCCAACATGGTGAAACTCCGTCTCTACTAAAAAATACAAAAAAATTTAGCCGGGCATGGTGGTGCATGCCTGTAATCCCAGCTACTCAGGAGGCTGAGGCAGGAGAATCACTTGAACCTGGGAGGCAGAGTTTGCAGTGAGCCAAGATCACACTACCGCACTCCAGCCTGGGCAACAGAGCAAGGCTCCATCTCAAAGAAAAAAAAAAATTAAAAAAAATAAAAATAAAAAGGCATCCTACAACCCGGGAAAAAATATTTGCAAACCACATAACCAATAAGGTTTGCAGACTATAAATCCAAAATTAATGAAGAACTCTTACAACTCAATAGCAAGAAAGCAACTAACCCCAAAAAACTCAATTTAAAAATGGGCAAAGGTCCGACCAGGTGCGGTGGCTCACGCCTGTAATCCCAGCACTTTGGGAGGCCAAGGAGGGCGGATCACGAGGTCAGGAGATCGAGACCATCCTGGCTAACACGGTGAAACCCCGTCTCTACTAAAAATACAAAAAATTAGCCAGGCGTGGTGGCGTGCGCCCGTAGTCCCAGCTACACTGGGAGGCTGAGGCAGGAGAATGGTGTGAACTCAGAAGGCGGAGCTTGCAGTGAGCTGAGATAGCGCCACTGCACTCCAGCCTGGGCGACAGAGCAAGACTCTGTCTCAAAAAAAAAAAAAAGGAGGGCAAAGGTCCTTGACACAGGGTTTGAACAAGACAAAACAAAAACAAACAAACAAAACCAGAAGAAACAAAAATGGGCAAAAGATCTGAACAGACATTTCTCTAAAGGAAACATAACAACAGGCCAGGTGCATTTGCTCTTCTCTGTAATCCCAGCATTTTTGGAGGCCAAGGCAGGAAGAATGTTTGAGCCCAGGTGTTCAAGACCAGCCCAGGCAACATAGTGAGATCTTGTATCCACAAATAAGAATTTTTAAAAAATTAGTTGGGTCTGATGGCACACATCTGTGGTCCCAGCTACTCAGGAGACTGAGGTGGGAGAACTGATTGAGCCTGGGCAGTTAAGTCTGCAGTAAGCTATCATCACACCACTGCACTCCAGCCTTGGTGACAAAGTGAGACCTTGTTTCAATTAAAAAAAAAAGAAAGAAAGAAATTGTGGTATATATATACCACATATATATAGTGAATATTATTCAGCCCTAAAAAAGAAGGAGCTCCTGCCATTTGCCACAACATAGATGGACTGGAGGACCTTATGCTAAGTAAAATTATCTTGTATTAGGGCGTCTTGTGGAATAAGTAGACTTTAGCTGCTCTTTCACAAAAAAAGTAACTATGTGAGATGACAGATATGTTAATTTGCTTCATAATAGTCACCAACTTACTTTCTATCTGTATTCAATAGCATATAAACCTCAAATATACACAAAATTTATTTCAAAAATATCGAGTCAGGTAGGCACAGTGGCTCTTGCCTATAATCCCAGCACTTTGAGTGGCTGAGGCAGGCAGATCGCTTGAACCTAGGAGTTCAAGACCAGACTGGGTAACATTGTGAGACCCTGTCTCAATAAATAAATAAATGAAAGTCATGTGGATTTGTCATTCTGAGTCTGTGTGATTTCATGGCATTGGGATTATCCATGTGGAGACATTCTCATTTACGAGTGTGTCCTTGCGGCAAAAATTTCCCCAACCTACTGCCCAGCAGCTGCTTCTCAGACACACTTGTGATCCGGAGCTGCCATCAACAAAACGTCTCCATAGAAAACGTGGATCTGTTTCATTCCTGACTGGCAGTTGCTGATCTGCATTGCACAACAGTGCTTTTTTTGTTTTGTTTTGTTTTTAGCTGAAACTTGGTGGCTAATGAATAAAGAATGGATTCTCTAGTAGAAGTTTTCCCATAGACTAACACCAGAGTTTCCACAGTGTTCTGGGGGAAAAAAAAAAAAATCAACAACATTATTTTGTTTTTAAAGAGCAAGTTTTTCAAAAACTCAGCTAATTTTAATTTTTTTTTCCCAGTTCCAACCCCTCCAGGAGCCTTACTCGTAGAAGATGGTCATTCTTTGGATCAATATCTTGACTTATATCAGCCACGAAATGGTAGCATCATATACATCATATAGATAAAGACAGTTTTGAGCCTTTGAAAGTTGGATGAAATGAAATTAGTTTCTATTTCCCTAGGTAATCTAAATGAAAAAAACTGTATATTTTATTTGAAGTCCATTGCATTTATTGCATTTATTTTTTAATTTATTTTCGACATGGAGTTTTGCTCTGTCACCCAGGCTGGAGTGCAGTGGCGTGATCTCGGCTCACTGCAACCTCCACCTCCTGGGTTCAAGCAGTTCTCCTTCCTCAGCCTCCCGAGTAGCTGGGATTACATGCATGCACCACCAAGCCCAGCTAATTTTTGTATTTTTAGTAGAGACGGAGTTTCAACCATGTTGGCCAGGCTGGTCTCCAACTCCTGACCTCGTGATCTGCCTGCCTCGGCCTCCCAAAGTGCTGGGATTATAGGCATGAGCCACTGCGCCCCACCAGTCCATTGCATTTATATTTCACAGAAACAGTTATTGGAGAAAATGATAGGAGGTCTTGCTCCGTGAGCCAGTCCCTCTCTTTGCCATCTCTGGAATGACAGAAACACCACTGGCCTAGGAACAGATCTGTTTCCAGGCCCAGTTCTGCCCCCAATTAACCACATCACTTCACCTCTTCATGCTTTCGTGCCCTCCTGAGCTGGGAGACACCACCCTCAAGAAGCACATCCACAAAAGGATGGTGTCTAATGGCCTTCTGGCACCAGCGCTGTGCAAAGCGGCATGAATGGAGCATTCTCAAGGTTAAACATATGGCACATTACAGCCGATTTCCTTTTCATTACTGCCACTTCCTCTGCGGTCACTAATTTCAGGTTGTCTGGAGCTTACAAAAAGAGACATGCAAGTATGTGTGTCTGTGTGTGTGGTGGAGTGGGAGGGACCTTTTGAGGGTTCATTGCAAGAGTTAGATGAGAATAAAACAGAAAGGAGCTAGGCTAGAATGCAGCCATTGCTCCCCACTTAGAAACACACACGGGCTGGAGGCAGATGAATTGCAGAACTCACAGATACAGCTTTGTCTGCCACCCACTGTTTCACAGGCCGCAGAGACACAGCAGAGGCAATCCCAGGCGGATAAACCCTGGGTGATGGCACCGATAGACCATCACAATGACTGTGCACAGTTTCCGTAACCAAACCTGAAACCAGGCAAACCCCATTTCAGGTGTCATTACCAGCCCCGCATTCGCTGCCAAGGGTCCCAAGCCTTCTAGGGGACTGAAGGCCAAGTTTCACTAGCTTGGATGCTATTACCAGGCAAAATTAAAGTGGAAGAATTAATCTGCCTCCGGCACATGCTCTAGGTTTATCAGTTTGTTTCAGATAAAGCCTGAAAATTCCACGTATTTGTTGTCTACAATTCAGAAGGCAAAGACAGATTTAGAAGTACAATCACCGGTATTTCATCTTAGGGCCATTGAAACCTGAGCCTATGTTCTTTCCCCACAGTGGTAGACTGCATTCCTAGTTGGAGGCATTCAGCTCCATCTGGTCGTTTCATCCCCGGTTAGATAATACCAGACGTATCTATGTAACATACAAGCCACTGTCAAATAGCACTGAGCCATCTCCCTGAGACAGCTGTTTCACACAAGGGCTTCATTGTCTGAGAAGAGCTCGTATCATTTTACTTCAAGTGCTGCGGGAACAAGCATTCTGTCAGCTGTCTTGGCTTGGAGGAAACCTCACTCACTGCAGTTTCATTATTTTATTATCAAGCCAAAAAAAAAAAGGTACTGTCGACGGTTGGGGTTGAAGGTTTAAAACAAGAACTAAAGTCTTTGCTCTGCTTTGCATTTATCAGGGAAAACAGTAACTCCAGGCACCCAAAGAATGTATAGTTACACTGTTCAAAAGATAGCTTGAGGCTCCTGGCTACTCCAAATGCTTGTTTTCGGTCTGCCTTTTGTTACCCACATTTAGTCAGTTTCAGGTGAACTAGGAAGGTGTTTTCCAGCCCTGTGAGGCCAAAAGCAGCTGTCACAATTAGCATAATGACATCACAAAATAATTAATAACTAAATAACTATTTAAAATTAGATAGACTCTTTCTTCTTCAACTCTCTAATAGAGAAAGATGATTACAACTACCCCACATGCAATATCTGAACCTCAAATTTCCAGTGAGTAAACAGGTTATTTTCCAAACTTTTTTTTTTTTTTTTTTTTTTGCCATGGATGCACTGTATTTTGAATTCAGGGAGTCAATTAACAAAATACATTCTTACATGAATATGAACATGAACATGGTTGTTCTGCTTATCTTTAGCTGCTGCTGCCTATTTCTGAGTTTTTGTTTTTTTAGTTTTTTTTGTTTTGTTTTGTGTTTGTTGTTTTTTGTTTGTTTGAGACAGAGTCTCCCTCTGTCTCCCAGGCTGGAGTGCAGTGGCACGATCACGGCTCACTGTAGCCTCGACCTCCTGGGCTCAAGCAATGCTCTCACCTCAGCCTCATGAGTAGCTGGGACCACAGGTGCATGCCACCAAGCCTGCCTAATTAAAAAAATATATATTTTTGTAGAGATAGGGTCTCTGTTGCCCAGGCCAATCTTGGACTCCTGGGCTCAAGCGATCCTCATGGCATGGCCTCCCAAAGTTCTGGGATTACAGGCAGGAGCCACCACGCCCAGTGGGGGTATTTTAAAATTGTGATAAAATAGACATAAGATTTGCCATTTTAACCACAGTGAAGTGTACCATTCGGAGGCATTATGTACATTCACCAAACATTTTAAAATATTTAAAAATTGGGATAATTCTGGTACCCCACAAAATAAATTGCGTGATTAGAATCTTCCGTTTTTTCCCTCTATCCTATTTATCTTTTCATGATGACTTCAAGACCAGATCTCCTGGGGGGATTTTGTTATGGCACCACGTTTGTCAGGCACCCTGAAGAGAGGCCCTCCTTCTGCAGGTCTGAAACATCCCTTGGCTTGGCCAAGGGATAGAGGTATCTGTACTTGACCCATTTATCGAAGCTATTTTTCTGGTGTGCACAGAATTAAAACAAACAAAAGCTGGTTGCTTAGAATTTGGCTATGCCTGCCAAGTGGGATTGGCCTCTCTTCCTTACCGCCCCTCTTACAAAAAAAGAAAAGGTTAAGTCAGAGAATTGGTGAAACAAAGGCCCTCTGCAACTCTAGGCCCAGTTATCAGAACAGAGTGGTGCTTGCCAAGGAGTCAGGGACAGATCTGCATGGCGGGCTTTAAGGAGGACAGTGCCAGGCAACGCAAAGTATCATTATCTTGTCAAATGTTATTCATGTGTATCTGTTCTATCAGACACTTCTGTTTTCTGTGACCTTGGACAAGATACTGCCAGAGAACTGTTGTGAGGGCAAATAAAACAGCACCTGTCAAAGTCTCTAGGCCATCGTCAGGGGTATTGTGAGGGCAAGATGAATATTCTTTCATGCACTGATATTTTCCCTTCTTCCTGGAGAGGGTTGCTACTGCTTTATGGTCCAATTCTCCCTGATCTGGATTGGCCGCATTTGAAATTGGTGACTCTGTCCTGGGCGCAGGGTTTGCCACGGCACTGACTAGAATTTTGGAATCCCAGTAGTTTGAAGCTCCTATTTCGTGTCTCTCAAAGTATGAAAAAATAGAGAAAGCCTTCAAGTGTTTGTGGAATGGAACTGTGTCTTAAGAATGAGACAGGACACACAAGGTTCATCTGGACTAGCCACCTGTCCCACACGGAAGTGCTTTCCATCACTTCTGTGGCAGGTGCCCATCTCTCTCTTCCACATCCTTGTCCTGATCAGAAGAGCTCATCATCTGTCACGGGAACACCTTTCCAGCTTTTGGCAACAAGAACTGTTAGTTACTTGCTATGGTCTGAATGTCTGTGCTCCTCTAAAACTCATATGTTGAAACCTAATTACCAATGTATAAATAGTAAGACAGGGGGCCTATAGGAGGTGAGTTGGTCACAGGGGCAGAGTCCTCATGAATAGGGTTACTACGCTTATCAAGGAGGCCCAGGAAGCTTGTCTGCTGCCTCCATCGTGAGGCTGCAGCAAGAAGGCGCCATCTTTGAAACAGAGAGCAGCCCTTGCCAGACACCAAACCTGCCAGTATCTTAATCTTGAACTTCCCAGCCTCCAGAACTGTGAGCAATAAATTTCTATTGTTTATAAATTACCCAGTCTAGGGTATTTTGTTATAGCAGCCTGAAAGGACTGAGGTATTACTTATTGAAGTTTTTTTTTAGCTAATTAGGAAGAAAGGTTTTGCTAAGTAAAATACTTTTATAAAACAGAATTTCCAGAATATTTCAAGGACTCAAATACATATTTACTGATCCCCTGTTATGCGTCAGAGGGTCTGGTGATATGAAGATGAGTAAGACAAGAATAATTTCTGTTTTCAGAAAGCTTACTTTTTAGTGGAAGAGAAAGATACATCGGTTATTATAAAATAATGTGGGAAGTACCTGAAGGACAAATACACAGGGCATTACAGGAGCACCAGGGCGATACCCAGTTCAGCTTGAACAACAAATTAGGCCTGGAACAACAGATGGTTGGGCAGTTCCCTCATGTTCATTATCTTGGGACTTTGCCAGCAGTGTACATTTCAAAATACAAATACGTTTCTCTTTCATCCTGAACATAGGCTGAGAAGCTGGTTTTCTGACAAGATTTTCAACCTTTCAAATATATGTTATTGTATTACAATACAACTGACTTGTTTTCCTAGCTCCTTTAGTTTTTCCTAAATCTTTATACAATGAGTATCCTCACACATCATTATAGAGTTGGGTTGAGAGAGGTAGATCAAGTCTCAGACTGAAAGGCCCATTAAAAGAAAACAACAGATAAGTAGTTTCCAAGAGTCCTGTTGAAAGCCAGCCAGGAGCTGGGTGGGTGGCTCATGCCTGTAATTCTGGCATTTTGGGAGGCAGAAGTGGGGGGATTGCTTGAGGCCAGGAGTTTGAGATCAGCCTGGGCAACACAGTGAGAATCTATCTCTATAAAATTTTTTAAAAATTAGCCAGGCATGGTGGTGCACACCTGTAGTGACAGCTCCTCATGAGGCTGAGGTGGGAGGATCACTTGGGCCCAGGACGTCCAGGCTACAGTGAGCTATGATCCCATCACTGCACTCCAGCCTGGGTCACAGGGCAAGACTCTGCCAAAAGAAAGAAAAGAAAACCAAAGAAAGGAGGGAAGAAAAAGAAAGAAAGAGAGAGAGAGAACACCAATCAGGAAGCTAGAAGGAGAACCAAATTTGAGAATTGAAATCTGAAAGTTTGTGCCATTGAGCAGTGGCACGGGATGTCATTGTTCCTTAGTTGCTGGCATTTTTCCTAGGAAAATCTGATAAACTGTGAGTATGTCCACAAGGAGAAAAGTGAATAAGATGATCCAACTAAGACTTTCTTACTGAAAACTACCCCTGCTCCCACTGCTGCTGAGACATACCTTGTTTACCTGTCACCAGGGCAAAGACCTAATTGTGCTTGGGGGTCAACACTCAGGTGAGTCTGCAGTGGCACTAACAGGGGCAAATGTCAAGGAGATTTACTTTTCCACTGCCAAGTTGTTTGCACTCATAATATGAAGAAGCAAAGGAAACCCATTTATGGGTTTTACAGAAACCCGTTAATGAATTTCCTAACTTGCCCATAAAGGCAAGCGATAAGCTAGTCAGTCATTTGACAGGGGTCAGGCAGGAGGAGCAGACTGGAGCTGTGAGTGAGAGAGTGGACACAGTGAAGATATCCCCAGTCTGATGACAACTGTTATTTTCCAGACTCCATTTCATTAAAAAAATGATTCCCCTAGGGAAAAACTCACTACTCTTTGACACCACTAGTTTGGTGCATTTAGTAAATGCACTTAACATGATTTATAGTAGATGTTAAATCTAATTAAGAAATTATTGGCCGGGCGCTGTGGCTCACCCCTGTAATCTCAGCACTTTGGGAGGCCGAGACGGGTGGATCACCTGAGGTCAGGAGTTCAAGACCAGACTGGCCAACATGGTGAAACCCCGTCTCTACTAAAAATACAAAAATTAGCTTGGCATGGTGGCAGGTGCCTGTAATCCCAGCTACTCAGGAGGCTGAGGCAGGAGAATCACTTGAACCCAGGAGACAGAGGTTGCAGTGAGCCAAAATCAGGCCATTGCACTCCAGCCTGGGTGACAAGAGCAAGACTCTGTCTTTTAAAAAAAAAATTATTGTTTTTGTTACGTACGATAATGCATGATAATATTT
The DNA here is from genome assembly GCF_000001405.40 of Homo sapiens. Taxonomy (NCBI): domain Eukaryota; kingdom Metazoa; phylum Chordata; class Mammalia; order Primates; family Hominidae; genus Homo; species Homo sapiens. The sequence continues at coordinate 3,531,490 of NC_000018.10, forward strand.
TACCTTTTTTTGAGTCGGAGTCTCACTCTGTCACCCAGGCTGGAGTGCAGTAGCTGCGATCTCTGTTCACCGCAAACTCAATCTCACGGGTTCAAGCCATTCTCTGCCTCAGCCTCCCGAGTAGCTGGGATCACAGGGGCCAATCTCCACACCCGACTAATTTTTGTATTTTTACGAGAGATGGGGTTTTACCATGTTGGCCAGGCTGGTCTAGAACTCCTGACCTCAAGTGATCTACCCGCCTCAGCCTCCCAAAGTGCTAGGATTATAGGCATGAGCCACCGCACAAGGCCTATGATTATACATATAAAAAATGTTTTCTATAAGTGTGAGCTACATAGGGAAGTGACACGATGCCTTGGATTTTCTTTTTTTCTTTTTTTGGAGACAGAGTTTCACTCTGTTGCCTAGGCTAGAGTGCAGTGGCACAGTCTCAGCTTGCCGCAACCTCTGCCTCTGGGTTTAAGCAATTCTCCTGCCTCAGCCTCCTAAGTAGCTGGGATTACAGGCGTGTGCCATTGCACCTGGCTAATTTTTGTATTTTTAATAGAAATGGTGTTTCACCATATTGGCTATGCTGGTCTTGAACTCCTGACCTCAAGCGATCCTCCTGCCTTGGCCTCCCAAAGTGCTGGGATTACAGGTATGAGCCACCACACCTGGTGCTGGATTTTCTTAAAAATACTCTGACAACAATAACTACAAATGGTGGAGACAAGACTGGCCAGTTGTTGAAGCAGGTGACGAGTACATGGGGACTCATCATGTTAAACTCTACTTTTGTGCATGTTTAAAAATGTTCATAATAGGCCGGGCACAGTGGCTTATGCCTGTAATCCCAGCACTTTGGGAGGCCGAGGCGGGTGGATCACCTGAGCTCAGGAGTTCAAGACCAGCCTGACCAACATGGTGAAACCCCGTCTCTACTAAAAATACCAAAGTAGCTGGGTGTGGTGGCACATGCCTGTAATCCCAGCTACCTGGAGGCTGAGGCAGGAGAATCACTTGAACCCTGGAGGCAGACGTTGCGGTGAGCCAAGATGGCACCATTGCACTCCAGCCTGGGCAACAAGACCAAAACTCCATCTCAAAAAAAAAAAAGAAAAAAAAAGAAAAAGCTCATAATAAAAATTGAAAAAGTAATTTAAAAAACAAGTCTAAAAAGTTACTTCATAGCAATACTCTTTTAGATGCTTTGCACACAGACATGAAGCAGGCATTAATGCCTACCACCAAATTTCCTTGTTTCAAAAATATCATCAGTTGGAGGATCCACCATTAATTTAATAATAATGTTTCAGAGGAAAATAAACATACAACATTAAAATACATACTGATTATATATAAGCTACATTCTAATTTCAGAATTGTTGAAAACATGTAAAACATGCCTCAGAATTGAGGTAATTTGATTATTTTTCTTTTTCAACTGTTAATATAATTTGACAATTTTTCTTTTTCAATTGTTAATTTTTCTTTTTCAAATGTTAAAAGGTCAAGTTTGAAAATAATAGTGTGCAGGCTAGGCACGGTGGCTCATGCCTGTAATCCCAGCGCTTTGGGAGGCCGAGGTGGGCGGATTGCCTGAGTTCAGTAGTTTGAGACCAGCCTGGGCAACATGGCGAAACCCCGTCTCTACCAAAAATACAAAAATCAGCTGCACATGGGGTGCATGCCTGTAGTCCCAACTACTTGGGAGGTCAAGGCTGGGGTGAGCCATGATTGCGCCACTCCAACTTGGGTGAGGAGTGAGGCCCTGTCTGAAAAAAGAAAGAAAAGAATAGTGTGCGAAAAAGAGTGTCCATTATTTATTTTATGTATTCATCGTGTATTTCACTTTAGCCCATTCAACTGTAATAAGATTATAAAATGTGTTTCTTTGGCAGCTAAAGGGTTTGCCCCTGTAAATCCTAAGAGAAAGTGCCTGTCAAACAGGCTTAAGAATACAAATAGGTGGGGGTTTCTAGCGGCCTATACGTTATAAGCCTTGTTTTAATGCTGTATGTTAATGAGAATAACAAAATCATAAAGAATATAAATCCCCAATGTACCTGTATCTATGGACCTTGAAAAAAGTTAGTATTATTTATATATTTATTTTTAGAGATGGGTTCTTGCTCTGTCACCCAGGCTGGAGTGCAGTGGTGTGATCATAGCTCACTGCAGCCTCTAACCCCTGGACTCAAGTGATCCTTCCACCTCAGTCTCTCGAAGAGCTGGGACTACAGGTGGGCACCACTGCACTGGGCTAGTTAGAATTATTTTCTTTTTTTATTTAAAAAGAATTTTTGTGGGTATATAGTAGATGTATATATTCATAGGATACATGAGATGTTTTGATTAGAATTATTTTCAATCCCCTGAGGATCAGCAACATTCCAGGATCATCTTGGAGAAGAGGGACCAAGTTAGAGACATGAAAGCACCTCCACACAGAGCTTGGTATTTTCAGAAAGAAAAAGAACGTCATGGGCCTAGAGCTAAGGACAGTGTTATATCTACCCAGGAGTTTTCTTGGTTTTGTGCTGTGCAGGGACTTCTGGACTCAGCTGGAATCACCTAGCTCTCCTGCATGTTCTGGTTTGGGGTGTGGAACGTCAAGGTTATACAAGTGAAGCTGGCAGAGAAGAAAACAACAAGGTCTGCACACACAAAGCAACCCCAGCCCCAGGGGACGGGTGTGGCACGTGGTGGCATTACTTACTGTCTTCGGGCAGGTTGTTTTCCCGTTCTTCCCGCTCCATCTGTTGACACCACCCCTCCATGCGGTCTCGCTCTGCCTGGAGAAGCTTCAGGAACCAGTGGCCATCCCGGTGGCACACTGACCTTTGCACGGCCTCCAGAGGGTCTTCAGTGATAGAGTCAATCCAGGGGTCCGGAGGAGGCAGAATAGAGGGGTCAAAATCCGTGTCAAAGTCATCATCGGCGGCACAGGCATGGTAATGGTTTCCTGAGCCCTGAATGCTGACTGTGGAGGTGCTGGCATCGCGGGAGAACTGTCTGGCCATGGGGCCAGGACACGAATTGTCCTCTATAGATTCCAGAGAATTTTCCAGATTATCATGGAAGTCCAGGTCGGCCTGTACTGCTGTCGTCACACTGTTGGATCGAGTGAACCTGCGGAAGCTTGGGAGAATAGAAAAAAGAAATTTAGTTAGAGGATATTTCTTTCTTTCCTTCCTTCCTTCCTTCCTTCCTTTCTTTCTTTTTTTTTTTTTTTTGACAGAGTCTCACTCTGTCTCCCAGGCTGGAGTGCAAGTGGCGTGATCTCGGCTCACAGCAACCTCCACCTCCCAGGTTCAAGCGATTCTCCCACCTCAGCCTCCCGAGTAGCTGAGATTACAGGTGTATGCCACCACATCTGGTTAATTTTTGTATTTTTAGTAGAGAAGGGGTTTCACTGTGTTGAACAGGTGGGTCTCGAACTACTGGCCTCAAGTGATCTGCCTGCCTCTGCCTCCCAAAGTGCTGGGATTACAGGTGTGAGCCACCGTGCCTGGCAAGGATATTTCTTGAAGCAAAACTACTTTCTACTTTACTTGGCAGGTGTGACCATTAGAAGTCTCATCTTCTCAATCTTCTCTGTGTGTGTGTGTGTGTGTGTGTGTGTGTGTGTGTGTGTGTTGGGGGTGGTGGTGGCAGGGGTAGACCCTTGAGGCAAGCATATTGATTGTCATAGCTTCAATGTGAAGAGCACGAATCTCATTTTTGCTCAATATGGAATATTAAAGCATATCAAGAGAAATTTTATAGGTGGAAAAGTGCTGAACTATTAAAGCCAGTAGAATGTGCAGCTCTGTCATCCATTACCTGAAGTGTCCAACTTCCTCCCCAAATCTGGGGTGACTTAAGTCCTGAAATTCAGGTTGGTGATGAGTAAGGAAACTATTCACTACTATCTTAGTCGGGGTAATTTGCTTAGAAATAGGGAAAAAGGGCCGGGCGTGGTGGCTCACGCCCGTAATCCCAGCACTTTGGGAGGCTGAGGCGGGCGGATCACAAGGTCAGGGGATCGAGACCCTCCTGGCTAACACGGTGAAACCCCGTATCTACCAAAAAATATAAAACATTAGTCGGGCGTGGTGGTGGGCACCTGTGGTCCCAGCTACTTGGGAGGCTGAGGCAGGAGAATGGCATGAACCCGGGAGGCGGAGCTTGCAGTGAGCTGAGATCGCACCACTGCACTCTAGCCTGGGTGACAGAGTGAGATTCTGTCTCAAAAAAAAAAAAGAAGAAAAGAAAAAAAGAAATGGGAAGAAAGGCCGTGCGCAGTGGCTCACGCTTGTAATCCCAGCACTTTGGGAGGCCGAGGCGGGCAGATCATCTGAGGTCGGGAGTTCGAGACCAGCCTGACCAACATGGAATAATCCCGTCTCTACTAAAAATACAAAAAAAATTAGCTGGGCGTGGTGGCACATGCCTGTAATCCCAGCTACTCAGGAGGCTGAGGCAGGAGAATCGCTTGAATCCAGGAAACGGAGGTTGTGGTGAACTGAGATCATGCCATTGCACTCCAGCCTGGGCAACTCTGTCTCAAAAAAAGAAAGAAAAGAAAAGAAATGGGAAAAACATAACCTAACCTGGACCAAAACTATCATGAATCCTGCAAAGCCACATTTTTCCAGGGGCAACTCTTACCAAGTTAAGACTTCCTGAAAGCAAACTGAAGTAAGTTTCTTTCTTTCTTTCCTTCCTTCCTTCCTTCTTTCTTTCTTTCCTTTCTTACTTTCTTTCTTTTTTTTTTTTTTTTCTGAGACAGAGTCTTGCTCTGTTGCCCAGGCTGGAGTGCAGTGGCACAACCTCAACTCACTGCAACCTGTGACTCCCTGGTTCAAGCAATTCTCCTGCCTCAGCCTCCCGAATAGCTGGGAGTACAGGCATGCACCACCATGCCCATCTAATTTTTGTATTTTTAGTAGAGTCGGGGTTTTGCCAAGTTGGCCAGGCTGGTCTCGAACTCCTGACCTCAGGTGATCTGCCTGCCTCTGCCTCCCAAAGTGCTGGGATTACAAGGTGTGAGCCAACACACCCAGCCCAAACTGAGGTTTCAATAATTACCTCTTAAAATTAAAACTCATTTGCCTGGTAAAGGTTTACCTTTCTCTTAGTCATACAGGTACAAAGCCTTGGGCGCAAACATCAGCTTATAGTTCTCTATTAGGGTTCTGTATTTCTGCCCTCTCCTGTGCCTTTAATTTTCTTTTCACAGTTCTAGCGAGGTGATGAAAGACACCTTGTTCACAGATTAAGGCTGAGCATTTTACATGGATGTCCATGAGATCAGTGTTTCTCAACCAAAGCGCCCTATATATCTCTGGCTGAACCCTGCGATGAAGGGGAGAACATGGGGAAGGTGGGAGGGGAGAGACACGAGGAGAGAAGCAAGGAACTCTTTCTCAGATGAGGGGCAAGGAAGGCGTGGGCCTGATGTCATTTAAGACATACAAAAAGAGCTTTGCTGCCTCTGGAGAAGACAGGAAACAATGACGGAATATAAGTCCACTGAAGATAGCACCATGTGTCTGTTACGATGCCCTGTATGTCTTTTTTTTTTAAAGTCGCTTCCTGGCCTAATAGTTTACTTATTTTTTATTATGATAAAATATACATAACATACAATTTACCAGCTGAACCATTATTAAATGTACAGTTCAATGGCATTCAATACTTAATATATTCACATTGCATGTGCAACCATCGCCACCATCCATGTCAACTTTCTCATCTTTTCCAACTGAAACTGTGCACCCATGAAATGCTAACTCTCCATTTCCTCCTCCCCCTGGCCCCAGGCAGCCATCATTCCACTTTCTGTGTCTATGAGTCTGACTACTCTAGGTACCTCTTATTGGTGGAATCATGTAGTATTTATTTGTCTTTTTGTGACTGGCTTTTTAAATTCAACAGAACATCTTCAAAGTTTCATCCATGTTGTAACATATGTCAGAATTTCCTTCCTTTTTAAGGCTGAATAGTATTCCCATTGTATGTATTTACCATATTTTGCTTACCCGTTCTTCCACTGATGGCCACTTAAGTTGCTTTCACCTTTTGGCTATTGTGAATAATGCTGCTATGAACATGGGTATACAGATAACTCTTTGAGTCACTGATTTCAATTATTTTGAATATATATCCCGAGGTAGAACTACTGAGTCACATGGTAATTCTGTTTTTAATTTTTTGAGGAACAACCCTAATATTTTCCATAGTGGCTACACCATTTTGCATTCCCATCAACAGTGCACCAGGATTCCTATTTCTCCACATTCTCATCAACATTTGTTATTTTCTGTTTTTTGACAGAATGTGTGTTCTGTGATTTCTGTGTTTTTGAATGTGTGAGGTGGTACATTTCTTTGAGTAGCTCATGATTGTGCCATTTTAAGATAGTTTGTTGGCCAGTTGATTTTCAACTGTTTCATATTCAGTAGTGCCAGCCTTAAACAATAGTGCACTAAACAATATTTATACAACACTAAATACACCAGATTATGTGGGATTTTAAAAAACTATCCTGGACTATGCTCTTGAAGCCAATAAAAACTAATATTCTAGTCCATCAAAAATAAAGAATGACCAGAACAATACAGACAAGTAGTTATTTGCAAGACTGTAGAAAGACTAAGAGTCACAAAAAGGAAGAGTCATCTCAATAAATCAATTTTTTCTCTAGAGAATAAAAGTCAAGAAAAAAAGTGGCTAAGGTATTGATCTGTGTCAGTTATTAAGATGGCCAAAATGACCAAATACGTTGTGATTCTGGCCATCCATTTTACGAAGATAAACTAGCCAAAGTTGACCCATTTGCTGTTTTCAAAAAATCAATTCTGATGAAGTTATCCAACCCAGTCACTTTTGTAAGCTCTTAACTCTCAAATGAGCCAAAAAAAAAAAAGAAAGAAAAAGAAAAAAAAAATCACATAGTGTGAAAATCTGAATGCAATGTTACAAGTCTCTTGTGCTAGCAATGAAAGAAAGAACAATTTTGCGAAAGTGGTTCTTCCAACAACCACTCATTTCTTGGCTGCAGTAGGCTATTTCTGCATTCTTCCCGTTCATCCCCAAAATGTTAACTGTCATCTGAAGCTAAGCTTTCTCTCCAGCTGCATATGTGTGAATTGGATGACTCTCCTTGCAAACAGTTGACATTTTGGCTGTTCTGCTAACATGAAATCCCAACTATGAAAACATTAGCCTCCACGCTCCAAGATCCTGTATTGCCAGAGGCATTACATTTCCAAACTTAAAGAAGTACTAGTCCCTCATTGTTTTCAATCAGAGCAAACTGCCACAGCCAGAATCTGTTCCACATATAAAACAGAATGACCTACTTTCCTGTGCCTCTGTTTTTATCTACACAGAACTGTACTACCCGCATTCCTAACAGCCATCTCCTGGCTATGGATCTTGCAAAGGATCCACCTTCTTAGAAAAATTACTTGGCAGTAGATTAATAGAAGTTTGCAGTTTGCAGTGTAGTCACTCAGAAAGAAAAGTTAAGTAAAATTAAAATGGTTTGGGATTAAAAGCGGCGCCTTTGAACTCAGGCAGCCCTGTCCAACCTGCTAGTTTCTATCAATTAAGTTCCTTAAGCAAGTGCTTTCTTCTACTCAGAGCTTTCAAAGAATGTTCTGCTCTACAAAATGATTTATGTCTTTCATAAGCAAAGTTCCTTTTGGGTGAAGAGTGCAGTCAAGTTGTTATTGTTTTTCTGCAATTTTGATAGGAACACAAAATGAGGTCCCTAGATTAATTTCTTTATTTTTTGAAAGAATTGATCAGTTCCTCGTTGATGATATCAACCCAAAAGCTGAACCCAGTGGCTTGCTGTTTCCCAACCCACAGTTTTCAATCTTGAAGCTTCCTTGGCTCTTCATGCCCCTGCAGGCACAGTGTGTAATAATTACAACTTCTGAAAAATGCTGGCCAATATTCTGGCCCAAGAAGCAGAAAACCATGAAAGCAAAGACTGGATCAACCAGTATGGAACACAATACTCTGTCTGTTCTGAATAGCCAGAAGAAAGTCACTTGTTAGCATTCACTTCTGCTGTTGCTTTATGTTCCTTCTATGAAACAAGTTTATATTTCTAACTAGAGGAGTTTCTACCCTCTCCCACTTCCTACAACTTTTCTGTACAGCAAGTTACAAATCAAAACATATATGGGTAAACTGAAGAGGTTCCATTCTTGTCCCCCTGTCTGATAGAGTTGCAGTTAAACAAAAGAAATTGTGCACAAAAACTAAGCACAGTCATTATCTTTATGACATCCATGCTTTGGAACTACAAGACACTCAACTGATGAGACTCAAGTCATGAACTTATTTTTAGGAGAGTAGCTTAGTCTTTCCATCATAGAATCCCCTGGCCTCTGCTTAGCGTCTTTATCCCTCTCATTCACATAATGGCTGCTTTTCAAGGCTAAGTCCAGTTTCAAAGAGAGCAATGCTAGCACTCTGCTATTCTTTCTTTCTTTGTACATGCCTTTAGACATTTTAAACTAAGCCTTCTGTCAAGGCTGAATATATGTGGGATCTGAAATGCTACTCCTAGAAAGTGCAACCATCTTGGTATTTTATGAAATGGCACCCTTTCACTGATGTAAAAACCAAGATGTCTCATTACATAAAATAAAAGACAGATCAAAATAAGGCACGGGCGTGAGGAGACCGAGATCAAGAATTCAAGCTTGGCTGGGTGCAGTGGCTCACGTCTGTAGTCCCAGCACTTCGGGAAGCCAAGGCGGGCAGATCACTTGAGGCCAGGAGTTCGAGACCAGCCTGGGCAACATGGCAAAATCCCGTCTCCACTAAAAATACAAAAATTAGCCTGACATGGTGGTACGTGGCTATAGTCCCAGCTACTCGGGAGGCTAAGGCACGAGAATGGCTTGAAGAACCCGGGAGGCAGAGGCTGCAGTAAGCCGAGATTGCACCACTGCACTCCAGTTTGGGCAACAGAGTGAGGCCCTGTGTCAAAAAAAAAAAAAAAAAAAAAAAAAAAAATTCAAGCTCCCCCAAAAGAGGTTTACTTAGGTTTACTAATTTGGATCAGCTTCCAAATTAGAATCATGCATGGGAGGGCGCAGGCATAAGCATCCCTTGTGCAAAAATTCAGGTGGGAGGAACCCTCCTACCCTCCATTTATATACGGTTAGCACTGTCCTATCACCAGATTTTAAAACTATCTCAAGACAAACATCCATCTGTTATTTCAAATCCTCTATGTTCATCATTCCTTTGCTTAAATACATCATGCTTGAAGATGTCTTTAAAGTAAAGGAAAATAGGATAGGCTTTCTATAAAAAAATTTTCTCTACCCCAAATAATTGTGATGTTTTTCTCAAATAAAATAAAGGGAGGAAATAGAAAATAATGAGAGTGGACGTGTTGTCATCTGGTAACTTCTGAGAGGGCCCAGCATGCTGCCAGCCTCTTTTTAGCACCAGCTGGGCAGGTGCTAATACCTTTGATGGGCTGTCACTATAGGAACCCTGGTTAGGAGTCTCAACAAAACATCCTTGAACTGAATGTGCCCCCAGAAGGAACTGCTTTACCTCCGCAACTGGAAGGTTAGGTCACTCCTTGGCTACTGACCCGAGGTAACTAACAAAGCATGAGCAGTCTCACTAACAATTATGTTTTACTGAGTCTTGTCAAATGGAGGCTGTAGGCTTGTAAGTCCGATGGTTTTCTTTCTGCACACTAAGTTATTTTGAAAAATACATAAAAAGGAAGAAAGAGAGAGAGAAAGAGAAGGAGGGAGGGATGGCAGAAAGAAAGAAGAAGGGAAAGAAAAGGAAAAGAAAAGAAAAAAGGAAGCTGTGAGGCTTATCAGGAGTTATGCCAAGTTTCAGGCTTTTGAAATTTGAAACGCCTGAATGCCACGCCTTTAAAACTCAGGTGTACAGTAAGGAACTATTTGGCTAGGTCATGATATTGTTAACTTGGCAAAGAAAAGAGATTACTTTTCAAGTGCAATTTCAAGGGTGGGTACTGGGCTGTGAGGTACTCCAAGGAAACTTTGAAGAGTGGGGACTGATCCAAAGCTCCTGGGTTGACAAAGAAGCAATGTTTTTTGATTGCCAAAGGTCTTTCCAAGTCTGTGGTCCCTGAACTGGCTGTCAGATGTTGCCTCAATTTTGGCTTTATGTTTTAATATCCTGCTTAGTTGAAAAGGCACAAATCACTACAAGCCCTAAAGTTTACATATTTAAGTCCCTTGCGATCAAAAGAGATCTTTTATAGTAGCTGACATTGTGCTATAAGAGAAAACAATGCTACCTTTCCACTTGCTTGTTCCACCCAGTTACGAAGGCTGTGAGCTTTGATGTGTGAAGCAAGGAAGATTTTAAAAACTCAGAATTGGGTCACTTCTGGAAATGCAAATGGAAACAGAGGCAATATTGGTGGAAAAAAAAAAAGGGGTAACAGTCCTATTCACTGAGGCATTTGTTTCTAGAGACGAGGAGTGGCTCTCATAATATGTCACCGGGGCTTTCCTTCAACACCTCTGACTCAGTCTGTGCATTCACAGATCTACTGGAATGGTAGGTGCCATTCACAGGCATATTTAATGCCAGCATTTTTTCTCTTTCACATTAAGTATGTCCTGGAGGTCTAAATGTTATGTGTAATGTATAAAAGGTATACTAGGAGAGAAGGAGGTTGCTCCACCAACAGAAGATCAGAAAGAGCAGAAACTTTTATGCAAATCATCAAAATACGCATCTGCTCCCATTTCCACCCCACTGATGTAAATGAAAAGATCCTGGCTTTCCCTTTAGGTATACACACCTCTGAACACACAAAGCTTGCTCTAGACATTCACTATTAGTCAATTTCACCTGTTTATTAAAAATTGATAAGGCTGGAGAGTTGATGAGGCAGAAAAAGAGGCCACAGAGTAGTTTGCCATCCCTTTTTCTAGGAAAAGTGTTCTCTTCTGATTTTCTGGATGCTGAAGGAAAAGAGTTCTCGCAGCAACACTGAATTCCACTTGGATGATCTCTAAAGATTTCAGACAGTGGATAAATCATTTGTAAAGGCACAGATGAAAATATTAAGTATACATACACCAGAAAAATAACATCCTGGAATTCGCTTTCCAGAACATTGTTATGAGACCAGTAGCTTCTTTGCATACCCCCAAGAATGACAGTTGTCACTTGTCAGTTTGACACTGTCAGTAAGGAACTAAGGAGTATACAATTGCAAAGTTTCTGCCTCCCCTTAACACTTTCAGTTGTGAAGATGGGCGATGATTGCTTTATAAATTATTACAAATTACATCAGAAATATCTCACTTTAGGAAACGTAGCCGAGTTGGAATGGAGGCAGGAAGCCAGAACCTGTACCACACACTTATTCACACTTATCTCTTGTTTCTGAAGTGGAGATTATGACAGCAATATAGCTACCTGGGAACTATAGTAATAAGCAGAAAGGCAAAATCCAGGACATAGGTCCTAAACTTCAACTAGGAGTCTCTATCTATATGTAACACAACCCTAAAGTTGAGGAAACACTGATGGTGTTGAATCAGAGAACTTACACCAAAAAATGTTATTGTTGTTAATAGTAGTCAACTCCCAAATTTTAGAGACAGAGAGGTAAAGCGACTTTCAATCTGGATCTCTAAACTAGAATACTCTTTTGTTCCCATGACTCCAATTTTTTTTTTTTTTTTTTTTTTGAGACGGAGTCTCGCTTTGTCACCCAGGCTGGAGTGGAGTGGTGTGATCTCGGCTCACTGCAAGCTCCGCCTCCCGCGTTCACGCCATTCTCCTGCCTCAGCCTCCCCCTTAGATGGGACTACAGGCGCCCACCACCACGCCTGGCTATTTTTTTGTATTTTTAGACGGGGTTTCACCCTGTTAGCCAGGATGGTCTCGATCTCCTGACCTCGTGATCCACCCACCTCGGCCTCCCAAAGTGCTGGGATTACAGGTGTGAGCCACCTCATCCGGCCCCATGACTCCAATATTTTTCCAATACATTCCAAGACCTTCAAAGCCAGAGAGTAGTGCTAAATAACAGGGCTTGCCTTACTTACATATAGGCCAGATAAAACCTATATGGACGACTTCTGTGCATGGCAATGATGGAGTAAGAATGACTGAACTTACTATATTATCTGAAACAACTAAAAACCTGGCAAAATATATGAAACAACTGTTTCCAAGACATTTGATATCAGACAATGAAGAACAGTGATCACTGAGATATGGGAAACAAATGGGGCCTTTGACTGACTGGAGCGAGTTTCCAGGGAGTGGTCCCCATGGGGAGTCGGCAGTCTCCCTGACTAATGAGACATTGCTAGGGGTACGAGGAGGACAAGGCAGCTGGAATTTGCATGGCAGTGTATGGAAGAGGAGAGAACTGCACAGAGTGAAGGTCTGAGATCTGCACGGGTCCCAATAGCATATTCACCTAAGTACTGTTCAATGCATGACTATCCAAGACTGGGATATCTTTATTCCTCTTTAGAAAACAAACAAACAAACAAACAAAAACATAGCCATTAATCTAGAGTGCTGTATGTGGCAAAAATATCTTTTTTAAATGAAGACAAAATAAGGACTTTTTTATATACACAGAAGCTGAAAGTAGGCCGGGCACGGTGGCTCACGCCTGTAATCCCAACACCCGGGGAGGCTGAGGTGGGTGGATCACCTGAGGTCAGGAATTCAAGACCAGCCTGGCCAACATGGCGAAACCTGTCTCTACTAAAAACACAAATCTTAGCCAGGTGTGGTGGCATGTGCTTGCAGTCCCAGGTACTTGGGAGGCTGAGGCGCGAGATTGCTTGAATCCGGGAGGTGGAGGTTGTGGTGAGCTGAGATTGTGCCACTGCACTCCAGCATGGGCGAAAAAGCGAGACTCCATCTCAGAAAAATAAATAAATAAATAAAAAGAAGCTGAAAGTATTCATCGCCAGCAGTCATGCCCTATAAGAAAGGTTTAAAATACTTTCTATTTTCCCTTTTGATTTTTTTCTTTAACCCATGGGCTACTTAGAAGTGTGTTACCTAGTCTCCAAAAATTTGGGGATTTTCCAAATATATTTTAGCTATTGATTTCTATTTAATTCCATTGTGGTCAGACAACGTACTTTTTCCTGAACCCTTGAAAATTTATTGAAACTTGTTTTTTGGGCCAAAATATTGTCTATCTTGTTAAATGCTCTGTGTGTACTTGGAAAAAAAAATGTGTACTTTGCTTTTATTTATTTATTTATTTATTTATTTATTTATTTTTGAGACAAGGTCTGGCACTGTCGCTTAGGCTGGAATGCAGTGGCTCCATCTCAGCTCACTGCAACCTCTGCCTCCCTGGTCTCAAGGGATCCTCCTACCTCAACCTCCTGTGTAGCTGAGACTACAGGTGCAGTGTATACAGTTCAATAAATTTTGCCCTCTATTAAATTCTATTTTGTATATATACAACAATAAAGTCATTTTAATTTCTCCATTAAAAAAATAAATGGAGGCCAGGCACAGTGGCTCATGCCTGTAATCCCAGCATTTTGGGAGGCCGAGGTGGGCAGATCACTTGAAGTCAGGAGTTCGAGACCAATCTGGCCTGGCCAACACGGTGAAACTCTGTCTCTACTAATAATATAAAAATTAGCCAGGAGTGGTGGCAGATGCCTATAATCCCAGCTACTCTGGAGGCCAAGGCAGGAGAATCAGTCAAACCCAGGAGGTGGAGGCTGCAGTGAGCCGAGATCACGCCACTGCACTGCAGCCTGGGTGACAGAGCAAAACCCCGTCTCCAAAACAAAAAGAAAAAAAAAAGAAATGGAATCATAGAAAGATAATTAGCCCCAAAGAAGTATTTTTCAAATACTTCATACTTTTCCAAGTATTTCATCAAAAGATGAAAAATAGGAAGAGATATGAATAATAAATACAATACGGCATACTTAAACCCAAACATATCAACAGTCAGTCACATTAAATGTAAATGGTCTAATCACTCCAATTTAAAGGAAGAGGTTGTAAGATTGAAATAAAAAGCGAAACCAACTATATATTGCCTATGAAAAACCTACTTTAAAAATAGAGAAATAAATAGGCCGGGAGCCGTGGCTTATACCTATAATCTCAGCACTTTGGGAAGCTGAGGTGGGCAGATCACTTGAGGCCAGGAGTTCGAGACCAGCCTGGCCAACATGGTGAAACTCTGTCTCTACTAAAATTACAAAAACTAAACTAAACTAAAATAAATAAAAATAGAGACGTAAATAGTTTAAAGTAAAAGGATGAAAAAAGATACATGGTAATACTAATGAAAAGAAAGCTGGATTGGTTGTCTTAATATCAGACTAGGTAGGTTTGAGATCCAAAAATATTACCAGGTAGGAAACAGGATGTTTTCTAATGATAAAGAGATCAATTCATCAAAAGACCATAATATTCCTAAACATTTATGAGTTTAATAAAGAATTTCTTAATACATAAAGCAAGCACTGATAGAACTACTAGAAGAAATAGACAAATTCACAATTAGAGTCAGATATTTCAACAATACTTTCTCGATAATAGATTAAAAAACATCTAGACAGAAAATTAGAGAATATAGAAGAATTCAGCAGCTATACTGACCTTATTGGCATTTATAGAGCACTCCACTGAAAAACAGGCCAGGCTTGGTGGCTCACGCCTGTAACCTCAGCAGTTGGGAAGCTGAGGCAAGCAGGTTGTCTGAGCCCAGGAGTTTGAGACCAGTCTGGGCAACATGGTGAAACGCCTTCGCTACAAAAATTAGTCGAGCATGGTGGCATGCACCTGTAGTCCCAGCTACACCGGAGACTGAGGTGGGAGGATCCCTTGAGACCAGGGAGGAAGAGGTTGCAGTGAGCCAAGATAGAGCCACTGCACTCCAGCCTTGGTGACAGTGCCAAACCTTGTCTCAAAAAAAAAAAAAAAAAGCAAAGTACACATTTTTTTTCCTAGTACACACAGAGCATTTAACAAGATAGACTATATTTTGGCCCAAAAAACAAGTTTCGATAAATTTTCAAGGGTTCAAGAAAAAGTATGTTGTCTGACCACAATGGAATTAAATAGACAATAGCTAAAAAATATTTGGAAAATCCTCAAATTTTTGGAGACTAGGTAACACACTTCTAAGTAGCCCATGGGTTAAAGAAAAAAAAAATCAAAAAGGAAAATAGAAAGTATTTCAAACCGAATGAAAAAGAAAAAACAATGTATCAAAATTTGTAGGATATAGTTAAAGCAGTAGACACCATTAGTCAAAAAGAATTAAGGTTTCAAATCAATGCTCAGCTTCCACCTTAAACTAAAAATAGAAGAGCGAATGCAGCTCAAGGTAAACAGAATAAAGGAAATTATAAGATAAAAGCAGAAATCAATGAAGGAGTAAACAGAAAAACTATACAGAAGAATAAAGAAATAAAAAGCTGGTTCTTTTCAAAAGCTAATAAAATTGATAATCTTTTAGCAGACAGATAAAAAAAAAAAAAAGGACACATATTACCAATATCAGAAATGAGAGCCGGGCGCGGTGGCTCACGCCTGTAATCCCAGCACTTTGAGAGGCCGTGGCAGGTGGATCACGAGGTCAGGAGATCGAGACCATCCTGGCTAACAGGGTGAAACCCCGTCTCTACTAAAAATACAAAAAATTAGCCAGGCGTGGTGGCGGGCGCCGGTAGTCCCAGCTACTCGGGAGGCTGAGGCAGGAGAATGGCTTGAACCCCCGGGGGCGGAGCCTGCAGCAAGCCGAGATCGCGCCACTGCACTCCAGCCTGGGCAATAGAGCGAGACTCCGTCTCAAAAAAAAAAAAAAAAAAAAAAGAATGGGAGAAAATGTTTCCAAATCATATATTAATAAGGATCTAGTATCCAGAATGTATAAAGAACTCTTAAAACACTCAACAACAAAAAGACAAACAACCCAATTAAATAACCCAATTAAAAAATAGGCATACGACATGACAAGACATTTCTCCAAAGAGATAAAAATGGCCAATAGAGACATGAAAAGACAATCAACATCATTAGTCATTACAGATATATAGATCCACACCACAATGACATGCCACTTCATACCCAATAGGATAGCCATAAGGGAAAAAATTTAAAGAGGAAAGTAAGTGTTGGCCAGTTTGTGGAGAAACTGGAACCCTCATACATTGTTGGTGGGGATGGTAAAACGGTGCAGCCACTGTGGAACGAATTCCTATATTAACTAGTAATTCTATTCTTAGGTATATATCAAAAAGAATTTAAAACAGATGTTCAAAGACTTGTACATGAATGTTCATAGCAGCTCTATTCATGATGGATAAATAGATGAAAGATTTTTAAAAACCCAAATATCCATAAACAGATGAATGAATAAACAAAATGTGGTATATCTAGGCAATTGGATATTATTCACTCATAAAAAGGAATTAAGTACTAACACATGCTACAACATGGATGAACCTCAAAAGCATCACACTAAATGAAGGAGGCTACACACAAAAGGCCACATATTGTATGATTCAATTTATAAGAAATATCTAGAAGAGGCAAGTCCATAGAGACAGCAAACCGATTAGCAGTTACAGAGACTGGGAGGAGAAAGGAATGCAGTGAGTACTAATGGGTATGAGATTTCTGTTGGTGATGATCAAAATATTTTGGAACTAAGTCGTGATGATGGTTGTACAATGTTGTAAATGTAGTTAATGCCACTGAATTGTATACCTTAAAATGGTTTAAATGGTAAATTTTGTGTTATATGTATCTTAGTATAATTTTTCTAAAAAAAAATCAGCAATTCAATTCATCATATTAACAGTCTAAAAATGAAAAATTTTTTAACATCTCAATAGATGTCAAAGAAGCATTTGACAAAATCCAACATCTGTTCCTGATCATAATCCTCAACAAACTAGGAAAAGAAAGGAACTTCCTCAAGTAAATAAAAAGGCATCTATAAAAAGAAAAAAAAAAAAAACCTAAAGCTAGCCGGGCACAGTGGCTCATGCCCATAATCCAGCACTTTGGGAGACTGAGGGGGGTGTGGATTGCTTTTAGCTGAGGAGTTCAAGCTCAGCCTGTGCAACATGGTGAAACCCCGTTTCTACAAAAAATACAAAAATTAGCTGGGCGTGGTGGTACACCTCGGATCGCGCCACTGCACATCATACTTAAAGGTGAAAAACTACATATTTTCATCTAAGATCAGTAACAAGGCAAGGATGTCCATATTCATGACTTCTACTCAACATTGCACTAGGCCAGGTGCAGTGGTTCAGGCCTGTAATTCCAGCACTTTTGGAGGTGGAGACAGGTGGATTGCTTGAGCCCAGAGGTTTGAGACTAGCCTGGCAAACATGGCGAAACCCCCTCTCTACTAAAAATACAAAAATTAGCTGGGTGTGCTGGCACATGCCTGTAATCCCAGCTACTTGGGAGGCTGAGGCAGGGGAATTGCTTGAACCTGGGAGTGGGAGGTGGCAGTAAGCCAAGATTGCGCCACTGCACACTCCAGCCCGGGCGACAGGGCGAGACTCCATCTCGAAGAAAAAAGAATATTTTTTAAATGTCTGGATTATTTCATTTCAGGAAATTTTATCACAGTTATATATGCACAGTTTTAAAATATCAAATGGTTCTAAAAGGCTGGTTATGAAAAATAGAAATGCCTGGCCCAATTATAGAGCAATTTTCTACTTCAGAGGCAGCCACTTTTAAACACTATTTCTAAATAACAAAAATAAATCTTTACACATTTTTTAGTGTCTGTCCTTAGGAATGCTGAAGATTTAGATTTCTCTCACCTTTCCAACACTCCTATTCCTCACTTTCTCTCTCTCTCTTTTTTTTTTTTTGAAAAGGAGTCTCACTCTGTTGCCCAGGCTGGAGTGCAGTGGCGCAATCTCGGCTCACTGCAACCTCCGCCTCCCAGGTTCAAGGGATTCTCCTGCCTCAGCCTCCTGAGTAGCTGGGATTACAGGCACGTGTCACCACACCCAGCTAATTTTTGTATTTTTAGTAGAGACAGGGTTTCAGCGTGTTGGTCAGGCTGATCTCGAAATCCTGACCTCGTGATCCACCCGCCTCGGCCTCCCAAAGTTTTGGGATCACAGGCGTGAGCCACCACCCCTGGCCTCTTTTTCTTACACACACACATACATGCACTTCCGGTCTGTCCCTGTATTTTTCCATTCCCCTGATATAGCTGTATTATTAATTTGGATAACTATATTCAGAACTTGTTTTTTATGACTATATTGTTATGACCAGGAAATATCATTCACAACTGAATATGTGTTACAGGCCAAATTGTGGGCCCCTTCCCTAAATTCATATGTTGAAGTCCTAACACCTAGTATCTTAGTATGTGACTGTATTTGGAGATAGGACCTTTATTTAATTAATTAATTTATTTATTATTTATTTACTTATTTTTAAGATGGAGTCTCGCTCTGTTGCCCAGGCTGGAGTGCAGTGGCACAATCTTGGCTCACCACAACCTCCACCTTTCGGGTTCAAGCGATTTTCCTGCCTCATCCTCCCAAGTAGCTGAGACTACAGGTGCATGCCACCATGCCCGGCTAATTTTTGTATTTTTAGTAGAGACGGGGTTTCACCATGTTGGCCAGGCTGGTCTCGAACTCCTGACCTCGTGATCCACCTGCCTCGGCCTCCCAAAGTGCTGGAGTTACAGGCGTGAGCCACCACGCCCGGCCAGAGCCTTTATTTTTAATTTGTATTTTTATTTGAGACAGGGTATCACTGTGTCACCTAGGCTGCAGTGCAGTGGCACAATCACGGCTCACTGCAGCCTCAACTTCCTGAGCTCAAGCCATCCTCCTACCTCAGCCTCCCGAGTAGCTGGGACTACAGGCACATGCCACCACGCCCAGCTAATTTTTTTTATTTTTTAAGAGAGAGGGTCTGGCTATTTTGCTTAGGCTGGTCTGGAACTCCTAGACTCAAGCAATCATCCTGCCTCAGCCTCCCTAAGAGTTGGGATTACAGGTGTGAACCACTGCACCTGGCCTTAGGGCCTTTAAACAGGTGATTGAGGCCCCAAGGGTGGGCTCTAATCCAGTATGACTGGTGTCCTTATAAAAACAGGAGATTAGGACACAGACACACACAGAGGAGAGACGACATGAAGACACAGGGAGAAGATGGCCATTTGCAAGCCAGGGAGAGAGACCACATGAGAAATCAACACTGCTGACATCTTGATCCAGAACCAGACCCTTTTTTTTTTTTTTTTTTTTTTTGTAAGACAGAGTCTCACTCTGTCGCCCAGGCTGGAGTGCAGTGGCTCAATCTCAGCTCACTACAACTTCTGCCTCCTGGGCTCAAGTGATTCTACTGCCTCAGTCTTCCGAGTAGCTAGGATTACAGGGGCCCACCACCACGCCTGGCTAATTTTTGTATTTTTAGTAGAGACAGGGTTTCACCATGTTGGCCAGGCTGGTCTCAAACTCCTGACCTCAGGTGATCCACCACCTAGGCCTCCCAAAGTGCTGGGATTACAGGCGTGAGCCACCACGTCCAGCCCACCAGAACCAGACTTATGCCTCTAGCCTCCAAACTGGGAGAAAATAAATTTCTGTTGTTTAGGACATCAGTTTGTTGTATTTTGTTATGGCAGCCCAAACTGACTAATATTATATACATATATATATATATATATACACATACATATAAATGCTTTTTTTCTGAAATTTATCTTCCAAGTCCTTTTGAATTTTTCAGTTCTGCTACTATTTCTTTTTTTCTTTTTTTGTAAACGAAGTCTTGCTCTGACACCCAGGCTGGAATGTAGTGGTGGTCTTGCCTCACTGCAACCTCCACCTCCCAGGTTCCACGATTCCCCTGCCTCAGGCTCCTGAGTAGCTGGGATTACAGGTGCCCACCATCATGACCAGCTAATTTTTGTATTTTTAGTAGAGACAAGGTTTCACCATGTTGGCCAGACTGGTCTTGAACTTCTGACCTCAGGTGATCTGCCCTCCTGGCTTCCCAAAGTGCTGGGATTACAGGTGTGTACCACTATGCCCAGCCACAGTTCCACTATTATTTCTATGAACACTTTTCTTTTCTTTCTTTCTTTTTCTTTTTCTTTCTTTCTTTCTTTTTCTTTCTTTCTTTCCTTCCTTTCTCTCTCTCTTTGTCTCTTTCCTTCTTTCTTTTCCCTCCCCTCCCTCCCTCCCTCCCTCCCTCCCTCCCTCCCTCCCTCCCTTCCTTCCTTCCTTCCTTCCTTCCTTCCTTCCTTCCTTCCTTCCTTCTTTCCTTCCTTTTTTTCTTTCTTTTGAGACAGGGTCTCACTCTGATACCCAGGCTGGAGTGCAGTGGCACAATCTCAGCTCACTGCACCCTCTGCCTCCTAGGCTCAAGGGATCCTCCCACCTCAGCCTCCCAAGTAGCTGGGACTACAGGCAGCCGCCATCACACTTGGCTAATTTATTTTTAAATTGTTTTTTTTTTTCTTTCTTTTTATTTTTTGTAGATAGAGGGTCTCACTATGTTGCCTAGACTGGTCTTGAACTCCTGGGCCCAAGCAGTCCTCCTGCCTTGGCCTCCTAAAGACCTGGGATTAGGCATGAGCTACCACTCCTAGCAAGAGCACTTTTCACTTCTGCCCCTTCCCTCATCTCTTCCAGGTGGATAAGAAGATTCTTTGAGGAAGACCTTGACAACTTCCACATCCCTCATGGATGCTTCTTTACTCACCTTTCCTCTCTTTTCTCTCAAAAATAACTTTTTAATTTTCTGAATGTTCCTGAACAATTTTTGTTTCTAGTTTTCTGGCTCTTGTCTTATCTCCCTGAGTTTGCTGATCCTTGTCTTCTCATTCTTGAGAAGCACACTAAACCCAGCTTAGAAGTCTATGCTTTTGGGAAGAGCTTATCCTCTCTAATCCTCACTGTAGGGTGATCTGGCTGGGCTTTCATCTTGCAAAATCCCGGATGTCAGCATCTTCTGGTCTTTGGGCTCAGAAGGGTCAGCCCTCCACAATGGACTCTGCCACACTGCCATGTAGAGGGTTCTGTGCCTTGCTGTCGGGACCCTGGGGGCTGAGCGAGCCTAAGAAGGCTCAGGGCAGTGTGCCTCAACACTGTTTGTATATCTTCACTTAATCCTCCTATTTTCAGTATAGTCACCCTGCTCTCAACTATGCTGGTCTCCTCCAGGCCAGAGACCCTTAGTTTTAGCCTCTGAAGAAGAGACACCCTCAGTCTCTGTCAGGGTAAGGAAGGACTGTCACTTGGCTCCGCAGATTCAAGGACTTTTTAGCTCCATCTTCATCCCCGCTTTCAGAGCGCCCAATGCCACCCATCCACATGCATTTTGTGGGTTCTTAAATTTAAATGGGATTACATCTTGGATTCCTGCACTACTGGCTTTCGATTCAGCTTTCTCTGGTCTGCCAAATCGGTTGTCACTTCCATATCTGCTTTCTAGCTTGCTAAATTTTGCTGTTTTTTTTTTTCTCTCTTGTTCTCTTCCTCCTTGGGAGTTAATGCCAAAACAAACAAAAATTCCTTTTATTGTCATTTAGTTTCAGAAGGCCTCCAAGATACATGTGTATCCTTTTTTTTCACCATCTTTAAACAGAAATCATCTAAAAGTAATGTTGATAATCCGGCAGAAGGAGAAAGGGGCAGAAATTATGGTCCTCCTATGAATTTGAGTATTGTGCATTCATTAAAAGAGGTGTTTGCTATGAATTTTCAATAGTAAAAAGAAAACTTTTTAAATAATGTTTGTTGATTTTAAAGATGTTGTAAGACTATACATAGGATTATTCCACCAACTCTTTAAATGTTCGTGGAAAAAGTGTGGGTAAAAATATACTTATTTATTTGTTCATGGTTAATGGATAGGATTATGGGCGACTTTATTTTATTTCTGTAATTTATACATTTTTACAATGTAAATACTACTTTGTTTTTCTTATCATTAATTGCATTGTTCAATAATATGTAATTACTGTGGAAAAGGTAGATAATACGTAAAAAGAAGATACATACACACATAGTTTTTTTGTTTTTTGTTTGTTTGTTTGAGACAGAGTCTCACTCTGTCGCCCAGGATGGAGTGCAATTGCGTGATCTCAGTTCACTGCAACCTCCGTCTTCCGGGTTCAAGCAGTTCTCCTGCCTCAGCCTCCCGAGTAGCTGGGATTACAGATGTGCGCCATCATGCCTGGCTAATTTTTGTATTTTTAGTAGAGACAGGGTTTCACCATGTTGGCCAGGTGGTCTCAAATTCTTGACCTCAGGTGATCCACCCACCTCGGTCCCCCAATGTGCTGGGATTACAAGCGTGAGCCACCACGCCCGGCCCACACATAGTTTTTTAAAAAATTACTCCAAAGCCTATCAAAATTAAAAACTGTTAATATGTTAAGATATGTTTTCTTCCAAGTAAATTTGCATACTACTTTTGTAATGAAAACAGTAATATTCTTCCTCTTTGTGTCCACTGCTGGAGTCTTAGAGTCACTAATGGGCTAATGTAAGAAAGTCTAGTTTGAAGCCACTGTTAAAATAGAATTGTTATTTGGAAGGAAATGGGAGATTCCTGGGAACCTCTTAGCTTTCTCACCTAAGTCAACAGAAAGGATTGGCTTACTAGATTTGCTAATTATCAGCCTGAAAGACAAAAGGACCTCATACAAATTCCTGGGGACCATCAAAAGGATGAGAGACAATTGGGACATGATGCTGGAGACTTCTGCATGGGGCCACTGGCGGAGGTGAGTGCCCCTTGGGGAGATGTTGCCAAGATTTGCCTGCTTTACTTAGGATCAGTCCTGCATATCAGCAAACACATGCTATGTGTGTCCTATAGAGCGGTACCACTAGCTGACCTGTGAAACAGGAATTGGGGGAAAACAGCTAATGTTTGATGAAGATGATGGGTTTCTGCACTGGCTTGAGAGGAGCAGTCTCCTTTCAAAACGACATACGCATTCATTATCCCTGGCTTCCTGCTGCCACGGCATTTAAACTAGTGATCTTCAGACAGCATTCCTCTGTCCACGGTCCTCACCGCGAGGCAGCCCCAGAGAATGGACAATG
Organism: Homo sapiens; assembly: GCF_000001405.40. Lineage (NCBI taxonomy): Eukaryota > Metazoa > Chordata > Mammalia > Primates > Hominidae > Homo > Homo sapiens. Next base: position 3,554,571 of record NC_000018.10, read on the forward strand.
TGCATTTGCGATCCATGGCATTTTGAGAATGTCATGGTGGCCTGCAAATGTAACAGGGATATTTGTGATGCTCCATTTCAACTCCTGTTATTGAAGCAGATAGGGCTACCTGGTGCATTTTAGTTTTTACTAATGAGTTTTTAACTTCTTTTTGTTTTGATTTGGAACACTGAAAACCACACTAAATTTAGAAGTCTACTCCTTAATAGATCAATCAGTTAGGTGGGCCTTGCTGGGTTAGTTTTTGTTCCTAAATTATAATTGATTCAAAAGGAAATGAGTCCCTTGGCCTCTTACAAGGTCTTTTAATCATTTCTTTGCACTATCTCTTTCTCAGCTCAATTTTCTTTCTTTTTCTCACTTTTTGTTAGGTTGCTGTCTTTTATCAGTCTGTTTATTTGAAAAAGGAAGAGATAAGTTGTTAACTGGCCATTCAGTGTGAAAACAACAGCCTCACCTTTATCACCAGATAATTAAAAAAAAAATACCCCTCAGCTGTCATTAAGTAATCCCATCTGCCCGATATTGCTTTTTAAGATCCTATCTAAATGAATTACAACCAGCAAAATCATAAAAGAATTAAGTTAGAGACAGAAGGTATTGGTAATCCCTTCTTCCTGTTTGACAATGGATTTCTTTTGGAGAGGTTGAAAACAATCATTAACATCAATTTCAATGCTTATTTACTTTACAGTGGTTAACTATAAAGTGACCTTTGAAGAAGGGTATGTTTTGGAAAGCTAAGTACTAAAATTGGCCTGCCAACCGTTTTGGGGATGAGTTTTAAATATTTTACTCAGTTTACTGAGGAACTGACCATTCTACAAACTTCAATAATTCAAATAAAGTTCAACTTTAAAAAATAATGATAAAAATGGCTCGTATAAAGTTTTTTAGGTTGCTACTAGGTATGACCAAACAATGCAATATTTAGCATTATTGTGGAAATGAAATTTGAGGCCGGGGGCAGTGGCTCACGTCTGTAATCCCAGCACTTTGGGAGGCCGAGGCGGGCGGATCATCTGAAGTCAGGAGTTCGAGACCAGCCTGACCAACATGGTGAAACCCCGTCTCTACTAAAAATACAAAATTAGCCGGGTGTAGTGGCGTGTGCCTATAATCCTAGCTACTTAGGAGGCTGAGGCAGGAGAATCGCTTGAACCCAGGAGGCGGAGGTTGCAGTGAGCCAAGATCACACCATTGGACTCTAGCCTGGGCAACAGGAGCGAAACTCCGTCTCAAAAAAAATAAATAAATAAACAAATAAATTTAAAAACCTGGAAAGATAGACTGGCTGATTGCAGGAGAAATGTTTGAAGTAAAGTAAAGGAGACGACTTTCTCCTCCTTTTTTTTGAAGAAAAGGCAGCATAATTATTATCTTGAAACTTCTTTCTTTAGAGAGATTCTATTTGAGTGCTTAATAGACTAGGAAACACGCAGAGCATTGTATATATCAGGTATTGCTCTAAAAGTTTTACATGTATTAAACAAAACACCCCAGGACAACACACTGAGGTTAATGCTATAGTCCGCTTTCCTCCAACCCCTTTTTAAAATTAATAAACTTTGTTTTTTTAGAACAGTTTTAGGCTCACAGCAAAATTGAGCACAAAGTAGGGAACTCCCATACACCCCTTCCCCCGACACACACACAGCCTCAACTGATATCCACATTTCACACTAGAGTGGCACTTTTGGTGCAGTTCAGGAACCTACACTGGCTGTCATTATCACCCAAAGTCCATGGTTTACAGTAGGGTTACTCTTGGTGTTGTACATTCTCGTATCCACCGTTGCATTATACATTCAGAATCGTTTCACTGCCCCAGACATCCTCAGCCTATTCATACCTCCTTCCTCCTAACCCCTGGCAACTAGTCATCTTTTTACTGTCTCGTTGCCTTTCCAGGGTGTCACATAGTTGGAATCATACAGTATATAGATTTTTCAGATTGGCTTGTTTCACTTAGTAATAATACGTTGACGTTTTTCCCATGTCTTTTTGTGGCTCAATAGCTTATTACTTTTAGTGCTGAATAATATTCTATTATCTGTATGCACCACAGTTTATTTATCCATTGACCTACTAAAGGACAACTTGGTTGGTTCCAAGTTTGGGTGATTAGAAATACAGGTGTTATAAATAACCACGTGCAGGATTTTGAGTGAACATAAGTTTTCAATTCATGTGGATAAATTCCAAGAAACAAAATTGCTGACTTGTATGGTAAAGAATATATTTAGTTTTGTAAGAAACTGTTGATTAGGCAAGGTAGTTCATGCCTCTAATCTCAACACGTTGGGAGGCCAAGGCATATGGATTGCTCATGTCTGATATTATAAGAGTAATTTGTGTCTTCTCTCTTAGTTAGCCTAGTTAAAGGCTTATCATTTTATTAATTTTTTCAGAGTCAGGTTTTGGTTTTGTTGATTTTTCTCTACTGATTACTATTTTCAATTTCATGATTTCTGTTATAATTTTATTTATTTCTTTTATTGTGTTTATTTTGGATTTAATTTGCTCTTCTTTTTCTAGTGTCCTATGGTGGAAGCTTAAATAATTGATGTGAAATTGTTCTTCTTTTCTAATACATGCAATCAATGCTATAACTGTCCCTCTAACCACTGCTTTTGCCTCATTCCATAAATTTTAATAAGTTGTATTTCTGCCGGGTGCGGTGGCTCACGCCTGTAATCCCAGCACTTTGGGAGGCTGAGGTTGGTGGATCACAAGGTCAGGAGTTTGACACCAGCCTGGCCAATATGGTGAAACTCCGTCTCTACTAAAAAAATATAAAAATTAGCTGGGTGTGGTGGCGTGCCCTTGTAGTCCCATCTACTCGGGAGACTGAGGCAGGAGAATCGCTTGAACTTGGGAGGCGGAGGTTGCAGTGGGCTGAGATCACACCACTGCACTCCAGCCTGGGTGACAGAGTGAGATTTCGTCTCAAAAGAAAAAAAAGTTGTATTTCCATTTATTTCAAAATATTTAGTTTCTTGAGATTTATTTGACTCATTTGTAATTTAAAGTGTGCTGTTAAATCTCAGTATTTTGGGAATTTCCAGCTATCCTTCTGTTGTTGATTTCTAGTTTAATTCTACTGTGGCCTGAGAGCAGATATGATATGATTTATAATTTTAAAAATTTGTTCATGACCAGCCTGGCCAACGTGGTGAAACCCTGTCTCTACTAAAAATACAAAAATCAGCCTGGCGTGGTGGCGGGTGCCTATAATCACAGCTACTCGGAAGGCTGAGGCAAAAGAGCTGCTTGAACCCAGGAGGCAGAGGTTGCAGTGAGCCAAGATCACACCATTGCACTCCAGCCTGGGGGACAAGAGTGAGACTTCGTCTCACAAAAAAAAAAAAATGGTTAAGATCTGTTTTATGACCCAGAATATGTTCTGCCCTATCTAGGTGAATGTTCCATATGAGCTTGAGAAGAATGTGTAATCTGTTGTTGTTGGATGAAGTAGTTTATAGAAGTTAACTATATTTAGCTGTTCAGTAGTGTTGTTGCATTCAACTGTGTGCTTACTGATGTTCTGCCTTCTTGACCTGTCCATTTCTGATAGAGAATTGTTGAAGTCTCCAATTATAATAGTAGATACATCTTTTTCTCCTTGCAGTTCTATCAGTTCAAGAACTCATGTATTTTGTAGTTTTTGTTTGTTTGTTTGTTTGTTTTGAGACTGAGTCTCACTCTGTCACCCAGGCTGAAGCGCTCTTGGCTCACTGTAACATCCACCTCCTGGATTCAAGTGACTCTCCTGCCTCAGCCTCCCGAGTAGCTGGAACCACAGGCACGTGCTATAACACCCGGCTATTTTTTGTATTTTTAGTAGAGATGGGGTTTCACCATGTTGGCCAGGCTGGTCTTGAACTCCTGACCTCAAGTGATCCGCCCACCTTGGCCTCCCAAAGTGCTAGGATTACAGGTATTAGCCACCGGGCCCAGCTAGAATTCATGTATTTTGAAACTCTGTTGGTAGGTGCATACATGTTAAAGATTTTTATGTCTTCTTTGAGAATTGACCCCTTTATCATCATCTTTATCCCTGATAATTTTCTTTGCTCTGAAGTCTGCTCTGTCTGAGATTAATATTTCTACTCCCACTTTCTTTTTATTAGTGCTAGACATTTTCTCTTTTTCCATTCCTTTACTTTTCAATCTATATCTGTCTTTATATTTAAAGTGGGTTTCTTGTAGACAACATATAGTTAAGTCTTGTTTTCTTATCCACTCTGACAATCTCTGTCTTTTAATGATATATGTAAAATACTAATGTTTAACCCTGTTCCTATTTGCCCTGAGAATACTTGCTGGTGGCACCTGCAGCTACAGCCTTTAACCCAAGATAACTTTGCCACAAAATATTTTGTTTTATTATTATTTTCACATTGCTCTAGTATATTGACTTTGGAAACAAAGACATCATCCTATTTATAGCATTCTGGTCTTAGCAGTGGTATTTCCATTTAGAAAATATAGTAATTCTCCATTGCTGAAAATGGCAAATCCTAGAAAACGTAGCATTCCTACACGTGATGTTAACATTGTCCTCAAAGAGTTGTGGCCGAGATTCATTTGATGAATCCAATTTTTCTGAAATAGATGATTCTGATGATTCAGATGATTCTGATGTTAGTTCTGTTTAGAAATAACTCGAAGAACAGTTTTTACATTTTATTTTCACATTGAAAATCAGTCATATTTGCTTCGGCCTCAAGGAGTGTGTTTATGTAAAATTAAATGAGCGCTGACAGCCAGCTGCACATTTTTTCTAAATGGGAAAAGGGTTAAACTGATTATCTAGTTGGATTAACATCTACCATATTTGTTATTATTTTCTATTTTTTCACCTTTGTTCTTTCTTCTTATTTTTGTCTTTCACATTTTTTCTGCTTTTAATAGTTTTCTATTGAGCATTTATATGATTGAATTTTCTCTCCTTTCTTAGCATACTAATTTTATTTTTCTTTTACCTCTTTTTAGTGGTTACCCTAGAGCCCTAGAGTTTGCATTATGCATTTACCACGAATCCAATCCACTTTTTTTTTTTTTTTTTTTGCGGAGTCTCGTTCTGTCGCCCAGGCTGGGGTGCAGTGGCACGATCTCAGCTCACTGCAACCTCTGCCTCCTGGGTTCAAGTGATTCTTCTCCCTCAGCCTCCCGAGTAGCTGGGACTATAGGCAAGTGCCACCGTGCCCAGCTAATTTTTGTATTTTTAATAGATACGGGGTTTCACCATATTGTCTAGGCTGGTCTTGAACTCCTGACCTCGTGATCCACCTGCCTCGGCCTCCCAAAGTGCTGGGATTACAGGCATGAGCCACTGCTCCAGGCCCCAATCCACTTTCATATAACACTATGACACTTCACAGGTTTTGCGAGTACTTTGTAATAATTAATAATTTCCAATTCCTACCACTTGTTCCTTGTATCATTGCTGCCATTCATTTCATTTATACATGAGTAAGTAAATGTACATATATTTAAATACATTTTTGCTATTAGTATTTTGAACAAACTTATCTGTTAGATCAGTTAAGAATGAGAAAAATGGGCCAGGCGCAGTGGCTCACGCCTGTAATCCCAGCACTTTGGGAGGGTGAGATGACCGGATCACGAGGTCAGGAGATCAAGACCATCCTGGCCAGCACAGTGAAACCCCGTCTCTACTAAAATTACAAAAATTAGCTGGGTGTGGTGGTGTGTGCCTGTAATCCCAGCTACTCGGTAGGCTGAGGCAGGAGAATCACTTGAACCTGGGAGGCGGAGGTTGCAGTGAGCTGAGATCGCGCCACTGCACTCCAGCCTGGGTGACAGAGCGAGACTCCGTCTCAAAAAAAAAAAAAAAAAAAAAATTAGCCAGGTGTGGTGGCGTGGGCCTGTAATCCCAGCCACTCGGGAGGCTGATGCAGGAGAATTTCTTGAACCCGGGAGGCAGAGGTTGTGGTGAGCCAATATTGTGCCACTGCACTCCAGCCTGGGTGACAGAGCAAGACTCAGTCTCAAAAAAAAAAAAAAAAAAAGCATGTTTATGTAAAATTAAATGAGCACTGGCAGCAAGCTGCACATTTTTTTCTAAATGGGAAAAGGGTTAAGCTGATTATTTATCTAGTCGGATTAACATCTACCATATTTGTTACTACTTTCTATTTTTTTGCCTTTGCTCTTTCTTCTTATTTTTGTATTTCACATTTTTTCTGCTGTTAATAATTTTCCATTGAGCATTTATGTGATTGAATTTTCTTTTCTTTCTTAGCATACTAATTTTACTTCTCTTTTACCTCTTTGTAGTGGTTACCCTAGAGTTTGCATTATGTATTTACCACGAATCCAATCCACTTTCATATAACACTGTGACACTTCACAGGTTTTGCAAGTACTTTGTAATAATTAAATATTTCCAATTCCTACCACTTATTCCTTGTATCATTGCTGCCATTCATTTCACTTATACATAAATAAATAAATGTACATGTATTTAAATACATTTTTGCAATTGCTATTTTGAACAAACTTATCTGTTAGATCAATTACGAATGAGAAAAATGAGCTGGGCACACTGTCCCACGCCTATAATTTCAGCACTTTGGGAGGCTGAGGTGGGCGGATCACCAGAGATTAGGAGTTTGAGACCAGCCTGTTCAACATGGTGAAACACCGTCTCTACTAAAAAAAAAAAACAAAAAAAAAAAAACAAACAAAAAATAGCCAGATGTGGCAGGTGCCTGTAATCCTAACTACTCAGGAGGCTGAGGCAGGAGTATCGCTTGAACCTGGGAGGTGGAGGTTGCAGTGAGCCAAGATCCTGCCACTATACTCCTTCCTGGGCGACAGAGCAAGACTCCATCTCCAAAAAAAAAAAAAAAAAAAAAAACAGAAAAATGAAAGTTTTTATTTTAGTTTCTGACCTATGTCATTTTCCTTCTCTCAGAAGAACTTCTTAACATTTCTTGAAGGTCTGCTGGCAACAAATTCCCTCAATTTTTGTTTATCTGAAATAGTCTTTATTTTTCTTTCACTTTTACGGATAATTTCACAGGGTACAAAATTCTAGATGGGTGTTTTTGGTTTTTTATTCTCCTAATACTTTAAATATTTCACTCTGTTCTTGCATGGTTTCCGAGAAGTTGGATATACTTCTTTCAATTTTTTTCGTTTTTGAGTGTTTTTATAGTGACTAAGCCTCGCTATGTTGCTATTAGTCCGTTTTAACGCTGCTGATAAAGACATACCTGATACTGCGCAATTTACAAAAGAAAGAGGTTTATGGGACTTACAGTTCCATGTGGCTGGGGAGGCCCCACAATCATGGCATAAGGTGAAAAGCACATGTCACATGGTGGCAGACAGGAGAAGAGGGTAACCGGGCACTGTGGCTCACGTCTGTAATCCCAGCACTTTGGGAGGCCGAGGCGGGAAGATCATAAGGTCAGGAGTTTGAGACCAGCCTGGCCAACATGGTGAAACCCTGTCTCTACTAAAAATATAAAAATTAGCAAGGCGTGGTGGCGGGCACCTGTAATCCCAGCTACTCAGGAGACTGAGGCAGGAGAATTGCTTGAACCCAGGAGGCAGAGGTTGTAGTGAGCCGAAATCATGCCATTGCACTCCAGCCTGGGCAACAAGAGCAAAAACTCCGTCTCAAAAAATAATAATAATAATAATTATATCTGTGTGGCCACAGTTACCCAAGTGGCTGTGGTGGAAGGATTGCTTAGGGCCAGGAGTTCAAGTCCATCCTGGGCAACTGATATGGTTTTGTGTGTCCCCACTCAAATCTCATCTTGAATTGTAACTCCCACAATTCCCACCCGTTGTGGGAGGAACCTGGCAGGAGGTGATTGAATCATGGGGGTGGGTCTTTCCCATGCTGTTCTCATGATAACGAGTGGGTCTCATGAGATCTGATGGCTTTAAAAATGGGAATTTCCCTGCAGAAGCCCTCTTCTCTCCCTTTTTTTTTTTTTTTTTTTTTTTTAGATGGAGTCTCACTCTGTCACCCAGGCTGGAGTGCAGTGGCGTGATCTCGGCTCACTGCAGCTTCCACCTCCTGGGTTCAAGTGATTTTCCTGCCTCAGCCTCCCAAGTAGCTGGGATTACAGACACGCGCCACCACGCCTGGTTAATTTTTTTTTTTTTTGAGACTAAGTCTCGCTGTGTCTCCGAAAGTGTTGGGATTACAGGAATGAGCCACTGTGCCTGGCCAGATATAACTCTTATCTTTTATCTTTTTTGTTTGTTTGTTCTGTTTGTTTATTTTTGAGACACGGTCTCTCTCTGTCGCTGAGGCTGGAATGCAGTGGTGTGATCTCAGCTCGCTATAACCTCCACTTCCCAAGCTCAAGCAATCTTTCCACCTCAGCCTACTGAGTAACTGGGACCACAGGCATGCACCACAGCCAGATAACTTTTTGTATTTTTTGTAGAGATGGGATTTTGCCATATTGCCCAGGTTGGTCTTGAACTCCTGGGCTGAAGTGATCCACCCACCTCAGCCTCCCAAAATTCAGGGATTACAGATGTGAGCCACTGAACCCGGCCTAGTTCTTATCTTTGCTCCTCTATAGGTAAGATGTTCTTTCCCTCTCACTTTTTTCAAGATTTTTAAAGTCTTATTTTTCTGAAGTTTGAATATGATATGCTTAGGTGTAGTTTTTTGGTTTGTGTTTGTTTGTTTTGGCATTTATCTTGTTTGGTATTCTCTGAGCTTCCTGAATCTGAGGTGTCTGACATTAATTTGGGGGAATTCTGTTATTATTGCTTCTAATATTGCTTCTGTTCCTTTCTCCATCCTCTCCTTCTTGTATTCCTCTCTCATGTAAAGTTACACCTGTTGTAGCTGTCTCACTGTTCTCAGATAATCTGTTATGGCTTTTTTTTGTTTTTTTGGTTTTTTTTTTTGAGACGGAATTTCGCTCTTGTTGCCCAGGCTGGAGTGCAGTGGCACGATCTCGGCTCACCACAACCTCCGCCTCCCAAGTTCAAGCAATTCTCCTACCTCATCCTCCCAAGTAGCTGGGATTACAGGCATGCACCACCATACCCGGCTAATTTTTTATTTTTAGTAGAGATGGGGTTTCTCCATGTTGGCCAGGCTGGTCTTGAACTCCTGAGCTCTGGTGATCCGCCCACCTTGGCCTCCCAAAGTGCTGGGATTACAGGCATGAGCCACCGTGCCCAGCTGATCTGGCTTTTTATCAGTCTTCTTTCTCTTTGCTTTTCAGTTTTGGAAGTTTCTATTGTTATATCCTCAAGTTTAGACATTAGTGTCCAGTTTACTAGTGAGCCCATCAAAGATATTCTTTGTTTCTATTAGAGTGTTTTTTATCTCCAGCATTTCTTTTTAAATCTCTCTTAGAACTCTTTTTCATTCTCCATCTCTCTACATGTTCTGCTTCTTTCATTAGAGCCCTTAGCATATTAATCATAATTAGAAAAAAATCTTGGCCCGGTAATTCCAACATTCCTGCCATATTTGACTCTGGTTCTGATGCTTGTTCCATCTCTTCAAACTGTGTTTTTTACCTTTTAGTATGCCTCGTAATTTTTTGAAAAGTGGGCATGATGTACTGGGTGAAAGGAACTGTGGTAAATTGGCATTTAGTAATGTACTGGTAAGGTGTGTGTGAGGGAAAAGTGCTCTACAGTTCTATGATTAGTCTCAGCCTTTTGGTGAGCCTGTGCTCCTGGTCTGTGAACTTCATCAGTGTTTCTCAGTTGTTTTTATTTTTTTCTCTTACGTGGGATAAGGTGCCTGAAGGGGGCTGAGGTTGGGTATGTCCCTTCCCCCATGTGGAAGGCTAGAGGAAACTAGAGCTGAGTGTTTTCCTTCCCCCAGGTAGGTTCTAGGCTCTGATAAAACCCCAGCCAGCAAAAGGTTCTGGTAAAATAGTTTCTGCTGCGTGCAGGCCCTGTGAATAAGAAGAGAAAGTGCTGGCATATTTCAAAGTAGTTATTTTTTCCTTCCCCTTTCTGGAAGCACAAGGAGATTTTTTTTCTCTGATATTCACTTTGAGGACCTGGTAGAGTTCCTGGAGGTAAAACTCACAAAAGTGTGAGCTCTCCCTATGACTGGGTTTCCTTGGAGCTTTTAACTCTCAGAGTTGTCAATATTGAGCCTCCAACAATTCTTCAGTTACTGCTTACGTTTTCTTACCCTGTGCTGGTTCCTGCAGAGATTTCTACTTGTGTTTCTACTCCAGTAAGTTGTAAGTCTCTGTATCTGTCTGTTTTTCCAATTTTGGGAGAAGCAGTGTGCCCTGTGACCTCCCTTCTCTAAGAGATATACAAAGAGATGTTGATTTTTTAGTTTGTTGAGATTTTTACTTGCTAAGATGGAGTGGTGACTTCCGAGTTCCTTTTAGCTTATAGTGGAAACTGCTTGTAACCCCCTTTTTACATATAAGGAAACTAAGGCACAAAGATGGGTAGTAATTTGCTTATGGCCCCTCAGTTAGTAAGGGGCACAGCCAGGATTTGGTGTTCTGGCTCAAGAGTCTGTGCTGTCAACCACTACATCGTTGAGAAAAGGCACCAAGCTGGGCTGGTGGGAGATGGAGGAATATATTTTCTTTTTCTTTTTAAGACAGAGTCTGCTCTGCCACCCAGGCTGGAGCGCAATGGCGTCATCTTGGCTCACTGCAATCTCTGCCTCCTGGGTTAAAGGGATTGTCCTGCCTCAGCCTCCCGAGTTCCTGGGATTACAGGAACCCACCACCACGCACAGCTAATTTTTGTAATTTTTTAGTAGAGACGGGTTTCACCATGTTGGTCAGGCTGGTCTTGAACTCCTTACCTCAGGTGATCCACCTGCCTCGGCCTCCCAGACTGCTGGGATTACAGGCGTGAGCCATTGCCCATGTCCAGGAATATATTTTCTTTAATGTCTACTAAATGTATACTTTCAAAAATTTTTCTAAAACACTTAATAAAGAAACATATGCCTAGGACATTAAAGCAATGATTACCGGCCCAGCGCGGTGGCTCACGCCTGTAATCCCAGCACTTTGGGAAGCCAAGGCGGGTGGATCACAAGGTCAAGATGATCGAAACCATCCTGGCCAACATGGTGAAACCCCGTCTCTCTTAAAAATACAAAAATTAGCTGGGCGTGATGGTCCGTGCCTGTAGTCCCAGCCACTCGGGAGGCTGAGTCAGGAGAACCGCTTGAACCCAGGAGGCGGAGGTTGCAGTGAGCCGAAATTGCACCACTGCACCCCAGCCTGGGCGACAGAGTGAGACTCTGTCTCAAAAAAACCACACACAAAAAACAAACAAACAAAAAAAAATGATTACTAAAACTTTTCAGAGTAAAAGAAAAAAGTCACTCCTAAACCTACCATTTGTACGTATTACATTTCAGTCCTTGTCCATCTGCATGAACACTATGCGTGGATATTATATATTAAAGTTTTTCACCTAACATTGTATCATGGGAATTTCCCCATGTTTCTCCACCTTTTTAAATAAATGATATTTAATAGCTGTATAATAGTTTACCTTGGTGAGGTGCTATAAATTACAAAAGCATGCTATTATTGGTTATTTGATAATTAGTGTTTTTCTTTTACAATGATAAATAATGTTTCACAATTGTTTACCTTTCATTGAGTAATTTAACTCAAGCCCCAAGAGTGTGATTTTTGGGTCAATTGGTACGGATAGATGTGTAACTATTGCTAACTTTTGTCATATTTGTTTCCAGAATGATCGTACCAGTTTTCTGGGCTTCCAGCATTGCATAATTATATCAGGTTGGTGCAAAAGTAATTGAGGTTTTTGCCATATTATACACACACACACACTATATATATATATTACATATACACACATAGAATTTATTAATAAATATATTAACTATATGTATATGATATATATACACACCTCTTAAAAGTATAGTGTCAATCAATAGTGAGAGGTTCTAAAACAGGACCATTTCCATAAACTGATAAATTCCTCCTTTTCAGATTTTCAGTTTACGTTACATGTAGCCTTGATTATAGGAGGCATTCCATAGATTTTATTGAATGGATGGATAATGGAAGGATGGATAGGTGACATTCAAATGATTCTTCCTAATTAACACACTGAAAGTTAGTAGCAAAGTTGAGATGATACACTGATTTATAATTTAGAGTAGTTTCTCTCACCGTAACTCCAGTTTTACTTTATTCAGCCAACATTTGCTGTATATTTAGTATGTGCAAATCACAATGCTGGAAGCTGGGGGTACTACTAGCAATAAAACATGGTTCTACCCACCAAGAAACTCCCAGTTTGAGAAATTCACATGCCTCTCTCCATCAGATTCTCATTTACAACATGAAATTATTGACCCCAAATTCTGTAATTTTATGAAATCCTACATTTCCCATTTATAGATACTAAGGCTCTAAAGTAGGTAAAGAGTAATCTGAAGGACTGGTGATTCAGGATAATGACAGGGAATATCTTCTTTTTCATTCATTCATTCATTCATTCATTCATCATTCATTCATTCATCATTCATTGAGCACACACTAAACACCAGACACTATTAAGTGTTGGGAATAGAAATAGAAATAAGGTAAGTTCTCTTCTCATAAAAAGTGCACTGTCTCATATGGGAAGGTCTCTTATTTTTTTTGTTTTCAGAGGTATAGTTTGGCAACCCAAGAGTACTGCACACAGTATTTATATGTATGTAATATGCTTACAGTACTATTCAAACAAAACTCAAATGGAGTGGTGTCTAGTATTAAAGTACAGGAGAGAATCAACTAATATTGATTCAACTTCACCCTTTAAATACTCCCAAAACTTAGAGGAAAATATCATTGAATTTTGTAGACTTATCACGGGGAAAAATGCTTTTACCTTACTTCAAAACATCAAGACAAAAGAGGATGCGTGCATGTGGACTTACCACTTCTCTTCTTCTACTTGCACTCCCACGGACTGGAACTTACTGGGTGCTTTATTCTCCCCTGTTTTGTCAGGTTCTTCAGCATCATCCACCTGGAGAAATCATCAAATAAATAGAGTTGTTCCATTTCAGTCATCTTGCTTGAAAAACAAACATCACATTTTATGAGAAAAATCTCTAATATGACTGGAATGTTTTGTAATTTATAACCTCCTTGTTCAATATTTGTGTACACTACCTTCACTGCACGCTCTTTGACTCTGTTGCTGTTAGTAAAATGCAATTTTATCCACTCTCAAGGTAGCTGATAAATGTTTATGATTCCTCCACAGATTTGCAAGTCTGTACTTAGACTTAAGTATCTTACTGTAAATACTATATTAGAAGGGAATCTACATGGAAATGTGTTCTTGGAAGTTTTTTTTTTCTAATAGAGTTTCCCTCTGTCGCCCGGGCTGGAGTGCTGTGGTGTGATCTCAGCTCACTACAACCTCCGCCTCCCGGGTTCAAGGGATTCTCCTGCCTCAGCCTCCCGAATAGCTGAGATTACAGGTGTGTGCCACCATGTCCGGCTAATTTTTGTATTTTTAGTGGAGACAGGTTTTTGCCAAGTTGGCCAGTCTGGTCTCAAACTCCTGATCTCAAGTGTTCTGCCCGCCTGGGCCTCCCAAAGTGTTGAGATTACAGGCGTGAGCCACCACGCCCGGCCTGGAAGTTTTGAATTTGAAGATAACAACATACAAAATAAAGAGGAAAATTTATATATTGTAATTATAATTGTTGACATTGGGAGATTTAGATATTAACCTTATTAAGATAAACTATAGAGTGTCTTCATTTTTCTCCCCTTAAATAAAGAATTGACTTTGAATATCACTCCATAGTTTCTAAATAGCTATGTGTATATTACAGCTATATAGAAAATATACCATATAGAACTAATAACCTATGCAACAGATTAGCTCCAACCCAAATTTGAAGAAAATTTTAGAATTATTAGGTTTATTCCGTTTTCCTACTATGTGTTTAAGAAATGTTGTCTCTAAATATAAAGACAATTCAATGTAAGTTATATAAAATTAAAATACAGAAATATATAATGTAGAAAGAGAAAGTCTCCCAAGAATTATTGTCAATTATTTGATGTATATTTGTCTATCTTTATATATATGTCTAAATATATATATTTAAATTTTTGTTTGTTTGTTTGTTTTTGAGATGGAGTCTCACTTTGTTACCCAGGCTGGAGTGCAGTGGCACGATCTCGGCTCACCGCAAGCTCCGCCTCCCAGGTTCACACCATTCTCCTGCCTCAGCTTCCCAAGTGTCTGGGACTACAGGTGCCCGCCACCACGCCTGGCTAATTTTTTATATTTTTAGTAGAGACGGGGTTTCACTGTGTTAGCCAGGATGGTCTCGATCTCCTGACCTCGTGATCCGCCCGCCTCGGCCTCCCAAAGTGCTGGGATTACAGCCATGAGCCACCACGCCTGGCCTAAATGATTATTTTATTTTATTTTATTTTATTTTTGAGACAGAGTCTCACTCTGTCCCCCAGGCTAGAGTGCAGTGGCGCAATCTCAGCTCCTGCAACCTCCGCTTCCCGGGTTCAAGCAATTCTCCTGCCTCAGCCTCCCGAGTAGCTGAAATTACAGACGCGTGCCACCATGCCCAGCTAATTTTTGTATTTTTAGTAGAGATGGGATTTCACCATGTTGGTCAGGCTGGTCTCGAACTCCTGACCTCGTGATTTGAGTGCCTCGGCCTCCCAAATTGCTGAGATTACAGGCGTGAGCCACCGCACCTGGACAAAAATATTTATTGACTTCTTATGTTTCTATCTGTAAGTTGTCTGTTCATATCCTTTACTAGTCTCCTCCCTAATTAGGCTGTTTTTTATTTTCTTAATCATAGGATCTCTTTATATTTTATGAACCTAAACTCTTTCTCTGTTACATATACTGCAAAAGTTTTCTCTCAGTTTATCATGTGTCTTTTAAACTTTGCCCTTCATTGGAGAGAGTCTTAGGTAGTCACATCCAGCTTTTATGGTTTGGAAAGGCTTTTTCTCTGAGCATATTTTTAAAAGTCTTCTTGTATTTTCTTTTATGCTTTCATGTTATCTTTTTTTCGTATTTAATTCTTAAATCCACCATCCTGAAATGTTTCTGTCAAAGACACATACCTAGAGATCTACTATTACCCTCCTGTACTACCTCCCTTGGGTTATGAATGGATCTGGCTCCGTTTATTAACTAATTCGCCTTTTTTATTTGAGATGCCAGCTTTATCTGATACCAAACTTTACTCACATATATTTCCCCATACATTCTCATATAGGCATTCTCATATACAGTCATGACACACATAGTGACATTTCTGTTAACGATAGAGCACATATACAATAGTGATCATAAGATTATAATGGAACTGTCCTGTGCAGAAGTACCATTCTGTATCTTTTGTACTGTATTTTTACTGTACCTTTTCTATGGTTAGATACACAAATACTTAACATTATGTTATAATGGCCTACAGTGTTCTGCATAGTCATATGCTGTACAGGTTTATAGCCTAGGAGCAATGGGCCATACTATATAGCCCAAGTGGGTAGTATGCTCTACCTCCCAGGTTTGTGTAAGTACCTTCTATGATGTTCACACAATGACGAAATCACCTAATAACACATTTTCCCAGGTGTATCCCTGTCATTAAGTGACATACATATAAAGACCTGTTTCTGGCCTATTGATCTGCTGGGCTTATTGACCTTCCCTCTCCTTTTTCCTAAATTTTTTTTTTTTTTTGAGATGGAGTTTCACTCTGTTGCCCAGGTTAGAGTGCAGTGGTATGATCTCGGCTCAGTGCAACCTCCACCTCCCGGGTTCAAGTGATTCTCCTGCCTCAGCCTCCCAAGTAGCTGGCATTATAGGTGTGTGCCACCATGCCTGGCTAATTTTTGTATTTTTCGTAGAGACGGGATTTCACTACATTGGCCAGGCTGGTCTCGACCTCCCAACCTCAGCTGATCTGCCCGCCTCAGCCTCTCAAAGTGCTGGTTGCATGTCTGGCCTTTCCTAATATAATTTTGTAATCAGTCTTGATATTTTCTATGGCAAGTCTCCTCCTGTAGTTCCTTTTTCAAAAAGTATAATTAGGCTAGGTGAGGTGGCTCATGCCTGTAGTCCTAGCACTTTGGGAGGCCGAGGTGAGAGGATCGCTTGAGCCCAAGAGTTAAAGACCAGCCTGGGCAACATAGCAAGACCCTGTCTCTACAAAAAATAAGAAAAAAAATAGCTGGGCATAGTGGCATGCGCCTGTACTCCCAGCTACTCAGGAGGCTGAAGGAGGATTGCTTGAGCCTGAGAGGTGGAGGCTGCAGTGAGCCATGATCATGCCACTGCACTCCAGCCTGAGTGACAGAGCAAGACAGTGTCTCAAAAAAAAAAAAAAAGGTAATTTAAAAACAGAACAAACCAAAACAAAAATCTCTAGGTTATTTTGGAGTATTAACTTCTAAGTAAACTTTAACATCAAATTGTCAAGCTCGTCCTGTTAGCCTCCACCAAGTGATAAAAATCATATTGGAATTTTTATTGGAATTTCTTTAAATATTTGTATTAATTTTCAGGAAATTGTTGTCTTTTTACTATGTAGTATTCCTGTGTAGGAATAGTAAATAATTTTCCATTTATTACAGTATTATATTTTATTTATTTATTTGCTGGATGAGATCTTGCTATGTTGCCCAGGCTACAGTACAGTGGCTATTCACAAAGTCGATCCCATTAGTGATCAGCAGGGCAATTTTGACCTGCTCCTTTTCTGACCTGAGCCAGTTCACCCCTCCTTAGGCAAACTGATGGTCCCCTGCCCCTGGCAGGTCACCATACTGATGCTGAACTTACTGTGGACACCCCATCACTATAGTGCACTACAGCCCAAGACTCCTGGGCTCATGTGATCCTCCTGCCTAAGCCCCCTGAGTAGTTGAGACACAGGTGTGCATGACCATGCATGGAGGTTATTTACTTATTTATTTATTTTCAGATGGAGTCTTGGGACTCTCACTCTGTCGCCCAGGCTGGAGTGCAGTGGCGCAGTCTCGGCTCACTGCAACCTCCGCCTCGGGGGTTCAAGCCATTCTCCTGCCTCAGCCTCCTGAATAGCTGTGACTGCAGGCGCGTCCACCATGCCCGGCTAATTTTTGTATTTTTTAGTAGAGACTGGGTTTCATCATGTTGGCCAGGATGGTCTGGATCTCTTGACCTCGTGATCCGCCCGCCTCGGCCTCCCAAAGTGCTGGGATTACAGGCGTGAGCCAATGTTCCCGGCCGCCTGGAGGTCTTATATTTTATGTAAGGTAAGTTTTTATATTGTTTTCAAATAGGAGTTACATATTATTTCTGAAGCTCAATTGTGTTGTTTTATAGTTTTTGTTACTACTGTGAATGGGTTATTTTTGTACCTTTATATTTTGTTTATTGATAATATATAGATAAGTTATTGATTCCTCTGTATTTATATTATATTCTTTCACGTTGCTGAATTCTAATGGATTTTCAGTGGTTTCTTCTAGGTTTTTTTTTTTTTTTTTTTTTCTTTTGAGACGGAGTTTGGCTCTTATTGCCCAGGCTGGAGTGCAATGGCGCGATCTCGGCTCACCGCAACCTACCCCTCCGGGATTCAAGCGGTTCTCCCGCCTCAGCCTCCCGGTTTCCGCTAGAATTTTAAAGGTGGACATGTATATTATCTACGAATAAAAGCAATTTTGCTTTGTTTTGAAATATTTACAGTTCATTTCTTGCTTTGTGTCTTGGCCAGTAAAGGCAAACAACACTGAATAAGCCTAAGAAAATATTCATCCTTACTTGACTTCTGACTCTGGAATATCTCTAGCATTTCGTCTTTAAGCAGAAGTTTAGATTGGTTTCTTTTATTTATTTATTTGTTTGTTTGTTTGTTTGTTTGTTTCTGAGACAGAGTCTCACTCTGTTGCCCAGGCTGGAGTGCAGTGGCGCAATCTAAGCTCACTAAGCAACCTCCACCCCCCAGGTTCAAGTGATTCTCCTGCCTCAGCCTCCCGAGTAGCTGGGACTACAGGCATGTGCCATCATGCCTGGCTAATTTTTGTATTTTTAGTAGAGACGGGATTTTGCCATGCTGGCCAGGCTGGTCTCAAACTCCTGATCTCAAGTGATCCACCCACTTCAGCCTCCCAAAATACTGGGATTACAGGTGTGAGCCACTACACCCGGCCTTTAGTTTGGTTTCTTATAAATGCTTTTTATCATGTTGATACTTGGAATGGCTTCTGATTTTTACCAAATGCAATAGTTTTTACTATCTATCTGATACCAAACTTTTCCCCCTAAAGGCTAAAATAACTTTGGATTTCTGTGACATACACTACTTGGTAATAGTATATTATTTTTATTTCATTTTTCTTACTTCAGACAGGAAATATGCTGACACGATAATAAGATGTGAGGGAGGCACATCTTAAACTTTTGTGTGAAGACCCAATCATCATGCTGATGAATCACAAAAAGATCAGTAAAGGTATATTATTTTTAAAAATATATATACACTTTGATTAATTCTCAAATTTGGTAAGAATTTTTACATGTATTTTTGTAAGCATGTTATTCCATAATTATTTTTTCTTGTGTTCTTTCAAATTTAGGTATTAGAGTTATGCTTATTTGATTAAAATATATTAAGAATCTTGTCTGGGCGCAGTGGTTCACACCTGTAATCCCAGCACTTTGGGAAGCCGAGACGGGCAGATCACCTGAGGTCAGGAGTTTGAGACCAGCCTGGCCAACATGGTGAAACCCCGTCTCTACTAAAAATACAAAAATTAGCCGGGCGTGGTAGCGCGTGGATGTAGTCCCAGCTACTCGGGAGACTGAGGCAGGATAATTGCTTGAACCCAGGAGATGGAAGTTACAGTGAGCCTAGATCATACCACCGCACTCCAGCCTGGGTGACAAGAGCAAAACTCCATCTCAAAAGAAAAAAGAGTCTTGATCTTTTTTGTAATATTACATGCTTTAAATAACATAGGAATTATTTGCTTCATGAATGTTGAGAAAACCTTTCCTGTTAAAATGATCCAAGTCCGTAACATTTGTGAAAGGTTTTTTTTTTCTTCACTTTTTTTGCACTTTATTCTATGGTTATAAGATTTCTTCCTCCAGGTTTTTATTTTATTTATTTATTTATTTTTTAGACAGAGGGTTTCTGTCATCCAAGCTGGAGTGCTGTGGCAAAATCATGGCTTACTGCCACTGTGACCTCCTGGTCTCAAGTGATCCTCCCACCTCAGCCTCCCAAGTAGCTGGCACTCAGGTATGTGCCAGCACGCACGACTAATTTTTTCTACTTTTTGTAGAGACAAGGTCTCGTTATGTTGCTTAAGCTGGTCTTGAATTCCCTGGCTCAAGCCATCTACCCACCTTAGCTTCCCAAAGTGCTGGGATTACAAGTGTGAGCCACTGAGCCTGACCTCTTTCCCCAGATTTAATACTCCCTCTTGCATCGGTATTAGTAATATACATGAGTGTACGTATTATTTTGACTTTAAAATTTGCCAACATTAAGCTGTCACAAGAATCTTTTATAGTTTTTCGAAAGGTCATATACTATTCTCATTCCTAATATTGTTGATTTCTATTTTCCCTCTCTCAATCAGACTTGTCTATTTATTTAGTATTTTCAAATAACCAATTTTGGTTTATCAATTCCACTTTACTTGTAATTCCTTCTTTTGAATCTGTTGTTCTTTTTCTAGCTTTGTAAATTGAGTGTTTACTTTATATTGTAATATTTCTTCCTTAATTATGAAAGAACATAGGGCTAGAAATTTTTGTTAGGTCATAACTATGGCCACAGCCCATAGTGGTGATTTATAGGATTCCTGCTGTCATTTATTTCAAAATAATCTTGAATTCCTTCCGTAATCCAAATGTTATTTAGATGTTTTAATATTTTCAAATGGTTAGATTTTGTTATCTGTTTAGCGTTAATTTCTAATTTTAATGCATCATGGTTGGCAAACATGACTGATTATTTCTTCTTTTTGGAATTCATTAAAATGATCTCCGTAAGGTTCATTAGTTTTGACTGGAGAGAGGTCCCTCCAAAAATCTCTTTCCAAATAAACACTGATGCTGACTTCGAGGACATCAAAATAAAGTCTTCAAGGCTTAAATGTTTTGAAACTATCTCCTTAGTGTTCCTTTACTATTTTAAGTCAATAAATTATGAATCCAAGATAATGTGCCTTTTTATTTTATTTTATTTTATTTTATTTTATTTTATTTTATTTTATTTATTTTGAGACAGAGTCTGGCTCTGTCGCCCAGGCTGGAGTGCAGTGGCACAATCTTGGCTCACTGCAAGCTCCACCTCCCGGGTTCACGCCATTCTCCTGCCTCAGCCTCCCGAGTAGCTGGGACTACAGGCGCCCGCCACCACGCCCAGCTAATTTTTTGTATCTTTAGTAGAGACGGGGTTTCACCATGTTAGCCAGGATGGTTTCAATCTCCTGACCTCGTGATCTGCCCACCTAGGCCTCCCAAAGTGCTGGGATTACAGGCGTGAGCCACCATGCATGGGCCTTTTTATTTTTCAAAGCTTTCTTTCAAATAGTAACCATTCCTTTGGTTTGTACTTTACTTGGCAGAGACAAGTTTCATTATCTGCAGTTGGACTTATTTCTTCACATAAGCATAAAATATTAATATATATCTGTACACTTGGACAGGTATTAAAGGAAATAAATAAGTCTTAAGAGTATGATCTAAAATAACTAAATTTTCTTTTATTTTTAATTCAAAGAATAGAGAAAGCCATTGCATTTCATATAATGTGAAGATTAAGCTGTTCTTTTCATCTGTTTTGCAAATTGAGTTAAATGATAATATATGGAAATCATAATGTACCATCAGGAAGTAGAGGGGTCAGGGCCTAAAGGTAGTACATGAAACTCATCTGTAGTCAGAATTACTCTTGAGAGACTAAAAGACAATGTAACCAACTGTTGCCAGGGGTCACCTTTGGGGAGTACAGTAGGAATACGAGGTGGGAGTGGGAAAGAAGGGGAAATCTCATATTTTGCTCTATACACTCCTGTACTGTACGAACTCTTTATAATAATCCTGTATACATGAATTACTCACTTTGTAATTATAAGAAAACAAAAAAAATTTATCCTAAAGGTGCCTATGACTTTTAGTTTAGACATACAACTTTGCTCTAAATCCAGAGCAGCCAGTCCCCACAATGCCCCCATCACCCCCAGCACTAGGGTATCAAGAAAAACACCAGATAAAGTACTTGACTTGTTTTGGTGCCATATTATACAGAAATTTATATCTTTAAATATTCTAGAAGCAGAGTGCCACAAGGTGCTCCCATAAGAACATAGGAATCAAGACTGCACACGGATCATGTCCATTTTAGGTCTTTTAACACACATGCTGATTGAAGGAAACAGCACATTTATTTATTATATCAGACAAAGAGCTTTGTTTTGGTGATTTGCTTACTGTCTAGCAGCCTCGAGCCCATCTTCTACATTTAGCTGCTCTTCGACACTGCGGCCAGGACTCCCAAACTACATTTCCTAGGCCTCCTTGTCAGCTGGTTTCCAGCTGTGTTCTAACAAAGGAAGGTGGAAGAAGAGAAGAAACTTCCTTCCTGTTTCCACCTTCTTCTGGCATCACTCTTGCATGTGAAGGTAGCTATGGCTCCACCCTCCAACTCCTTTTTTTTTTTTTTTGAGACGGAGTCTTGCTCTGTCGCCCAGGCTGGAGTGCAGTGGCGCGATCTCGGCTCACTGCAACCTCCGCCTGCAGGGTTCAATCAATTCTCTGTCTCAGCCTCCCGAGTACTTGATATTACAGGTGCCCACCACCATGCCCAACTAATTTTTTTGTATTTTTAGTAGAGACTGGGTTTCACCATCTTGGCCAGGCTGGTATTGAACTCCTGACCTTGTGATCCGCCTGCCTTGACCTCCCAAAGTGCTGGGATTATAGGCATGAGCCAGCGCAGCCAGCTCCAGCTCCTTTTTTTTTTTTTTTGAGATGGAGCTTCGCTCTTGTTGCCCAGGCTGGAGTGCAATGGCGCGATCTTGGCTCACTGCAACCTTCGCCTCCCAGGTTCAAACGATTCTCCTGCCTCAGCCTCCCGAGTAGCTGGAATTACAGGCATGCACCACCATGCCCGGCTAATTTTTTGTATTTTTAGTAGAGATGGCGTTTCTCCATGTTGGTCAGGCTGATCTCGAACTCCCAACCTCAGGTGATCCGCCCACCTTGGCCTCCCAAAGTGCTGGGATTACAGGCGTGAGCCACTACGCCCGGCCTTTTTTTTTTTCTTGAGACGGCGTTTCACTCTTGTTGCCCAGGCTGGAGTGCAATGGCACAATCTCGGCTCACTGCAACCTCCGTCTCCCAGGTTCAAGTGATTCTTCTGCCTCAGCCTCCTAAGTAGGTGAGATTACAGGCATGCACCACCACACCCAGCTAATTTTTTTATTTAGTAGAGATGGGGTTTCACCATGTTGGTCAGGTTGGTCTCAAACTCCTCACCTCAGGTGATCCACCCACCTCGGCCTCCCAAAGTGCAGGGATTACAGGGGTGCGCCACCGTGCCTGGCCCTTCAGCTCCTTTCAACAGCCCATGCACCAGCTGCTCTGCACCACTCTGAAGTCCCAGCACCACGTGACCCTGCCACCTCACAGTCTGAGCACGGGCTACCCCAGGCCTTTCTTCTGAGCTCCTAAACTTCTGGTAACCCCACCTTTTCCTTCTTGTTCCTTTTATTGCTCTCTCAGTCTTCCCATACCTGTGTAACCAATTTTGTGTATTAAACTGTCTCTGTTTAAGAAGTGAGCCTGGTCTGTGATTTCCTGGATGAGATTTTAACCAATTCCATATGACTACACTTTTGTAAATTAAAAACGCTTAGGATGTCAGCCAAAGTAGGATGTTGTGTCTTCTACTATGCGGTGGTATAAAACTATCCAATGAAATTTGTTCAGAAGACGCATGGTAGTTATTTCCCTGAAGAAGCACGATCCTCAATGCATGAAAAAGAGGAGACAGAAAAGAAGGAGGGTTCATCAGAACAAGAATGGAGGATATTGTTCTCTGCCTGGTCCAAGCCTCATCCCCACTGGTCCTAGAACTGCCAGCTCATTTGCATCAAGTATTAGCATCTTCTAAGCTTTAGTCATTGTATATAAATTTATCTGTGATTTTTTACTCTTAGCTCCAAATATTGGCAAATGGCATCTTTTATGTATTGTATCTAGGGTAATCTACTTAAATTTATAAAGTGGCTTTCAAAATTGTAAAAGAAGTTGCAGGATATGAGATCTCTGTCCAAAAAAATAATAATTGAGAAAGTCCATGGCATATTTAGTTCAGCATATTTAGCTAATTATAATTTTAAAGGACAATATTAATCATAACAACTAAATCTAATAATTGTTGAACACTTATGCCTGGCACTGTGCTTACGGCCTTACATATATTTTATCAATTAATTTTTACCATACCCAAAATGTACCATATGAAATAAGGACTATTATTATTCTCATTTTCCAGATGAAGAATCTGAGATACAGAAATATTAAGTAATTGATCTAAGTTCACAGAGGTTATAAAGTAAGTAGTTGTAGTATTAGCTATTGGGTATGAATTAAATGTAAAGTTTTGGTAAAGGATTGGAAACTCTGGCCCTAAGAGAGAAAGCATGGAAGGAAGTCTAAGATTCTAGTGTGACATATTTTGGGAACTTGCATTTAAATTTGATTTCTGTATAACGAAATTCAATGAATAGTTTGCGTCTTTAATTTTTTTTTTTTTTTGAGATGGAGTCTTACTCTGTCGCCAGGCTGGAGTGCAGTGGTACAACCTTGGCTCACTGCAACCTCTGCCTCCTGGGTTCAAGTGATTCTCCTGCCTCAGCCTCCCAAGCAGCTGGGACTACAGGCGTGTGCCACCACACCCAGCTAATTTTTGTATTTTTAGTAGAGATGGGGTTTCACCATGTTGGCCAGGATGGTGTCGATCTCTTGACCTCGTGATCTGCCCACCTCAGCCTCCCAAAGTGCTGAGATTACAGGCCTGAGCCACCGCACCCGGCCATTTTTTTTTTTTCTTATTATTCTCCATCAAAGAAGTAGTATAATGTGATCATGTTAGACACTAGGTACAATCTTGGCTCTGTCAACAAAAAGCAGGTGACCTTGGGCAAGTTTTCCAACCTCTCTGTGCTCTCATCTGTAGGGCAGAGATGATCCTAACACCTACGCCATAAGGTGGTTGGATGAGTCAAATGAGAGTCACATAAAGTACTCAGTACTTTGCTATAATTTACATAGCAGTGTACAATGATTAGAGGAAGAATAAGAACAATTTTTTTATTCACTAAAATATCCAACTATTTAAGACATGAGATAATGTCTCAAGTAAAAACTTTTCTCCCCAATGGTATACGTGGATTTAAGTCTAGTTCCATCCTACTGGGTGAAAATAATAATTATTATTATTATTCTGAAACTGTTTTAAAAAATCTAGCTTCCTGTGGAGGTTATAGTTTGGTGGGTGCATCATCACCACTAAACACACACAGTATAGTGATGGTCACACAACAATGTGAATGTCCTTAGTGCCACTGAACTGTAGGTGTAAAAATAGTTAAAACGGTCTTTCTTTTTGAGATGGAATTTTGCTCTTGTTGCCCCGACTTGTGTGCAATGGCATGATCTCGGCTCACCGCAACCTCCGTCTATCGGGTTCAAGGGATTCTCCTGCCTCAGTCTCCCAAGTAGCTGGGATCACAGGCATGCGCCACCACCCCCAGCTAATTTTGTATTTTTAGTAAAGATGGAGTTTCTCCATGTTGGTCAGGCTAGTCTCGAACTCCCGACCTCAGGTGACCCACCCGCCTTGGCCTCCCAAAGTGCTGGGATTACAGGCATGAGCTACTGTGCCTGGCCACGCCTGGCTTTTAAATTAGCCTTAGAGTGGGTTCAATGTGGATGGATTTATTCAACAGCAAATTGAGAAGTTATTATTCAAAGGGTACCCGCAGACTGATATAGCACAACAAAAATGGAGAGAGAGGATGATTTTTCTTCTTTGATAGAAGAACACTTTTAGCAGGGTAACCCAAGCTAAACAGATGTAAAAGAAACAAGGTGGAATCAGTTTGATCTTATCTTTGAAAAGCAGAAAAACAGTGAACTGAACTGAGAAGCCTACTGAGTTTTCTACCATTTTCATGAAATGCTTGATTAGGCTGAAACTAGTGCACATTCTTTCCTCATGATGCTGTGATGTGTGTTATTGCTTTCCACACTGTCAGTCACTTTGGTCTTGCTCGCCTTCACTCCCACATCTATGGGAAGTGATTCACATTTTTGTTCTCATATGGTCATTCAATAGTGTTGAACATACTGTTATGTGGCTCGATGACCCCGGCTATTCCTGCAAGTCCACTCTCTTTTCTAAAAATAGAAATGTGCGTTAGGAATTAAAAGCACCTCATGTTTGATTGTGTTCATGTTCTTTGAATTATCCTGCAGCTTGAGTCACACATTCAATTTAGAGAACAAAAATAATAGCTGCTAATAATGTCTACAAAGAAAATACTTTCAGAAACCCTGATTTGAGCCAGACGTCCAAAGTCAAACCTCCGGGTGGACATTCCCCTCAGGTGAACCATCTGAAAAGACCAGTCAGTGGAGTGGGGGACGCTCCAGGCACCAGCAATGGCGCAACTGTCTCTTCCACCAAAAGGCACAAGTCCCTTTTTCAGTGCGCGAAATGTAGTTTTGCCACAGACTCGGGGCTCGAATTTCAGAGCCACATACCTAAGCACCAGGTGGACAGCTCCACAGCCCAATGTCTCCTCTGTGGTTTGTGCTACACCTCTGCCAGCTCCCTCAGCCGCCACCTCTTCATTGTCCACAAGGTGAGAGACCAGGAGGAGGAGGAGGAAGAGGAGGCGGCGGCAGCGGAGATGGCAGTGGAGGTGGCAGAGCCAGAGGAGGGCTCCGGGGAGGAGGTGCCCATGGAGACTAGAGAGAATGGACTGGAAGAATGTGCCGGTGAGCCTTTGTCGGCTGACCCAGAGGCGAGGAGATTGCTGGGCCCGGCCCCTGAGGACGACGGTGGCCACAATGATCACAGTCAACCACAGGCCTCTCAGGACCAGGACAGCCACGCACCATCCCCTCAGGTGTGACCGGAGACTTTGCAGTGTGCATGGTCAGGGGTGGTGCCGAAGCGTCTTCCACCTGCCGTGCGGACCGTGGAAAATAAAAGGCTCTGCCCCCGGGGTGAGTGTGGCCGGTTGTACCCTGCAGTAGCGTCTGCCCTGAGCTGCCAGTGCTGGGTATCCCCCAGCCCCAGGAAATGTGGGGTCGGCCGGGACCCTCACAGCTCTGAATTTGCTTCTGTTATTTACGGCTTTTTGCTGCTTCTTGGTACCCCATCTCCTGTCTGTGTCCTTCCAACCCCAGGCTGCTTATGTGGCCCAACCCCAATGCTGTCAACTAGGCTTGAACCCCACAGCGGCTGTGCTCTTCTGGGAGGTTCCCGCTTGCTGCCTTCAGCCAGGGCGCTCCTCAGAGCCCTGTTTTCCTGCAGACACCAGCTCTCCTTCCTGCCTTTAGATCCTGAGAAGGAGGGAAATGAGGGGTGCTGACACAGTCCCTCTGGGAGAGCTCTGCCTAGTCTGGTTTGGTGAGGCCCTTGATCACCTTGGCCCTCCTCCCTGTCTTCTCTGATTCTTTTCCCTCAAAATAGTCCTGAGAACTAATTGTCACACTGGCTTATCATGTCTCTGTGGGTGAGGTGGGAGAAGCCTCTGCTGCACACCTCTGTTTGGAACCTGGGCAGAGCAGGAGGTAAGGCAAAGGCAGGCAGGCACCAAGAACCAGACCCCTTGAGAAGGCGCTGTGGGTGGGTCTTTGTTCTGCTGTTCTGCCTTTCCTGACAGGTGGGGTTGGGGCACACAGACATTGGAATATTTGTACTGCTCTCGTGCCATTTGAGAGGCTGCTGCCCCAGGCAGGCCAGCCCCTACTCCTCTTGGCTACACTCATGTTGCTCAGACTATATTTCAAATAAAAAAATCTTCTCACCATGAAAAAAAAAAAAAAAGAAAAGAAAATACTTTCATAATCTTGGTCACATTTAACAGTATACGGAGTCCACAGCCAATCACTTGAAAATCTGGTCCTATGCATAGATCTATGATTCCAAGCGGCAAGAAAGCAAATCTTCCGGGGAAACAAAAAGTGTTACATTCCTTAGTTTTAAGTTCCTATTTCAAAGGATAGAAAGGGAGGCTGTTACCTGTATCCCGATAGACAGGCATCGATTTTTCTTAAAGTGGTCCTTCTTCCTGTCCTCCGTGGTGACGGTGGCTATGGTAGTCGTGGTGGTGACGGTGGCAGTGTTATTGCCCATGTGTTGACTGGCAGGGCCATGGATCTGGGCGTTTGCAGCTTCGATGGCGGCTGTCAGAGCCTTCATACTGTCCAGGCTCTCGGTGGAGTTGCTGAGTCCAGACTGGCTGATAATATCTCCTCGCTGGCCCTGTCCGTCCATGTAGGCATCCTGGGCTGACTCTGTGCTACTCTGGGCTGTGATAGAAATGAAAGGTTTCGTGGTAGTTCTGGGTGGGACTGGAGGTGGTGTCTTCTTATATGTTGTAATGCAAGATGACACTGGAAGACAGTGAAAACAAAGACAATGTGATTTCTGCGTGGGTTTTAATTTCTGATATTGTAACTGACAGCCATTGGGAATTAGGGCACATGAAACACACTGAGACATTTAACAGGAAAACAAGTTCCATTGACAGGCTGAGACCCCTGCTCTCCGGAGGTGGTTTGGGTCTCCTCTGAGGTGACACCTCCACAAAACTGAGGGAGAAAAACACCGGGAAATATCAATCTCTGAAATGGAAGTTTCTAAAATGGAAATTAATATGAATCAACATAAACTAGATACGATTAGCCCTCTGTCGAAACCTTCCCAGCCAACAAATTGTATAGGCACATAGAAAAGGTGAGGGGAGTTTCTGTCTTCAGGGAAAAAACTAAATATAGCTAATATTAAACAGAGTAACTCATTAGAAGAGATTTTAGTGGTTGATAATAAATATGGAAAAAGAAAAAAGGAAGGCAAAGAGGTTGTGAGGATGCGTGTTCTGATCCTAATAACAAGGACGAGGTGTCTGGGGGAGAAGGGTACACACGCCATGGTAGCTGCTGCAACTTGTTTATCGAAGCCAGTTCCTTCCTTCCTTCTTTCCTCCCTCCCCCCTCCCTCCCTCCCTCCTTCCTTCCTTCTTTCCTTTCTTCCTCCCTGCTTTTCCTTTTTCCCTCCTTCCTGTAAAAATATTTTTAAAAAATAGAGAGGAGGTCTCTCTGTGTTGCCCAGGCTGGTCTTGAACTCTGGGCTCAAGAGATCCTCTCCCTTAGGCCTCCTTTCAAAGGACAGAAGAGGAAGCTGTTGCCTATATCCTGACAGACAGACACATAGAAGTGCTGGGATTACAAGCGTGAGCCACCGGGCCCGGCCACTTCCCACCTTTCTGTCTTTCTGCCTGACTGACCGACCTACCTACCTACCTACCTACCTACCTACCTACCTACCTACCTTCCTTCCTTCCTTCCTTCCTTCCTTCCCTCCTCCCTCCCTCCCTTTCTCTCTCTGTCCCTCTGTGTTTCCCCACCTCCTTCCCTTCTTTCCTTCCTTCCCTCCTTCAGTCTTTTTCTTTTCTCTGTCTACCTGTCTTGTCATCCTTCCTTTTCCTTCTCTCTCTCTCTCCGTCTCCCTCTTTCTTGTCTTTCCCCTTCCTCCTCCTCTCTGTCTTCCTTCTTCACTTCCACCTTGCCTATCTCTCTCTCTGTCTTTTTCTGGATAAACTCTCACTATATAAACTTCTTTTGTTTAATTTTTGCTTGTTTCTGAGCAGAACTACTCACTGAGAGTATTTACACTGTACAAAAGTCTCCTATTGTAGAAATTAATCCACATGCTAGCTTATAAATCAGTCTTCGTGGGTTTGGTCTGTATGAGTCACTCCCTAAAGTGTCTTTCTTTAGGGCAACTTGGTCAAGTCAAGGGCCTGAATCTGACTGGGTGTGGTGGCTCTCGCCTGTAATCCCAGCACTTTGGGAGGCCCAGGCGGGTGGATCACCTGAGGTCAGGAGTTTGAGACGAGCCTGGTCAACATGGTGAAACCTCATCTGTACTAAAAATACAAAAATTAGCCGGGTGTGGTGGTGCATGCCTGTAATCCCAGCCACTTGGGAGACTGAGGTAGCAGAATTGCTTGAACCTGGGGGGAGGAGGTTGCAGTGAGCTGAGATCGTGCCACTGCACTCCAGCCTAGGCCACAGAGCAAGATTCGGTCTAAAAAAAATGGTGGGGGCCTGAATCTAGGCTGCTGAGTACAATTTTGGACCCGTACAAGGGGGTCAAGGTCTATTTGGAGGCTCCCGACAGCAGCCTCAGCCCCTCCCTCTAGCCATTTGATTACAACGCTGAGGGTTTTGAAGAAGCTTTACACGTTGGCTTTCAGTTTCTCATTTGTAAAGCATGATTTAAGAAAATAAGGATCAAAAATGAATTAAGTTTCCAAGTGGGACTCCGGTCAGTGAAGCACAATTCCTTAAGCAGCTATTATAAATTCATTCAAATAATTATGCTTCCATCATTTCCTCCCCACCCCACCCCAGCCCACCCACTCTCACAGGTGGTGTCACTGTGGCTCCATCACATCAGCTAGACCTGGCCATGCAGTCCCAACTTGTTACCTACAGTTCCAGCTGCCAACTCAGGCCATCTCACTGAATGAAATACTTGCTTCAACATTGAAGATGTTTCCTCTGGCCACTCAGAGGAAACACCCTATAATGAACAATAAACAAAAGGACTCTATTATGCTGTCCTGCTGTTTCAGTGGCCTATGATTTGGAGTAATTTCCTTAACCATAAAATAGATGGAGACAATAATGTTTGGCTATTTCCCAGGGATTGCCTGAGTATTGGAGGAATAAATCAAGCAAATGTCTCATTACAATATCATATGGACTCTGGGATGGGGAAAGACAAGGTGCATGACATAGAGGCAGTCACCCCTCATTCCCTGGGTGGATGACTGGCAGAGGCCCAGCCCAGGAGAACTTCCCATCTATGTTGACTCATGAAACACACAACTTCATCTCTCTTTTTTTTAGAGATAGGGTCTCACTCTGTCATCAGGTTGGAAGGCAGTGGCACGATCATGGCTCACTGCAGCCTCGATCTCCTAGGCTCAAGCAATCCTCCCACTTCAATCTCTTGAGCAGCTGGGACTAACAGGTGTGCACCACCACATCCAGCTAATTTTTTATTTTTTGTAGAGATGGGGGTCTTGTTGTGTTGCCCAGGCTGGTCTTGAACCCCTGGCTTCAAGCGATCCTCCCATCTTGGCCTCTCAAAGTGCTGGGATTAGAGGCATTAGCCACTATGCCATGCCCGGCCCATCTTTATCATTTGAATGCAGCTCAACAATAAGTGTCGACTTCCTCATTTTTTAGCTAATGCACCTGACAGGAAATACGACTCAGGGAAAATACAGTGCTTGCAAGGTGCAGAGTCAGGAGCGAGCCAGCCAGCCTCAGGTTCTTCCCACTAGCCCACAGCTAAGCCTCTGGCTAAACAATGCCAGTGCATATACATTGTAAATATCTTGCCTCACTCAATTTAGTTTCTTGCATCCAAACCATGGTGGAGCTCTGGTTCCCAGAGAGGCATGAGTGATGGTAGTCCTGCTGGGAGTAACGCTCATCTCAGTGATTCAGCTGAAGACCCAGAGTGGGTGGGAGCCATAATTAGGATAGAACCTCTCCCTGCTAAAATTGAATGAAACTACAGCATTGTACCACTTCTCCTAAGACATGTCTTTACAACGTGAACTCACTATTTTGTTCAAAATGGATTCTCAGGACATTCCGCCCACTGATATTTCAAGAAGCTAAATAACATATTCCAACATCAAATGTCTGATCTTTTGGATTATGTATTGCTTCTTGTTAGCTCTCCTTGGTTTCTTCTTTTAGTGTGGATAATCCAAACTGGACAGTGAGGCCAGGCACAGTGGTTCACACCTGTCATCCCAGCGTTTTGGGAGACTATGGTGGGAGGACTGCTTGAGTCCAGGAGTTGCAGACCAGCCTGGGCAAGATAACGAGATCCCATCTCTACACAATTAGAAAACAAAACCAAACAGTCCCCCTCCAAAAAAAAGCTAGATAATTCAGCCAAATATGGAATCATTTGATTTGCTGTGACATACAGTAAAAATCCTGCCATGATGTGATAAGTGGGGGTGGGAGGGGCTAGTTCACATTGTTTCCAACGCATGACTGACCTTGGGGACTGAGCCTCCAGTGCGGCTCCTACACTCCCCAGGCCAACTGCAATTGGACGCCACCTGGTGGCTGTTGTCAGCTCATCTTCGCTATCGATAGGGATAACTCTGGATACCTTGCTCAACAGGGACATTGGCAGAGTTCCAGTAATGCTTGACATCTACCATGGTTAGACTGGACAGGGAGAATACTGGAGACATGGCTTCTCCAACAGGGTGGTCCAGCCCCCAACACCCAAAGAAGATAAGATTTTGAGATCCCCCCCAACTTCGAATAAGGGAGCTGAATGGAGGGCAGGAACCATCTCCCATGTTGTTATACGGAGGGACATTACTCATTATTATGAGGCTTAAGGAAAGGAACCATCTCCCATGTTGTTATACGGAGGGGCATTACTCATTATTATGAGACTTAAGGACAGGAACCATCTCCCATGCTGTTATGCTGAGGGACTTTACTCGTTATTATGAGGCTTCACTGCAGTGAGCGGCACTGTCCAGTCATGGGCTAGGAAGGTAAAAGGAATTCAAATCTTCATGACTGCTTTTTTTTTTTCAACTACAGACGGGATCTCACTGTGCTGTGTACGCTGGCCTTGAACTCCCAGATTTAAGAGATCCTCCCCCTCTGCCTGCTGAATAGGTGGCACAACGGGCGCATGCCACCATGCCCGGCTTAAGATTGCCATTTGAAGGAGAGGAAAGGGATTCAAATCACAACTCACACTTCCCCATAGTTCCCCTTCTTCATTTTCCAATTCTTCTGCACTCCAAAACTCATACAACGAAATCCTTCCATTTTCCCCAACATCCCCCTTTCCTAGATTTGCTAAGCCCTAAACCCACACTTCTCTCCTAAGGGTATTTTGTTTGTTGGTTGGTTGGTTTCAGTTCTACTCTCAGAATTCAGTGCCAGGAAAGATTTAGAACCCACTGAGAAGGTCTGAGCACCAGCAGGTGTGTGACACATAAGAGTGAGACTGAAGGAGGGTGAAACACCAGCCAATATGTTTGTCTTGCCTGGTCAAAACAGAAAGAGAAAATGAGAAAGAGAAAAAGAGAAAACGAGCAGTTTCTATACAGTAAGTGAAACATCTGATTTGTTTAAGAGTGACGTTCTCTTTTTATTTTGAGACGGAGTTTCGCTCTTGTCGCCCAGGTGCAATGGTGCAATCTCGGCTCACTGCAACCTCTGCCTCCCGGGTTCAAGCAATTCTCCTGCCTCAGCCTCTGGAGTAGGTGGGATTACAGGCCTGCGCCACCATGCCTGGCTAATTTTTGTGGGTTTAGTAGAGACAGAGTTTCACCATGTTGGCCAGGCTAGTCTCAAACCCCTGACCTCAGGTGATTCACCTGCCTCGGCCTCCCAAAGTGCTGGGATTACAGGCATGAGCCACCGCTCCCTGCAAGAATTGAGAGGTGAAGCCAGCTGGACTTCCTGGGTCGAGTGGGGACTTGGAGAACTTTTCTAGCTAAAGGATTGTAAACGCACCAATCAGCACCTGTGTCTAGCTAAAGGATTGTAAACGCACCAATCGGCACTCTGTAAAAACGGACCAATCAACACTCTGTAAAACGGATCAATCAGCAGGACGTGGGCGGGGACAAATAAGGGAATAAAAGTTGGCCACCCCAGCCAGCAGCAGCAATCCCGCTTGGGTCCCCTTCCATGCTGTGGAAGCTTTGTTCTTTCGCTCTTCACAATAAATCTTGCTGCTGCTCACTCTTTGGGTCCACACTACCTTTATGAGCTGTAACACTCATTGTGAGGGTCTGTGGCTTCATTCCTGAAGTCAGCGAGACCACTAACCCACCGGGAGGAACAAACAACTCCGCACACACCAGCTTTAAGAGCTGTAACACTCACCATGAGGGTCCGCGGCTTCATTCTTGAAGTCAGCAAGACCAGGAACCCACAAGAAGGAATAAATTCCAGACACAGAATGACGTTCTCAAAAACAATGATTTTTAAAATGTAAGTGGAACTTGAAAAAAGAAATGATGCTGTATTTTTTATCACCATTACTGCTTTCCTTTGCCCTGATAAGTTTTTTGTTCATTTCAAATGAAATTATTTTTTTCCTCATCTGGCTGAAAGGACTCTTATCCATTTATGAGAGAGTTGCAGAACTAGAGCTGCAGATTTCAGTGACATTTTCATTCAGTGGATACTGTAGTGCACAGAGAGACCAGAGGTTGGTATTTACATTTAAGAAGTTATATATTTTTGGGGCCGGGCGCTGTGGCTCACGCCTGTAATCCCAGAACTTTGGGAGGCTGAGGCGGCCAGATCACCTGAGGTTGGGAGTTCGAGACCAGCCTGAACAACATGGAGGAACCCCATCTCTACTAAAAATACAAAATTAGTCAGGCGTGGCAGCACATGCATCTAACCCCAGCTACTCGGGAGGCTGAGGCAGGAGAATCACTTGAACCTGGGAGGCGGAGGTTGCGGTGAGCCGAGATTGCGCCATTGCACTCCAGCCTGGGCAATAAGAATGAAACTCCGTCTCAAAAAAAAAAAAAGTTATATTTTTAAGAAAGACATTATACGGCAGAGTGCGGTGGCTCGCTCCTGTAATCCCAGCACTTTGGGATGCTGAGGCAGGTGGATCACAAGGTCAGGAGATCAAGACCATCCTGGCCAACATGTTGAAACCCCATCTCTACTAAAAATACAAAAATTAGCCAGGCGTGGTGGTGTGTGCCTGTATTCCCAGCTACTCAGGAGGCTGAGGCAGGAGAATTGCTTGAGCCCGGGAGGCGGAGGTTGCAGTGAGCCAAGATCGCGCCACTGCACTCCAGCCTGAGCGACAGAGCGAGACTCCATCTCAAAAAAAAAAAAAAGAAAAAAGAAAGAAAGACATTATAGAGAAAACAACACATTCCTATCATTTCAGCTTCGAGCTAGCTCATGATTGAATATTGCCTACATTTGTATGGAAAGATAATGCGGCCAGGCGCGGTGGCTTATGCCTGTAATCCTGGCACTTTAGGAGGCCAAGGCAGGGGATAATTTGAGGTCGCGAGTTCGAAACCAGCCTGGTCAACATGGTGAAACCCCGTCTCTACTAAAAATATATAAAAAAAAATTAACCCAGCGTGGTGGCAGGCGCCTGTAATCCCAGCTATTTGGGAGGCTGAGGCGGGAGAACTGCTTGAACCCAAGAGGCAGAGGTTGCAGTGAGCCAAGATCGTACCTCTGCACTCCAGCCTGGGCGACAGAATGAAACTCCGTCTGAAAAAAAGAAAAAAAAGAAAAAAAGAAAGTGTTGCAAGCTTCAGGAAGGCCTGGGCCAGAGATTATTTTATTCTGTAGTGGTGAAGATGTTCTGGCAAATTATCCAGACTCTCTTTCCACTCTGGTTATCCTTCAAGTTTAACAGCACACAAGTGTCAGGCGGCCACAAAACAGATGTGAGATCAAACTCCCTTTTTGTGCCTTTTTATTCATAAACCCTTACCAGCTAAGCGAATGGATCATACACCATAAGCTATGTAGAGCAACTATTTAGCAGTTCCTGATTACTGCATTTTAGAAATTCTTTAAAACATGAGAGAGCAAGTCCATAAGGAACCACAAATAAAAACACAATAAGACAAAGTAATTAAACTTATATATAAATTAAATTATATATAGATATATATGCAGATGTCCCAGAGTCAAGTAACATCTTTTTGATGTAAACATGTTGTTACCCCAAGGCGTTGTTATTAAGTGCAGCTATTATCAAGCAAGCTGTGATTTGATCATCCTTGAGAAGTGGCAGCGCCTACACAGAGCTCATGGGGAAAGCAACCTTGGATTTGCTGTGAGTTCTATCAGATGGTGTCATCTTACTGAGATGAAGACTACCAGAGAGAAGGGCTGCCTTGGTCCACTGTCTAAAATCTGCTGAGGGCAAAGTTCTCCCGATTTGGTCCAGGTGATCAGCAGTTGTTCAACAAGCCCTCAAAAAGAAGGCCTTTATTTCTTTATTTGAGACAGAGTTTCGCTCTTGTTGCCCAGGCTGGAGCGCAATGGCACCGTCTCGGCTCACTGCAACATCCACCTCCCAGGTTCAAGCAATTCTCCTGCTTCAGCCTCCTGAGTAGCTGGGATTACAGGCATGTGCCACCACACCAGGCTAATTTTTTTTATTTAATAGAGATGGGGTTTCACCATGTTGGTCAGGCTGGTCTCGAACTCCTGACCTCAGGTGATCCAGCTCCCTTAGCCTCCCAAAGTGTTGGGATTACACGTGTGAGTCACTGTGCCTGGCCAAAAGGGCTTTATTAAAAAGATTTTTAAAATCTAATGGGGTTGACAGAAGCGTGCTGGAACTGGCCCTTCTCAGCTTGCTAAGCTCGATTGTGCACATTTCTTTCTACCTCTGTATTCAGTCACTTTTCACTGTTAGCTTGAAATTGTTGACCTTGGTGTATTTACACCATGGAAATCAGCAAATGCCTGAAATCCAGGTTCCCCCCTGTGGATTTTCTTCAATCAGAGAGCCGGTTGTTAAGCATTTCCAACACCCCTGTGTGTACAGAGCAGGGTTATTCAAAGCCTGGTCTGCAGAGTGGTGCCCGTTTGCAAACTGTGTCACAGTGCAGGGTGACACATGCTATGAAAATTGAGTGTAGGGTCAGGTACGGTGGCCCACACCTGTAATCCCAGCACTCTGGGAGGTCGAGGCCAGTGGATCACCTGGGGTCAGGAGTTTGAGACCATCCTGGCGAACATGGTGAAACCCTGTCTCTACTAAAAATACAAAAATTAGCCGGGGGTGGTGGCACATGCCTGTAATCCCAGCTACTCAGGAGGCTGAAGCAGGAGAATTGCTTGAACCCGGGAGGTAGAGGTTGCAGTGAGCCGCAGAGGTTGTAGTGAGCCGAGACGGTGCCATTGCACTCCAGCCTGGGCAACAAGAATGAAACCCCGTCTAAAAAAAAAAACAAAGAAAATTGAATGTAAGTGTTTAGAAACTTTTATAGCAATTTTATAGAGTGTTTTACCTGTTGAATCTAAAAACAAAACAAAACAAAACAAAAATTATGGGTTTGTTTTTTGTATGTCTTAAAAAAAAAGTCCTCTTTCTAGTAATTCTTTTTTGTTGCATTTTACCAAAGCACTAATCTGCAGCAGATTGAGGGCAAACAAACAAACTGGTCCCTTACCAGAGATAGGCTGAGAAGCACTGAAAAGAACATTTGCAAATCCAGGGAACAGGGCAGAGGTAGTACAAGTGAGATTAAGAATATATTCAAGAGGTAACTTGAAGCCACAGGCTATTTTAGAAAACAAAATGATGTGAAGAGGCCAAAAGAAAAAAAAGAAACTTGGAAGGACCTAAACTGGGGACATAAATGTATTTCTATTGTAGAAATACAGAATGGGAACGATTGGACTTATGGTTGTAATGTCAGGTAAGGTGTCTATTTCAGGAAAGGCATGTAGGATTAGAAGTATGGACCTAGGCCTGTTGCGGTGGCTCATTCCTGTAATCCCAGCACTTTGAGAGGTCCAGGTGGGAGGATCTCTTTGAGCTCAGGAGTCTGAGACCAGCTAGAGCAACATGGTGAAACCCATCTCCACAAAATTATCCAGGAGTGGTAGAATCCTGCCCCAGCCTTCCAAGTAGGTGGCACCTGTAGTCCCAGCTACTTGGAAGGCTGGGGCGGGAGGATTGCTGAAGCCCAAAAGATTGAGGTTGCAGTGAGCCAAGATCACACCACTCCAGCCTGGCGACAGAGCAAGACTACGTCAAAAATAAAAAACAAAAAATAAAAATAAAAAGACGGGGTGTTTCATTTGGAAAAGAAGAAAGGGGGGTTTTCAATTATTTGGAGGGCTCTTGCTTAGAGGATAGCATGGGCCTGTTTTGTATAAGTCCCCAAAGGAACAACAAAGGCAAGGGCTCAGAGAGGCATAAAGAATAATTCTCCAGGCATTGATTGTCCGTCCATAGAAGGAATATGAGGACCTCATAACAGAGGGAGTTCTCAGCCCCTGGACCTGTTCAAGCACAGACCAGCACATCTTTTGGCTGGGAGGCTATAGCAATTGTACCAACATCTGATAGGGGGCTCAACTAGATGACAAGGTTTCTTTCAAATTGGATGGTTATGATAATGAGTGAAATTTAGACAAGAATTTGCAAACTAGGGAGGGTCCCACAGAGAATGATGCTGAAGAGCTGAAGAAAGAAGCCAAAAAAGGAGGCCAGAGAAAGAGCTCCAACGAGGCTGTCTGGTAGCAATGATGAATGTTCTGCCATCTTGGGAAAGCAGCTGGCACTGATGAGGACAAAATAACTAATAGACAAGTTTGCTGCTGCTGCTTCCAGCCAAGCAGACCCCATAGTTGTGCACTTAACAGTGCATCATAGGGCTCCTGCTCCTTGCGGTGATGTGTTATGCTGGCCGGACTTTCCAACAAATGCCAGACAAATCAGCGGTCTGGCTGGAGTCCTCCACCGGCAAAAATGCGCAAACCCTGGCAACAACAAAGATGATGAGATGAGATTCAGTCCAGACCCGTGACATGCCATTAGATCTTCCTAATCACCAGAGAGCAAATCCTTACTCTGTGTACTGGACACTGTGCTAAGAACTTAATAGACATGGGGGCTGGGTGTGGTGGCTCACACCTGTAATCCCAGCACTTTGGGAGGCTGAAGCATAAGGATCGCTTTAGCCCAGGTGTTGGAGACCAGCCTGGGCAACAGAGTGAGACCTCGTCTCAAAAAAACCCAAACAACAACAACTAGCTGGTCATGGTGGTGCACGCCTGAAGTCTCAGCTACTCGGTAGGCTGAGGTGGGAGGATCACTTGAGCTTGGGAGGTGGAGGCCGCAATGAGCCATGACTGTGCCACTGCACTCCAGCCTAGGTGACAGAGCAAGACCCTGCCTCAAAAAAAAAAAAAAAAAAAAAAAAGAAAAAGAAAGAAAGAAAAAGAAAAAGAAAAAGAAAAAGAAAAAAAAGAAAGAAAAGAAAAGAAAAAGAAGAAAATAGACATGATCTCACATATGTGAAAGATCCCACTATCCCCATTTAACTGATGAAAATATTAAGGCTCAGAGCAGGCAACGGACATCCCTAACTCATCTAGAGATTCAGTGACAGAGTTAGAGTACTCAGGGCTCCAACTCCCATCTGACCATTAACTCAAACCACCTTTGTTTATCTCCCCCGCCCCCCGCCAGTAAACACTCTCTAGTAAACACCTTGTCCACTAAAGCACCGTGGTTTCCACGAGGGACTCCTTCGTGCACAGCCATCCTCACTCTGCAGGAACTCTTAAGTTTCAGTGAATGAATGAATTTGGAGTGGTCAACAAGGGGTGCACAGTTGCAACTTTTAAAATATTGCAGAAGGAGAGAAATGCCACAAAACAAAATGCACATGGAAAAATCACTACCTTATTTCAAAATATTTACAGCTTCACATTTAAGGCCACCCAAAGCGTGGCGGTCAGTGGTGAGAAGGCAGAGATCAGAGGCTGTTGGGGTGGGTCATACACCATGATTCCCGGCCCCCCTCTGGGAGATACAAGGTATCCCACAGTCTTCTCTCCCAGTTACATCCTCCACGGAAACCACAAGATGACTCGCTCAACTTTTTCTAAAGTAGAAAAAAATATGCTTGTGTGTGTGTGTAAGGGGAGGAGAGGGGATGTGAATGAAATGGAGGGTAGTGTAATAATTCCTGTAGTCATAAGACACGCCAGTTGGTAGTTGCTAGTATTCCAGACACTTCCTAACGCCAGACAAATGCCCCAAGCCTCGGCATGTCTGGCCTAGAGATCTATTCAACTGATAGCAGCCGCCTCTTCTGGGGAGAGCAGATCTTTCAGAAAGCACTGGCTGCGCTGCTAATCAAACGCAACATTGTTCTCAGCAAGGAGGAAGAATGGAAAGGTTTGTTTCAGAGTCACAACTTTATTTTTTTTAAAAGGCACCCAAGTTGTTTCAAC
The DNA here is from genome assembly GCF_000001405.40 of Homo sapiens. Classification (NCBI taxonomy): domain Eukaryota; kingdom Metazoa; phylum Chordata; class Mammalia; order Primates; family Hominidae; genus Homo; species Homo sapiens. The sequence continues at coordinate 3,593,907 of NC_000018.10, forward strand.
AAGCTGCTACAAAACTTGGGCTTCCTGAGTGGAGGCTGTTTTGCACAGTGCATGTACTGTACAAAAATCCAGGCAGGGAGGGGTCAGAGAGTTCGTCATTAAAGAAAAAAAAAAAAAAAAGCCCCAGGCACTTGATGCCTGGAAATGATGTCAGACGCAGCCACTCCTCTGTTAGAACTACAGCCAAACAATGCGCAGGCAATCCACAGCAGCTGCCCCTGCAAATGTCAGCGCCAGCCCAGTCAAAAGAGCTTGAAACCTACCAAGCCGGAGGACTGTGCTGTGCCTCTCTCGCCCACATTTTCCCCAAGCACTCTCAGGAACCTGGCAACAGGTAACGTGGCAACCTTTGACTTATAAAAGGGCAAGTGGCACAATCTCAGGGAACAAATGGACTTTTTTTTAAAGCCAGCATCTCCCCCACCACTCCCACACCCCCCTCCCTCCCTCCCTCCCTCCCAACCAAAAGTCTGTAAAAAACAAAACATTGACGCGGGCAGTCCTACTCTCTAGTGTCCCCTTGTGGCCAAGCCTGGAACATCACATCTGTACGTTGCAATCTGTGGATCAGCTACGAGGTAAGTCGCTCTTTGGAAGGGGTGGAGGTCTTTGCTGGACTTGTCTTCCGAAAAGTATGAAGAGTGGAAGTCAAGGCTCAGAATGGCGTCCTTTTTTACCTTATCACCTTAACAAAAACTTCACCTTAGCTGCAGGGTTAAACCTCTGGGTTGGGGCTGGGGATTTTCGTTGTTGTTGTTTTAAAGCAGCAGCCAAGGCCATGTTTTTTAAGGTGGTGAGTTAAACGGAGCAAGAGCTGCGGTAGCCTTTTCCACCCAATCTCTTTCTTCACATCCTAGTCACAGCCAAGGGTAGGGTGGATGGCAGTGAGGATAAACAGCCCAGAAACAGGATTCCTGCAGGGTGGGACTGGCATTTTCCATTTTTATCTGAAGTTGTACTTTGAATGCAGACACCTTTCTCTCAGGCCAGAAGCACTGCTCATTTGTATTGCTGGCTTCCAGTTAGCCTATTTGCAAGGATTACTTAGGATTTCCAGACTGCAGGCCCAGCTACCCAGAGAGTGTGCCTCAAAGCCCCACCTCAAAGCTTTTATCTCTATGTGGCGGGAAACACCCACGAAAATGCCAACGGCGGTATTTGTAACTTGCCTTCTTCCTTTTGGGAACTGCTTTCTGCAGCTCTCTCTGCGTTAGAGGAATAGCTACAGCTGGGAGCTGCTCCAGCCACGCAGGAGGAGAGGGCACCCATTGAGAGGCGGGCACCCCTTCTGTCTCCCTCTGGCTATGTTAACTGGAAACTAGGAAAGGGGTTCAGATCAAAGTAACTGCTGTCTTCAGAAAGTTCCATTCATTAACTAAGTTAGCGGAAATTAAATGGTGTTTGGAGGAAGGTCATTTCAGAAGGCCCAGGGCCAGAGGCTGAGGTCTAAAACTTCTAATCTGGACTTCTATTGAAGTTTGGCAGTAAGTTAAACAGGAAGTTGAAGGCTACCATATGTAAATCCAGTTGTTGCCTGAAATCAGTCATTTCAAGGGAGTATCTTGAAAGGACACAGACTGGGAAACAGGCATGAGAAAAAAAAAAGGAAGTAGACAGACATTTGGCTAGTATGTGCCTGGACCACTTAACACTAAAGATTAGAAACCTAGGGCTCTGAGTAAGAATCATTTGACCAGTAGCTAAAGTGAGTCATGGCCTGCACAGAACTAGGGCACACATGTTGAAGTCAGGATGTTGAGAACATCAGGCTTACTAATTTGCAAGGCAGGAGTGCTGCTTCCAGTAGGGAATGTGATCAGGATTTCACGGCTCATTTTCCCAGCCTTTCCAACAGGTGCAATCAAGTCATCCGTGTACACAAGTGACTGCCCTGTTACATCTGTTAGGATTAAATTTCCATTTGTTCCATTACTTTATATGAAGTGATTTCTACTGCTGAGTCAGACAGAACACTTCCTCTTAGACCTAGGGACTTTTTTCAACATTTTTAACAATGTGTGTGTTTTTCAAAATGTGTCCCAACCAGGTCTGCAGGTCTTCCTGGGTTGAATGGACTGTTTACAGAAGGGGAAGATTCAGGCCCAAGGTCAGGGTTACAGAATTATATAAGGTTTCCTGTTTGGGCAGCTGGTCTAGCAACACCTCTGGTTGGGGCAGACTGGGTCTTGTTGAGAGATAGCATGCCCAGGAGGCTAGGGCAGGGAGAGTGCCAGGAGCAGGAAAGAACATTTTTCTTTTCTTTTTTTTTTTAAGACCGTGTCTTACTCTGTCACCCAGGCTGGGGTGCAGTGGTGCGATCTCGGCTCACTGCAACCTCCGCCTCCCAGGTTCAAACGATTCTCCTGCCTCAGCCTCTCGTGTAGCTGGAATTACAGCCGCCCGCCACCATGCTTAGCTTATTTTTATATTTTTAATAGAGACGGGGTTTCACCATGTGGGCCAGGCTGATCTTGAACTCCTGACCTTAGATGATCTGTCTGCCTCGGCCTCCCAAAGTGCTGGGATTACAGGCTTGAACCACCAAGCCCGGCCTGACATTTTTCTTTTAAATCTTTTATCAACCAGCTTTCATTTCTTGTCAGATGTCACTTTTCAGCAACCTGTTGCTATATTCTCTGTTAGGAGAACTTTTTTTTTTTTTTTCTGGCCAGACTGAGAGAAAGGAATGAAAGGATGGAAGAATTACAAGATCAGGCACTGCTGTCTGTCTGTTCCACGGATGTAACCACAGCACACGCGTGGCTCACGGTACTAGTGTGATAAATGCTTGTTACATGAAGGCGTGAACAGGGATGAGAAGAGACTTCCTGGAGAAACAAAAGGACTAACAATCAGGAAGGGGAGGTGATCGGGGCAGGAGTAAAGTGGACACCTCAGCAAAGCCATTCGCTGTGATCTCTGATTGTGCAGTGTCATGTCCTGTCACCAGAGCCCCCTCGTGTTTGATGTTGGCCAATGCCGCCAGCATGATCTAGCAGGCCAAATCCTAATCTACCATTCTCTGACACCAGCTGGTCCCCTGGGTCGTCCACCCGATGTCCCCCATTCTCCCCACTTGGCCTCCCCCACAGGCTCTCGGCAAAGGACCGTGGGAGGCACCTGTGACACTGCCCTTTTCCTGTGCAGCTGTTTTTCTTCTTCATTCTTTTCACTCCTCGTTACTCTTTTTTTTTTCACTCTCAGCCCACACAAAACTAGGAACTTTGTTATTCTACTTATTTTTCTGTACTCTGTCTGTTTGCACACAGATGGATATCTGAGAGCCAGCGAACTTTCTTTACCTCCTAGTATCATTTCATGAAAATTAGTAGCACCTGCACAATGGGGCCTTGGAGACAGGAATAAAAGGAAAAATCTGGAATGGAATCACATGACGCAACAGGCTATGAAGACTCCCTGCCCGGCTGCTATATGTCTGGTAAACAGAATAAATAGTACTTGAGCATCCCTGACTCTGAGACTGTGGGGTAGCTGGTTGTTTTAAGATGGGACCAGGGTATTGTGCACTTATTGCCAATTCTTGCTTCAGTAAGTGGGGTGGCTGTGCAGAGTGAGTGGCCTGTGTATGAACCAGGGTCCGTCCCATCTAATGAGAGTCCGGTCAGGCTGAGTCCTCACCAAGACTTCAGCGTGGATTCATCAGTAACCTTGGTTCACTGGCAGGCTTGCTGGACTTTGGAGAAAAGGCTGACCCTCCCCCAAAGCAGCCCATTGCTGCCACTGCCCTAGGAACAGAGGGCCTGGAGCCAGGGCTTGACCTGGTACAGGAGCTTTTGCACAAGGCCGGCTCAAACCTCCAAACCTGGGGAAACAGGATGCATGGTGAAGTGAAGAAGAAAGAAAATGCATCCACCGTTCCTTCCTGTTGGTGTCAGCACGATGAGGAATAATTACCTGGATCTGGAAAGCAGGCGTGTGGGAGGCTGCAGGCCCCCCTGATCTGTGTAGTTAGGCACTTAATTTTTCATCCTCCTCCTTCTCTCTGCCCTCCCGAAACCGCCGTTTTCAAAGGAAAAACAGAAAAACGTATCTGGGTAACCCGTGTAATACTGTTTACATCAGCCCACTTGGCCCAGAAAGGATACCAGCTCCTTACTGATGCTCAGATAACAGGGTTAGTGCTTAAAAAAATTATGCCTTGGGCCGGGTGCGGTGGCTCACGCCTATAATCCCAGCACTTTGGGAGGCTGAGGTGGGTGGATCACAAGGTCAAGAGATCAAGACCATCCTGGCCAACCAACATAGTGAACCTGTCTCTACTAAAAATACAAAAAGTAGCTGGGCGTAGTGGCGCATGCCTGTAGTCCCAGCTGCTCGGGAGGCTGAGGCAGGAGAGTCGTTTAGGCCTGGCAGGCGGAGGTTGCAGTGAGCTGAGATTGCGCCACACTGCACTCCAGCCCAGGCGGTGGAGTGAGTCTCCATCTCAAAAAAAAAAATTCTGTCTCATTCATTATCCAACTTTGTCACTGATAGAGAAGGACATAGATCCAGAGAAGAACTTGTCCAGGTGACCCCAGGGCTCTTTCCCCCTCCATTACTTTTTTTTTTTTTTTTTTTTGAGCCAGAGTCTGGCTCTGTCACCCAGGCTGGAGTGCAGTGTCACAATCTTGGCTCACTGCATCCTCTGCCTCCTGGGTTCAAGCTATTCTCCTGACTCAGCCTCCCTAGTAGCTGGGATTACAGGTGCATGCCACCCCGCCCAGCTAATTTTTGTATTTTTAGTAGAGATGAGGTTTTAACTTGTTAGCCAGGCTGGTCTTGAACTCCTGACGTCAAGCGATCTGCCTGCCTTGGCCTCCCAAAGTGCTGGGATTAAGGGCGTGAGCCACCGCGCCCGGTCCCCTCCATTACTCCTTAAGTGTCCCTTAAAGACTGTATTTATTTATTTGAAACAGAGTCTTGCTCTGTCACCCAGGCTGTTGTGCAGTGGCATGATCTTGGCTCACTGCAACCTTCTGCCTCAGCCTCCTGAGTACCTGAGACTACAGGCGGGCGCCACCACACCCGGCTAATGTTTGTCTTTTTGGTAGAGATGGGGGTTTCACCATGTTGGCCAGGCTGGTCTCGAACTCCTGATCTCAAGTGATCTGCCCCCTTCAGCCTCCCAAAGTGCTGGGATTACAGGCGTGAGCCACTGCGCCCAGCAAAGACTGTGTTTAAAATACTACCTTTCTGTTAGGTACTTGTCATTTGCCAAAATTAAATAAAAACAGTCTAGGAACCTAGGAACCTGTGAAGTCAGTACTAAAATCTATACCAATTTACTCCACAAACCCCCATCCTCCTCCTCGTTGGTTGAGTGTTTAATAAAGCCAGGCGCTTTACCTATAGTCTCATTAAATTAAAAACAATCCTGCATAGGAAGTCAGGATCTCAATTTTGCAGATGAAAAGGAGGCTTATCTGGGCATGCCCAGCAAGGTCTGGGGAACGCCCCTTAATGGAGTACTTGAATTTGTCTGCAGGGAGAGGTGGCATCACCGCACTGTAAATAGTTTCCGAGGTCAAGTTTGGCTAGTGGCTTTTAGAATTGGGGCAGAAGGATGCCATCCTACTCCCACCTTCAGAGGCATCTCAGGTTCTGGAGCTCTGTGCTAACTAAGCCCACCTGTGGAGGGTGGCAATGGAGTGGTGACAGGCGTGCAAGGTTTCACGTCTTTAAAGAAAAGACAGCTCCAAGGACAGAGAGTTTTTTGTTGTTTGTTTTGTTTTTTGAGACAGTCTCACTCTGTTGTCAGGCTAGAGTGTAGTGGCGCGATCTCGGCTCACTGCAACCTCCACCTCCCGGGTTCAAGCGATTCCCCTGCCTCAGCCTCCCGAGTAGCTGGGACTACAGGAGGCGCCACCACGCCCGGCTAATTTTGGTATTTTTAGTAGAGATGTAGTTTCACCATGTGGGCCAGGATGGTCTCGATCTCTTGACCTTGTGATCCGCCCACCTCGGCCTCCCAAAATGTTGGGATTACAGGCGTGAGCCACCATTCCCAGCCAATTTTTTTTTTTTTTTTAAAGAGACAGGGTCTCGCTCTGTTGCCAGGGCTGGAGTGCAGTGGTGTGATCATGGCTCACTACATCCTCTAACTCCTGGGCTCAAGCGAACCTCCCACTTTAGCCTCCGGAACAGCTGGAACCACAAGCGCACACCACCACATCCAGCTAAGTTTTAAAAAACTGTTTGTAAAGACAGGGTCTCACTATGTTGCCCAGGGTCAAGGTCAGATTTGTTAATCCTTCTGACATTGTCTCCTGTTGGAGTTCTGGATGTTCATTAGTTCATCACCATGCATGTGATTCACACACTGTACTCAGAAACATTCTTTTTTCTTGTTTTTGTTTTTTTATGAGACGGAGTTTCTCTCTTGTCACCCAGGCTGGAGTGCAATGGCACGCACGATCTCGGCTCACTGCAACCTCCACCTCCCCGGTTCAAGCAATTCTCCTGCCTCAGCCTCCCGAGTAGTGCCACCACTCCCAGCTTATTTTTGTATTAGTAGAGACGGGGTTTCACCATGTTGGCCAGGCTGGTCTCGAACCCCGGACCTCAGGTGATCCACCTGCCTCGGCCTCCCAAAGTGCTGGGATTACAGGCATGAGCCACCGTGCCTGGCCAGAAACATTCTTTTTATTCGTTTTTATTATAATTGTAGTAAGGGCCCTGGTAGGGGATTTGAACTGTTTCTTTCCACAGTGTGGAATGATGTCTATATACATTACAGAATGGAGATATAGATATCTATAGAGATCTATAGATATCTATAGAGATCTATATAGATATCTATAGCTATATAGATATAGAGATATAGATATATATAGATATATAGATATATATAGATATATAGATATATATAGATATATAGATATATATAGATATATAGATATATAGATATATATAGATATATAGATATATATAGATATATATAGATATATAGATATATATAGATATATAGATATATAGATAGATATATAGATATATATAGATATATAGATAGATATAGATATATATAGATATATAGATAGATATATAGATATATATAGATATATAGATAGATATATAGATATAGATATATAGATATATAGATATAGATAGATATATAGATATATAGATATAGAGATAAAGATATAGATAGATATATAGATATATAGATATATAGATAGATATATAGATATATATATTTTTTGAGACAGAGTCTCACCCTGTGGCTCAGGCTAGAGTGCAGTGATGTGATCTCAGCTCACTGCAACCTCCACTTCCCGGGCTAAAGCAATTCTCCCACCTCAGCCACCCAAGTAGCTGGGATTACAGGCACCTGCCACCATGCCAGCTATCTTTTGTATTTTTAGTAGAGATGGGGTTTCACCATGTTGATCAGGCTGGTCTCGAACTCCTGACCTCAAGCAATCCACCCGCCTCGGCCTCCCAAAATGCTGGGTTTACAGGTGTGAGCCACTGCGCCTGGCCCAGAATGGAGTAATCTGATGTGGTCTTACAGATAAACACTTCACATATGCAAGGGTGTGTGTGTGTGTGTGTGTGTGTTTTAACTCATCTTTTCCATTCTCTTCCCAACCCCTCCTTTCCCATCTGCTACCCTCAGGCTACAGTTCGACTTCACAGATAGAAAAATAAAACCTACGGCTGGGCATGGTGGTTCACGCCTATAATCCCAGCACTTTGGGAGGCCGAGGTGGGCCAATCGTTTGAGGTCGGGAATTTGAGACCAGCCTGACCAACATGGTGAAACCCTGTCTCTACCAAAAATACAAATAAATTAGCCGGTCATGGTGGCCTGCCCCAGTAATCCCAGCTACTTGGGAGGCTGAGGCAGGAGAATCGCTTGAACCAAGGAAGCGGAGGTTGCAGCAAGCCCAGATCACGCCACTGCACTCCAGCCTGGGTGACAGAGCGAGACTCCATCTCGGAAAAAAAAAAAAATTAGCTGGGCGTGGTGGCGAGTACCTGTAATCCCAGCTACTCAGGAGGCTGAGGCAGGCGAATCGCTTGAACCCGGGAAGCGGAGATTGCAGTGAGTGGAGATCGGGCCACTGCACTCCAGCCTGGGCTACAGTGCGAGACTCCTTCTCAAATGAATGAATAAATAAATAAATAAAACATATGATTTACCTTGGCCCACTATAATTTTGCACTACAGGGTGGCAGCTCCGTGCTATGTACAAGCCGGGTGCCGCGCAGCTTTGATGCTGCCCAGGACACTGACCTAAAAGTGTGTCTGCAAGTACTCTCACCCTTCATTCATTCAAGCTTTGCCTAGTACACACTTTTTGGAAACCATTTCCCAAAATGCATGCTTTTATACCACATTTCCCACCCACCAGATAACCGAGACAGTGCACGTAACACAGTTTGAATTAAAGAATAATCTTGTTTTGGCCGGGCGCGGTGGCTCACGCCTGTCATCCCAGCAATTTGGGAGGCCGAGGCGGGCGGATCACGAGGTCAGGAGATCGAGACCATCCTGGCTAAGACAGTGAAACCCCGTCTCTGCTAAAAATACAAAAAATTAGCCGGGCGTGGTGGCGGGCGCCTGTAGTCCCAGCTACTCGGGAGGCTGAGGCAGGAGAATGGCGTGAACCCGGGAGGCGGAGCTTGCAGGGAGCCGAGATCGCGCCACCGCACTCCAGCCTGGGCGACAGAGCGAGACTCCGTCCAAAAAAAAAAAAAAAAAAAAAAACAAAGAAACTTGTGTTGGTAGACAAATAAATTCATGAACTGCAGATATAAATAGATCGAGCACTAGATATGTTTATTATCTCCAGCACAGCACTGCCTCCTGGTGCGGATTATATTCCAGTTTTCAAAAGGAACCATAGAAGATACAAGCAATACGATTTTATTTTGGAGGGATTTCTAGCATCATAGGTCAAAGACGTTATTAAGTATCGACTCTGAAAAAGCAACTATAAATACTGCAAATCGACTAAGCCAGAGGACGCAAATATATCCTGCGTGTTGTGTGCTGGACTGTGGTTGAGACTTCATGGTCGTGCTCTGGGCTCATGGGGGCAGCTGACTGCTCATAATTAAGATTGCTGTTGCCGCTGCCTGTGTTCCAAAGAGAACACAAGAGGACAGAGCTAAGGTGTAGGAATGCGGAAGAACTTGCAGAAACTAGAGCTAGTCTTCGGATTGAAATGAATTACCAATAAAGGGTTGGGAAATGGATCAAGGAGAGGGAAGCGTTTTGATGGTCCCTGCTCCGAGGTTCAGCCCATTTGCAGTTGCTGATAACCTTGTCAGGTCACCAGATAAAGGCAAGTCTTGTCACCCTCAGGCACCTGGCTGCGAAGTAATAAAACGGTTGCCTTATCATCTAAAGGTGGAGTGAGTCAAACCTCAGCCCAGGGTAATTATAGTAAACTGAAATTGCCTGTCCTTTACAAAAAAAAAGGCGGAGGGAGAGAGAAAGGAAAAGGGCTTAAGGCAGGAAATTGTGTTTGTCTTTCTCCTTGGATTTAAAAAAGAAACGAGCAAAACAGCAAAAAGTTTTCCAGGGAGTGAGAAAAGCAGCCCGGCTAGACTCCCCTCACCCTGGGTTAACAGGATTGCCGACAGATCAGGCCCACGTGATGGTCAAGAAAAGAGGCTCAAGCTGATGAAAATCCAAGAAATCTTCTTAGGAGCCTTCCTTTCTAAATGTAAATGACTGAGTCATTGCTTTGCTAAGGAGGGAAGGAAGTTACAATCACACCAAGTGACTCATTCATTGCTGTTAGCTCCGGCAGTTGGATGAAAAGTTTTAGCAAAAGCAGCAACAAATGTACTTTAAATACTAGCACAGTAAGGGAATTCCTGTCTTTCAGGATGAATGCCATCCACACAAAAGAGCTCCTGTTGACATCTCATTTACAATCTCCCCCAGGACACAGACAAGACCCTTTCAATAAATCCAGCTCAGAAACACCTATTGTTCAAAATCTTCAACTCGCCACAGGCTACCACCACTCCCTATGGCTTTGCAAAATTAAAGATTTAGAAGAAGGATGGGGCGGTGGAAGCTATGAAAAGAGGCAGGAAAAAAGTTCCTTTGACCCGATGCTGTCAGAGAGCGTGCATGAAGAAGAAAGTTAATGGTATTTCCATTTATATAAGAAGCGCCTAAGAAATGCCTGTGACGTTCGTGAACTAGTGATTGTGAATTCCAAATTTGATGCCAACTTTATGTGTAAAGAAGCTAACTCCTGCCAACATCGTGGCTGAATGAACAGCTGGGACTATGCTTAACCCATTCCCAGCTTATAAAAGCCCCATGGCAGCTGCAGTGAAGCATCAGGTGAGTCTGATATGGGCTGTCTGTTCCCTCGGGGATTTGAATCTTGCCTGTCCTTTCCAAGTGGAGTCTTGTGCCTAAGTGCTAGAGCCCACTCCTTCCTCCCCACTGATTCCCTTCTTTCCATTTCTGCCATTTCCCTTCTTCTTTTAATAAAACTTGGACATTTTCTGGAGTTACATGTTTTTCTTGGGATGTACTTCAAATTAAGGAGCATATTTATGTTTACAAACACACGCACACGCACACACACACACACATACACACAAAAGAATCGGGCATTTCTCAAGTGGTGATACCTTTACCCTCCTTATTTTTCACTTAAGGTTCCCCATCTCAGTACACGATCCCTTTATCTGCCCCGAGTTCAAGCCAAAACTCAGCATTATCTGTAAGCACTCCTTTGGGTCCTTCTCTCCAGTCTCTTAAATCCCTGTGGAGTCATTCCACATCCTTCTGTGCATCTTTCTGCTTCCCTAGATCCTACAGTTTTAATGTTATCTTCTGGAGTATCACAGCAACTTCCTTAACTCAAGGTTTCTCCAACTCTGAGTTGTCACTTAGTGGGTAGTGAAATAAGATGAGTCATGCAGTTTCACCATTTAGAAAATGCAAAATGTTAGGTAGAAAATGTCAGCGTACATCCTGTGTAGAAAAAGTAAGTCTTGTTGTGAAACCTCTTTCAGTTTGTGTGTGCGTGTCCCCGGATCTGTGTACATACTGGGCAACAGGGAAAATGCATTTTGTAGGTCAAAATATTTGGAGAAATACGTTTCTACTTAGTCTCACTGGGTCTGTCTTTTCTGTTTCCAAACTATTGTGTACACTTAGAGGAAGAGTGGAAACCCTCCAGCAGGTCCTGTCAGTCTGCAGTTTACAAATCTCCCCTCAGGATAAGAGTTCCTATTCACCCTTTTCAGGTCTCAGAATTCTGCCTCCTCCTGACCACTTTTCCTTTAGTTATTCAACCCATCAAGTTCCCTGGGTTTGCATGTGCAATCGATTCCTCGTTAGGGATATTCTTTCCTCTGGTTTTTCCTTCAGATACGAGCTTACGTTCGACCTCTTCCAAGAAGACGTCAGGAATGTCCTTCTGAATGCCTTTCCTAGTTCTCATGAGAACACAGCAGTTTTTAATCAGGCAGAGCACTTATTACATTATAATTATCTTCTTGGTTCCCAACTGAACTTTTAAGTTCCAAGTGGGCAGTCAGTAAATATTTCTTGGTGCATCAAATGCTCCACATTTTACACAGTTAACGTTTGCTGCCTACAAACCAATTTGGATAGTTACTTTAAAGTATCTTATCTCTAGTTCTCAAAGCTTTAGTTTCCTTTAACACTTAAGTATCTCTTGCATATTTTCTTTTCAAACACTGCTTCGTTAATTTGCAAATTCATTGGACTCCTTTCCTTAAAAATCAAAATAATAAAACTTCAAGAAAGCTGTTGTGACTTCTGGCCTCTCTGAATGTCAGATCTGTAAACAGGAAGGGCAGAACTCTGATCTCTAAAATCCTCTCCAGTCCACTACTCTGACCCTCTAACTTGAGCTTTCTCCAGAGAGGTTAAGTGACTTTTCCAAGGTCACGGAGCTTTTTAGCGGCAGGAGATTTTTTTTGCCTGTCTATAGATTTTTAAAAGCTAGCCGTAAACAAAAACCAAAAAGTTTACCGAGGACACTGAGTGCCACTAACAAGTTTGTGTGAAAGAGAATTCATGAAGAAATAGGAGACTTCAAACAAAACACTAAAATCAACAACAACCATAATGGATTCCTGCCTAGGCAGGTCGGGACATTAAGAAAAAAAAAGGTCTCGCTGTGGTTTGCTATTAGATGGAGAGATATTCAGATTTCATTTTTAAAATGAAAGTGAAAGATTAAAGAATTTTGGCATCCTGACCCTTTGTAGAGGCCATTCCTCAGAGGCACAGTGTGCAGACAAAACTATCCTAGAGGTGCCAACCAGAACAAGCTCTAATGTCTGTCTCATTCCTGAGCCTTGGTGCCTTGACGAGTCACCACGCTCAGGAAGAAAGCTGCAACTCGCCAGGATGAAACTGGGCCCCGCTTCTTAGAACCCTTCCCCGCTTCCTTCCCCTGCCAGAACCACACTAAAGAATTCGCTGCTCTCAAAGACAGACGTTTTCATTACTTCCTTACATTATAGAGTTTGGGCTTAGATAACCAGTTGTATGAGTAGTAAGTCAAACAGAAATACAACAGCAATAATACTTATTTCTTTCCCTAATTGTAATATGTTGTACTTCATAAGCCATCATATGCATTTGTTGCTTTTCCCCCTTCTACACTGACCAGTAGTTTTGCTTTGTTTGACAGAAAAGTATAGTAAGAAGAAACTGAATTTGAAGTGGATTCTTACAAAGGAAAAAGAAAATCACTATTGTAACTATACCAAATTACTATGTATGTGAGCTCCCAGCTTTGACATCAAGTCGTTACAGCCACGTAATGGGATTACGGGTGATTTTTACTTTATTCTTTGGGCTTCTCTGAATTTTCCTATATTTTGAAAAAGCACCTGCATTATTTTGTAATTATAAAAAAGTATAAATAAGAATTATACACACTATTATTTCTTCACTGCTATGACATGACTAGATTACAATTTTTTTCTTTTTGAGATGACTTTCGGTCTTGTTTCCCAGGCTGGAGTGCAGTGGCACGACCTCGGCTCATTGCAACCTCCACCTCCCGGGTTCAAGCAATTCTCCTGCCTCAGCCTCCCCAGTAGCTGGGATTACAGGCACCTGCCACCACACCTGGCTAATTTTAGTAGAGAAGGGGTTTCGCCAAGCTGGCCAGGCTGGTCTCGAACTCCTGACTTCAGGTGATTGATCCACCTGCCTCGGCCTCCCAGAGTGCTGGGATTAGAGGCATGAGCCATCGCGCCTGGCCTAGATTATGGAATTTTTGTATTACCATGTATGTTGCCGTGTAATTTTTGTTTTGAACCTTTTTTATTTTTCTTTTAATTCCTTTGAGACAGGATCTTGTTCTGTTACCCAGGCTCACTGCAACAAGGTGATTTTCCCGCCTCAGCCTCCAGAGTAGCTGGACTACAGGCCGGTGCCACCACACCCAGATAATATTTTATATTTTTTGTAGAAATGGGGTTTTGTTTTGTTGCCCAGGCTGGTCTTGAGCTCCTGGGCTCAAGCGATCCACCCTCCTCAGCCTCCCAAAATACTGGGATTACAGGCATAAGCCACTGCACCCGGCCTTGAGCATTTGTTTTTTGAAGGAAATTTTATATGATTACCACATAAAAAAGGAATACTAAAAATCTAACATTATTTGATATCTCACTGTCTTTGAAAACTTAAGGAACATGGACCCATACAAGGCAGCCAAATATTGGCCGGTAACTCCTTTACAACTGGGCTGCAGCATATTTTATTACCTTCTCCTGACAATTTCTTATCTGGCTGCTTATCATTTCCAGAACATACCATCCTTTTGCATGCCTTTACGCCAGTGGCAAACATGGTTGTTTGCCTCCTCATAACCATTCTCTCTATCCTGCTTGCTAATGAGACCCCAGTACTGTTGATCTTTTCCACACAGCTGTGAGTTTTAGGGGTGGCTAAGCCCCTCCCTACACGTGGAGGCTGAATCTTCACCAGACTACCAGACAAAGAGATGAGAAGGGAGGTTGGATGGGAATGTTCTGGGAAAGTTTACCTCACTATTTAAAGCCACCCAAGTCAGGGACATCCTTTTTCTTCCTCTGGACTTTGTCATCTGCAAGGGATGCTGGAACTGTGGCTGCCATCGGGGGACCACAGAAAGTACTGGCCTAAGAAGACCAGCTCAGCTGGGCGTGGTGGCCTGTAATCCCAGCATTTTGGGAGGATGCGGGCAGATCATGTGAAGTCGGGAGTTCAAGACCAGCCTGACCAACATGGAGAAGCCCTGTCTCTACTAAAAATACAAAATTAGCCGGGTGTGGTGGCGCATGCCTGTAATTCTAGCTACTGGGGAGGCTGAGGCAGGAGAATTGCCTGAATCCGAGAGGTGGAGGTTACAGTGAGCGGAGAGGGCGCCACTGCACTCCCGTCTGGGCCAATGAGAGTGAAACTCCATCTCAAAAAAAAAAAAAGATGAGCTCACACTGGGGATGACGGGTGGAAGAAAGGCCAGCTGTAATGAACTTGCTGGTTTTGGTAAATTCATTGCCTTACCCTTGGACCTGGTATTGTTTGAGAAAATAAATTATTTTGCCATCTTAGTCACTTTGATTTTATTTTTTAAGTTGTATTTGTTTGCTTATTGATTTGATTGGCTTGGCACTTATGCAGTGACTTTGTAGATGCTGTCTATGTGTTGGGGCTCAGAACATAATGCCCTAAAATATGGTGACTTGGCAATTGAGAAAACTGAAGGAGCAAGAAGGTCACTCACTGTGAGAGCTGGCCACGAGGGAATGCTCTGACCTATCTTTGTCTGAAAGTAGGTCATAAGATGCTCATTCCAGAGAGGTCTCGCTCTATACCCAGAGGCGAAGAAGGAACAGACAGCTCTTGCCCTACTGTCCCCCAGTTGTTTGTTACCGTTAGATAATAAATTTATTCTAGTTGAAATCTGAAATACTCCAAAGTCTGAAACTTTTCATTTTTTTGAGACAGAGTCTTGCTCTGTCACCCAGGCTGGAGTGTAGTGCACGATCTCAGCTCACTGCAACCTCCACCTCCCAGGTTCAATGATCCTCCTGCCTCAGCCTCCCAAGTAGCTGGGATTACAGGCATGTGCCACCACGCCTGGCTAATTTTTATACTTTTAGTAGAGACAGGGTTTCACCATGTTGGCCATGTTGGTCTCAAACTCCTGAACTCAAGTGAGCCTCGGCCTCCCAAAGTGCTGGGATTACAGGCGTGAGCTGCTGCACCCAGCCTGATCTGTAATACTCTCCCTTGCAGTGTCCTCAGCCTCCCAAGTAGCTGGGACTGCAGGTGTGCACCACCACAACCAGCCAATTTTTAAACATTTTTTTGTAGAGATATGGTCTCACTATGTTGCCCAGGCTAGTCTCAAATTCCTGGGCTCAAGTGATCCTCCCACCTTGGCCTCCCAAAGTACTGGGATTTGAGGTGTGATCCACCTCACCCGGGCCTGAGTCTTCCTTTGGAAGGCTGCTGTATCATGTGAAACTTATGTTAAATAAATTTGCTTATTTTTCTGTTACTAATCTGTCTTCTGTGATAGGAGTCTTAGCCATGAACCTAGCGATGGGTGTGGAATAGATATTTCTTCCACACGCTAGAAAAGGCTGTGTCTGCCTGGTGCAAATCCTGACCTGCCAGTTACAAGCTACTTAACTTTACACTATTAAATCATCTTTTCCTGAGTTTCCTCATCTGTTGAGTTAGGATAACAGCACCTATCTCATAGTGTGATGCGGTGAGCGAAGAGGTGAATGTAGGGAAAGGGGATAGAGTGTTCCACTTACCCTGTGACATATAGGAATTAGGTGCTCTTCTTTTTTCTTTCCTTCCTAGATTATGTGATGCAACAAAATTCAAATATGAAAACCATCTCGGAGGCCGGGCGCGGTGGCTCACGCCTTTAATCCCAGCACTTTGGGAGGCCGAGGTGGGTGGATCATTTGAGGTCAGAAGTTCAAGACCAGCCTGGCCAACACGGTGAAACCCTGTCTCTACTAAAAATACAAAAATTAACTGGGCGTGGTGGCACATGCCTGTAATCCCAGCTACTCGGGAGGCTGAGGCAGGAGAATTGCTTGAACCTGGGAGGCGGAGGTTGCAGTGAGCCGAGATCACGCCATTGTTCTCCAGCCTGGGCAACAAGAGCAAAACTCTGTCTCAAAAATAAAATAAAAAATTGCTTTAAAAAATAAAAATTCATCTCATCGCTGTTCTCAATTCATATGTCCTCTCCTTCGAGAGGGCTTTAAAAAAACTAAAACTATTTTACCTCAAAATATACTTCTTTGGCATATTTTTGAGATGGCTGTTCAGAGGGCCCACAGGCAGGAATAGCCCTGCCAAGTTGCCATTTGTGGAGGAGACGTACATCTGCAGAGAAAATCTGCAGCAATGAAATAAACAGCTAGGCTTTTTCTGAGGCCCTCCGCCTATCCAGACCTAGGAGAGATTAACTGAGTCTGACACCTTTGAAAATGTGACAGAGAAACACTTAACCACAGACTACCTTCTGTTCTCTCTGAGGACTGCTACCTGTGAGATTTAACCCACCTGTGCCCTCACCTTCCCTCTCCCCTCCCTGCCATAACCTATTTTGCCATGCTCTGAGTCCCTACTCCTCAGTAACATCAAGATGGTATAAAAGCATCAACTCAGCCAGGGGCAGTAGCTCACACCTGTAATCCTAGCACTTTGGGAGGACAAGGTGGGCAGATCCCTTGAGCCCAGAAGTTAAAGACCAGCCTGGCAAGCATGGCAAAATGCTGTCTACTAAAAATACAAAAAAAAAAAATAGCCAGATGTTGTGGCACATGCCTGTAATCCCAGCTACTTGGGAGGCTGAGGCAGGAGAATCACTTGAACCCCGGAGATGGAGGCTGCAGTGAGCTGAGATCACGCCACTGCACTCCAGCCTGGGTGACAGTGAGACTCTGTCCCTCAAAAAAATAAAAAAAGATGGTATAAAAGTATTAACTGTATGGTCTTTTTTTTTTTTGAGTTTTCATATGTATTTTTTTCCTATGGCAGAAGAGTTTTCATAATTTGTATGACTCATGCACATGTGTGCACGTTAGCGAAATTTGTATGCCAGCCATGTGTGGCATAAGCCTGTAGTCTCAGTTACTCAGAGGCTGAGGCGGGAGGATTGCTTGAGCCCAGGAGGTCGAGGCTGCTGTGAGCTATGATCGCACCACTGCACTCTACCCTGGGCGATAGAGCAAGACCCTGTCTTTAAAAAAAAAAAGTGTATACTTTTTTTTCCTGTTAATTTACTATATGTTTGTTTTATAGACTCAAATTATCAAGGCTTCAGGGGGAAAATGTAAACTTCCCTACAGCTCCCCTGATCACCCAGCTTACAGCAGCCTCACACCCTCCCATCCCAGGCCCGCATCCCCCTAACTGATTTGAGATGCCTGGAGAAAATAAGATTGCTGCTCCATCTTTTATAAACTACAAGTTTTGGGGTCGGGGCAGTGCAAAGTTGCAGCTTGCTCATTCAACCCAGTCCTGACCGGCTCTACCACTGCACTCGCCCCAGCCCTCCACAGCCTTCCAACGGCAGCTGTCTCCAGATTCCCTACGTTCTAGTTAGCAGCCTTCACCCTCCCCATGACCAAGGCCCCACGAAGTCTTTCCAAAGCCCCTGCTTGTCATTTCTGTTAACGCGTCCCCGCCTCCCACCTCGAAATTACATAGCAGGACCCGCTGCAGCCCCTGCTTCCTTGCACCTTGGAACATGGCAGAACTTACCACGCGTTTCTCAGGGCTTGTATGGTGGACCCCTGCCAGTGGTTTCAAACCTTTTCCGCACCTTCTCTATCACCCTCCAGTTCAGAAAAGACAAAAAGGAAACCCCAAAGAAAATCCAAACAAAAAAGCTTACAAGTATGTTTCTCTTTGCCTCCATAGTCAGCACTAATTATTTCCAGCTGGGGTAGAGAGCAGGGTGTGGATGGGACCAAGTCCTGTTGCTAAGTTCAAGTACTTGAGAATTTAACATCCCAGATCCTCTCCAAGCTCTGCTGCAGACCCCTCAACTATATTCCCCTAGCTTACCATGGTAACAAGCCAGAGGGCTAGCCCTAAGTGTATCCACTTACATTACTAAAGCGCTATCAAATGAACAAATAATTCCCTTTGCTTTTCATGCCTGAAAGGCAATATTGTATGATGTTTAAGAATATGGCACAGTTCTGTCGTCCCAGCTGCTTGGAAGGCTGAGGTGGGATGATTGATTGAGCCCAGGAGTTTGAGTCCAGCCTGGGCAACATAGCAAGATCCGATCTCAAAATATTAAAAATAATGTAAGTTCAGGAGGCCGACCTTGATTTAAAAGTGTGTTACCTAGGGAAGGTTGCTGAATCTCTATAAACATCTGGTTTTTATTGTCTAAAATGAGGATAAGAATGAAAAACTTCCTTATAGGGTTGTAGAGAGGCTGAAAGGAAGCAATATATGGGAAATGCTCAGTGTATTAACTCAGTAAATGGCATACAGTAACAACAGCCATCAACAGTTCCATAAGGGGAATCCCTTCATTTTAACCAGGGGACCCGTGGCCCTTGTGAAAGGTCTGAGAACATCTGAAGCTAACTTCTACACCAACGTGGTCAGATGATGCCATCCCGTATCCATGGCAACCAGATGTCTCCAGTATCTAGTTTAGTGCCAGGCGGGTGGTGTACAATGAAACAACAGAATCACAGGCTGCAACTCTGCTGTTCAGTTCATTCGTTAGTGGAATCCCTGTAACACACTCAAAATTCTGACTTCATAGGACCTTTGAATTACAGTTTCATAAAAGAAGTTCTGAAACATTGACCAATCATTTCATACACATTTTTTAGTTATTCTCAGATGATGGTTGCTGATGTAAAAATAAAACAACCAAAACCTTTGTGTTAGCTATATCTTCAAGTCTATCACAATATTTTAGTCCATTTCCTTTTTTTTTTGAGACGGAGTTTTTGCTCTTGTCACCCAGGCTGGAGTACAATGGTGCAATCTTGGCTCACTGCAACCTCTGCCTCCTGCGTTCAAGCGATTCTCCTGCCTCAGGTCCTGAGTAGCTGGGATTACAGGCGCCCGCCACCATGCCCGGCTAATTTTTTTGTATTTTTAGTAGAGATGGGGTTTCACCATGTTGGTTAGTCTTGAACTCCTGACTTCAGGTGGTCCACCTGCCTCGGCTTCCCAAAGTGCTGGGATTACAGGCATGAGCCACCACGCCTGGCCTTTTAGTCCATTTTCTATTGCTAATGTAAGAGGAATTAGATTAGGAAGTAGGTTTTTGAAGACAAATTTTCAGGTTACATGAATTGTTGGTAGCACCTCACTTCATAAGTAATATTAGATATAAAACCCTTCTCAGGAAAAAAAAAGTTAGCATTCTGGAGAAAGGAGTAAAGGAAACAATGGTTTATTGTCTTCCGTTTTGTTTTGTTTGTTTTTCAGAGGGACTCACTGTTGCCCAGGCTGGAGTGCAGTGGCACAATCATGGCTCACGGCAGCTTCAACCTCCTGGGCTCAAGTGATCCTCCTTGCCTCAGCCTCCTGAGTATCTGGGACCATGGGTGCATGCTACCATTCCTGGTTAATTTTTTAATTTTGAATTTTGCAGAGATGGGGGTCTCCCTGTGTTGCCCAGGCTGGTCTCGAACTCCTGGGCTCAAGCCATCCTCCCACTTCCTCTCTAAGTGTTGGGATTACAGGCATGAGCCTGGCTAGGAAGCAATGTTGGCCCACAGTGTCCAGTGCCCAGTACTCTTAGGAAGTATGAATTTATGAACAATTAACGCCCAGATGAGTTAACAGACCTTGGGTATAAATTGGTTGGTCTGTGTCCAAAGGCAATACAGTTTTATGCTTCATTTTATTACCATCTGTGGAATGGGACAATAACTACAGGATGGCTGTTACAGTGAATATTAAAGACTTAAAATATGTAAAAGCCCTTTGTAAGTTGCAAAGTGCTATGCAGATGCTAGGCAAAGAAGCCACAGCAGCTACCCAGTAACAGTTGTTACTTTTTTTTTTTTGAGATGGAGTTTCCCTCTTTTGCCCAGGCTGGAGTGAAGTGGCGCGATCTCAGCTCACTGCAAGCTCCGCCCCCAGGTTCAAGCGATTCCCCTGCCTCGGCCTCCCAGGTAGCTGGGATTATAGGTGCCCACAACCACACCCGGCTAAAGTTTGTATTTTTAGTAGAGACAGTTTCACCACATTGACCAGACTGGTCTCGAACTCCTGAGCTCAGGCAATCCGCCCGCCTCGGCCTCCCAAAGTGCTAGGATTACAGGCGAGCCACCGTGCCTGGCCAGTTGTCACTTTTTTCTGGCTCCAGCTGAGTAACATTTCCAAACCACAATTCTTCCTGGAACAGCATAAGTTGTGTTGGCCTTGGCCAATATTGAACTGGGGTTCTGGGATACCGCAAAGTATTATATACAATTTGCATAAATGTACATTTAGGCTGAGTAGAAAGGGAGAAAATGCTGTAAAAATTAATATGGGTCAAAAGAAATGATCTCTAATCATAAATTGCACACTTCCCCTCTCAACCATCCCCAAAACACTCATAATATTTGATATGAAAATACCATGGTGGCAAATAGCTGTATCAAAAAGAAACTATTCTTTCATTATAGCGTAGGGTGAAGCTAAGTAGATTTTAAGAATTACTGGAGTCTCCCGCACTTTGGGAGGCCGAGGTGGGCGGATCACCTGAGGTCAGGAGTTTGAGACCAGCCTGACCAACATGGAGAAACCCCGCCTCTACTAAAAATACAAAAAAAAAAAAAAAAGAGCCAGGCGTGGTGGTGCAGGCCTGTAATCCCAGTTTCGGGAGCCTGAGGCGGGAGAATTGCTTGATCCCGGGAGGCAGATGTTGCCGTAAGTCGAGATAGTGCCACTGCACTCCAGCCTGGGCAACAAGAGTGAAACTCTGTCTCAAGAAAAAAAAAAAAAAGTTATTGGAGTCAAACATAACTTGGAGAGGAGACAAAATAATTTATTTTTATTTTATTTATTTATTTATTTTTGAGATGGAGTCTCACTCTGTTGCCCAGGTTGGAGTGCAATGGCACGATCTCGGCTCACCGCAACCTCCGCCTCCAGGTTCAAGTGATTCTCCTGCCTCAGCCTCCCGAGTGACTGAGATTACAGGCGCCCGCCACCATGCCTGGCTAATTTTTGTATTTTTTAGTAGAGATGGGTTTTCACCATTTTGGTCAGGCTGGTCTCAAACTCCTGACCTCATGTGATCCGCCAGCCTCGGCCTCTCAAAGTGCTAGGATTACAGGCATGAGCCACTGTGCCCAGCAGACAAAATAATTTTTAAAAAGATGCATAAATAGAGTTGATAATTTTGGTGGTATTTGAGTAAATGAGTAGAAAAGCTGGGACTGGAAGGTGTATTGTTACCACATAGTTGGTGCTGATTGGGGAGCCTCTATTTTCTTGACTAGAAACTCACTTCTAAAGAGAAAGAGCACAGATGCCTGTTAACAAATAGGCTTCAGGACGACCTTTTTTGAATTTCCAGCAGGGAGGAAAACTGGGTCACAAGAAGATAATCTCAGGGGTTGCTGGAGGATTGGCCTTGGACACGCCCAGGTGAGGAGAGAAAACACCCAAGGGAGATGTTGACAGCAGAGAGGGCATTGAAGCAAGTCTGGCCAGTAGGAAAATGGAGCCGATGGAGATGGGGGAGGCCAAGAAAGCTGCATTTTTCATTGCTTTGTCTGAAGCAGTGAGCCCTGGGCACACTTGTGCAGTAGCTAAAATTTCTCAAGTCTGTCTCTGTAGGCAACTGGAGACACCCTGACAGCCTGTTTCCCCCAACTGGCTCCAGCCCAAATTAACTCACTCTCTCATTCCCTGAGACACTTGCCTTTGAGAGGTAAAAATTTAGCTAGTTTGATAAGAGAATGCATTTTAGGTGGGGAGGGGGCATTTTAGCAGGAATTTTTGCAAACATTTCTTCCCTCAAGGGTAAGAAATGTGTATTTTAAAAGGGAGGTTTCTATAAAGTTGGCCTTAACTCCGAGGGATATTTAAAGTGGGGAATTTCTGGCACTGCTAACAGACCCATAGTGCAGCTAAGACCTTTCTGTGGCTCTCAAATCATAATGAAGCCCAGGAAGGAGAAATGAAATTGTATACTTTGCCTGTCACAGGCATAGAGTTCTGCTGAGTAATTTGTACGTGGGATTATTATTCCATTTCACAGATTTAGAGGTGCAGCTAAAGTTGACAGGCTGGTAACCAGCCCTCGGGAGACTGCATTTTCCAAAAGTGGCTGCAACAATATCTTCCATCTGACATGTCCTTCTAGAACAGGTGTTCACAAACTTTTTCTGTTAAAAGCCATCCAGCACGTATTTTAGGATGTGTGGATCATTCGCTGTCTGACCTGACTACTCTATCACTGTGGCACAGCCCTGGGCGATGTGTACATGTACAGCCTTGTTTGTGTTTGAGAGGTGAGCCCATTCGGTGGTCTGAGGGCGATAGTTTGCCAATCTGTGCTCTAGAACTTTGCTGCTTCCCTTCAAGAGGTAGAGTCTAGGCCAGGTGCAGTGGCTCACACCTATAATCCCAGCACTTTGGGAGGCTGAGGTGGGAGGATCCCTTGAGCCCAGGAGTTTGAGACCAGCCTGGGAAACATGGTGAAACCCCATCTCCACAAAACAAAAAAAAAAAAAATTAGCCTGCTGTGGTGGCGTGCACCTGTAGTCCCAGCTACTCCAGAGGCTGAGGTTGGAGGATCACTTGAGCCCAGAAGGTCGAGGCTGCAGTGAGCCGTGATTGTGCCACTTAAACCACCCTAGGCGGCAGAGGGAGACCCTGTCTCAAAAAAACAAAAAGAAACAAACAAACTGGAAAAAAAAAAGAGGTGGACGAATTCCCTTTTCCTTGAATCCGAGAGGTTTGTGATTTGCCTATAATTAAGACAATTGGAAGGAAGTGACACTGCATGACCTCTGAGGCTAGATCAGAACAGGTGATGTAACTTTTACCAGTCAGCACATAAGTAGCCCAGCTGTCCTGAGGCTGCCATGCTGTAAGGAAGCCCAAGTGAGTCCATGTGAAAGACCACCTGAAAAGCCTTGAAACTGTAGGAGATGCTCAGCCAGCCCCACTTGCTCCAGCCCTCACCTGGAGAGACTGCAAGCTCAGGAGAGATGCTGAGCCAGAACTACCCCGCCAAAGCTCTCCCCAAATTCCTGACCCCCAGAGACTGAGAAGTGATGAGATGATTGCTTTAAGACATTAAGTTTTGGGGGTGATCCGTTGCATAGAAAGAAACAGAACATTTTCCCCAAACTAGTGAGTGGCAGAGATGGGATTCAAACTGAGGCTGGCCTGAGCCCAATCACCTGATCTTTCTATTAAAAATAAACAAAAAATACTGCTGGCTGGGGGCAGTGGCTTACACCTGTAATCCCGGCACTCTGGGAGGCCAAGGCAGGTGGATCACCTGAGGTCAGAAGTTCAAGACTAGCTTGACCAACATGGTGAAACCCCATCTCTAGTAAAAATATAAAAAATTAGCTGGGCGTGGTGGTGGGCGCCTGTAATCCCAGCTACTTGGGAGGCTGAGGCAGAAGAATCCGGGAGGTGGAGGTTGCAGTGAGCTGAGATCCCACCATTGCACTTCAGCCTGGGCAACACGAGTGAAACTCCATCTCAAAAAAAAAAAAAAAATTGTTGAAAACTGCTGACACAGAGACATGAAGTGAGCACATGCTGTTGGAAAAATGGTGTTGATAGACTTGCTCCATGCATGGTTGCCACAAACCCTTGATTTGTGAAAAACACATCTGCAAGGCCTGATAAAGAAAAGTGTAATTGCCGGGCATGGTGGCTCACTCCTGTAATCCCAGCACTTTGGGAGGCCAAGGCGGGTGGATCACCTGAGCTCAGGAGATCGAGACCAGCCTGGGCAACATGGTGAAACCCCATCACTACTAAAAATACAAAAAAATTAGCTGGGCGTGGTGGCAGGCGCCTGTAATCCCAGCTACTCAGGAGATTGAGGTAGGAGAATTGTTTGAACCCGGGAGGCGGAGGTTGCTGTGAGCCAAGATCGTGCCATTGCCCTCCAGCCTGGGTGACAAAAGTGAAACTCCATCTCAAAAGAAAGAAAGAAAGAAAGAAAAGCACAATTAAACAATGTGTGCCTGTATTTAAACCTATATTGGCTAGTGAGTTTGACCAGAGTCTAACAAAGGTTTATCAAGGAAAAATGTCAGAGAATTCAGATCCTGTAAGTCAAAGACACAACCTGTTCCAGGAAGGACTTTGCAACAGCAATTACTCTAACAAGTTACAATTCGCAGAGTCCGGCCTTTAAGGGGCTTTGAAGAGAGAGAAACCCATGAATCAATAATAAGATAAGGCTATTTGGTTTGTTTCAACTTGCGGGCTGTTTGACTTCCGTATCAAAGCCATGCCTTGAGAATGAAATCATTTCTGTCAAACAGCCCTTTCAAAGAACATCCGACACAAACACTCACTGGCTGCTCCTTTATTTCCACTGTGTCCAGGGTGTGTATGGACTTGGTGGAATTTAGGGGAATAGCTGTGAATTGTGCATCAAATAAATAACCTGCAGGGAGTTGGCACTGGTGACTGCTAGCCATAAATGTTGCTATTTGCTTACACAGGTTAAGCCTGGGCTTTTGGAGGCTTCTTTGACCTTTTCTGCCTTTTTCCCAACCCTAACCCAACATAGCTATGACAAGGCAGTTCTGGGCCGGGCAGGGTGGCTCACGCCTGTAATCCCAGCACTTTGGGAGGCCGAGACGAGCGGATCAGGAGGTCAGGAGACCGAGACCATCCTGGCTAACACGGTGAAACCCCGTCTCTACTAAAAATACAAAAAAATTAGCCGGGTGAAGTGGCGGGTGCCTGTAGTCCCAGCTACTCGGGATGCTGAGGCAGGAGAATGGTGTGAACCTGGGAAGCGGAGCTGGCAGTGAGCCGAGATCGTGTCACTGCACTCCAGCCTGGGTGACTGAGCGAGACTCCGTCTCAAAAAAAAAAAAAAGAGATGATTAAGTTAATTGGGTCATTAGGGTCATAATCCAATATGACTGGCGTCCTTCTAAGAAGAGAGACAGCAGGACCTACGTGCATAGACCAAGTGAGGACAGAGAGAGGCCAGCCACCCGCAAGCCACAGAGAGAGGCCTCAGAAGAAACCACCTTGCTGATACCTTGATCTTGGTCTCCCAGCTTCCAGAACTGTGAGGAAATAAGCTTCTGTTGTTTAAGGCACCCCATCTATGGTACTTAGTTATGGCAGCCCTAGCAAACTAACATACCCACAAACAGAGAATTCACAGCCTTAAGGCTGGGACTTCAGAAAAATTCCAAAGGTAATAAGCAGAAATTTCAACATGCAAGAGTCTAGCCTTTTAGCGCAGTTTCTCTTTCTGCATCTTTCCCAGGTGGCCTGCAGGCAGGATGGTAAAGCAGTGCTGGGGGCTGGGCAGGGGCGCTGCTGACCTGCAAGTCTAGTGGGGTCACTAAGGTCTCTTGACTCAAAAGGGAAGGGACCAGGGTTCCAGTCCTAGAAAGTCCAGAAAGTAGCAGGGAGACTGAGTAGGTGTTTGGTGCATGGTCAAGAGGCCCATATTGATGCAAGTCACTAACCCCTTCCCTCTTCTAGCCGCCCTAGTCCTTCCTTCTCTCCTCTTCTTCCAGTCTCTTTGACTTTTCCCACCACCCCGTCCTGCGACACTGCTTTATTATCAGGTAAGTCAGAAGAAGGGGAAAATTTGGCTTTACCTTCTGACTTAGCGTCATGCAAATCCTGATGCTCTTTTAGTTTTTTCCTTTTTTTTTTTTTTTTTTGGTGGGAGATATGGGATGGAAGGATATTTGCCGGAGTTGGTTTTTTTTTGTTTTTTGTTTTTTGAGATGAGGTCTTGCTATGCTGCCGAGGCTTAAGTGCAGTGGCTACTCATAGACCCCATCATTGCGCACTACAGCCTTGACCTCCTAGGCTCAAGGGATCCTCCCACCTCAGCCTCCTAAGTAGCCGGAACTATAGGTGCATGCCACCATGCCTGGCCACCTGCTGGAGTTTAAGCAGGTGGTAGGATGGGTGGATGGTCCCTAAAGACACCCATCTTTTAATCTTTGAAATCTGTGGATATGCTACCTTCTAGGGAAAAAAAGGACTTGGCAGATGTTAGTAAGCATCTTAAAATGGAAAAGTTGTCCTAGACTACCTGAATGGGCCCAAAGTCATCGTGAGGTCCTTATAAGAGGGAGGCAGGAGGGTCAGAGACAAAGACGATGATGTGATGATGGGGGCAGAAGTGTGTGTGTGCGAGAGAGGAGCAGAGGGGTTGAAGATGCACCTCTGCTGCTGGCTTTGCAGATGGAGGAAGGGGCTTTAAGCCAAGGAACACAGGCAGCCTCTAGAAGCCCGAAAAGGACACAGATTCTCCCCTATGCCCTCCACAAGGAAAAGCAGCCCTGCCGACCCATTTCTGACTTCTGACCTCCAGAACAGTGAGATGATCTGTGTTGTGTAAAGCCACTCCGCTTGTGGGTGTAACTGGTGACAGCAGCAATAGGAAAGCATACAGGCTGCAAGGATGAAAATCCTCGAGAACAACTGCTATCACATTTTATTATTATTATTATTATTATTATTTTTGAGATGGAGTTTCACTCTTGTCGCTCAGGCTGGAGTGCAATGGCAAGATCTCAACTCACTGCAACCTCTGCCTCCTGGGTTCAAGTGATTCTTCTGCCTCAGCCTCCCGAGGAGCTGGGATTACAGGTGCCCACTACCACGCCCGGCTGATTTTTGTATTTTTAGTACAGACGGGGTTTCACCACGTTGGCCAGGCTGGTCTTGGACTCCTGACCTCAGGTGATCCGCCCACCTCGGCCTCCCAAAGTGTTGGGATTACAGGCCAGAGCCACCACGTCCGGCCTGGTATCACATTTAAACAGGCAGTGATGTGTGACCAGAAATTATACATATTTCTAGAGCTTTCACCCTTCAAACAGTGGTTCCCAGAGGTTGGTCTCCCACCAGTAGTGTCAGCACCTGGGAACACGTGGGTCAAATCCTCAGGCTCCACCCAGGACTACTGGGTCAGAAACTCTGGAGGTGGGGCCAGCACCCTGTGTTTGAACAGGTCCTTCTGGTAATTCTGAGGCATGCTAAGGTTCACCTTAAAGATAAGTGACCTGGGGCTGAGTTCAGTGGCTCACACCTGTAGTCCCAGCACTTTGGGAGGCTGCTAATAATAGCTATGATTATTATACCTGCCCTGACATTATCTTCTGTTTCCAGGCTTGACATATAAGGATCCTATACAAGATTTCACCTACACAAGAGATTCAATCCATCTTAGGTTCTGCTAATGACCTCCCCTCCTAAGGTTCATCAAAGCTGAAGCGGGAAGAAGGCTTGAGGATAGGAGTTTGAGACCAGCCTGGGCAACATAGTGAGACCTTGTCTGTTAAATCAAGTTTAGCCTAAAGTGGCCTCCTTACATATTTTAAGTTCAGCCTAAAGGTTTCTCTGTACATAGTGAACTATATACAACCTAAATGGAGGTATAAACCCACTGTAACCTACTCTTGTGCCAATCAGAGAGTTTTGGCCAAAGGGGGCCAACTGTTCAAACCGTGTTCAAATAAGGCAAACGCCAAGCTGTAGCCAATCCAACTGTTTCTGTACCTCACTTCTGTTTTCTATATGTTACTTTCCTTTTTCTGTCTATAAATCTTCCACTGCGTGGCTGCACTGGAGTCTCTCTGAGCTACCCTGGCTTGGGAGGCTGCCTGATTCGCAAAGCATTCTTTGCTTAACTAAACTTTGTTAAGCTTAATTTGGCTAAGGTTTTTCTTTCAACACGTCCCTGCAAAAACTTAAAATAAAAGAAATTAGCTGGGCATGGTGGCATGCCTGTAATCCCAGCTAGTAGGGAGGCTGAGGTGTAAGGATTGCTTGAGCTCAGGAGGTTGAGGCTGCAGTGAGCCGTGATTACACCACTGCACTCCAGTCTGGGTGACAGAGTGAGACCCTATCTCTACAAAATAAATACATAAGTTAAAAGTGACCTGGGCTGCTGCTTTGCCAACAGAGGGTACCTGTGGAGCCTCTGATGTGCGTATGGGTAGTGTATGTGTATGTTGGCTGTGTGTGTACCCACTGACTCTACAATTAAGCTGATTCTTTTTTTTTTTTGATATGGAGTCTCGCTCTGTCGCCCAGGCTAGAGTGCAGTGACGTGATCTTGGCTCACTGCCAGCTCCGCCTCCCAGGTTCATGCCATTCTCCTGCCTCAGCCTCCCAAGTAGCTGGGACTACAGGCGCCCACCAACACGCCCGGCTAATTTTTTGTATTTTTTAGTAGAGACGGGGTTTCACTGTGTTAGCCAGGATGGTCTCGATCTCCTGACCTCGTGATCTGCCTGCTTCATTCTCCCAAAGTGCTGGGATTACAGGCATGAGCCACTGCACTCGTCCTAAGCTGATTATTTCATGATTCATGCTTGGCTTGGGATCTGGGAATGATGGGGAAAGTTACTCTCTCAAAGATTGGCTCTGTCCCCTGGGGAATGTGGGAGGAGGGAGAGTCCAGAATTCGGCTTCCAAGTGGCCACAAGTCTGGCCTCCTTCACCCAGCCTGTGCCTGTGTCCACAGGACAAGATCCAGGCTGACAGCCATGCACTGCCACACCACTGTCCCAGACTGGGGCAAGCAGAAGGGGGCTGTTTCCTCTCATCTTTCCCCAATTTCTTGCTTGCCAGAGGCAATCCTAACTTGGCTAGCGGAAAGATAATCACTTTTGAAAACATGAGTGAGGTCAGCCCTTCCAGCCACAGCCTGGAGTTTGAAATTACACATTCATTGATTTCTTTTTTTTTCTTTTTCTTTTTTTTTGAGATAGAGTCTCTCTCTGTCGCCCAGGCTGGAGTGCAGTGGCACAATCTTGGCTCATTGCAACCTCCGCCTCCCAGGTTCAAGTGATTCTTGTGCCTCAGCCTCCCCAGTAGATGGGACTACAGGCATGTGCCACCATGCCCTGTTAATTTTTGTATTTTTAGTAGAGAAGGGGTTTCACCATGTTGGCCAGGCTGGTCTTGAACTCCTGACCTCAAATGATCCGCCTGCCTCTGCCTCCCAAAGTGCTGGGATTACACGCGTGAGCCACCAGCCTGGCCTGATTTCAGTACTGGAATGGCCTCATGTCAGCTGGGTGATCTTGTGTGCTGCCTCTCTGTGTCCCCATGTCCTCACTGGTGAAACAGGCATGCTAAAAGCATTGATTTAAGAGAGTTGTTGAGAGGATCACATGAGATAATCAAGGAAAAAGTCTTAGATCAGGGCCTGGAACAAAGTAAATGTTTAATCCTATTAATGCAATTAATTGTGGTTAATGACATGTCATAATTAATAGCTATGATTATTTTCACGAGCCCTGACATTATCTTCCATTTCCAGGCTTCGCATGTATAAGAGGTCCTAGACACAAATTCACCTACACAAGGGATTCAGTCCGTCTTAGGTTCTGCTAATGACAACTCTTCTTGAAGTTCTTCAAGGCCGTGTGAAAAGGAAAAGCCAGCCGGGCACAGTGGCTCACGCCTGTAATCCCAGCACTTTGGGAGGCTGAGGCGGGCGGATCACCTGAGGTCAGGAGTGCGAGACCAGCCTGGCCAATGTGTCTCTACTAAAAATACAAAAATCAGCCGGGCGTGGTGGCGCATGCCTGTAATCCCAGCTACTCAGGAGCCTGAGGCAGGAGAATCGCTTGAACCTGGGAGGCGGAGCTTGCAGTGAGCCGAGGTCACACTACTGCACCCCAGCCTGAGAGACAGAGCAAGACTCCGTCTCAAAAAAAAAAAAAAAAAAAAAGGAAAACCCCCCTAGAAAATGCTTTTCCCGTTGCTTCCCTGCTAATGGGCCTTTTTCATCAGGGCAGCCTCCAGCCTTAGGATGTGGCCGGTCCCCGTGCGGATGCCCGTTTCCCCTCCTGCCTGCATTCATCTGACCGGTTCAGTGGGATCTGGTACTTTTCCTCCCTCCTCCTCGTGCTGGGCTTCCACATCATCCAGACAGCTGCTGCCACATTCCACCGCTCCAGCAGCGGAAGTAAGGCACATTTAGGCCCTTTCTGGGTGAGTGACAGCATTTGAGATGAGATTAATCAAATGCCAGTGTTAGGGGAAAGCAGCCTTTCCCTGAGTCACCTCTGCTCCACCTTTCTCATGACACAGAGCATGAGCCTGTCCAACGGTTGGCCTGTGCGTCAACCTCTGGCCAGGAGACAACGGGCGCCTGTGACCTGGGCGTGAACCGTCTGTTTGTGCGCATAGGTCTGACACTGCTGCTGGGCGAGCCTGCGTGCCCCTGCCCCGCGGTCCATTGACTGTGCCGCTGAGCACAGGCAGGGATGTGTGCCTGTCGCCCTGGGCCGCTGTCCCCTGACGGCAGATGAGATATTCTTCCAGCTCAACACTGATGTTGCAGGGTTTTTCCTCACCTACCGCATGACGACTGAATGAAAGCATTCCAGGAAACCAAAAGGGCTGGGCAGGCCTCTGGAATTTCAAAGCCGACAGCCTGGCCCTGCTGGCAGCTCATTTCTGCCGCGTCATTTTCTCTGAACTGTAGGAGTAGTTTTGTAGCAAACTTATCACCAAAATCCCACAAATGTTAAGCATTACCCTTCTTAGAAAGGAAAAGCCTACTTACTTTTCCCCATTGGAAGACTTCAATTTTTTAAGATTCAAGAAATCCCCAAAAGTCATGATAAAGAAGAGGGAAAACAGACTGAGCATACCCATCCCCTTTTAAATTCAAATTTATTTTGTTTTTTTCTGCTTAGCTACAGGGAAGGTTTGATCATATCACATCTGAGTTAGGCCATATGCACCCAGGGGGAATCTCAAGAGCAAACTAATCTAAACTCCAAGAAATAGACCACTAAGACCCACCCAGGTAGTACTCACTGAACGCTCTTCCTGCCTCTCATAAGAACCAAAAATAGCGGTTTCCCGCAGATGCTCCCAGAAGCAAAGTCTACCTACCACACACACAATATGCAGAAGGGAAAAACCCAAGCCACAAGTCCCTAAACGCCTGAGTCGTGACTCATGGAGGCTGTCCTCCACCCCTGCCAAGTATAAGAAATGATTTCTACCCACCCACTTCTCTAAGGAGATGGTCCCTCATTCCTCTCTCCCGAGCAGGCTTCACAGCCCCCTTCATAGAGATGAAGCCCTAGTCATTAAATGCCCAGTGATGTTACGACTGCCAAATTCTATGACTATTTGGAAAGTTTTATCAGGTATGGATACACTCCACCTATTTGCTTAGGTGGCCAAGATCTCTGTGCAGTTGCACAGACAGTTTCTGTCCTCCCACCCCGTGAGAGGTTGTGTGTGTGTTTGCGGGGGCTGGGAAGCTAATGGAGGGAAGGAGAGACCTCCTCAGGTGAGTCACCTTGCAGTGGAACTGCTTCCTGTGTGTGTGAAGTTCTTCAAGGAGGCACCACTTCACGCAATGCCCCAAACAGAAAAATCGAAGCAAATTAGCAAATTATTTTCTAGGAGATTAGATGTTGGACAACTTCAAGCTTTCACAATAGAAAATGGCTTGTTTTAAGGCAGTTAAACCCAAAGCATGCCTTTTTTGGGGTTTTGTTTATGAATATGTTGTAATCTAAGAAGAGTAATGTTCTTACAGAAAAATTAGACCTTCATGATTGCAATCTAAGTGAGAGGCAATTAGGCTTATTTTTCTTAGAGATTAGTACATCATGTTAGTTCAGAAAGCATTTGTAAAACAGAAAAAAAAAGGAAATCATAAATATCAATTTCATCTTAACACAATGCAACTATCACTGTTCTCAACCTGAGTTCTTAATTTCTGGCATGTCACAAATTCCTTGAACTACCAATGTTGAACTAACCTCCCCTGACCCAGGGAGTTGAATAGTTTTTTCAAAGGATATGATCAAATCTCTGTTCATGCATGCCTACATTTATTCATTTTCCAAAAGCATAAATTAATTCTGAGGGACAGAAAGTAGACTTGTGCTTGCCTAGGTTTGTGGGAGATGAAAATGTGGCTGGGAGCCATGGCTCACACCTGTAATCCCAGCATTTTAGGAGGCTGAGGCAGGAGGATCATTTCAGCCCAGGAATTCAAGACCAGCCTGGACAACATAGGGAGACCCATCTCTACAAAATAAAAAAATTAGCCCAGCGTGGTGGCACATCCCTGTAGTGCCAGCTACTTGGGGGGCTGAGGTGGGAGGATCACTTTAGCCCGAGGTTGAGGCTACAATGAGTAGTGATCGCGCCAGTGCACTCCAGCCTGGGCTACAGAGTGAGACCCAGTCTCAAAAAAGAAAAAAAAAAAAAAGATCAGGAATGGCGGCTCACATCTGTAATCTTAGCATTTTGGGAGGCTGAGGTGGGAGGATTGCGTAAGCCCAGGAATTTAAGACAAGCCTGGGCAACATGGCAAAACTCAGTCTCTACAAAAAATACAAAAATTAGCTGGGCATGGTGGTGGGCGTCTGTAGTCCCAGCTACTCAGGAGGCTGAGGTGGGAGGATCACTTGAATGTGGGGGGTCAAGGCTTCAGTGAGCCGAGATCACACCACTGCACTCCACCCTGCTGGGTGACAGAGCAAGAACCTGTTAAAAAAAAAAAAAAAAGCAAAGAAAAGAAAGCTGGATGTGGTAGCTCATGCCTATCATCCCACTACTTTGGGAGGTGGAGGTGGGCGGATCACTTGAGGTCAGGAGTTCAAGACCAGCCTGCCCAACATGGAAAAATTTTGTCTCTACTAAAAATATAAAAATTGTGGTGGCGTGCACCTGTAATCCCAGCTACTCGGGAGGCTGAGGCAGGAGAATCATTTGAACCCGGGAGGGCGGAGGCTGCAGTGAGCTGAGATCACGCCACTGCACTCCAGCCTGGGCAACAGAGTGAGACTCTGTCTCACAAAAAAAAGAAAAGAAAATATTTGAAGCTAAGACTGTGGTGATGGTTGTACAACTCTGTGAGCACACACACAAAAAACGCTGAATTGTGCACTTTAAACGAGTGGATTTTATGACATATGAGTCATATTTCAATAAGGTCATTAACAATGTACCTGAAAGAATTACATGGTCTCATGAAAGTACTGCTAACATTTTATTAGTGCTAGTAATTTTTTTTTAATAGAGATGAGGGCTCACTATGTTGCCCAGGCTGGTCTTGAACTCCTGAGCTTAAGTGATCTTCCCGCCTTGGCCTCCCAAAGTGCTAAGATTACAGGAGTGAGCCACCACACCTGGCCTAGTGCTAGTAATTTTTTGTCAGTTGTTTCTGGTGTGTGATTACTAATACAATGCTCTTGAGAAGAACAGATTGCAGAAGTTTATAGGCTTCTGAGCTCAGGGAAGGCACTGACCGAGTCCCAGGCAGGCAAATGCAGTGAGTGAATTTGTTCAGTCCAATGTGTTGTCAGTTTCCTTCGTACAGTTCCATGAGATAGAGGAATGTTAGGCATATATGTTTGCTTTCTTATCCCCCATCTTTCCTGTCCTTCTCCCACACGCTACAGTCCTACACGCTATCCGGATGCTTCTCTAATGGGTGGGCGTATCAGAATTTTGAGGAGGAAGACAGTGAAGAGCAGGTAGTTTTTGTAATTTGAAAAAACATACAGTAGTTTGTCTTGTAATATAATATTTAGTTGTGGGGCATTCCTTCTTTCTCTGCTATATATATTTTTAGAGATGGGGTCTTCCTCTGTTGCCCAGGCTGCAGTGCAGTGATGTAATCACATCTCACTGCAACTTCAAATTCCTAAGCTCAAGTGATCCTCCTGCCTTAACCTCCCAAGTAGCTGGGACTGCCCATCTAATTAATCCCTCCGCTATTTTTTCTTTCTTTCTTCCTTCCTTCCCTCCCTTCCTCCCTCCTTCCTTCCTTTTTTTTTTTTTTTTTTTTGAGATGGAGTCTCGCTCTGTTGTCCAGGCCGGAGTGCAATGGGGCGATCTCGGCTCACTGCAACCTCCCACCTCCCCGGTTCCAGTGATTCTCCTGCCACAGCCTCCCGAGTAGCTGGGATTACAGGCGCGCACCACACCTGGCTAATTTTTGTATTTTTAGTAGAGATGGGCTTTCACTATGTTGGCCAGGCTGGTCTCGATCTCCTGACCTCAAGTGGTCCACCCGCCTTGGCCTCCCAAAGTGGTGGGATTACAGGCGTGAGCCACTGCGCCTGGCCTTGTGCTATATTCTTTTTTTTTTTTTTTTTTTGAGACGGAGTCTCGCTCTGTCACCTAGGCTGGAGTGCAGTGGTGTGATCTTGGCTCGCTGTAACCTCTGCCTCCCGGGTTCGAGCGATTCTCCTATTTCAGCCTCCCAAGTAGGTGGGATTATAGCCATGTGCCATCACACTCAGACGATTTTTGTATTTTCAGTAGAGACGAGGTTTGACCATGTCCGCCAGGGGTCTTGTACTCCTGACCTCAAGTGATCCACCCACCTCAGCCTCCCAGAGTGCTGGGATTACAGGCATGAGCCAGTGTGCCCAGCCTATTCTTAAAGAATAATTACAAAATGAAGATTCCGAAACCACCACGTAGGCCAAGCTATAGAATGCCTCCGAGCCTGCAGTTCACATTCCCCGTGCATCTTTTCCCTGTTACAAACCCCTCCTATCCCAGAAGTAACTAGTCTGCTGATATTTGTCATTATTTTCTTGCCTTTAGTATTTCTGCATGCATTCCTAAACAATATAGCTTGATTATGCCTGGTTTTGAACTTTAAATTAAAAGAAGCTTACTACATATATGTATTCTTTTGTATTTTGCTTCTTTTACTTAATGTTGTGGGTTGATTCACCTATATTGTAATTACATACAACTTGTCAATTTCCATTGCTATATGAAAATACCATTTCATTGCATGGAAATAAACAATAAAAATACATTTTACTATAGATGGATATTTAGGGTTTTTTTGGTATTTGAACAATGCCACCATGAATATTCCTGTCCTGTATTTGGCACACAAGTAAAAGACTTTTCTAGAAAATGTTCGGGTTGTTTGCTATGAGTTTCTTCATAATGTCAAATAATATTTTTAAAAATGTGGATATTGTCCCAACATACACTCCCATAACAGTGCATGAGAATTCCTATTGCTGCTGCATATCTTTGCCAACATTTGATATTGTTACACTTTATAATTTTTTGTGGCCAGGCACAGTGGCTCACACCTACAATCCCAGCACTTTGGGAGGCCAAGACAGGAGTTTGAGACTAGCCTGGGTAACACAGCAAGACGCCATCTCTAAAAAAATAAATAGCTGAGGTGGGAGGATCACTTGAACCTGGGAGGTTGAGGCTGCAATGAGCCATGATTGTGGCACTGCACTCCAGCTTGAGTGACAAAGTGAGGCTCTGTCTACAAACAAATAAATAAAAATAAAAAATAGGCTGGGCGCGGTGGCTCAACCCTGTAATCCCAGCACTTTGGGAGGCTGAGGCGGGCGGATCACGAGGTCAGGAGATCGAGACCATCCTGGCTAACACGCTGAAACCCTGTCTCTACTAAAAATACAAAAAAATTAGCCGGGCGTGTTGGTGGGCGCCTGTAGTCCCAGCTACTCGGGAGGCTGAGGCAGGAGAATGGCGTGAACCCGGGAGGCGGAGCTTGCAGTGAGCCGAGATCGCGCCACCGCACTCCAGCCTGGGCAACAGAGTGAGACTCTGTCTCAAAAAATAAATAAATAAATAAATAAAAATAAATAAAAAATAATGAAATAATTTTTTGCTAACCTGGTAGGTGTGTATTGGTATCTCACTGTGGATTTAATTTACTTATTTTGGATTCCTAATGAGATGAGCACTTTTTGCAGGTTTTGATATTTCGATGTCCCTTTCTTGTGAAGGGCAAAGTTTGAACACAATAGGCAAATGTAGCAATCTTTTTAAAAATTTTCATGCTCTTCATATTTTATTTCAGAAACTTCCCCTACCCCCATATCATTTTGGGAAGCTTTATTGTTTGGCCTTTCACATTTAGGTCTTAAATTCAACTAGAATTGCTTAGGAGGGCTGGAGTATAAAGTTGTAATGGTTAATTTTATGTGTCAACTTGACTGGGCCATGTGGTACCCAGACATTTGGCCAAATATTATTCTGTGTGTGTCTGTGATGGTGCTTCCAAGTGAGAGTATTACATTGGAATCAGTAGACTGAGTACAGCAGATTGCTCTCCCCAGTGTGGTTGGGCCTCATTCAATCAATTGAAGACCGGAATAGAATAAAAAGACTGAATATGAGAGAATTTCTCCTGTCCGACTGGTTAAGTTGGGGCATCGGTTTTTTCCAGCCTTCAGACTTGGCCTGAAACATTGGTCCTCCTTGGGTTGTGAGCCTGCAGGTCCTCAGACTGAAACTATCCATCAGCTCTCCTGGTTCTCAGGCTCCTGGATTCAAGCTGGAAGTACACATCAGGTCTCCTGGGTCCTCAGCTTGATGACTCGAGATCTTGGGAATTCTCGGCCTCTATAACTGTGTGCCCCAATTCCCTATAATAAATCTTTGTCTTTCTCTCTCTCCTGTTGTCTCTGTGTCTCTGAAGAACCCTGGCTAATACAAAGGTATAGTCCAATTTTATTTTATTTTTTTTCCAAATAAATACTCCTCAGTGACAGCACCATCTACTGAATATTGTCCCTTCCCCACTGAATTGCAAAGATGCCTCTCAAGCTTCCATATGAGCACGGGACTATTTCTGTAATCTGTAGTCTGTTCTGTTGGGCTACTGCCCTGTCCTTGTGCTAACACCATGTCTTATTACTATAGGCTAATTATGAATCTTGATGCTCAATAGGGCAAATCCTCTAATTTTGCTGCTTTTCAAGAGTATCTTGGCTGTATGTGGCACTTTGCAAAAACTAAAACACAACAACAACAACAAAATTCAGGTTTTTGGTTGATATTGCATTAAATTTATAGATCAGTTTTAAGTGAATTGACACCTTTCTAATTTGCAGTTTTGAATCTTTTTATTTATTTTTTATTTTTATTTTTTTTATGAGACTGAGTCTCCTTCTGTCGCCCAGGCTGGGGTGCAGTGGTGCAATTTCGGCTCATTGCATCCTCTGCCTGCTGGGTTCAAGCAATTCTCCTGTCTCAGCCTCCCAAGTAGCTGGGACTACAGGCATGTGCCAGCACGCCCAGTTAATTTTTTTTTTTTTTTAAGTAGAGATGGGGTTTCACCATGTTGGTCAGGCTAGCCTTGAACTCCTGACCTCAGGTGATCTGCCCACCTTGGCCTTCCAAAGTGCTGGCATTACAGGTGTGAGCCACCGTGCCTGGCTGACTCTTTTTATATGACTTTAGGAGTTAGTCTAGAAATTCTAATCCACATATTTAACTTACTAATATCTAGACTTAATACCCTTAACCTTTTCTTAGAAAATACAAGGTACTTAAAACACTTTAACTCCTGACTTCTACTGGGTTATATGTATTTTTAATTCTGTCTTTTAAAAAATATTCTGGACAGTTGTGGTGGCTCATGTCTGTAATCTTTGCACTTTGGGAAGCTGAGGCAGGAGGATCACTTGAGCTCCGAGTTCAAGACCAGCCTGGGCAACATAGTGAGACCTTGACTCTACAAATAGTAAAAATATTAGCTAGGCATGGTGGCGTGTGCCTATAGTCCCAGCTACTCGAGAGGCTGAGGCAGGAGAATTGCTTGAGCCTGAGAGGTAGAAACTGCAGTAAGCCGTGATTGCACCACTGTACTCCAGCCTGGGCAACAAAGCAAGATCCTGTCTCAAATAAGTAAATAAATTAAATAAAATTCACAAGATGTAATTTGTTATTTTTATTTTATTTTTTCAAGACGAGGTCTCGCTCTGTGGAGTGCAAATGGCGAGATCATAGTTCATTGCAACCTCGACCTCCCAGGCTCAAGCGATCATCTTATCTCAGCCTTCTGAGTAGCTGAGACCACAGGTGTGTGCCACCACACCGAATTTTCTTATTTTTTGTAGAGGCAAGTTCTCCGTTGCCCAAGCTGGCCTCCAACTCCTGGCTCAAGTGATCCTCCCACCTCGGCTTCCCCAAGAGATGGGGTTACAGGCATGAGCCACTGTGCCTGGCCTCACAAGATGTTGTTATCTTTGTTTTACACTATCAATGCCCATGCGTCCTTACTTAATTATTAACCACTGTATTGCTGTTCATTCTTCCTGCATCTCATATCTTCCATCAGGGATCATTTTTCTTCTACATAAAATAAATCATTTGTAATTTCCTTTAGCGGTGGTCTGCAGTCTTCATTTGAGGGTGTCTTTATTTTGTCTTCATTCTGGAAAAATATTTTTTCTTTTCTTTTTTTTTTTTTGAGATGGAATTTTGCTCTTTGTTGCCCAGGCTGGAGTGCAGTGGACCGATCTCTGCTCACTGCAACCTCCGCCTCCCAGGTTCAAGCGATTCTCCTGCCTCAACCTCCGAAGTAGCTGGGATTACAGACTCACGCCACCAGGCCCAGCTAATTTTGTGTATTTTTCGCAGAGACGGGGTTTCACCATGTTGGCCAGGCTGGTCTTGAACTCCTGACCTCAGGTGATCTGCCTGCCTCGGCCTCCCAAAGTGCTACGATTACAGGTGTGAGCCATCATGCCCATCCTAATTCTTATAATCCAACGTCTTAATCCTTGGTGGGTTGTTTCTCTCATTTATGATGCCTTGTTTCCTTGTATGCTTGGTTATTTTTGACAGTGAGAAGATTACTTTCCTTGGGAGCTTATTTTGGAAGGTTATATGTGGCCTAGAAAAAGTCTTTTTTTTTCTGTAGAGGATTATCATTTGAAATATATCATTCATGGCTTGAAGTTTTTTGGACCGTTCAGGTGATGTAAATTTGGGCTGAGGTTTGAATGAGAGCTCATGGTTACAACTTCTCATGAATGGATAACCCCCAATTTTAGTACCAAGACAAGTGTTTGTTTTTGTGTTTTGAGTTGAGATGGGGAGTGGATCATATGGCAATGACTACTTGCTCATCTTTACCTTTAGGGTATAATCTTTTTGGGGTGCCAGGTTTATGGGATAGAATTTTCCTATTAGGCTACGCCTTGGGCAAGTTTTGGGCTTTAAAGTCTGCTTCTACCTACTCTAGGTACCATCAAAGCCTAAATTGGGCTGGGCACGGTGGCTCATGCCTGTAATCCCAGCACTCTGGGAGGCCAAGGCGAGCAAATCATTCGGTCAAGACATTGAGACCATCCTGGCCAACATGGTGAAACCCCCTCTCTACTAAAAATACAAAAGAAAAAAATCAGCTGGGCATGGTGGCGGGCTCCTGTAGTCCCAGCTACTCTGGAGGCTGAGGCAGGAGAATCGCTTGAACCCAGAAAGCAGAGGTTGCAGTGAGCTGAGATCATGCCACTGCACTCCAGCCTGGTGACAGAGCTAGACTTCATCTCAAAAAAAAAAAAAAAAAAGCCTAAACTGAAGATCAAGCTGAATAGATAGGGAGGGGGAGTGCTTTGCATGCTTCCCTCAGGGGAATTTATCAGAATTAAGAGTGGAAGGTGGGGATTTCTGCCAGGGATGATTATGTATATGTATGTACAGTATATAAAAACTTAGCTTGGATTTTTTAAAAGTTTAGAAACACTATTCTGTAACTGTATTCAGTCCTGTTTTCTAAAATTTCACTGAAATTGCAATTCTACAAATTCTGTAATGAAGTTCCTTTATATTTTGTGATTCCTTAGATAATGTGCTAAAAGCTATAGATACTTTTCTCCAGAGGTAATTCACATATGCACACATGTATACACTTTTATTATAATTTCAAATGGTTTAAGAGACCCTCTAAAGTCCATTCATGGAGTCAGTGTAAGAACGTAAGCTCTAAAAATACTGAATACTACTTGAATTTCCATAAGTAAAGGAATAGTTAAATAACTACGGCCATGCATGAAAACAGAATTTTATGAAGACATTAAAAAGAAGGTAACTTTATATTTACCAATATAGATAGATGCTAAAGATACAATGTCAAGTAAAAAGAGCAATTTGCCCAGCATATTAGAATAATTTTGGTTGTGTATATATATTATGTATGTTATGATTCCATTTGTGTATGTGTATAGAAAATATCTGAATACACAAGAATTTTGGACAATGTGGCTGGATGAGTATTATACACAAGAATACACAAGAAATTTGGACAATGCGGCTGGATGAGTATTATAGAGACTTTTTTCTTTAAAATAAGTTATCTTTGAACATCCCCCCCCACTATAAATTTGTATACTTTTTTTGCATATATTAAAGAAAAAAATCAAATTAATTAAAAGGTGAATCTTTTTTATAATACATAATGTTTTATTTATAATCTACTCCAAAGAAAAAAGTGACTTTGTATTTATTGCTATTCAAGTGAGATCCTTTTCTGTAGCTGAAAACTTTGATCTCCCTTTCCTTCTTTGTTTACCTAAAGGTTAAGAGACATTTTTGGACTTTCCATCCTGGCTTGACTCATCACTGGTTGATCATCTTGCTTTTGATTCTCTTCTTCAAGTTTTCAATTTCTTATTTATGTGTAATGCCCTGACATTATAATAATAAAATCCAGATAGATGTAAATTATATTGAGAATATTGCCTTCATTTCTATATGAATTCACTTAATTTATGTCCTTTTAAGACACACTTTGTGATTTTAATACAAACTGGTTCATGGATTATTAATTCAAATTATGCTGTTATAGTCAACCACATGAGATGAGGTAATTGGAAAGATACCATGTTCTTACATAACGATTTGGTCTCTGAATGACTGAAGGACTCTCCCTGTCATTTATTTGTACAGATGAATTTATTCGAAGGTGAACAAAGTAATTCTAATCTTTACCAAACATTAAATTTCCTACTTGATATTTCAACTCAATGACATCCAATTTTTTTAAGCAGAGTAAATTTTCTAACTTTATTATCTGACATACATGAGGCGTGTTGAATAACATTAGAAAAGAGACATTTTCCCTGGCTCCTGTTAGAGCAGGGTTTGGAATGAAGCAGGGAAGTGTGTATAATAAACATAGAAATCACTACAATAGAAGATACATGAAATGTCCAGATGTTCTCTCTTACTGACCACAGAAAGTTTCATATACAAACTAGTCAAGAGTCTGGTTGTCTGTCCCATTTTTTTTTTTTTTTTGAGAGGGAGTCTCGCTCTTTCACCCAGGCTGGAGTGCAGTGGCGGGATCTCGGCTCACTGCAAGCTCCGCCTCCCGGGTTCACGCCATTCTCCTGCCTCAGCCTCCCGAGTAGCTGGGACTACAGGCGCCCGCCACCACGCCCGGCTGATTTTTTTGTATTGTATTTTTAGTAGAGACGGGGTTTCACCTTGTTAGCCAGGATGGTCTCGATCTCCTGACCTTGTGATCCTCCCACCTCCTCGGCCTCCCAAAGTGCTGGGATTACAGGCGTGAGCCACCGCGCCCGGCCTGTCTGTCCCATTTTTTTGTCAGCAAATAGGAGCT
Source organism: Homo sapiens (assembly GCF_000001405.40). NCBI lineage: Eukaryota > Metazoa > Chordata > Mammalia > Primates > Hominidae > Homo > Homo sapiens. Next base: position 3,635,474 of record NC_000018.10, read on the forward strand.
CCACCTTCTTGGCCAACTCATTCATTCATTCTTGCAGCAGTGGGTGTGGTGACCTCTACTGTGACTAGCTGAGGACAACCTCCTGGGGACCAGGGAAGCTGCTGGGGATGTACTTTAATGAGAATACTCACCAGCAGATGGCCACCATCTCTGTCTTGCAGTCAGTTACTTGCTAACAACTTCCTTATGTTTAACCCAATTCTCTCTTGGAATGTAACCCCCTAACTTTGAATTCTAATCTTCAAAAAGAAAGAAACTGGCAATATCCAATTTGTAAGCCCTCATTCTTCCCCTCATAACTATGTTTAAATAGTCAGCAATTCCATGAATTCAATCTCCTCATCCCATGGATGACTTGGTCTTGACAGGCCTTCCTCAATAATCACTGGATTTTCTGCCTCTAATCCAGACCCTTCCTAATTCACTCTTCGAAATGCCTTCTGAGTTGTATTTTGAAGAAAGCAACTCAATACTTCATTCACTGGCTTAAAGATCTTCAATATCTCCTCATTTCCTAAAGAATGAAATTCAAATTCCTTGAGGGGATTTTGACAGTTGGGCCCTTTATCTTCTGCCTCTTCCTATTCTCTCCCCACATACCTTTCGCTCTTTTCTCAGATATGTGTATGGTCCTGTTTCCCTGACTTGACACATGCAACCCTTCTGCTTGGAGTTTCCACTCTCCCTTTCTTTACCTGGCCAACTCCTATCATCCTTCAGGTGTGCTGTCACCTCTCCTGTGAAGCCTTCCTAGGTTATCTGCTTTGTCCTCATGCTCTCTTAGCCTTTAAAGGCTGTCTTTTACACCTTTCATTAACTAATTATAGATTTCTGTCTCCCCAAGAGATAAGAACCCATGTCCTCACTATTTCTGAGTCCAGACCCTATAGAGTGCCCAGTTCAATAGAATTTGTTTTCAATTATACTTTTGTATATAATTTTTGTTGGTTTGTTTTTTGAGACGGAGTCTCGCTATCTTCTAGGCTGGAGTGCAGTGGCACTATCTCGACTCACTGTAACCTCCACCTCCCGGGTTCAAGTGATTCTCCTGCTTCAGCCTCCCGAGGAGCTGGGACTACAGACGCACGCCACAATGCATGGCTAAATTTTGTATTTTTTTTTAGTAGAGATGGGATTACTCTATGTTGGCCAGGCTGGTCTCAAACTCCTGATCTCAAGTGATTCACCCGCCTCGGCCTCCCAAAGTGTTGGGATTACAGGCATAAGCCACCATGCTCGGCCACTTTTACATCTTTTTTTTTTTTTTTTTGAGATGGGATCTTGCTCTCTTGACAGGCTGGAGTGCAGAGGAGTGATCTCCGCTCACTGCAACATCCGCCTCCCAGGTTCAAGTGATTCCCCTGCCTCAGCCTCTCAAGCAGCTGGGACTACAGGTGCACACCACCACACCTGGCTAATTTTTGTATTTTCAATAGAGACGGAGTTTCACCATGTTGGCCAGGATGGTCTCGATCTCCTGACCTCATGATCCACCCGCCTCGGCATCCCAAAATGCTGGGATTACAGGCGTTAGCCACTGCGCCCGGCCACTTTTACATGTCTTAAATGAGTTCATATGTCTTTCTAAGGAAACTCAATCTTTTCCTAAGAACAAAACTGAACTATCACAAAATGAACCCCTGGATGTCCCTGATTATCCAATAGGCAACAGTGATACCCCATCCTTTTGATTGTTGTAAAATTTTGCAGTGTATGTTTATGGATATTTGCAGGGATAGTGAGTGAGCAAGAAAGGGGCAAAGGCTGATCAAGGAATTTCATTTCTTCCTAATTTTAAGACCCACAATCTGGTAATATAAAATGATACGTGCAAATCCCTAGAAAAGTCTCCATCTGAGGCTCTCCTCTTGTTTGCCTTCTAGAAACACGTTTAGTTTATTTGGTAAAGGAGACACACTTCGCTCCTGGTAGCACTTTCCTATATCTACGATTTTGCTCTTTTAAAAATGTTTTTCTAGGCCAGGCGCAGTGCCTCACAACTGTAATCCCAGGACTTTGGGAGGCTGAGGTGGGAGGATTGCCTGAGCCCAGGAGTTCAAGACCAGCCTGGGCAACATGGCAAAACCCTGTCTCCCCCACCAAAAAAAAAAAAAAAAAAAAAAATTAGCCGGGCATGGTGGCATGCACCTATAGTCCCAGCTACTCAAGACACCAAGGTGAGAAGATTGATTGAGCCTGGGAGGTCGAGGCTTCAATGAGCCATGATTGTGCCACTGCAATCCAGCTTAGGCAACAAAGTGAGATACTGTCTCAAAAATTAAAAAAAAAATTCTAGTTATTTAAATATTATATCAATATAATACACAGAGTTTTGTTAAAACTTATCCAATTCCAAATATATTAGAAAGACTAATGCCTGACTTACGTTTCTTTGGCACCTAATGTATTTTCAATTCATAACTCTATGGTTTGTTGCATTATCACTATTGTAGGTTTTTGTGCTAGGTAGCTTTTTTTTTTTTTTTTTTTTGAGACGGAGTCTGGCTCTGTTGCCCAGGCTGGAATGCAGTGGCATGATCTTGGCTCACTGCAAGCTCCGCCTCCCGGGTTCCCGCCATTCTCCTGCCTCAGCCTCCCGGGTAGCTGGGAGTACAGGCGCCCGCCACCCCGCCAGGCTAATTTTTTGTATTTTTTAGTAGAGACAGGGTTTCACCGTGTTAGCCAGGATGGTCTTGATCTCCTGACCTCATGATCCGCCCACCTAGGCCTCCCAAAGTGCTGGGATTACAGGCGTGAGCCACCGTGCCCGGCCCTTTTTTTTTTTTTTTTTTGAGGCAGTGTTTCACTCTGTTGCCTAGGCTGGAGTGCAGTGGTGCAATCATAGCTCACTGTAGCCTTGACCTCCTGAGCTCAAGTGATCCTCCTGCCTCAGCCTCCTGAGTGTCTAGGACTATGGACTTGTACCGCCATGCCTGGCTAGTTTTTAAAAGTTGTTTTGTAAAGATAGGGTCTTATGATATTGCCCAGTCTGTTCTTGAACTCCTGGCCTCAAGTGATCCTCCCACCTCAGCCTCCCAAACTGTTGGGATTACAGGTGTGAGCCAACATGGCTGTCTTTTCTCCCCCCATCTTGTGATTTTATATTTTGTTTTTCTTCCCTCAGTCACATTAATGTATATCTTACTGCCTTGGATGACATCTTAATGAGATATTTATACTTTATAAAGATCACAGTGACTATTCTGTTAATCTTACATTTTTAAAAGTGTGAAAATTTTAAGAATAATATCAAATTCTTGAGGCATTATGTGCTTTCTGTTTTTAACATCAGGCAAACATTCAATATCATCAGTACTTGATACCATTAGTATTTGATTCCTACATTATCAAGAGAACAACCCTAAATGAGTCTGATTATAACAAAGTCCAATAAGATCCTAAAATGGTCACATTGGCTTATGGCATCAAAGTGGATATTAGATAAGGTTGCAATCGTTGTATAAATCTCATTTCCTTTCATCTACTTTATCTAACCACACTTAGTGATAAATCCACAAGAACTCCAAAACTAATGCTACACTGTGCCTTCAGTTTCCTAAGATAGCTTTTTACCCTCGTCGGTTTTGAAAGGAAAAATCTGGCCAGGCACAGTGGCTCACGCCTGTAATCCCAGCACTTTGGGAGGCCAAGGCAGGTGGATCATTTGAGGTCAGGAGTTTGAGACCAGCCTGGCCAACATGGTGAAACCCCGTCTGTACTAAAAATACAAAAGTTAGCCAGGCGTGGTGGTGGGTGCCTGTAGTCCCAGCTACTCGGGAGGCTGAGGCTGGAGAATGGCTTGAACCCTGGAGATGGAGGTTTCAGTGAGTCAAAATCATGCCACTGCACTCCAGCCTGGGCAACAGCGAGACTCCATCTCAAAAAGAGAAAAGAAAAGAAAAGAAAAGAAAAGAAAAGAAAAGAAAAGAAAAATCCCCAAAGCTGTGAACCATGACCTGGGTGCTATTAGCAGCGTCCAGAGGAGCCTGCACAGAAGCACAGGAAGAGCACGAACTGATGCTTTGTGGAGATAGCACAGGGCATTGGCGGTCACGGGGCTAGAATTTTGTATGGGAATCACAGCCCATTGGCTTAAAAGGAATCACAGCCCATTGGCTTAAAATCTGATTACAGATGAGGTTTCTGAAGGGCCAGCTTGGCATATCAGTGACTCAGGCAAAAAGCCTCTGAAATCTCTGATGCAGATGATGATGAAGTAACAGTCTGGTGAACATAATACACCATTGGACATAATTGTTCTCCTGCTACCTGCAGAGTTGCCTTTTTTTTTTTTTTTTTGAGACAGAGTCTTGCTCTGTCGCCCAGGCTGGAGTGCAGTGGCGCGATCTCGGCTCACTGCAAGCTCCGCCTCCTGGGTTCACGCCATTCTCCTGCCTCAGCCTTCGGAGCAGCTGGGACTACAGGCGCCCGCCACCACACCCGGCTAATTTTTTGTATTTTTAGTAGAGACAGGGTTTCACCGTGTTAGCCAGGATGGTCTCGATCTCCTGACCTCGTAATCCGCCTGCCTCGGCCTCCCAAAGTGCTGGGATTACAGGCGTGAGCCACGGCACCCGGCCCCAGAGTTGCCTTTTAAATTAATTAGCCTAGTGAGATAGGGTACATTATTTTTTTTCCGTATCCCTCACAGCTCGTAGGATAGTAGTGTCTTCCCTGTGATAGATGCTTAATAAATATTTATTTAAAAAATAGATATAAATAAATACAGGGGTAACTTGACATAAAAGTCCTACTTAAGGACTGCTGTGGGCTAAGTACTATGTTGTCCTGTTCTCTTCTCACTCCAGACTACGTGCTGAAGTCCTTGATCTATAGCCCAAGCAACAGAGAATGGCACACTCTTAGGAGCAAAGCCAGAATTGTTTCCAACATGCAATAATAGTATACCATCTTCGAAAGCACTTCAAAGCAACCAGGAAAGTCAGGACCTGCTACACAGCGAGACAGACAGCGGGCGCTCTCAGCTCAGGTCGGAAATGAATTCTTGGTTGAACAAGTGATGGAAACCAACAAAGCTCCCAAACTGAGGAGAAACCAAGCACGTGGAGACACCGGCAGGTCAGGCCCCAGGGGTGGTTCCCCAGTGTCCCACTGCTGCACTCAGGACCCTGGGGTCATCTAATCTGATCCTGTGCTCTTCCTATACCATGCTTGCAAATGAAAGATGTTTCCTAGCTGAGGGCCAAAGACGTGATGACCAATGCCAAAAGCGGAGCAACCCGGCAGTTTCCTGTGCTTTACAGCAAACCTTATGTCTGCTTATGTCCAGAATCATTCTCAATCTCCTTTCTCCGCCAATATGACTACTGTTACTATTACAAGTACTATCACCATTTATTGAGTGCACACAATGTGCCATACATTGTCCTAAGACCTTATTATGTATTATACAATTTAATCCTTACTATTATTGTCATTCAAATTTTTAATGAGGAAAGAGAGGCACAGAGAAGTCAGTTTATTTGCCCACAGTCATATGGCTACTAAGCAGGAAGGCCAGGATTCAAACCAAGCAGTCAGAATCTAGAACTAAATTCTTAACAACTACACTGTACAAAACATTTTCTTCATGAGGCACAGCAAACAAGAGTACACTAGTATTCCATACAAGTAAGACAATGTATTATATGTAATACTATATGTGTGTATGAACATTTATTACTTAATTACATATAACTAGTATTATATATCATATATTAATACATAATTATTAATTAATGTATATTATGAAGGATTCTCAGGGCAGTCATTCCATTGAAAATAAGACAAGAGGCCGGGCGCACTGGCTCATGCCTGTAATCCCAGAAATTTGGGAGGCCAAGGCAGGCGGATCACCTGAGGCTGGGAGCCTGACCAACATGAGGAAATCCCGTCTCTACTAAAAATACAAAAATTAGCTGGGTGTGGTGGCGGGCACCTGTAATCCCAGCTACTCGGGAGGCTGAGGCAGGAGAATCGCTTGAACCCGGGAGGAGGAGGTTGCGGTGAGCTGAGATGGCACCATTGCACTCCAGCCTGGGCAGCAGGAGCAAAACTCCGTCTCAAAAAAAAAAAAAAAAAAAGAACATAAGACAATGTACACATATATATATACACACACACACACACACACACACACAGACACACACAGTATATAATACTGTCCTCTATGGCAACAATAGTAGATTGGTTTTTCTGTAATAAATTCATAACAAATACTTATATTTCACTCTACAGTTTGAAAGTCCTTTCACCTCATCATCTCACTTAGCCACATAGCAGTCCTGTAAGGGCATAGAACAGGTGGTTGTCTCATATGTACTATAGATGCTGGGCCTAGGCTTATGAGCCTTTCAAGAGGATACAAATGTTTGAGTCTTGAAAAAAGAGTCACTGGCTCTAAACCATGAACAGAAAACTGCAACATGAAAACTAATAAAAATTTAGTTAAATGCCTTTGGACGCTAAATCTCTAACCGGTCTCTGTGGGACAGTGCTGCTTCTGTTCTGTCTTCAGGGATCTGTCTCCACTAACACCTGGGTCCCCTTCTTAAACAGTGTTTCATAGACCAGTGCCTGTCACTGTGGACACACGTGCTAAATTATGTTCATTTACCTGAAGTCCATTGTCATTATCCACAAACACTCCTCCGCTACTCCCTCACCCCATCTCATTAGATTGTGCCTGGAAGCATTGGTACTGCAGGTTGACTATCCCTTATCCAAAATGCTTGAGACCAGACTGTTTTGGATTTCAGATCTTTTTGAATTGGATTGGAATCTTTGCATTATTCTTACTCGTTGAGCATCCCAAATCTGAAAATCCAAAATCCAAAATGATCCAGTGAATACTTCCTTTGGGCATCATTTCAGTGCTCAAAAAGTTTCAGATTTTGGAGCATTTTCGATTTCAGATGTTTGAATTTGGGATGCTTACCTGGCATATGTAAATGTGAGATTTCACTATGCACCATCTCCCTCAGATAGTTTAAACTGCTTTTAGCCCTATCTGGAGATAGGTATACTGAAAAGGAGGGTATTACTGTGGATGACTTCAAGGATTCAATTATTACTCACTCAGTCCTGCATTTGAAACTTTATGACCTTAAGCTAGTACCTTTTCCATGCCTTTTTTGGTTTTCTCCTCTACAAATCAAGGGATAATAAGAGTGGCTACTGAGTTACTGTGAAGTATTAATGAGATAACATACGCCTTGCCTTTGCTTACTATAATTATGAACGTATTATAAAGTGCTCAACAAATGTTAGCTCTTTGTATCATAAGCCTTCATATCTTCTTGATAAGATACATTCTTTGTCCAGAACTTAAAAAGCACACCCCAGAGCTAAGCATTTTAATATACTGCTGGTGGGAGTACAAAAGGTACAGCCCCTTGGGAGGGGGATATGGCAATGTCTAGTCAAACCAGCTACTCTTCGACACTTTCACCCAACAATTCAACCTCTAGGAGTTTATCTGAAGATATGCCTCCCCACATATGAAACAACTAGACTCAAGTTATTCATTGTGGCATTATTTGCTATAGCAAAATATTGGAAATAAACTGCACATCCATAGAAGATTGTGTGAGTGAATTATGGTACAATCACCCAATAGACTACCATGCAACCCTAGCAAAGAAGGAAGAAGATTTTAATAAAATGAATGATTTCCAGAATATACTACAGAATTTTGAAAAGCAAAGAGAGTGTATAATATGCCACCTTTTGTATACGTAGAAACGGGAGGACAGATGAAAGAAAAAGAAAGAAAGAAGAAAGAAGAAAGGAAAGAAAGAAAGAGAGAAAGAAAAAGTAAATCAAAACCAAAGGGGTATTCTCTCTAATATATAACTCCAACAACTCAGTAAGAAAAAGACTAACAGTCATCTAAAAAATGCTGAAGGAGGCCAGGTGCAGTGGCTCACGCCTATAATCCTAGCACTTTGGGAGGCAGAGACGGGCGGATCACGAGGTCAGGAGATCGAGACCATCCTGGCTAACACGGTGAAACCTCGTCTCTACTAAAAATACAAAAAATTAGCCGGGCGTGGTGGCAGGCGCCTGTAGTTCCAGCTACTTGGGAGGCTGAGGCAGGAGAATGGCGTGAACCCGGGAGGCAGAGGTTGCAGTGAGCTGAGATCGCGCCACTGCACTCCAGCCTGGGTGACAGAGCGAGACTCCATCTCAAAAAAAAAAAAAAAAAAAAAAATGCTGAAGGATATGACATGACAGTTCATTGAAAAGGAAATACAAATGACTCAAATATAGGTTCAACATTGCTCATAATAAGAGTATTACAAATGGAAAACCCAAAAGTTTGATGAAAGAGTACGTTGATGAAACTGTGGAGAAACAGGCGCTTTCAACAGTGCTGGTGGCACTCCTAGTGGTGTCCACTGGGAAAGCCTACGGAGGGTAATTTGGCAGACTTTTGCCAATGAAAAAAGCATGCATGCTTTCTGATAGATATAATTAGTGCTCACCCATATTGTACTCTCTTCTCCTACCAGAAACACACACAAAAACTGTACTTCTTGGCCTTCCTGAAGTTTGGCAGGGCCATGTGACTAGTTCTAGCCAATAAAATATAAGTGGAAATAATGTTTGTCACTTTTGGTTCAAGGTTGTCTCTCCCCTGCGGCAATGACTGTGAAGGCTGTGGGTTCCAGATGGTGCAGGCACAAGACCCAAGCCTGGGTCTCTGAGAGACTGTGTGGAGCAGGAATCTCCTGCAAAACGAACATCACAGGACATGTACTAGGGGTTGGAATATTTTTGGTATGTTTATTGACAGATTTGAGAGTTGTTTGTTATTGTAGCAAAACGTAACCTCATTAATACAATCTTTGACCTCGTAACTCCACTTCAGGGATTTATCCTGAAGACATATTAGGACAAAATTATATGTTTACAATACTATTTTATTTTATTTATTTATTTATTTATTTATTGAGATGGAGTTTTGCTCTTGTTGCCCAGGCTGGAGTGTAATGGCGCGATCTTGGCTCACTGCAACCTCCGCCTCCCGGGTTCAAGTGATTCTCCTGCCTCAGCCTCCTGAATAGCTGGGATTACAGGCGCTCACCACCATTCCCGGCTAATTTTTTTATATATTTAGTAGAGATGAGGTTGCACCATGTCGGCCAGGCTGGTCTCGAACTCCTGACCTCAGATGATCCACCCGCCTCGGCCTCCCAAAGTGCTGGGATTACAGGCGTGAGCCACTGCGGCCAGCCTATTATTTATTTATTAAAGCACTGTATGAGAAAGCTAAATATTGGGACTAATTAAATGTGTGGCAAAGAAGAAACTGGTTATGTAAATTGTAATATATCCATATAGTAGAATACTATGTAGCTGCAAAACATAACTAGAAAGTTCTCTATGGAAATATGGAAATATTACTAAGACATATTGTTAAGTGAAAAAAGCAAGCTGTACAATAGTGTACATAGTGTACTATCCTTTGGGTAAAAAAGGGGAAAACACATACTCATAATGTTTAAATATGCAAAAAGCATACATCTATGTAGAAAAAAGAAAATTGGTCATGGTAGGTTACCTGTTAAGGGGAATGGGAACTGTGTATTGAGTCAATGCATTTTTCCCTCGTATTTTAATTTTTTTGTTTTTCTTTTTTGAGACAGGGTCTCACTCTATAGCCCAGGCTGGAGTGCAGTGGAGGAATCACAGCTCACTGCAGCCTCGACTTCCCAGGTGAGAGGATCACCTGAGCCTCCCGAGTAGCTGGGACTACAGGTGCATACCACCACACCTGGCTAATTTTTGTATTTCTTGTAGAGACAGGGTTTCACATGTGGTCCAGGCTGCCATATTTCAATTGTTGAGCTATGTGAATATATATATATTTTTTTAATACAGAAAATGAAAATAAATAAATAAATAACATCCTTTTCTGGCTATGTATTGCCTGTAGGAACTTTGAAAATGTATTTCCAACCAGCATTCCCAACTTCATGCCTGGATGTTTTCCCTTGTGGGCATGGAGCTGCAGTCACATCTGACTCCTGGAGGGCTAGGCGTTTTTCATCCTTCTGTCTGTGTGCAGGCTTAGGTCTCCCTCAATGAGCCCTCCCCTTCCTGTTTGCCTCTGCATAGCTTGCAAAACCTAGACATGTGCACTGGGGCATCCTTCTGATCTACCCAGGCAGAGTTCCTAGGCTGACTTCTATGTTCACATAATTCCTTTTATATATTCCTGCCATTGCATTCATTATATTAAGTCATAATGGCCTGTTCACACGTATGCTGCCTTCTCTAGATAGAAGAACCATGTCTGGCTCATCTTTCCATCTTTCTGTCCCCATGGCCTGGGATAGGGCATGAAATAGTAGTAAGGGCATTTATTAACTTTATTCATGAGTTTTGTCATAAACAGATTAATAAGCATGAAGCAATAGAGTATAATATGTCATGTTTGGAAACAGTCTTTCTGTGCTTCCTGCCACAGACCTCAGCAGCCTGAATCCTTTACATCATCGTGCCTTACAAATACTCTATATGAGACTGGTATGCCCTAAATCATTTGACGGTGGTAGTTTTCAAACGTCTTATTTTTAATGTGATGAGTATTCACTCAACTAATGCTACTCCAAAACAATATTTTTAAAAAAGGAGGCCAGGTGTGGTGGCTCATGCCTGTAATCCCAGCAGTTTAGGAGGCTAAGGCTGGAAGATAGCTTGAACCCAGGAGTTTGAGACCAGCCTGGGCAATATAATGAGACCTCATCTCTACAAAAATAAAAAGTTAGCCGAGCGTGATGGCACACACCTGTGATCCCAGCTACTCGGGAGGCTGAGATGGAGGATCACTTAAGCCCAGGAGGTCAAGGCTACAGTGAGCTGAGATTGTATCACTGCGCTCTAGCCTGGGCAAGATCCTGTTTCCAAAAAAAGAAAAAGAAAAAGATAGGAAAAGAAAACAAATAAAACCCTCCATACTTAAACCAAAACCATAATCAGATAAAGAAAAGGAAACAGTTGTGTAGAGAATTCTAATCATTTTTCTTGAGTGGTTTTGATTGCATCAAGCTCATTAGTTAGATTGCCATTAGATTACATGTAATAAAATAATATTTAATTTAGTAAAAAACAAATTCATGTTATTTAGACACATGATCATTGCTCTTTAAAAAATATTGTAACAGCCGGGCACGGTGGCTCATGCCTGTAATCCCAGCACTGTGGGAGGCCGAGGCGGGCAGATCACGAGGTCAGGAGATTGAGACCATCCTGGCTAACACGGTGAAACCTCGTCTCTACTAAAAAATACAAAAAATTAGCCGGGCGTGGTGGTGGGCGCCTGTAGTCCCAGCTACTCGGGAGGCTGAAGCAGGAGAATGGCTTGAACCCGGGAGGCGGAGCTTGCAGTGAGCCAAGATCGAACTACTGCACTTCAGCCTGGGCAACAGGGCGAGACTCCATCTCAAAATAAATAAATAAATAAATAAAATATATCTATTGTAACATCACCGGGTGCGGTGGCTCACGCCTGTAATCTCAGCACTTTGAGAGGCTGAGGTGGGTGGATCATCTGAGGTCAGGAGTTCCAGACCAGCCTGACCAACACGGTGAAACCCTGTTTCTACTAAATACAAAAAATTAGCCAGGCATAGGTATGGTGGCTTATGGCGGTAATCCCAGCTACTAGGGAGGCTGAGTCAGGAGAATCGCTTGAACCTGGGAGGCGCAGGTTGGAGTGAGCTGAGATTGTGCCATTGCACTCCAGCCTGGGCAACAAGAGTGAAAATCCATCTCAAAATAAATAAATAAATAAATAAAAATATACATGTCTATATATATAATAACATCAAGCAAAAGTAGCAGCATATGAATTTTTTATAATTTAATTTTTGAGCCCATAAAAACAAAAACGATAACAAAACTATAAATAAATATCTAAAATATATTGAATGCCTACATGCTAAACAGTTTACTAGGTACTTCAACATTATCTGATTTTATTTAAGCTCCTTTTTTTTTTTTTTAAACCGAGACTTGCTCTGTCACCCAGGCTGAAGTGTAATGGCACGATCTTGGCTCACTGCAACCTCCGCTTCTGGGGTTCAAGCGATTCTCCTGCCTTAGCCTCCCGAGTACCTGGGACTACAGGTGTGTGCCACCACGCCTGGCTAATTTTTGTATTTTTAGTAGAGATGGGGTTTCACCATGTTGACCAGGCTGGTCTCAAACTCCTGACCTCAGGTGATGGCCCTCCTTGGCCTCTCAAAGTGCTGGGATTACAGGTGTGAGCCACCACGCCCGGTCTATTTAAGCTTCTTAATCAACTGGAGTGCTAAGTAGCATTACCCCATTTTACAGATGAGGAAAGTGTGGTACAGACGGAGTAACTTGCTCCAGATTACAACACAGCCAGGAAGTTATGGCTACGAAGTTTGAACCTAGGACTGTCCTATATACTGTTCTATACTTTCTTCCAATATGTGTTCCAAACACAATTTTAGGAGTTCATATTTAAGGAGGGCATGTATAAAATCAACAATGGGATATAGAAGGCTAAAAAGGAAATTAAATTTGCTTCTCTATCTCTTAACAGGTGCATGTTTAAGAAACACTGTACTCAGCAGAAGTGTACCAGGTTTCCTTCTGCCTTCACTTAAGCACACATGTCGGTTAAAGCTAGGAAATAGCTGAAAATCTGTATTTTCAAAACATTTCACATCCTTAAGGCTTCTGGACTGGCATCTAATTTTGCATTTTGTTGAAACATTGCTAGAAAAATCCTTTGGCCTTCTTCTCAGTGAAACCAAACAAAACCCATAACGTATGCTCTTTCAACTTAAAGCATCAATGGATTCAACAAAACCGTTGTATATACAGCTGTGGCAATATTTACGCATGTAAAGCATCTTAGTTGAATACCAAATTCAAACAAAATCAATACAAAATGGATTTTACAGTTAATTTTAATGGGTGTGATGTATCGTTTAAGAGGGTGTGATTTCCGGGTTCATAACATCAAGTGATTTCAGCAGTTGTCTACATTATGGTGTGTTCCAAAATTAATAGTAAGGTCAGACTATAGTTTTAGACTGAAAATATCAAGGCCATTTTCTAAATTCGGGCTTGAAATACTAGAAGTGGCTTTGATATTACTATTGAATTGGCTTCAAAGACTGCTAATTAGACCATTGTCTTTAAGAACTGCCTTCTTATGCAATGTAATAGAGTTGCTTGTTCTTTAAGAGTAAGAGTTTTGTTTACATTGAAAACTTTCACTAGACTGCCAAAATAACAAAAACAAATACACAGACATTGAAACTTATACTCTTGAAAAACAAAAAGAAAAGAGGGAAAATAAATCAGTGACAAGTGGCAGATTATCGTTTGCAGCTTGCCTTTGATTTGTAAATGCCTACTTCCTGCCCCAGGGAGGAGGGTGAAGGGTAGGTTATGGTGCTTGGGATGCACACTGTCTTCTGGGTTATGCTAATTTGTTGTTAAGTGCTCAAGGCCGCTTATTCAGCACAGATTTGATTAGTTTTTGGCTATACAGTTCAAAGATTTATGAAAAGTTCCTCTCTGGATAGCTGTGGTTGTATTTACTTTGGTTCTCCTTATTCAAAAACTTTCATATCGTTGATGAGTGGTGACAAATGGCTTGCTCAGGAACACTGTGCCAGTATAAACTCTTTTGTAATAAAACACAATTAATATTGATGAAATCAGTCTTCAGTCAGCACTTGTTTGTTGCCTGAAAACCTTTCCTCTCCTCCCCACCTTCCAGGACTCAAAAAACAGACTGGGGGACAATCTCATCTGAATCGAACACTCCAAACTGGGGCTGTGACTTGCCCCTGGCAGATGCCACAGGTCCCAGAAAGGTGATCAGAGAGCTCTATCCAACACGAGGAGTCGCTTCCCTCTAAGGACTCTCAAAGGGGAGAAGCAAGGATTTATAAACTGGCTCTGTTTGTGGCTTTGCCGAAAATGAAACTCTCAGCAGTGTGCTACACCATGATTCTAGTAGAAATGATCATTAGACACTGGAAAGAGGAAAGCGGGAAGGAGAGCACCTACTGCCTTCCGTACACTGTGTTAAGGCTTTCTCTCTAGCATCTAGTTTAGTCTCTGCAACTGCCCCAAGAGAAGTCTTTATTTTATTGGCTAGGACACTGAGGCAAATAGCGGCTCCTTGCCAGACCCTTCCAGCCACTGGTTGGCTTTCTGTTGCCTAGGGTCCCCCTTAAACTTTCTTCTACACTGTGCAGAAATAGAAAAGGGCAGTTGGAAAAGAGGAGGAGGGAGAGGGAAACAAAGAGGGGAAAAGATAAACTTAAAAAAAAAAGTAAAAAGATAAATGTGAGAGAGCTCTGAGATGAGGTCAATGGTTGGTCATTTGAGGTCAACTTTATCTGAGGTGAGGGTAATCACAAGATGACAAATGGCTAACCCTTGGAAATTTCTTTCCACACATCTTCCAGTTTCTGGGTCACGTGGCTCCACCTCTGCCATTTCAGGAGGGTCCTCGTCTTAGGAAGCTATTTGGGAAACTCTCAATGCTCCCAGAGACATTACTGTTTTTTGTTTTTTTATTTTTTTTGGAAACAGGATCTTGCTCTGTCACCCAGGCTGGAATGCAGTTGCACAATCTCGGCTCACCGCAACCTCCACCTCCTGGATTCAAGCGATTCTCCCGCTCATCCTCCTGAGTAGCTGGGACTACAGGCACCTGCCATCATGCCTGGCTAATTTTTTGTATTTTTAGTAGAGACAGAGTTTCACCATGTTGGCCATGCTGATCTTGAACTCCTGACCTCAAGTGATGCTCCTGCTTCAGCCTCCCAAAGTGCTGGGATTACAGTTGTGAGTCACCGTGCCTGGTTGAAACATTTATATTTCATAGGAATATTTTGGCTGGATGCAGAGGCTAAGGCAGGAGGACAGCTTGAGGCCAGCAGTTCAACACTACCCTGGGCAACATAGAGAGACCCTGTCTCTACAAAAGAAAGAAAGAAAAAAGAAACGTTTAGCCAAAAGTATAATGACAAGTAAAGATACATCTGAGAAGAGAACATTCGTTTGTTTAGTGTGGTGCTCCAGCCTCCACGTCATTTTTATAAACAGGATGTCTGGGTTTCTTTGCAGAAACAAGTTTCTTGAGTTTTGTTCTCAGTTTCTATAATATTCCATTTAGTATTCCTGACACACTGCCACCTACCACGCTGGTGGAAGGAAGGAAGGAACTCCTTCTGGGAGATAGCTCTATCCTATCTCTGTCAGTTATCTGACTAACATTTTGATTTCCGGTAGTAAAAATGTTGAAACTGGCCAGGCATGGCTGCTCACGCCTGTAATCCCAGCACTTTGGGAGGCCAAGGTGGGCGGATCATGAGGTCAGGAGTTGGAGACCATCCTGGCCAACATGGTGAAACCCTGTCTCTATTAAAATACAAAAATTAGCTGGGTGTGGTCATGCGTGCCTGGAATCCCAGCTATTCGGGAGGCTGAGGCAGGACAATTGCTTGAACCAGGGAGTTGGATGTTGCAGTGAGCCGAGATCACACCACTGCACTCCAGCCTGGCGACAGAGCCAGACTCTGTCTCAAAAAAACAAAGTTGGCTGGGCACGGTGGCTCACGCCTGGAATCCCAGCACTTTGGGAGGCTGAGGTGGGCGGATCATGAGGTCAGGAGATCGAGACCATCCTGGCCAACATGGTGAAACCCCCTCTCTACTAAAAATACAAAAATTAGCTGGGCATGGTGGCAGGCGCCTGTAATCCCGGCTACTTGGGAGGCTGAGGCAGGAGAATCGCTTGAACCCAGGAGGTGGAGGTTGCAGGGAGCCGACAATGTGCCGCTGCACTCTAGCCTGGCGATAGAGCAAGACTCTGCCTAAAAAACAAAAACAAACAAACAAACAAAAAGTTGAAACTTCATTCTCAGTTTACTACTGGTGGTAAATCCATCAGCATCTGTTTATTAAAGGATTTACCACAGTCTACCTTGACACGCTGAGCACATGGCTTTGCTCTAAAAATAGAAAGATTCAGCTGGGCAAGGTGGCTCATGCCTGTAATTCCAGCACTTTGGGAGGCCAAGGCGGTCAGATCACTTGAGGCCAGGAGTTTGAGACCAGCCTGGCCAACAAGGCGAACCCCCGTCTCCACTAAAAATACAAAAATTAAGCCGGGTGCAGTGGTTCACGCCTGTAATCCCAGCACTTTGGGAGGCCGAGTGCAGTGGCTCACGCCTGTAATCCCAGCACTTTGGGAGGCCGAGGTGGGTGGATCTCTTGAGGTCAGGAGTTCGAGACCAGCCTGGCTAACATGGTGAAACCCTGTCTCTACTATAAATACAAAATAGCCGGGCGTGGTGGCGGGCACCTGTAATCCCAGCTACTCGGGAGGCTGAGGCAGGAGAATCACTTGAGCCCAGGAGGCGGAGGTTGCAGCGAGCCGAGATCACGCCACTGCGCTCCAGCCTGGGAGACAGAGCAAGACTGTCTCAAACACAACAACAACAACAACAACAACAAAAAACAAAAAGCAAAAGTTAGCCGGGCGTGGTGGCGCGCGCCTGTAGTTCCAGCTACTCAGGGGGCTGAGGCACGAGAATTGCTTGAACCTGGGAGGTGGAGGTTGCTGTGAGCCGAGATCACAACACTGCACTCCAGCCTGGGCGACAGAGCGAGACTCTGTATCAAAAAAAAAAAAAAAAAGAAAAGAAAGAAAGACACAATGACAAAGGCAGAGTTCACCTACAGAGGGAATGACATCAATACATTAGGAATATTTTTAATACATTAAATCCCTTTGGGGTGTTTTTGGACACCTGGCTTGTCATACTATGAACAACAGAATTTCCTTAAAAAGTTTTTATTTTAGAGACAGGGTCTCGCTCTGTTGACCAGGCTGGAGTGCAGTGGCGCAGTCATAGCTCACTGTAGCCTCAAACTCTTGAGCTCAACTGGTCCTGCCACTTCAGACTCCCAAGTAGCTAGGACTACAGGTGTATGCCACCACAACCAGCTAACTTTTACAAAATATTTTTTGTAGAGATGAGGGGGACTCGCTCTGTGGCTCACGGCCGTCTTGAACTTTGAATACCTGGCCTCAAGCTATTTTCCTGCCTCGCCCTCCCAGAGTGCTGGGATTACAGGTGTGAACCACCGCACCCAGCCCTCATTTATTTGATTTCTTCAGAGAGGCTCATCTGTTCCTATATTTAGAAATGTGGAACTTTTCCAAAGAAGACAACCTTCATTTTTTTCATACGGGCTTTCAAAAGAATGTGATGTCCTTTTGGTGTTTTAGATTCTCACCTATGAGGTATAAACAAATCGCCTTGCAGACAAGTCTCAACACAGAACACATGCTGCTTATCACTGGCAAAGACTTGCATCAGCCTGCCACCACGGCTGGCTCATCTTGTCCCTCCAGGCCTGTGCCTGCTGGAACACTCCCACTCCCCATGTCTGAATACACCACTTCGGTTGGACCAAGAGTTTCCAGCTCGGGTGGCCCCTCCTTCCCTGGAAATAAATAGCTGCCTATAGAATATCAGAGTCATTCTGACTCAGGGGTGACTCAGCTCTTCCATGACCTGTGTTCCCACTTCTCCTTGATAAGGCCAATGTTTTGGCCCTACTGGTGAAAATATGTAGACCTAACATCTATCTCCCTGCTCCAGTTTCAAGAGAAAAGACCTTATTCAGAGAAATATTTAGAAGACTCTTGTGGAATTCTTGCTGTGAGTGGTTTTTCCTTCCCTGCCATTGGTGCGACTGTTTCCCCCTTCCGTCAAATTGCTGTCTAGATGTTTCTCTCTGACCCCAATTTTCTCGGAGTTTGGGATTATCAATCTAAAATCAGAGGTGAGAATTCATCAGTGTTATCGATAAGACTTTGCAATTATTTCTTTCAAACTGAACTTTTTCCCTATTCACTTATTTTTCCTCATTGCAAAATAATCAAAGCATTGATGAGTGTTTCTGTTTAAATTCAAAGGACATTCCACCTTTAACCTTAGCATTCATGAGACACAAAATGGGTTTTTCTTTTTGCTGATTTAAAAAGCTGCTATGAAGCTGCACAGTGCGGAAGAGGGCACCCCTGCTCCAGAAAAGAAGAAACAAAACTGCCTGCCATAGACACTTGGTAGGGAGTGGCAAATGGAATCTTGGTTTGTTTTTCTCTTAGGACTTTGACAATTATTTTTCCTTGAAAAGAATAAGAGAATCTACCTAAAATATTAATACTAGTTTCAGAGCTCTAGGATAATATAGAGCAGAGTCTCTTTTTTTTAAAAAAGGAAAGCGGTTTCATTTCTGACAGTGGATTTCTTCCACTGATGTGCACACTCTTTGACATGAAAAGCTGCACGAAGCTGCCTTGAATTCATTCTGCAGATGGAAAGTTGCAAGTACGGTAATTAGCTAAGCAGTGGCAAGGCCGACCATCTGAGGTTTGATTTCTCATCAAGAGATAGTGTCCGACACACGTGCCACTGAGCATGCTTGTAAGAGTTCCACGTTTCAGATGCACTGAGAATGCATGCATGGAACACACGTCCCCCCAGCCCAACAACCGCACTCCCAAATTGCCCCTGCACACATATATTCTAACACGGTTACAACACAGCATGCTCCCGAGCCTCAGACAATAAGCTGCCCAAAAAGATGCTCAAGCAACAGTCGCAGTGGGCCTGACTTCTGGTATCCGCAGCCACTCCAGAGAACTTCCTGTGAGCCCCAGGGACTCAGAGGAGGCTGAGTGATGAGGAAGGTGGCCAGAGGCTGCCGGACTAGCCCCAAGCAGTCACTCTGCTTCCTGCCTTTGTTTTCCCTCAAACTCTCATCTTTCTGGAGAAAACAAAACCCTGTCCTGGGGGTGTAGACCAGCCATGACACCCACTAATAACCTCTAGCAAAACAATAGTTTTAAAATTACTTAATGCTCTCTTGACTTTCTGACTTTTAAAATGAAAATTGTATTTTGTCACTGTATCCTTTTGTTGGCAAGTGGAATACTGCACTCAAACCAAGCAGGCAATGTAAAACTATGACTTCAAAGCCATTCCTTGATAAAACATCAAAACGGCCCAGAGTGAACCAACTGTTATCTGTAATTCAACAGATAATTAACTGAAACTCAGTGCTCAAATTGCTACTGGGAGTTTCTGCAGCCAAGGTCATTCTCATGGTGCTGCTTGATTTTGTTTCTGTGTCTCTTATATCGTTTTAGGCAGGGAGGAACTTGGATTGTCCTTCAGTAAAATTCCACTTTGATGCGCAAAGCGAACTTGAATTTCTGCTTGGCCTACCACAGGCCTGCAACATGCACTTTCTCCTCGAGGTGAGAAGGTCTTTTTCTCTCCACTCTGAAACACCGCTGCCTGCACCTTTTGCTGAGTTTAGAGTAGCATCATACTTTCTGCCACGAATGCCACAAATACTGCCTTTTCAACTTGGTTTTGTAAAATGTAATGGTACTAAATCCGCCAAAGGGATAAAGCACCCTTACTTTGGATTTGCCAGTCCCATGGGTACATAACTGACCTACTACTCTCCCACCTCCCAACCTTGAAACTCCAGCCCCCTGAACGGCCTCACCACTCCAACCCCCACTGCAATTTCCCACTCCCCACCTCCATGCATTGCCCATTCACCAAGCCAGCCACATCTCCCTTTAAGTTGAAAACTCACCCGAAAGCCCACTACCTCTTCCATGCAGCCTCCCCTGATTAAGTGAGGATGAAGAAACCTCCAAAGCATGGCCGACAAACTCCCAATAAACGAGAACACACACCCCCCCAAAACAAACACAGAAACTCACAAAAGAAGAAAATGACACATTCTCTACTTTTGATTTGTGAAACTCCTATGGGGCTAAGGAGATCAATTTTATACCAATAAATCATTTCAGAAAATGAAGTCATTTTAATATTCTTGGGGTTACTCAGCAAAACACTTTGCTTGGACGTCTCTTTTGTACTTTCCTTAAATTCTTCTTCCTTTTCTTCTCGGCTTTTTGAACGTATGACTGAAGGGAACTGCCACTCACTGACACGGACAACAGTAAAGGAACTTGGTCTTCACTATGCCTCATAGTGGTGGGTCACACTGCCCAGGAGGAACCCGCAATGAGACCGGCAAATGCCTTAACCATCTCATTGTCTCATCAGGAAGAAGCTTAAATGACTCTTCTTGCTCACATACTTCCTGGGCAAACATGTCTGCTCTGTTGGGATAAAGGACGCTCTAGACCAGGCTCTGCTGAAAGATCCAGGGCAAAGGTTCCTGACAAGACTATGTCCAGCCTCAAATAAGGCCACAGAAGAGCCCAGGCTCGCTGACGAGCACCGGCTCCGAGGCAGTCACATCAGGAGACAGAAACAGACATGTTGGTGCTGCCCTCTCAGGTCAGTGCAAATGCCACTTGAGGAGGGCTGAGAGCTTTGCAGCATAAAATGACCAGAACAAGGAGAAACACAGATGCAATGGCAATAGCTGGCAATTCGCACATGGCGTCAAACACCACTGCCACAGAAGCTTTTTAGCTACAAGCCACGCTATGCAACCTTTAAGCAAAACATTATTGATTTTGTGGTTGTAAAAACATACCTTCAACTGCAGAACTCAGTTTTATGACACCTTGAATAAAAACAAAAAGTGGCAGTTATATAATGGACCCAAATCGCCTTTTCCAGGCTTCTCATAACACACGCATGCTTCAGATTTGGATTTTTCTTTTTCTGCTGGCATTGCAAGAACGTAACTAAACAAATATCAACTTCAAAAATAAAATAATTTTTAGTCTTAACTAGGTCTCATGGATGTCTTCTTTTCCCCCACTAAAACCATTTGGGGAAATTTTTCACTAAAAATGGGATCAAACATGTTTTTGGATGGGACAAAGGCCAAGTCTGCCTGAGTGACTATTTCTGTGTATAAATTATACCAGATTATGGATCAATAAAAGTTCACACAATAGGATGCTAGGGACCAGCACTTCCTCTTTGATACTGTATCTAGAGATCATCTGATGCATGTTAGGACAGAGTTTCTGTTGAAACATGTAACAGGTGGTTAAAAACCATGGTGTGATCTGGTAACTTTCTTCTCTGGGGTGGTTGGGCCAGAGCCCTTTTCTTGGTCTGATGGGTTTAGATTTCAGCTCCCTCAAGTCAGAGAGTGAACGGGTTATCTGAGCAAGTCAAGTTGTTCATGAAGCAAGTCAGTACCCTTGACTGATATTTATGCACCTTTGCAGTGAATTTTTTTTTTTTTTGAGACAGAGTCTCGCTCTGTCACCCAGGCTGGAGTGCAGTGGCGCAATCTCGGATCTTGGATCTCGGCTCACTGCAACCTCTGCCTCCTGGGTGGACGCCATTCTCCTGCCTCAGCCTCCCGAGTGGCTGGGACTACAGGCGCCCGCCAGCACGCCCGGCTAATTTTTTGTATTTTTAGTAGAAACATGGTTTCACTGTATTAGTCAGGATGGTCTCGATCTCCTGACCTTGTGATCCGCCCGCCTCAGCCTCCCAAAGTGCTGGGATTACAGGCGTGAGCCACCACATTTGGCTTTTCGGTGAATTTAAAGGTGAAAATACCAAACTAAGATAAATTAGACCTGATAACAATCATTTGATTTAAAGAGCACTTTTTATAAGTCATAGTTAAAAATAAATAATATTATCTAATCTTACGCAATAGTCATGATCATTTAGGCTGAACAAAAATGTCTGCAGTTTCATTCGGTTGAAGTCCTGGTTCTCTTTCAAACTGGAGGAGTTTGCAAACAAAATTCTTTTCAATACTGGTAAATCAAATTGGTATCTGTATGAACATACACTGATTTTTAACAGATTATGTTCACATTGCTCTTCCTTATGACTTTCTGGAAAAGCTGCTTTTAAGTTTGTTTCCTATTGAATTTCATCTTTCCTGCATAACCAATGGTGTCTGGTCCAACGTTGAGTAAGAAACACTATAGGGGAGGAAGTATGCATATACATGTCCATATGTTTATTATAAATTTTGCTGATACGAAAGATATGTGGCACACAGTCTATAAGTAACAATGAAATATACAGTATTCTTTATGGCAAATTCCATATAGTGAATTGGTTCCCATGGAATTCTTTTTTTTTTTTTTTTTGAGACGGAGTCTTGCTCTGTTGCCCAGGCTGGAGTGCAGTGGCGCGATCTCGGCTCACTGCAAGCTCCGCCTCCCGGGTTCACGCCATTCTCCTGCCTCAGCCTCCCGAATAGCTGGTACTACAGGCGCCCGCCACCGCACCCGGCTAATTTTTTTTGTATTTTTAGTAGAGACGGGGTTTCACCGTGTTAGCCAGGATGGTCTCGATCTCCTGACCTCGTGATCCGCCCGCCTCGGCCTCCCAAAGTGCTGGGATTACAGGCTTGAGCCACCGCGCCCGGCTCCCATGGAATTCTTTTGTTCATCTTGGCCAAACTCTTGTATCTGTAGCCAGCAGTTCAACCATGATCAGACAATCATTCATTCAGTTGCATCTCAGTTTGCCCTTTTCCCAACAAACTTACTATTATTATATCTTTTATGTGATATAAGTTATTTTTATTAAATAAGCCTCTTTCAGCTTCAATACTATGTCAGTACCCATACCATGGCATATTTGTCACTGTACATAAAGTTGGGCAGAGATGTGCAGTGATCACACCAGCATGTAGTATTTCCACCATACGGGTATGGTAGAATGTAACCTCAAGAGCATGGATAGAAACATGACTAGGAAATGATGAGTTTTAAATGTTTATAACTTTTGTTTTTGATATAATTTATCTAATTGTAAGTTACACAATTTAATTTGTAATAATGGGCTTCCAAAATGTCTGAAACTGTAACGTCTGGCTCTTGCAAGCTGGTATGAACCCGCTTTAGGGCACCACTGCCATAACTGATGCTTCCTTGTGTCAGGCCCAGGGAAGACCTTGAACTTCAGAATACTTCCTGAGATCTTCATAAAGGGGGTAATCATTTAATTGAACAAGACAAATGGAAGTAAACTTAGGATTTGCTATTATTTTTTGCCAGTTATTTCAAAACCTGTGAAGCCTTTCATTGCAAAAATAAACTATACATACATCACCTTAGAGATAACAGTCATTGACAATCAACTAGTATAATCACAATATAAATGGATTTGACATTCTTTTGGTCAGGCAACTAAACCAAAACGCAAGGTCAGGTACAAGTAATTGACTTATTAAGCAATGACCTCATCTTTTCAGAGTAGAATTCTTATATACATCAGAATATCAAGTTTTTCAGCCATATTCATTTTTGAGTATAATCATGGTGTCAGCAAATGTCATTCAACTGAAAAGACAACAATGTGCTCTGATCAGTATGTAGAAACAGAGTTCATGCAAGAAAACAAGAAAATTTAAACAAATCATCAGGGAAGACAGGGGTGGCAGTGAAGGAGAGCCCAATCATCATTTACTGAGTTGGGGAAACAAGGTAAGCTCAAATACAAACAAAAATTAGATCTGTAATTATCAACATTGTTTTAAGAAAAACGTGTGATTCACTAGCTCCAAATAGACTTCTCTTATATTTTTAAACCCCAAGTCAAATTATTCTGTATAGTAAGGTAGGCCTTTATATTGGGAAGTAACTATGTTACAGTGAAAATTTAGAATTAGCTATATCTAGTTAGATACCTTATATTAACATGATACACAAAATTGTACAACGAGTGGGAAAGATCATTTATCTTAAAATGTAAATGTTTTTAAAAATTTTGAATATTTAAGAAGGGATTGATGTTGATATTAAAAAGCTACACATAGCACTGCTGACTTCCAGGACACACAATAGACATTATCTGGTGTGTGGCTGACATTGACATTGCCTGGAATTCAGGGTAAGCCGTAACACATACATTTATACACACACACACACACACACACACACACACACACACACACGGATGCTACCACCCCCCGCCGCCCCCACCCCCGGTTTCTTTTTCATAGTCTGCAGAAGTGTTTGAAAATACAATTGAAAACAACAACAAAAAACAAACTCAACTGTTTTTCTCTCAGCTCAATATCTTTTTTTTTTTTTCTTATTTTTTGAGACAGAATCTCCCTCTGTCGCCCAGGCTGGAGTGCAGTGGTGCAATCTCGGCTCACTGCAACCTCCGCCTCCCAGCTTCAAGCGATTCTCCTACCTCAGCGTCCCGAGTAGCTGGGACTACAGGCACGCCTGACCACACCCAGCTAAGTTTCGTATTTTTAGTAGAGACAGGGTTTCACCATGTTGGCCAGGATGGTCTTGATCTCTTGACCTCATGATCCGCCTGCCTCGGCCTCCCAAAGTGCTGGGATTACACGCATGAGCCACCGCGCCCGGCCTATTTCCCTATTTCTTCTACTTCATCTCACATGACTTTTCCCCTTATTCCGGACCCATTAGCCACATGGTTTCTTTCTGTGCTTTGCAATGCTATTTCCTTTCTGCCCTTGGCTGGTGTACTTGCGGCTCGCTCCCTCTTGCCTGCTGCCCTAAACTGCCCAATCTTCCTATAACCAGCTCTTTTCTTTTGTTCACATTTGACTTCAAATATAACTTCCTCAGAGAGTCTTCCTTGATTACTATATTTAGAGCAGGCCAGAAATAACTCTATCCCATTGCTCTTATTTATTTATTTGTTTACTTAATTTTTATTTTTTAAAAGGATTGGGGGTGGGGGTCTCACTTTGTTGGCCAGCCTGGCCTTGAACTTCTGATTTCAAGCAATCCTCCAGCCTCAGACTCCCAAGTAGCAGGGACTACAGGTACCTGTCACCACAACTGGCTTTCTTTTATTTTTTAAAAATAGCACTTTTCACTGTTTGCAGTTATCTCATTGATTTCACATCTGCGTCCTTGTTTACCTCTGTCCTCCTCATTAGAATATAATCAGAAGGAGAGCAGGAACCTGGTCTGTTTTGTTTGCTGCTGTAACTCCTCTGCCCAGAAATTTGTAGCATAGAGCAAACACACAAAAAATATTTACTGAATGAAAAGGTGATCATTCCCGAGTATCCTCAAGGAGGATCTTATCAATCCCAGCAAATGTACTTCAAATACGTTATTTCAATTATGGATGTTATTGAGCTGAGTACTGAGATTTCATTATATTGACCACTGTCTATTTCTACTCAGAGGCTGTTCTTTATAGGGAGTTAGTCAAAATCTATGTGCAGAGTGAATACATATAACTTGCAGTAAATATTTAGGTGTTTTAGGGTTCCAATATTGGCAAGGTATCTGACAAGTAAGTTTATTGGCTACTTGGAGACAAAATTACGCCCTAAATGGACTTCAAGAAATATTAGTTAACTAACTTTATATTCAAATACCTCAATAATCTGCAGTTCTCTTGTCTCAACTGTCATCACCCTGGGCCAAATTATGACAGCAATGTTCACAGGAAACTGTATGATAAGGCACAATAGAGAAAGAGGAACTAAAAAAGAACTTCAGCCTTTAATATCCTTTTTCTAAGTTATTCCCATGCTGCAGGTGGAGAGACTTTTTCAAAAGATCATGTGACAGCCTTCCAACTCTTATTTTATTCATTTATTTTTTAGATGAAGTTTCACTATGTTTCTTAGGCTGGTCTCAAACTGCTGTGCTCAAGTGATCCTCCTGCCTCAGACTTCCAAGTAGCTGAGATTATCGGCATGTACCAGAGTGCCCAGTGAAATTCTTAAGACAAAAAGCCTTAACATGACTGCAAAACCCTCTATGATGTCACTTATAGGTGAATAAAAATGGCCACAAATTCTTCCACACTCCTCCCACAGACAGGTGGAGGCTATGTCTCCTCTCCTTGAATCTGGGTAAGCTCTGTGGCTGCTTTGACCATTAGAATACAGAGGAAATGATGCTGTCTGCCCAGATCTCATGAAACAGGCAGCTTCCCCTCTGGTGTCATGGACCACTCCCTCCGGGAAGCCTGAGACAGCAGGTTACAAGTCCTGAGACGGTCCTGATGGAAAGGCCACATGCAGACACTCATAAACATCAGCTGAGCCTAAGTGTCAAGTTTAGGCAGAGGGAAGAAGCTGTAAGGTCTTTTTTTTTTTTTTTTTTTTTTTGAGACAGAGTTTCACTTTGTTGCCCAGGCTGGAGTGCAGTGGCACGGCCTTGGCTCACTGCAACCTCCGCCTCCTGGGTTCAAGCAATTCTCATGCCTCAGCCTCCCACGTAGCTGGGATTACAGGCGCCTGCCACCATGCCTGGATGATTTTTTTTTTTGTATTTTAGCAGAGATGGGGTTTCACCATGTTGCTCAGGCTGGTCTCGAACTCCTGAGCTCAGGCAATCCGCTCATCTTGGCCTCCCAAAGTGCTAGGATTACAGGAGTTAGCCACTGCTCCCGGCCAGCTGTAAGGTCTTGAGAAGACTGCTGGTGAAGGCTGGGAGGACTGAAAATTGTCACTGGAGCCTGGAGAAAAGGTAACTCTATTAATGTAGTGGCAGAGAATTTGCTAACATTATCACTTGTAGTAATGTGGAAAATAGAAAATATACCCAAGGAACCCACGGATTTTAGTAAGAAAACTTCTAGGCAGAATGCTTAAAGTGCCATTTAAAAATTTAAAAAAAAAATTTTTTTTAAAGCTACACACAGTAAAAGGTGCAGGTAGAGAAAGATGAGTCAAAAAAGAACTGTTCAGTTTTCAAACAAAATTTGGAGACAATAAAGAGCTAGAATGTGTTGAGTAAAAACAAAACAAAACAAAACAAAAATTGTTTTAACACTCCTAGGGGGTGGCTGTAAAATACCTTTTAATGACTGTAGAAATATTTAAGGATGTACCTCATAGAGTTTCCAAAATAGACAAAAAGGCTTTTAAGAATCCTAAGGGTATTGTCCCACAGCACCCAACTCTGAGCCCAGACCAAAAAAGGGACTATCTTGAAGAGAATTGTAGGTATGTGTTTCATTTAACAGAAAGAAACCCAGTAAGATTCAAAGGATGCCCACAAAGATTATGAGAGAAGTGTATTAGTGGACACATAATCAGCTTGGACAAAGCAGGCAGAGGTAAAGTGCAAAGAGTCCTTAGAGCCCCCAGACTTTTATGGGTGAGACATAAGCTGAGAAGATTATTCAGCTGAAAGTGCTATTTCTTATGGAAAGGGGACAACTCAGAAGGTGCAACAAGAGTCTGGAGGGTGGATCCAAGAGCCGCAGAGAATCATTCCAGAGAGCAGGACTCGGCCCTCCAGCCAAGGAACTGGCAGCATGTGGATTTCAGACTTGCTATGGTAATGCCTGGCGTATAGCTGTTTATCCACTCTTTGAGTGGGAATATCCCAAGCACTTATCCCATCCCTGTATTATCAGTATACGTTGGACATATATGAGGCAAATACCTTTTTCATATTGAGAGGTCTTCATATTGAGAGAAATTGTATAAGACAACAGCATCAAATGGGCCCCATCAGCAACTGAACCTTATTTAGATGGTAAGAACCTGAATCTCGGCTGGGTGCCGTGGCTCACGCCTGTAATCCCAGCACTTTGGGAGGCCAAGATGGGTGGATATTCTGAGGTCAGGAGTTCGAGATCAGCCTGACCAACATGGTGAAACCCCGTCTCTACTAAAAATACAAAATTAGCCGGGTGTGGTGGTGCATGCCTGTAATCCCAGCTACTTGGGAGGCTGAGGAAGGAGAAATGCTTGAATCTGGGAGGTGGAGGTTGTAGTGAGCCGAGATCATGCCATTGTACTTCAGCCTGGGCAAGGAGAGCAAGACTCCCCCTAAAAAAAAAAAGAACCTGAATCTCAAACTTGAGCTTGAGATAAGGTTTTTGAAGTCTTTAGAAGGGGTGAGTATATTTTGCCTTACAGAAGATGTGAATAATTTGTGTCCAGAGGCTGAAGCATGGATGACTAACGATGACCACAGATTATTTGAAACTCTTCCTATTGAGAAGTGGCATCTTCGTTATTCCCTTTGGTCTGAGTGGGCTTGTGGACTGCTTTGGCCGTCACCAAGAATATGAAGGAAAAGATGCTCTGCCAGTATCTGGGCTCAGACCTTAAGACCTTAAGATTTCCTATCTCTTGTATAGGAACTGTCTCTGGAAGCCCTGAACTGACATGTAAGGAGTCTTGAAGCCGCAAGGCTGGAGGTGCCAATTACAGGTGCTCTAGTCAACAGTTACCATATTGCTACTGATCAGGAGCCCACACTCCCAGCCATTGAAATGAAGGTGCCAGGCATGTGAATAATGCTGTCTTGGACTCTCAAGACCAGCCCAACTGTGATGGTTAGTTTGTGTGTCAACTTGACTGGGCCATGAGGTGCCCAGAGATTTGAACAAACATTATTTCGAGTGTGTGTGAAGGTGTTTCTGGATGAGATTAACATTTGGATCAGTTCATTGAGTACAGCAGACTTCCCTTCCTAAGGTGGGTGGGTCTTGTCCAATGAGTTGAAGTCCTGAATAGAACAAAAAGACAAAGTAAGAGAGAATTCTCTGTCTCTGCTGGGACATCAGTCTTCTCTTCCCTTTGGACTTCGACTTGAACTGGAACTTACACAATTGTTCTCCATGTTCTCAGGTCTTTGGACCCAGATTGGAACTATACCATTGGCTCTCCTGGGTTTCAAGCTTGCTTGCTGACTGCAGATCTTGGGACTTCTCAGCCTCCATAATTATGGGTCAGTATACACACACACACACACACACACACACACACACACCCACACACACACACACACACGGATATACTACTTCTCTGGAGAACTCTGACTAATACACCAACTTCTAGCTGAATGTGGAACAGAAGAATTGCCCAGCTGAACCCTGCCTAAATTCCTGATTCAAAATCATAAGGTATAATATAATGATTGTTTTTCAGCTGCTCCACATTGGGGTAATAAGGTATGTAGCAACAGATGACAGACATAGTCAGCTGTGCATACATTTTCTGACTACACATGTGCCCTGTCCCTTAGCTCTTGGTACTCCAGCCACATCACCCTTTCAGTTCTACTAATATTGAATGCAGAATTAGCACGTGCCATCCCTCACCCTTCTTGATCCTTTGACTCTTAGCTAATGAGGATTTTCTCAGGGAAGTTCTCCCTGAGCCTCTAGATTAGTCCCTTTGTTACAATAGATCCTCCCACAAGAACTGTCTCTTTCTTTCAGCGCAGTTATCTCTGTGATTATTTGATTGACGCTAGTCTCTACCCCTAGATGGTAAACTCCATGAGAACAAAGGGTAAGACTGCTTTTGATCACCAGTGAATTCCCCGAGTTCAGCACCATGTCTGGACATAGTAAGTGCAGAATAAATATTTGTTAAGAAGGTGAATGAAATATTTGAAGCAGCTGATAAAGACTCCCTTCTCACCATAGCTTTTAATAACCATGTCAATATTCTTTTCTTTGCACCTTGTGAAAATCTGGGTTCTCAGCCATTGTAACTGGGAAAGACTGTGACTTAATATGAGGCCACTGGTCCTACTATGCTATTGTCTGTGACGGCAGCTAAGCACAACTGAAGTTGCTGGAGTTCCTTTTTGTAACCGCTGGGGAAGAGGAAGCACAAGAGAGCCTCTGGGTGTGTGGGCGCAGGAATGCATAGAGAAAAAAGTAATTAGTGCCTGTTCACATTTATGTCTTTAGTTGGAAATTAGGGAGCTCTCCTAAAAGTCTAAAGAAAATCGTGGATGCTCAAACTGTTTAAAATGTTTCTAAATTTAAGTTTAGAAACAATTTGTTACTAGATCAGGAGCTCTTCCCCCTCCCCCCAACCCCTTCCTCTAAAAATGGAAGAAATAATTGCTGCTTCCTTAGTGCTGTTAGGAAAATTCTGTACCTTCCATAACCATTGCTCTCAGTATTATTTTCTTAATACCTAATCTGAATTCCTACTGTTTTAAAATGCATTCCCCTACTTAGCTCTACGGATATGGAAAATACATGCTCCGCTGGGAATAGTCTTTCTTAAAATATATCTGCTCTGCTTAAAGATTAGTTTATCATTTTTGCCACATATAAAATAAGCTCAGGTCTCTACAAGTGCCCTTGTAATTTCCATTTCATAAATTTAAAAAATATTTTGTTTTACCTCGTTATATTTCTAATAGTGACCTCCAAATGGGTCTGTGTACGATATTTCATTAAATGGGTTTAGTAGGCTTCCAAAGGGAGAAAAGAGGATTTCCATTTCTGCATAATATTCTTGCTCTTTTAAGAAGAAAACACCTCTACAGTGGCAGGGCTAATATGTCGACAGGCATATTCCGTATCATTTATGTAAGTTAACACATTCTGAGGCTCTGCCCATTTCCACTTCTCTGATTTGTCCTCCCTCCCTGAGTGCACAATACTGCATTTGTCCCTTTTGAACATGTAACAGATTAAAGAGCTGGGCAGGAGGCAGATGTAGGGGCACCTTTGATCTCTCATCCTTGGAGGTTAAGGGAGGGCAGACACCTGGCGGCTGCCGAGCTGGAAACAAAACACAGGCCCAGACTGGAATTACCTTAAAGGGAGCCCGGCTCCAACCGCAGAGGCAGCTGGAAGCGCTGAATGGGCACCGGGGGAAGAGAGCCCCGCGGTCAGGCAGAGGACGCAACAGAGTCCTAACAATGTGATCCAGGCTACCCGAGAGCTGGTTAGAATAATCCTTCCTACGCAGAAAGACCCAGGAAACCTTCCAGGAAAGACTAGGCAGCCGCATTGAGAAAAAACGAAAAGTAAATCTTTTGCAAATAATATCACAAAACTTCCAGCTGTGCACAAATACTGAAGGGCAATTTTGATGACAATGCAGGAAGCTTTCAAAGAAAGGATTTTTAAACATATTTTTTCCTTGGCGGAACTCTTTTTAGTAAGGATTTCCACCTTTGCCCCAGGATCCTGCCAATGTTCTTAGTCAAAGCCAGACCCGAGTTTCCTAGGATTCTTCGGTGAAACTGCATTGCCCCCTGGCGTTTGTGTGCTGTCATTACGCCGCACAGATAAAGCCCATGGAACACCTACCAATCCGAGGAAGGATGCAGCTCCTGGTTTCATCTACATGGAGAAACCTCTCTTAAAACACAGGATCAGAGAATGCAGTTCTAAATGGCAAATCTAGACTTGGTTTGACAAGACATGGAATGAAACTTTGAAATTAAAACTCCTTCCTTTTCCATCCTTAGCAGAATCTCCTGAGATGTTCAAGTAGCTCTGGAAAGAAACTGATCAGATTCTAATCTGTCAATTTAAAAAGTTTTTTTTTAAACAATTTTTAAATTTGTTTTAGAGATAGGGTCTTGCTGTGTCATTCAAGCTGCAGTGCAGTGGTGCAATCATAGCTCACTGCAATCTTGAACTCCTAGGCTCAAGGGAGCCTCCTGCCTCAGCCTCCGTAGTAGCTGCAACTACAGGCGCCCACCACTACACCCTGCTAATTTTCTTATTTTTAAATTTTTTTGTTTTGTTTTAGAGATGAGGTCTCACTGTGTTGTCCAGGCTGGTACTCCTGACCTCAAGTGATCCTCCTGCTTTGGCTTCCCAAAGCTCTGGGATTACAGGCCTGAGCCACTGTGCCCGGTTGCTAATTTGTCAATTTTTTTTTTTTTGGGAGTCAGGGTCTCACTCTGTTGCCCAGGCTGGAGTGCAGTGGTGCATCTCAGCTCACTGCAACCTCCACCTCCCAGACTCAAGCGATTCTCTTGCCTCAGCCTTCTGAGTAGCTGAGATTACAGACATGCGCCACCACCACCCAGCTTATTTTTGTACTTTTAGTAGAGGCGGGGTTTTACCATGTTGGCCAGGCTGGTCTCAAACTCCTGACCTCGAACGATCCACCTGCCTCGGCCTCACAGTCAACAAATATTGACTGTGCTGCTTACCATCCATGTGAACTTGGAAAACCCTCTTAACCTTTCTTTGTCTCCTCCACTTACAAAATGAGGCTGATAATAGTAGCATATACCATCTAGTACCTAGTAAACACCCTTTAAGTGTTTGTGAATGATGAGAACTATGTGAGTTTTCCACTCCGGTGGACTAGGGAAGATTAAAAAACATTCTGTGATGTTGAAAGGGCTTGGACTTGGTTCCTGGCCAAGTCTATTAAAACCCCAAAACACAAAGAAATGCTCCAGGTACTGCGGTTTCTACCTGGCCTCAGTGCAAACCTAGAATTAAGTACATCTCTGACACTTCCAGGTCGGTGTGACTGGACCTCTGAGAATATGCTGGGGCCTGAGAGGGTCCATTCTTGTCCACACCAGGGCAGAGTTCCACCCCCAAGGCTAGGCCAGAGCCGGAATGACTCCAGGAGTAAGGCCAAGGGTGGTCTTCCTTGGCCCAGGTTCCTCTAGAATATGCCACTGTGGCATAAAAATGATTTTGAGCTGAAGGCATTTGATAAGAGGCTTATTTCTAAACTCCTTATCTGCCCCAAAGCAGAACCTCCTCCCAAAACTCAATTGTCATAAATCCCTTCCCACAGATTTTTCTGCAACCAGAGAAAGTTGACTCTAATACCAAAGAGAAGCCCACAGCACACCTAAACAGGCATTGTCACAAAACTATCATCTCCCATCTATTCTCCTAAAGGCCCATGATCTTTCTTAAAAGTAATTTATTTTTCCTTAAGTGCCCTTCTCCTCCTCCCCTTCTCTTGTTCAGATGGCACATAAGCCCCAAATTGTAAGTGCCCCCTTGAGGCATATTTTCCTGAGAACTCCCATACATAATGAACAGAAGCCTGTCTTTTCTTTTGCAGCCCCCAAAACACTGAACTTAAGAGGGTAAAGGAACAGTTTTTCCTTCCTTCGTTTCTTCTTTCCTTCCTTCCATGTTTTCTAGAGACAGGGTCTCACACTGTCATCCAGGCTGGAGTGCAGTGGTGTGATCATAGCTCACTGCAGCCTCAAAGTCCTGAGCTCAAGTGATCCTCCCCCCTCAGCCTCCAAGTAGCTAGGACTACAGGCACATGCCACCACACCCAGCTAATTTTTTTAATTTGCAAATTTTTGTAGAGATGGGGGTCTCACTGTGTTGCCCAGGCTGGGGAAAAGTTTTTCATCTTCCGTACCTTCTTCTGTGCCTTTGGCAAAATACTGGACTCCACTGTGCAAAAAAAAATCTCTGCTCAGGCCTTCAAAACAAGCTTCACATCTTGTGCCAAGCTATCCTCAGTCGAAGCAGTGGTGGCAAATAGACGCACCATAAATGAGAAATAGAATGCTTGGCCCAGTGCACTGGCTCACGCATGGAATCCCAGCACTTTGGGAGGCCGAGGCAGGCAGATCACCTAAGGCCAGGAGTTCGAGGCCATCCTGGGCAACATGGTGAAACCCCGTCTCTACTAAAAATACAAAAATTAGCTGGGTGAGGTGGCAGGTGCTACTTGGGAGGTTGAGGTAGGAGATCGTTTGAACCTGGGAGGCGGAGCTTGCAATGAGCCGAGATCGCGCCACTGCACTCCGGCCTGGGC
Source organism: Homo sapiens (assembly GCF_000001405.40). Classification (NCBI taxonomy): domain Eukaryota; kingdom Metazoa; phylum Chordata; class Mammalia; order Primates; family Hominidae; genus Homo; species Homo sapiens. The sequence goes on from NC_000018.10 coordinate 3,668,963, forward strand.
GACCGAGTAAGACTCTGTCTCAAAATAAATAAATAAATAAATTAAAAAGCAATAGAATGATCTACATAATATTTGACATGTTAATATTCGTACAGCATCTTTGAACAAAGGCTGACAAATACAAGTGATAAGTGTTTGTTAAATGAAAATAAATGTTGTACAATTTCAGTCTTTAAGAAAGACAACGCAGACTGGTATTAGGGTTCCAGACCTTCCAGATGTTTTTCTTATTTTGCACTGCATCTTTAAAATCTTGCGTATTATTGATAAGGAGTGCTGGGAAGGGAAGAGCGTGATGCCTTTAAATGATACGGAAGAGGGGAAGGGAAGTGCTGGGTAGAGGAGGGCGTGGTCCCTGGCTAGGGCTCTACCCCCACGGACCTAGGCGAGGACAGGCACTCCTGCCTTCCTGCCCAAATGTTGCATTTTCCAAGACCACCTTGGCCCACCACACCCCCAACCTGGGCCTATAAAAATTCGAGACCCTAGTAAGGAAAGAGACACAAGCGGCTGGACGTGTTGGGAAACACATCGGCAGAAGAAGACACGAGTGGTTATGTGTCTGGTCATTAGAGAGCATGTCTGCGGAAGAGCACATCGATAGACTCCCGCACATGGATCGATGCCATCGACCCGCGACCTGCGGAATGAGGGAGAGTTGGTCCGGGGCAGTCAGAGGAGAGCCGGGCAGCGGGTGGCCCAACTCTAGGGGAAGGCCATCTTCCTTCTGGCTTCCTCAATGGCTGAGAACTACTTCTACTCAGTAAAACTTTCCACTCATTATCCAAGCCCCCATGTGATCCAGTTCTTCCGGTGCACCAAGGCAAGAACCCGGATACAGAAAGTCCTCTGTCCTTGTGATGAGGAAGCGGATCTAAGTGAACTAACACAAGCTGCCTATAGGGCTAAACTAAAAGAACACCCTGCGACACACGACCACTGGGGCTTCAGCTGTAAACATTCACCCCTAGACACTGCCGTGGGGTGGGAGCCCTACAGCCTGCCTGTTTGTATGCTCCCCTAGAGGTATGCGTAGTGAGGCACTGAAGAAGTGAGCCACATAGGGTGTGCGATGGGAACAAGGGAACCTTTCCCATTTCATTATAACGATAGGAAAAGAGTATATTGTTTTACAACAAAACAAAACAAAACAAACCCCTAAAAATTGTATTGCTGGAGTAAGACGATCGAAGTGAGATCGTTTTAACTACCGTCTTTTGAAGTGTAAGTGTGTGCAAAGCATATTCAGACTTAATACAAAATGGAACAGTGGATGACTAGAGAGATAAATGGTGCCAATAGCTACTAACAATCATGCAAAATTATACATCCTGTGGGAGACTGGAAACATATATTCATTTTCAAGAGAAGAGGTTAGAAAATGGAGACCTCTGATGCGATTTCAAAAGACGTGCAATCACCAATGAACACTTTTTGACTTCCTGGGAATTTCTCTGCATTACAAGCAAATCTGGCAACTGATAACTTCCTGGACAGCTGTCTCTCCCATTTATTCCCCCAATTCTTTTTTGGTAATTGTCAGCTAAATCTTTACATGAGTGTAATCTCTACCCTGCAGAAAGAAATTCATCTTAGAAGTTTTCATTTTCATTTGGCAAAGGATTTGGAAGAATGGTGATTATTCTCTAAGCCTAAAGTGAAAATTCAAGGGTTTGTTTTCTACAGATGCAATCAAGCATAATATTGTGGTATCTTTATGAGAAATTTCTAATTAATGTCTAGTTCAGTGTGCTTAAATGTAAGTCACAATTCTGATTATACCTGCTTGTATTAACCATATCCTGAAATTAATGTTTGCTGTCATTTAAGCAAAACCTGCTTTCTTTGGTTGGCAAATCATCTAACATTAACTGTCCCATAACTAAGCACACTGAGATCAAGGTCAATCTGTTAGTTTTATTTTAGTTTACCTTATTAAGAATATCAGAAAAGTTTAGCTTGCTTGGCCCTTGATTGAAACTGCTTAATAATCTCCCACTGCTCTTCGCAAAACTGTCAAAATCCTTAATGTGGCTTACAACGTTCTGGGCTACCTGAGCCAGTATTACTTCTAGTTTTGTCTTGGATCACTCCCATCCCTTCTTTCTTTTTCCCACCTTCCCTCCCCTCCCCTCCATCTCTGTGTTCCAGTCACTCTAGCCTTCTTTTAATTACTCAAAATTTTATATTCATTCCTGCTTCTGGCCTTTGCTCTTTGCTGCTTTTTTTTTTTTTTTCCACCTGGAATTCAAGTCAGACTTCCTTGAGGAAGAAGCAGTTTATTTTCTTTGATCACACAGCTCATGGTTGCCTAGGATCATAACACCCCTATCTCTCTCTCTCTTTACAGTACTTGTAGCAACTGTAAACATTTTATGTATAAACACTACAAGAAAAAAAGCTCTCAGATTATTTGCTTTTGAAGTCAGAGCAGAGGCTGGGTCAGTGTTATTGCTGTATCCTCAGGAGCAGCCTGGTGCCTGGCACACGTTAGGTGCTCCATAAATGCTTGTTAAATAAGGGAAGGGATTCGTAGTTCCACCTGACTCTTAAATTGGCAATGCATGTTTTCCTGCTTCATGGCTGCACTTGAGCAGAAATGTCAACCATGCCACAAGAGGTTGATTATTTAAGACTAAGATGGAGCCAGTTGTTTTCATAAAGGTTGAAAACAGATTTTGCATTTGTATTCCTTAAGTACTTTTGAAACAGATATATTCTCCCACACATACTCATTCACAAATAATGGGAGTATGATCTTTAAGAGAACCTAAGCAAATATAGTCTTGATGAAGTAATTCCATTTTAAATAATCTATTTTAAGGAAATAGTCATAGATTATTTTACCCCTGCCCTCATGTAGTTTATTCTCAGCAGAGCAGGAATAATAATTTCTTAAAAGCCAGGATCATGCACCCCCTTGGGCAAAACCTGGAAATGATCATATTTCACTCAGAGTAGAAGCCAAATCCTTCCAATTGCCAACAGAGTCCTGCATAATTCATGTTATTTGTATATTTCGTGTTTTTTTCTTTACAATTTTCTGCAATGAGATATTTGTTCAGGAAAAACAAAAGCATTATTAAAAAGGAAAGAGGGACATTCAGAAAGCAGATTTGAAAAGTTAATATTCTGTTTTTTTAATCATTGAAAATAAGTTATGAAGATGGGATTTCTTTTAGAAGTTTTTTTCAATGGGAGAAAATGTGATTATTACTAATCATTCAACTGCTGATTAGACACACACACACACACACACACACACACACACACACACAGAGGCAAGAATTTGCTCTTTGGCTTCTACTTATCTATTTCTTGAAAGTTAACAAGAGCAGGGAACGGTGGTTCACGCCTGCAATCCCAGCACTTTGGGAGGCTGAGGAGGGCGGATCACCTGAGGTCAGGAGTTCGAGACCAGCCTGGGCAATATGGAGAAACGTCATCTCTACTAAAAATACAAAATCAGCTGGGTGTGGTGGCACATGCCTGTAATCCCAGGTACTCTGGAGGCTGAGGCTGGAGAATCGCTTGAACCTGGGAGGCAGAGGTTGCGGTGAGCCAAGATCTCGCCATTGCACTCCAGCCTGGGCAACAAGAGCAAAACTCTATCTCAAAAAAAAAAAAAAAAAAAAAAAAAAAAAAAAGTTAATGAGAAACAGGTAGATAAACCCAGGAGTGTTTAAGACTTTTAGAGACTACTCACAACTAAGTTCTAGTTCTTACTTTGTATTCCTCTTAAAGTTATCGTGTTCTCCCTAATCTTGTTGTATCAGTTTCAACCATTCATCAATAGTGGTGGCGAGCACATGTCCGGCATCAAGGCAGACTAGCTGGCAAGAACCAAGCTAGTCTGCCTCCTCCTTTCACTGTAGTTCTACTTTCTCCCTGGCCACCTCCCCTGGTGGATTCCTACACCTGTTCTTTCCTCTCCATCCCCAGTGCCATGCCTGGGGCAAGTCCTTATCTCCTCTTGCCTGTTGTATTCCAACTGGTTTTTGTGTCTTCAGTCTTTTGCCTCTTTAATTTATTCTACATTAAAGTGAATGATACTCTAAGACACCGATTACTTCCTACTGGCAAAAGGATAAAGTTCAAGGTCTATCTTAGTCTAGATTCAACTCTGTCTTCCGTGGTTCCCCAGGCCCTATTCTTTGGCTTCGCTCTTTTACTTCACATGCCTTGTACTTACTTGCCTCCACACCTCTGTGCGTGCCTGGGGAGCCCCTCCCCAGTTTCTTTTCACATTCAGGGCTCAATTCACTGTCTTTGATAGTGATGCCTCCCTGGTCCTCCTGCGGCACAAACCTATCCCTCTACTGCATTCTTTTAACACTTTGCATATCTCTATTATGGCCCTTACTGGATGGCATTGTAATTGTTCATATTCCTGTTGCCCTCAGCGACCTGTCTGGTTTACTAAAGCATTGCTCCCATTGGTTATCGTGTACTGTCACTCTTTAGAAGCACTAATTGATAGAAAGCCATGGTTGATAGGATACTCATAGCAGAGAGCTATTCTAGTAAACAGCTATTTTAATAACTATTGTTAGCACACAATTGCTGCTGTGAATGAGAGGAGGATGATTGCAACTCTTTTTTTTGGATGGAGTCTCACTCTTCGCCCAGGCTGGAGTGCAGTGGCATGAACTCGGCTCACTGCAACCTTCGACTCCTGGGTTCAAGCTATTCTCCTGCCTCAGCTTCCCGAGCAGCTGGGACTACAGGCATGCGCCACCATGCCCAGCTAATTTTTTATTTTTAGTAGAGACGGGGTTTCACCATGTTGGCCACGCTGGTCTCAAACTCCTGACCTCAGGTGATCAGCCTGCCTCGGCCTCCCAAAGTGCTGGGATTACAGGAGTGAGCCACTGTACCCAGCCTTTTTTTTTTCTTTTGAGAGGGAGTCTCACTCTGTTGCCCAGGCTGGAGTGCAGTGGTGCGATCTCAGCTCACTGCGACCTCCGCCTCCTGGGTTCAAGCGATTCTCCTGCCTCAGCTTCCCGAGTAGCTGGGATTACAGGCACCCACCACCACACCCAGCTAATTTTTATACTTTAGCAGAGACAGGGTTTCACCATGTTGGCCAGGCTGGTCTTGAACTTCTGACCCTAAGTTATCCACCTGCCTTGGCCTCCCAAAGTGCTGGGAGGACAAGAGTGAGCCACCATGCCTGGCCGATTGCTACTCTTAAAACTGCTGCCATTGCCAGGCATGGTGGCGCATGCCTGTAATCCCAGCACTTTGGGAAGCAGAGGTGGGAGGATCTCTTGAGGCCAGGAGTTTGAGAACAGCCTGGGCAACAGAGTGAGATCTTGTCTCTATAATATTAAAATATATATATATATATGTATATTTTAAAAAATGCTGCCATGGCCAAGTGTGGTGGCTCATGCCTATAATTCCAGCACTTTGGGAGGCTGCGGTGAGACAATCATTTGAGGCCAGGAGTTTGAGACTAGCCTGCACAACAAAATGAGCTCCTATCTCTACAAAAAAATAAAAAAATCAGCTGGGCGCACTGGTGCATACTTGTGATCCCAGCTACTCATGAGGCTGAGGTGGGAGGATCACTTGAGCCCAGGAGTTCAAGGCTGCAGCTAGCCATGATTGTGCCATGGCACTTCAGCCTGGGTGACAGAGCAAGACCCTATCTGTAATAAATAATAATAATAAAAACCTGCCACCACCACTACCACCTTTACCACCCCACTACCTCTACTATAATCACTTCCACCCCTACTATCACCACCCCACTGTCATCACCTATACCACGTCCAACTCTACTCTTCTCACCTCCACTATCAGTACCGAGTCCACCACAATCATCACCCCCATTCACCTCCACTATCAGTACCGAGTCCACCACAATCATCACCCCCATTCACCTCCACTATCAGTACCGAGTCCACCACAATCATCACCCCCATTCACCTCCACTATCAGTACCGAGTCCACCACAATCATCACCCCCATTCACCTCCACTATCAGTACCGAGTCCACCACAATCATCACCCCCATTCACCTCCACTATCAGTACCGAGTCCACCACAATCATCACCCCCATTCATTAGCATAGGCAGAGCACTGCCAAGTACCACGCAGTGGGTTAGCTGGTTTTTTTTTGAGATGGAGTCTCACTTTGTCACCCAGGGTGGAGTGCAGTGGTGCGATCTCGGCTCGCTGCAATCTTTGCCTCCTGGTTCAAGCGATTATCCTGCCTCAGCCTCCCAAGTAGCTGGGATTACAGACATGCTCCACCACGCCTGGCTAAGTTTTGTGTTTTTAGTAGAGACGGGATTTCACTATGTTGGTTGTCCAGAGTGGTCTTGAACCCCTGACCTCAGGTAATCCGCCGGCCTCAGCCTCCCAAAGTGCTAGGATTACAGGTGTGCTCCACCGTACCCAGCCAGGGTTAGCTGTTCTATATGCATTGTCTCATTCCATCTCTACAACACGATTAAATATGAGAAAACTGACACTCAGATCCAGCAACATCTGTTTGATGGCACAGCTTTGGGTGGAAGTGTTTGGATTCTAACTTGGGGCCCTCTGGCCTCAGAGTCTGAATTTTCGTCTCCAAAGATCTGTTGCTAATAAGCTACTGCAGTGGTACCCTACAGTTTTGTTTCCCGCATTCCTATCACCTTTGCTCACTTCATCCACTCCAGCGGCCTCATCCTCCAGCTGACTCATCCATGCCACCCATCCCCACCTCCATCTGACCCACTCCATAATGTGCCCTCTAACAGGGCTTTCCATTAAGGCCTTTGCAGTGGTGTGCTGGTAAATGTTTAACAACAGGCTCTCTGAAGAGGGGCAGAGGGGATTTCTCCTTTGTAGCATTTGCTGTTTTCCATGGTGTAAATACTGCCACATGACTTTTTTTTGTACCAACCAACTTGATGTCAACCAGCTGAAAAAATTATTAAAACTTTCATAGTCAGCTCTCATGAGCCAATATTGATACAGGAGTTAAGAAGAAATTACTTAGGCAGATAGTGAGGGTACGGAAGTCCTTGGTAATGTTTTCCTTTGAATGAAAAGCAGCCCCAGACTATTTGTTTTCCTTTTAATGAAAAGCAGCCCCAAACTATTTTCCTTTCTAACAAACAGCAGCCTGTAAGATCAAGCTGCAGACATAGATGCCGGCAGTTGTGCCAATCATGTTCAAAATGGCAGTCCCATCTTTCCTCTGCCAGCCGCGTGTACAGCAAGGAGCAGACAAGATGGCGCAGCCCAAGGAGAAAGTTTATTTGCGTAATAAGATTAGGGTGGGGCAACCAGCCTTCCCTGCTCGCTATGTAAATGTCACACTTAATTGAACCAATCTGTGAGCATTATGTAAATCAGACACCGCCTCCTCAAACCTGACTATAAAATCTGGCACATCCACCACTGGCAGGTCCTCTCGGAAGACCCTTCTCTCACTAGAGAGAGCTGTTTTCCTTTCTTTTTCTTCCTCCTTCTTTTGCCTGTTAAACTTCCGCTCCTAAACTCCTCATGAGTGTCCATGTCCTAAATTTTCCTGCCGCGAGATGACAAACCCTGGGTATTTACTCCAGACAATGTAGCAGCTTCAGTATAAGCTGGCTTCAAGGTCCTACAAAAACCCCTTTTACAATGAGCAACTTCCTTCTTTCACACCTCTGCCTTAAGGGAACCAAGGATTTTTCCTTGGTAATACCATTACCCTCAAGACCTTGCCAATTTGAGGCTACTTCTCCTGTTTTTTTTTTTTAGAAGAAATTGTGAGGTCAGTATACACAAACAAACAAACATTAACCAATTAATTAGAAAAAGTACTCTTCTAATTAATTTAAAGCATTTTCATGGTTTAAAATCCCAAATTCAACAGGGTAGTCACTGAAAACTCTCTCTCCTATCTGCGTTTCCAATCACCAGATTTCTCTCCCTGAATGCAATCAATGTTCTCAGTTTTCATGTGTATTGACATACTTTTTCTTTCCCCTTGCCCTTTATGGATGCATTTTCTGTTGCCACCACCCTTTAAACTCTTATTTTGAGGCTAATTCCACTCATACAGTTTTCTCTATTATCTACTAACTTCCAGGATATTCCTGGAATATCTTCTGTAGCGACTTCAGCCCGTTTCATTGGGCTTTCTATCCCATCCTCTGAGATTTCAACATTCATGTTTATGGTCTCACAAATTTCCCCAGCTTCAAGACTCTTTATCTCCAGTTCCTCAACCACCAGTTGAGGAATTGAACCACCAGTTCCATTTCTAAATTATGGAAGAGTCAAGAACTCCTTTGATAACTATCCCTTTATCCTACACCGTAATCACTCCTTCACGTCCACTGAATCTGCCATAGGGCCATTTGTGAACACTAGCCTGGCTCCATTTTGCCCCAGTGAATCAGCTCTCTACTGGTTTCATTTATTGTCTTAACCTGACCCACACCCTCAAAACTAGCCATTCCAACAAGAGAATTCTCTGTCCTCTTCCCTACCAGTTATATCCATTCTAAAATTACTCATTACCTGTACTGTATATTCCTGCAGCAGTTCTGAAGACATTTTTGTGCTTAAAAGCCTTCAGCGGCTTTCTAGGAATTTAATCCAGAATTCTCAGCTAAATAGACAGAGATCCATGTTTCTAGCGTGCCTATGACCATCCACTTCAGGGATCCAGTGCTCAGCCACATCCAGCTACTTGCTCTCTTTTTCTTTTTTCTTTTTTTTATTTGAAACGGAGTCTCACTCTGTCGCCCAGGCTGGAGTGCAATAGCACGATCTTGGCTCACTGCAACCTCTGTCTCCCGGGTTGAAGCAATTCTCCTGTCTCAGCCTCCCAAGTAGCTGGAACTACAGGTGCTTGCCACCATGCCCGGCTAATTTTTGTATTTTTAGTAGAGATGAGGTTTCACCATGTTGGCCAGGCTGGTCTCGAACTCCTGACCTCAAGTGATCTGCCTGCCTCAGCCTCCCAAAGTGCTGGGATTACAGGCGTGAGCCACTGTGCCCGGTGGGTTTTTTTTTTTTTTTTTTTGAGATGGAGTCTAGCTCTGTCGCCCAGGCTGGAGTGCAATGGTGCAATCTTGGCTCACTGCAACCTCCATTTCCCAGGTTCAAGCGATTCTCCTGCCTCAGCCTCCCGAGTAGCTGGGAAGACAGGTGTGTGCTACCATACCTGGCTAATTTTTGTATTTTTAGTAGAGACAGGGTTTCACCATGTTGGCCAGGCTGGTCTTGAACTCCTGACCTCCAGTGATCTGCCTGCCTTAGCCTCCCAAAGTGTTGGGATTACAGGCGTGTGCCAGTGTGCCCAGCCTACTTGCTCTTGTTTTAACATACCTTGGCCTTTCCCACCTCCAGGTCATTTGTTTGATGATTCCTTCTGCTTGGAATTATCTCTCTATCTCTGCCTATTGAATTCCCATAGATTCTTTAAGACCCAGCTCAAATCACATCTCCTTCACGTTTTCTCTCATTTCCCCATCTCTCCTTTACCGTTGTGTTTGCTTACTTATTTTATAAAGCAAAGCATGTTCTGCTTAATATGATCGTTGTTTTTGTGTCTTATCTTCCTAATAGGCTGAACTTCTTGAGGATGCTTGTATTTGTTCTTAGAGTCCCCATTACATTAAATAATTGCTTTATGGCTTTGGATAAAATACATTTACAATTTCTTTTCCAAGAACGAACAAGGATCAGAAAGCAAAATAGGGCAAAATAAACATTACAATGTTCTGATAGGTTATTATACCACACAACTTAATTCTCAAATTTTATAGAAATGCAGAATAGGATTTTTCCCTCCCCTAGTTATTACAGAAATTATTCTTTTCTACCCAAATATAAAACAAAGCTCCAGTAAAAGAAGGTGTGAACACTTGTTTCTGCTATGCATCGCAATACATGGGATGTTTATATGGCAAATGCATGTGTGGGATGTGTCCTGCATTTATATATGTTGGGGGGAAATTCTTAGCTCACAGAGGATAGTGAATGAAGAGGAACAGCTATAACTATCACTGGTTCTTCTTCTTCTTCTTTTTAAAAAACCAGTTAATTAATTATTTTTAGAGACTGGATCTTGTTATGTTGCCCAGGCTGAGCTCACACTCCTGGGCTCAAGCAATCTTCCTGCCTTAGCCTCCCAAGTAGCTGGGATTACAGGCGCATGCCACTGTGCCTGGCTGTGTTCTTGATCAACAAGGCCCCCGTGTCTTTGCAGCAAATATTGGTTTCTCATTTTCCCTCCCCACCCCCTACTCCCACCCCCATGGATTTTTTATCTTTTCAGAAAAGCTCTTGTTGACCTCCATTCTCTTATAATTATTCCTTAATTCTGTACTAGTTGGTTTTCCAACATAAAAAACAGTGAAGTCTCTGTAATTATGAAACTACTTGTGTGACATGACACTACTTGTCAGCATTCTTTCTGTTGCGAGAATGAATAGCAACTTTGACTTCCCAAAAAACACAGCTCTAGCTTGAATACACTGAACATGTGTAGCCGCGCCAAGAATGACTAAGTACAGACTACCAGCAATGAGCACTTGATGATCACCTGCAGTTTTCATCATCCCCTTCTGTTCAGCCACCCCAGTGGCCTACCTCTTATGGGTCACTGCAACACACAGGCAGCAGGCAATAGAGAGTATATGGGCTACTAGATAGGGCCGATGAGCTCCGTGGTAGTTTGGCTCTAAGAAAGACAACAGGCCAGGCACAAGTGGCTCACACCTATAATCCCAGCACTTTGGGAGGCTGAGGTGGGAGGATTGTTGAGCCCAGGAGTTTGAGACCAGACTGGGCAATGTAGTGAGACCGTGTTGCTAAAGAAAAGAAAGAAAGACAACAAAGGGACATGAAGTATCATTATGGTTTTCTTTTTCTTTTCTTTCTTTCTTTCTTTCTTTTTTTTTTTTAAATAGAGATGGGTTCTTGCTATGTTGTTCAGGCTGGTCTTGAACTCCTGGACTCAAATGGTCTTCCCACTTCAGCCTCCCAAAGTGTTGGGATTACAGACGTGAGCCACCATGCCCAGCCATGGGTTTCTTACTAGGTGGTGGAGCTATTTCCCACGAGAATAGCATGAAATGTGAACCATTTCTCAAGAGAATAGCATGGCCATTCTTCACCAGGGGTCTTGGTCGAGGTTGTAGAATCTGTGTGGCCCTCCTCTCTCTAACGGTTGGCAAAATGGTGATAGGCCAGTAGGTGACAGGACAGCCTGGCTGGACATCTCCATCTGTCATCTCTGTTATGGTTGGGACCTCAGAAGGGAGCGAAACAAAACCAAAAGTCATTCCAAATTGCTTAGGGTTAATTGAAGGAAGCCACAGGAAGAGCAGCTATGAACTCTGTCCTCAGGGCATCCACAGAGTGTGGGGACCTGGAGAAGGAGCAGTGGCAGCCACAGGCCTGAGGGCAGAAGGAAGGGGTACAGGTGAGTACAGTGATCACAGAGTCTCAGCTTTCTGAGAAAGTCATGATTTTACCTAATCTATTCTGTTGTCAGACATGTTCTGTTCTTTAACCCTCAATGCTTAGCCATTGAAAATTTGGAGGCCGGGCGTGCTGGCTCACGCCTGTAATCCCAGCACTTTGGGAGGCTGAGGTGGGCAGATCATGGAGTCAGGAGATCAAGACCATCCTGGCTAACATGGTGAAACCCCTGTCTCTACTAAAAATACAAAAAAATTAGCTGGGCGTGATGGCGGGCACCTGTAGTCCCAGCTACTTGGGAGGCTGAGGCAGGAGAATGGCGTGAACCCGGGAGGCGGAGCTTGCAGTAAGCCGAGATCGCGCCACTGCACTCCAGCCTGGAAGACAGAGCGAGACTCCGTCTCAAAAAAAAAAAAAAAAAAGGAGGAAAAATACTGTTTGACTCATGACTCATGGTAGTGTTTTTCACAAACAAATGCTATCATTTGCACACTTGGGCCTAGGAAGAATGAAGAAGCCTGAATCTATGCTGCAAACTCTGGTTTCCACAAGCCTCGTGAAAGATGAAGAAAGAAGGCTAAGAAGGCTTCCTCCCAATGGGATGATGGTAAGTCTGAAATCCCAGTTGATCTGGTGAGATATGAAAAAGGGTGAGATAATTGTGCTGAGAAATCATCTCAGTTTACAGGCACGCACATCTTCAACACAAAATGGAGGCTGATGAGAGTTCAGTTCAATGACTGTTTCCAACACTAGAGTGGGGCTATGAATTGGCATCATCCTAGAGAAATTTCAAGTGGCTTAAGTGGACTTGAAAACAGTACTGTCCTCTCACTTTTTGTCATTTAGTTTCTTAGAGTCAGAGATAATGTCTAAAAAAGGGCATTTCTCATAATAATTTGTGACCAGGAGAATCAATAAAAAAGGATTTCCCTTGCCAGGATTTTCAGAGAGAAAACTATGCTTACAGTCCACAGAATGACAAATATTCATTGTGTGATGCTAATAAAAGTGTAAGGCATTTTAAAATTCAAGGGTATTTTCTTATAACCATCTTCTTCAAAGAACTTTGATCTCTAGTTACCTTATATGATTGAAAACAATGACTAAATGAAATGCTTGTCTCCTCCAAGAATGGAATATAAAGTATTTACATAAATCGATATTGCTGGAAAAAAATCTGCAGATTCCTTATGCTTGGGTTCACATGAAATAAGTAACTTTCTTCCCCAAAAAGCCAGCTGTGTGATTACTAAGAGACCAAGTCACATGGTTTGGATCTGTGTCCCCCTCCAAATCTCATGCTTAGTTGTAATCCCCAATGTTGAAGGTGGGGCCTTGTGGGGAGTGATTTGGTCATGGGGATGGTTTCTCGTGAATAGCTTAGCACTATCCCTTCTTGATATTGTCCTCATGATAGTGAGTGAATTCGTGTGAGATCTGGTCATTTAAAAGTGTGTGGTGGCTGGGCGCCGTGGCTCCCAGCACTTTGGGAGGCTGAGGTGGGTGGATCACTTGAGGTCAGAAGGTTGAGACCAGCCTGGCCAACATGGTGAAACCCTGTCTCTACTAAAAATACAAAAATTAGCTGGGTATGGTGGCACATGCCTGTAATCCCAGCTACTTGGGAGGCTGAGGCAGGAGAATTGCTTGAACCTGGGAAGCAGAAGTTGCAGTGAGCTGATATTGCACCACTGCACTCCAGCCTGGGTGACAGGCGAGACCCTGTCTCAAAAAAAAAAAAAATAAAAAAAAATAAAAATAACGAACGAACTAACTAATTAACTAAATAAAATAAAAGTGTGTGGCACCTCCCCCTCACACCTCACACTCCCTTGCTCCTGCTCTGGCCATGTGATGCACCTGCCCCCTCTTCACCTTCCATCATGATTGTAAGTTTCCTGAGGCCTCCCCAGAAGCTAAGCAGATGCCAGCATCATGCTTCCTGTTCAGCCTGCAGAACCAAGAGTCAATTAAACTTCTCTTCTTCATAAATTACCCAGTCTCAAGTATTCCTTTATAACAATGTGAGAATGGACTAATACACATGGCCTTTTTGGAAAAGCTCTAGATATAAAGTCTGAGGCCAGAGGTTTAGATGTGTGGTACAGAAAATACACGAGAAAAGAAGTTGGGCCCGATCCTCTCTCTGTTTCTGATTTTTATAAAGATGCTATTCATTTATGAGTCAGAAGGCCTAGATTCAAGTCCTGACTCTCTCTAAGAAGGTGTTTGGCTATGGTTAAGTTATTTTGGTCTTAGTTGTGTAATCTGTAGTGAGGCAGCTACTCTAGATGAACTCAAAGTTCCTGTCGGCTGTAGCCCTCTGAGGACTGGTGTGGGGTGTAGGCACTGGCCTCTAACTGGGTTCTAGGGAAAGCACTGATAACACAGGACTCCTAGAGCATCCTCATTATTTATAAGCATTATTTGATTGATTGAAGACTAGTATCCAAAGCTTGTTTTCTTTCTTTCTTTTTTTTTTTTTTCTGAGATGGAGTCTTGTTCTGTTGCTCAGGCTGGAGTACAGTGGCATGATCTCAGCTCACGGCAACCTCTGCCTCCCAGTTCAAGCAATTCTCCTGTCTCAGCCTCTTGAGTAGGTGGGATTACAGGCGCGTGCCCTCACGCCTGGCTAACTTTTGTATTTTTAGTAGAGTTGGGGGTTTCACCATGTTGGCCAGGCTGGTCTCGAACTCCTGACCTCATGATCCACCCGCCTCAGCCTCCCAAAATGTTGGGATTACAGGTGTGAGCCACCGCACCCGGCCATATCCAAAACTTTGAGGAAGAAAATCCATTGAGTGGTATGTTTCCTACTGAGTGCTCTTACTGATCAGTTACAGAGAAGGAGCTGATGGTAGATGAAATCAGGTGAGAAAAGGTCAAACATCAAGAGAACACATCAAGAGATGTAGAACACATCAAGAGATCAATTTAGTATCTCTTTATAATAAACAACCCAAACCAAAAATACCAACAATATATAAGCAAGAACTGTTCTGATACAATCCTGTAAAAATAGCTTTATTAAAACCTAGCCTGAAGTTTTACAGAGAAAAGATTAGACTTAGAAAGCCTCCAAATCTATCAAGAGAGAAACTTTTTTTTTAAAATCTCTATTTGGGATGATAGACGATGCATTTCAGTTTCAGAGAACCAGCTAAAAACCAAGGATGAAATAATAAGTGCTCAAGTGGGCTAGAAATAAATATAGCTGCTGTTTTCCCTATATGAGGGATGTGCAGCAGTAATGAGGCTCAGACAAAGGATTATCATCATAGAGAGGAAATGAGGCATTAAGCAAATAATTAAAGAGTATTAAATCATCTCAGAACACTTGTAAGACTGTAAAAGGCAAACATCGTTAGCAGTATTGTTGAGAAATGATGGTAAGAAAAAGGAAAGGAAATACAGTTAGTGTTTGGGAGGGAGTGTGGTATTGCGATCTCTTACTAGAGGTATGTTTTTTGGGAAATCACTTACTCTTCAAGATTCTTAATTTTTTCATCTTAATGAAAAAATTTCATCTTGCTCTTAAGATGGAGCAAGTAATATCTCCCTCACTGGGGGGACACGAGGATTAAATAAGGGCACAGAGAACTGGTTCTGAGACATTAAGCCGTCAGTAAGTGGTGCCTATTGTTATTCAGGAACAGAAACAAGGTGATGTTTGATCCAGCTAGTTAAATAGCTGTATTCTATCACTGATACAAAAAATGCACTCTAGGAGAGATGACAGCTCGTTAAAGTACCATATATTTATAATATGATTGGGTAAGGTTTTTTTTTTTTAATTAAAATTTTTTTTCCTTTTCTTTTTGAGACAAGGTCTCACTCTGTCCCCCAGGAGGGAGTGCAGTGGTGCAATCACAGCTCACTGCAGCCTCATCCTCTCGGGCTCAAGCAATTCTCCCACCTCAGACTCCTGAGTAGTTGGGACTACAAGGATGCACCACCATGCCTGGCTAATTTTTTTTTTTTTTTTTTTTTTTAGCACAGATGGAGTCCTGCTATATTGCCCAGGCTGGTCTTGAACTCTTGAGCTCGGGTAATCCTCCTGCCTCAGCCTCCCAAAGTGCTGGGATGAAAGATGTGAGCCACCACACCTGGCCAAGATGTTTTTATTTAAGCCATACTGCTTTGAAAATTAGTGATCTTCCACTTTCATTGCATGAATCATTCACAACAGGAAAAGCAATTCACCCAAGATTCTACTATTCCAATGCTATAGGAACTAATCCTCTATAAGAAGTGAAAGAAGAAAAGACAACGGGGTTGGGGCACCCCTTCAGGGCAGTTGCGGTGTTCACTGACAGAGACTAGGCAAAACCTGGGAGGGAGGGTCTTTCTCTACAGGAGAAAAATTGCAGAGATTCTGATGAAACAGGAAAAAAAATGTCACTTAGACCACACCTGTATGTAAAAGGTCATCATTAGCCATCAACATTGCAACCAAAATCGTGTAAGGAGGGAAGGCAGCATAGTTTAGTAACTTATTTGATAAAGTCAAACAAGGATTTGCATACAGTGAAAATTTTCTAAGGATTGTTCAAATGAAAAGCTGAAAACAGTAATCCTGTATTGGGTATTCCTTTTAGTAGCCACAACTTAATGTTTGGCATTATTTATAAAGCGCTAATTTTCCCCTGTAAACATTTGGAATAAAAATATTGAGTATTGCTGAGAAGCCTGCATTACCTTGTAAAAAATAAGCATATCTTCCATGCTTCTTGATTTTAGTTATTGCCTTAATAAGGTTTTTTGGTAAATGTATCACATGGTAAAAAGTGGATTTAAGCATGATATATCAGCAACCAAGAGAAAGGAGCACGACATGGAGCAAGGTGTCTTTCTCTAGTATTAAGTGTCTCATGGTAAAAATCCAAAGATGGGGCCTGGTGTGGTGGCTCATGCCTATAATCCCAGCACTTTGGGAGGCCAAGGCGGGTGGACCACTTGAGGTCAGGAGATCGAGACCATCCTGGCTAACACAGTGAAACCCCGTCTCTACTAAAAAATACAAAAAATTAGCCGGGTGTGGTGGCGGGCACCTATGGTCCCAGCTACTTGGGAGGCTGAGGCAGGAGAATGGCGTGAACCCGGGAGGCAGAACTTGCAGTGAGCCGAGATTGCGCCACTGCACTCCAGCCTGGGCGACAGAGCGAGATTCCGTCTCAAAAAAAAAAAAAAAAAAAAAAAAAAAATCCAGAGACGGTACCCTTTAATTATTTATTTATTTTGTAGAGATGGGGATCTCACTGTGTTGACCAGGCTGGTCTCAAACTTCTGGCCTTAAGCAATCCTCCTGCATTGGCTCCCCAAAGTGCTGGGAATGCCATGAGCCACTGTGCCCAGCCCAAGATGCTACCCTTTAAATCCTCATTATAAGACAAGAATAAACCAAGAAACCTAGGAGCACATTGTATAATCAAACACAATTGCTCTTCAAGGCCCGTGCCATCATATAATGATACAGTAGCAAAATTTAGAAAGGGAATGCTGTAGGCCGGAGGCAGTGGCTCATGCCTGGAATCCCAGCACTTTGGGAGGCCAAGGCAGGAGGATCACCTGATGTCAGGAGTTCGAGACCAGCCTGGCCAACATGATGAGAGCCCGTCTCTACTAAAAATACAGAAAAATTTAATTGGGCATGGTGGCACGTGCCTGTAATCCCAGCTACTTGGGAGGCTGAGGCAGGAGAATCATGTGAACCCAGGAGGCAATGTTGCTGTGAGCTGAGATTGTGCCACTACACTCCAGCCTGGGTGACAGAGGAGACTCCATTTCAAAACAAACAAACAAACAAACAAACAGAATAAACTAAAATAAATAAATAAAATGAAAATAGAAAGAGAATGCTGTGTAAGGGTATTTCTTGGAAACCTGACTGCTTTGATCAAGTATGACACCCTTTCAAAAAGCACTAGGAATCCCTAACAGATTCCTTCAATTAAGGAATCATGGGGGAAGGTTGTTTAGACAGCTCTTGTTTTGAGAACTGTAGCAAAGCACACTGTTAACAGAATTAACAGCATTATTTAAAGACTATGTTGGTTATGATAATAATAAATATTGCATATTTTTATTCAGTTTATATATTGTAGGGCAAAGACAGTGTTCCCTTATATCAATGCTGTGCATAGCAATGGGGGCTCTGTACAAAGATGTTTCTTTCCTGAGATTTTTTCTTTTGTCTTGTGCATTTTCACTATTGAACAAGAGACTTTAGTTGCCCCAGGAAGTGAAGAGATCTAGCCTAGATCAAAGAAATCATTGGTCAGGTTCTCAGTTGACTTTTAAAATCTATAAAGTAGGGTGCATACCACATGCCCTCCAAGAGTGAGTAGGAAGGTGGGATCCTGCACATAGAACAGATGTTCTAGAACAGATGTCAGAGGCTCTGTGGGAGGCAGAATAATGCCCCTCCCCCAGAGATACATAAGTTCTAATCCTGGAACCTATAAATATTATCTTATCTGGCCAAAGGGTCTTTGCAGAACTGATTAAGGATCCTGAGGTGGTGAGATTATCCCGGATTATTAGGGTGGGCCTAATGTCATCATGGGGTCCTTGTAAGTGGAGGGGGAGTCAGAGTGTTGCAGGCTAAGAAAGACTCAGTGAACCATTGCTGGCTTTGAAGATGGAAGGGGCCAACAGCCAAGGAATGTGGGTGGCCTCTAGAAACTGGAAAAGACAAGGAAATGGATTCTTCCCAAGAGATTCCAGAAGGAGCAGAGTCCTGCTGACATCTTAATTTTAGCCTGGTGAGACCTGTATCGGACTTCTGACATTTCAGAATTCCAAGATGATAAATATGTGTTCATCTAAGTCACCAAGTTTATTACAGCAGCCATAAGAAGTGAATACAGGCACTCTCTCTTACACTTTTGTATTCAGTTCACTTTGAGGTGCTTCAGCCTGTGGGTGCCCAGGTAGGAGGCTTTTCTGATTATATGATCTAGTTTTCTCTGAATTAGCTTCATGAAATGGACAGATGGTGTAAAAGAATTAACGATAATACCAATAATGTAAGCATACGCCAACAACATAATAAAATGTTGACTTGCTTTGATATAGCTCTTCATTAATTACTTTATAAACATGATGATGATCTTATCAGATCTGACAAGAAATTGGCTTACAAATTTAAAATCCTTGAGAATTTTGAAGAACATTTACTCTTTAAAATGAAGAACTAAGTCTTAATATATGAAGCTTTATTAACTAATTATATATAGTCATCACAATGGAAAAGTACTTTCAGAAATACTTGAAGATATAGCTATGAACTTAAAAACAATAACTTGCAAAAGTGTATACAGGACTTTCATAGAAAAAACTCAGAACTCAATGCCAAAAAAATAAGCAAAACAAATTTTATACCAGGAAGTGCAGTATGTATATAGAATGTAAAAAGGGCCGAAGTAAACAAATGACCAACCTATAACATTGAAAGAGAAATTCTGACCAAACAATAGCTTTATAATAATGAGTATAATTATCCCAATCCTCAGAGACTGTTTTTTTTTTTTTTTTTGAGACAGGGTCTCGCTCTGTCACCCAGGCTGGAGTGCAGTGGTGCGATCACGGCTCACTGCAACCTCTGCCTTCCAGGTTCAACTGATTCTCCTGCCTCAGCCTCCCGAGTAGCTGGAATTACAGGCATGCACCACCACGCCCAGCTAATTTTTGTATTTTGTTTTAGTAGAGACGCGGTTTCACCATGTTGGCCAGGCTGGTCTTGAATTTCTGACCTCAGGGGATCCAACGGCCTCGGCCTCCCAAAGTGCTGGGATTACAGGTGTGAGCCACCGCACCCGGCCCAGAGACTGTTTTAAAATTTAATCACAAGATAATTCTTTCTCATCTAAAATGGATATAGTTAATGGTTATCAAATGTGAATTTCTTGATTCATATGAAAGAATCTGTATGACTTAAAACCAGACAAAGATGTGAGATACAAAGTAGAAATCCAGCCCTCTAAAGGGAAGCAGAGGGCAGTTACCTTCAAAGATGGAAGGGATGCAACCCTTGAGGCATCTTGGCACCCTAAGGGAAAGATCAGTGAAATGCTGAAAAATTATTAAAAAAAAACAAAAGAAAAATGTGAAATGCCTGTTCATGTGTGACTACTACAATGTCTCAGAACAAACTTCAGAATGTTACTGTTGATAATATTTGCTTTTTTCCCATCAGTTTAAGATATATTCTAGGTATTAAAAAAAGACACACACACACACACACACACACACACACACACACACACACACACACACACACCCTACCAAAAATAAGAAACAAAACTTGAAGGTGGGAAGCAGGTAAAGGAATGGGTTAAAGGGTTGGCTTGGAGACATCTGGCAATGCTTGCCCTCCCCCTCCCTCCTCGTGGATTCTTTACACATTTGCAGGAATGTCTGATGATGCATGAGACTGGCCTCTTTCATCCGGCCTCCTTTCTGGTCTCCAGAACCCTCCGAGGCCCTTTACTGTCGACTCCACTGCAGGGACATGTTAATAAGAAACAGATTTGATACTGGGAATGCTGTCATGGAGAACCCTGGGCTTAGCTCATTCACACTCAGTTTACCTTTAGCGGATCTGGTTTCATGCATTCCTGATCTATTTATGCATGTCTGCCTCTCTAGAAAGACTATAAGGCCCTACCCCTGTGCTCTGTCTCCTCCAGGCACAATGTTTTTGCACACTAAAGCACTGAATGAACGTTTACTAAGTTAAAAAATAATATTTGAAGAAGATTCTTTGTATTATTTATTGTATTACTTGCAATGCAGGATCTGTGGTTTCTGGAAGAATTTAAAGTCACTTATCTCTCTGCTCATGTTAAAACCAAAGGACTCCTAAACCTCAAACTGTAATTGCTGACCTCAAACAACAAACCTTTTCATCAGCTAGAGCAACAAAGTTAAAAACCTGGCTGCCAAATAAACTCTCCTCTCTGTTTGACCGTTAATGGGTTTCAGGAATGTAATTTTAGATACCCCATCATCCAGGGTCAGGTTGCCCTCATTTTGGTGACACTGGGAATGTCTGAAAAATAATCTCTAGCCTTGTATGTATCAGACAAACGGTATCATTGTATCCTTTTTTTTAAGCAGACCTATCTTTTCCCTTCTCTAAATATCATCAAGAAGAGAAGGTAATCAGCCATTTCAGTGGGAAGCTGATATGTGTGGAGAATTGCTACCCACCTCAGCAAATCAGAACATGAATGATGGATTTAAAGGTATATTTCCATGTGTCTAGGTCTAGGACCCACACAAATATAACTAGGCCAATGTGCCATAATTGTTGTTCAAGTATCTCCCAAATTGTATGCCTTGGAAGACCAGTTCTGAGAGATATAAAAGTATGTCTTAAGAAAAAAAAAATTTGTGGTTAATTTGGAAAATTCTGGATCAATTAGAATTAAAGAGGTTTCTTGATTGTAGGGTTTCTTAGAGTCCTCGATATGTTAATAAGCACTGTGATTTCTTAAGAGGTTTACAACCTGTAACTAGGGTAAGATATACTTTTATTGTTTTTAAATTTATTTCTAGAACACCTCATAAAATCCTGGCATATAGTTTGGAAAGGCCAGCAAGCCTCCCCCTTGATTCCCATTTTTTTTTTGTGGAATTCCTAAGCATTGTTGAGAATTTCTGAACTTCAGGATTATTAACAGTACCCTGCGGGCTGGGTGAGGTTTTTTTTTTTTTTTTTTTTTTTTGACAGTGTTTCACTCTGTTGCCCTCTGGTGCAATCACAGCTCACTGCGGACTCGAACTCCTGGGCTTAAGTGATCCTCCCACTTCAGTCTTCCAAGTAGTTGGGACTGCAGGCATGTGTCATGAAGCCCGGCTAATTTTTGTATTTTTTGTAGAGTTGGGGTCTTGCCATGTTGCTCAGGCTAGTCTCAAATTCCTGGGCTCAAGCGATCTGTCCCCTACGGCCTCTCAAAGTGTTGAAATTACAGGTGTGAGCTACCAACCCAGGGCAAGGGTATTTTTAAACAATATCAAGGAAGGAGAGATTTTCCTTGCCTTGGTTTAGCTCCTGAAAAAGCCTTTGGGGATTCCAATGACTTGGAGTCATCTTTGGGATATCCAAAGACGAGCTGGGGCCCTTGATTGATTCTGAAGCCCCAAGACCTCATACTGGCCTGGAATCACCTGCCAGAGCAATAAAGTGATGAAAGTGCCCAGAGGAAGTACAGGCTGAAATAACACATTTAGAGAAGAGAGTAATTTTTAAAAAGGAATAAGGAAAGGAAGTGATTAGTCTTTTCGCTTCCCTATTTCTTCCTCGAGTATTTCTTTAAAGGAGAAATTCCTTGTAATGTCTATTCTTTTTTTGTTTTCATATACTGTAGTTTTTTCCTCCAGCTTCCTAATTTATTAGTCTTTTTCACCACCACCAACAGAATTAGGCTCTACATCTCATGCTGCTAATCACTGAGGCCAAGACTTATGATTCAGACATGCTGGCGGTAGCAGGCTTCTAATCATGTGCTGAAGAAATAAATATAACTTCTAATCATGTGCTGAAGAAATAAATACAAGTTTGGAAAATGGTACAGTATTGGCCTGCCATGCAAAACAGTATTTGGTATAGGTGGAAGGTGTATATAAGGGTCTGGTTTAGTGGAGACACTCACATAAAGACCATTCCTGACAAAGGGGTCTGACTCCCTTTTTTTCTCAGGCCAGGTGATTTCCGTAGTTGATATGCTAATTCGAAAAATCATAAGTAGGATGAACATCAATTACTCAGAAAAAGGGCAGGTGCAGGGGGTCATGCCTGTAATCCCAGCACTTTGGGAGGTGGAGGCGGGTGGATCACCTGAGGTCAGGAGTTTAAGACCAGCCTGGCCAACACAGTGAAATCCCATCTCCACTGCGTGATGGTGAACATCTGTAATCCTAGCTACTGGGGAGGCTGAGGCAGAAGAATCCCTTGAACCTGGGAGATGGAGGTTGCAGTGAGCTACATCGCGCCACTGCATTCCAGCCTGGGCGATAGAGCAAGACTCTGTCTCAAAAAAAAAAAAAAAATTACTCAGAAAAGTTAAATGAACATGTGTATGACTTCCAGCAAGTAAGCTTTTTTATTATATCTTTACATTTATGGGCCTGTATTTACATTTGTTATTGTAACAATATAAAGATAAATACAAACCCAAAAGAAAAACAAAAGAAGTCCTTTATAATTCCACCAAACATTTTAAAAAAGAATTGAGGAGGCCAGGAACAGTGGCTTACACCTGTAATCACAACACTTTGGGAGGCCAAGACAGGAGGATCACTTGAGCCCAGAAGCTCAAGAACAGCCTGGGCAACATGGTGAAAAACCATCTCTACAGAAAAAGAAAAAAAGAGTTAGCTGAGAGTGGTGGCGGGCATGCATCTGTAGTACCAGCTATTTGGGAGGCTGAGATGGGCAGACTGCTTGAGCCTGGGAGGTGGAGGTTACAGTGAGCCGAGATCATGCCACTGCATTCCTGTCTGGGTGACAGAGCAAGACCCTGTCTCAAAAAATAAAAATAAAAAAAATAAAAAAAGGTTGAGGAATTAGTTCATTTAATACTTCATATAAGGAAGGAAAAATAGAAAATCTTGAATCCACGTAATGGTGGTTTGTATTTTTCACTGTATTTGCTTAAGTCAATGTTTTCTTTAGTTCATCTTAATCAAGAAAGAGCTATCCTTAGGAGGACTTTGAAAAATTTACTAATTATTTTAACATATCCTCAGAACAATACCAAGGGAAACAAATTCCTGGCCGCTGGTGAGCTACCTCTGGTAATGTAACTTAGCACAAGATCAAAGGTTAAGTGCCTCTTACCAGAGGAGAGAAGTAATCATTTCCATTATGTGTATTTTTTGGAGTGTTTTTTTTGTTAATACAAAATGAAATGGACTTTCCCCTCTACAAACCATTAATAGCTGTGTATGTGCAGCCAAGGCATATTATGAGTCAATTATAAAGTTCTCATGGTCTCCAGAGTTCAAATGTAATTTTATCATTTTAATTAGTAGTTTATCCTTTTACCAGGCATCAGAGTGTCTTGTGACAATGTACACAATGGCCTACCTTCACTCCCAATTTACAGCAGGATGGGGAGGCATAAGCTCTTCAAGGTTGTTCAATACCTCTTCCCATTTATTTACACTGGCAGTGGTTCAGGTCTTGGGAAGTTAACCCTGTTTCTGCAAGCGAGGGCCAAATGGTCAGGTCTGGTTGAGATCTGCATATGGCAGCTCTTTGCTAGCTACTCAGTACTTTAAAGATTCAAAGCACTCTCCTGTTACTGAGTTCACATATACTCCTTGGGAGAGGGATATTATCTTAGAATTATCCTCCTGAAACAACTTCTGTTATTAACTTTTCTCATTCCACATTAGGAAATCAAGAAGCTCTGTCCCTGGAAATTCAAACAACTTCTCTAGTGTTCCAGAACTAGCAAATGAGGTGGGCCTGAAGCCAACACAGAGCTGGGACCTAGGTTAGTAATTCTGGACTTGGAGCTTCAAGGCTCTGCTCATGCCGATGAAAGCCACGCAGCATGACTATCATGAAGCAGGCACCCTGGATCACTGAAAGCTCTTTAACTCTTGGCTTAAGGTATTCTGGCTTTTTCAGTATAAAAGCCATTACATTTCTTTGCACTGCTAATGTCAAGGAACAAATGTGAGGCAAACTATATTTTCTTTTTCAGAGACAGAGTCTATGTCGCTCAGGCTGGAGTGCAGTGGTGCCATCATAGCTACTGCAGCCTCGAACTCCTGGGCTCCAGCGATCCTCCTGCCTCAGCGTCTTGAATAGCTGGGACTTCAGGTGTACCCTACCATGTCTCACTTATTTAAATTTTTTTTTTTTGTAGAGATTGGGGTCTCCCTATGTTGCTCAGGCTGGTCTTGAACTCTTGGGCTCAAGTGATTCTTCCATCTCAACCTGCCAGCCTCCCAAAGTGCTGGGATTACAGGCATCAGCCATAGTGTCTGGCCACAAACTACATCTTCTAACATTTGATTTTCTCCTTCCATGTACACTAATCTGCATGTTGAAGAAATGCAAAATATTTAATTATACTGCATGGGCAGAAACATGTTAGAAAACGGATATTAATGTGAAGGCAATCACTGCAGAGATGTGTGCCAGTCAGATTAGTGGTACAGCTTCCTGCTGAAGATGATTAAAAAGAAAAGAGAAACTCACACATCCAGGGGTAATTGACTCAGTGCAATTTGGCATATAATTATACTGAGGACCATAAATTCTCTATGATTTCACAGCTGAAGTAAGACGACCCCAATACACTTAAAATGGAAGTATTATTCTCTGCTGAAAATCTGTTTATTGAAAAGGACAAAAGGGAATCCAGATTGGGCTAGGAAGCTGCTAGAGGAGCATTTAGTCTCAGCATCTCAGTGTCATGATCAGTGTCTGATGTTGCACTGTTTGTATCAGTGGCTGATGTAAGCTGATGATGGCATTTTTTTTTATTATAGTTTTAAGTTCTGGGATACATGTGCAGAACGTGCAGGTTTGTTACATAGGTATCCATGTGCCATGGTGGTTAGCTGCACCCATCAACCCATTGTCTACATTAGGTATTTCTCCTAATGCTATCCCTCCCCTAGCCACCCCCCCCTCAGCCCCCAACAGGCCCCAGAGTGTGACGTTCCCCTCCCTGTGTCCATGTGTTCTCATTGTTCAACTCCCACTTATGAGTAAGAACATGTTGTGTTTGGTTTTCTCTTCCTGTGTTAGTTTGCTGAGAATGATGGTGTCCAGCTTCATCTGTGTCCCTGCAAAGGACACGAACGCATCCATTTTTATGGCTGCATAGTATTCCATGGTAAATATGTGCTACATTTTCTTTATCCAGTCTATCATTGATGGGCATTTGGGTTGGTTCCCATTCTTTGCTATTGTGAATAGTGCTGCAATAAACATATGTGTGCATGTGTCTTTATAGTAGAATGATTTATAATCCTTTGGTATATACTCAGTAATGGGATTGCTGGGTCAAATGGTATTTCTGGTTCTAGATCCTTGAGGATCTACACTGTCTTCCACAATGGTTGAACTAATTTACAATCCCACCAACAGGGTAAAAGCATTCCTATTTCTCCACATCCTCTCCAGCATATGTTGTTTCCTGACTTTTTAATGATCGCCATTGTAACTGGCATGAGATGGTATCTCATTGTGGTTTTGGTTTGCATTTCTCTAATGACAAGTGATGATGAACATTTTTTCATACGTTTGTTGGCTGCATAAATGTCTTCTTTTGAGAAGTGTCTGTGCACATCCTTTGCCCACTTTTTGATGGAGTTGTTTTTTTCTTGTAAATTTGCTTAAGTTCCTTGTAGATTCTGGATATTAGCCCTTTGTCAGATGGATAGATTGCAAAAATTTTCTCCCATTCTGTAGGTTGTCTGCTCACTCTGATGAGTTTCTTTTGCTGTGCAGGAGCTCTTTAGTTTAATTAGATCCCATTTGTCAATTTTGGCTTTTGTCCCTATTGCTTTTGGTGTTTTTTTTGTTTTTTTTTTTTTTTTTTGAGACAGAGTCTTGTTCTGTCGCCCAGACTGGAGTGCGGTGGCGTGCTCTTGGCTCACTGCAAGCTCCGCCTCCTGGGTTCATGCCATTCTCCTGCCTCAGCCTCCCGAGTAGCTGGGACTACAGGCACCCACCATTATGCCCGGCTAATTTTTTTCTGTATTTTTTTAGTAGAGACGGGGTTTCACCGTGTTAGCCAGGATGGTCTCTATCCCCTGACCTCATGGTCCACCCGTTTCAGCCTCCCAAAATGCTGGGATTACAGGCATGAGCCACCAAGCCTGGCCTGCTTTTGGTGTTTTAGTCATGAAGTCTTTGCCCATGCCTATGTCCTGAATGGTATTGACTAGGTTTTCTTCTAGAGTTTTTACGGTTTTAGGTCTTATGTTTAAGTCTTTAATCCATCTTGAGTTAATTTTTGTATAAGGTGTAAGGAAGGGGTCCAGTTTCAGTTCTCTGCATATGGCTAGCCAGTTTTCCCAGCACCATTTATTAAACAGGGAATCCTTTCCCCATTGCTTGTTTTTGTCAGGTTTGTCAAAGATCAGATGGTTATAGATGTGTGGCATTATTTCTGAGGCTTCTGTTGTGTTCCATTGGTCTATATATCTGTTTTGGTACCCATACCATGCTGTTTTGGTTACTGTAGCCTTGCAGTGTAGTTTGAAGTCAGGTAGTGTGATGCCTCCAGCTTTGTTCTTTTTGCTTAGAATTGTCTTGGCTATATGGGCTCTTTTTTGGTTCCATATGAAATTTAAAATAGTTTTTTCTAATTCTGTGAAGAAAGTCAGTGGTGGCTTGATGGGGATAGCATTTAATCTATAAATTACTTTGGGCAATATGGCCATTTTCATGATATTGATTCTTCCTATCCATAAGCATGGAATGTTTTTCTATTTGTTTGTGTCCTCTCTTACTTCCTTGAGCAGTGGTTTGTAGTTCTTGAAGAGGTCCTTCACATCCCTTGTAAGTTGTATTTCTAGATATTTTATTCTCTTTGTAGCAATTGTGAATGAGAGTTCACTCATGATTTGGCTCTCTGTCTATTACTGGTGTATAAGAATGCTTGTGATTTTTGCATATTGATTTTGTATCCTGAGTCTTTGCTGAAATTGCTTATCAGCTTAAGGAGATTTTGGGCTGAGACGATGGGGTTTTCCAAATATACAATCATGTCATCTGCAAACAGAGACAATTTGACTTCCCCTCTTCCTATTTGAATACGCTTTATTTCTTTCTCTTGCCTGATTGCCCTGGCCAGAACTTCCAATACTATGTTGAATAGGAGTGGTGAGAGAGGGCATCCTTGTCTTGTGCCGGTTTTCAAAGGGAATGCCTCCAGCTTGTGCCCATTCAGTATGATATTGGCTGTGGGTTTGTCATAAATAGCTCTTATTATTTTGAGATACATTTCATCAATACATAGTTTATTGAGAGTTTTTAGTGTGAAGTGGTGTTGAATTTTATTGAAGGCCTTTTCTGCATCTATTGAAATAATCGTGTGTTTTTTGTCATTGGTTCTGTTTATGTGATGAATTACGTTTACTGATTTGCGTATGTTGAACCAGCCTTACATCCCAGGGATGAAGCCTACTTGATCGTGGTGGATAAGCTTTTTGAAGTGACACTTGGTTCGGTTTGCCAGTATTTTATTGAGGATTTCTGTATTGATGTTTGTCAGGGATATTGGCCTGAAATTTTCTTTTTTTGTTGTGTCTCTGCCAGGTTTTGGTATCAGGATGATGCTGGCCTCATAAAGTGAGTTAGGGAGGAGTCCCTCTTTTTGTATTGTTTGGAATAGTTTCAGAAGAAATGGTACCAGCTCCTCTTTGTACCTCTGGTAGAATTCAGCTGTGAATCTGTCTGGTCCTGGACTGTTTTGGTTGGTAGGCTATTAATTACTGCCTCAATTTCAGAACTTGTTATTGGTCTATTCAGGGATTCGACTTTTTCCTGGTTTAGTCTTGGGAGGATGTATGTGTCTAGGAATTTATCAGTTTCTTCTAGATTTTCTAGTTTATTTGCGTAGAGGTGTTTATAGTATTCTCTCATGGTAGTTTGTATTTCTGTGGAATCAGTGGTGAGATCCCCTTTATCATTTTTTATTGTGTCTATTTGATTCTTCTGTCTTTCTTCTTTATTAGTCTGGCTAGTGGTCTATTTTGTTAATCTTTTCAAAAAACCAGCTCCTGGATTCATTGATTTTTTTTTGAAGGGTTTTTTGTGTCTCTATCTCCTTCAGTTCTGCTCTGATCTATTTCTTGTCTTCTGCTAGCTTTTGCATTTGTTTGCTCTTGCTTCTTTAGTTCTTTTAATTGTGATGTTAGGGTGTTGATTTTACGTCTTTCCCGCATTCTCCTCTGGGCATTTAGTGCTATAAATTTCCCTCTAAACACTTCTTTAGCTGTGTCCCAGAGATTCTGGTACGTTGTGTCTTTGTTCTCATTGGCTTCAAATAACTTATTTATTTCTTCCTTAATTTCATTATTTACCCAGTAGTCATTCAGGAGCAGGTTGTTCAGTTTCCATGTAGTCTTGTGGTTTTGAGTGAGTTTCTTAATCCTGAGTTCTAATTTGATTGCACTGTGCTCTAAGAGACTGTTATGATTTCTGTTATTTTGCATTTGCTGAGGAGTGTTTTACTTTCGATTATGTGGTCAATTTTAGAATAAGTGTGATGTGTTGCTGAGAAGAATGTATATTCTGTTGATTCAGAGTGGGAGAGTTCCGTAGATGTCTATTAGGTCCACTTGGTCCTAATAGACCAAGTCCTGAATTTCCTTGTTAATTTTCTGTCTCATTGATCTGTCTAATATTGACAGAGGGGTGTTTAAGTCTCCCACTATTATTGTGTGGAAGCCTAAGTCTCTTTGTAGGTCTCTAAGAACTTGCTTTATGAATCTGGGTGCTCCTATATTAGATGCATATATATTTAGGATAGTTAGCTCTTCTTGTTGCATTGACTCCTTAACCATTATGTAATGCCCTTCTTAGTCTTTTTTGATCTTTATTGGCTTAAAGTCTGTTTTATCAGAGACTAGGATTGCAACTCCTGCTTTTTTCTTGCTTTCCATTTGCTTGGTAAATATTCCTCCATCCCTTTATTTTGAGCCTATGTGTGTCTTTGCACATGAGTTTGGTCTCCTGAATACAGCACACCGCTGGGCCTTGACTCTTTATCCAATTTGCCACTCTGTGTCTTTTAATTGGGGCATTTAGCCTGTTCAAATTTAAGGTTAATACTGTTTGTGTGAATTTGATCCTGTCATTATGATGTTTCCTGGTTATTTTGCCCATTAGTTGAAGCAGTTTCTTCATAGTGTCAATGGTCTTTACAATTTGATATGTTTCTGCAGTGGCTGGTACTGGTTTTTCCTTTCCATCTTTAGTGCTTCCTCCAGGAGCTCTTGTAAGGCAGGCCTGGTGGTGACAAAAATCTCTCAGCATTTGCTTGTCTGTAAAGGATTTTATTTCTTCTTCACTTAAGAAGCTTAGTTTGGCTGGATATGAAATTCTGGGTTGAAAATTCCTTTCTTTAAGAATGTTGAATATTAGCCTCCACTGTCTTCTGGCTTGTAGGGTTTCTGCAGAGAGATCTGCTGTTAGTCTGATGGGCTTCCCTTTGTGGGTAACCCGACCTTTCTCTCTGATGATTATGTGTCTTGGGGTTGCTCTTCTTGAGGAGTATCTTTGTAGTGTTCTCTGTATTTCCTGAATTTGAATGTTGGCCTGTCTTGCTAGGTTAGGGAAGTTCTCCTGGGTAATATCCTGAAGAACGTTTTCCAACTTGGTTCCTTTCTCCCCATCACTTTCAGGTACACCAATCAAACATAAGTTTGGTCTTTTCACATAGTCCCATATTTCTTGGAGGCTTTGTTCATTCCTTTTCATTCTTTCTTCTCTAATCTTGTCTTCATGCTTTATTTCATTAAGTTGATCTTCAATCTCTGATATCCTTTCTTCCGCTTGATCGATTTGGCTATTGATACTTGTGTATGCTTCACGAAGTCCTCGTGCTGTGTTTCTCAGCTACATCAGGTCATTTATGTTCTTCTCTAATCTGGTTATTCTAGCTATCAATTCCTCTAACCTTTTTTCAAGGTTCTTAGCTTCCTTGCATTGGGTTAGAACACGCTCCTTTTGCTCGGAGGAGTTTGTTATTACCCAACTTCTGAAGCCTACTTCCATCAATTCGTCAAACTCATTCTCCATCCAGTTTTGTTCCCTTGCTGGCGAGGAGTTGTGATCCTTTGGAGGAGAAGAGGCATTCTGGTTTTCGGAATTTTCAGCCTTTTTGCACTGGTTTTTCCTCATCTTCGTGGATTTATCTACCTTTGGTCTTTGATGTTGGTGACTTTCAGATGGGGTTTTTGTGTGGATGTCCTTTTTGTTGATGTTGATGCTATTCCTTTCTGTTTGTTAGTTTTCCTTCTAACCTGCCCTCTGCTGTAGGTCTGCTGGAGTTTTCTGGAGGTCCGCTCCAGATCCTGTTGCCTGGGTATCACCAGCGGAGGCTGCAGAACAGCAAAGATTGCTGTTCTTTCCTCTGGAAGCTTCATCCCAGAGGGGCATCTGCCAGATGACAGCCAGAGCTCTCCTGTATGTGGTGTCTGTTGACTCCTGCTGGGAGGTATCTCCCAGTCAGGAGGCATGGGGGTCAGGGACCCACTTGAGGAAGCAGAGTGTCCCTTAGCAGAGCTTGAGCACTGTGCTGGGAGATCCACTGCTCTCTTCAGAGCTGTCAGACAGAAACGTTTAAGCCTGCTGAAGCTGTCTCCATAGCTGCCCCTTCCCCCAGGTGCTCTGTCCCAGGGAGATGGGAGTTTTACTTATAGGCCCCTGACTGGGGCTGCTGCGTTTCTTTCAGAGATGCCCTGCCCAGAGAGGAGGAAGCTAGAGAGGCAGTCTGGCTACAGTGGCTTTGCTGAGCTGCGGTTCAAACTTCCCCATGGCTTTGTTTACACTGTGAAGGGAAAACTGCCTACTCAAGCCTCAGCAATGGTGGACGCCCCGCCCCTGACCAAGCTCAAGCGTCCCAGGTGGACTTCAGGCTGCTGTTCTGGCAATGAGAATTTCAAGCCAGTGGATCTTAGCTTGCTAGGCTCTCTGGGGGTGGGATCCGCTGAGCTAGACCACTTGGCTCCCTGGCTTCAGCCCCCTTTCCAGGGTAGTGAAAGATTCTGTCTCGCTGGTGTTCCAGGCACCACTGGGGTATGAAAAAACTCCCGCAGCTAGCTAGGTGTCTGTCTAAATAGCCACCCAGTTTTTGTGCTTGAAACCCAGGGCCCTGGTGGTGTAGGCACCCAAGGGAATCTCCTGGTTTGCGGGCTGTGAAGACCATGGGAAAAGCATAGTATCTGAGCCGGAACGCACTGTTCCTCACAGCACAGTCCCTCAAGGCTTCCTTCGGCTAGGGGAGGAAGTTCCTCAACCCCTTGTGCTTCCCGAGTAAGGCAAAACCCCACCCTGCTTCAGCTCGCCCTCTGTGGGCTATACCCACTATCTAACCAGTCCCAGTGAGATGGGCCGTGTACCTCAGCTGGAAATGCAGAAATCACCTGCCTTCTGTGTTGATCTCACTGGGAGCTGCAGACTGGAGCTGTTCCTATTCAGCCATCTTGCCAGCCACCTAGCATTTTATTTTATTTTTTTAAAATTTTAATTGTTTTTTGAGACAGAGTCTCTGTCTGTTGCCCAGGCTGGAGTGCAGTGGTGTGATCTCAGCTCACTGCAAGCTCTACCTCCCAGGTTCACGCCATTCTCCTGCCTCAGCCTCCCGAGTAGCTGGGACTACAGGCGCCCACCACCACGCCCGGCTAATTTTTTGTACTTTTGGTAAAGACGGGGTTTCACCGTTTTAGCCAGGATGGTCTCTGTCTCTTGACCTCATGATCCGCCCACCTCGGCCTCCCAAAATGGTGGAATTACAGGGGTGAGCCATCACGCCCAGCCGACTTTGTTGCCCAGGCTGGAATGCAGTAGTGGGATCATAGCTTACTGCAGCCTTGACCTCCTGGGCTTACGTGATCCTCCTGCTTCAGCCTCCTTAGTAGCTAGGACTACAGGAGTGCACTCTGCCATACCAGGCTAAGTTTTAAATTTTTTGTTGAGGTGGGGTTGTGCTATGTTACCCAGGCTGGTCTTGAATTCCTGGCTCAAATGATCTTCCAGGCTCGGCCTCCCAAAGTGCTGGGACTATAGGTGTGACCCACAGCACCTGGCCTGATGATGGCTTTTTAAGTGTACTAATGATCTCATCAGAGGAGCCAAATGCCACATGACTCAAGAAGAAAGAACCAAACAGTCCGGATCCAGGGTGAAAGCCTTCTTCAGCTATTCTTCATTCTGTAGTGTCTATGTGTGGTGTTCCCGTTAAGGGTGAGAAGGGAAAGCAATGACCCTGTGTTGGGGCCTCCAAAAGCAATCACGTCCCTCCCTACAAATCATTGAGAATCCTGGTTGCTGAAGAATGTTAAAATAATAATATGTGATTAGGAGAATGACAGTGCTGCAACATCAAAGAAAAAAGCCGGGCAAAGCAGAAGGATTCGACCCATGCTTATGTGATAAATTTGGTGCCAGCTAGTTGAGCTGAGGAATCTGAGAGATTAGAAGTTGTTGGAGAATCTGTGGTTTCAGCTAAAGCAGCAGAGAATATGGCCAAGGAGTCCATTTGGGTCTAAAGTAGAGAAGAGGTTGGTGCAGAGAAGCTCTGTGGGCTGAGTCCAGGAGACTGTTTGGACTTTGGGTGATAAAGAAGAGAGAAGATACCATCTGAAGCTGGGTTGGTATATTTTGGGTTCAGAGCAAAGAGGGACCTGTTTCTCTAGGATGAATTGAGGTAATTCTGCTGCGATCTGGCAGATGGACATAGAGAGAGATAAGACAAGATGACCTCAAGAGTCAAGAGTGAGAAGAGTCGTAGGAGGGGCTCTGTGTGTGTGAGAGACGGAGAGACATAGGGAGTTCTTGAAGTGACTGTTTAAGATTTCAAATGTGTGCCAAGATATCGGGGTAAGGTTGAGATGTATACATTTATGTTATTCTCTATGTATGAGTACCCTGACACTACCTTTATTTTAATTAATTAAATTAATTATTTATTTACTTTTGAGACAGAGTCTCATACTTGTCCCCCATGCTGGAGGGCAATGGCACAATCTCGGCTCAATGCAACCTTTGCCTCCCGGGTTCAAGCGATTCTCCTGCCTCAGCCTCCCAAGTAGCTGGGATTACAGGCGTCTGCCACCACGCCCGGCATGAAGTTTCACCATGTTGGCTAGGTTGGTCTCGAACTCCTGACCTCAGGTGATCCGCCCACCTCGGCTTCCCAAAGTGCTGGGATTACAGGCGTAAGCCGCTCCTGACGTCTACCTTGAATTTTAAAATAGCAGGTGTGCTTCATGGTGCTCAATTGGATATGCTTCACAGGAGTAAACATGTTTGGGAAATGTTATCAAAACCAGGAAGGCATAAATTGCTACCTTTCTATGGGATGGCAATAGACAAGTTCCCAAGAGAGGCAGCAACAGACCCCTAGGGGAGAGCCTGGCAGGGTTGTGGACTTCCTGCATGCAGGCGCCCTAGGATCCTGGGCTTCTTCCTAGACCCTTCCCTGGGTTTGAGAGACAGGGGAGCGAGGCAGGCTATGGGATCCTATATGTATCATCTTAGAAGTAATCAGATACAACAAGGTAGCTGGCATCTTAGCAAATCACACAGCTGGAAGACTTTAAGTAAATCTCTGTGGGGAGCCAGAGGGCTCAGATCTGGAAGGAGACAGCTGCTGGATGAGGAATAAGTAACAACTGAAAAGTCAGGGCAGCCCAGTGGCAGGCCCCTTACCAGTGGGGTTGAGGAGAATGACAGGCTCGCTCCTGCAGCCACTCAGGTACAGGCAGTTCATCCAGGAAGCAGTAAGGGACAGAGGGAGAAGAGAGAGGACAGGGATCCAAGTCCCAGAAAGGAGTATAAGATGGAGACTTTGTCTTAGAAATTGACATGAAAGCTTACTTGCTAGGACAAAGGCAAGCAAGGGTCTCTGGAGTGTTCTCAATTCTGTGAAGGCAGGATCAGCCCAGAGCTGGTTAAGATGTGGAGCCTGATGGTGCCAACAGGTCATGAGGCCATTCAGGGAAAACAAGGGTTAGGAAGGAGGATGGGGACCCAGGCACATGATGGCACTAGAGGTCCTGAATTCCAAATTCCAGAATCTTTGAAGTGGTGTCAAGATTGTGTCTCAGGATCACCGGATATAGCTGGTCCTTGGGATGGAATGTGGCGCTGTCCTGACAAAAGACCTGAACTTGCCAACTGAGAGCCTTTGATTCACGTGCTCTGAATTTTATTGCATTTACTCCAAATGCCACTGGGCAGTTGTCCATGCATAGGCTGGAGAAATTAATAGGAAGGGCAAGAAAACATGAGAAGTATCATAAAGAAATACTATAAAGGACAAATAAATGAGACTGGTAGTGAACTAGACAGACACAGAAAATAGAGGACAGAAATTCCCAGAACTGCTTCAAGCACGAAAGTGCAGTGGCCCTGATCTCTGTAGAAGGAGGAGTGTGAGGAGGATGTGTGTTCAGAGGAGAGCGAGTGGCTGTTGTCCACTTGTTTCTTTTTAGAAGACGGAGGGATATTTGAAAGTTCACTAGATATGGACACATTCTCTGCATTCTTCTTCTCTTTTCGTTCTTTTTTGTTTTTTGTTTTTGTTTTTTAATTCTAGAAAAGAATTGTTTCTTATTTTCCTCCCGAAGATGCAACCAAATGCCCTCTTTTCTGGAAACATTTTAGTTGCAGCTTCACAGACTCCATTTACGGTTGACATGCATTCTTTCCCCTATGAACACACCTCAGCAGCCGCCAGAGGGAGACTTTCCACACACGGTTTTTGCGAAGAGAATTTCCTTGGAGATTACTGCACCCTACATGATACAAATTCCTCCCCACGTTCCCCTTCACAGGCAGGGCTTCTAATCTTGACAGTTCCCAGAGCAGCAGTCATGGCTATATCAGGCAATTATACCATTGGGAACATTAGGGCTGCTTTGTAAAACCATAAGCACCCAAGAACAGATACTTTAAAAAATGTAAAAACAAGACAGCAGTGACAGCAGAAAGGACACAGCAGCTGAGTCACCTCACTGCATTTCTCCACATCCTAGCCCCTAGGAGGATGCTCTGCGGGGCCCACGGGAAGGGCTGAGTGCCACATGCCAGGGACCCCAGAGGTTGGCAAGAATGGCTTTGCCTAGAGACCATGCTTCCTTTCAGGTGTTGCAGGGAGAGGTGGCAATTCTGTTTCCCACATTAAAGAAAAAATTGACCGGGTGTGGTGGCTCATGCCTGTAATCCCAGCACTTTGGGAGGTCGAGGCAGGTGGATTACTTGAGGTCAGGAGTTCGAGACCAGCCTGGACAACATGGTGAAACCCTGTCTCTACTAAAAATACAAAAATTAGCTGGTGTGGTGGCAGGCGCCAGTAATCCCAGCTACTCGGGAGGCTGAGGCAGGAGAATCGCTTGAACCCGGGAGGCAGAGGTTGCAGTGAGCCGAGACTGCACCACTGCACTCCAGACTCCAGCCTGGGTGACACAGCGAGACTCCATCTAAAAAAAAAAGAAAAAGAAAAAATTAAATTTCATGACTTAGTGAGAAATGGTCATTTTGGGGGTCCATTGCTTGATTTTTTTTTTTAAATCTTCTTAAACAACTCTGAATTAAAATGTCTGAGAGAACACAGTGACTCATGCCTCTCCACTTCCCAGCTTTCCAACTGAGCAGCCCACTGGGTTGGAGGTATCTTGCCAAGAGGGAAGTATTTTTAATTTGGGCTTTATCTGTCACTCAGCTGTGGTCATAGAGACTGGCAGGAATGCATGCAATTAGAAGAAGAAAGAACACCTTTATGATTCCATAATATTAGTATTTAATGCCTTTTGGATGTTTTGGATAGCAGTCTTGTGTAAAGAGACAAGACATGAATACATGCAAAAGCAAATGAGAAAAGTCAGCATTTATAACACTATATTTGGGGATTCCAGAATTGGGTAATAGAGGACAAAAGTGTGCATCTCTAAGGAGTTATTTCTGTAGTTCAGTTCACAAACTGCAGAGTGGAATAAGCTTAGCAGATAGAAATAAGACATTCAGTTTTTTATTAGAAGAGAAACACACATAATTTGGTAGGGCTATTTAAATTTTTGAGTCAAACGAATTTTGTTGGCATGATGACTTCAGCGAACCATCTGCAAGGCTATCTGAAAGGACTCTAAAATAAATGAAGGGATTATTCCAGTTTATTTTGTGGAAAGAAACATTTTCAACTTTTCAGGCTACTTTTTTTTTTTTTTTCCAGGAAACTTCAGGGGGTTAGAATGCAGTTTTGCTTTGCTCTGTATACCTCCTTGTCAACAGCATTGTGCTTGTATGGTGCAGTATTATAGTTGCAATGAGTTATCTGTATTTATCCCTTAAAAATTTGCTGGAAAATATGGAGCTAAACATATCATACTGATTTAGTCGCAGTATAATTCTTCATAAAAGGCTACTCTGCCCAAACCATCAGACCCCAAGGAGCATTAAAATATTGTTTCACCAAGGGCCCAGGACTTAAACACAATTCCAGACTCAAAATGTCATTTTAACTAAGGTGACCATATATCCCAGTATAATAATAATAATAGTAATTATTATTATTATTATTATTTTTGAGACAGAGTCTTGCTCTGTTGCCCAGGCTGGAGTGCAGTGGCTCGATCTCGGCTCACTACAACCTCTGCCTCCTGGGTTCAAGTGATTCTCCTGCCTTAGCCTCCCTAGTAGCTGGGATCACAGGCCTGTGCTACCACGCGCAGCTAATTTTTGTATTTTTAGTAGAGATGAGGTTTCACCATGTTGGCCAGGCTGGTCTCGAACTCCTGGCCTCAGGTGATCCTCCCTGCTTGGCCTCCCAAAGTGCTGGGATTACAGGCGTGAGCCACCGCGCTCGGCCCCCAGTATAATTATTAATGGTGCATTTTTTTTTTTTTTTGAGATGGAATCTCACTCACTCTGTCGCCCAGGCTGGATCGCCCAGGCTGGATTGCCCAGGCGCAATCTCTGCTCACTGCAACCTCTGCCTTGGGGTTCAAGTGATTCTCCTGCCTCAGCTTCCCAAGTAACTGGGATTACAGGCACTCACCACCATGCCTGGTTAACTTTTTGTATTTTTAGTAGAGACAAGTTTTCACCATATTGGCCAGGCTGGTCTTAAACTCCTAACCTCAAGTGATCCACCCACCTCGGCCTCCCAAACTGTTGGGATTACAGGCGTGAGCCACCACGCCTGGCAAATGGTGCATTTTTCACACTCAGTTTGGAAGATACAATAAATGGCCAGCATGCATTTAATACCAGCCCTGAAGCTTGCAGGGTGATGGACACATAAGGGCCATTGTGTCTCCACACTCAGGAACAGCATTGATGTGCTTAATGAGGACAGGCTGACTCCTTCCCTTCAGCCTTCCTGCAAAGAGCAAGCATCAACAGCTCCCGGGCAAAAATAAAAGGCCAAGGAGCTGGAAAATAGGATATAAATTTTCTTACCCAAAGCTTTCTCACCAAAGCTTGTAGGTATGAAAACGTAATGTTAGTCTGCAAGCATAAATGTTGATGTTGGAGATGGAGCTTATCGAAGGCTTGCACATGTGAGACTCTGAGTGACGTCAGTGATGTGTTGAGCAACATTGTGATCTGGATGCAGAGAGAAACTGAAGAGATGACAGAATGATCTGATACAGACCACAGAGAGGCGACTCCAGCCAGAAGGGTATGTTGACTTACTAGGGGCAAGTAAGCAAGAAACTTCAGGAAAGCACACAGCCCTAAACTAATACGTCCTGGTAGAAAAAAGTTTCCCCAAATGAGAACTTGACAAAGAGGTATTCAAAAGAATACCAACATCTACAAGATATCAGTGCCACTGAGTTTGGGAATGGGCGGAAAAGGAATTTTAATATGGAATTTAAGAGAAGAACTGAGTTCAGCAAGGGAGAACTGAATGACATCAAAGTATTACGCATGCAATTGTGGGTTACATGGAGAATATAATGGAGAAATGGGTTGTTAAGGGACTGATTAATTAGTAAGCCAAGATCTAGTATTTGTTTGCTTATCTCTTATTTACCCACCTGAACCCACCTATCTGAATACAGTTTATATCTTAATATTTCATGACTCTTGCAAGTTCTCTCATTGTACCTCTACGCTCTAAGAAAAGAAAGGGAGAAAGACGGTGGTGTGAAGATCTCTATCTTTGGAAGAGAACTACTTCTCATGCTTTTGATGGAAGCAGAAGAAAATGGACCCTAGACGGGGTGCAGTGGCTCATGCCTGTAATCCCAGCACTTTAGAAGGCCGAGGTGGGTGGATCACTGGAGGTCAGCAGTTTGAGATCAGCCTGGCCAAAATGGTGAAAACCCATCTCTACTAAAAGTACAAAAATATTAGCCAGATGTGGTGGTGCGTGCCTGTAATCCCAGCTGCTCAGGAGGCTGAGACAGGAGAATTGCTTGAATCTGGGAGGCAGAGGTTGCAGTGAGCCGAGATCACGCCACTGCACTCCAGCCTGGGTGACAGAGTGAGTGAGACTCCATCTCAAAGAAAAAAAAAAAAAAGAAAACAGACCCTAGATTATCTTGTGCATGTCTTTTCATTGCGCTTAGAATACTACACTGTAATCGTGGATATATTTGTCTGTTTTCCTGCATTGGTGCTGCGTTCCTGGAAGGTAGAAATCAGTTTCTATGAAGGCAAGGATTATGTCTGCCTGATTGAAAGGGGCTTCTTGGAGCTCTTTGGTCACATTAAACGGGCACAGGAATAAAGTTCTTCTAAAGAAGGGATGTTGGGGCCACTGGGTGACTTGGTGCTTAGGAGCAGAGGACTACCACAGAAGGAACCTCTTCTTGGCCAGGTCTGCAATCTCTTTTGAAATTCAGAATGACATTGTTTCATCCATGAGAAAATGGCAAAAAACTGCATACAACTCATCCTTTGTAATTCCTTTTTTTTTTTTTGAGACAGGGTCTCACTCTGTCACCCAGGCTGGAGTGCAGTGGCGTGACCCCAGCTCACTGCAACCTCCACCTCCGGGGCTCAAGCAATCCTCCCACCTCAACCTCCAGAATAGCTGGGACTACAGGTGTGCACCACCACACCCAGCTAATTTTTGTACTTTTCAGGAGAGACGGGATTTCACCATGTTGGCCAGGCTGGTCTTGAATGCTTGACTTCAAGTGATCCACCTGCCTCAGCCTCCCAAAGTTTTGGAATTACAGGCATGAGCCACTGTGCCCAGCTGTAATTCCTATCTGAGCAAGAACACACATCTGACCGTTGTAAAACAAAATGTTTTTTATTGTGAGAGCTGTGAATTCACCAAGTTGAAGTTCATATGGGGTGATCTTTACCCATTTTGCCTGAGTGGTATCAGGGGTGGAGGAGTCATGTCTTCCTACCCTAGCGCCCAGGATTCCAGCTTCTTGTCAAGGCTCCCTGCAAAGGACAATACAAGTGTCTCATTTCTGCTCCGTTTCCTGCCTCTTCCTCTCCAAGAGCACCTTCAGGAAGGGTGGAGGATGAGGGAATCTGTTTGCGATGGGCATCTGGACTTAAGTGGCTTTAAATTTTGGGGCACACTCTACAACAAGAATTTAAAAGCTTAAGTAAGCACAATCGTAAGTAAGCTAAAGCTTGGAAATGGTAATGAAGGAAAAGGATACAAAAGGACCTGAATTAGCTTTTTCTTGGAGAAAATAAATTGTAAGAGCGTACTTGACAGTACGCGTAAAGAGACTCCTCATTGTGACTCAGATATGACTTTCTGAAGCTTCTCTCCCAGGTGCACATTAGGTGGAAGGAAGAAGGGAGAGAGGACCAGGTTTCTTTAAAAACAGATTTTTCAGGGAAATCTCTGTCTGCCTTTGAGATGCCTTACACCTCTTCAAAAGCCTACAGTTTGGTTGAATCCACTCTCCAAAAAGACTGGGACAGAAAAAAATTTACAAAGTCTATTTGTTTAGTTAATTTATTCAACAAATATTTACTGAGTATTTATTATATGCCAGATACTGGTTATACAACCGTGGAAAAAACATAGTCCTTCCTTCAAAGTGCTCCTATAAATATACACTTGCAAATGATGGCAAGTGCTATGAAGAAAAACTACATAGAAGAACCCAAGTCCTGGGCCTAAATAAAATGAGAAAGCTGCCGTGCAACCTGACATGCACTCCAACCCCCTACACACCTTCCTTCACTCTGTGCTGGCCCAATCTGCCTCCAAATATTTACCGAAGACACCCCTTTAGGAGCCTTCCTAAGACTGAAGAATGTATTTTAAGAATGCTTCACTATACACCAGTAAACCACAGAGCAGTATTGTGCCAGCTCCTTTGATCTGATAAGCTTTGTTCGAATGTGAGCTGAACTGTTAGCATGTTTGACCTGAAGTTGAGTTCTCAACAACGTACCAGTAGAGTTGAAAGTAATTGCACATGTCCACTGTATACAATCCCTTGGTCATTTAGGGAGACAGTACACCAGGCTTTTCAACATTTTTTCAGTCTGTGCAGAACATGTACATTTGCACTGGGTCCTAGAGACTCACTGTAAAGCAGCAGTGCAGAAATTGAAGATTTAGCACATGGTATTGACATGAAAAGTCAATGGAAAAAGTAGGTTTCCATGCAAGACTGTGAACCCCTCCAGGGCAGGCACGATTTCCCCCAGCCCTGCACCCGGGGTTTGGCACAGAGAAGTGTTCAGTGTTTGCGGGACTGAAGGATTCAATAATACTTGATATTCCTCTTTTCTCTGCATTCCTACCGTTGCCATGCCCAGTTAATACTGGAATTAGAAGTAGACAGCATGGGCATAAGGGTATGATCTCCTGCCTCTGAGATCTAAGGAGCCCAGGACAGGCCCAAACCTGGTTTCCTTTATACA
This sequence comes from Homo sapiens, assembly GCF_000001405.40. Classification (NCBI taxonomy): domain Eukaryota; kingdom Metazoa; phylum Chordata; class Mammalia; order Primates; family Hominidae; genus Homo; species Homo sapiens. Next base: position 3,709,954 of record NC_000018.10, read on the forward strand.
TCAGTTCACAAAACTAAAACTCAGGTCTATAGAAGATGAATTACTGCTACTCCTACAGCCAATGAGAAGCACATTTAAAATAGGGAGCTGCTATTTTCTGTAGTGGAGGAAGTGATTCTTCCTGTGTGGCTACGTTTAGCACATATAGCTTGGGACATGGATGGATTTATGCTTCTCTGTGCAGTGGGCTCTCTCCATAAATACCCAATGGTCTTTCATTTTACACTAGGAAAGACAAGCTACCAAAACGGAACACTTCTCACACACTCTTATCCTACTCCTACCAAAAGGAAGGAATATTTAGGGAAAATGATTTGAGGGGCTGGGACTCAAGACTCCTTGTGATAAAAAATTCTCACCTGCCCCTGCAGATTTTTGATAGGGGCCCTACGTCATCCCCCGCCCTTTCTCCTCCACACCCAGCTTCAGGCTCTGCAGAGGGACATGAATTTGAATTTTTGTTTGTTTGTTAGTTTATCAAGAAGAGGTATAGGTTTAGAAGGTTAAAGACTCTGGTCTAATGTTCTCCCCACTGTTCCCAGAAAAGCTCCCGTCAAGGACGGTGTCAATGACTGTGGAGAGGAAAGCACAGCCCTCTTTTACTTATTTATTCCATATATATTTTTAAAGCATTCACTATAGATGTCACTGTTCTAAGAGCTGGAGGCATAGTAGTGAACAAGACAGAAAAATTTTTTGGCTGGAATTGAGATGACAAATACACAAGTGAATATTTAATTTCATGTGGCAGTAAGTGTCATGAAGAAAAAGTAAGCATTGCAAAGGACAAGAGATTGACTTGGGGCAGAGCCAAGTGGCCATGAGACAGAGATGTGAACATGGAGTTGGGAGGTGGAGGAAGGACTCCAGGCACGGGTGTAGGGGGTGGGTGGAAGCAGCGCCAGAGCCCTAAGGCAGGAACAAGCTCGCTGGGTTCCAGAAGGTCAGAGCTCTCCATGTGTGGGTCATGGTTCCCTGGTGAGTGTCTAATAAGTAACAGGTGTTCCTGAGAAGGTGGCACACAGAGGTCAGAGGGCAGGGCTAGGGAAACACGGGAGTGAGGGCAAGAAGAAGGCCAGTGCGTCTGCAACAGAAGAGTCCAGAAACACGACAGAGGAAGTCAGAGAGCCAGGAGGGGCCGCCCTGGGCAAGGTCTGGCAGAGACTTGGCTATAAACACGATGATCTCAGCCACAGAGTGTAAGAGGGCAGCACAAAGGGAAGTAAAAACAAAGCCAAGGGCATATCCTTGTTGTTTCAGGCATTTAAATCTGATAAGAACTTGATAACTGGAGAGAATAAAAGCTACAGCTTGATGCCCCTTCTGTAATGACTCCAGTGATCAATGCTTTCATCATGCAAGTGAATCAGATCATATCACTATGAATGATAAAAATTGTGTTAAAGAATAGCCAGGTAAATCGACCTGTTTATAAAATGTATATGCCCAATTAGTCTATTGGAACAAAAATAGAATGTAAAACAAAAAATAAAAATACCCACCTAGGTGAGACAACTTCAACTTCAATCACCTAAAAGTGGCTCACGTATCCCACCCAGATCATCAGCTGTGTTGACTGTGGTGAGGAATAAGACAGAAATCCAGCCGGGTGTGGTGGCTCATGCTTCTAATGCCGGCACTTTGGGAGGCTGAGGCAGGAGGATCACTTGAGCCCAGGAGTCTGAGACCAGCCTGGGCAACACAGCAAAGCTCCATCTCTACAAAGAAAATTAAAATATTAGCTGGCTCAGTGGCACCACCTGTGGTCCCAGCTACTTGGGAGGCTCAGGTGGGAGGCTTGCTTGAGCCCGGGAGATCAAGGCTGTTGTGAGCCATGATCATGCCACTGCACTCCAGTCTGGGCAACAGAGTGAGACCTTGTCTCAAAAAGAAAGAAAAAGAAAAAAATAAAAAAAGGAAGACAGAAATGCATCGGAGTATGAGGTTGTGGTTTAGGGATGGGGAGTGTGGGGATGGGCTGTGGGAAGGGAGGCATACAGAAATGTATAAGGAGGCATGAGTCCTAACAAACTATTCCTGGGTTCTGGCTAGAGGTATTTTTGTGACGATCACACTGACCCCGGTGGGGTGGCATGGGGGGAGCATGGCCTGTTAATGGCTAGAAGTTTGGGTTTTCTTTCTGCTCCTGAAGGCTGAGGCTGCAAACCCAGAACACACACTTACTGAGTGGGGATCTCACTGCACTTTTTGCCTTCTCAATTCTCCTTGAGAAATGCAGCCCCACCTTTATTTCTTGAGTGTTCTAGAAGAGGTGGAAAACAGCCTGGACTGTAGTGGGGGTCAGCCCAGCATCAGTGTGGTAGTGAGCAGGGGTGGACTTCGGGAGCAAGAGCAGCGTTTGCCGCGGGGCTTGCACTCCCAGCAGCTCACCCGTCTCTGTCCTGACCCTCCCTACTGGGCACGCAGGGTCTCTGTAGCACTTGGCCGAGGCCTAGATACCCAGGGTTTCCCACTGGAAAGTCTCACCTGGGGCTCATGCTTCTCACCTGTACCTGTTAACTCCCACAAGGCACTCCTTACAGAACACCTCATGGAATTATTTAACCTCAGTTATTAAGAGCTAATAGGGACCCATAGTGTTATTTTCTCCAAGTAGCGAATAAGCTCTGATTTTAAGCAGGCCCATTACAGGGAGACAATATGGTGCGTGAAATGGCAGTGGTGTCAGGGGGCTAATTACTGGGGAGCTTGTCAAGCCACAGAACTGGCCTGCTAATCATTCCTTGGCTTATTGCAGCTGACGTCATGGGGCTTTCCCACAGTGCATATGGGAAAATGAAGGAGGCAATCACAAGTTTTAGTTAAAGTGCTTAAGTTACTACTTTCTGTAGCTAGCAGGACTATAAGTTTAAGCAAGTGCACCGAAAAGATAGAAGCGGAATCAATTCACTCCTAACTGACTTACCCAGTTGGAAAGGCAAATTCGTGGGAGTGAAGTTGTTCTACTGGTACTGTTTCCTTTACAGAGTTATCCTTCAGATGTGTTCAGAAGGATGGGGCAGGACACAGTGAATATTTGCAAAAGCTCTAGTACTGGCCTTTAAAGCTGTTATTCTTTTCAATCAATCCTCATCAAACCCTGCCTTGGTGCAAAAACCAGATGCAGACTATTGGGAGATCTATATACACAGGATAGACCCTGAACCACCAACAAGTACAGCCTGGGTTCGTGTGGACTCAGGACCATTCTACCGTTTCTCTGTTTCCCTGCTTCTTTGCTGCTGTTCACAGCCGGATCAGCTGAGCTACAGTTTGCACAGCTGCAACTGATTGGACTCCCAGTTGCCTTTTCCAGAACATGCAATTGGTGCCATAATCTACAAAAGAGATATTAACCCCACAACTGAGGAGATTAGGAGCAAAGAATGATAAGAATGAGGACAAGGTCAATCCAAGATGGATGGCGTTGAAGGCCTGTGGACACATCGCTCAGATAACTGAAGTTTTTACAGTAATTGGAAAGATTTGTGCATGTGGGGGAGGCTTCAGTCTAAAAGGGGAAATGAGTAAATGTTACAGTGGCTTGTTAGTAGTTAGAAGAATGAGCATGTGCAAATTGCTGTTTGGGATCAAATTAAGGCATATGGTATAAGATAGAAGTATGCTCAGTGGAGGCAGAAGCAATAAGCGGCACATTGATGAATTATGCCTTTGCTTATACTTCTATTTTCAGAATTTGCTTTAGGTCTTCCACTTGATTGTATCTTCAGTAATCATAAGTATTTGGTGGTCCTTCCTCTGATATGAAGCGTGACACTTGTGTGATAGAAAGAAACATGTTTATGACACAGAGCACTCAGGAGAGCCTGGCGCACTGCAGATGTTCAGTGGGTGTCCACGGTGGGACTGCTGTGCAGAGTACTCACATTTGAACATATGGGAAATCCAAAAATAAAAGGTTTTGAGGATGATTTACCATGTTGGATTACATAGGAAAACAGGCAGCCAAGTGGGGACACTGTCAGGATTCCGCCCTATTCTGAAACACCCACATATCCTCACAGCATCGTCCGAGGATGTGCCCTGGGAAGCCGACTTGATCAACCAATTCTGTTCCAATGCTTCTGGAGGTACGGTGTTAACATCAGAAACAATTTCTTAGGAAAGAATTTTATCTAAGCACCACAAGTTTCTTAATCCCCTTTTTTAAAAAAACAATTTTGATTCGAAATTAATTCCAGGGGAGACAGATATGGGTGTCCTGTTCAGTCATATAATCCTATGAAGACTTTCCATGGAAGCAAAGCAAAACAACGTATGATTTTCTAAGACAGTTTAGGGTTTTCTGCTATGCAGCTGAAATCTAGAAGAGTCGTTTTTGGAAAGAATCACTACAAACTACATGCTGTTTTGAATAGTCCATTGTTTCTCAAACACAGCCATAGGTTGTGCATGAGTAGATGGATGTATAGCCCCAGAAGGGATGGAAATACAATCCCAGAAGGGATGACGGTACAACCCCACAAGGATGGAGATGCACCCCCAAATGGGAGGCTCTGGATAACACGTACAGTTCCTATTAATGTTCATGACAAAACCTAAGCACTAGGCTGAAAATCAGCTTTGGTTTGCTCATCATCTTGGGTTGAAAGCCTCCTGTTGCACACATTCAGCTTGACTGCCACAGCATACTAATAGGTTTAAAAGAATTAGCTGATTACGTGGTTTTTTTTTTTTTTTTTTTTTTTTTAGAGGGAGTCTCGCTCTGTCATGCAATGGTGTGATCTTGGCTCACTGAGACCTCCACCTCCCAGGTTCAAGAGATTCTCCTGCCTCAGCCTCCCCGAGTAGCTGGGATTATAGGCACGTGCCACCACGCCTGGCTAATTTTTGTATTTTTTAGTAGAGACGGGGTTTCGCCATGTTGGCCAGGCTGGTCTCGAACTCCTGACCTCAAGGTGATTTGCCTGCCTCTGCTTCCCAAAGTGCTGGGATTACAGGTGTGAGCCACCACGCCCAGTAAGGTTTTAAAATTCCGCAGACAACACTGCAGATGTAGTTTCTCTTTCTTTTAGATGAAGGCTTCACAATGCTTTGAAGTAACTTGTCCTACAAAATATGGGTTGGGAATTACCAGCCTTTGGTACTCTTGTCCAAGGCAGTGTAACCATATGAATGGAAGAAGCTCAACTGCTTATTTCTAGGTTCTCATTCCTGCCACATTCCCTCAAACAGAGAGTTCCAGAAGAACATGGGTCAGAAAAGAGAGAACTGGTGAGCATGGCTGTTTTTACTTTTCCTAAAGTTTCCCCTAGAGCTGTTGGAATGGGTGAGAAATGGACAAATGCCTTTGAGCTCTCTCTGGAAAAGAGCAAGAAAAAGGGAAGGCAAAGGAAAAGTCAAGGAAGAGGTTGGAGAAGGGAAAGGCACAGGCTGCAATGAATGTCACCAGCTAACTCAGTAGCACTATTCCTACTAGAGCTTGCACAGTGCTGCACTGAGGTGTACAGGTGTACGAGAAAGCATTATCCTTTGTTTCATTGCTTTGACACAGCTCACAATGCAAGGTTTCTTAATCCTCTTTTAGCGTAGGTTTGTCAATATCACTTTCTCTCTGAATGGATAACGATGATGATGATTTGCCATGACTCTTCACAATTCCACCCAGCACTTCACTTTTCCTATTTTCGAGAGCACTTTCCCTTTCTGAAAACACAGATGGTTTACACTATTATATTAGGTCGTGGCTGTGACAGAAACCTTTTTTTCTTACCATAATTGCTTGGGGAGTTTTTCTGGCTGGAACACAGGTACAACTGAAAGCATGCCCTTGAGAGCTGAGCTTTTGTTAGAGTAAGGACTACAAAGGCATGGATTTATATTTTTAAAGACACCATGAACTGGTTTTATGTAGCTTTATTCCTTTGTCCTAAACTCCCTCCACTTCAAAAACCACCTGCAACTGTGGTTTGCAAATTAACTGCCTCTGACATCTGAAGAGGGGGAAAAAAGCCCTACAAAAATCTACAAAACCTCACTTGCTACCAGTATGAGGGTAAAGGAAAGCAAGGGAAAGAATATTTTTTAAAAATTTAGTATTGATTTTTAAAAAGAATTCTTTACTAGAAGATGTTATATACTTAGATAAATAACAATAGCATAGCAGCACCTTTCTGGAGATCATCTCCAATGATCCTGCCCAATCACTGAATCCAAAAGATTTCATTTAGTCAAGAAAACTAATATAAAAAAGGTGAAACCTGAAGGATATGCTGACATGAGATGTACTATTGCTTCCAGTAGGACCAAACCAATGAAACACTAGCTATTTCTTTATTAAAAATAGTTTCTTGGCTGGATATGGTGGCTCATTCCTGTAATCCCAGCATTTTGGGAGGCTAAGGTGGGAGGACTGCTTGAGACCAGCCTGGGCAATATAGTGAGACCTTGTCTCTAGAAAAAATTTTTAAAATTATCTGGGCATGGTGGCTTGTGCCTGTGGTCCTAGCTACTCAGGGGGCTGAAGTGGGAGGATTGCCTGAGCCCAGGAGGCTGATGCTGCAGTGAGCTGTGATTGCATCACTGCACTCCAGCCTGGGTGACACAGTGAGACCCTGTCTCAAATTTTTTTTTCTTTTATTATAAAAGCGAAACATGCACACCTCAGAACATTTGAAAACTAAAGTATAAGGAGAAAAACAAAACCATTTTGGTTCCAATATCAAAGATAATCACTTTAACATTCTAGTGCATTTCCTTCTAGTATTTTTTTTTTCCTGAGCAAAAATTCTTGACACATTCTGAGTTATGTGTGTATGTACAAAAACACACTATTTTGGATACTGTTCCCATGTCCTGTGGATTTCTAGTTTAATATAATACCAAAGTCCTCTCCTTTCCCATATTATTATAAACTTTTTTAAAACATTTGTGGCTGGGTGCAGTAGCTCGTGCCTTTAATCCCAGCACTTTGGGAGGCGGAGGTGGGCGGATTGCTTGAGGCCAGGAGTTCAAGACCAGCCTGGGCAACATAGAGAGGTGCCGTCTCTATAAAAATTTAAAAATTTTTTTAGAGAGTGGGTTGTTTCTTATGGCTTGGAGCGGTGCAAAGAGGGTGAGTTTGCCTTTTTTTTTTTTTTTTTTTTTTTAGTGGAAATTCAAAACAAGGAAGAGACCTCCATCCCAGCAGCTTTATACTATCTTGTAAGCCTTTTGGAATATGCTGCATTTCAAAAGAAAACTAGAAAAAAATAGAAAGAATATATGTTGATGCAAATCCTCTATAGATTTTCTCATAGTTTTATATTCACTCTAGAAATGTGATCAGCAGTCCATGAAATCTCTTTAGTTAGATGTTTATAGACAGAGATTTGAGACCAGGTTAGTACCAAGGTTGTATTAGCCCCACTTAGTTATCACAGGTAAGAGAGGGAACAGGAAAGAAGGGTGGGTAGGAATTTCACCTCCACGGGGCTTTGGACAAGAAAGTGCAGAGAAAGAACACGAAGTGGATGAACAGCCTGAGAAAGAAAAGGAAGGCTTTCTCTGCAGAAGTTAGCACTTACCAGTCTCTTGGATTCTTGCTATCACCCATTTCTAGAGGTTCTTTTTTTTCCAAGTAAGAAGTTATTGAAACTTTGTTCCTCAAAGTGGTTTGGGGTGACATGTGACCACCCCACTGTCTCTGAAATGAAGTGGTTTATTTTCAGGTGACTGAAAAAACAGTAAAGAATTTTATGCTTCTGTGGAGACATCAGAGTCATCCCAGAAAGCTACAGCGTTCACTGGAGCAGCAAATTTCCAGAGGAAATCTTATGTTCTCACCTCTCAATTAACAGATATTCATGGGGCAAATTCTATGTACAAGAACTATAGATTTTGTGTTTAGATGGCTAATTGCTGAACCACTGCAAAGCTACAAAGTGACTGGTATTTAAAGTCTTTAACTCCTTGTAGGGTCACAAGGTAGTAGCTGAGATCTTATATTAGAGTGGTAGGAAGTAGGAACTTCAAGACTGCTACGTGCCAAAGTCAAGTGCTTGCATCCTATTTATTTAACTAATTTAGAAAGTGTTATGGGCTTTTGGATTGTGAGTTTCTCGTTCTCTTTTTCTGAGAACGAGAACAGCTCTTCATGTTTCAGGTTACCAATTTTTAAATAAAAAGAAAGTTGCTTTAATTTGTGTCAGTTTAACCTGGATTTATGTCAACATTCTTTTTATTTAAAGGGATATAGCAAATGCACCATTAATAAAACCAGAAAAGGCCCGGTGCAGCGGCTCATGCCTATAATCCCAGCACTTTGGGAGGCTGAGGTGGGCGGATCACGAGGTCAGGAGCTCGAGACCAGCCTGGCCAAGATGGTGAAACCCCGTCTCTATTAAAAATACAAAAATTAGCCAGGAGTGGTCTTATATCAATAAGAGGCACTGTGTGCTGGGTACAGTGGCTCAGTGTAACTTTGACTGGCCTCCCCTTTGTGACTGTCCATGTGAAAGTTGGGTCATGTTTGATGGGGGCATTTCTAGGATGCGTGGAAGAAATATTTTTTGTATTCAACAAGCAGATGATGTTATATGATGGAGATGAAACAGTGCCTGCCCAACTATCCACCTCTAAGGAAACCGCCTTGCCCAAAACCCCCACTGACAGAATTGTGGCCATTTGTGTCACTGGAATCTCAGAAGGAGGAGGATGAAAAAGTAGCCACAGAAATAATGACTGAAAATGGCCAGGCACGGTGGCTCACGCCTGTAATCCCAGCACTTTGGGGGGTCGAGGCGGGTGGATCGCCTGAGGTCAGGAGTTCGAGACCAGCCTGGCCAACATGGTGAAACCCTGTCTCTAGTAAAAATACAAAAATTAGCTGGGTGTGGTGGCAGGTGCCTGTAATCCCAGCTACTCAGGAGGCTGAGGCAGGAGAATCTCTTGAACCCGGGAGGTGGAGGTTGCAGTGAGCCGAGATTGCGCCACTGCACTCCAGCCTGGGGGACGAGAGTGAGACTTTGTCTGAAAAAAAAAAAAAAAAAAAGAAATAATGGCTGAAAATTTCTCAAATTTGGCAATTTGGGAAAAAAATACAAGCAAATCCAATAGACTTTCCTTCTCTAAAAGTTTCTAAATTATATTTGACATTTGAAGCAGAAAGTATAACATTGTGTGATGTAACTCTTCATGTATGTGTAGGAAATATTTAAGATAATTTTAAGTTGGAGAGGGCAAAGAGACTTGAAGGGAGGTAAGGTTTCTATACTTCATCCAACTGGCAAAATGTGGATACTAGGAGATCTTTGTGGTGATGGAATGGTTCTACATCTTGATTATAGTGGTGGATACAGAAATCTACACGTGATAAAATTATGGACTATTTGGCCAGGTGCGGTGGCTCGCACCTGTAATCCCAGCACTTTGGGAGGCCGGGGTGGGCGGATCACGAGGTCAGGAGATCAAGACCTGATACAGCAAAACCCTGTCTCTACTAAAAATACAAAAAATTAGCCGGGTGTGGTGGCGGGCACCTGTAATCCCAGCTACTAGGAGGCTGAGGCAGGAGAATGGCATGAACCTGGGAGGCAGAGCTTGCAGTGAGCTGAGAGCGCGCCACTGCACTCCAGCCTGGGCGACAGAGCAAGACTCTGTCTCAAAAAAAAAAAAAAAAAAAAAAGAAAGAAAGAACTATTCATGCACATTGTAACAATGTCAATGTCTTGGTTTTGATATTGTTGAGATGTAACTGTTGGGGAAACTGTGTGAGGGGTACAGGGACCTCTATGTACTATCTTTGTAATTTCCTATAAATCTATAATTGTTTCTAATTAACAAGATAAAAATAAAAGACAATTGAAAGAAGTTTCTTGAAAATGATAAAAGCAAACATCAAAGTATCATTGTGATTCTCTGGCCATAATCAACATTTTAGAAAAGAGAAAGGTTTTCAAAAGCAACATAGTGGATGAGATGGACTCACCAATTTTCATAAATTTTAAAATTTCATTATGGGACAAATATGTAATGGAATAAGAAAGTTAGGTGAAAAAGACATTTAAGGTTGGATTTGAAGAGAGACAGGATGGCAGTCTTATCCAGAAATTCAGGATGAACTTCCGTCTTGATTAGATCTGATACTTCTTGTCAGACATACATCTCTACAGCATGAAACTGGTTAACCAATGTCAAGTGTAATAATATTATGTACCCTTTTGAAACCACAGAATATTCTAGGGATAAAAGCTAATTAAACTTTGACAGTTTGTCATATATTAGAGATAACTTAGACTAGTTATCTTCTTCCATAAGTTTAATTAGAAGTTATAGAATTAGAATTAGTATTCTCAGTAATATTGATAATTGGAAGAAAAAGGTAAAACAAAATAAAAATTCTCTTGTATGTTGGTGGAAATTGCATGTCAGTAGGACACCAGCAGATGGCAAAGAAAGCTTTCAAAATGTTGATAGTTACATGATCATTGATTTGTCATTAAAATAAATGTGAGACTGTTTCAAATGCCGTTATAGTAAAATCATGGTACTATTCATTTTGGTCTTCTCTATTTTTAATCAAGGACACTTGGCAGCAGGAAAGTTTTGCCCTGAAAACTTGACAGAAAGTCAGTGGCAGTAGGTGTAGACAGAAATGCAAAACTTCAGGTCTTGGATTTACCACCTGGAGCTGAATAATGTTGCTCTTAAAGTGGCTTTGCAGCATTGTCCAACTGCCAGTGTTAATTACATGGACAATTTCCAACCGCTATTAGTTTGCTATATTTGTTAACATTTAATATGAACTGGATCAGACAACTCTGGATTATGAAGGCTTTTTTAAATGGCAGTTTCTTCCATCATAAAAGTGCTTATGGGCCAGGCACAGTGGCTTATACCTATAATCCTAGCACTTTGGGAGGCTGAGGCAGGAGGACTGGTTTAGCCCAGGAGTTTGAGATCAGCCTGGGCAACATACTAAGACCTTGTCTCTACAAAAAAAAAAAAAAAAAAAAATTAGCTGGGCCTGGTATAATCTCAGCTATACTGGGGGCTGAGTTGAGAGGATTACTGGATTGCTCGAGCACAGGATGTTGAGGCTGCAGTGAGCTGGGATTGCACCACTGTACTCTAGCCTGAGTGGCAGAGTGAGACTCTGCCTCCAGAAAAAAAAAGGTGTCTGTGGAGGTATCATAAAGACAAAAGTGAATGATAAAGATTCACATTGAGAGAGCCTGTTTTTCTAGTTTGTGTTTTCTGATTGACCTTTGTAACTGAGTTGCTATTGTTCACATCTTTGCTCTACAGTTCAAGCAAGAGACCAGTCAGATCAGAATTACATTAGTTTAGTATTTTTTTACTTAACCCAAGGGCACAGACATCTGACCACTTCATCAGCCTCAAAACAGAATTTGCCACCTGCTTAATTTACGCATGAGTTGGCAAAAATTATTTTCTCCATTTAGTGCTGTCTGACAACACCATGACTAGATCAGGGGATTGGATATTTGATCTTCCAAATCCGCATAATGTGAAAACGACTAAGTGTAACAGGAAATTTTAAACCCAGAGAGTATTTTCTTTTCATAGGCTTTTAAAAAAATTTAATTTCAGTCTAGTTTTTTTCATCTTTTTCTTTAAACAGATATTTCACAGACAAACCAACATGAGAGGCCATGTCAATAATATGTGAACAAATGTTTCTTTAAAAAAGAGAATTTTTTAGAAACTGATATAGAAAATACAGATTTCAAATATGGCAGGAAGCTAAATGCATATTTGCGAGAGGAAAGAATGAAAGAAAAAAGCTCCTAGGCCTTTTATTCTATAAATGGATTTGTATTAAATTATTTCAGATTATACCATAGTTTCCAAGGCATTTATTGGTGATTACAGAGAGAATTTCACTTACTAGCTGTGTGGCCTGGTCAAGTTGTGTAACCTCTCTAAGTCTTACATTTTTTTTTCTCTGTTTGATTTAAATGATAATATCATGTGCAAGTCATAGAGTATTCATTACGGTTACATTAGACAATGTATGCAGCTGTTTGTATGCTTGTCAAATAATAAGTGCTTAAAGGTTAGCTATTATCATTATTATTAAACTAAGCCACATTGAGAGATTTAAAATCAAAGCCAAAGTAGGGCATTCTAATTTGTAATTTGCATAATGCTTCCTTGTGAATGATCTCATGTGAACCTTACAACAGCCTTTAAGGCCAGTGTGCCAGAAAACCCTGGAAGCCCCTTCACTGTTTGCCATGCAATAACCCCGAATGTGGGCAAAGGTGGACTTGCTTGTTGGCTGTCTGTGAGGCATAGCCCCTCAAGGTTGGCACTCCGTTCCCAAGAGGTGATTTATGTACTTCAAAACAACTGCAGGAGATGGAAGCACATGGTATTCTTCAGATTTTAAATCTTGCTCTGTGCCTGATAGGACTTTTGCATTTTTATGACTTCCTAATATTATAGAGGAATCCTACCTCGAGTGCCCCACAGAAGAAAGGAGAAGTTATAACCAAAAGTCTCCTGCAAATCATCACTGTCAGTTTCCTTCAATGTAACAGCAGACAAGGATAAGTTGCCTCACAAAAGGAGTAGGTTGTGTCATAAATCTTGCTCTTTTTTCTTTCGTCTGAGCCTGCAAGGGTGGAAGTACGCGATGTCTCCAGTTCCACTTGGAGAGATTCAAAGAAGGAAAACTCATTAGCAGAGGGACAAGGAACCAGTCCAGGCAATATCTGAATATTTATTATTTGATTTTATCTTGAATAGAAAAGAAAGGTGCTTTGTTCAGAAAGCTTCTGATTGATATCTGTCCCTTTGACTTCTGAACCTTTGCCTCCCTGCTTTATAACAAGGATCTATTAATTAACTTGGTGCTTGGCAGAAAGAACTGAGCTTTCCCCGAACTCTAAGAATTCTCCAAAAATGGTCATTAATGCTGGGAAGAGGATCAGCATTGTAATCTCATTTTATACATGAAGAAACTGAAGTTCAGATTAACTTCATACTCAAGCAATAAATAATTTGTAGAGCCGGGCACCGAAGGAACAAAGGGCTGTTTACTGAGAGACCTGAGCTTCTTATTCTGACTTTGCCTCCTGTTGGAGGTTCACCACTTTGGGCCTTAGTTTCCTTACCTTTGAATGGGTTTGATGAATTAGATAGGTGCAGCAGACTTTCTCTGTAAAGGGCCACATCATAAATGTATTTGGCTTTGTGGGCCAAAACATTCCTGCAGAGACTACTCTGCAGGAACTATTCAACTCTGCTTTTAAAAGAGGGAACTATTCGCTGAAACTTCTGTTTACAGATAGCAGGTAAACAAATGGGTGTGAGTTATGCCTGATGACAGTTAATTTACAAAAACAGGCAGCAGGTTGGACTTGGTCCATAGGGTATGTTTGCAGACCACTAGACTGGATGATGTAGAAGTTTGTTTATAACTGCTAATATTTGATGACTCAGCTTGTTTTAATAGCAATGCTATTTTCCCTAGGAAAGTCAGCTTGATTATTCAATCGTCTGTGGCTTGTGCAGTTTGTGGAGTACTTAAAGATTTTTCTGCAGCTTTTCCTTTCTTCTTCCATTTTTGAATGCCTGCTGTGTGTATTGCAATTACAAATTATTATCTTAATGTCATTCTGCTTAGGGTTTAGGGTTTGTGTGGGGGGGGAGTGGGGAGCAAGGTGTGTGGGATTGGAGTGTGGAGTGCATGAAGGTGGGTGAGGTGTGGTCTCCTGGGTAGGATGACTGACTTGGAATGAAGACCCAAACCCTTAGGAGAACTTTCTGAATGTTAGTTCTGACCTCAGATGATCAACAGATTAGCTGCTTTTGCTATATTAAGCAAGGCTTGAGCAAGTGTTTCAGAGCTGCCAGGAATGGGGGAGGGTGTAAGGTAGGAAGATGGAAGAATGTGTCTCAACTTAGAGGAAAATATGATTTCTCCTGTTACAAAAATCAAACTGTAAATACTTCTGTTACTGTGGTCCCAAGCTACATCCAAGAGGGTAAGCACTGCTTTCCCATGGGGGACACTGTACCCTAGGTTCTTACTCCCCTTCCTGAACTATGTGAAGGAGAGGAGAACAGTTCAACTCCATCATTGTTTAATAAATTCCTCTAATAAGAGAATTAGAGTATTGGTGGGGCATAGTGGCTCACACCTGTAATCCTAGCACTTTGGGATGTTGAGGTGGGAGGATCACTTGAACTCTGGAGTTTGAGACCAGCCTGAGCAACATAGCAAGTCTTCGTCTCTACCTCTACAAATTGTTTTTTAAAAATTAGCCGGGCACAGTGGCATGTGCCTGTGGTCCCAGCTACTCTAGAGGTTGAGGTGAGAGGATCACTTGGGTCTGGGAGGTTAAGGCTGCAGTGAGCCATAATCACACCACTGCACTGCAGCCTGGGCAACAGAGCAAAATATAGCACACAGGCCAAACTTTAAGAGTAACAGTGTGGCAAATGAACCTATTTACTCTTTATAAAACTTGTATTATTGCTACACAAAGCTTCTTTGGAATTTCAAAGTGAAGAATTTTCTTAAAAGACCAGAGAATCTGTTGGGTGTGGTGGCTCATGCCTGTAATCTCAGAACTTTGGGAGGCCAAGGCGGGTGGATCACTGGAGCCCAGGAGTTTGAGACCAGCCTGGCCAACATGGTGAAACCCCATCTCTACCAAAAATACAAAAAATTATCCGGGTGTGGTGGCATGTGCCTGTAATCCCAGCTACTCAGGAGGCTGAGGTGGGAGGATCACTTGAGGCGGAGGTTGCAGTGAGCCATGATTGCACCATTGCACTCCAGCCTGGGTGACAGAGCAAGATCCCATCTCAAAAAATGAAAAAAAAATTAGCCAGGCGTGGTGATGTGCACCTGTATTCCCAGCTACCTGAGTTCAGGAGGCTGAGGTGGAGGATCGCAGTCCAGGAGCTGGAGGCTGCAGTAAGTTATAATCATACCACTGCACTCCAGCCTAGGTGACACAGGGAAACTCTGTCTCAAAAAAAAAAAAAACCCAACCAAACAGAAAAACCCACCAGAGAATATATATCATGATAGCTTGCCTACTTCTGTCAAGGAGCATTATTTCTATTCAAATGTTATATTTGGCATTAAAATCACAAAAAGTCTTAAATACTTATTTTTAATACCTCCCTATCTCTTTACCATCTGCCTCTCCCCACCTACTACTTTCTGGGAAACCACTGCAAATGATTTACTTTGTGTCCTTTTTGAAGTTTTTTCTGTACATTTACGAGTGTGTGCCTGTATTTGGCCGGATGTGTGATTATTAGACAATAATTAGATCACCACATATGATTATTAGACAATGTTTCTGCCTATTTAGACTATTGGTATCACCAGATACAAGTCTGCCTAGCTACAATGTGATAATGCCTTTTGATAGGTCCTAGGAAATATTCAGCACAGGAAGTAAAACAAAAACTTCCCCTTAAACACATAGAATTGCATTGGTATATTCCTTCAGAGGCAGGTTTAATCCAATCCTCTGAAGTGGAGGTCTGGGTGTATTTCCAGCATCAAGTTCTACTGTTACCTGAAATATTTTAGATGATTGAGGCAAGGGTTCTTGTTTTTTCAGTCATGATATTAACTGAATCATGTTTGCATTCTACTTTCCTACCCTGATATTCCTACTGTAATATTAACTGCTCTAATATTTCCTCCTCTAATATTAATCTAATAGTCCCAGGCACTGTGGTTTATATGAAAACTTGTTGAGTCTATTGGATGGAGAGAAATCTGGGTGCTTGAAGTAGATTACAGGCTGAAAGAACCTAAGATTCTACCATAGTTAGACAAGCCAAGAAGTCAATAAGCCCAAGGAAGCATAACTTTAAGTTCCGTAACTTCATCCTTAATTTTTCCTGATTTGCTGAGGTATCTCCATTCATCCTTGCTCACCTACTAATACCTAGAGGATCCCTGCAGCCACCTAGAGCTGAGCCCATCTTCATAATTCTCTCTTGTGGCATCAGACTCTTGTCTGTGATTTCATTTTATGAATACGAATAAAGAACAAGGCTGGAAGAGAAAGATTTAATAGCATATTTTGCTGAAAATGTGAGCAATTAAAATGGGCTGACCCGAATGTCAAAGATTTAGAATGTGGATTGCTGTGGAGAGAAGTTCTACCTAATAAGTGCAGTTGACAAAATGAGGAATTTTTTTAGGACAAAGGGTAAGTTTAGGAAAAACAACATCTGTTGTGAGTATCTGAAAATAATGAGCAAAGGAAGAGAGAAAAGGACAAATCTACATCAAGTCCTACTAAACCGAGATGTGCATCTGACCCGTGCATGTGGGGAAATCAATAAAATTAGAGCAAAGTCATTTCTCAATTTTCATAGATGAGTGTATTCTTTCAAAAATTATTAGGTCCTGTAAGAAAATCAATTTTCTGCATTTTTCTACAGGAAATTATACTTGATTCAATGTAAAAAGGAAACTACAGGAAGAAAATGAATATGACAGTATTGAGATCATGTGAGAAAAAGAGAAGGAAATGCGTGTGTGGGGTGTGTGTGTGAGAGAGAGAGAGAGAGAGATAAATAGCACACAGGAGTAGTAGGAGGGGCAGAATGAAGGGCATAGACCCTTATCATATCATAAAATAAAGAATTTTTAAAGAACAAATCCATGTCACAGAGAAACTGTGAAAGGTAATATTGGAAAAATATCCTATGTGCTTACTTAGTTAGAATCTACTATAATGGTTTAGTACTTAAACTGTTTATTTTTCCACACCTGTAAAGATGATACATTATGTTTGGTTTAATGATTCTGGGTGAAGTACAGCTGCCCTGTGCAAACACTTGGCATTTTATGCATCACCAACCCCAGGGGCAAGTCACACCTTTCTGCCCTTAAATCCTTGCAGGGGCAGCCAAGCCTGGAGCCTTCCCCAAGAGAGTTGAAGGTGGAGGTGGCTCGTACTTAGGATAAGATTCATAGAGTCCAAGAAGGAGCAAATGCGATCCCCTCTGTGCAGGTTGATTCCCTTCTCCCCGTTTTGGGTGTTTTCCCACATAGCATTTCTGGTTAAAGCCCTTTAGATTCAACTTAGATTAAAAATGGAACAACATGAGACACCCTCCCAGGGCTCATTCATCTCCTGCCCTGATAGGCTTGTTGGATTTTAGAAAAATACTACAAACATGACAAATAGTTCTGTAGTATAAGTGTTTCTCATGCAATATTTGGGATATACCTATCCAGCAGAATTATTCACTCTTTACCTGAAATTGAAATTTAACTGGACGACCTGGATTTTATTTGGCAACTCTATTGCTTGAGCTCTGGGAGCCTCCAGAGTATCTGAGAAGTGTCTTAGGAGGGCAGACCCCATGTGTGTTTGGAGTGAAGAGCATGGGACAGGCGCTGATGCAGGAAGTGTAAGTAAAATGACAAAAACACGCAAATCTGACAGGTGAGAAGAGAAAAACCATTCCAAGTCTCTTGCTACTTTATCTGCAACACCGTTTCCTGAGGCGGAAGGAGTGAGCCACCAGCCCTTTCCTTCCCGACTGTTCTCCTGAGAGCACCCCTTGTGACTTCTGGGCCAGGATCTGCATTTTACATATTTAAGGAGCGATTTCAGCTGGCAGGCAATGAGTTCATCATACAGAAGAATGGACCAGACACTGGGAACGGGTTGTGTGTTGGGTGGGGGTGGTGAAAATGGGACACACCAAAAGACATAGTGATAAGCTACAGGGACAGGGCAGACCTTCCAAATCACACTTACTGCATGAATGCAAACACATACAAACATGCTCATGGTTGATTTTTCAAAAATATATATATTTTTCTCTTCATAAATAACTCTCATTTAATTTATTAACCTGTGGTTGTTCTTGGAGAATTTCCTAGTGAGCAAGAATATACGGACATCTACCATCTCTGGTCTGGAGGTAGCCAGCCAGGGTCTGAGCTGCTGGGCTCCCTGCTGAGCTGCTTGGCCAACGCAAGGTCTGGAAGCATCTCTTCTCCTAACACTGAGATTTCAGTCTGCGGTGGTCAAGAATGAACTCCTCTTGTTTAACCCATATATTTATTTTAAATAAAATTATCACCTCAATTCCATATATCTAGTTAGAAGGATTTTAACTTGGATTTGAGGACCTTTAAACTCTTAAGCCTGCGGAAGTTCTAGACTGAATGATAATTACTGACATTTGATGCACCTAGCACTAAAATGGAGTGATACAATATTCTGACACAGGCTTTTCTTTCCAATTTATTCATCATTATTTATCTTGACTCTAAGTTTGATGATCTTCTTGTAGAATACTCTATATTGAAGTTATGCTGAGTTCAATCATAAAGTTAAGCCTAGTTAGACAGTGGGAT
The DNA here is from genome assembly GCF_000001405.40 of Homo sapiens. Lineage (NCBI taxonomy): Eukaryota > Metazoa > Chordata > Mammalia > Primates > Hominidae > Homo > Homo sapiens. Next base: position 3,728,279 of record NC_000018.10, read on the forward strand.
TTTCTTTTTGGAACGCAAATGTTATATATATATATATATATATATATATACATGTTTCATATGCACGCATTGTCATATATAGCCCACGGTATATATATGTTTCATATGCACACATTGTCATATATAGCCCACGGCTATATTATTATGCAGGTTCCAGTGTCACAGAAACTCGTTAAGCTTTTCTGTGTCTCCGTGCCTAAAATCTACTGACAAAAATACAGTTTAACCACACACACACTTAAATACAGTTTAGTGGGAAAAGGAGGTGCTATTTATACAGGATAGATCGAAGTTTTAAAATAGTGAAATAAATCTGCTTTCTGTTAAAATAAAACTCATAAAATGTGCGACCAATATTACTGGGTCATCCGTTTCTTCTTATTTTCTCACAGTGATATTTCAGGTCTTTTGGGATAGTCACTTTGTGGCTATCTTGGAATAAAACAGTCATTTCAATTCTGTGATGGGTCATAAGCAGGGTGTCTGGTCATTTAGGGTCACAGCCCTAAAAGGCCGAGCCTAATTATTGGGAGTAGGAGCTGGCGGGGATCGGCTCCTAGGACCTGTGTGGGGATCTTGGAAGTCCCTCCCCTCTGGGCTGTGCTGTCCCTCCCTCATGGTGCCGTTGTTGCAGTTTCCCCTGTGGATGCCAGAGATAGAGATGGGAAAGAGGTGTGGGAGAGTGGCCAGAGGCGGGGATAGAGGCAGATAGGGAAGGAAAACCTTTGGTTTGTAGGACATGGGTGGTATCTTGTTCCTGGCAACTATGTGTGTTGACAGCAAGGGCACAGTCTTTGGGGACAGTCGTGCCATAGCCAGCACAGGGGCCAGGCTGGCTGAGGGCCCGCGCACTCACCCGTGCTGCTCTGGATGGTCCTAACGGTGGTGGTGGTGCGCGGCGGCGAGGACGACCTCAGGGACACGCACTCGTCGTCCTGGGAGCAGCCTTTCTCAATGGCCCGCACATAGCTGTGGCTCCGCATGCGGAAGCAGCCGGGCATGGGCAGGTCCAGCGCTTCCACGGCCTGCGACTCCAGCTCGCTGAACACGGACTCGCACACGGACTCGAACTGCCCGTTCACTTCCATCTCGCTCACCTGCGGGCAGACACAGGCGTTGTGACACTCGCCTCCACCTGGTGGAGGATCAACCTCTCCAAGCATCTGCGAACTTCAATCCCCAGAAGAAAAAGCAGCGTCTGGTTAGATTAAGCTCAAATGCATTTTATTTCCTTTCTGTTACAGGCTATAATTGAATGGCATCCGCTTATAATTCCAAACAATAGATTACTTTTTTTTTCTTGTATTTTTAGTAGAGACAGGGTTTCACCGTGTTGGCCAGGCTGGTCTCGAACTCCTGACCTCAAGTGATCCACCCGCCTGGGCCTCCCAAAGTGCTGGGATTACAGGCATGAGCTACCACCACCAGCCGTGATTACATTTTAAAGAAAAAAGGGCACCGTTTGTAGAACGCAAGGAAATGTGGGGCTTATTCCAACGCATGACATTCTTATTTATAAAGGCAAACTTGGAGAAGAATTTTACCAGTCCATTGTCAGAGTTCATGTATTTTGGTATCACTTTTTAGCACAAACATTTTAGAAACGAGTATTTTTACAGTGCCTTTTGAAGTGACTAGTTTGTCAAATAATTTCAGTGTTAAGCTTAATTTAGTGCAAGGTATGGAAACATGCCCTATATTTTCTGGCAAGATACTCACGTTTTGCACAAAAATAGACTAAACTCAGATATGTCAAAATCTTGAAAAGCACCATCAAGATTTTCAAACTATTTACAAGTTTCAGTCTTCTTTATAAAAAGCCCATATGGGCTGACTGTTGTGGCTCGCACCTATTACCCAGCACTTTGGGAGGCTGTGGCAGGAGGATCACTTCAGCCCAGGAGGTCGAGGCTGCAGTAAGGCCTGATTGCACCACTGCATTCCAGCCTGGGCAACAGAGAGAGATCTTGTCTCAACAAACAAACAACAACAACAAAAAACCTGATAAGATTCATAAATTATTAATGTATTTTAAAAAAATTTGCTACAGAAATATTTGGCGTAATTGGAAAAAAATCTTTGAAATGGGGGCCCTCTTTTTTTGACGAATAAGTTTTTATTGATTTATATTCCTCCTGTATATAACTTACATTAGGTTTGAGCCCCACTTAAGAAAAAATATTCCTGACTAGATGTTCCAGTCAACTTCTCACTTTTTAGTTGACTTGCTAGAGATTTGGGAGCATTTCTCAATTTTCTGTTACCTTCCAGGACATCTTATCTCTATTTTCCTAATATCAAATTCATGAGGCACCGAGAATTTAACAAATTAAACTACAATTACGTTTTGAATACTTACTGAAAACTATTACAATTTTTGGCTGTCTCCTCATTTTGTATTATCTGAAGTTGTGCTCCAGTAATGACTAATTTCTTTAAACTTCAGATAAAAGTGACCAATTACCTTAAGGCATATCAATAGAAAGAGACATACACTTTTTAATAAGAATTCTTTACAGTTTAAAAATGCTATTTTCACAGTCTTTATCTAATTTGTTATGTGAAATCCCTGCATATTTTCCAGGCTAATAACTATATGTGTCCATATTAGAAAGTTATATCTCTATATATCCTTGTTTTTAAAGAAATACATGGACACACATTTAGAGGTAAAGGAATGTATCTGCAACTATCAAATGGAGCAAGAGAGACAAAGAGTGAGCAAGTGAGCCAAAATCTCAACAATCCATACATTTCAATCTGGGTCAAGGATATACAGGAGTCTTTGTATTACATGTGTGACTCTTTTTTAAGGTTGCAATTATTTCAAAGCCAAAAATAAAGCAAATATATATGTGTGTATGTCTATATACATCTGCAAATGTATGGGTGTATATATAGACATATATATAATATATGTATATGTATATAATTTATTCATTTTTCCCCTTTTAATCAACATGCCAAACTTTACAAAGAGATAGCAAAATATTTCTGTCAAGGTAACAACCATTAAACTCGGATGATTATCTTTCCAGATAAGTATATATGTCCCCTCTTCTACTTTGTATAAAACTTGAATCATATAGTAAATATAATTCTGCAACTTGTTGGTTTTTTACTTAACCCTCTAGGTTAAACTTATATTCTTTTCTTTTTTTGAGATAGGTTCTTGCTCTGTCACCCAGGGTGGAGTGCAGTGGCACGAACAAGGCTTACTGTAGCCTCAAGCAATCCTCCCGACTCATTTTCCTGGATAGCTGGGACCACAGGTACGCACCACCACGCCTGGCTTTTTTTTTTTTTTTTGGAGAGACAGGGTTTCCCCATGTTTCCCAGGCTGGTCTCTCAAACTCCCGGTCTCAAACCATCCTCCCACCTCCACCTCCCAAAATGCTGGGATTACAGGTGTGAACTACGGCTCCTGGCTAAACTTATATTCTTAACAGAATTCTTCTTCATTCCCTTTTATCCTTTTATTTTCATTATACACAGATACAGAAAACCATACAAAATAAATATAGAACTTAATGAATTATAATAAGGCAAACATCCTGGAACCACTACCCAGATCAAGAAGCAAAACTTTTCTGGACACCCTAGAAGCCCTCCACATGCCCCCATATTCACAATCTCCACTCTCCCTCTAATAGTGCTTAACTAGTACCCTGAGTTTTATTGCGTTCACTTTTGTGCATTTCTTTATGTTTTATTTCACCCAAGCGTGCATCCCTGGGCTCTAGTTAGTCTTACCCATTTTAAAAATCTGATACACTTTAAAATTCACCTTTAACATACACTTATTTTGACTTATCTATTGAGCATCTAGATTGTTTGCCCCATAGAGGTTCCCATAGTCTGGGTTTTGCTGATTTCATACTCATGGTGGAGTTCATCATGTTCCTCTGCATTTTGTATTGCCTGAAAATTGGAATCCAGATTCAGAGATTTGATCAGCTTCAGGTTCAATCTTTTTGGCAAGGCTAGAGGCCATGTGTTTATTTCATCAGGAGGCACATTATGTCTAGTTTGTCTCTCTTCTATGTTGTTAGGAGTTATCTATGCTCAATGTCTAGATTTGTTAATCCTTGGGAGCTGCAAAATGCAATATTCTATAATTACTTTTATAACTACTAGTTGGAATATTCTCTTTCACATTACTTGTTTACTTAATGATTTAGTTCATATAGAATGGTAGGATAAATGCTTGATTTGTCTTCTTTATTTACTAATTTTCAAGATAAATTTGTTCTCTCTTATATTCCATATGTAATCGATTTTTAAAAAATATCACATTAACTCATAGATTTAAAAATATTTGATGGTTTTAAGTCAATTGAAATAATTATCCTTAATGAACTTAAATTTGTCCCATCTTTGGTCAGTGGGAGCCTTTTAGGTTGGTTTGGGGGTCTTTTTGACATGAAAGTAGTAATCTTTGAGAACTTCTTTGATATCTGGTATGACAAGGTATTCTAAACTCAACTTAAACCTTTCCTGCCCAGTCCTGGAATCAGTATGTTTCCAAAAAGCCCTTTCTTTTTTTAGTGGGAAATGGTATTACAAGAACACAATCTGGGTACTAGGGAGATATATTGTCATTGCTACTGGGTTAATCATTGTTCTTAGGCCTTTTCAGTGAGAAGAACTAGGATATAAATACTATAGGGTTCTTATGTAACCTCTTCTATATATGTTTATTCTTAGATCTTTATTCCATACTAAGAATCTTGGTTCTCAAGGACATGGGAGATGATGGAATTGGAATATTCTATAACTATCCATTTGCTTTAACCCATAGTATATGCACAGAAAACATTATCAGTACTACCCCTGCCCACATATGATTAAAGAGCAAACAATTTTATTTTACATGTGGTCCCTCTATTCTTTTCTCATTTTTACATAGTTGTGCTATATTTACATTGTCAGAGCAAATAAACGTATTATGCTCCCCAACCAGTGAACGCTCATTTAGTCTTAGTTCTACAAATAATTGTGTTTAATGTTTGCCGCTACAGGTGGTCCATGACTTATGATTTTTCTGCTTTATGATGATACAAGATTGATATGCATTCAGTAGAAACTGTACTTTGAATTTTGAGTTTAGATCTTTTTCTGGGCTATTGATATGTGGTATAGTATTCTCTCGAGATTCTGGGTAGGTGCTCAGCCATGCAATTACAAGGGTAAACAACTGATACTCCAAAGTGTACTGTGTTGCCAGTGTTTTTTGGATATTGTGGGGTTTTTTTGTTTTGTTTTCACATCCCACCATGTTTACAAAATGCCCATTTTTGACTTAAGGTATTTTCAACTCACAATGGGTCTATCAGGGATGTAATCCCGTTGTAAGTAGAGGAGCATCTGTAGTTCTTATGTCTGGTCATTTTGGTTGTTTAGAGCTCATTGTCTAGTACATTTCTCAGAATGTGTTCATGGAATCAATATTTCCTGCGTTCATCCATGCTTATAACAGTTTGTATGTTTTATACTTGAAAGTCAGTTTTTCTGGATATAAAAATCTGACTCACATGTTTTTCCTTGAGTGTATTAAAATGCTACACACATCATTTTCTTCCAGCATAAACCATTCCTGTTAAAGGGTCCAATGATAACTCAGTTTTCATTTTGTTAAGTAAGTTGTTCTTTCTGTCCAGAAATCCAAAGTGTTTTTAAAGAAATTCTTTAAAGTCTTGTAATTTTACAAGAATATGTCCTGATGTTGATTGTTCAGGGTCAATTTCTCAGGTACATGGTGTGTTTACATGGTGTGTTCTTCCAATATGTAGCTTCAAATCAACTTTTTATTTCAGGAGAGTTTAAAAAAATCATTGTTTTTCTTACTTGTTCTGTTCCTTTGATTTTCTTCTGAAGGGACTTCTATTATCTGTATGTCTAATCTTTTTTGTCTGTTTTTGATATTTGTCAATTTCTCTTTTTAACTCTTCATTTGTGTTCTCTCTCTCTCTTTCTCTCTCTCTCTCTCTAAGAGATAGGGTCTAGCTCTGTTGCCCAGGCTGGAGTGCAGTGGTGTCATCATAGCTCACTGCAGCCTCAACCTCCTGGGCTCAAGCTATCCTCTGGCCTCAGCCTCCTGAGTAGCTGGAACAACAGGCACGAGCTACTGCACTCAGCCCCATTTCTTTTTGATTTTAAAATTTTCCTTCCTTTCTAGTTCCTTTTTTTTTAGTGTATTTTTACCTTTTTGTAGATTTTACTAACCTACTTTCTAAAACATAGCAGTTTACAGTCCAAACAGCAAGTAATACAGAGTTCATTTCTCAACATGGTCACCAGAATAGAATGTTAGCTCAGTTTTTGCTGCTCTATGTCAAGAATGATACTGTGCTGTTTTGATTTACATCCTACAAATGTGAATAGGCACCTGTCACTTTATTTACTGGCTTTTGACTTATTTACTGGCTTTTGTATTTTTTTCTCTGATTATTTTTATTTATAAGCTTTGACCAAGATTCTTTTGGGTTATCTTTTCTTACTAATTTGTAGAAATACTTTAAGCAACTATAACATTTACCCTTTTTGTTAATGTGTGTCAATATTCCTCCCACCAATTGTATTTTAACTTTATCATATATTTTGCCACACAGAAATATTTAATTTTATTTAGAATAGATCTTTTACTTTATATTTTCTAGAATTTGTATTTTATTACAAGTAATAATTCTGACCACAATACTATCTATATATTCTCCTAACATTTATTTTAATGCATTTTGTTACTTTGTGTTATTGCTTAGATTTTAAATTTACTTAGATGTAGTTTTTACATGGGATGAAGAAGAATTTTAGTGTTCCTTCAATTATATAGTGGACAATTTGCTTGAATTCTCTGAGCTTCACTTTCCTCATCTGTAAAATAAGTATAATAATACTTATCTCATAGGAGTACTTTAAGGATAAAAATAAAATAATGTCAAAATGCGTATTTTTTTTGGAGACGGAGTCTCACTCTTGTCACCCAGGCTGGAGTGCAGTGGCACGATCTTGGCTCACTGCAACCTCTGCCTCCCAGATTCAAGCGATTCTTCTGCCTCAGCCTCCTGAGTAGCTGGAACTAGAGGCGTGTGACACCACGCCTGGCTAACTTTTTTTTTGTATTTTTAGTAGAGAAGGGGTTTCACCATATTGGCCAGGCTGATCTGGAACTCCTGACCTCATGATCCATCCAACTGAGGCTCCCAAAATACTAAGATTACAGGCGTGAGCCACCGTGCTTGGCCCAAAATTCATATTATATGTCTAGGTATATGGTACACACTCCATAAAAGGTGGATATTATTTTTTGTGATAGTGTAGTGGGAAAATAGTAGTAGGAAACAAATATGTTAGTCCAACTCTCTGAGACTGAGATTCATAAATTAAAAAATGATCTTTCTTACAGGACAGATGTGAAATTAATTAGATAATAAGCAAGGCTACTAGCATGTATCAGGTAATCATAAAACGGTAACTAATTATTCCATTGTTATTCTTTCTACTGTTAATACTACTATTACTAGCAATATTATTGCCACCAATACCAGCAGGTATTGAAGTCATTTACCAGTTAAGAGTCAGGACACTTGGGTTTCCTAGCCTCTGTCACTGACTGGCTGGGTACCCACAGACAATTAATTTATCTAGGTTTCCATTTCATTCTCTTTCTCTCTACACACACACACACACGCAAGCACACACCATGCCACATGCACACACACACACATAATGAGGGGATGGCCTAAGTCAAAGTCACGGCTGAGCTGCTGGTATTAAAACAGCTGCCTAGTTACATTAATTTTAGAAAAGGATGTAGAAACCCAACATGTTGCCAGAGAAAATATGTCTGCGGGCTTCTAGTTTGCCATTCCAGATGAAAATACCTAGGATTTGGACTTGAAATAAATAAAGACATAAATTAACTTGGAAATGACAGTGACTACATGACATATTTTTAAAATATTGGACTTTCTATAAATACAATTCTTTCTTCTCAAGCCCTACTTTAAAAGCCCTCATTTTAAATTAGATGTACCTATGGTAAAAATATAAAATAATAAACATAAAAACATACTTAATTTTTTTCCTTATCATCCAAGCACAATCTGTTTTTAGGGCTCTTTTACTGCTGTGAGTAATAAATGACAGAAGCAATTTAGTTTTTCTAGACCAACTCCTTGGTGTACTCAACTTTCTAGGAGCCTTTGATGAATAATGTGTCAGGTTTTAAAGGGAAATAAGATATAATGCACTTAAATTCTATAGTATTATAGCTTCTACTAATGATCTATTTGAGAAAATAGCTCTAACATCTTAAAAGCCAACCTCTTTTTGAAAAGTCTAGGGTATATACAGTAGCATTGCTTTGAAGAGGAAACTATTCTCCTTTGAATAATGACAATGTTGCAACTACAACAGGACGTTTGAAATTATCCTTAAAGATACTGTGTTACCATTCAAAAGCTAGCAGAAGGCAAGAAATAACTAAAATCAGAGCAGAACTGAAGGAAATAGAGACACAAAAAACCCTTCAAAAAATTAATGAATCCAGGAGCTGGTTTTTTGAAAGGATCAACAAAATAGATAGACCGCTAGCAAGACTAATAAAGAAAAAAAGAGAGAAGAATCAAATAGATGCAATAAAAAATGATAAAGGGGATATCACCACCGATCCCACAGAAATACAAACTACCATCAGAGAATACTACAAACACCTCTACGCAAATAAACTAGAAAATCTAGAAGAAATGGATAAATTCCTCGACACATACACTCTCCCAAGACTAAACCAGGAAGAAGTTGAATCTCTGAATAGACCAATAACAGGATCTGAAATTGTGGCAATAATCAATAGCTTACCAACCAAAAAGAGTCCAGGACCAGATGGATTCACAGCCGAATTCTACCAGAGGTACAAGGAGGAACTGGTACCATTCCTTCTGAAACTATTCCAATCACTAGAAAAAGAGGGAATCCTCCCTAACTCATTTGATGAGGCCAGCATCATTCTGATACCAAAGCCTGGCAGAGAGACACAACCAAAAAAGAGAATTTTAGACCAATATCCTTGATGAACATTGATGCAAAAATCCTCAATAAAATACTGGCAAAACGAATCCAGCAGCACATCAAAAAGCTTATCCACCATGATCAAGTGGGCTTCATCCCTGGGATGCAAGGCTGGTTCAATATACGCAAATCAATAAATGTAATCCAGCATATAAACAGAGCCAAAGACAAAAACCACATGATTATCTCAATAGATGCAGAAAAGGCCTTTGACAAAATTCAACAAGCCTTCATGCTAAAAACTCTCAATAAATTAGGTATTGATGGGATGTATTTCAAAATAATAAGAGCTATCTATGACAAACCCACAGCCAATATCATACTGAATGGGCAAAAACTGGAAGCATTCCCTTTGAAAACTGGCACAAGACAGGGATGCCCTCTCTCACCACTCCTATTCAACATAGTGTTGGAAGTTCTGGCCAGGGCAATTAGGCAGGAGAAGGAAATAAAGGGTATTCAATTAGGAAAAGAGGAAGTCAAATTGTCCCTCTTTGCAGACGACATGATTGTATATCTAGAAAACCCCATTGTCTCAGCCCAAAATCTCCTTAAGCTGATAAGCAACTTCAGCAAAGTCTCAGGATACAAAATCAATGTACAAAAATCACAAGCATTGTTATACACCAACAACAGACAAACAGAGAGCCAAATCATGAGTGAACTCCCATTCACAATTGCTTCAAAGAGAATAAAATACCTACGAATCCAACTTACAAGGGATGTGAAGGACCTCTTCAAGAAGAACTACAAACCACTGCTCAATGAAATAAAAGAGGATACAAACAAATGGAAGAACATTCCATGCTCATGGGTAGGAAGAATCAATATCGTGAAAATGGCCATACTGCCCAAGGTAATTTACAGATTCAATGCCATCCCCATCAAGCTACCAGTGACTTTCTTCACAGAATTGGAAAAAACTACTTTAAAGTTCATATGGAACAAAAAAAGAGCCCGCATCGCCAAGTCAATCCTAAGCCAAAAGAACAAAGCTGGAGGCATCACACTATCTGACTTCAAACTATACTACAAGGCTACAGTAACCAAAACAGCATGGTACTGGTACCAAAACAGAGATATAGATCAATGGAACAGAACAGAGCCCTCAGAAATAACGCCACATATCTACAACTATCTGATCTTTGACAAACCTGAGAAAAACAAGCAATGGGGAAAGGATTCCCTATTTAATAAATGGTGCTTGGAAAACTGGCTAGCCATATGTAGAAAGCTGAAACTGGATCCCTTCCTTACACCTTATACAAAAATTAATTCAAGATGAATTAAAGACTTAAACGTTAGACCTAAAACCATAAAAACCCTAGAAGAAAACCTAGGCAATACCATTCAGGACATAGGCATGGGCAAGGACTTCATGTCTAAAACACCAAAAGCAATGGCAACAAAAGACAAAATTGACAAATGGGATCTAATTAAACTAAAGAGCTTCTGTACAGCAAAAGAAACTACCATCAGAGTGAACAGGCAACCTACAAAATGGGAGAAAATTTTTGCAACCTACTCATCTGACAAAGGGCTAATATCCAGAATCTACAATGAACTCAAACAAATTTACAAGAAAAAAACAAACAACCCCATCAAAAAGTGGGCGAAGGACATGAACAGACACTTCTCAAAAGAAGACATTTATGCAGTCAAAAAACACATGAAAAAATGCTCATCATCACTGGCCATCAGAGAAATGCAAATCAAAACCACAATGAGATACCATCTCACACCAGTTAGAATGGCAATCATTAAAAAGTCAGGAAACAACAGGTGCTGGAGAGGATGTGGAGAAATAGGAACACTTTTACACTGTTGGTGGGACTGTAAACTAGTTCAACCATTGTGGAAGTCAGTGTGGCGATTCCTCAGGGATCTAGAACCAGAAATACCATTTGACCCAGCCATCCAATTACTGGGTATATACCCAAAGGACTATAAATCATGCTGCTATAAAGACACATGCACACGTATGTTTATTGTGGCACTATTCACAATAGCAAAGACTTGGAACCAACCCAAATGTCCAACAATGATAGACTGGATTAAGAAAATGTGGCACATATACACCATGGAATACTATGCAGCCATAAAAAATGATGAGTTCATGTCCTTTGTAGGGACATGGATGAAATTGAAAATCATCATTCTCAGTAAACTATCGCAAGAACAAAAAACCAAACACCGCATATTCTCACTCATAGGTGGGAATTGAACAATGAGATCACATGGACACAGGAAGGGGAACATCACACTCTGGGGACTGTTGTGGGGTCGGGGGAGGGGGGAGGGATACCATTGGGAGATATACCTAATGCAAGATGACAAGTTAGTGGGTGCAGCGCACCAGTGCGGCACATGTATACATATGTAACTAACCTGCACAATGTGCACATGTACCCTAAAACTTAAAGTATAAAAATAAAAGAAAAAAAAAGATACTGTGTTACTTGAAAATTGAATATGGAACTAGAAAAATGATGTCATTAGGAATCCATTTCAGCTGGCCATTCTTTCTGTATTTTACCTAAGGCCGAATGGCTACGTCATGGAATTGCAGTGCTTGACCTGACAGCATTACTTCTCCCATGTGTCTGTGCAATGATTTGTTGGTATCTTACTAAGCTATCATTAGAAAGTGATGTTGCCCTAAAGAAGGTCAAATGTGCAGCCAGGGACTAAAAACAGTGAGCTGCAAGGGTAGTGTGCTGCTGGGGGAAATTAAAAGTTCTCCATAAAGTTATGAAAACCATGAATGTATATAAATATTTTTCCAACAGAATATTTTAAATCCACTGATGTATTCTGCATGTATGACCCCTAGGTTTGTAGACCATTTTATAATTCTCAATGACTGTGTGACCTTTAGGCCATGCAGAATAAATATGTGCTCCAAAAAGTTTTAAATGTTATATTACCTATTGTGAAAAAGATAAAAACAAAACAAGTCCAAAATGCACCAAAATGAGGCTCCAGCTATTTCCCTGAGAATTGGGATAATGTATATCATTGGACAAGCAGTAACCAGCACGAATAGGTTTGCATGTTCTTGGAGATTTCTGTAAAGCAAGGAAACACACGATGGGTCAGCACTGAAATCCCACATGACAGCTTTCCCTGGCTCCCTCCCTACTCTGCCCTTGGAGCCTGCCCTGCAGTTCCTGATTTTTTTCTTCAGGACTCCATTTAGAGCAGGGAGCTTAATTTTGTTGATAGGGACAGAATGAGAGCAGTGTCCCTATTTCAGGGTCTTATTTTGACAGATGTTTCAGTGATCAGCCTACCATTTCATAATTTTTTCTGAATACCTTGTTTTCATCTATACCAGCACCACACCATAGCATCACTATCACCACTGTCACTGCTACCACCATCACAATCACGACCACCACCACCACCACTGTCACCATCACTATCACCACAATCACAACCACCATCATAACCACCACCGCCACCACTGTCACCATTGCTATTACCATAATCATCACCACCACCATCACGACCACCACCGCCACCACCGTCACCATCACAACCACCACTGCCACCCATTACCAACACCACCACCACCATGGTCATCACCACCACTGCCACCACTGTCACCACCACCACCACCATCACATCACCACCACCACCACCATCACCTCACCACCACCACCACCATCACCACCACCACCACCACCATCACCTCACCACCACCACCATCACCACCACCACCACCACCACCATCACCATCACCACCACCACCATCACCATCACCACCACCATCACCACCACCACCACATCACCATCACCATCACCACCACCATCACCACCACATCACCACCACCACCACCACCACCACCAAATCACCACCACCACCACCACATCACCATCACCACCACCACCATCACCATCACCACCACAATCACCACCACCACATCACCATCACCACCACCACCACCACCACATCACATCACCACCACCACCACCACCATCACCACCACCACCACCACCACCACCACATCACCATCACCACCACCATCACCATCATCACAATCACCACTGCCATTACTATTACCATCACTGTCACCACCATCACCATCATCACTGCCACTACCATCACCATTACCATCACCATTACTATCACTACCACTACCACTGCCATCACCATAATTACCACCACCATCACTACCAACACCATCACCAACATCACCACCATCACCATCACTATCATCACTGCTACCACCATCACCATCACCACCATCGCCATCATCACCATCACTGCCATCATTATCACCAACACACCAACATCACCACTATGGTCACCATCACCATCAGTAACATTAATTCTCACCTTGATGATCACAGTGTCTTCCAAACTAGCCTCTCTGCTTCTAGCTTCTCATTCTCTCCAATCTTTCCTATGTTTTTTTGCCAGATTAGTTATCCTATGTCAAAGTTAGATTCATATCCCTTGCTTGTTTAAAAGCCGAAGTTTTCTTTTTCTTTTTCTTTTTTTTTAACAGAGAAAGAGTCTTGCTATGTCGCCCAGGCTGGAGTGCAGTGACGTGATCTCGGTTCACTGCAACCTCTGCCTCCCAGTTTCAAGTGATTCTCTTGCCTCAGCCTCCAGAGTAGCTGGGATCACAGATGGGTGCCACCATGCCAGGCTTACATTTGTATTTTTGATAGATACAGGGTTTCACCATGTTGGCCAGGCTGATCTTGAACTCCTGATCTCTAGTGAATTTCCAAGGACCCTCTTCATTGTGCTTTATCCACTTACAGAGGGCCCCACCTCCTGGCAGACCATTGATACCGGGGGCTTACTGCGGCTGAACCCATGGCATGCTCTTTGCAGCACTTGACTGGACCTCCTGTCTGATCCATCAATGGTCTACTGGATGAATGACTGCCTCCCCACCTCATGCCCTCTCAATTCTCACTAACCTTCCTGCCACTAATGGCTCCTGACCACCGCTGCCCTGACGGCCCTCACCTGGCTGATGGTGCTCATGGCTCGCATGTAGCTCTCATTCCTGGAGCGGAACTTTGGTGATGTGAGCAAGCCTGCAGGGTCCAGGCTGTCCAGGCTCCGGTTGATGGAGACTTCACTCACTGCCCTCAGGTAACTATGACTCCGGATCTGGAGTTTGGGTGAGTGTTCATTGGAGATTCTGGAAGGGAACAATGGAAGAGGTGCATTAGTCACATTCCAAAATGCAGGAAGCAATAACATGTGGCACTATTGTCATTTATGTAGCACCCTAAATACTGGGACAAATGACATAGATGCCCTTCTGTGATTACTAAACTCCCCCACAGTGTCTCAGAAGGAAGAGCTTTTGACAGGAAATCATCAAGATCTGATGACATTCGAGAGCAATTAACATTCTCTTCAACCATGAACTAATTGCCTCATTCACATTTTTCTAGCCATCCTAGGAAGCAGATAATAAGCAGCAATTGTCCTGCCCAGGAATTCTGACTTGTGTAATTTGTAAAGCTTTTCTTTGTATCTATTTCTTTCCTGTGGCCATCTTTTTGTTTTTGGACTGTTTGGTAACAGTAAGTGGGTATATATCTATATCTATATTTTTATCTATCAATTTATCTTCCTTCCTTCCTTCCTTCCTTCCTTCCTTCCTTCCTTCCTTCCATCTTTAACTCTCTAATATAGTTGAAATTGAACTTCGTGAACAGAACTTACACCTTAGCCATTAAAAAGGCACAACTCTCAATCTTTATATGTAAAGACAAGTCACTACACACTTTGTATTCTTTGGATTTATTCTAGGATGCATTGTAAAATTATAAAAGTAGAAAATGCTAATTGCAAATAGCCAAGCTATACAGATGTGCACAAAGTAGAAGGTGGGTCCCTCTGTCTCCCCTTGTTCCTGTCTGTAGAATTCCATACCCTTAAAAGAACTACTCATAGCAGTTTGGGGTATATTCTTCCTCAGTCCTTCTATTCATATATAATCAATTTAATGTTAGTTATTTTATTTAATTTTAATTTTTTTTTTATTTTTTTGAGACGGAGTCTTGCTGTGTCACCCAGGCTGGAGTGCAGTGGCGCAACTTTGGCTCACTGCAAACTCCACCTCCCGGGTTCATGCCATTCTCCTGCCTCAGCCTCCCGAGTAGCTGGGACTACAGGCACCTGCCACCACGCCTGGCTATTTTTTTGTATTTTTAGTAGAGACGGGGTTTCACAGTGTTATCCAGGATGGTCTCGATCTCCTGACCTCGTGATCCGCCCACCTCGGCCTCCCAAAGTGCTGTGATTACAGGCGTGAGCCACCGCGCCCGGCCTTTATTTTAATTTTTGAGACAGAGTCTTGCTCTGTCGTCCAGGCTGGAGTGCAGTGGCATGATCTTGGCTCACTGCAGCCTCCGCCTCCTAGGTTCAAGCAATTCTCATGCCTCAGCCCCTGAATAGCTGAGACAACAGGTACACACCACCATGCCTGGCTAATTTTTGTACTTTTTGTAGAGATGGGGTTTTGCTATGTTGGCCAGGCTGGTCTTGAACTCCTGGCCTCAAGTGACCTGCCTGCCTCGGCCTCCCAAAGTGTTGGGATTAAAGGCATGAGCCACTGTGCCCGGCCAATGTTAGTTATTTTTAAAGTTTCTTTTCACATGGTATTAGTGCGATTTTTCTTTCTTTATTAGATTTCTTTCATTTTGGCTGTAACATTGTTCCTAATTAAATAAATTAAAGTTGATAGGGAAAAAGATGTATGCCCCCATAGCCGCTATTATTTATCATCCTAGCCAGTGAAATCAGAAAATTTTGAAAAATAAGTAATATAAACATTGTAAAGAGATAAGATTTGAGTATTTATAGATTATGTAATCAATTATCTGTAAAGTAAGAGAAAATCATCTGAAAAACCATGAGAACTTTTAAGGGAAATCCTCAAGGTAGCTAGATACAAGGTAACAATACATAAATTAACAGCTTTTCCACGTAACATCAAATAAAATTTTAATGAAAAAAATTCCCTTTAAAATTGCAAAACATAAAATACACAGAAATTACAAAAAAGAAACGCATCAAATTTTATGAAGAAAATGATAAAATTTATGGAAGGCACTAAGTAAGTGCTAAATTAATGCAAAAAACCCCCACAACAATTTTCCTGTAAAAAAACTTAAATTTTCCCTAAATTTATCTATAAATTTAACGTAATTGCGACAAAAATCTCCATGTCAATTTTACCTTTTTTCTCTTTTTGAGATGGAGTCTCACTCTGTCGCCCAGGTGGAGTGTAGCTCACTGCAACCTTCACCTCCTGGGTTCAAGTGATTCTCCTGCCTTAGCCTCCCGAGTAGCCGGAATGACACACGCACGCCACCGCGGCCGGCTAATTTTTGTATTTTTAGTAGAGATGGGGTTTCACCATGTTGGCCCGGCTGGTCTCAGACTCCTGACCTCAAGTGATCTGCCCACCTTGGCCTCCCAAAGTGTTGGGATTACAGGCATAAGCCACTGCCCCATAAATCTCCATAGAAATTTTATTCAAATGTAACAAACTCATTTTAAAGTTTATATAAGATTCAGAGCAGCATTATTCATAACAGACAAAAGGTGGAAGCAACCCAAATGTCTAACTCTGAGTAGATGAAATGTGGTAAATGAACTATTTGACTAAAAAAAGGAATGAAGTATTGATACATGCTATAATATAGATGAACTTTGAGAACATCATGCTAACTGAAAGAAGCCTCATATTACAAAAGACCACATATTACATGATTCTACTTACATGAAATGTCCAGAATAGGCAAATCGCTAAAGATAGAAAGTAGGTGAGTGGTTGACTAGAGCTGGGCGGGGAAAGCATAGGAAGATGGTGGCATTAGGAAGTGATATCTGAAGGGTATGGAGTTTCTCTTTGCAGTGATAAAACAGTTCTAAAATTAGTTATAGTGTTGGTTGCACAACTCTGAATATATGAAAATCATTAAATTGTACACTTGAAAATGGTGAATTATATGTTATGTGTATTATATTTCCACAAAACCGTTGTAAAAAATTACGTGAGTCCTCAAAATAATCAGATTTCCTTACGGAGTTTAGAGGGTAGACTAAACTGGGCAATACTAGAGAAAGAAGGCCAGTTAAGGTGGTTGCAATGTTGCTATAATCTAAACAAGGGAAAAGGGCTCAGTTAAGTATTAGTGGTAGTAGAGAGGAAGAGATAGATTTGAGAATCCACACGAAAATTAAATGTGGTTGATGAGTAAGGAGGTCTAAAGGTTCTAAGAACAGCCAGAAAATAAAAATAAATAAAAAACAAGGGGAGGAATGCCCTTTATCTGATCTCAGCTATATTTTATTTTTTATTTTTATTTATTTTTTTGAGATGGAGTCTTGCTTTATTGCCCAGGCTGGAGTGCAGTAGTGCGATCTCAGCTCACTGCAATCTCTGCCTCCTGGGTTCAAGCGATTCTCCTGCTTCAGCCTCCAGAGCAGCTGGGATTACAGGAACATGCCATCAAGCCCAGCTAATTTTTGTATTTTTGTAGAGAAGGGGTTACACCATGTTGGCCAGGCTGGTCTTGAACTCCTGACCTCAAGGGATCTGCCCACCTTGGCCTCCCCAAGTGCTGGGATTACAGGAGTGTGCCACCATGCCCGGCCTCAGCTATACTTTATAGCTGCAATGATGAAAATGGGTCATGTTAGTAAAGGAACTGACAAAGCAGTAGAATGAAATAAGGACTCCAGAAACAGAACTAAGTATGTGTTTGAATATAATATATTGCAAACGTGGCAGTTGGAATAGGCAAGGAAAAGATCAAGTATTTAATAATGGAGTTAGACCTTTTTTGCCTCCACTTGGGGAAAAATGAATTCCTACTAAGCATATAGATGAAAAATAATATTTTAAAAACTTAAAGTTCTCCAATACAATATAGATTATATTTTATAATCTCAATTTCTATACTTAAACAATTTAAAGAGAAATTTATCAATGTTTTATGAATAAAAAAACCTATAAAGCCTTATGGAAGGCAATAAAGAAGGCCTAAAGAAATGCAAAGGAATATGGTAGAGAAAGACTTTAGAAGCATCGTGGTAAACTTAGATGCCATAAAGAGAAAGGTTAATGAATGGAAGTACATGAAAATTTAAAACTTTTGTTCAGCCAAAGATCCTGTCAACAATGTTAAGAAAAATAGTCATTGTGTATAAGAACATATTTGCAACACTAAGCAGCAAAAAGGGTTCACATGCATAATATTTAAATTATGAATAAAAATAATGAAACCAACACAATAAAAAATGGTCAAAGCCTATAAAGAGGGAATCATAAGAAAATAAATATATAAATTCACAGGAAAGTAACTTTATATATCACCAAGCATATGACAAAATGCTCGATCTCACTAGTAATTAGAGAAATGTGGATTTTAAAAAACATACATTTACACATTACATTCATGTACATCCATCTTGATGTCCTCAAATTGTAAAGATATTCCCTATATTCTAAGTGTCCTCTTAGTAGCATTGTGTACGATTGCATCTATTCTTAAAGCTTGTATGGAATTACTTAATATATAACAGCCAAAAACTATTCTTAATAATACTAAACCCTGAGAATGTGATAAGCAACCACTTTTTGCAGCTGCACTGAGGGAGAAACCAAATTAAGACAGATCTAGAATATAACATCGAAAGTAAATCTCTTATTGCATTTTACTGTTACAAAAGATAAACTAGGCTGGGTGCAGTGTGGCTCACACCTGTAATCCTAGCACTTTGGGAGGTCTACGTGGAAGGAACTCTTGAGCCCAGACCAGCCTGGGCTACATAGTGAGGCCCTGTCTGTATTTTTTAATATAAAAAAGTAAAAGAAAAAAATTGTTCTAGAAATGTGCCCTATGGATCCTTCAAGTAGTGGTCAAACATGAAAATAGTTTGCCAGGTCAAGGTAATATTTTCCATGTGTTACGTGCTATTATGGTGATTCCAGCTGCATCGCTTTATAATACCAATGCCAAAAATTTCAACCAACAAACAAACTGAAAAATTCGTTTTCCTTTTAAGATCTTTTTTAGAAAAAGAGAATCGTAGCTGGAAGCATTTATAACCTAAAGTTCACTTCTCTTTAGAACTTGCGCATTAGATGACAAATGTGTTTCTTTGACTATTTTGCAACCTGACCCAGAGCAATGATATTGCCAACATAAATGATGATGCCATTCCAAATGTTATCAGGGCAGTGACGGGAGTGGCTGTTTCATAAATGGTGTATATTCAAAGAAGAAGTGAAAGTCCGGCGTTTTGAAAAATGAGCGTCTGCTGGCTGAATGGGGAAATGAGGCATCATTGCAACAATCATTCACTCTGGCCACTCGTTATGAAATAAGGCACAATTCCCAAATTTCAAAGTGAAACATCATTCAGAAGGAATTGAATAGTTCTTCTCTGGTGAGTCATTCCTGATAAAACAATGCATACATTAATAACACACAAAATATAAGGAAATGAACTGTTTTATCTTGCCCACTTATAGAACAGAGCCCTCCGCTATCAATATAAAGGTTACTATATGCCCATGTGCTCCGGATGCAGAAACGCTCATTAAATAAACACCAAAATAGTGCATCGATGACTTTGTCTTTACCTCAAAAGAAAGTTGATCTGCTCAGAAGAAAGACAGTGTGCATATTCAGAAACATTAACTCTCTCATGTTACGTTAATTATTTCCAATGTTGGTCTAACGAAATGGCACTCTTCTTTTTCCATCCTTCTCCCTAAATTACTTATGCTAAGTTAACTTTTCCTAGCTTATCAGAACTAAAGGGAGATTTTGATTTTTTGGGCTGGGAGGTCCCATTCATTATCATGACTTTAAAGTACAACCAATAATGGGAAGTTCTTAGGTGACAGTGAGCCAACCACACAAACAAGCTTGACCCTTTGTATCCGGAAGGCTGCCATTGCGAAGAAGAGCGTGTACAGTAATCATCAGACCACAAAGTTTTAAACCAGTGTCTCAAAAGACAAAATGACTAACTTTGCAACATATTACTGGAAATAACTTCAGATGGCTGGGATGCTTTTTCCCCCAAAGAAGGAAATGCTTCCAGGTTATGGAGTCTAATGGGAGAATCTTTGGAGGTGATGGACCATCTTATGGAGCCATCTGCACCCTAAGTTTTGTTCATTTTCACGTTGTCTTCTCTCTGACTTACAAAAGTATTGGAATGTAAGGCTCTTCCATGGGACCCAGAGGAAACATTTTATGGCCTCAGGAGGTTAATCTAACTTCATTGTATTTCAAAAATGAACGTATTTGGCCTTGGTCATGACACTTTTATCAAATCATACTCATAAACATTAATGGCTTAAACTGAGAGGCTTTGATCCCTTGGGCTTTGGTGTGGACAATGGTACTTAGTAGGTGACAGTTCTCTGTTGAACTAGTTTCAGGGAATCAAACACAGGGCATTTTAGTAGTCAATCTGCTTTGGTAAAACGAAGCCTTTCTTTTCAGTAACCTTACCTATAATGGCTTTATAATCCGTATAGAAATGTAACTTTCATTAAAGTTGTTTACTTTTGTAGTTGCCTCTTGAGTTATTTCTACTTTATAATAATACCTGACATTTGTTACCATTTATCCAATGCCTGGCTACTGTTAGATAAAGAAATCATGACTTTGAGAGATCACATAGTGTTGAAGGTAATTCCAATGGAAACTTGGCCTTTTAACTTCCACATTCCTATTCTGTCTTCTCCTTCTCCTTCTCCTCCTCCTCCTCTTCCTCCTCCTCCTTCTTCTTCTTCTTTTTTTTTTTTTTTTTTTTTGACAGAGTCTCACTCTGTTGCCCAGGCTGGAGTGCAGTGGTGCAATCTCAGCTCACTGCAACCTCTGCTTCCTGGGTTAAAGTGATTCTCCGCCTCAGCCTCCCAAGTAGCTGGGATTACAGGCGGATGCCACCACACCCAGCTAATTTTTTTTGTATTTCTAGTAGAGAGGGGGGTTTCACCATTTTGGTCAGGCTGATCTTGAACTCATGACCTCAAGTGATCTGCCTGCCTTGGCCTCCCAAAGTGCTGGGATTACAGGGGTGAGCCACTGCGCCCGGCCAACATCTCCTTCTATTTCTTGGGGAATCCAGCCTGGATTCTCATTTGGGTTCCTCTTCCTCTAACTTGCCCTTACATGCTTTTATTCCCTAATACTTTATAATTGTTTATATTCTGTTTTTATTGTACATTCTGTTTATGGACAATCTCATCTCCTCAATGGCTTCTACTACCAACCTTATGCTAATCACTCCCAAATCTATTTGTAGTCTAGAGATCTCTTGAACTTCAAAACTGAAGTTTTAAGTAACTACTGTACATTTCTATCCAGATGTTCCACAAGTACCAAAAAATTGTCATGAACCCCAAATGAACACATACCTTTCTCCTCAAATTTTCTTATTTTTTTAATCCACATTGAGATGAATGGCACTGAAATCTACCCAGTCAACCAAACTAGAAATCCAGAAATTTATCCTGTCTCTTTTTCTTAACTGTCCAAATCCAGCTGATAATCATATTTTCTTGTTTCTACTTCCTATATACATTTAAATATGGTTTCTTCTCTCTCTTTCCTTGTTTCCAACTTTTTGGATTTGGGGTTACATGTGCAGGTTTGCTACATGAATATATTGTGTGTGATACTGAGGTTTTGGGGTATGAGTGATCTCATCACCCAGGTAGTGAGCACCACAGTACCCAACAGTTAGTCTTTCGACCCTTGTCCCCTCCCTCCATCCCCTCTCTAGTAGTCCCCAGAGTCTGTTGTTGCCATCTTCATGTCTGCGTGTACCCACTGTTTAGCTCCCATTTATAAGTGACAACATGTGGCATTTGGTTTTTGTTTCCTGCGTTAATTTGCTTCAGATGATGGCTTCCAGCTGCATCCATGTTGCTGTGAAGGACATGATTTCATTGTTATGGCTGTGTAGTATTCCATGGTGTGTATGCACCATATTTCTTTATCCAGCCCACTGCTGATAGGCACCTAGATTGATTCCATGTCTTTGCTATTGTGAACAGTGCTGCAATAAACATACACGTGCATGTGTCCTTTTGGTAGAAGGATTTATTTTCCTTTGGATATCTACCTGGTAGTGGGATTGCTGGGTCGAATGGTAGTTCCATATTCAGTTCTTGCCTCTCTCTCCTTCAGCACTTCTTGGTCTACTGCTTCCTCAGTCCAGGCTTCACCTTGGTTCTCCTAACCATGCTCCTATCATGAGTCCTGTATCCTTGAATGTATCTCTCTTGTCCTGCTAGTTACTTCGACACTCTCTTACGGAGGCTCCTTGGGTGAATCCTCTTAACCACAGGAGAAACTCTAAACTCTTTACCTGATTTTCCAGTCTCCTCGTTTGCTGTTTCCCCACGTGATCACGCATGCCCTCGCAAGTTTCATCTTTGCACACACTGTTTCTATGGCCTGGAATGCTCTCCTTCCTCTGCTTTCCACCCACCAAACTCTTCAACTCATTTTAGCAGGTCACTGGGTGTTAGAACCTCTATTTAGGTCATTTCCCTTCAGAAGGCCTCCTTTGTTCTTCCCAGACTAAAGTCCTCCATCTGTACCCCTATAGTGGCTTTTATACTTCTCTGTTACACACTTTTCCCATTGTTGTAATTATTAATATTTGGTTATACGTTTGTGTACTCTTCAGATTTCTGAGCTCTTAGAAGCAGAATCAATATTTCATTCATTTTGTTACACAGTGGTACACTGGCACTTAAATGTCTTACTTTAATTACCACTAATAACCCCTAACACTTGAGTGCTTCCTTTATGCCGGGCACTGTCTTTAAATCATCTCATGAAATGGATGAGTAAATAAATAAATGAAGAGGGTAACTCAGTTGATCATTATTCTAGACCTAAAATACTTTGCTGTAAAACATTTTTCATTTTCTTTCTTTTTTCTTTTTGAGTCAGGGTCTCACTCTGTTGCCCAGGCTGGAGTGCAATGGTGCTATCACAGCTCACTGAGGCCTCGAACTCCTGGGCTCAAGCAATCCTCTCATTTCAGTCTCCTGAGTAGCTGGGACCACAGGTGTGTGTCACTACACCTGGCTAATTAAAATTTTTTTTTGTAGAGATGGGGTATTGTTATGTTGCCCTGGCTGGTCTTGAACTCCTGGTCCCAAGTGATCCTCCTGTGACCCGACAAAATTTTTTTTTTTTTTTTTTGAGACGGAGTCTCACTCTGTCACCCAGGCTGGAGTGCAGTGGCACGATCTTGTGTCACTGCAACCTCTGCCTCCCGGGTTCGAGTGATTCTTCTGCCTCAGCCTCCCGAGTAGCTGGGACTAGAGGTGTGCGCGTGTGCCACCACACCTGGATAATTTTTGTATTTTTAGTAGAGACAGGGTTTCACCATATTGGCCAGGCTGGTCTCAAACTCCTGACCTCGTGATCTGCCTGCCTTGGCCTCCCAAAGTGCTGGGATTACAGGTGTGAGCCACTGTGCCCGGACTTCTTCTTCTTCTTCTTCTTCTTTTTTTTTTTTTTTAATGAGATGCAGTCTTACTCTGTCACCCAGGCTGGAATGCAGTGGCGCGATCTTGGCTCACTGCAACCTCTGCTGCCCAGGTTCAAGTGATTCTCCTACCTCAGCCTCCCAGGTAGCTGGGATTACAAGTATGTGCCACCACACCCAGCTAATTTTTGTATTTTTAGTGGAGACAGGGTTTCATCATGTTGGCCAGGCTGGTCTCGAACTCCTGACTTCAAGTAATCTGCCTGCCTTGGCCTCCCAAAGGGTTGAGGTTACAGGTGTGAGCCACCACGGCCGGCTCATAAAGTTTTATTGTGATATAATTTATACACAGTACCATAAAAGTCACCCTTTTAAAGTGTGTACTTCAGTGATTTTTAGTATATTCATAGAATTATGTAATCATAATTACTACTGAATTTTAGAACATTTTCATCATCCCCTGATCCAATCTTATGCCCATTATAGTCACTCTCCATTCTTCCCTAGCCCAAATCCCACATCTACCCCTTGTCTCTATGCCTTTGCCTGTTCTGGACACTTCATGTACATGGAATCATACAATCCGTGGCCTTTGGTATCTGTCTTCTTTAACTTAGCATGATATTTTCTTTCCTCCCTCCCTCTCTCCCTCCCTCCCTCCCTCCGTTCCTCCCTCCCTCCCTCCCTTCCTTCCTTCTCTTTCTCTTTCTTTCTTCTCTCTCTTTCTCTCTCTCCACTCTCTCTCTTTCTCCCTCTCCCCCTCCCCACCCCCCTCTCTCTCTCTCCTTCCTTTTTACGATGGGTTCTCACTCTGCTGCCCAGGCTGGAGTGCAGTGGCATGATCACAGCTCACTGCAGCTTCCAACTCCTGGGCCTAAACAATCCTCCTGCCTCAGCTCCCATGTAGTTGGGACTACATGTAGGTGCAAGCCACTGCATCCAGCCCTAGCATGATGTTTTCAAGGTTCATCCGTGTTGTAGCATGTATCAGTACTTCATTCCTTTGTATAGCTGAATAATATTGCACCGTATGAATATACACCAAAATCTGTCCATTCATCAGTTGATGGACAGTTGGCTTGTTTTTATTTTTTTGGCTATTATGAATAATGCTGTAATAAACAATCATGTAAAAGTTTTTGTGTCAGCGCATAAAAATTTTATAGGAAAACATTTGAGATAAATGAGCAAGAAACTTTACATAAGGGGGTGGGACTTCTGGAATGACAGAGAGGAATTAGGTTAACATATTGGCAAAACGATTAAAATCAACCATTCCTGAACTAAGTAACCAAAGGCAGGGAACGAACAAACTCATTTATCCAAGAAAAACTGCTGATTTTAGATAAAAACAATGGGGTCTTTGGAGATTTAACTTGGGGATATGCCCATTGCCCTGCTCCCCGGTGCTGGCATGCTAGCTGTGAACAGATGGCAGCCTTGCAGCCAACAGAGTGGATGCACCCTTTTGGAGCTCTGTTGAAACCACCATCTCCAGTGAACAGTTAATATTTTTACTGGTCTCACATCTCCCCTCGAAAGCCTGGATCCCAGGGCATCAGAACTATTTGATCTGATTGGAAGCTCTGCTCTGTGGAAAAGCCCTATCCCCAGGCTGTTATTGAAAACAACAAAGAACTTGGCCCAAAATTTCAAAGAAAGACCTAGGGAACTTGAAAAGTTCTGATATATTGCTGAGAATCTAGAAGACTTTATGCATGTTACAGGGATGTGTGCATGCTGAGGAAAGACCTGGGAAAGGAAAGGAGCTCCATCGCTCACCTGTGGCTGACCTTGAGATCCTGCACAAGCAGGAAGTAAATACTAAGGCTGATTTGTAAGCTGCCTGAAATTTGGAAGTATGCCTTCACATACAGTTTCCCTTAGCAAAGGTGGAAGACTTGTTGGCTTAAGGTATTTAAAGACATATTCTGACCAATCATTGGCTGATCACTAAACTATGCTAATTTCACAGTGAACCCAAGGAAGCCAGGCTTAAAAATACTGTTGTCCTTGGGAATCTGTGGGGGATTGGTTCCAGGACTCCCTGCAAATACCAAAACCTGGAGACGCTCAAGTCCCTTATGTAAATGGCATAGTATTTGCAAATAACCTATGCACATCCTCCCATCTATTTTATTTATTTATTTTTGAGACAGGGTCTCACTCCCATCATCTAGGCTAGAGTGCAGTGGCATGATCATGGCTCACTGCAGCCTTAACTTCTCAGGCTCAGGAGATTCTCTCATCTCAGCCTCCTGAGTAGTTGGAACTACAGGCACATGCCACCATACCCTGCTAATTTTTTTGTATTTTTAGTAGAGATGAGGTTTCACCATGTTGTCCAGGCTGGTCTTGAACTCTTGGGTCCAAGCAATCTGCCTGCCTCTGCTCCCAAAGTGCTGAAATTACACGCATGAGCCACCGTACTCAGCCTCCTACTTCAAATAATCTCTAGATTACTTATAATACTGAATACAGTTGACCCTTGAACAACACAGGTTTGAATTGTATGGGTCCACTTGAGCACTGGTTTTCTTCAATAAATGTATTGAAATTTTTTTTTTGGAAGATTTGCAACAATTTGAAAAAAGCTGCAGACAAACTGTGGCCTAGAAATATTTTAAAAATTAAAAAAGAATTAGGTATATCACGAATGCATAAAATATATGTAGACAGTAGTTTATTTTATAACTTACTACCATAAAATATGTACAACTATATTATAAAAGAGGGGTGGGGGGTGGCTCACACCTGTAATCCTACCACTCTGGGAGGCCGAGGCAGGTGGATTGCATGAGCTCAGGAGTTTGAGACCAGCCTGGGCAACATGGTGAAACCCGTCTCTACTAAAATACAAAAAAAAAAAAAAAAAAAAAAATTAGCTGGGCGTGGCAGTGTGTGCCTGTAGTCCCAGCTACTTGGGAGGCTGAGGCAGGAGAATTGCTTGAACCCGGGGGTTGGAGGTTGCAGTGAGCAGAGATCGTGCCACTACATTCCAGCGTGGCGACAGAGCAAGACTCCATCTAAAAAAAAATATGTATTATAAAAAATTAAAGTTTATTAAAACATATGCACATGAAAATTTATAGACCATGCATGGCACCATTTGCAGTGGAGAGAAATGTAGGCAAATGTAAAGACGCAGTATTAAATTATAACTGCTATAATTAATTGTAGTTCATATCATACTACTATAATAATATTGATTTGAACTAGATTAAGATAAGATACATATTGTAATCTCTGGAGTAACCATTATGAAAATAATTTAAAAATATTTAGTAAAGAAAACCAAAGGATTTTTTCACTAGAAAAAATATATATAACACAAAAGAAAGCAATAATGGAGGAACAGAGGCAACAAAGAGACACAGACATATAGAAAACAAATAGCAAAATGGCAAATCTAAATCCTACCATAGAAATAATTATATTACATGCAAATGGATTAAACTTCCCTATCAAAAGGCTGAGATTGTCAGACTGGATAAAAAACAGAATCCAATTCTATGCAGCCTGTCAGAGACTTTCAATTCAAAGACACAAATAGGTTGAAAGCAAAAGGCTTGCAAAAATATAGCATGCAAAAAACAAAAAACAACAAAAAAACAAAAAACAAAAACAAAACCCAAAAAAGAACTGGAGAGGCTATACTAATTTCAGACCAAATATACTTTAGGACAAAAAACAAAGTTAATAAAGACACAAGGGGCGTCTTATAACAACAAAAGTCTTAGTACATCAGGAAAAATCTTACAATTATAAACATATGCACCTAACAATAGAGTCCCAAAATACATGAAGCACAAACTGACAGAATTGAAGGTATAAATGAATAATTCAACAATAGTAGTTAGACACTTCAATACTTGACTCTCAGCAATGGATAACACAATTAGAAATCAACAAGGAAACCGAAGACCTCGAAGACACTATCAACCAAACAGAACTAACGGATACCTATAGAACACTCCACTAAACAAAACCAGAATACATACTATTTTCAAGTGCACTGAACTATCTCTAGGGTAGACCACATAATAGGTCATAAAACAAGCCTGAATAAATTTTAGAAGATTGAAAGTAGACAAAGTATGTTCAGTAATTATAATAGAAGTAAACTGGAAATTAGTAACAAAAGGAAATTTTGGAACCGCACAATAATTTAGAAATTACACTAAACATTATTTTTTTTTTTTGAGGTGGAGTCTCACTCTGTCACCCAGACTGGAGTGCAATGGCACGATCTTGGCTCACTGCAAGCTCCGCCTCCCGGGTTCACGCCATTCTCCTGCCTCAGCCTCCCGAGTAGCTGGGACTACAGGTGCCCACCACGATGCCCGGCTAATCTTTTGTATTTTTAGTAGAGACGGGGTTTCGCCATGTTAGCCAGGATGGTCTCGATCTCCTGACCTTGTGATCTGCTCGCCTCGGCCTTCCAAAGTGCTGGGATTACAGGTGTGAGCCACCACGCCTGGCCTACACCACACATTTTTAAAAACTGTAGGTCAAAGAGAAAGTTGCAAGGGAAATTACAAAGTATTTTGAACTAAATAACAATAGAAACCCAACATATGAAAACTTATAGGATGCAGTTAAAACAGTAGTTACAGGAAAATTAATAACTTTAAATATCTATGTTAGAAAAAAGAAATTATCTCAAATTAATAATCTAAACTTTCACCTTAATAGTCTTGAAAAAGAGCAATTTAAATCCAGTGCAAGCAGAATGAAGCATATAATAGCTATTATAGTGGAAATAAATGAAATGGAAAGCAAAAGAAAAACGAATTAGTTGTTTTTGAACAAAAGTAGGCTCTTTAAAAAAATCAATACTTTAGCAAGATTAAACAAGAAAAAAGAGAAGAAACAAATGATCAGAATTAGAAAAAAGAGAGGAAACATTATGACTGACATCAGAAAGTAAAAAGATTGTAAGAGAATACTGAAGTCAGCAACTGAGACAAAATAGAAAAAAATTCTAAAAAAACCCCCAAATTACCAAAACTGCCTCAAGAAGAAATAAAAAATCTGAATAGATCTCCAACAGCTAAATAAATTTAATTTTTAAATAAAAATCTTTCCATAAATAATAGTTCAGGCTCAGATCGTTTCACTGGTGGATTATGTCAAACATTTAAAGAGGTAATATCAATAGTCTATCAACCCTTCCAGAAAATAGAGGAAGAATAAATATTTCCAAACTCAATCCATGAGAGTAGTATCACCCTGAGATCAAAGCCAAAGATACTGCAAGGAGGCCAGATGTAGTGGCTCATGCCCGTAACCCCAGCACTTTGGGAGGCCAAGGCAGGCAGATCACGAGGTCAGGAGTTCAAGACCAGCCTGGCCAAAATGGCGAAACCCCATCTCTACTAAAAATACAAAAATTAGCCTGGTGTGGTGGCATGCGCCTGTAGTCCCAGCTACTTAGGAGGCTTGAGTCAGGAGAATCGCTTGAAACCGGGAGGCAGAGGTTGCAGTGAGCCAAGACTGTGCCATTGCACTCCAGCCTGGGTGACAGAGCGAGACTCCACCTCAAATTAAATAAATAAATAAATAAATGGTGCAAGGAAAGGAAACTACCTACTAATAGCCCTCATTAATATACACCCAAAAATTCCCAACAAAACAATAGTAAACGGAATCCCACAAAATACAAAAAGGATTACACATGATGACCAAGTCAGACATACTTCAGGAATGCAAGGTTGGTTTAGTATCTGAAAATCAATTAATATAATACACCATATTAAGGAAACAAAGGACTAAACCCACAAGATCGTCTCACATAGAAGTAGATAATGCATTTGATTAAACCCAACAGCTATTAATGATAAAGACTGAATAAACTTGAAATAGCAGAAAACTTTTTTAATCTCACAAAGGGCATTTACTAAAGACCAGCAGGGAATATCACACTTAATGGTGGAAGACTGAAGGCTTTTTCTATAAGACTGAGAGAGGGTGGACGCGGTGGCTGTTGCCTGTAATCCCAGCACTTTGGGAGGCCAAGGCGGGTGGATCATGAGGTCAGAAATTCAAGACCAGCCTGGCCAAGATGGTGAAACCTCGTCTCTACTAAAAATACAAAAAAATTAGCCAGGTTTGGTGGTGGGTGCCTGTAATCCTAGCTACTCGGGAGGCTGAGGCAGAGAATTGCTTGAACTGGGGAGGCGGAGGTTGCAGTGAGCCAAGATTGCACTCCAGCCTGGGTGACAGAGCGAGACTCTATCTTGAGAAAAAAAAAAAAAAAAAGACTGAGAGCAAGGCGAGGATAACTGTTCTTGTCACTTCATTTCAGCATCATTATTGGAGTTTCTAGCCAGTGCAAACAATTAAGAAACAGGAACAAAAATTTTACATAATACCCAACGTATTCAAACCTGACCAATGAAATCTGGACACTGCACAATAAGTCTTGGCTTTGTCATTAACTATTTGAAAGACTGAAAAAAGTGACTTTAAACTCTTGGGATTCAGTTTTCTAATCTGTAAAATGAGAGAGCTCAAAATTTCTATGAAGCTATAATAACGGGAGCTTCAGTTTACAGTGAATCTCTTGATGATATTGATCATTATTGGCCAAAATTATTCACAGACTATTTTTATTTATAGACTCAGGGTCTAACTCAAAGCCACTTTCTGTCTGAAGCTCTCCCTAATGCCTGCGCTCCAAATGAGTCTCTTCTTTTTCTGCCCTCTTATGGTTGCTTGCTTGCACATCTATTTATAAGCTTAACATGGATTATATTGAAGTCAGTTCTGCATGTCCTTCTTAACCTGGAGATGTGAAATTCTCAAGGGCAGGAATCACATGTCCTCCATAACATCCAGCATAAGCGTCATGCATAGTTGGATTAGTCATGCATATGACTCATGCATATGACTCCTCCAGCATAAGCGTCACGCATAGTAGGATTGCAGATGCCCGACTTTCTTCCTTTGTTCCAGATATTTGCATTGCCGGCCAGAGTCCCTTTACAAATTTTACGTTTTTTGCAACAACACAGTTTTCCTTAAACATTAATTTTCCTTCTGTTTCTTAGGAGTGTGACTTCATAAAGGGATCTATTTCACCAACCAATGTGCCCCATCCGAAGATCTCAGTTTATACACAGGGACAACTTCTAAAGTTTAAGATACAAATTAGAGGAACAAACTCCTATAGACCCCTTCTATATTCTTGTTCTTCCTCCGTAAAGGTTTGACACGGGGCATAAATGTCATCATTATTTCTGGGAGACATTGCTATTGTGAAGAGCTGTAGACTTTGGTATCTCCTAGAAGCTCAGGGTTCAGGGTAGGGTGAAAGGGAGTTGAGAGAATAATCTTGGGGATTCAGTTGATGCTGCAACTTATTATTTGCTCCATCTATATTGCTCTGCCAAAAAAAAAAAAAAACAAAACCCAACCTGATTTGGTTGGGGATTTCTGAATGCTCAACTGGAGAAACTGTTCAAAAACCACAGGCTCACTATGTGCAAAGCCACATGCTAGAAGCTGGAATAACCCATTTTAGTTATCAAGTTGGCTTTATCCAAAATGAAGGTGTTGTCCTTTTCATAATAATTCATCAGACGTAGAAATTATCAACATAAAATGCAATTCTTTCAGCGTGCCAAATATGTTTATCCATCATATTTAGACTCTTGTGGCACTTGGAACTTAAATGTTCTTTCCTCAGTTATCAAGGCTATGCAACATTAGATTTAAAGCAATACAAAATGAATGCCGACTATGCATGACGCTTATGCTGGATGTCATGGAGGACATGTGATTCCTGCCCCTGGGAATTTCACATCTCCAGGTTAAGATGAACATGCAGAACTGACTTCAGTGTAATTCATGTTAAGCTTATAACAGATGTGCAAGCAAGCAACCATAAGAGGGCAGAAAAAGAAGAGACTCATTTGGAGTGCAGCCATTAGGAAAAGCTTCAGACAGAAAGTGGCTTTAAGTTACACCTTGAGTGGTAAGACTGTCACCAGGTAAAAGTGAGCCAGACATAGTCATTCCAGATCCAGGGAGCTGCAAGGGCAAAAACCTGGAGGCAGAGGTACAGGCAGCGGCCGGGGTGCCAGACACTCAGGATGCCGGTGTATCCAAAGCTGAGCCTGTTCTGGTCAGAG